>NC_000007.14:28990242-30240242 GCF_000001405.40 Homo sapiens
TTTCTTTTGCAATTTGAAAATTAAAGATTTAAGAAAAAGATTAACATTTGCCCAAAAGACCTGGCTAGACGCAGTGAAGTTCCTTGTGAATCTGTGTGAGCAGCAGCCGCAGCCCTGGCTTGCTGTCCTGACACACACAGCACCCAGGGGAATGCAGACGGCCCGCGTCATACTCCTGAAGTTGCCAAAAATCCCTTTAAAATGATTGAGCAGATGTCTTTTCTTGGGTTTGAGCAGATATAAATCACAGCAGTCTGCTTTTAATTCCTAGGGTCGGTGTCTTAGAGGCAACAAAATCAATCCCTTTCAGGTTGGTTTTCTGAATGTTTTTTAAATCTTCAGAATTTTAATAACAATAACTGCTACAATATGCAAGAAAAAGTAAACCCATCTGTGCAGGTAGCTATATTTCACCCCAGGGCACACACTTCCTGTGTGATGGTGGAGTTGAACAGGCAACTCCCAGTCATCTCTGCAGCTGGCCCTGACCACCAGAGGTCAACCCCTCAGGGGCCCAGCATGGAGAATGAAATGGTTTCTGAGCTTAGAGCCAGAGGCTTACATGGCACAAAATGGACACAGCCCAGGCCCATGTATCATTAGCAGTAAGAGTTGGCGGGGCGGGGGGCGCTGTTATTCACAAGAAGAAACAAAGGGAACGCCAGACTTTCCTCAGGAAATCAGAGTTTAAGTCAAGCAGCTCACCACAAGATCTTAGCCCTTGGTTTCTGGTCTTACCTGTCATATTTTTGGTGGCATTAGAAAAGATAACTTGGGGACTTCACATCAATCAATAATTAATTCAAAGCTCTTAGTACTTTCCAGAGAATCACAATTCAAATTTACATTAGCCCCTCTTGGGTCTCCAGAGCAGATACTGCATCAAAAAGTTTCCAAGGGTCTGGTTTACACCACTTTCAAAGTAAAGCCCATTAATAATGGCAGTACAGACCCTAATGCCTACCCACTGATAGGCGAGAAGAGCTGAGGGATCCGGAGCAGGGTGCCTGATGGGAAGAGGATGGGGTTGAACAGAGACCCACTTTGATTCCTGATGGGCTCTGCCATTAGCTGTGGAAACTCAGGGGTGTGTGTGCGTGTGTGTCTTCCTTTTCTTTCTTTCATATAAAAGAAAGCATCATATATTGTTAGATGCCTTGCGTTTTTTTATTTAATAACATAACGAAATTGGAACAAAGTTTAAGGCTACTTTTAGACTTTCTGTCATCTCAAACAGTGGTCTCCAAATCTTTTTGCTGTCAACTTTATTAAAAAATTACTGAAGATACATATATAATATATATTTAATATATAATATATTCCACTTTGATTAAAATTTCATAATGTAAATATTAATACAGCAGTGGCATGATTATACTCTATAAGTAATTATATATAATATATAATAGATTATAAGTATATTGTTATATATTTATTTATATATAGATATATAAAAATTATATATTCATACATTATAAATGTTATATAATTATATATAATGATATAACATATAATATATAATTATAAGAATTAGATTTATATATTATATCTTATAAATGTTATATTATAAATATATCATATATAAAATTATTTCATTTATAAAGTAATCATGCCACTACTGTACTAACAATATTTACATTATGAAATTTTAATCAGAGTGGAAACTGCAAAAGGATAAAATAAAGATAAATTTTAAATACTTTTTAAAAATTGTATTTGATTTTTAATGGTAAAAAATGCTTTCTAAAATATTACTGTTAATATCTTCGATAGGACCAATGTGTTGAATATGCCTTGTCATTTTCAAAAAGTCTTGGGTTACCCTTTTGTGATATAGTCGTTCATACGTCTGGCTATACATACAGTTTATTTTAATGCTTGGTTTCAAAGTCCATCAGAGCTGAAAAAGACACTTAACAGAGGTATGTAGGTCCAATAGAAGAAATGCCTCATCAGATGAGCTTCACTAATTCCCAAAACTCATTTTTCAGTCTCATCTATTACACAAAGACAATTGTTGAAATTTTCTTTGCTTTTAAGGGTTTTTTAGTTTTGTTTTTGTAATGTGCATATAGTAAGATGGGAACATTTCCAAACATCTGTTTTCAAAAGGCTCTTGCCATCGATTCAATTTCTTTTGAGAAGAAGTTAACTTTCTCACTAATTAATTTCACTAAGTGAAAATATCACTTCTACCTTGAAAAGATGGACTGTGTGTTTACTTTAAAAAACGTATCTGCTAGGCGACATACTAACAATCGCCACTTGCCATGACAGCACGTCTGCAGTGCTTGTCTTTTTGTCAAAGAAGGGATCCAGGACTCAACCTCAGGTTCCACAGCTCCTTTAAGTGCACTGCCATGAGATAAGCAGTGTGGTACAGCAGTCCCCCTTGACCACTGGCCATCAAATTGCAGTGTTATAATCATCCTACTCTTTGAAAGGCTTTGTTTTTATGAAACTAATCATATTGATAACATCCTATATGAATGTCAGTTGCAATTATTGGCAATACGCTACTAGACGCAGGACCGTGAGAAGACGCTTCGGTGGACCTCCTCCATGTGCCTCTCCCTCTTTGCAGATGTGGTCTACCTACAGCAATTGCAGTCACATAAGACATCTGACTGTCTCATGTCTGAACTGAGGGAGGGCATCATGAGAATCCAGCATTACATACTAGGAAAGCCTAATTGTGTTCTCATTTTGAAAGGAAGCAAATATAGACAGACATTCTAGTATTTTCTCCTTGGACTGTAACGGATTGTCTTGAACATCTGTGGAGGGCATGCACTGTACTTGGAGAGTCTCTACACAAAGGACTCTCTACAATTAAATCCAAAAACTAGTTTTTCTTTAGTTTCCCTTTCTTCTAAAGTAAAATACTTGCCAGATTCAATCTTTTCCTTTCTTCTTCTAAAGTAAAATACTTGCCAGATTCAATCTTCATAGAACTGTATCCTCAAATGAGTTGGCTAGGGTTGCCCCTGGAAAGTCTGCCAACTTCTGCCCCCACCGCCACCTCAGCGCTCCCCACTGGCCTAGTACCTGGGTCAGGGTGATGATAAAAATGAAAACATCTACAATTTCCATGTATTGAGCCATTATCCTGTGCTATTCCCTATGCTAAGTGCTCTGGAAAGATATCAATTCTCTTTATCCACTGTAGCTATGTTCTGTAACATCTATGCAGACAGAATTAGCAAATTCTGAACCATTGCTTCTAAGGCAAATACAGGTTTAGGTTCCTTCAAGCTTGTGGGTCACAACATTCTTGTCACCTGATCAATACATAACCTTAAGTGTGTTTCTTAGTCACCTTTAAAATGTTGATTCATTAACGTGGAACTCAGGGCCAACAGCACTTTAACTCATGCCTGAAAAAAACAAAATACCTGCTTGTATTTTCTCTGTAAGTCGCTTCACAGTCTTCTTGCACACTAGTCAGTACTTCAGCACCGTGCTTGAGGCCATTTTAAAAAGCAAAATCAGCCACAAAAAAAGCACAAAAATGCGAAAAAAATGTGGCACTAAACAGACTTAGCAAAGGACAATTGGGCTGGGTGTGGTGGTTCACACCTGTAATCCCAGCACTTTGGGAGGCCAAGGTGGGAGTATCACCTGAGATCAGGAGTTCAAGACCAGCTTGACCAACATGGCAAAACCCCATCTCTACAAAAATATAAAAATTAGCTGGGCTTGGTGGCGCGCACCTGTAATCCCAGCTACTTGCGAGGCTGAGGCAAGAGAATTGCTTGAATCCGGGAAGCAGAGGTTGCCGTGAGCCGAGATCACACCACTGCACTCCAGCCTGGGCAACAGAGCGAGACTCCGTCTTAATAAGAAAAAAAAAAAAAAAGACGATTTTTTACAGTATGAAAGCTGAAACAAGAAGGCAGAGCGTCTCCTTCTTTGACCCCAGCTGGGAATGTATATGTTGGGCAACTGAAATTTTTTGCCACTCTGTACATGACCTCAAAAGAGCAAGTGTATTGATATTGGGGTTACAAATACATTTTTTAGCAAGTAGACTCCATTTGCAAACATGGAATTCTTGAAATAATGAGGATAAACTGGATCATCTCATAGTACCCTTGTAAATAGGTACTACTCTAGTGACATGTGAACCCAAAAGAACCTCAGAAGTCTCCTCTTCTGGCTACCTTCCTTGAGTTTTTGGGAGGCTGGTATGGTGAAGTGACTTCTCCTAAAACGTCCAGTGCATGTGTGATCCATATGAAACTAAACCCAGGTCTCCCAGCCAGTCAGTGCCCTTTCCAGTACATAGTTATGAGACTAAATACAGCTAATTTAACTTGCAGATGGGGCTATATGAAAAACTTCTTGCGTCCTACCCTGTCCCAGTTTATTCTCTGCAATAATTAAAATCTGCTTTTGATCAGAATATTTGATTTAATGACTTCTAGGACATGGGTACAATGAACAATTTAAAAAGGAAGATCACAAACCTGAACGTAATCAGGCACAACATGAGAAATTAAAAGAATAAACTCCATAAACTATTTGCCGCAAGAACAGGCTTTGACTTTTTAAATTTAATTCTCCAGTGAGCCAGTTCATAGATGGGTAATATGAGAAGGAAGTGATGTGGAAAAATCCACACGTCTTGTAGAATTTCAGAGATGTGAGCACATGATGCATAAATCGAAAAGATGTGCCAGGATGTGACATTTTAGTCAGAAAACTGCTAATGAATGTATATTTATAAATGTATATATTGATGCCAGCTTATCTTAATTTTTTTTGATATTCTAACAATGATACAAAATTAGGTTGTTCTTTATTTGGGGAAAAGAAGTAGAGAATTTGAAGCCCAAATTAAAATGGCTCTTATAACTAATGTAGCCTGCAGGCTCTTTCAGAAGTGTGTACACCTCAAACTCAAAGAAGGAAAAAGAAAATGAAAAGGCAAAGATTAAGTTTGTTCTCTGCATAAGAGCATCTGCTTATCAAGAATTGACTCATCATTACTTTTATATATAATATTTTTATTTCAAAGAATTCTTTTGTTCTAAGACTTTATACATTTGAGAATCTTTTCCCCAAAACTATTATAGCTTCATCCATTTATTTGGGATAATTGAGCTATTCTTATCCAATAATATTTCCAAACACCTTCACGGCATGCCAAACTTCTGTTATTGGCAGAAAAAGATGTTACAGCTTTGTTTGTTACAACTGCACTTTTCACTTACTCTTAGAAGAAATTAAAACTTCCTATTCAAGACCCTAAAATTTCATTTATACATCTTGTCTCAGTGTCACATCATCCATACCTTTCATCCTTTAAGTTAAATAATGTAATTCTTACTCATGTACTCATGTTAATTTTGTAGTAAACATCTCCCCCCAAAAACAAAAGCTCACTTGTTTCAAGGATAATTTTTATTGATGAAAAAAATCTTGCAGATATGAAAAGATAATTTTTTTATTCCTATGACATTTTCTGTTTTTACGATTTTCTTTTCAGCAATGAAAACCTCTGATGTTCTCTTTTGGGAAGGTAGTTTATCCAACATAAGGATCCCATCCTTTTCCATAAATGAATCGATTAATCATGTCAAAAGCTCTCAGAGGCTGGTCATAGGGTAAAATATGTCCTCCACCTCGAATAATTACCTTAAAAAGAAAAAGTAAAAGAACGGAAATTTAGAGAAATGGATATTCTAAATACATGGAAAGTTTTCATTCAGATTAAACTCTATTTAAAACTCACATGAAATACAGAACATATTCTCCCAATGCATGCCTTTGGACAAGCTGCCTATCTGGCTGTTGATGGCTTTTGTAACAGGCATGTTAAGGTAGAAAAGTTTTAAAGCTTAGTTAATTTTACGCAAAGTTGTATTCTTTTCTCATGAGTGTAAAAATTGAAAATTATTCCTTGTCTTTTTCCTCTAGAGAGTGATCTGCCTGCTCCCCGCAGTTGAGAGTGCTGCACTGCAAGTGTTACCTGGTGAGGCCCACCTCCAGCCCACTACTTCTGGGGTATGTGAGGTCTGCCTGCAATGGGGTGGATTGTCTACTTAATTCCACCCTTCAGTTAGCCAGCCCAATTGTCCCTCACACTGAGCCATACCTTCCATTTTAGCCTTTATCAGTAATGAAGGGGAAATTTTGGTTCTCAAAAAAATTAAAAAACCAAAAACATCCTTGACTGAGGCAGGAAGATGACCTGAACCCAGGAGTTGGAGTCTGCAGTGAGCTAGGATCATGCCACATGCACTGCACTCCAGCCTGGTTGACAGAATGAGACCCCATCTCTTAAAAAAAAAAACCAAAAAACAAAAAAAAAAAAAACAAAACAAAAAACTTGACACTTGAAATGAAAGAAAGTCATGTTTTGAGCAGCATAGAGTTAGAACATTCTTTTTTTTCCTAATATTGGATTATAAAACATTTTAAAACATAGCAAATTCGAAAACAATTCATATAGTGACGATTTTGAGTCATGAACTTTCACTTTACTTGCTTTCTCACATAAGGGTGCCTCTATGCATCCCACACCCATCCACTAATCCATCTTATATTTTTGACACATCTCAAAGTAAAATGGGCATGTAGTGCACTTCCCCCACACACTTCAGCATCACATTATTCATCAGAGTTCAACATGTGTTTACAGATTTTCTTCTTTTGAGTCAAGTTAAGATACAATGAAATGCGCTAGTCTTAAGTGTAGACTCACCAGTTCTGACAAATGCAGACACCTACGTAACCCAAGCCCTTGTTGGGTGATATAAAGCATTCCTAAAACATCTCTAATGATGAGATCCAATCAGCAAAAGGGGACTGGTCTCTGTACTCGTTAAGCCTCTAGCGTCAGCTAATATTCCAAGTAGAGGGAAACGGGAAGCTGTCATGATTCAGTGCCAAAAGGGCAAGGACTGACACTGAGTGTTGGGAAGTTACATGCAGGAGAGGTCAGCCTGGCCTGAGATGTCTCGTTCCATATGTGGAGAATGGACAGGAGGTACCAGTGCATGAAGTGAATAAACGTATGCAAAAAGGACATCACTTTCAGTAACTTCTAGCTGCAGAATCACGATCAGCAATTAAAGGTCACCTTCACAAGGCCCTTCCTAAGAGGCTGGGTTCTTCTACTTGTCTCAATCTGAAGGAAACTGAGGCAGAAAAAGTATATTTGGATAGTACATTTATTATATTGAAAATCTGCCCCTATATCCCAACACCCTCCATCTTACAACCTTGACGTGCAGTAAGTAGGATTAACACTATTAGATGATATTTACCTTGCAGCTCGCAGCTATACAAGCTGTGCACTGAACAACTACAGGGAGCACCATTCACATGAGCATTGAGATGACTGAGCTATTTGGAATTATTCAGTGGCTTGTCCAAGTCACACAATTGTTAAGTGAGATAACTAGCTAGAACCCTGACTTCTGATGCAAACACCGGTGTGGTGTTTTTAATCAAACCCTCTACTCAATCATTCCTTATCTTTGAACTGAAATTTGCAGCTTAGTCACGGAACATTTTTATTCACCTCTCAATAGCCCTCTGAGGTTTATTGATGAAAAAAATTATTGCAGATATAAACATAATTTTCTGTATTTTTGTATTTCACATATTACAGTGAGGGAGGCAGATCCCATTTGCAGATGTGGGACCAGACTTAACTCTTTCACATGCAAATGTGAAACTTTTGTGTTTTGCTGCAGTTGATCAATGGTCATTTGTGCCTCACTGCAATGACTGTGAAACCCATCTACCATTTGTGTAGAAGCTTGCAACTGGAAACCCAGCATGCCCACTTTTTATCACAAACTGAAAGTAAACATGTGTGACAAGAACCCCTTCATAGGACTCCAGAGGGAAACTTTTGCCGCCCCGCAATCCCAGGCTAGACATTTCTTCCTGCAGATTTTCATCCATATCTTTGGCCCTGGCAGGAATCTGATGAGTGATTTCTGTGCAGCTTCAGCTCAGCTGAGGACACTTAACAAAGTCATATGTGTGACAAAACCCAGCTGCTTCAACTGGAAATGAGTTTGGCAGCAATGGTCCGGAACACCAATAAATTGAATACCCAAGAGCTAAAGGTCATCCTGCCCCCAGAACCAGTGCTGCAGCTAACAAAGGACAAACAAAGGATAGCACAGTGCTTCACAGCCTGGGCTCAGAAGTCAGAGTGCAGGAGCATGGCAAGAGGCACTGCACGTTGTGTGACCTTGGGCAAGGAACTTAACCTCACTGAGCCTCAGGTTCCTTTACTTTACAATTGGGAAACAAGTATTACCTCGTGGGGTAGTTGTGAGTTGTGTGAGGAGTTAGTGGAATAATGTCCCTGGAATACTTAGCACAGTGCCCGGCCTGGGATGGTCTTCAGTAAATATTGGTCATTTTCGTTATTCTTCCAACACTTATCTATATTGAAAATCCAGAATCAAAATGCCTATATCAGGAGGATTGCTTGAGATCAGGAGGATCGCTTGATTGCAGGAGTTTGAGGCTACAGTGAGCTGACTGAGCCACTGCACTCCAGCCTGGGCAACAAAAGGAGATCCCATCTCTAAATATAAATGAATATATATGTATATATGCTTATATGAACCTAAACTACCCTAGAACATGGTGTTCCTACATTTTCATAAAAAACCTTGGTTTAAAAAAGGTTGTTTAAAACAATGGTTCTTGGCTGGGTGCAGTGGCTCATGCCTGTAATCCCAACACTTTGGGAGGCTGAGGTGGGCGGATCATTTGAGGTCAGGAGTTTGAAAGAGCCTGGCCAACATGGCGAAACCCTGCCTCTACTAAAAATTAAAAAAAAAAAAATTAGCCAGGCATGGTGATGCACGCCTGTAATCCCAACTACTGGGGAGGCTGAAGCAGGAGAATCACTTGAACCTGGGAGGCAGAGGTTGCAGTGAGCTAAGATGGCACCACTGCACTCCAGCCTGGGCGACAGAGTGAGACTCCACCTCAAAAACAAACGAAAAAACAAAACAATGACTCTCAAATTTGAACGTGCATAAAAATACCTGAGCTCATTAAAAGAGATCGTGAGGCATCACCTCCAGACTTTCCAATTCGGAAGGTCCAGGGCAGGGCCTAAGAATTTGCATATCTAACAATTCCAAAGCAATGCTGATGCTGTTGTTCCAACTGCTTGTTGAAAACCACTGTTGAGAATTTTTTTCTACTCTGTGGCAAACCAGGGAATTCTCTGTTTACATCAAGGTAATTTGATTAACACCTACTCATGAATACAAGTAGAAATTTGTTTAATACCTACTCATGACCTCACTTCCTGGGTATCCGCTCTCCTGGTATTTACTCACGCACATGCGCACTCACACACACCTTCCCTGTCCATAATTATCAAGTGGTGAAGGAGCGCTGAAGGGGTCAGGTGTTCTTACTCTTCCTCTCAGTGACCTACCTGACCCTGGTCCAATTTCTGAGCTGCCATGTGTAATGACCCTAATGGCATTGTAAATTGTGTCATTAATATTGCGGGAAGAGAAAGCTTGTTAAGGGACAAAGTTGTTTCACATGCCACAAAATTCCCAAACAAAGCATATTCTTAAGCAGATTCACATACAGCATTTTACTGATATTAACTTCAAAAATAAATATATTTTTGAGTGTGGAAAAATAAACCACTCTTGTTTATAATCAAGCCACTCACCATTCACAAATCAAAGATAACAGACCACTTGGCAGCTTTTAGAGGTGAGTAACAAAATGTGTCAGGGCTGTAATTACGTATTTAAATGTGACAAGATTAATCTCAGGGCTCCCTGAATAGAACTGTCTATTTTGGGTGCCTCCACACTAGAGCTGCAGCCTCTAACTTCATGTGTTCCAGATGTTCCAGGGGGTCACAAATGTGTCATGAATTTCAACAGGGTTATACAAACACTTTAAAGCTTCATTCCACTTTATTTTTTAGAAAACAATATAATTCTCCCTGGAACTAGAAACAAAGACCTGCCAGTAAAGGTTTCCCAGTTGTGCCTGTTTAGATGACAGAAAAGAGAGGGAAGTTCACAGTGGGCTTGTTGATGTAGATGTGTCAGGGGAAGCTTCTTGGGGGTCTTGAAGGAGATCACTGGACGGAGAGTGGTGGGTGGGTGGGGTGGGGGTGGAGGGATCACCGCAGACAGAGGAAACTGTGTGTGGAAATGCAGGAGGCGTGGAAATGCAGGAGGCATGGAAATGCAGGGGCATGAAACTGTGGGCACGTGCAGCAGAGGGATCACCGCAGACAAAGGAAATTCTGTGTGGAAATGCAGGGGCCGTGAAGCTGCGGGCGCATGCAGCAGTCTGTATGTCGTCCCATTCATGCAGGAATAGAGGGAAACAGAAGAGACAGATGAACAGGCAAACGCTAGTGGGACCATGTGATGCCCCAAGTGACATGCTGGGATGAGTGGACCTTATCCTATCGGGCTTTAAAAGCAACTGTGGTAAAATACACTTAACATAAAATTACCACTTTAACCATTTTAAAGCGTATGATTCGGTAGCATTTAGTATATTCACACTATCTTGTTGCAGAATATTTTCACCACCCCAAAGGAAACCCATATACATCAGTAATCACTTCCCACTCCCCCTCTCCCCATCAGCCCCTGGCAACCATTAATCTGCTTTCTGTCTCTATAGACTTGCCTATTCTGGATATATCCTAGAGGGTTTTAAGTAGGGTAGTGACATGCTTATGTTTGCATTGTAGAAAAATGACTTAATGTCTAAGGAGAAGGCTAATTTGGAAGGGAGTCATACTGGTACAAGGAGGCAAATTAGGAGACTACCAAATCAGGTGAGAGGATGTGGGCTCATGGGAGGGATGGGGAGAAGGGGAAGGAGAAGAGGGTAGTAAGATGGAACCAATAAAATCAGTGATTAATCCGATATAAAGGTTAAGTGAGACTTTCTCTACCCATCCCCAACAAATCCTCCCCATTTCAGGCTTCTGACATGGGCAGATTTGCAAAGGTGGTGCTACTCACCAGGAAAGAGAAAAGAGCCACATGGGAGCTGCAAGTTTGGCAGGCAGAATATGTAGGATTGGTTTATTGTTTCTGCTTTCCAGTATAGAAAGATGCATACCCTCAAGAGAATCTGCTTGTTGTGGTTTCTGATTTACATGTAAGTTCTTTTCACTACTTTTATGCCATTCCACATTTACTAAATCTTATCTTTTAGTTTGCTTTCAGACACTAACTATAAGTAGAAATAACGTAAATAGCATTCAAATAAAAATATATTGAAAAGGTACTTGGGAACGAGAATAAAAAACAAGCCAAAGCTTGTTAGCAGACACTTCCTAACAAAGAATGCAATAAGTCACTTTCGAAAGAATGAAAAAACAGCAGAGATCAAGGCTGGGAGTTGCTTCAACAGCACTCAGGGAAACGATTCTTGAGGTCTCCCACTGTACACCTCTGGTGTAGCAAATGGTTATTGAATAGAATGAGAAAAGGAGCTTCTAGGTGCTTCAGGAGACCCACATGTAGCCATCATAATGGTACATATTCTAGAGCAGTTAAAACTTTTGGTGCTCCTTTACAACATCCCCAAGGGGCTTCCTATGTACACCATCTTAATCAGTTGCAACAATACTGTTTGTAATTTAGGACTTCCACTTCTGACTGTGACACAATAGCATGTACCAAACCAATCTTATTCCACAGAAAACAATAGAAGCTGAATTAAAAAGAAAATAAGCTGTTTAAAGGTATCAGAGAGCAACCAAGCCTTGAGAGAGGCCATGATCGTAGAGAAAAGGGAATCACAAGGAAGTGAGCCTAACATTTTGTGCTGCTTTTCCCTTTGGGAAATTCACCAATTTTTAAGCTTCTCTGACCAAGACGCCAAGTCAAAAGCGGCAGATAAGAGAATGAAAAGCTCATTAGTCTTACGGTGCTTGAGAGACCAAAAAACAAAAACAAAGAAAACCCCAAAAGAAACAACAACAACAAAAAATTGGAGTTGCAAGCCTGTCAAGGAGGGACAGCACTGGTAAGCACTGCAGGCTTTCCATCAGATCCGTGAAAGACAATGCCTTGGAAGTAATAACAAACCAGAAACAGGTTAGTCCTCACAAACCTTGAAATCAAGCACTGAATCAATCGTCTCAATCCCAAACTTTATCAAGGTGATATGCCTCTACT
Organism: Homo sapiens; assembly: GCF_000001405.40. NCBI lineage: Eukaryota > Metazoa > Chordata > Mammalia > Primates > Hominidae > Homo > Homo sapiens. Next base: position 29,002,410 of record NC_000007.14, read on the forward strand.
CTGTATGCCTTCTAGAAAAAATTAAATCCTTTTGGAAGAAAAATAACATTTTTCTTCATATATTTTTTGTACATTTTCTTCAACATTTAATAAAATTTAATAGGCATGACAAAGAACAAGAGCAATGACTAAAATTTAAGGAGAAAAAAAGATAACAGAGACCACAAATGATCCAGATATTAGAGTTACCAGGTACACATTTTAAAGTAACTGTGAACAAAATATGCAAGATGTTAGGTATAGAAAAATAATTCACAAGATAATTAGAATATATACAAGAGAATCAAATGGAAGTTCTTTAACTAAAAAGTTACTCATTCATTGTTCATTGAAATTAAGAACTCGATCGATGTTTTAGCAATAGATTAGGCATGCAGAAGAAACACTATATGAACTGGAAGTTAGGTCAGTAGAGGATATCCAGACTGAAGCATGGAGAATAAAGGTATGAAAATTCAAAAAAAAAAAAAAAGAAGAAGAAGACGACATGAAACCATGAAACATTTAACTTATGTTTAACTGGAATTTTAGGATAAAATGATAAGGAAGAAATGGGGCAAAAGAAACAAATAGTAACATTCAGAGATACTGACTGAAAAATTTCCAAAATTGACAAAAGTTACCAAGCCAGTTTTGAGAAGCTCTATGAATCCTAGATAGAATAAACACAAAGCAAACTAACCACATCATAGTACACATAATAGTATATTAGTAATAGTATATTACACTATAGTATGTGTATGTGCACACACACACACACACACACACACACACACACAGAGAGAATAGCATTTTGCTAAAAGCAAAGACAGAGAAAATCTTAAAAGCTGTCACAGAAAAGGAAACAGTACTTTCAGTACCTTCAAAGCAGCAAGAAAACTGACTATTCAACAGAAACAATGAAAGCTGGAAGACAGTGAAATAATATCTTGAAAGTTCTTAAATAAAATATCTGCCAACCTAGAACTTGTATAGAAATGAAGACCTTGTAAAGATATTTTCAAGGAAACAAAAAATTGGAAAAGGTTTTTGTCAGCAGACCTGCACTAAAAGAAGTACGAAAGACTGTTCTTCAGACAGAAGGAAAATTATCCGTAATGGAAACATGAAAATGCAGAGGAGAATGAACAGCAACTGAGAATTTACATATGTGAACACAAGTAAGGAGTATCAATAATTAATAATGTCTTCTGGAGTTTGAACTATGTAGAAGTTTTTCAAAAGACAGTACTTGCACAAAAAGGGTGTAAAGTGAGTTAAAGTGTTGTAAGGCAGCAGTCCCCAACCTTTCTGACACCAGGGACCAATTTTGTGGGAGACGGTTTTTCCATGCACAGTGTTGGGGAGTGGGGGATGGTTTGGGGATGACACTGTTCCACTTCAGATCATCAGGCATTAGATTCTCATGAGAAGCGCACAACTAGATCCCTCACATGCGCAGTTCACAATAGGGTTCCCCTCCTATAAGAATCTAATGCTGCCACTGATTTGACAGGAGGCGGAGCTCAGACAGTAATGCTTGCCTGCACTCACCTCCTGCTGTGTGGCCTGCTTCCTAAAAGGCCACAAACAGTTACCAGTCTGTGACCGAGGGATTGGGGGCCCCTGTTGTAAGGTACACTTTTATATCTGGACAATGGTAAATGTATTGACTCAAAGCTGACTTTCTTAAATCAGGATATATGTCATAATCTCTACATAAACATAAAGGATAGATAAAATAATCTACTATTATCAAGTTAATAGTGGTAAAAGGGGAGGGCAGTATGACTTCCAAATAATAGATTGAATAAAAGGATGAGAGTAAGTGGAAGGGGCATTACTGCATGATATGAGAAACAGACTTCTGACAATCAGGGTACTCAAATGAGAAGAAATCTTGTGATACGTTCCTTCCTTTTAGAGAGATACAGAATGAACACCTGAGAGGTGAAGACCTTTCACTCAAATCTGTTAGCCTTATTTCACCAGATCAGTTAGACGTGCTTTGAACGTGTCTATTAAAAAAAAAGTCATGGAAAATTTTCTCTGTATTAACTCCAAGAATTTCTGTGTTAATTTCAGCAAGGTTGGGATGAATTATTGAAGTTGAAGCTTTCTCTTTCCTTGGGCAGTATAGTTAATGAAAATCTAAAAGCAGAGTACAGGATAATAGGAAGCCATTTGGCCTGATGGTTAAGAGCACGGACTTGGGATTTGGTAGCTCAGGGTTTGAGCCCAGTTCTGTGACTTTGGCATAATGACTTAACTATCTCTATTTTCTCATTTGTAAAATGGGGATAAGAATTTGGGTGACCACTTGTCGCACTGTGCCTAGGACCAAGAGGTTTCTGGGAACATAGGGCTTTGAGTGCTAAAAGTAAAAAAGGGTCAGGCAATCTGGAATGGTTGCTTACTCTATGAATAACTTTTTGTAAGGATTCAGAGACAATACTTATAAAATGATGCAGGGCATCTGGTCTACAAATATGTCTTTTTTTTCTTTTCTTTTCTTTTTTTTTTTTTGAGACAGGGTCTCACTCTGTGGCCCAGGCTGGAGTGCAGTGATGTGATCTTGGCTCCCTGCAGCCTCTGCTTGCTGAGTTCAAGTGATTCTTGTGCCTCAGCCTCCCGAGTAGCTGGGATTACAGGCATACGCCACTACATCCAGCTAATTTTTTTTGTATTTTCAGTAGAAACGGGGTTTCACCATGTTCCCCAGGCTGGTCTCAAACTCCTGGGCTCAAGGGATCCTCCTGCCTCGGCCTCCCAAAGTGCTGAGATTACCCATCGCGCCTGGCCCATTACAAATATGTCTTAAGTTTGTACCATGTGCCAGTGTATTACAAAGATAATAAGGACTCAACCAGTGGTCACTCTACTACTATTATCAGAGTTTTTATGACAAACAGAGTATTTTTTTCCCTTTAAGAAGTGAAGAGGAGAAATTACAGCACTAATAAATATAACATTCATTACTGTACTTTTTCAGAAAAAAGGATTATAATACAGTCTTCAGAAGGGGAAATGTTTCTTTTCCAGGCTTCTTTGATTTCCCTTTTATGAATCCTCCCTTTCCTTGGAAAAGGCCCCAATGAAATTAATGAAGCAGCTTGAATGTGAAAGCAAACCTCTGTCACTGCACTCAACTTAACTGTGTCTACAGTGAGTTTTATCCCTGCCAATGCCATGATCCATCCCATTCTTTCCCTCCACCCTCTCTCCCCTTTCACCACATGCAATGCCAAACACCCTCTTCTTCCTACACAGAAATGCCAGGAAAGCAAGACCTTACTTGTCGTAGCAGAATGGCAAAAAACTGTTCTGTCTTTTTCCCCTTTTAGGAACCCACTTTACCACACAGGATTTGATGCAATTAAAAAGTAATCAAGATTTCCCATCCTCATTCTCTCCTTCCCTGTCCAGTTTTTATACTTGATATCCACAAGAGGATAAAAAGCACAATCCAGTTCATTATTTATACTTACTCAATATCTAGCTTTATGATCTACATTTGTAGTTTTCTTTTGGAAGAGAGAATAAGAGTGGGGGAGGAAGGGGCAGAGGTTATAGCAGTAAATGCTCTCGCCAGGAGTGCTGCAAGGACTTAGATCCTGACTCATCATCTTCTGTGTACCATGGAAACAAGAGCCGGCTAACCTGCTAAAGATTTACTTCCTGCAGACAGCAATGCAAGATAGTTCTAGCAGCAGTGTGTGGGCACTCCCTCACTGGATCAGGAGAACCAACTGTGCACATTGCTGCCCAACTCCATGTTTAGTGGTGTGAAGTTGGTAGCTTGAAATTGGCTGCGTGAGAGTATTTACACTATGGAAATTGGCAAATACTACAAATCAGTGCCCTCTCTCTTCAGTTTACCCTCAGACTCCTGGTTCTCTGACATTTTGGCTGTCCTGGGGAAAGAGGAAACATTCTGACATTCTTCTTCTTTCCAACGTGAACCTAAGGAACATCCACCTATCGTAAATTACAAGGTCTAAAACTTCTTTGAAACCTTGGCTCTGGAAATCAGATGAGCCAGATTTCAAAAATTTGCAGAAAGGTGAGAAAGGCCTGTCACTTGTTTCCATTTCTGCCTACCCTCACTGAGTTCTAGTATAAGTGACAATGATAGAATTTCAAGACCATGCTACAACATCTACAAGACTCTTCCATTTATATCAGAGCACCATGAGATGCTCCAGAGCTGATCTGTTTAGGAGAACTCCAGACCAGACAGGGTATCTGGATTCAACTATGTTCTCGACTCACAGCCTAAGGGAACCCCAGAACCCCTAAATGTCTCTAGGTTCTGGGAATTTAGAATACACAGCATGCCAAATAGCATGATATTTTCATGATGCCATTTGTTAAAATAAAACAAGGTACATAGTTTTTACTGCCAACCCCAAAACTGTACAAGGCAAAAATACTGCATTAGTCTAATTGACAACGTAGCACTATCTTAACACAATTTTTTCCATCCCTCTATTTCTCTACCCTACTCCATCTTCCGCCTTATTTGTTTATTTCTTGCTTTAACATCCCCACAAGTGATTTTGTGAGTCTTTGGTTACACTTCAAATTAAAACAACAAAAAGTTACTGTTTAAAAAGCAAATCCCAATTCCCTCTTTGTTCCTCAAATATCATTCTCCATGTGTGGATAATACTCTAAAATACAGACTTCTCAGTATTTATCCGCTTTCCATTTAATGAAATGGCTCTCTGTTAAATTTCAATAGATGATTAAAAACCACTCAACAGCCAAGAGAAAGTTACGCATTGTTGCCTAGCTGTTACACCTCAATAAATAGATTTGCTAGCCAATTTATATTTTAAATAATACAATAAATTAGCTCCCAGAGTACTAACTAAGTGCATATTTGGGTAGCTTAATTTAGAAGCATTCTTCTTATGCTAATCGGTCCTCTCTAATGAAATAGAACCACATGAACTAAGAAGACTTTTGGCAAATAATCAGAGTCAAATTGGGAGTTGCTATTGTTTATTATTTCCTTTGTCTTCAGGAAGCAAGCTGTGTGGTTTTTAAGAGAAGGGAAAAAAACAAAAACCAGGAATTCAATTATTTTTAAAGGAGAGGATGCTCTAGTCAGCACTGAGGTAATGAAATTTCTACAACTCCTTTTATAAATTTGTGTCCCAGAATATTTCTCATTTTTTCTCCCATGCAACACAGAAAGGAAATAGTCTTTAGCTGACATAAACAGTGTAGTCTTTAGTTTGAAGGGAATTGTTTTGAACTGTTCATTATCTCAGCATGTCTACTCTGTTTCCTCCAAGACACTTTGGTGTGTACAACTGGTGAACAATCATGACACTCCTTGAGAGATGTAGTATTAAAACACACACACACACACACACACAGTCAGAGGCAAAGGAGAGGGGCATGGGAATGAGGTAGAGGCCGATTTGATTTTAATTCACTGAACATTTACTCAGTGCCAAGAACTGTGCTAAGGGGTATGCTACAAAAATAAATGAATATTTTTAAAATAAATTATTCCTGTCCTCAAGGAACTTAGCATCGAGTAGAGGAGGAAGGCAATTAAAGAGTTGAAGTGTGAAACCCCAGTGTAGTACATACAATAGGAGATGTACGTAGATGGAGAGAGTTGCCAAGAAGGAGGTAATGTGGGGAAAGATCAAGCATACCAAGATTGCCAAGAATGAAAGGCAAATGGGAGTTTTCCAGGTGTGTCAGAGGAGTACAAAGGGCCTCACAAGGCAAGAGGAGGGAATCCCATGTGAATTTCTGGGTGCATGTTTGGGGGATGATATGGTATTTTGTTTTTCAACATTTTAATTGCAAAGGAGGGAGAGGGTAAGAGTTAAGGTTGGGAAAGGAAACAGAGGCCAGATCAAATCTTTTCATTAATCCAGGTAGAGTTAGGACTTTATCCTGCAGGTATCAGAGTTAGTGAGTGGTTTTAAACAAGGAAAACAACCACAGTTAAACTTGCATTTTGGAAAAAGCACAGAAGGGCAGATTGGTGAGGAAGGAGACTAGTTAAGACTAGGCAAGTGGGATATTGGAAAAGGAAAAAACGTTTAAACGACAACAATTTAAAACAGTTATTGAGAGTGTTCCTGAATAGCATCTTAAAACTTTTAAAATACCACAAGGCAAAAACTTGCATTTTGAAATTTATAATGTGGGATAGCCCTCATGTTTCTTTTAATGTCCACAAAATGCTCACTAGTTTTATTGGTTTATATAAATGCAGTGTTTTTCTTTTTTGCTAGTTCTTGTGGTTTCTATGCCGAGCACTAGGAAATGAATAAAATCAGGCCAGCAAGGATATCATAAAGCAGATGTGAGAAGTGCTAGCTAAGGAACTGGGTGGGTAGTATTTGCCAATTACTATTATTCTTCATTTTCTGGTAAGACTCACAGGAAAGCAAGTCAATAAAGTAACTTCTCTGCCTTGTTGTTTCAATGGAAAAGTGATGGGAGTGAGAGGAATTTTGTGAGAAAAAGATTCATTTTCTCCCTGTGGTCTGGGGATTGCTGGCGAGCCCAAGGCATAAGCTGAAATCTGTTGATTTTATTTACTTGCTGCTTCTTACTGAGCCACTGTTGGCAGAGTTGAATTGAAAAGGTGCTAAGGGAATAACTTTCTGATTTTTTTTTTGAGCTGGATATTTTGCTAGCCAACCTCAGCACAGGACACCCAGAAGAAAAATGAACCTACATAACCACCCGGACTTGGATGTGAAATGTCCACTCTGCCTTCGCTGTGTGTGTGTATGCCAGAGTCCTTCAATTTGATGGCATTAAAAAAAAAAAAAAAAAAAAAGACAGGAGACAGCTATGGAAAGAGAATACAAACCATGACTTTTAGACGTGAGAAAGGACAGTAAGCCTTCCTTTAATTTAATAAGCTCAGGTGAAAGAACTAGAGGCAAGTCCAAGTGTTTGCTGAGATCATGGAATAATCAGAACTCTTATACTTTACCGGCAAGAATAATCAATTTGGAAAACAGTTTAACATTATCTAGTGAGGCTGACACAGACACAAGGAGATATGTGCAAAAATGTCCATAGCAGCACTATCTGTAGAAGCAAAATACTGAAAACAACCCAAATGTCCATCGGCAGTGGAATGGGTGAATAACACGTATATGATGAAATACTATGCAGCAATGAAAAAGAATAAGACACAATTGAGCATATCAACATGGGTGAATCTCACATACAGCGTTGAATAGCAAAAGTATGTTTTTGCAAAATACATACAGAATAATTTCTTTTCTATAAAATTAAACATGAAAAGTAAAATATTATATATGGATACGTATGTCTGCAGTAAAACTATTAACAAAGAAAAAAGAAAGGGGATGGTAAAAGCAAAATTCAGGACAGTAGTCTACCTCCAGGGGTAATTAGGAAGGGCAATGTCGTATTTTTTAAACCAGCTGGTGAGTACAAAAGTGTTCATTTATCACTGTTTTATCTTAGACAGCATGGTAAATATTCTTTGGTATGTATTCAATTTTAAATTTAAAAGAAGAAAAGAAAAACCACCTGCTGATGCTGCCATCCTTGCAAAAATGAATCTTTAGGAAATTTAACATGTTCTCTGCTGTGCTTTTTTCTTCTCCCCTACACAGAGATGATGAGATTGGCCCCATGTCTGAAAAACAGTATGTGGGGAAGGCCTGGAGAAGCAATTGAACTGAAACAAAGTCAAAAGTGGGAAGTCCCCCTCTGGCAAGCAGCTCTAAGATGACAGAGCCGGTGCCAGAATCTAAACCTTGGGACTCTGGTTGCTGTATAAAAAAATAAATATTAGGAACAAAAATAAATACCCACATCTCCATGCTGGACAGCAGAAGAGCAATAAGTTGCCAAATTTTTTTTTTGTTTTGTTTTGATAGTTTTTTACTCTCTAAATGTAAGCTCCTATATTTCCTGTCTTCCATATGTTAGAAGCTCAGTACAAACAGGAGAAAAAGAAAAAAAAAAAGGCTGGATGCACCTCATTTGTTGTCAACAGGGATGTTTCAAATTATTGTTAAACTAGAAGGGACTCAATGCTTTAGAAACAACTCATTACTCAATTCAGCCACTTTTATTTCCTATTAGGCTGTCATATAGCAAAATGTCCAACACCGCCCCATCCCTCTCTGCTACTACTACCTTTTGACAAGACAGTCTCTTTGTTAAAGTCAAGTTAAAACTGGATACAGCTGTGGTAGTTTCAGGCCTATCTGACAGACAATATTGAACTCATTTCATCATCTGAAACTTTAATACAAAATGTCTCTTAAGGACTCTATGAACAGAGCAAGAGGTTCTTGCCCTGTGAAAATAGATTAATGCTAAGAGAGCTCCCTAATGGCAATAGAAACCAACATTTATTTTATGCTTATTAGGTGCCAGGTAGAGAGAGGGTCAAGTAATTTATAAGCATTATCTCAATTCATCCTAATAATGAACCCTCCTGTGAGAGTGGTGGGTGATAATATTATCCCCATTTCACAGGTGAGGGGGTTCTTGGAGAGGTTAAGTAACTTGCCCAAGGTCATACAGCTGGTACATGGTAGAGCAGGGATCTATTCCAAGTCTAACACAGTATCCATTCTCTTAATCCCTATACTATAATGTCACTTGAATATGGTAACAAAAGTAGTTAGAATTGCCAGTGTAATCAACTAGAAACAAAATTCAAGCCTACTTGATAGTTTAGCTCATAAAATCTGTCTGGTATCACCAAAGGTGATAGGTGATTTGGGCTGGGGAGAATCTATAAATTATTTTCAACAATTCAAATAGCCTAATGCATGGGTTCTTAATCTGTTTCTGTGCTACAGTCTCCTATGACTGTCTGGTGCAGCCTGTGGACTACCTTCTCACAATAATGTTTCTAAATGCATGCTGGCTGGGCATGGCGGCTCATGCCGATAATCCTAGGACTTTGGGAGGCCAAGGCAAGAGGATCACTTGAGCTCAGGAGTTTGAAACCAGGCTGAACAGCATGGCAAGACCCCATCTCTACAAGAAAATACAAAAATTAGTCAGGTGTGGTATCATGTGCCTATGGTCCCAGATACCTGGGATGCTGAGGTGGGAGGATTTGTTGAGCCTGGGAGTTCAAGGCTAAAGTGAGCCATGATGGTGCTACAGCACTTCAGCCTAGGTGACAGGGCAAGTCCCTGCCTTAAAATAAATACATACATAATTAATACAGAGTGCATATGCATCCACACATATACATAGATAATATACAGTGAATTAAAATCAAATCCTAGGCTTTGCTAGGATTGCAAATGAAACACTCCACTGAAATCATCAAAACAGTAAAAAAAAATTGTGAGATAGCACATACATACTTGTATATTAGCACATTCAGTAGGAGAAACCAGAGGGTCTGAAAACTACTATAATTTTAATTTTAGTGATAAGGATAAAAGGTTTTCAACATATCTATAACAGTGTATGTGGTATTTGGTATGAGAATGTCTTTGCTTTCTATTGGTGACAAAAGTCAAAGGTACTGCTGTGCCACTGTGATTTGTTGCCTACATTTATAATGGAAGGAAATGTGAAATTTCACAATTCATAATGAAAGGAAATGCTATTTCAGTTAGAGGTTAGAGAAAATAAAGATGCAGTTTTTTCCCTTCCAAGTTCACTGACAACTCCTTGAATCCTAACCACAGACCCTTACTCCAGGTTAAGAATCCTTATTAAATAGCCTAATGAGTAACTAATGGAAATACTGAGCTTACTTATAATAAGACTTCACAGTCTAAAATGTGGCACTTTTTTTTTCTTTGCTTTGACATGGAATTGTATGAATCTATTATCCAGAAAAAAAATTCACTGTGGCTAGTGGACATCTTTGCTGCAAACCATCACTCTGGATGATGTTTAAAGCAGACAGTGCTTGGTAGTTTTTTCTTTGTTGAAAGGCAACACAGACACACTACTATCTAAGAGCACTGCACACCAGGAACACGTTGTTTCAGTACAGCACAAAACTGCTGGGAAAAGGAAACTAATGCTTTTAAACAAATAAAAGAGTTTTCTTACAAGTCTAAATTGCCAGTGATCTATCAATAATTAAAAAGAACAAAGACCACTTGTAAACCTGCAGTGCATGGCAGGGACTGAAGTCTACAATTTAGATTAAGGTTTTGGCTGATGATTTCAGAGAACCAGTGCCATACCAGTTGATACTACTGACTGGAAGACAGAGACAATGCTTCAGGTCAATGGCTGATTTGTAAAGAGTAAAACTGTGTTCTCAAATTTCTGGTTAGCTTGTAAGTAAAAATGGATTTAGAACATACTTCAGGAATCAGAATGAAAGTTTCTCCAAACATATGCCACATGGGGGTTCCTGCCAGATGGAAGCCATGTCATTATCAATAGAGGGACAAAAGACATCATAGTTTAGGGTTCCCAAACTGGCTACATATTAGAAACCTCTTTGAAGCTTCAATACCAATGCCCAGGTTCCACCCCAGACCAATAAAATCAGGGTATCTACAGAGCAGGTGTGGAAATCTGTATCTGCAAAGGTTGAGACACATTGGTTTAGGGCAAAGGAGGAGATTAAAAATGGCTCCAGATTCTTTGCCATTCTTCCCACCAAAAGGAATCTGCTTTGCTCTGTGTTTTGCATTGACCAGGAGAGAATGAAATGGAAATAATGTTCTGGGACTTTTGAGTACAGGCCTTAAAAGGACTGGCATCTTCTGCTTTTCCATTTGGAACACCAGCCTGCTGTATTGTGGAAAAGTCCAGGCCAGGACACTACATGATTAGAGGTGGTATGGAGAGAGCACTGGAGGAGAGGAGATCATCTTGGATGTCCCAGCTTTAGCCAAACTCCCAGCTGAATGCAGCTGCACATGTGACCTCAGCCTACCCCATCTGAATCAGACCCACCCAGCTGAGCTCACTCAATCCACATATTTGTGAGAAATAATAAATTGTTTGAAGCCACTAAGTTTTGGAGTGATTTATTATTCCATGATAAATAACTGAAAAAGGGAAATATTTTCTGATGATTCTTTAATCCTTTTCCTGAAAGATCCATCTTGCCTATCTTGGAATCTTGATATGAGTTAAAAACCAAGGCCTGATCCATCTTTCTAAGGCAGATATAAGACATAATTACACTGAGAGCTTAGTCAAAATTTTATGTCATGCAAACAAAGAAAGACCAAGTTCCCATATTAGGCAAACCACCAGCTCCCGCTGCTCCCAACTCCCTGCCCCCAAATCCATGAGAGCTAGCAAGTACATTATCTGGGTGGCCTTTGTGGTAGACATAGAGATGCACCCCACTGGACCTCTCTTCAAGGATGTACTTGCTGCTCCACTGCAGGGAGTGCATTCAGCAGACAGCCCCCAGCTGTCAGCTCCTTCGGGGTCTGCCTCAGCTGCAAAGAGCTGCCTTTCCCAAGATGATGACCTTCCTGGGGCAGCCCAAATTTGGTGAGTCAATGAGCTGGGCATAAAAGGCCTCACTATTTTGGCCCAGTGTGGGACACTCTGATAGAAAATATGCTCCCAAGAGTTCCCTGCCTGGTTTGTCTGGCCTGTATCACAGTTTTATTTCTCCCTTGGTCCAGTCTTGCTCCTATACCCTTCCTTCCACAGGTGTTGGTCTCTAACAAACTATTTGCACCCCAAACTTTGCCTCAGTGCCTGCTTTTGGAGGACCTAACCTGTGACTTCAGAGAAGCTCTCTGGCTGGGAGGTGGGGTGTGGTTTGATTACTGTGTTCTGGTTTTCTGCCCACAGTCAGATTTCCATAAGTGGACAGAGGAACTTTGCCCCTGTCTGGAAGATAGAGACAAAGAACCCGTGAAAGAGGACATCCATCATTGTAGAAGGCGACTGCTGGTGGGGGAGATGAAGACTCTGTTTGCCGATTTCCTTAACAAAGCCAAAGCTTTTTGTTTTGTTTTGTTTTGTTTTGTTTGAGACAGGGTCTTACTCTGACGCCCAGGCTGGGGTGCAGTGGCGTGAACATAGCTCACTGCGCCTCGACCTCCTGGGCTCAAGTGATCCTCCCATCTCAGCTTCCCAAGTAGCTGGGACTACAGGCCTGCACCACCACACCTGGTTAATTCTTTTAATTTTTTTTTTTGTAGGGACAGAGTCTTACTATCTTGCCCACCCAGGCTAGTCTTGAACTCCTGGGCTCAAGCGATCCTCCCACCTCAACCTCCCAAAGTGTTGAGATTACAGTTGTGAGCCACCATGCCCAGCCAAAGCTAAAACATTTTTCCAGGGAATTAACTATATTTGATTATCATTGCCTTAAGCCTATTTAACAGTTATTTTCCTCCATTCAATATGTTTTTGAAAACTTCTCTTTCCCTCTCATCTAGTCAAATGCAAAAGTGACATTTTTTTGCTTGTTGCTTCCTCTGACCATGTCAATGTTATCAAGGACCTGCTGAAGACCCTTCTGGAACTGTTCCTTCAGAAACAATTCATAATGCTTCCTAAGCTGTTTAAAATTCTTAATAAAACACACAAAAAATGAATTGTCAGCAGTAATTCCGAGAAAGGCAGGTGGCTAGCTGTCTGTCATTCCTTCTGTGGACTATCTGTGAAAATGTTCAAATCCTAGCCTGATCGTCCACTCGAAGGACTAGAGTCATTCTTTCCTCCACATTCTAGTTGTGTGTAGTCAAGAAACAAACAAAAGTTAATGTGAGTTTTAGAAAAGCACAATTAGGAAGCTGTGGTCGTTACTGCTTTCTGCAGATGAACCATGCCTCCTCCATCCTCCTCCTTTTAAGAACTCTTCTTTCATTTAGGGAACAAGTATTCTATGGTGGTTAGCATGTGCTGCCAAATATTCTGTCCACCACCACCACACCACCGCCTTGCCACCATCACCACATACCCCAAGGGCAGTGGTATGGTTTGGATCTGTGTCCCCACCCAAATTGCTTGTCTAATGGTAATCCCCAATTTGGAGGTGGGGCCTGGTGGGAGGTGATTGGATCATGGGGCAGATTTCTCATGAATGGTGCTTTCCCCACCATGTCTACCTTGGTGCTGTCCTGGCAATACTGAGTGAGTTCTCACGAGATCTTGTCATCTAAAGGTTTAAAGGTGTGTGGCATCTCCCCGGCTAGCTCTCATCTGCTCCAGCTTTGCCCTCTGCCATAAGTGAAACTCCCTGAGGCCTCTTCAGAAGGAGATGCCGTCATGCTTCCCGTACAGCCTGCAGAACTGTGAGCCAATTAAACCTCTTTTCTTAGAAATTACCCTGTCTCAGGTATTTCCTTATAGCAGTACAAGAACAGACTAATACAGCGGGGCATGTAGCCTAGATCCGGCTACAGTTCATCCTTCCCCACTGCACTCCCCTCACAGGTACTTAAAGACACTGTGGGGTGGTGGAAAGGTCAGAATTTGAATTTTCAAATCTCAGATACTATTACTGTTCAAAGCCTTAAGCAAGTTTTTCAGGTGAAGCTTCTGTTTCTTCAGTTATGAGTTAGTAAATAACATGACATAGTTTATAGGATAGCTACTGTGATTCCACAAAATTGTGGATTAAAAAAGTGTGTGGTAGACCGTGGCCTGAGAGCTCACAGATGCGGAATCATCGGTCGCCATCCTTATCATCTCTTTTGACCTTCCCATCACCCCTATGAAGTAACTGTTCTCACTCAAGAGTTTCCAGCATGGTGGCTCATGCCTGTAATTCCAGAACTTTGGGAGGCGAAGGCTGGTGGATCACCTGAGGTCACGAGTTCGAGACCAGCTTGGCCAATATGGTGAAACCCTGTCTCTACTAAAAACACAAAAATCAGCCAGATGTGGTGGTGGGGACCTGTAATCCCAGCTACTTGGGAGGCTGAGGCAGGAGAATCGCTTGAACCCAGGAGGTGGAGGTTACAGTGAGCCAAGATCATGCCACTGCACTCCAGCCTGGATGACAGAGTGAGACTCCATATCAAAAAAAAAAAAAAAGTTTCCAGGACCAGTAACCAGCCCACAGCTAGCAAGCGGCAAAATGAAAGTTTAAACCAGGTTTGTCTAACTCCACCTTCTTCTCATGTCATAGACCCCCTCCAATTGGTGAGGGCTTTCCAGAACAGTCAAGCTTCAGGGTGGCGTGCTCCTTCCCTTTGGTTTCCCTAGATGTAACCTCTAGCTGAAGGTCTGATTCCTGTTGGAAACCAGGACATTTTGGGAGAAGCCCCTGAGCACAGTGTGGCAGACCACGGGCCTGAGGGCTCCATATACTAAACCCAGGTCAAGGTCAAGGTGCAAGTCTTGGTGCAGGGCTTGTGCTTTAGGGGGCTGAGGATGCCTACTAGGGCCATTGAGGAAGTGCCAGGGACGCCAGCATGCAGTGATCTTAAGTTGGTGGGGACACACAGTGAACACCATCTCTCAAACAGGGAATCAGTCCTCACAGCTTGGGCATTCCAAACCTTATTCCCCACGACCTCTATTTCAGGACTTCCAAACCAATATCAAGAAGGTGGACGTATTAAATAGATGGAGAATCTTCTTCCAATAAAGCTCCTTATATGACTTCCTATTTCTAGAGTTTCCTCACCCTGAATTCATCCTAAAGTTACCATTATAAACTTCCCAAAGAACAGCTTTTAAAATGTGCTTTCAAACCTCTGATGGCTCCCCACTGCTTAAACAATGGAACACACACTCCTTGTCTACTATCCAGGCCTGATGTTCCCATTCTGGTTTCTCTCCCACCTCTCACTCTCCAAGCTGCAGGCTATGAGCCAGACTATGCACTCTGCCCTGTGCCCTGCCCCATATTCTCTTATCCATGACACTGCCCACCATATTCTCTCTGCTCATTTTGGCCAATTTCAGCATGCATTCTTTTAATATCACAAGTTCCCCGATAAAGCCATAACTTTTCTTGACATTATATGAACCTGGCCTCACCACCAAATCTTAGTGCCTTTGTAAAAAACCCAATCGGCTGGGCGTGGTGGCTCACGCCTGTAATCCCAGCACTTTGGGAGGCCGAGGCAGGCGGATCACTTGAGGTCAGGAGTTTGAGACCAGCCTGGCCAACACGGTGAAACCCCATCTCCACTAAAAATATAAAATTAGCTGGGCATGATGGTGTGTGTCTGTAATCCCAGCTACTTGGGAGGCTGAGACAGGAGAATCACTTGCACCTGGGAGGTGGAGGTTGCAGTAAGCCAAGATCATGCCACTGCATTCCAGCCTGGGCAACACAGCAGGACTCCCTCTCAAAAAACAAAACAAAATGAAACAAAAAACCCCAATCTTCTCTCTGTCTATAGGAGGTGGTCACCTTGGGTGTGGATTCAGAGCTAACACTAGATGTGAAATACATTATTTCTCGGCCCTGCTTTAATTATGGTAGGCATGCATATAGGCTCCAATTTTAACTGTACCAGCATACTGCTGTGATTCCATTATTCCAGTAGTGGATATGCTTGTGAAGTAGAGAATCTCTGGGCTGTAAGCCAAGACTCTAACCTCAGCTCAGACATGAAATGGGTAGGATACTTCAGGGAAGTCACTTAACCTCTGGGTTTCAGTTTCCCTTCCCTGGAAAATGAGACCTAAAATTCATTCCAGCCATTAAATACAACCTAGCCGAGATAATCCATCTTGTAGTTTTGGAAGAAAATGGAATTGATATTGACAGTGAAAACATAAAATAAAAATAGTAAGGGCTCAAATTGCAATCAGGAAAATCAGCCTGTTGGAGATCATGCAAAACTCATGATTATAGAAGCTACACCCAGTAAGATTCGGTAAAAATGAAAACTGCTCAATGACTCAACATTTTTTCAATATTTATATGAAAAATAATTTGTGTCAATAAAGATATTTTCAATAAAATAACGATGAAAAAAACAGAAGTGTTTTCTTTCTCCAGGACATTCAGCTTAATGACATTTATTCTAAAAAAAAAAATCTTAAAGCAATTTCTCAGTATGGTTATTATTCCGATTAAAATTTTTAATCTTTTTTTTTTTTTTTTTTGAGACAGGGTCTCACTCTGTTGCCCAATCTGGAGTGCAGTGGCGCGATCTCAGCTCACCGCAACCTCTGCCTCCCAAGTTCAAGCGATTCTCATGCCTCTGACTCCCGAGTAGCTGGGATTACAGGCGTGTGCCACCATGCCTGGCTAATTTTTGTATTTTTAGTAGAGATGAAGTTTCACCATGTTGGCCAGGCTGGTCTCGAACTCCTGGCCTCAAGTGATCCACCCACCTTAGCCTCCCAAAGTGCTTGGATTACAGGCGTCAGCAACCCTGCCCGGCCAAAGTTTTAAATTTCTTAATGTGGAGTCAAAACTTCCTTAGGGCTGGCATGTTAAGAATAAAATGTCCTACATTTCAAATGCAGTGACAATATCAACTCAGATAATGAACAGCAACTTTGATATTTGGAGAAAGGCACAGAAAGATCCCAAAAGGGTGGCCTTGAGAGCAATGGCCATGGGTTGTCAACAGACAAGGAGAAAGAGGACTCAACTTCTGGGACCCAGAGATAACACTTGTAAGGGTTTATGGTCAATGCCAGTGCAGAGGCTACCCATGACTTTGGTTATCACGTAGCCTGAGATTTACATTTTGTGTATATTTCTATCTCAGTGGCTAGAGATAGGTATATGGTATATAGAGATAGGTATAAATATATATATATATATATTTACATATCTATGTAAGCATAGAGAGCATTATGACATTTGCTGAAAGACACTACACTATTCCACATTGCATTGCTGGCTGAGCCCCTCTGGGCATTAATGAAATATAGATATTTTGGATCTTTGTTAGGTGATATCTTAGAAATAAGTTAGTCCAGACCTTGCATTTGACAGACAACTTCTAAATTTGACAGACGCTCAGAAAGTCTGCTGCTCGGATTATATAACAGGGCAGTGTCCAATCCTTAAAATGGCACCAATACCAAAAACTTATTACCTTCTAGGTCAGAGCCAACAAGGAGGAACAAGAAGCACTTGCTCTTCATCGGATCTCTGAAGGCTGGTGGGAGCTGTGTTTGATTTCTCTGGGCATGGCTTGATGTGAATACACAGGGAAAATTGCTCCCTCTCTCGGTACCGTACTGCTCCCCTAGGAGAGCTGTCATTTCTTTAAGTGGACATTTTAGGTAACCATCCAGAGACAAGTCTACTTTGGTTTCAATTTTTTAAATTAAGAGCTGTAGTGTTTGGCAGAGAATGAGGTTGCTTTTTTGGCAGACACATACCCATGCTTCTGTTTTGTGTGTCTAATGCTGAAAAGCAAGTCCATGGCTAAGGTCCGTTTTCTTCATTATCAGACGCTTGACACTTGGACAGTATTCTTAGATAAACCTCACAGAGAATGCCTTTGTTCACACGGGAGTGCTTTTCCCTCCTCATAACCCTCATCTCCACAAACCACCCCAAACCAACGCTGAGGCACTAAGGGGGAAGGATCTTTGCCAACATTTTAAAATCACCTATACAAAATGCAGATCCCTTGCTGCGTGGTAAAACACTCACTATCACAAACATATGTGGGCCTTGCTTCTTTTGTTACTTGTTTTTTTGGCAGCCAGAGGAGTACCATTTCATCTCTAAATGTGTTTTGCATTCACAAGAAGAGTCAGCGGGTTGAGTGTGATATTTGCCACCAGTTTCTGACTGGCGGCCAATTCCTTTTACCACCTCTGTGGGACTTGTCGCCCTGAAGCAGCAATCTGGCCTCCCAAGCTGGACGTTTTATGCAAAGAGCCAAGCAGGACACATGTGGGATGCCAGGCCTGGGAGCATTTCACAAGGCTGGTTCAGGGGATATAAAATAACAGGTGGTGGAGGCAGCCATCAAATAATCTTGAGGAGATCGTGTGTGTGCCTGGTGAGATGTTTATCACAAAGTAGTGTAGCAGATGGGGGGAGGTAACATGTCCACCACTCCCTGGCAGCTCAACATTCAAATATGCCCTTAATGGCCTGAATATTAATATTCCAACTTTCCCTTATATGTTGACTTTCAATAAACATATTTTCCTGAATCCTGACTATTACTATTTATAATTTTTTCTTCGTTATATGTACTCTTGTAAGCAATCCAGGGTAATAATAATAAAAATAAAAATAGCAAAATTTACTATGAGCCAGGAATTGCTCTAAGCTTATTAACTTATCCAAACCCTCTCAACAGTCCTATAAGGATACCATAGTGGATGGCTTAAACAACAGGAATTTATTTCTCCCATTGGATGCATATTTTAGAAATAAAGGCTAAAAATTCATGTTGTTTTTAAAAAAACAATAGTCACACACAATGAAAAGAATAGCAGGAAGATAATAAGGATAAAGCACAAATTAATAAAAGAGAAAGCAAAAATATAATCAAGAAAAATAAAGATAAAAATTGGTTCTTTGAAAAGAATAAAATTGTTAAACCTCAGGCAAGAGAGGTGCTAATTACTAAAAACACCAGAGATCTTAAGAAACATTAAATCATATTAAGATGATGTTACAGGCCGAGCGTGGTGGCTCATACCTGTAATCCCAGCACTTTGGGAGGCCAAGGTGGGTGGATCACTTGAGGTCAGGAGTTCGAGAACAGCCTGGCCAACAAGGTGAAACCCTGTATCTACTAAAAATACAAATAAATTAGCCAGGTGTGGTGGTACATGCCTGTAGTCCCAGCTACTTGGGAGGCTGAGATATGACCTCATGTCCTAGAAGGCGGAGGTTGTAGTGAGCCAAGATCATGACTGGCAGACAGAGTGGGATTCTGTCTCAAGAAAAAAAAAAAGATGATGTTATAAAGCAACTTTATGTCAATGAATCTGAAATTTTGGATGAAATAGACAAATTCCTGAAAAAAAATTACAGCCTATGAAAACTGACACATGAAGAAACAGAAAAGGTAAGTAATCCCATATCTACTTTAGAAATTGAATCTGCAATTGAAAACCCTCCGTTGGAGGGGCTTCAAGATGGCTGCCTGACGCACCTGGCTGTCACCTCCTTCACGAAGAAGGACCAGAATGGCAAATAGATAATTAGATGTCAAATAGAACATCTAAAGAAAACAATGGAATTCAGCAGGAAAGTGACTGGGAACTTCTGAGGCATAGAAGGAAAGGGAAGTGAAGCAGCTAACCCAGCCAAGATCAACTCAGAGCCAGGGGAAACTCCCACTGTGGGTAAAAGGTAAATGAGAGATTCCCAGCAGTCAGCAGTCCATATTCCCACCACAGACTCCTATAATTTTAGCCACAGGAGAGCCCCTCAGCCCTCACAAGCCCTGAGACTAGTATAAAGAGATGCCTGGAGTCCATGTAATGACATTGTTCTACAGAAGATGTTCACACTGGGTCCCACACATCCCCTGAGATTCAAGCAGCTACGGCATGGTGCCATTTTGAGAGGCCGGCCCCCACCAGACTACATCACACCTTTGGGGCCCAATACCCACTACATATCTACATCCCTGAACCCCTGCAGACACCCCCCTACATCTACTCAAAGGTTTACAGCATCACGATACTGGCTGGAGCCAGCAGTGCAGATGCGTCCCCAAAACTTTAGCTCATGCAATGTCTTACGCCCCAAGGAATGGGTAGTGAAACACACTGGGGAGGCTGCCCTAGGGACAAAGGGAGCCAAAGCATGTACTCTCCAGAGCCTGAGAGCTGCCTGCCTGGGGCTGTTGCCACTGACAGCAAATCCTTACCCCCCAGCAGCAGGGTGGCTGCACACCTGCACATATCTTAACAGGGCCTGGGAACTGGCTCACCCAGGCACTGTCCAAGGACCTGAGGACAGGCCCATCTAGCCTGCCTCTTGGCCCAAGGACACCATCCAAGGTCCTGGAGATCAACCCGGTCTGCTTGCCACCAGGAGACCTAAAAACAGGTCTGCCTGTCTGCCACCACCACCAGTGCCCACACGCATCATCTGGGAACCAGGAGGCCGACCTACCACCCCCACTGCCACTGGTGCCCACATACATCATCAAAGTGCCTAAAGATACCCATTGCTACTACAACTGGCATCCTAGTGTGCCATTTGAGGGCCTGGGGATTGATCAACCACACACACTGCCACACGCATCACCCACATATGCCATCTAGAGGCCTAAGCATAGGCCTGCCTCTGCACTGCCTTCACCTGTGCCCATGAACATTATCCAGGAGTCTAGGGATTGACCTACCCCACCCACTGCCACTGGCATGCATACATGCCTTCTATGGAGCTGACAATGGGCCCGCACAGGTTGCCAGTGCCTGTGCATGTTGTCTGGGGGCCTGGGAATTGATCAGCCCTGCCTGCCACAGCCTTTGTAT
Source organism: Homo sapiens (assembly GCF_000001405.40). Taxonomy (NCBI): domain Eukaryota; kingdom Metazoa; phylum Chordata; class Mammalia; order Primates; family Hominidae; genus Homo; species Homo sapiens. The sequence goes on from NC_000007.14 coordinate 29,022,711, forward strand.
GCACACACCATTGAGGGGCCTGAGGACAGCTCCAGCTCACCTGGCCCCACCCTCACCAGTGCCTGTGGGCATTGTCCAGAGGCCTGGGAATATGCCTGCCCTGCACATCCACACCTGGGGGTGCTAAGGACAGGCCTCCCCAGCCTGCCAGTGCATATGCACATTATCCAGAGGCCTAGAGATCAATACACCTTTCCCGCCAATGCTGGAGCCCATGCATTCCTTCCAGGGACCTGAGGATGTCCACTCCCAGCCTGTTGCCATCACCTCCACGAGCAGTCACCTGTATATGTACCACCTTGGGGCTGGGGGACTGGCCCACCAAGTTTGCTGCCATCAGTGCTAGTGCCCACTACTGCTATCGCCATTGGTGATGCCATGCACACTGCCCAGGAGTTCAGTGATCCACTTGCCAGCCTGGCCTACTGCTGCCACTGCCAGCACTTTAGCAAGTCACCTGGAAGCCTGTATTAGTCTGTTCTCATGCTGCTAATAAAGACATACCTGAGACTGGGTAATTTATAAAGGAAAGAGGTTTAATGGGCTCACAGTTCCACATGGCTGTGGCAGGGGGGCTCACAAACATGATGGAAGGCAAAGGAGAAGCAAAGGCCCATCTTATAGGGCAGCAGGCAAGAGAGCTTGTGTGGAGGAACTCCTTTTATAAAACCATCAGATCTCACAAGACTTACTCACTATCACGAGAATAGCACAGGAAAGACCTGCTCCCATGATTCAATTACCTCCCACCGGGTCCCTTCCATGACATGTGGGGATTATGGGAGCTACAACTCAGGATGAGATTTGGGTAGGGACTCAGCCAAATAATATGAAGGCCCAAGGATCAGCCCACTCAGACCTGCTTCTACCAGTTTCCATGTATGCCACCTGGGAACCCAAGAAACAGCATACTGGTGCCAAAGAACTGGCCCACCTGGTGTCCCAATCCATAGCAAAACCTCACTACAGTGTCTACTAAAAACCACAGCCTAACCCACTGAGGAACTCGAAGATACCACTGACACTGATTATAGCTGAAGAAGTCATCTGAAGACTACATTACTGTGCCCACCCAAAATCAAAACCAAAGTGCCCTACACAACCAACCCTACAGACACATCTATTGGAAAACATCTTTCCTACAAAAGTCAATTCAAAAAATCAGAAGAAGGGACTGTTACACCAGATTCACAGATATCAATGTAAAAACAAACAAACATGAAAAAGCAAGGAAATGTGATATGTGTAAAAAAACAATAATTCCCTAGTGACAGATTTCAATGAAAAATAAATCTATGACATATCTGGTAAAGATTTCATAATAGTGTTATTAAAGAAGCTTAGCGAGATACAAGATAACACAGATAAATAATAGAAGGAAATCAGAAAAACAGTTCATAATCAGAATGAGAAATTCATCAAAGAGACTGATACATAAAGAAGAACCAATCAGAAATCCTGTAACTGAAGAATTCAATGAATGAAACAAAAAAATATAATCAAGAGCTTCAATAATAGAGATCAAGCAGAATACTTTTTGAAGTAGAAGAAATGTCTTTTGAAATAACTCAGACAAAAAAGTACATATATATAAAGTTTAATAAAGAACAAAGAAAGCCTACATGACATATGGAACACCATAAAGCAGGCAACCAAATATTCACATTTTGGGTGTTCCAGAAGAAGAAGAGGTAAGCAAAGGCATAGAAAGCTTACTTAATGACATTATAGCCCCAAACTTCCAAAGTCTTGCAAGAGATATAGGCATCTAGAACAGGAAGCTCAAAAATCTCCAAATGGATTCAATCCAAAAATGTCTTCTCCAGGGCATATTATAGTTATACTGTCAAAAGTCAAAGACAAAGAAAGAATTCTAAAATTAGCAAGAGAAAATTGTCAAGGCACATATAAGGGAATCCCCATCAGACTAACAGTTTTCTCAGCAGAAACTTATAAGCCACGAGAAAATGAGATGGTATATTCAAAGTGCTGAAAGAACAAAACTGACAACCAAGATTACTATACCCACAAAGCCATCCTTCAAAAAAGAAGGAAAAAGAAAGTCTTTCCCAGACAAGCAAAAACTGAGGACATTCATTACCATTGGACTGGCCCTACAAGAAATGCTTAAGGCAGTCCTATAACTGGAAGTGAAAAGACGATACCTACCATCAAGAAAACATGAAAGTATAAACTCACTGGCTTCTCATAAATGAGAAAGAGAAAAGATTCAAATGTTACCACTACAGAAAACCATCAAACCACAATGATAAGCAATAAAAGAGGAAGAACGGAACAAAGGATATATAAAACAACCAGAAAACAATGAACAAAATGGCAGAAATAAGTTCTCACCTATCAGTAATAACTTTGAATGTAAATGGATTAAATTCCCCACATAAAAGACATAAACCGGCTGAACGGATAAAAATAAAATATGATCTAACTATATGCTACTGCGTTAGGCCATTCTGCATCATAATAAAAACATACCTGAGGCTGGGTAATTTATAAAGGAAAGAGGTTTAATTGGCTTACAATTCTGTAGGCTATACAAGTATGGCACCAACATTTGCTCAGCTTCTGATGAGGGCTTCAGGAAGCTTACAATTATGGCAGAAGGCAAAGTGGGTGCATGTGTTTCACATGACAAGAGCAGGAACAAGAGACAGAGATGGAGGAGGTCCCAGACTCTGTTAAATACCAGGTCTCACATGAACTGAGTGAAAACTCACTTATCACCAAGGGATTGGTGCAAAGCCATTCATGAGGAATCTTCCCCATCACACAATCACCTCCCATCAGACCCCATCTCCAATATTGGGAATCACATTTCAGCTTGAGACTTGGAGGGGACAAACATCCAAACCATATCAGCTACCTGCAAGAAACTCACATCAGCTGCAAAGACACATACAGACTGAAAGTAAAGGAATAAACAATTATATTCCATGTAAACAGAAACCAAAAGTGAGAAGGAGTAGCTGTACTTAGATAAAACAGATTTCAAGATAAAAATTGTAAAAAAAAGTTTTCAATTTAGCAAGAGGATATAACCATCCCAATTATATTAAATATATGCAGCCAACACTGGAGCACCCAAATATATAAAGCAAATAGTATTGGATCTAAAGGGAGAGATAGGCTCCAATACAATCATAGTCGAGGACTTCAACAAACAGTCTCAGAATTGGCCATCATTTAGACAGAAAAATAAGAAAGAAACGTCAGATTTAAACTGCACTTTAGACAAAATGGAACTAACAGACATTTACAGAACATGTTATCCAACTGCTACATAATGCATTTTTTTCTCATCAGCACAGGAAACATTCTCTAGGACAGATCACTTGTTATGCCATTAAACAAATCTCAACAAATGTAAAATAATCAGAATCATATCAAGTATATTCTAAGACTACAATGGAATTAAACTAGAAATCAATACCAAGGAAAACTTTGGAAACTGTATAAACACATGAAAATTAAAAACATGCTCCTGAATGACCATTGAATCAATTAAGAAATCAAGAAGAAAATTTAAACATTTCTTGAAACAAATGAAAATGGAAACGCAAAATACCAAAACCTATAGGATACAGCAAAAGTAGTGCTAAGATGGAAGTTTATAGTAATAAATACCTACATCAAAAAAGTAGAAAGTGTTTAAATATACAACCTAAAGATGCATCTTTAAAAAACTAGAAAAGCAAGAACAAACCAAACCCATTATCTTTTGTTCTAAACCCAAAATTAGAACAAAGGAATAATAACAATCAGAGCAGAACTAAATGGAATAGAAACTAAAAAGAAATACAAAGGATCAATGAAATAAAAAAGCCTGTTTTTAAAAAAGATAAATAAAATCAATAAACTAGACTAGGCTATACTAATCAAGAAAAAAAGAGAGAAAACCCAAATAAATAAAATCAGAAATGGAAAAGGAGACATTACAATCGATACCACACAAATACGAAGGATCATCAGAGACTATTATGGACAACTTTAGCCTAACAAACTGGAAAACCTAGGGGAATGGATAAATTCCTGGACATATACAGCCTACCAAGATTGAACCAGGAAGATATAGAAAACTTGAACAGACCAATAAAGAATAATGAGATTGAATCAGTAATAAAAATTCTCCCAACAAAGGAAAGTCTAGACTGGATGACTTTTCTGCCAAATTCTACCAAACTTATATGAAAGAGCTAACACAAACTCTTCTCAAACTAATTCTTTAAAATTAAAGAGGAGGCAATTCTTTCTAATTCATTCTACAAGGCTATCATCCTGATACGAAAACCAGACAAGGACACACACAAGAAGAAAACTACAGGCCAATCTCCCTAATGAATATAGATGTAAACATCCTCAACAAAATACTAGCAAACAGAATCCAACAACACATCAAAAAGATAATACACCATAATCAAGTGGAATTTATCCCAGAAATGCAAGGATGGTTCAACATATGCAAATCAATAAACATGATACATCACATCAACAGAATGAAAGACAAAAACTGTAAGTTCATCTCAATAGATTAAGAAAAACATCTGATAAAATCCAACATCCCTTCATGATAAAAACTGTCAACAAATCAGGCATAGAAGGAACATACCATAACGTAATAAAGGCCATATACAACAAACATCATCATACTGAATAGGGAAAAGCTGAAAGCATTTCCTCTAAGAATTGGAACAAGACAAGAATGTCCCCTTTCACCACTCCTATTCAACATAGTACCAGAAGTCCTAGCCAGAGCAACTGGGTAAGAAAAAGAAACAAAAGGCATTCATACTGAAAAAGAGCAAGTCAAACTGTTTCTCTTTGCAGCTGACACGATCTTTTATACAGAAAAAACTAAAGACTCCACCAAAACAATTTTAGAACTGATAAATGAATTCAGTAAAGTTGTAGGATACAAAATCAACATACAAAACTCACTAGCATTTCTATATACTAATAATGAACTAGCTAAAAAAGAAATCAAGAAAGCAATCCCATTTACAATAGCTACAAAAGAAATAAATAACCTTAAAATAGATTTAATCAAGGAGGTGAAAGATCTCTACAAGGAAAACTATAAAATGCTGATGTAAGAAGTTGAAGAGGACACAAACAAATGGAAGACATCTCATGCTCATGGATTGGAAAAATTAATATTGTTAAAATGATCATACTGAATAAAGCAATCTACAGGTTCAATGCATAACTATTAAAATACCAATGGCATTTGTCACAGAAATAAAAAGACCCCAAATAGTGAAAGCAATACTGAGCAAAAAGAACAAAGCTGGAGGCATCACACTACCTGATTTCAAAATATACTACAAAGCAATAACAACCAAAACAGCAAGGTATTAGTACAAAAACAGGCACATAGACCAATGGCACAGAATAGTAAACCCAGAAATAAATCCACATATTTATAGCCAAATAATCTCTGACAAAGCTGACAAGAACATACACTGGGGAAAGGACACCCTCTTCAATGAATGGTGCTGGGTAAACTGGGATCCATATGCAGAAGAATGAAACTAAACCCCTATCTCTCACCATATACACATAGAATAAGCTCAAAAACGAAACCCCTATCTCTCACCATATCCATGTAAAATAAGCTCAAAATGGATTAAAGACTTAAACATAAGACTCAAAATGATAAAACCACTAGAAGAAAACAGGGGAAACACTTTAGGACACTGGTGTAGGTAAAGCTTTTATGGCTAAGACCCCAAAAGCATAGGTGATAAAACCATAAACAGACAAATGGGTCTATATTAAACTAAAAAGTTTCTTCACAGCAAAGGGAACAATCAATAGAGTGAAGAGACAACCTGTAGAATAGGAGAAAATATCTGCCAACTATCCATCTGACCAAAGACTAATATCCAGAATATACAAGCAACTCAAGCAACTGAAGAGCACAAACCATAAATAATACCATTAAAAAGTGAGAAAAGGGCCAGGCGTGGTGGCTCAAGCCTGTAATCCCAGCACCTGGGGAGGCCAAGGTGGGGCAGATCACGAGGTCAGGAGATCGAGACCATCCTGGCTAACACGGTGAAACCCCATCTCTACTAAAAATAGAAAAACTTAGCCGGGTGTGGTGGCAGGCGCCTGTAGTCCCAGCTACTCGGAAGGCTGAGGCAGGAGAATGGCGCGAACCGGTGTGGTGGAGCTTGCAGTGAGCCGAGAGATCCTGCCACGGCACTCCAGCCTGGGCAACAGAGCAAGACTCCATCTCAAAAAAAAAAAAAAAAAAGTGAGAAAAGGATCTTAATAGACATTTCTCAAAAGAAGACATACAGGTGCCCAACAGGTATATGGAAAAATCTCAGCATCACTAATCATCAGGGAAACGCAAATTAAAACCACAATGAGGTATCATCTCATTGGAGTTATAATGGCTATTACCAAAAAGACAAAAAATAACAGATGCTGATGAGGATGCAGAGAAAATGAACTCATACACTATTGGTAGGAATGTAAATTAGTACAGCCATTATAGAAAACAATATGGAGGTTTCTAAAAAAAACTACAAATAGAATTACCATATGCTGCAGCAATTCCACTACTTGATATTTTTCTAAAGGAAAAGAAATCAGTATATTAAAGGAATATCTGCACGCCATGTTTATCATAGTACTATTCACAATAGCCATGACATGGAATCACCCTAAGTGTCCATCAACAGATGAATGGATTTTAAAAATGTGGCATATACACACAATGGAATATTACTAAGCCATAAAAAAGAATGAAATCCTATCACTTGCAGTGACATGGATGGAACTGGAGGTCGTTATGTTAAAGGAAATAAGCCAGGCAAAGAAAGACAAATATCGTATGTTCTCACTCACATGTGGGAGCGTAAAAAGTTAATTTCATGGAGGTAGAGAATAGAATGATAGTTACCAGAGGCTGGGAAGTGGGGATGGGTGGGAAGACGAAGAGAGATTGGTTAAGGGGTGCAGACAGTTAGATAGAAGGAATAAATTCTAGTGTTCAATAGCACAGTAGGGTGACTATAGTTAAGAACGATATATTGTATATTTCAAAATGGCTAGAAGAGATTTGAAATGTTCCCAATATAATGAAATGATACATGTTTGAGGTGATGGATATCCTAAATACCCTGATTTGGTCATTAACATTAAATACATGTATCAAAATATTACATGTATTCTATAAAGATGTACACTTACATATCGACAACAACAACAAAACCCTTCCCTCAAACAAATCTCCAAGCCCAGATGGCTTCACCAGTGAATTCTCCTAACACTTAAAGATACCGTTTCCAACAACAGAAAGAGGAAACACTTCCCAACTTATTTTATGAGGCCAGTATAACCATGATTCCAACACTTGAAGAGGACATTGCAAGAAAGGAAGATGATGAGAGTAACATCTGACCCCGCAGTGGAAGTTGCACTAGGGTGTCAGCTAGAGAGATTTTGTCCTGAGGCTCCACATGTAATATAAAAATGTGATCATACATTTGCCAGAGGAGATTGTGTTGAAACTTCCTTTATAATTTGCCAAGTTCTCTCCCCAAATAGACTGCAATTCTCTCATTAATGATTTGCCTCTTTGGACTGAGCACTGTCTTTTTAATGAATTGTCTCCTTACCTCTTGAACAATGCCTAAACTTTTGTCTGGTTTTATATTTAGTCCTATGTATGTCTGAACTCAGACCACTCTTCTCTGTGGAAAGTAGGGCCACAGAAGACACACACTGGCTGTTGTATGGCTTTGCTTAAGGTCGGCCATGTCTCATTGCTATTCAGGCTTTATTTTCAATCCCGCTCTCCCATTCCCACAACCTGCCTGCTCCCAAGCATCTTCCTACCTGATGGAAGTCACCCGCTTGCCGGATGTAACCAGCCACTTCACTGTCAGATTTAAAGATCTTCCAAACTTTTTTTTCTGCCTTCTTGTATTCCTGGGATCCTTTCCAGTCCATGCCCATCAAGGAGCGCTCTGTCAGGGCAGCTGCCACGATGATGTCCAGTTGGCCATTGTAGATCAGAACCTGAAATGAAATCAAGCCATCAGCAAATGCAAGATTCAGGAGGTGAAGCTCATGAATCGAGCTAGGTATAAATAGTGAGCCAGTGAGAGAGAAAAAGAGACATGAATCTCTCTGAGATTTTCTTCTAGTTAGCCATAAAGAATAACAATCCGAAATAAACTCAAGCCTTGTCTCTACCACTGAATTCTTCATAGTAATCTGCATAAAGGCCTCTCTTGGTTGCAAAAACATTTGTGTTGTATTACTCAGTGATACATATATACAGGTTTTACTTGGACTTATGGCTATGTTAAGAAGGAAGACTGTGGTTACATTTTAGTGGAACTAAGGAATACTACCCCCTAGGATTTTCATGAAGCCTGCATTTCATTAACTTCAACTTCAGGCAGTGCAGTCGCTGGCAAGCTGAGCTTTCTCTTGGGTATTGCTAATCCATATTGCTCTCCTCTCCTACATTGATTTCAGTAGCAAGTATAATTTTTTTGCAGCAGCAGACAGAGAGATTCAGGTGCCTCAAATTTGTTTCTTATTGGAAGCAACTATGCCTGCCATGCCACTTGCAAAACTTCCTTTTTAAAAATATGATAGCTGCTTGTCAACAGTGAGGAATGTTCTTTCTTCCTAGAATACAATTTTTTGTATGTGTCAAACTGATGTTTATCATAGGAAAAACAACACTGAGGTAACTCTTTTCATTAATCCTAAAGCAATTTTCAATTTGCTTGAAAAAATAATTCAGATAATTCCCAATTCTGATAAAGTTGTAGAACTAATGGGGACAGTATAAAATGGCTCTTCTTTTCAGAAAATCAGTAGCCAATTTTCTGCCCCCAAACTTAAAAATGTTGAAATTCCTTGTCCCAGTAATTTCAACTTGTAGAATATATTCTAGGAAAACAGGTCCAAAGAAATTTTAAAAAATTATATATATTCATTGAGTCTTATAATGAAAAACTCAAACACAATCCAGAAGTCCTATAATTGAGTAGGTAAATGCACAACAGTATAAGAATTCTATAGGATATTATAAGACCATTTAAAATGTTTCATTGAACCATGATGCAATGTGGGAAATACTTATCACATAATGTTAAGTATGAAAGCAGAAAGTCAAGTATAATGTATATCACAACTATAACTATAAAAATCAATGTACATATTCACATATATGGAATACAAAGTTTGAAAAATGTTAATATTTAGATGGTGGAAATCTGAGTAATATACTCTCCTTTTTTTCTACTCTTACGCTACTTTTATGCAACTAACATATTAATTATCATAAAGTATTGCCACTCCACCTCCAACAAAGAGGTCGGCCTCAACTCCATGCTACTTTTGATCTATTTGAAGGCTCTGATTTGGCCCGAGTGGAGACCTTTGGTTGAATCCTCAAATTGGATATAAAATATTTCACTGCATAAGTTTCCGTCTTTCCCTTTACGGTGCGGGTTCTTAAAAGGCTCAAACATAATTAAAAAGCCCAGGACTTTTACACACTCCAAATCCTCAAGCAGCAGTGGGACAGCAGTCAGACTAAGATGAAAGAGCCCTGGGCCCCCACTGCAGGAACACGGGGCCTTTCATGTTACTCAGTCACCATCACCACCCCCACTCTCCTAAGAAGAAACCCACAGGAAAATCCTGATAGATTTAAAGCCTGTTAAAAAAATTCAACTGAACTCCAGTAATAAAATATTTGCATTGTTTATATAGAGAAATTACCTCAAAGACCTTGAGTACTCATGGCCTCTGCAAAACCTCCTATAGTTGTTTTGGCCAACAGTATGGAAACAATTATATATGATTAGTACCAGTGAACAAGACTTAATTACTTCACCATTCTACGAAGACCTGATTATAGCTGATTAGCAAAGATCATCAAGCATAAAGTGATTCTTCTTCTAGAATTCAGTGTAAAAGATGCTGATCAATCAGCAAATTCATAGTGCATCCATTTAATTTTACTCTCCATGGCCACTACAGGCAGCTTGCATCTCTCATGTGTCTCCCACAGCTTTCTTTACTGACAATCATTACTATATTTTGAAATCAATGTGATGTTTTTTTCATCCTTAAGGGACAATAGCAAAGTCCCCATGTTACAGCAAAAACACATTTATATGTACAGCATTATATTACATGTTGAACTGACATGGAATGAGGACCATCCCTGAGTTGTTAGTCAAGACTTATCTTGTTAGTCAAGACTTATCATAACAAGAGCACCAACTCTCTGGACCAAGAAACAGCAAAGAGCTGAATTGCACAATCTCGCACAGGCAATGTGTAGAAGGTCTACTTTTGGGTACAAATGGAAATCCTTCCTTTGCAAAGCAAGGAAACCATTTTGTATTTCTGAAGGGCACATAAGTCAAATGCAACAAAAAAGAAATCAGAATAACGATCATGAGAAGTGATTTCAAAGGCAGGCCAGCATTAAATATAAGAATTCCAGAGCTCTTATTTGCACCTAAATGTCACATTTACTCTCATGAGCCCCTATAGGAATATCCCAGTTAGGTGCCTCTAGGCTGGGTGAGTGGATGAGATAGCCTAGGACCCAGTGGCTGAGCATGAGAAGCAGGTGGGCACGGCATAGGGGTGGTCCTGAAGCCCAAGGGCACACGCTGGCTACCCACATCCTGATAGAAAAGTTCCAGGGAGGAACTTAGCTCTGACAAGGACAGGTTGGCCAAATATGTCTACACACTCATCCCACTTCTCCCCCGGTAGGGTGACCAACTGTCCCAGTTTGCCCTGGACAGGAGTTGCCCAGCAAGACATGCAGTGCTAAAACTGGGACACTCTGGAGCAAACTTACCCCTAAGGCTTGCTGGTATTTTAAGCAACAAGGTCTAAAGACAGAAGGGAGGAGACAGAGATGAATGCAGCTTTTAGCTACACTTCCCTTGTCAATAGTGATTGGAACAAAACAAGGAACAAGGAAAGAGCTGGTTGGAGTTGGTCTCCAGCGACGTACTAGGCAGTGCCCTGAACATGCATTTCCTCACTTTCCTTTCTGGTCAGCTGTAGGCCTCTGGTAAGGGAGCAAAGCCACTGCTTTTAGAGACTTCTTTTACTCCTTAGAGGGCTGGCTGCTTAGCTTAGTGAAACTGATGGTTATGCAATGTCACAGAAAAATGCTTATCTTATGAAAAAAATCAATGAAAAACTGAGACTTCACTTGTTTGTACTCTAATTATCACATATTTAAAAATGCTTCAAACCTGGGGAAAGAACAAATCAAAATACAGTTATTTGAGCTATGGTTGATTTATTTTAGATTGGCTATCTTCTAGGTTTCTGTTTTGTTTTGTTTTTGGCAAATGTGGTTACAATCCTTTTTTTAAATTTTTTTTAAGAGACAGTCTCACTATGTTCCCCTAAGCTGGAGTGCAATGGCACAATCTTGGCTCACTGCAACCTCCAACTGCTGGACTCAAGCCATCCTCCCATCTCAGCCTCCCGAGTAGCTGGGACTACAGGTGCATGCCACTACACCCAGCTAATTTTTTTGTATATTTTGTAGAGACGGGGTTTCGCCATGTTGCCCAGGCTGGTCTTGAACTCCTGGGCTCAAGCAATCTGCCCACCTCAGCTTCCTTCCCAAAATGCTGGGATTACAGGTATGATCCACCGCACCTGGCCATAGAATGCTTTTTATTTATTGATTTATTTTTCTTCAACTTTTAAGTTCAGGGGTATATGTGCAGGTTTGTTACATAGGTCAATGTGTGCCATGGTGGTTTGCTGTACAGATCATCTCATCACCTAGGTATTAAGCCCAGCATCCATTACCTCCCTCCCCCTGCACCCTCCTGACAGGCCCCAGTATGTGTTGTTCCCCCCATGTGTCCATGTGTTCTCATCGTTTTTTACAAAATAATTCTTTAAAAAGTTTAATTAATTAATTAATTTAGAGACCAGGTTATGAGACTGGCTATTTTTCGTATTTTTGGTAGAGACAGGGTATCACCATGTTGCCAAGGCTGCTCTCAAACTTCTGGGCTCAAGTGATCTACCTGCCTCCTTAAAGTGCTGGGATTACAGGCATGAGCCACTGCACCCAGCCTAGAATGCTTTTATAATGGAAAAAAAAAAAAAAAAGAACAATAATGCTATGAGGTTGGATACCTCAGTTTGGCAAAAGATGAGTCTTTTGGAGAAATAATTTGTAAGAATTCAAATACTACCATACCAGCTCTCATTTTTTTTTTCATGACAACTAGGTAAAAAGCTTAATTTTAATTCATAGACAGTCTTTAAAAACTCATTCCAGAATTCAAGCCTTTCCAAGAGACGGCATTTGGTGACTTGGACCACAAGCATCTTTTTCTTCCTCTTTGTCAAAAGGCAGAGATGAGAAAAGCATCTTTATTATTATTAATTCTTTCTTGCTTTTCAACCTGCTTTCATGTGCATAGAGCTTTATTCTTGTACTGCTTCACAAGGTCAGGAACAGAAGTGTTCCACTGTCCGCCTCCACTTTACTGTTATGGAAACTGTGATACTGTGAGGCAACAGAATGAGTCCTAGATCCCGACTTCCACCCTTCTACCTAAAATTTTTCCTTAAGAAAAGAGCTAAAGTTCCTTCAAACCAACAAGCATTTATTGACTCCCTGCAGCTAACCATTTAGTGCTACCAAAAGCTGCTGGAAACTGAGAGTTAGTTGCATATGAGACACAGTTCACATCTCCGGTTCAGAAACAATCTTGCTCTGTTTGTCTGGCCCTGGTGACATCTCTTAGTCACCTCTCACTTTGGCTCTATGGACAGGATGTGTGTGAGGGCATTACTCACAGTTGGTGGGGAGTGGCCTTGCTAAACCGCTGTGAAATACCAGCAGTGCCTTAAAAACAGGAGCTCCCGAGTGCGTGCTACATCCCCAGGCCTTGCACAGTGCCTGGTACCCCATAAAACCGATGGACAATTACAGGGTATGGATTCTGCTCTTTAATGGTTTCATGTGGTGCTGTATAGTGACCATCTGCTGCTTTTGCATGCCCAGGTCCACTCTCCCTTCTCCTGGAAACTGTACTTTGTGGGTCACCCACACCTTCAGTGGATACAGCCCTGGTGGGAGTTGTCAATCACAGTGTCCTGCCTCCTCTGGCAAAGGATAAGCACATTACCTAAGTAAAGGCACTCAAATGCTCTTTCCCTGGAATTGGAATCATGGGCAGAGGACACAGAGTTCATTGATAAGTCTACTCATTAGTTTTGCTTCCTAGATCCCTAGAATTTTCCCCAATCTGCTGTTCTTTCTTCACCCCACTTCTTCAGTTTTTCCATGAATTCTAAGACCTATCCTGTCTTCCAATCAATTCCATTCATGCTTCAAGTAAGCAGAGTTATTTCTGTCACTGAAACCATGAAATCCAAACTCATACACCTTCGGACCAGTGCAGTGCATGCCAACACACCATAACTGGAACTCGTAGACATGTGGGTGAACTTCCAAGAGCTTCAGCCCCTTTTCTGGACATGAGGATGCGACGAACTATACAGAATTGTAACGAGAACTAATGAGACCATGTACACAAAGTTCCCAGCACAGTGCCTGACACAGAATAAGAGGTCAGTGAGTATTAGGTCCTCCTCCTTCTCAAGCAAGTTGATCATCTGATAATGATTGGAGAGACTCGACACAGCACTTCTTCTAAATAAACCTTCAGAATATAGGGATGGTCTTTCTGTGTCAAATACTTGGTTGTCAATCTCACTCTTTCAGAAAAAGGCCGACTGTAGGAAGAAATCCAGCCAGGATAAACCTGAACTCTATATATATTCAAGCTCTCGAAATAATAACACACCCTTGACTACTAATTTTGCATGCATTGGCCACTGCATCTCAGTCTTTTCTTGAAAGTTAGAGCCATAAATTCATGTATTACTCTTTTAAAGGAACTTCTAATTCTGAAGCCTGGAATTCAAAATCACATGGAATTCCCCCACACTTAAATGCTAGAAAAGTGTGGTAAAGACTATGGCTTTTAAAAGGAAGTTTTTGAGTAATAATAAGACTCTCTTGTTGTTTTTCTTATTATGTTCCAGGAACTGTGCTAAGCATTTTACAGCATTCTCAGAAGGCAGGTGTTATTTATCCCATTTTAGGCACAAGGAGGCAGAGGTGTAAGGAGGTAAGTCAGTGTACCATGATCCCCCAACAGGTGACTGAAATTCAAGTTCAGATCGACCTGAGCCCAAACTGTGTGCTTCTAAGTGCTCTTCCACATTGCCTCACTACTGTCTAAGGTCACTAACCTCCATAAGAACACATTGAACAGGTGCTTTATTCTATATTTGTAATTCCACAAGCAAGTGGCAAACCTAAAGTGTGACTCTTTGACATTAAGGATATATGTTTATAGTTATGTGCATAAACTCTATGGCTGGGTTTGAATCTGACCCCTGCCACTAACTGGCAGTATTATCTTAATTGAGTTAGCCCATCTAGAGCTCAGTTTCTTCATCTGCACAATGGGTATAAGAAAAGTGGCCAGGCGTGGTGGCTCACACCTATAATCCCAGCACTTTGGGAGGCCGAGGTGGGCGGATCACAAGGTCAGGAGATGGAGACCATCCTGGCTAACACGGTGAAACCCCGTCTCTACTAAAATAAATACAAAAAAAAAAAATTAGCCGGGCATGGTGGTGGGCGCCTGTAGTCCCAGCTACTTGGGAGGCTGAGGCAGGAGAATGGAGTGAACCTGGGAGGCGGAGCTTGCAGTGAGCTGCGATCGCACCACTGCACTCCAGCCTGGGTGACAGAGTGAGACTCCATCTCAAAAAAAAAAAAAAAAAAAAGAAAAGAAAAGAAAAGCACATATGAATCGGGAGTATTTATGAAACATGATGCATGTGAAGCATGATAAAGTACACAACGGTACAACAATTTCCAAATGAAATGTTACCTATGGATTAGAATTGTGACTTAGGATGGAGGAGTTAGAACTCCATAAATAACTGCACCAGGCACGCCACTGACTGGACAGAACTAACAGCAGAAGCTTATAAAAGTAGCCGACACTTTCAGACAGAAGTCTTGACCTCTGGCCCTGCCTCAGCCCCGCAAGACCTGTGCTCACTGAGTGATCTTGGATATGTCATCTACTCACTCTGAGCTTTAATTTTCTCCTCTAAATAGTGGAAATAGCTACATCCCACAGCTGTCAGGAGGGCAAATAGGATACCAAACCTAAAGATTTCCTATAACTTGAAGAGCAGGTTTTACCAATGTTTTTATTGCTCTTTATCAAAGATAAACTAAAAAATAAATTCCTATACTGGAGTGCAGAGGTCTTAAGTTGGCTGTGTGAGGCTTGCATTCAGCATGCAGATGTATTTGGTTAGTCCAAATGGTGTTGTTGTAACTGTTTTTCCATTTAGATGCCAGTGTTATGGACCAAATGTTTGTATCCTCCCAAAACTCAAATGTGGAAAACCTAACAGCCAAAGTGATGGTGTTAGGAGATGGGGCCTTTGGAGGGTGATTAGGGGATAAGAGCAGAGCCCTCATGAATGGAATTAGTGCCCCTACAAAAGAGACCTCAGAGAGCTCTCTATTACTCTTTCCACCATGTGAGGATACAAAAAGAGGTCAGTAGTCTGCAACCCAGGAGATCCTCACCAGAACTGATCATGCTGGTAATCTCATCTCAGATTTCCAGCTTCCAGAACTGTAAGAAACAATTTTTTCTTGTTTTTAAGCCCTTAGTCTATGTTACTATGTTACAGCAGCCTGAACTAAGACAGTCAGCATTTAAATATTCGGAGATCTGACCAGGCTGGGCCTGTATTTCCTCTCAGCCACAATGAGCTAACACTTTGCGGAGCTGTAACCCTGAGGCACACCCCCACCCCTGCCCTGGTATCCTCACACACACAGGCACAGGGTGGTTGTCATTTATTCAATGCTTATGCTACTGTTTTTCTTAGAAGAGAAAAATATTCTCTGTATCCATACCTCTGTCATGGGTAAAAAAGATCAGTAGGTCTCAATCCAACACTATCCATTTATTTCACTTCCTTCCTGGATTTGCAGGTGGTTAAGTGTTCCCTCCATCTGAAATGGAAGGGAAGTGGCCTTTTGTCTGAGTTGGAGAAGAGGGCATGCTCACTTGTGTATGTAGTGTGTTTTGTTTGTTTTTTAGTTTACTCATATGAGATCTCTGCCTATTCAACAGACACGTTTATGGAGAGACTAAGGACTAAGTACCATGGGAACAGGTATGGAAAGCTGTGACCCCTGTCTTTCAAATGCTTCAGATTTTTTTTTAACTTTTCAAAGCAGTGAATACTCAGAAAAGGAAAGGGAAATTTATGCTTTCATTCTTTAAGTTTTCCTTAGAAGAGGGGCCAAGAAAAGTCAGTTTCACTTAAACCTTTCTAAAATGCTAGTCCTTTTAACAATTCAAATCATAAATTGAATTTCAGGTTCTAGATGCACATAAATCAGCAGTTTATTCATGAGTTTAACTATCTCAGCAAGAAAACCTTCTCCTAGTAAAGACCTAATGAACAGAATCAGATGAGAATTAACCCTTATTTTAAATAGAGTATGCCTCTGAGGGGTAAATAATTTAAGGCAGATATAAAGCAACCATTTTAGCCAAAGATACCTGCAGAAGAGTACGTTTACAGACACCTAGAAAGATTCCACACTCTATAAGCACAGATTTTCACTTAAAATTTAAGTCAGGCAGTGCCATGATGATAATCAGAGGTGAAAAAAGAACTCTGTGCTTTTAATACAGCCTGAGAGATTAGAGACAGAAATGTATATAAGTGTGCATTTTAGTTTATTTTCATTGTTGCTAGCATGAAAGGCTAAGACTGAAAATAAATCATGTGAGGTCCACTTACTGTTCTAAACTTTAACCATTTTTTGTTGTGGTTAAAAAAAAAAAGCACACATGTTACTGACAGAGAACACAAAACTTTTCTCTTTATTCCCTGCTTACAGCTCTTACTTATTAGGAAAATTACAGAAATACCAGAGAAGGAGGCTTTGGTATCTCAGCACAACAGGAAAGCAAATTGTGCTTTTGTGAGAAGGATGGATTTTTGTTGTTGCATTTTTAGACGAAAGATTTATGCTTATATTCTGGTCCATTTACAATATATCATAATACTTTGCAGACAAAGTTATGCTTTTTTCCCAATGATCTAGTGACCTTAATCTCTAACATTCTGTGGTTTCCTGTTTGGGGAAATGATTGAACAGCAGCCTAAGCTATTCCAGGCTGCACAGCATTCCCAGTTGGCCTCTATCTGTCTTAGTTTTGAATGTTCTCCTGTTCACTAATCCAAAAAAAAAATTCTTTTTTAAGGGAATTTTCCCTACAGATGCTAAATCAATGAAACTCCTGCAAATCAGCCCTCCAAACTTCCTCTTCTGGCTGCTTTACTTATCATTCTTCTATTACAAACTCTAATGTGGCCAGGAGTTCTTTTGGACTGAAGCAATTAGCATGTCCCACCAGTGCCTTCCCCCTAAGCAGAAAAGAATTAATTTCACTATTATCCAGCTCAACAAACAATAATTCCCATGGGTTTCCCAAAAGCTCAGCTGCAGAAGAAAACTTTAATTCAGCTGAGGAGTATAACATTTAAGAAATGTCCCTGACTGGGGGCAGACTTGTTATCTGTCCATGGATAATGCGTTGACCTCAGCTGTCCATCACTCTCACTGTTGGCCATACTTCTTCCTGGTAATTGTGCAGAGTCTTAGGGATGTAATACTCAGGAGGCCTGAGTCCCCAAGGCCTGCTTGAAGAAGACTGGTAGAAAAATTGAATGAAACAGTAGTCATTTCTGCAACCAAGTTGTTCTTAAAAAGAGACATATTTTGCTTTCACGTTTTAAGGAAAAGGGAAGACAAGAGAGTAAGTGAACTTAGAATAAACAGCCCCATGTGCCTCCCATCCCCCTACCAGCTGGTTTTGTCAAGATGAATAAAGAAGAATGGAAGTGGAACAGCAAGTTTGAGTCAGTGTCCAGCGATTATATAAATAATGTCTTTTGGCCAAAAAAAATTATTCCTGCTTTCTTGCACCTTAACTCTAAATTATTTTGCTGCTTTTAGTGGGGAACAACAAAGCCAACTTGAAAAGGATCCAGAAAGCCATCATTCTGATGCAATGATCTTTGGAAAAAAGCTCCCTACCTAGAACAGCACACTTAAACGACTTTTAAGAATGATCCAGAATAATTCTTGTCCTCTTGCTTGAATATAAAAGTCCTGGGGCCCCTTCTAGTCAGTCCTTTACTCTGCTTCTTGTTTCAGGGTCTGCTCTCATGGCTGCTTTCTGATCCCCTTGCCTCTCAAGAATCTCCTCTGACCATGATCAATAACTGGATTTTTTTTTTTTTTTTTTTTTTTGAGACAGGGTCTTGCTCTGTCACCCAGGCTGGAGTGCAGTGGTGCGATCTCGGCTCACTGCGACTTCTGCCTCCCGGGTTTACACCTGGCTAATTTTTGTATTTTTTGGTAGAGACAAGGTTTCACCATGTTTCCCAGGCTGGTCTTGAACACCGGACCTCAAGTGATCCACCCGCCTTGGCCTCCCAAAGTGCTGGGATTACAGGCATGAGCCACCGCGCCTGGCCCAATAACTGAATTTTAATAAACTGACTGTCCCAGGAGCAAGCTCACCCACTCCCACAGACAAATCTCTCCAGAGGAGGAATGTACCCCTGCCTGTCAGAAGGTCAGCTTCAAGGTCACACCTAAGGGTCATCTCCAAAGACTGCAATGTGCTTGACAAAGTTATTACCCTACTAGGAGGTGGGTCAAGGAGCCAATTTCTTTCTTTCTCCACATCATTAAATATATTTAATTAACAAACACACATTTGCATACAACCCAACCAATAAGAAACGGCCCTGCAAGAGCAAAGAAAAAAATGCTTTAATTTATAGACAGTTAAATCTATGGTATCGACCTACATTCTTCAATAAAGTGTATTATAAGCACTTAAAATGTGGCTAGTCAAAATTGTTATGTGCATCTAAGATACACACAGGATTCTGAAGACTCAGTACAAAGAAAAGAATGTAAAATATTTCAATAATTTCTTAGTATCAATTAAAATTAATATGATGACATTATATATATATAGTGTTAAGGACAATATATTGTTAAAATTGATTTCACCTGTTTCTTTTATAGTTTTCATGTGCCTTCTAGAAAATTTAAATGCACATATCTCCCTTGCATTATATTTCTATTGGACAGCACTGCTATACCTTGGGTTTGGTATATACTGGAAAGAAAATTGGTCCTCTCTGTCAATAGCTGCGAAGTAACAGAAGTAAGTAACTTCCAAGGACAGCCACTCTCGGAGGAGCGGTCTGCGGTTCATGAAGCTGGATTAAGGAAATTGGAAACTATGTCCATGTGGAGGAGGAGCAGCAGATACTCCCATAATAGCTATCATTACAGGGGAGCAGACAGGAACTATGGGAAAACCTGCTTGCTATTGGCTTGCCCTGCCAGCTCTCTGCTCCCCAACATTACTACTGTCACTTAAGTTCAAAATATAATAGTAATGGGCCAGGTGCCATGGCTCACACCTTTAATCCTAGCACTGTGGGAAGCTGAGGTAGGAGGATCACTTGAGGCCAGGAGTTTGAGACCAGTCTGGGCAACACAGCAATATCCTCTCTCTACAAAAAAGTTAAAAAAATCAGCCAAGCACAGCAGCATGCTCCTGTAGTCCCAGCTACTTGGGAGGCTGAGGTGAGAGGGTCTTTTGAACCCAGGAGGTTGAGGTTGCAGTGAGCTATGATTATGACACTGCACTCTAGCCTGGGCAACAGTGAGACCCTGTCTCTAAAACAAAACAAAACAACAAAAGAAAAAACAAAAAATAATAGTACCACTAGTAATTGAGTGAATACATTAAGGATTATGAAGAAAGGGAAAAAATAAAACAGGAAAGCTGTGCTCCCTTTCACTAATGGGAAGGAAATGATCCTTCCCAGCTAAAGTGGTCCCGAATGCCAGCAGAGAGCAGGACAGCCTCATCACAGGAGAAATGCTAAACAGCCTGCAAAAAGCATTAACCTAGAGATGCTCAGAAGCTCTCAAAACGGATATGGACAGTGGACGGGGAGGCCCTAGTGTGGTCAGGGAGCAGAGCATTCCGCAAAGTGCAGCCCTCCTTGGATTCTGGCTGACCCATTGGCATTCTCTCCTCCCATAACAAACTTGCCTTCCAGCTTGAGAAAATTCCAGTTTGAATAAAGGTTACTTTGCCTTTCTCTGAGAAGAGGACTGAGAGCGACAGTAGTAGGCACACATCCAAAGAACCAGAAAAGCTACTGCCAGGAGTCTAATTCCCACCTGTTGTTATCAATCCCCACACCCCCTCCCTGGTAGATAGCAAAGTTAGTGGAAGGTTTCCAACCAGGTTGATCTCCTCATAAAAGAAGGCAAGTGCCTGGTTACACAGCTTACTTTTCTTTACCTTTTTTTTTTTTAAAGTCTGTGCTCTGTGTTCTTTATGTTTTTATCTAGACAGGAAAACCTGGTATCAGTCAGGTGCAAGACTTTCTGCCCCATGCTCTCAATGGTTCTATTCATCAAAGCCACCCCATTACCTTGCAATTAGGTTTTTTGGTGTTGTTTTTCTTCCAAAAACACAACTCTCCCCTGTTGGGAGACTAAAGCATCCTTTTCCCTTTTCTTTCCAGAGAATGTCAAACAGGCTTAGAAGGAATGTGCAAATCACTGTAACAAATATGGGGACTGTCAGGAGGCTGAAGAAACAGACAAGAATCTTCAGAGTGAAAAGAGTAGAGGGGAAAGCCAGAAATCAAGAAGGAGGGCATCAGGAGCTTCTGCCCAGAGCAAAAAGTTTCTGCTTTTGTGCTGCTGCGTTGATCATTACCCAATGACAAGACTTGGGAACAATGATAATAATAACAGTCATAAGCAAGTAGATGGCACAGATTGACTCATGGCAGGAGTGTGGGTGGTTAGACAACTTCTACAACATAGACCAGGCAAATCCAACGAAAAAGCCCTAGGAAGAGCCCAGAACATATGACTGGGGCTTCTGTCGGCAGTGGGAAGTGTGACAACGTGGCTTTCTCTTTTTGATAACAGACCAGGGTCAACTGCCACAGAATTAAGTCATCCACTCTCACACGAAAGAAGAGGAAACTGGAGTGGAAAGAGCATGGGGCCTGGAGTCAGACTGTATGGCAAACAGACTCAAATCATGATGATGATGATGATGATGATGGAAAAACAAAGACAAAAGCATTGGCTTTCCATTCTGGCTCTAGACCATCTGATGTGTGACCGTGACATACAGACCAAATCAGCCCCCTAGGACCAATCTGTACATTATACATGAGGCTGGGCATGGTGGCTCATCCCTCTAGTCCCAGCAGTTTGGGAGGCCGAGGCAGGAGTTCAAGACCTGAAGTGAGGAG
The DNA here is from genome assembly GCF_000001405.40 of Homo sapiens. Taxonomy (NCBI): domain Eukaryota; kingdom Metazoa; phylum Chordata; class Mammalia; order Primates; family Hominidae; genus Homo; species Homo sapiens. The sequence goes on from NC_000007.14 coordinate 29,044,212, forward strand.
TTCAAGACCAGCCTGGTCAACATGGCAAAATCCCATCTTTACTAAAAATACAAAAATTAACCAGGTATGGTGGCAGGCACCGGTAATCCTAGGTACTTGGGAGGCTGAGGCATGAGAATCACTTGAACCCGGGAGGTGGAGGTTGCAGTGAGCTGAGATTATGCCACTGCACTCCAACCTGGGTGACAGAGTGAGACTCTGTCTCAAAAAAATAATAATAAAAAGAGTCAGCAAAGCTTATTTTATTTCCTTTTGTTTTAAATTAAAAAATTAAACCTTTCGTATATCCTCTCACACTTTATTAGATGGTGGTGGGCACACACTGCTTTGGATTCCCAGTGATTCCCAGTGGCCCAGTCTTTTAAAACATCTACGTCGACTTTTTACATCTCCTATTATACTATGACATAAGGAATAAAGATGGAGTAGCCACTACAGCATGTGACATTTATTGCACAACAGATACTACTAATTGTATCCAGAAAAGAATACTCTCTCCACCCTTTCTCGATTTGTCTTTTCAAAGTAAAGTCAACGGATGTAATCGCCTGTGTTTCATACCAGTTGGGTTTCATAGCAACTGAATTTAAATATACATTTCTTAGCTTACTGGGTTTTAGATCTCTGGAATCTGCATAGCAAATGGTATTGTCATTTATTATCTTTCTCTCTGAACCACTCTCACCATGCCATGTTTAAGTAACTCTAGATGAAATTCTACATTTCCTGTAGCCACAATCACAAGTGTACTTTCTAATGTTTTAAGCATGAGACACTTTCAAACAACAACAAAATAAAGCCTTTATGACATGATGGTGGTGTGCACCAAGAAAAACAACTTAAACCATCTCATGGGGAAGAATATATTATTAAATGGCTTAATGAAAGAATGAAGAGAAAATACAAACACACACGGGTTATCATGTGAACATTTCATCTAACATAAAGTATGAACAAGAGAAGATGTCGAAAGCATGGCAAGTTTAGGTGAATCGAAATCAATTTCATAATTTATAGGTATTCTCTTTTCCCTTTATTCTCTGAAATGCTTAAAAATCAAAAAAGCCCAGAAGTATGCCTCATTAAAAAAAGTAATGCTACTCTTGCATTTGGATTATAACGGATACAGATAAAATGAACTCACAAGGAACTCTGCAGTATAAATTGGTTTTCGAATGTACACTATTTTTATCTGCCTATAATGTGGCAGTTGCTTATCTATAGACTATAGTTACATAAAATAAATGTCCTAGAGTTAGCTTCCTTCTCTGCAGAAGTCATGCTTCACTGGGAGCTACTTCCTCCTCCCAGAAGTTTTCGTGAAATGATACTGGCATTCTCTTCATTGTCTTCAAAGGGCTAGGGGGAAATCACATACAGCTCACAGTCAACACAGTCAGACTTTTCCCATCATGGTTTGACAGAAGCTTAAAGTCCAACTAACAGTTGAAGAATTAGTATCATTTAAGTGTTAAATTTTTCTTGATATGCTAGACATTTATCAAATCTAGTTTCCTGGCCATGATTACCATCAACATTTTGCCATCAAAAAATGTTATGATGGAAAATGCCACAAGCAATTAGAATGACTAACAAAATGAGTTAGATTTGCTGGAATATTTACCTTTCAAACTTCTAAGTCACATTTATTACTCAGGAACTCGCCATTCCTAAAGGAAGATCTTTTGATAGCCTGGGATAAGTAAATAGAACTCTAATGACCTGGGTGTTAAGATTTCAGTCTGGTAGTGAAGCTAAGAAACACTAACATCCTGAATTCTGAAGATGCAATTAGGTGAAATTTAATGAGCTGTAGAATGATAAGTGACAGGGAAATGTAACTTTATATTTACCATTTCCTGACTAGATGAACCTTTTTTTTTTTTTTTTTGAGATGGAGTCTTGTTCTGTCACCCAAGTTGGAGTGCAGTGGCGTGATCGCGGCTCACTGCAACTTCCACCTCCCGGGTTCAAGCACTTCTCCTGCCTCAACCTCCCAAGTAGCTGAGATTAAAGGCATGCACCACCACACCCGGCTAATTTTTTTGTATTTTTAGTAGACACAGGTTTCACCACATTGGCCAGGCTGGTCTCAAACTCCTGACCTTGTGATCTGCCAGCCTCGGACTCCCAAAGTACTGGGATTACAGGCGTCAGCCACCGCGCCCGACCAGGTAAACTTTTACATACAGCATATTAAGCCCTACCCAAAGGCAACTTAACCTTCAAAAGCACAAGTGCAAGTAAGAATTGGCATTTGCAGATGGTTCCTCTTAAAACTGCAGTGTCCTTCCAGACCACTTAGAAACACAAACAACCTCAAATTCAAGGACACACACATGCACGTGCGCGCGTGCACACACACACACACACACACACACATACTCATACACGGTCTTTGAAAATACAGCACAAATGATTTTTTTTTTAAGCAAGGCAGGAACTATAACCAGACAGAGAAAAGGGGGTTGAAAACATTTTCAGAATCTTCAAGAAAAACAATAACAATGTAAATTCTATATCACAAGGAATACGGGACCAGGGGACCTCTCCAAAGAGCAGAGATTTCAAAGCCAAAGCTCCTGGAGACTGTGGGTTGCATTTCCTAGATTCTAGAGATACCCTATCCTTTCATCACCATGTTTAATTATTTTTAAAATGAGGATACATCTTACAATCAGTGTATGAGAGTGCATTCGCATTTTTTTAATGCTGCTGATTAAGACTAAGGACTAAGGAATATACATGATATAATCAATGGTACTTGAGGTGGTGGATTATTTGCACTTATAATTGAATATATGTTTATTGTAAAGGTGGTTTATAGTACAAATGAACAAGCCATTTGTCTTCCGTCATTCCATCCTTTCTTTTCCTTCCCTTCCTTCTTTCCAACTTTATTGCATACTACTATGTGCTGGTTGCTATAGTAGGTAGCTAAATCAGAATCTTTGGTGGAGTGGGCCTGATTAGGTGTTGTTAGAGCACCCCAGGTGTTTCTAATGCAAAGGGAGCCATTTGCATTAGAAACCATGCAGTTTCAGAATGGTTGGAAAAGGGAAGATTAAATAAAGTCAAATGTATTAAGCACGATACAAGAAGTCAAGGGAAATAGATTGCATAAAGAAAAAACATCAAAACTTTGGGAAACATTGGACACACTTATAGAAATGCAAAATACTCTCGAAAGTCTCAGCAATAGAACTGAACAAATAGAAAAAAGAAATTCAGAGCTTGATGACAAAGACTTCAAATTAACCCAGTCCAGCAAAGATAAATTTTTAAAAAATAAGAAAATATGAACAAAGCCTCCAAGAAGTCTGGGATTATGTTGAATGACCAAACCTAAGAATAATCGGTGTTCCTGAGAAAGTAGACAAATCGAAAAGTTTGGAAAAGAGATTTGGGGGAATAATCGAGGAAAACTTCCCTGGCCTTGCTAGAGACCTAGACATCCAAATACAAGAAGCACAAAGAACACCTGGGAAATTTATCACAAAAAGATCATCACCTAGTCACATTGTCCAATCAGGTTATCCAAAGTTAAGACGAAAGAAAGAATCTTAAGAGCTGTGAGACAAAAGTACCAGGTAACCTATAAAGGAAAACCTATCAGGTTAACAGCAGATTTCTCAGCAGAAACCACACAAGCTACAAGGGATTGGGGCCCTATCTTCAGCCTCCTCAAACAAAACAATTATCAGCCAAGAATTTTGTATCCAGTGAAACTAAGCATCATATATGAAGGAAAGATTCAGTCTTTTTCAGACAAACAGATGCTGAGAGAATTCACAACTACCAAGCCACCACTACAAGAACTGCTAAAAGGAGCTCTAAATCTTGAAACAAATCCTGGAAACACATCAAAACAGAACCTTTTTAAAGCATAAATCACACGGGACCTATAAAACAAAAATACAATTTAAAAGGCAAAAATAAAAGGCAAAAAAAACAAGGTACACAGGCAACAAATAGCACGATGAATGCAATGGTACCTCATATCTCAATAGTAACATTGAATGCAAATGGCCTAAATGCTCCACTTAAAAGATACAGAACTGCAAAATGGATAAGAACTCACCAACCAACTATCTGCTGCCTTCAGGAGACTCACCTAACACATAAGGACTCACATAAAGTAAAGGGGTGGAAAAAGGCATTTCATGCAAAGAGACACCAAAAGTGAGCAGGAATAGCTATTCTTATATCAGACAAAACAAACTTAAAGCAACTGCAGTTAAAAGAGACAAAGAAGGACATTATATAACAGTCAAAGGCCTAAACACATATGCACCTAACAGTGGAGCTCCCAAATTTATAAAACAATTACTAATAGACCTAAGAAATGAGACAGAGAGCAACACATTAATAGTGGGGGATTTCAATACTCCACTGACAGCACTAGACAGGTCATCAAGAGAGAAAGGCAACAAAGAAGCAATGGATTTAAACTATACCTTGGAAAAAACAGATATATACAGAACATTTCGTCCAACAACCAAAGAATACACATTCTATTCAACAGCACATGGAACTTTCTCCAAGATAGACCAAACGACAGGCCACAAAATGAGCCTCAATAAATTTAAGAAAATTGAAATTATATCAAGCACTCTCTCAGACCACAGTGGGATAAAACTGGAAATCAACTCCAAAAGGAACCTTCGAAACCATGTGAATACATGCAAATTAAATAACCTGATCATTGGGTCAAAAATGAAATCAAGACGGAAATTTAAAAGTTCTTCAAGCTGAACGACAATAATGACACAACCTATCAAAACCTCTGGGATACAGCAAAGGCGGTGCTAAGAGGAAAGTTCATAGCCGTAAACGCCTACATCAAAAAGACTGAAAGAGCACAAACTGATATCCTAAAGTCAAACCTCAAGGAACTAGAGAAACAAGAACAAACCAAACCCAAACCCAAACCCAGCAGAAGAAAGGCAATAACCAAGATCAGAACAGAAATAAATGAAATTGAAACAAGAAAAAATGCAAAAGATAAATGAAACAAAGAGCTGGTTCTTTGAAAAGATAAATAAAATTGATAGACCATTAGCAAGATTAACAAGAAGAGAGAAAATCCAAATAACCTCATTAAGAAACAAAACGGGAGACATTACAACCAACACCACTGAAATATAAAAGATCATTCAAGGCTACTATGAACACCTTTACACACATAAACTAGAAAACCTAGAAGAGATGGATAAAATCCTGGAAAAATACAATCCTCCTAGCTTAAATCAGGAAGAATTAGATACCCTGAACAGACCAATAACAAGCAGCGAGATTGAAATGGTAATTAAAAAATTACCAACGAAAAAAAAGTCCAGAACCAGATAGATTTACACAGAATTCTGCCAGACATTCAAAGAAGAATTGATACCAATCCTTTTAATACTATTCCACGACATAGAGAAAGAGGGAAACCTCCCTAATCCATTCTAGGAAACCAGCATCACCCTAATACCAAAACCAGGAAAGGACATAACCAGAAGAGAAAACTACAGACTGATATACCTGATGAACATAGACACTAAAATCCTTAACAAAATACTAGGTAACTGAATCCAACAACATATCAAAAAGATAATCCATCATGTGATCAAGTGGGTTTCATACCAGGGATGCAGGGATGGTTTAACATACACAAATCAATAAATGTGATACACCACATAAACAGAATTAAAAACAAAAATCACATGATCATCTCAACAGATGCAGAAAAAGCATTCAACAAATCCAGCATCCCTTTATGATTAAAACTCTCAGCAAAATTGGCATACAAGGGACATACCTCAATGTAATAAAAGCCAACAGCCAACATAATACTGAATAGGGAAAAGTTGAAAACATTCCCTCTGAGAACTGGAACAAGACAAGGATGCCCATTCTCACCACTCCTCTTCAACATAGTACTGGAAGTCCTAGCCAGATCAATCAGACAAGAGAAAGAAATAAAGGGCATCCAAATCAGTAAAGAGGAAGTCAAACTGTCACTGTTTGCTGATGTTATGATAGTTTACCTTGAAAACACTGAAGACCCCTCCAGAAAGCTCCTAGAACTGATAAAATAATTCGACAAAGCTTCTGGATACAAGATTAATGTACACAAATCAGTAGCTCTTCTATACGCAGTGACCAACAAGAGAATCAAATCAAGAACTCAACCCCTTTTACGATAGCTGCAAAAAAAAAAAATAAAATACTTAGGAATACACCTAACCAAGGAGGCAAAAGACCTGGAGAAATTGGAACTCATCCATTTTGGTGGAATTGTAAAATGGCCCAGATACTTTGCAATAAACACTTTGGCAGTTCTTCAAAATGTTAAGGAAAACTACAAAACACTGCTGAAAGAAATCATAAATACAAATAAACAAGACAAATAGAAACACATCCCATACTTATGGATGGGTAGAATCAACATTGTGAAAATGACCATATTGCCAAAAACAATCTACAAATTCAATGCAATCCTCATCAAAATACCACCATCATTCTTCACAGAATTCGAAAAGCCAATTCTAAAATTCATATGGAACAACAACAGAAAAAGCCCACAAAGCCAAAGTGAGACTAAGCAAAAAAAAAAAACAAATCTGGAGGCATCACACTACCTGATTTCAAACTATACTATAAGGCCACAGTCACCAAAACAGCGTGGTACTGGTATAAAAATAGGCACATAGACTGATGGAACAGAATAGAGAACCCAGAAACAAATCCAAATACTAACAGCCAATTGATCTTTGACAAAGCAAATAAAAACATAAAGTGGGGAAAGGACACCCTTTTCAACAAATGGTGCTGGGATAATTGGCTAGCCACATGCAGGAGAATGAAACTGGATCCTCATCTCTCACCTTATATAAAAATCAACTCAAGATTGATTAAGGACTTAAATCTAAAACCTGAAACTATAAAAATTCTAGAAGGTAACATTGGAAAAACCCTTCTAGACATTGGCTTAGGCAAGATTTAGTGACCAAGAACCCAAAAGCAAATGCAATAAAAACAAAGATTAATAGCTGGGACTTAATTAAACAAAAGAGCTTTTGCACGGCAAAAGGAACAGTCTGCAGAGTAAACAGACAACCCACAGAGTGGGAGAAAATCTTCACAATCTATACATCTGACAAAGGACTAATATCCAGAATCTACAACAAACAAATCAGTAAGTAAAAAACAAACAATCCCATCAAAAAGTGGGCTAAGGACATGAATAGACAATTCTCAAAAGAAGATATACAAATGGCCAACAAATATATGAAAAAACGCTCAACATCACTAATGATTATGGAAATGCAAATTAAAACCACCATGCGATACCACCTCACTCCTGCAAGGATGGCCATAATCAAAAAATCAAAAAACAGTAGATGTTAGCGTGGATGCAGTGATCAGGGAACACTTCTACACTGTTGGTGGGAATGTAAACTAGTATAGCCACTATGGAAAACAGTGTGGTTTCCTAAAGAACTAAAAGTAGAACTACCATTTGATCAGCAATCCCACTACTGGGTATCTGTCCAGAGGAAAAGAAGTCATTATATGAAAAAGATACTTGCACACAGGTTTATAGCAGCACAACTCGCAACTGCAAAATCCGTGGAACCAAAACCAACCCAAATGCCCATCAACCAACGAGTGGATAAAGAAACTGTGGTATATATAAATATAAATATATATATATATTCCACATATATATATTCCAAATATATATATGAATATATATATATGAATACTACTCAACCATAAAAAGGAATGAATTAACGGCATTTGCAGTGACCTGGATGAGATTGGAGACTATCAAGCGAAGTAACTCAGGAACGGAAAATCAGACATCATATGTTCTCACTGATGTGTGGGAACTAAGCTATGAGGACGCAAAGGCATAAGAATGATACAGTGGACTTTGGGGGAAGATGGGAGGGTGGTAAGGGATAAAATACTACAAACAGGGTGTGTTGTGTACTGCTTGGGTGATGGGTGCACCAAAATCTCACAAATCACCACTAAAGAACTTACTCATGTAACCAAATACTAACTGTACCCCAATAACCTATGGGGAAAAAAATTTTTATAAAATAGAGACAGAAAAAAAAAAGTAGATTCACACACCCAAATTGTGAATACTTGGATGTTTTCCAATAACCAACTCGAGTATTAGTTTTTAAACCTATTTTTAACTTGACTAAAATGAAATGAAGATTCAGTTCCAAAAAAAAAAAAAAAAACCAAACCAAAAGCATAAATGATGAAAGAAAACACAAATTGGATTTTATCAAAATTAAAACTTTTGGACTTTGATGGGCAACATCAAGAAAATAAAAAGACAACCCAGAGAATAGGAAAAAAAATCATATCTGATAAGGGACTTGTATTCAGAATGTATAAAGAACTCTCAGGCTGGGCACGGTGGCTCACGCCTGTAATCCCAGCACTTTGGGAGGTCGAGGCGGGCGGATCATGAGGTCAGGACATCCAGACCATCCTGGCTCACACGGTGAAACCCTGTCTCTACTAAAAATATAAAAAATTAGCCAGGTGTGGTGACATGCACCTGTAATCCCAGCTATTCAGGAGGCTGAGGCAGGAGAATTGCTTGAACCCGGGAGGTGGAGGTTGCAGTGAGCCAGGATCATGCCACTGCACTGCAGCCTGGGCGACAGAGCAAGTCTCCATCTCAAACAAACAAACAAACAAAAAAACTCTTAACACCTCAATAATAAAAAACAAATAACCCAATTAATTAGCAACCCAATTAATAGGCAAAGTATTTGGATACACATTTCTCCAAAAAACATAAAAATGAAAAATAAAAATCACATAGAAAGATGTTCATCGTTCATCATTAGGGAAATGCCAATCAAAGCCCAATGAGATAGCACTTTAAATCACTAGGATGGCTAGAATCAAAATGTCAGACAATAACAAGTGCTGACAAGGATGTGGAGAAACTGGAACTTCAAAATGTTAAATATAGAGTTAACATATGACCCAGTAATTCCACTCTTAGGTATCTATCTACCCAAGAGAATGGAAAACATATGTTCACACCAACACTGTACATGAATATTCATAGCAACATTTTTCACAATAATCACAAAGTGGAAACATGCCAAATGTCCATCAATAGATGAATGGATGAATAGAATGTGGTATAACCATACATAGGAATATTATTTTGCAGTAAAAAGAATGAACATGCTATAACATGTATGAACCCTGAAAACATACAAAGTGAAAGAAACAGTCACAAAAGGCCATATACTGCACAATTTCATTTATAAGAAATATCCAAAATAGGCAAATCCATACAGACAGAAAGTAGATTAGTGGTTGCCAGGGGCTGGAAGAGGAAGTGGAAATCATTGCTAATGAATAGGGGATTTTTTCTTTTTTCTTTCAGATGTGATGAAGATGTTCAGAAATTAGATAGTGGTGATGGCTGCAGAGAAAATTGCAGTTGCAAAAACCACTAACTTGTACATTTGAAATGAGTGAATTCTGTGGTATGTAAATTATATCTCAGTCAATCTGCTACAGAGGCTGGCTGCAATGGCTCACACCTGTAATCCCAGCACTTTGGAAGGCTGAGGTGGGAGGATTGCTTGAGGCCAGGAGTTTGACACCAGCCTGGGCAATAGAACAAAACTCTGTTTGTACAAAAAAAAAAAAAAAAGAAAGAAAAAAGAAAAAGAAAAGCCAACATTAGCCAGCACATGCCTATAGTCCCAGCTACTTGGGGGACTGAGGCTGGAGGAGAGCTTGAGCCTAGGAGTTTGAGACAGTAAGATATGACCACACCACTGTACTCCAGCCTAGGTAATAGAGCAAGATCCTGTCACAAAACAAAACAAAACAAAACAAACAAAATCTGTTAAATAAATAGTATACCCTTTACATAGCCTTAACAAATGTTAACATTTTACACAACCATTGTACAATGATCAAAACCAGAACATTAACATTGATAAAATATTATTTCTATCAATTTCTATAGTTAGTATTTCTTCTTGTAGCTCAGATTTTCTTCCTGGAATAATTCTGGAGTAATTTATTTTTCCTAAATATATTCTTTAGAAGCTCCTTTAGTGAAAATCTGTTGATTCTAAATGCACTTGAAATAATTTTTTTGTTAAATCTGAAAATACTTTTATTCTACCATTTTACTTGAAATGTAGTTCTAGATTGTTATCTCATTTTAGCACTTTGAAGATATTATGCCTTCCATTGCTGTCACTGACAAGTCTGTCAGTCTGATTGTCCTCCTTTTGTAGATGGCCTGCCTTTTCCTTCTGACTTTTAAAACATTCTCTTTGCTTTTTGCTATTATTCAATTTCATTAAAACCACCTAAAATATGAATTTATTTTCTCTCTCCCACTGCTTATTGTATATGTGCTTCAGTACATGTGTCTGTGCATTCATAACCTTTATCAGATATGGCAAATTTTCAGCCACTGTTTCTTAAAAATGGCTTTTTTTCATTCTTTCTGTTCTTACCCTCTCTGACTCTGCTTAGACATATAGTATTCTCTTCTTAATGCCTCTTAATCTCCCTTCAAACTTTTTATCTTTTCTTCCTGTGTTCCATTTTGGTAATTTCTTCAGATCTATCTTCTGATTCATTAAATTTATCTTCAGCACTGTCTAATCTACTCTTTAACCCATGCACTGAGTTTTAAATTCAACAACTGTATCATTCATTTTTAATGATTACAATTTGTTCTCTTTCAAATTTGCCTAGCCATATTTATTAGTTTCTCATTTATTGCTTGTTTTGTAACTCCATTTTTATGCCTTCAAATATTTCATACATAGTTGTTTTATCTCTCATATGTCCTATATCTGAAAGTGCCTTGGCTATCTTTCTCTCTTATATTTGTTTCTGTTTATTCACAGGCTGTAGCCTGTTTACTTTTGTGTTAGGTGACTTTTGATTACAAGCTTACATTTTTGTTGAAAATGGCTTTATATTTTTGAAAAATCTGAGAGACTGTAAACACCTCTATTTTCTTTTCATTTATTTATTTATTTATTTTGAGAGGGAGTCTCACTCTGTCACCCAAACTGGAGTGCAGTGGTGCAATCTCGGCTCACTGCAACCTCTGCTTCCTAGGTTCAAGCAATTCTTCTGCTTCAGCCTCCCAAGTAGCTGGGATTACAGGCGCCCGCCACCATACCTGGCTAATTTTTTACTTTTTTAGTAGAGATGGGGTTTCACCATGTTGGCCAGGCTGGTCTTGAACTCCTGACCTCAGGTCATGTGCCCACCTCAGCCTCCCAAAGCACTGAGATTACAGGCATGAGCCACCGTGCCCGGCCCTACCACTAAGTTAAGTGTATTTGCTTCTGCTAGTTGCCAGAGTTCCTAGCACTGTGGGACCAGTTTGGGCCCTCCACATGTCCCAGCCCTGGTGCTGGGCTCTCAGGTCAGCAGTGTCACTTTACTTGGGCCCACAGCCCAGCTGCCAGCTGCCAGCCCAGCACTGAGGACACTGGTTCTCAGGGCCACCCTGCCTTATTGCTCTTGCTCCACAGAATTCCCTTCTCTGCCTTTTGTTTTTCTGGTGTTGTTTTTGTTTTCAGATCCACTTTCATTTTATTAAAGGCATTACAATTATGTTTGTTGTCATTTATCCTGAATTCAATTGTATTTTAGTTGTATTTTCCTTCACAGAGTCTACTTTACCAGTCTGCTGGATGTAGGAATTGAATCTACCCATTATCAAATATACTAGCATCTATCCCCTTTACTAGGAAGACAATTAACTTAAAAAAAGGTAAATTAATAAATTAGTAAATTTTGTGTTTCAGAGCAGTTTTAGGTTCATAGCAAAATTGAGTGTAAAGTACAGAGTTCCCATGCACCCCTTATGCCCTCTCCCATACAACCTCCTCCACTATCAATATCCCTCACCACAGCGATGTATTTGTTACACTAACAAAGCTACACTGAAACATCATCAAATCACCTAAAGTCCACAGTTCACATTAGAACTCACTGTTGGTGTTATGCGGTCCATGGGTTTTGACAAATGCATAACATCTTGTATCCACCATTGAAGTATCACACAGAATAGTTTCATTGCCCTAAAAATCCTCTGTGCTCTGCCTATTGATCCCTCCCTCCCCCAACTCCTGGCAACCACTGATCTTTTCAGTCTCCATAGTTTTGCCTTTTAGAGAATGTCACATAGTTGGGATCATACAGTACGTAGCCTTTTCAGATTGGCTTCTTTCACTCAGAAATATGCATTTAAGTTTTCTACATGTCTTTTCATGGCTTGATAGCTCGTTTTTTTTAGCACTGAATAAAATTTCATTGTCTGGACTAGTTTATTCATTCACCTACTGAAGAATATCTTGGTTGTTTCCAAGTTTTGGCAATTATGAATAAAGCTGTTATAAATAGCCCTGTACAGATTTTTGTGTGGACACAAGCTTACAGTTCATTTGGGTAAATACCAAAGAGAATGACTGCTGAATGGTATGGTAAGAGTATATTAAATTTTGTAAGAAATTTTCAAACTGTCTTCCAAGGTGGCTGTATCATTTTGCATTCCCACCAGAATGAGAGTTCCTATTGCTCCACATCCTTGTAAGCATTTAGTGTTGTCAGTATTTTGGATTTTGGCTATTCCAATAGGTCTGGAAGTGGTATCTCATGGCTTTAATTTGTAATACCCTAATGACATATGATGTTGAACATCTTTTCCTTTTCTTTTTTTTTTTTTTTTTTTGAGACAGGGTCTCACTCTGTTGCCTAGGCTAGAGTACGGTGGCACAGTCATGACTTGCTGCAACCTTGAACTCTTGGGGTCGAGTGATCCTCCCACCTCAGCCTCTCAGGTAGCCATGACTACAGGTGCACACCACCACATCCAGCTAATAAATTAATTAATTATTTTTATTTTGTAGAGACAGGGTCTCTCTATGTTGTCCAAGCTGGTTTCAAACTCCTGGGTGATCCTCTCGCCTTGGCCTCCTGGAGTGCTGGGATTATAGACATGAGCCACTGGCAACCAGCCAACATCTTTTCATATGTTTACTTACCATCTGTATATTTTCACTGGTGAGGTGCCCAGGTCTTTTTCCCATTTCTAAATTGGGTTGTTCATTTTCTTATTGTTGAGCTATAAGGGTTTTTAAAAATATATTTTGGTTAACAGTCCATTATCGGATGTGTCTTTTGCAAATATTTTCTCCCACTCTGTGGCTTATCTTCTCATTTACTTGACATTGTTTTTGGTAAAGTAGAAGTTATTAATTTTAATGATGTCCAGCTTCTCAATTATTTCTTTCATGGATTGTTCCTTTAGCATTGTATCTGAAACATCAACACCATACCCAAGGTCATTTAGATTTTCTCCTAAGTTAATGCCTACAAGTGTTATAGTTTTATGTTTTACCTTTAGGTCTACAATCCATTCAGAGAACATTTTTGTGAGGGGTGTAAGATCTGTGTCTATTTCATTATTTTGTTTTGTATGTGGATATATCCATTTGTTCCTGCACCATTTGTTGTAAAGACTATCTTTGCTACATTGTATAACCTTTGCTCCTTTATCAAAGATCGGTTGACTATATTTATGTGGGTATATTTCTGGGCTCTCTATTCTAGTCCATCAACCTATTTGCCTATTCTTTTGCCAATGCCATACTTAATTATTACAATAAATAATATCTTAATTATTGTAGCTTTATGGTAAGTCTTGAAGTTGGGTAATGTCAATCTTCTGACTTTATTCCTCTTGTTCAATGTTGTGTTGGTTATTCTGTGTCTTTTGCCTCTCCTTAGAAACTTTAGAACAATTTATCCTTATCTACAAAATGTTACTGAGATTTTGATTGGGATTGTATTGAATCTATGGATCAAGTTGGGAAGAACTGACATCTTGACAATATTGAGTCTTCATATCCATGTACACAAAATATTTCTCCAACTATTAGTTGTTCTTGATGTCTTTTATCAGAGTTTTGCAGTTTTCCTAATATAGATCTTATACATATTTTGTTGTATTTATATCTAAGTATTTCATTTTTGAAGGGTGCTAATGTAAATAGTCCTGTGTTTTAATTTCAAATTTCACTTGTTTATTGGGAGTACATAGGAAAGTGATTAACTTTTCTATATTAACCTTATATCCTGCAACCTTGTTATGATTAATCACTTATTAATTCCAAGAGGCTTTTTTGTTGATTCTTCTGGATTTTCTACATAAATAATTATGTCATCTTCATTTAATCATTATCCAATGCTCTTCTTCTCTTTATATAGATGTGAGTTTCTGACCTATATCACTTATCTTCTCTTTGAAAACTTACTTTAACATTTCTTACAAAGCAGGTCTACTAGCAACAAATTCCCTCAATTTTTGTTTGTCTGAGAAAGTCTTTATTTCTCTTTCACTTTTGAGGAATACTTTTGCAAGGTGCAGAATTCTAAGTTGGTGGGTTTTATTCTCTCAACACTTTAAATATTTCACTCCATGCTCTTCTTGTTGGCATGATTTCTGAGGAGAACCTAGATGTAATTCTTACCTTTGCTTCTCTATAGGTAAGGTTTTTCTCCCCTTTGGCTTCTTTTGAGACTTTTTTTCTTTATCTTTGATTTTTTTGAAGCTTCCATATGACTTGCCTCCTTTTCTTGATTATTTTGTTTTGGCATTTATCTGACTCCATGTTTTCTGAGCTTCTGGAATCTGTGCTTTGATGTTTTACATTAATCTGGGAAAGTTTGCAATCATTATTGCTTTAAATATTGCTTCCATTTCCTTCTCTTTCTTCTTGTTCTGGTATTCCCTTTATGTGTATGTTACATCTTTTGTAGTTGTCCCACAGTTAAGGCTATTCAAAAAAAATTTTTTTAAGTCTTTGTTCTCTTTACTTTTCAGTTTTGGAAGCTTTTATTTATTACATCCTCATGCTACTCTTAGCTCAGCTGTGTCCAGTCTACTAGTGAGCCCACCAAAGACATTCTTTATCTCTGTTACAGTGTTTTTGATCTCTAACAGTTCCTTTTGATTCTTATAATCTCCATATCTCTATTTTCAATATCCATCTGTTCTTGCAGGTTGTCTACTTTTTCCATTAAAATCCTTAGCATATTAATCATAGATTTTTTGGCAAGTATTATCTTGATTCCTAAGCCAGGCAAAGATATCATAAGAAAAAAGAAAACTGCAAGGCTGTAACTCTGACATTCATGCAAAAATTATCGATAAAATATTAGCAATCCAAATTCAACAATACACCAAAAAGATTCTACAGCATGATCAAGTGGGATTTACCCTTAGCATGCAAGACTGGTTTAACATAGGTACGTTAATCAAAGTGACACATCACAGACTGAAAGACAAAACCACATGATCATCTCAATTGACACAAAAAGTATTCAACAAAATCCAACATCCTTTCTTGATAAAAACACTCAACAGTCTGGGTATACAAGAAAAGTCCCTCAACATAATAAAGGTCATTTACAAGTGACCTTTGGCTGAGTCCTCTCCCCACCCATGGTGTTTTAAACTCTCAGACTTGTCCCTATGGAGCCTCTAGTAATTTACCAATTACTGTTCAGGTTTCCCTTCCTCACCATTTGTTTCCATGGAGGGTTCTACTTACAGGTTTGCTCCTGTTAAGTTTTGACTCCCTATATTCATCTCTCTCTCTAATTTTGGAGGGCAGCAATTTGCCCTGTGACCTCAGTTTCAACAAATCTAAAAAGAGTTCTTGATTATATTTCAGTTTGTTTGGCTTTTTACTGTTGTTACAATGGAGTGGAGACTTCTAAGCTTCTTACACACTGGAATGGAAACTGGAAGCCTGTCCATTCTTTTTTATTTTTGTGTTTTCCAGGGTTTCTTGTATAACTTTTGAATGTAGCAAGATCTTAAAGACTTTCACAAAATTTGTTGAACATTTTTGGTAATAGCTTATATATATATAAATAAGCACCTTCTAACCATCAGGCACTCTTCTAAGTGTGTTTACATATATAATCTCATTTAAACCTCACAGAAACTCACACATAAATACTGTTTTTATTCCTGTTTTATAGACAAGGAAGCCAAAGCGCAGAGAGTTTAAGTTTCCTCTCCCAAAGGAGCATAGCCAGTGACTGGTGTAACCAGAGCTCAAACTCAAGATATGCAACTTAAGAACATGTTCATAACCACCATACTCTATTAACCAGCTAACTCCTAAAAGTCCTGATCATGTTTTGACTTCATTCAGTCATAAAGAATTCAAATAGCCCAACAGATTGTTTCTCTTTCTAGTTATTTTTGAAACTGCCAATATGATATTTCAATTTACCACCCAAACATCTGAAATTACTGAAAGGAAAATGACTTTTGAGTATGCATCTCCTGTATATCACTGTAAGAAAAGGATTATGTTTTCACGTAGCTTACATAGAAACTAACGTAGTTTACAGAGAAGCTAATTTTTATACAGAAACTACATGAAAACGTAATTCCAGAAACCCAGGAAGGTCTTCCTTCAACCATCAGAGATGCTCCACATTGGCCAAAATGAACCCAGTACTGGAAAAAGACCTCTAGTTCCTATGAATAGAAACAGGCATGCTATTTTCTATGACAAATTAGTACCGAGTCTTACATAAATATGACTTTAATGGTACTAACGTTTTAAGCCAACCTAGGTTGTTCTGATTCCCGTTCTGAACACTGAGGTTCAACATCATTAACAGACAAGCCAAAGATAATCACTATCCCAAGCGCTTTGCCAGCTGCGTGAGTGAACATGCTGTCTGTTTTAGCAGCAGCCACTTTTTGGTGGCATATTTTGTTCTGTTTCTTTATGGAAATATGGTTTATCTATACCACTAAACTCTTTTCTTTTTCTGGCAACCGATTCAGAGTTGAAAAGTTTATGCCAGACACGGTGGCTCACACCTGTAATCCCAGCACTTTGGGAGGCCGAGGCGGGTGGATCACCTGAGGTCAGGAGTTTGAAATCAGCCTGGGCAACATGGTGAAACCCTGTCTCTACTAAAAATACGGAAAAAAAATTAGCCAGGCATGGTGGCATGTGCCTGTAATCTCAGCTACTCAGGAGGCTGAGGCAGGAGAATCACTTGAACCCGGGATGTGGAGGTTGCAGTGAGCCGAGATCGTGCCACTGCATTCCAGCCTGAGCAACAGAGTGAAACTCTGTCTCAAAAAAGAAAAGAAAAGTTTAGAAAATACTGGATTTTGATTTTATTGGAATTCATAGTGGTAAGTTTAGGATACATGGGCAAGAGGGACAGAGAAGTTTAAATATCAAAATGCAGGATCACCTCTAATCAATATATTCTCCTTTATCAGTCAAAACATAAGGAGAGTTTATGTCATCAGGTAAGCTGTTTGTCCCACCTTACCCTCACATGGCTGAGAAAGGAATCATATTCTAGTTAAATTTGTACAGTGAGGCCAGGTGCGGTGGTTCATGCCTGCAATCCTAGCACTTTGGGAGGCCGAGGTGGGCGGATCACCTGAGGTCAGAAGTTTGAGACCAATCTGACCAACACGGAGAAAACTCATCTCTATTAAAAATACAAAATTAGCTGGGCATGGTGGCACATGCCTATAATCCCAGCTACTTGAGAGGCTGAGGCAGGAGAATTGCTTGAACCCAGGAGGTGGAGGTTGCAGTGAGCCAGTCGCACCATTGCACTACAGCTGGGCAACAAGAGCAAAACTCTATCTCAAAAAAAAAAAAAAAAAGTGTGTACAGTGAGAAAATATATCTCCCAAGGGCACAAATAACACATATCAAACTTATCTGCTCTCCTCTCAAAAAAATTCACTCGTTCCATTCCTTAACATCACATTACAGAACATCATCTTTAAGACATGAACGCTAACCTCTTTTTGGTTTAATAAATTTGTGGATAATAAGCACCTAATGGATTATGGACAGGTTTATAGATATATTTTTGATACAGCACTAATCATTCATTCATTCCTGACATCTGCTCCAGGCTGGTGGTGGTATGGGTGTCAGACTGAGAGTCTGCACGTTAGAGTGTGCCATGTACACCTATGGGGGTAAAGACAACGCGTTCTGAGAGCTCAGAGGAGAGGACAAACAGCAGTGCCTTCTGGAGGTCCTCTGAGAAGTCTTGAAGCAGCAAGCACTAAGGGCCACTACATGTCCCCAAGAAAACCAAACACAAGGATGGCTGAAATGCTGGCCTGACCTAGTTAGACTCTTTCTTTCCAAGAAAGTAAGTATTTCATCAAGTTTTGCAGGTTTATAATGGGTTTGTAGACTTGGCATATAATTGGTCTTAAACTATTTTCAACAATGGTTACGTGTCCAACACTGTACTAGAAGCAGGACCCAGAAATGGGCCTCCTAGGTCTGGCATATTCTAAACCACAGTCTAGTTAGGGTGCATTGGCCAGGGACTGCCTGGATAGTATTGCAGATTGTGCACTGAACAATCCTAAGACACACCATTCCTAATATACACATTGTAGAAATGAATATTCAGCATGCCAGCAAATGGCAGTAAAGAGTCTGGTTTTAACTAAGGCAGTATATCAGGACAATTTCTGAAAGATCGAAATAAAGTATCTTGAGGAGAGGATGCCTTTATTCTAATTCATACAAAAATCCTATGGGCTGCCGACTGCCCTGTTTTTTGTTCATTCAAAACAGGATATAGGGAGGAAGTGGATCACTCAGTGGTGGTCTCCCCAGTCATCAGTACAGGCATCCTTCGGAGTTGCCCTAGAGACGATCCCTTGGGCAAAGGCTAACAGCACTGGAGGACCAGAGGAGGAGCTGAGAGCGTAGTACCAGGAAAGAAATAATACACAGGCTGACTTTCCCCATGTCATTTGCTCTTGGTGTCCTCCTTCCCAGTGGGAGTTCCAGGGCCCATGTCTTCTTTGCCTGAACCTCCAGGGCTCCTTTTCTGTGACCTCACTCTCCACTGGCACCTCCACTGGCAGCAAAGGCAGAGCATTTCAACCAGACAGCACAATGGCTTGACTTGACCTACTTCCAAACAGGGACCCTTTCTCATTCATCATTTCAACCTCACACCCTAAGGAGAGACTCAAAACACTGTGATTGGGTAAAGTGAATGAATACAACCATTAGGCAAAATGCATTTTCAGAATAACCAGTTGATTTCATTTATCCCTGACGTCATTGGGATTCATGTAACAAAGCAACACATAAGAGAAATCTGGCTCTTACACACGGCCAGTCATCTTTTTGGCTCTGCAACTCTTCCTTTCTCAAGAAAGGATGAGAAGTGGTGTGTGCCAAAGGGAATTTCATTTTAAGGAATAATCAGGGGAAAGTGGTTAAATTATTTTATTTTATTTTTATTTTTTTGAGACAGAGTTTTTGCTCTGTTGCCCAGGCTGGAGTGCAATGTTGCGATCTTGGCTCACTGCAACCTCTGCCTCCCGGGTTCAAGTGATTCTCACGCCTCAACCTCCCAAGTAGCTGGGATTACAGGCACCCGCCACCATGTCCAGCTAGTTTTTGTATTTTTTAGTAGAGAGAAGGTTTCACCATGTTGGCCAGGCTGGTCTCAAAATCTTGACCTCAGGTGATCCACCCGCCTCAGGCTCCCAAAGCACTGGGATTACAGGTATAAGTCACCACAACGGCAAAAGTGGTTAAATTAAAAGGAACAATATAAAACTTTGAATTGGAATCAAACAAAGAAAGGGGCTGTTATTTATGCTAATGACACATCATAAAAGTTAAAAAAAAAAAAAAGGCAGGACTCAAATTACAAATCACTTCTGCTCTGGGTAATCTGAAAGTTCCTAAAATAGTAACTGAAGTAGCTCTCTTACCTTATAATTATTCATGATTTCAGTTAACCATGGCTTAACTGACTGTACTGTATCTTCTCGCAAGTACTTTTCAACTATAGTTCCATCATTAAAAGTCTGATTCCCCACGTGGATGGCTTGTCTCACCTCTGGGAGTGACAAAAATTTCACATAGTAAAGCTGATCCTCAGGTTCCTGGCAGAAGGGGCATTGGAAAGACATAGGGAACATGATTGGTGGCAGGAACAGTATGTTGGGAAAAGCTGTGAATTTCTCATAACATACAACATGGAGAAACGTGACGGGACTATTAACTTGTCGCCATTCTTGAAATTTTAACTCGGAGGTTTTGAGATAATTTAGGTGGAATCTTTTTACTAATTAGAAATCTGAAATACCCTTAAAATACTCTTAAAATACCCAATTTGCAAATACAGGATTTTCCTTTGCAGAAACTAATCTTTTGCAATCTGTGACTCCCATTAGCAACCCCACTAGAGGCAAAGAGAGAGAAAACAAAAGAGATGAGATTATCAAAATCAATTCACTCCTTGTTGGTGGCTCTTTGGAAAGAAGGTCAAATGGATCACAAGGGCCAGGTTGGTGGTGTGCTGGATTTAAAGCTAAGAATTTCTTTTCTGTGTTCTGCTGTTTATTAAAACCACACACATGTATACATGTGCCATGTTGGTGTGCTGCACTTATTAACTCGTCATTTAGCATCAGGTATATCTCCTAATGCTATCCCTCCCCCCTACCCCCACCCCACAACAGTCCCCGGTGTGTGATGTTCCCCATCCTGTGTCCATGTGTATACATATGTAACAAACCTGCACGTTGTGCACATGTACCCTAAAACTTAAAGTATAATAATAATAAAATTAAAAAATAAAAAAAACCGCACACACACACAAAATTGGATTGACTATAATAAAGGGGAAAATATGTCAAATGTGAAAAGAGATGATACTTTATGAAGGACACAAGACAGAAGAAAAGTTGTCCATGAAGCTTATTAAAAAAAAAACTGCAATAAAGTCTCTGTAATAATCATTATACTGAAAGAAAGGAGTAAATGCTTTAAAAAAAAAACAGTTACACAAGGATTAAAAAAACTGTTAAAGTTTGAGTTTGACAACTTTGTGCTTCATCAACAATTTTTACTAACTGTGAATATATTGTTGTAAAGAAAAAAAGGTATCATCACAAATTTTGTTTCTGTCTTGTCTACCACATGTTTTTCTCTTAGTAGAATCTAAATCCAAAACTGCAGCATTGGCGAATTCCACTGAAACTAACGTTATACTTTATTTACAAACTAGTTCATAAATCAGGCAATTTTAAAAACAGAATGCATTGTCATAAGCATTAGACAAAGATTATACAAATTCAAACACCTACTTTGGCTCCTTCTGTTTGACTAATTCTACACAAAAGATATCAACTTTGGCCTACTTTTATGAAACAAACTACTTGAATACTTTGAGAAATATTCCAGAAGGCTTGAAGTGAGGGCCATACTAAATGCATTAAACATCTTAAAAGTAAGACAAAGCAAATATTTTCATTAAGGCTTTGGCAGTTTTGATTATCCAAGCGTCTTAAGTACAGAACAAAGAATGTGGGCATTTTCAAGAGACTCGTAAACAGACTTGAAGCTCTGGGACCTGAGACCCAGAACTCCAATCCCAGCCTGTGTCCTTCACAAAAGTGCCTCTATAACAAGCTCTACTTGGGGGAAATCATGTTCATCAGAAGTTGTTTTGAGTTATCTGAAATATCACACATTCTCAGTGGTCAGATTATAACGTATACAACACTGATGAGGAAAAGATTCTATGGGTTAGTAGACCACATCACGCGGTACAGTTTGGACATGTTGGTCTAGTATAAAGTCATCTATAATATTTCCCAAATCAAAGGAAGTTCGGTTTTGCCAAAAGTTTTAAGCAAACATTATTATGGTTTTTAAAATGTCATTACCGTGCACCGCAAAAAGTTATAGTAATTACTACATCCTGTAACATTCTGGAAGTAAGAAGGATCACTTGTTAAGTCGCCATCTAGTAGTTTATCCAGTATCTAGGTTGGGAGAGAGGGAGAAAGAAAGAAAGAAAGAAAACATCAGTGTGGATAAAAATGTACAGACATTTGTCATTTCATTTATTCAACAACTTTTTCATTCCTTTATTGTTTCATCCAGCGCCCACTTATTGTGCATATTCTCTGTGCTAGACACTGTCATGGCACTGGAGAAATGGCCATCAACAAAACAGACCAATGGTCCTCCCCCATGGAGCTTTTATTCTGGTGGGGGACAACAAGCATTTCTAAGTAAATTATATCATATGGTAGACAGTGATAAACTCTTGAGTATGTTAGGGAATGACAAGGAGAAAACTAAAGAGGAGTAGGAAGTGTCATGTGTGTGCATGTGTGTATGGGACAATGTAGAGAGGAGGTCACAGAGGACCTCACTTAGAAGGTGGCATTTGAGTAAAGACATATTGGATGAGAGGAATAGAGCCATGCAGACATCTAGGGGAAGGAAGGTTCCAGGCAGAGGACACAGTAAGCTCAAAGGCCTTGCCTATGGGAGTAAGCCTTGTGGGAAGGGTGCCTTAACATGGATCATGAACTGCTCACCAGATGACATGGAGAGAAGACGCAGGATATGGTGCAGATGCAGGTTCCTGGAGCTGGTGGAAGTTATCTTTGGGCTGACATTAAAAAACCCAGTCACCAGCTGAGCGGGAGAGCAGTCAGCATGGTTGCATGCTTTCCTCCAGCCATTGTCAGCTGTGTGGAGACAAGCACAGCCTGACAGAGAGGCAGATTGAGCCAGGGCTGTGGTTCAGCCAAAGGAGTTGGAAGAAATGCAAAAGAGCTTTGGGCTTGGAAATGTATGGAATGACTGACCCTGGGTTGAAGACAGGTAATTAGAGAAATGGAGACTTGAGGGGGTTAGAGATAGTGGAGAGGCAGGAGGATCAATGGATTGAAAGGTAGTGAGGTTGCAGGGCTGTAAGATCAGTACATTAGCAGAAGAGATTCGGACAGGAGGTGGTAGTTGGAGAAAGATGTTTGAATGTGTGATTGTGGATCAGCTGCCAGCATTTTAGGGTATGAGAATCAGCAGCTAAGATGAGGAGGAGAACAAGATCATTGAAAAAGAGGAGGCTGAGGCACCAAGGACCAGGTCCCAAAAGGATCGTCAATGTGGATCCTGCAGTTACCAGGAATTATGACAAGAATAATGCTGCAGAGAGTGACAGGGAGGAAGGAGCTCAGCTATTCAAATGAGAGGGAGTAACCAGGGGTTGGTAGGCAGACACAGTTGGAAGTGGTCAGAGGCCCTGTCTGAGGACAGGAGAGTCAAAGCTCAATGCTTTAGGAGGAGGCAGGGAACATGATCTGAAAGTCACATGATGAGCAAGGAAGACACCTACTCCACCTATGAACCAAGTGATACAGACAAGCTAAGAGAGAGAACAGCCCCCACTCAAGAGGACCACAGGGACTGCAGCATCAGGGGAGAGCCAGGTTTCTGGCAAAGCAAGAAGATGAAGAGAAGAAAATAGTCACAGAAGAGGTTGAAGACATGGAGGGGGGTTGTTGATGATGATATTAAGTTGTAAGGAGTTCTTACAAAAGAATTCAAAGAAATGAAGTCAGCACATGTTAAAAACAATCTATCAAGTACAAATTTAGGTCTCTTATCAGATAAGGTATTATTATTCTAATTTTATGGGTGAGAAAACTGAGACACATGAGTTTAAGCAACTTGCCGAGGACACCTCACTAATAATGTCAGAGATGAGATGATTAGGCCACGACTCCTGAGCCTGCACACTCAACCACGCACACACTGGCTCCCAGCAGTCAGCCTGCAATGCTTCCTACTTGCCAATTCCTTCTGGCCATGCTTCAATGCTTGAGAAAATAGACTAATTATTATATTCATATTCTTTTTTTTTTTTTTTGAGATGGAGTCTCGCACTGTCACTCAGGCTGGAGTGCAGTGGTGAGATCTCAGCTCACTGCAACTTCTGCCTCCCGGATTCAAGCAATTCTCCTGCCTCAGCCTCCCGAGTACCTGAGATTAAAGGCGCCTGCCACCACGCCCAGCTAATTTTTTTTTGTGTGTGTGTATTTTTAATAGAGACGGGGTTTCACCATGTTGATCAGGCTGGTCTCGAACTCCTGACCTTGTGATCTGCCCACCTCGGCCTCCTAAAGTGCTGGGATTACAGGTGTAAGCCACCGCCCCCGGCCTGTATTCATATTCTTTTTCAAACATGAAAGAACTTATTCAAGTTCCTATTGCCATGGGGCTAGAGGCCAAGAATGAAAAGGGTTATCACCATAGAAGGCGGTGTGGGTGGAGGTGGTAGTAAGTATTCTCTACCAATGCTACCATTGCTCAGGGCCCCACATCTGGTTGTGCAGCTCCATGCGATGCCTGTGGCTAAGGGGTGCAAAGGGACAGGGAACCAGCCAAAGTTCTGCTCGCTGAGCTGGAGAGCCTGGCTCAGGGCTGCATCTGGAGAAGTGGCCACCTCTTATCCTCACACAATGGAGGCATCTGCCTGCCCCGTCCTGAACCCACAGGACTGCATCACCACAGAGGAGGTGTCTTTTTCTTTTTTTTTTTCTTTGTTTTTTTTTTTTTTGAGATGGAGTCTCGCTCTGTCACCCAGGCTGGAGTGCAGTGGCGCGATCTTGGCTCACTGCAAGCTCCGCCTCCTGGGTTCACGCCATTCTCCTGCCTCAGCCTCCCGAGTAGCTGGGACTACAGGCGCCCGCCACTACGCCCGGCTAACTTTTTTGTATTTTTAGTAGAGACGGGGTTTCACCGTGGTCTCGATCTCCTGACCTCGTGATCCGCCCGCCTCGGCCTCCCAAAGTGCTGGGATTACAGGCGTGAGCCACTGCGCCCGGCCGAGGTGTCTTTTTCTAATTTGTTCACCCAGATGGGGCACCATAGGCCAGGGTCATTCTGAATGCACACATCATTTTTGGAACTCATTGTTAGAAATTATCTTCAACACCAGTGGGAATATAAAGTCAACCTTGAAGAATAACTTTGCTTTTAGAAAGAGTTAAAAGTCATTTGTTGGCCAGGCATGGTGGCTCACAGCTGTAATCCCAGCACTTTGGAAGGCCGAGGCGGGCGGATCACTTGAGGTCCGGAGTTTGAGACCAGCCCAGCCAACACGGTGAAAACCCGTCTCTACTAAAAATAAGAAAAATTAGCCATTCGTGGTGGCGAGTGCCTGTAATCCCAGCTACTCGGGAGGCTGAGGCAGGAGAATGGCTTGAACCTGGGAGGTGGAGGTTGCAGTGAGCTGAGATCTTGCCACTGCACTCCAGCCTGGGCAAGAGAGCGAGACTCCGTCTCAAAAAAAAAAAAAAAAAAAAGAAAAAGTCAGTTGTTGTCAAAAAATAACATGGGTGGTCAAGACCTGTGAAACTAAGAACTTTGTGATTCAGAAAATCATCATGGAAAGGGAGGTAATACTGGACAGAGGATCAGTCATTTCACATCTTGCAGAATATCTAAGACGATCCAGGATTTTTACAGAATGCCTGAAAATTACCATAGGATAAATACTGTGGTGGAAATGGGGGAAGCAATTCCAGTCCTCAGCCTGCCACAATCTATTTGTGTATCCTTCGGCAATTCATTGCTATCCCCTGGGGCTCGGCATCCTCTCCACTCACCAGTAAATGTGTGTGTGTGTGTGTGTGTGTGTGTGTGTGTGTGTGTGTGTGTGTGTGTGTGTGTGCATGTAAATGCATAGGGACAGTAGATGACCTATCTCCAGAGTACTCTCCAGCTCTGAGTTACTACTCTTTGATTAATTAAATCATTTTAAAGGATCAGAGCGTCAAACAGGCTTTATCATTTTAGGCTTGAGATTCTGACATTTATATTCCCCTGGGTTTCAGGATTTGTTGGAGTCTTCCTTTGCAGTCACTGAAACACATTTCAACCACAAGTTGTTTACTGTCCTAAGTATCATTTTATCTATTTTCCTTGAAAAAGCAAAGGTCTTGTTTTAATTCATCACTCAAGATACGGGACCAATGGTCAAAAAGACATTCCAAGCCTTCAAACGTTTTACCTGCTTGGGGTTCCGGTTTCTGACGTATCCGGTTTGGGAGAGATTCTCACCTCGTGGGTCATGTTCTCATTATCTCTGAATACACAACACACCTGAACTTTTCTACAGCTTCACTAATCCTGTAGGTGTTTAGCCTGCTGCATTATGTACCAGTCATCTTTCTGCTTTTTTTCTAAATATGGGCCTCTCAAATGCTCTTGCTCTTGACAATTGCTTTATCCTGTGTGCTTCTTTAAAAACATATCAAATGTTTCAATTGCAAATTGGTCTCATGCCACATAAAATTTGGTATTAATTCTAAATACTGAAGTTTCACTCCTTCGTCCCCTCTGTGACTACCACAGCAGAAAGCCTTGAAAATACTGTCATTGCAAGTGGAAGCATGATCCTACATGTGCCCCAGGAGACCCCTCTTCCTTTGTGTTTACAATTGCATAAGAAATTCTGAATCCACACTTTGCAGCCACATTTAGTGTCCTGACACAGAGAAAGGAGAGCCTGGTGGAGCTCTGTAGGATGGCTCAGGACTCCCTTTGCTCCATCCATTTGCACAGCTAGCTGCTATCAGAATTCACGGCAAGGGCGGTCACTGCCTTGGGGGATTTCTGATAGTGTCCCAACACCCTACTTGTAAAATGAAAAATAACTTTGTATTATCCTCTACCCTTTTCTCCAAGGTTGCATGTCTCCTATTTTGATCTGAACTGGCTGATCTGCAATGCCCTTAAGACTTAATATCAGATTTCTGCTTTAATAACAATAACGACATTAGATATACTGTTACAGAATATGTGTCTAATAACAAACAAATTAAAGCCCTCGAAATTCAGACCTTGCCTCATTTACTACCATGTCAAACATGATGGCTGTATAGTAAATACGGCAAAAAGCCCCTCAGGGAGATTGTTTACACATGGCTCTGTCTGCATTGGCAAAAAAAGCAAAAAAAAACAAAAAAAACCCAACTTCCTGTATCCTAATATTTAGTATATTCTTACATTTTAAATAACTGAGAAAGAAAAGAGTGAAGAACGTAATTATTGATTCTCAAGTTTAATTTTAGGGGAGCAATGAAAGGATATGCACAAATACCAATGGCCCTTTGTAAGAGTTTCAAATTACTACACTTTATAATCTTTGTTCCTGACACGTGTGTCACATGTCATCTGTTACACACTGTGGTCATTTCTCCCAGCTGAAACCCTGTTTGTGGATATAAAACTCTTCTACATGGTTTAGAGCAGATGGTGAAGCATATGCCTCTACTTCCTGGGTTGCCTTTCTTCTGATTTCCATATGATAGAGTCTGCCTTGAGGGCCTCCACAGCATTTAAAGAAATCAAAACGGTTAATGAAAGACACAGTTAGATAAACACTCCAAGATGATCTCAGGCTTAAAATATAGCCAAAGTAAATTCAAAGGAACACAGACAGTCCTTTTCTTCATTATGAGGCCACTCAACTCGCCTCCCGATCTCCAATGGAATAACAGATATACCTTCTTAACAAAAAAATGCCTGAGCACCAAGGTGTTCCTGCTCACCCGCCCTCCCTCCCCAGATGGTTTTAATTGCTCAAGGGCAGCACAGGGCCCCCAGAACTCACTTCAAAGGCCTCAAACCAGTTCTGCTTCCTGATGTGTTCTATGCATTCATGGCACTGCTTCTGGAAGTACTTTTTTTGCTTCTCATCCAACAAGCCAATTTGGTACAGGAATTCTGCATAGCCCCCTATAATCTGAGGACAAAAAAGACACACATCAATGTGACAAAGGGAGAGAAAGAGACCTTAAGGAAGCCCATTTGCTTGGTGAAATAATCCTTTGTAATTGTTAATATTGTGCTGGTTAGCCAAGTAGGATAATTACATGCACACACACATATACACCCCACAACACACACAACAGAACACAACACAATACAAACACACACACATTTGCACTGACAGCCAATGTAAGCTGACACAGTAAATTGATACGTTGAAACATTTGGTAAAAATTAGGAGATTTAAGTCATAAAGTCAACTGGTGTTTCCCTTATCAAAAGTTAGACCTCTAAGAGGAGCCTTCCATCTGATAAAAAGGCATTTAATCCCCCTAAGAGACAAAATAGAAAGTCAGAAGGAGAAACCTACTGATTCGGGATCAGAATATCCATCTCCAATAGCAATTCCGTTCAGGTTGATCTTCACCTCTCTCACAGGGTTGAGGGAATGGATGAGGTGTGCAATGGCTGGCACATATTTCCCTGCATAAGACTGAGAAGGACAGATGTTGAAATGGCCAATCACAAATGGATGCTAGTAAAATTAAATGTACTTAAGCTAATTAAAATAACAATGAAGGAGCAATCTTTCCACATGAGGTATACCATCTGTTTCTTAACCCCACATTATAGATTCCATAATAGCAAAAACCTCTGTCTTCCAATTCTTTTGTCGTCTCAAATAGCACCACATGACATGAACAGGTTCGATGCACAAAAAATCACAAGTGAACATGTAATAAGTGAACATTCTAATTTCCTTCCAAAATAAAATAACTTGGGAGAACACAATTCTGCCATGTGTTAGGCATCTCTTACCAGAAAGCTCTATTCAAAGATTAGAGGGAAAAAAATCTCAAGTTTAAAATTAAGATTTCAAAATCTGATAATGCTGCAAATTTTGAAATCAACATGTACTAAAGGAATAGGAGAAGCAGAAAAGGAAAATAATATTTATTGGCCACTAAAATTTTCACTTGAACTCATCTCTATTTCCAAACTTTTCCAGCACAAGGTCCTTTTTCAAGGTCAGAATATTTTGTAGATATATTTCCCCTAACAAACATGGTAACGGTTCTACTTTAAGACTGTGCTGGAAGAGCTACTATTGACTCAGCAGTATTTTTCAAATAATTTTGCATTTTGCATTCTTTCCATCAAAAGTTGCCTTCTTGATATCTCCACTTGTATGTCTAATATTAAACTGCACATGTTCAAAATAAAGCTCCCAATCCCCAACCCTGAGGCAGCCTCCCTTTCATCTCATGTTAATTCTGTTTCTCCCCTGCTCAGGCCAACAATCTTGGTGCCATTCGTTATATCTCTCTTTGTCTCGTATTCCACAGAAGTCAATCAGCCAAGCTTGTCAGCTCTACCTATTCTAACAAAATCTGTCCAGAGTCCAATGTCTTCTCACAACCCCTTCTCCATCACATCATCTCTGGCCTGGATGACTGCAGTAGACTCCTCATTGGCCTCCTTCTTTTGCCCTTATCCTTTAATGACTTCCCATCTTCCCAAAAGCAAAGGCATAAGGGCTGACATGATCTGCTCCCTTCTCTACCCTCAACCCCTGCCACCCTCTCGCTCATTCCTTTCCAGCCCATTGGGTTCCATGCTATTCCTTGCACATACCAGGCACATGTCTGCCAGGCCTTTGGACCAGCCATTCCCTCCACCTGGAATGCTCTTCTCACAGGCCCCCATATGGCAAATTCCCTCAATGTCCTATATTTTTTCTTTCCTAAGTATTTCCTTAATACTTATCATTCTCCAACAAACTTTTACTTACTTATCTTATATACTGTTATTCTCCTACCCATACTAGAATATAAGATCCGTGAATACAGGGACATTTGTCTGTTTTGTTTACTTGAGTCCACTATGACTGATGCGTATATTTGTTAGTGCTCAATAAATAGTTGTTGAATGAATGAATCTTAAAATGAATCTACAGACATCTGAAAAAGAGCAATGCATCTATGTTCAAAACAGACTAGAGACATTATGTGGATACCTGTGAGTTCACAGACCCTTCACAGCATCTCCAAGGCCCTCCAGGGGTCTGTAGTTCAAAGGCTGGGAACCCCTGAAAGCTCTTATTTTATCCACACCATAATCATATGCTGAAGATAATCATTACTCCCATTTCAAGATGAGGACACTGAGGCTCAGAGAGGTTAAGTTGTAGAGCCAGAATTACACCTGAGCTGACCGACTCCAAAACCTAAACTCCTTCCAAGCAATGATAAAACAATATCATTTATGTAATTTATCCAAGAACTCCTCATTGATACAGCTCTCTTGTGCAATAATAATTATTTAGGTAAAGTATTGAATCAAAGCAATTTATCCATTCATACTTGTAAGTACATTTTAGCTTCCTTGTGTAATATAAAGGTGTGTTCATATGTCTGAAATTTGGTTTGTTGTCTAACTGTGCTACATTCTCTTGTTAGTGACAATAAGTGAACATTTATCAAATACAATTTCTGTAAAATGACAAAAAAGCACATTTCCCTGAGTAACCATTTTACTGGTAAAAATGTATTGTTATATAGTCTTTATTCAATGATAGTTTATTGGGCAATTCTTCTGTCAAAGGCATTGACATGGTTTGCCTCTGTGTCCCCAACCAAATCTCATCTCCAACTGTAATCCTTATGTGTTGAGGAAGGGATCTGGTGGGAGGTGATTGGATCATGGGGGCAGTTTCCCCCATGCTATTCTCATGATAGTGAGGGAGTTCTCACGAGAGCTGATGGTTTTAAAAGAGCCAGTTTCCCCTGCCCATGCTCTCTCTCTCTCTCTCTCGTAGTACCTTTACAGCAGCGTGAAAATGAACTAATACAGGCATTATACTAGATACTTGAGGAGACACAAAAATGAATAAAGCACAAAACTTGCCCTCATAAAGGTCACAATTTCTTTCAAAACTATATTATGGAAACCATGACTGACACATGATAGAGCAAAGTTTACGATTTCTTAGATTAGAATTTCTATAATGTATACATTGCCTAGCACAAAATAGGTAAATAAAAACACACTTGATAAATGAATGACTTATCTGGCATTACTTCTAAATACTTTTCCCCTATCAGAAATTGGTACAAATGCCAAAAAGTTTATCTTCCAGTGATATTATCACTCCAATTTTCTTGTTATAAGACCTGGTAATAAAACATCTCTCTTGACCCTTTCTGACATGGAAGGGCATGTACTTTAAGTTGCTAGGTAGGTAGTCATGACAAACGTAGGCTGAAACATCTGCATTTTTGTGGCACTTTCCCCCAGTGACCATCATGTGTATCTGGGTATCTGGGATATATCCAGGCAGGGAATTAAGAAGGAACACCCACTCAGTTTTTGAGCATTACTATGAGCCAGGCTACCTCACCTACTTTAAGCCAATTTAAGATAAACATTGTTTTCCAATATTTTACAGTGATGAAAACAAGGGCCCGTGCATTTCATTCACATGCCTGGCTGGAATTCTACCCTGGCTTGGCTGTCTCTGCAGCTCCCCTTTGTCATATCTAATTGCATTTCAGTCAACGAAATCTTTTCTATTGAGAAGATACTTCTTAAAAAAAAAAAAAAAAAAGCCATCACTGACAGTCAATGGTCCTGGAATATACCACGGGTCTGAGGTCCCCCAAGGTGGAACTACATCTTGGGTTTATCTACTCCAAGCTTGCTAAGCTGATCATTTATGAAAAACAAAACAGATGAGTAGTACTATAACCATATCCAAAATGAAATTCTTCAATATTCAGTCCACATCTGCCAACCTCACAGTGATGATCTTAGCTTTTTTTTTTTTTTAACTTTCTAATGACTATCACACTTCCTTGCTTTGTGTCAGTGTGACAAATCCGTCATTGCCTTTTTCATTAATCATTCCATTGGTTGAGTGACTCAGGCTGTCACAGAGAAGACAATTATAGAATTATTTTTATGGAAAACAGGCACTGAAATATTGTAATAAAATTTCAGTTATTTTCACTCTCCTTGTTGAGATAGTTTTTTTTTTTTTGGCAAGATCAGACTCATTTATTCTTCTTGAATCATTTATTTCTCAATTTAATGATTCTCTGACCGCCATTAAGTACTTCAAAAGACAACCAGGTAATAAATCAAGTGTGTTTTATTTTACCTCATTTGCCTTTTCCTGTATATATTTTATAGAACCCCATATTTCAGGAGAAGAATTTAGGTGTGACTGCCTTATGGATTAGAAATCAACTAAATGGTCCCTTAGGCTTATAACAGTGATTCTGTAATTTTATGAACTATTGCTTCTTTTGTTCTGAGTTCTAATGAAAACAGCAACAACAACCAGAACTCTTGGTCCCGTGGCTTCTCTGACCTCCCCATGGTGTTCGCCAGTGTGGGCAGCAGCTGGTCAATGAAGCCCCTGAGGTCTGTGAATTAACACTAACCTAACATGGGATCAGACCCTGGTCTCATAAAAGCTCAGAGCAATACCAAAGCAATTTTAAAAAGAAAGAGGAAAAGTGTGGCCAGAAACTAACTGAACACATATTATTTTAGGATTTGGCAGTGACCTTCGAATGAGAAGCTCAGCCGGATAAACATAACACATCTAACAGAATTCAAACTAGGTTAGCACTCAACACATCAGAATTTTTAGGGTGCCCTTATTATTCCTTTCTAATAATTAAAGGAGCTTCAAGCTGCGATTTCCAGCACTGCTCTTACTTGGTTAATTTTTCCCATGGTGACCATATTTCGAGCTCACCTCCAACAAGAAGGACCAGAGGTATTAGGGTGTGTTTGTACATGCTTGTATTTGCTGGAGCTTAAAGAGGCTATAAACTTCCAATTCTCCTCCTACATCAGAAGGATCTCAGAATTCAGCTCTCAATCTTTTATTTCTCCCAGGAGAGAAAAAGGCCTCAACATCATAGCTGAATAGTAGTTTTGAATCTTGGTTTGCGATTTTTTTTTCCAGCCTAATGGAAATCCCGTGAGGAGCACATTGTACTTGTAAAAATAGAGAGAATGCAATGTTTGGTTAATTATCCAGATGTGTAAAAACACAATGAAATTGGATGTAGAGAAAACCTGTAATCGTGTCTTTTGCGTGAATCTCTCTTTTCTTTTATGTTTCAACAACATTCACAGCCTACTTACTGTAACCTGCCATTTGGTTACTTTCAAGGAAGGGAAAAAGATTTCATAGCTAAAGTCCAGCTTCAATCAGCTCCTCCAGAGGAAAACAAATAGTGTCAGAGAATAATATTAAAATGGAAACAATGTCCTCTTACAGAAATTTCACATATGGTAGCAGTTACTATTGTTTCAGCTACTCTCAGTTGACTACATTTCTCTGAAGTTTAGTAGAAAAAAAAAATAGATACACTTATACACTCATTCTCTGCCTTGCTTCTAGGTACACATTTCATGGTGAAAAAATTCAGAACTTTGTCAGTGATAATGAGCAATGGCTTTTGAAATGAGACACAGCTAAACTTAGACACAAAGTTTCACCATCCACAGGCCTTAGTTCCTACCCTTTGCCTGGCAGGTGGAAAGAGGGAGTTGTCAACTTCAGCAATGGTACACTGAGGACCCTGAGGGTCATTCTAAGCTCCCTGCCCTGCTTGAACCCCACTCTCCCCAGCTACACAGAACTAAAAAAAATCCTTCTTTGAAGAATTCACTACTGGGCTGGTGAGAGCTCCTTTGTATCCCCAGAAGGCATCAAGGCGCACTGCCCTTCTGGAATCAGTCATATCATTCCCTTGTTCTCCAGCTCATCCCAGGCACAGACTACAATAGAGCTGCCACCCATTTATGGGAGAAGACCAGAGGGAAGAAGACAGCTTCAATGCCTCACAGAGAACTTTATACACACACTGAACACCCCAGGAAAGCCACAAAACCTGGTGAAAACCTCGGTGTAATGGGCACCATGAGGGCAAGACTAGGCTAGGGCGACCTACCTTGGCTTCATCTAGCCTAGGGTAGAATCTTACTTCCTCAGTACCATTATTTTCTCTGAAGAGAGAAGTGTGGCCTTAAAATGGCCAGTTTAGAAAATTAATGAATGAGGAAAGCTGGAATTTCAGTGTTGTGGTAATCGCTATAACTTCCTAGACATTTCCAGACCATGCGTCATCTAATTTCAAGACCATACTGCTGCAATTAAAAAAAAGAGCCTTCCAACAAGAATATGACTTTATCAAAGTATCTATTTCTTTTTTAATATGGGCTTAAAAAGAAACTTGCAAAATCTACAGGCATAGACATATAGCAAAAACATTTTGATCTATAGCCAATTTTTAGTCACATAAACTTATGCAAAAATACATGCTGCTTCCCAAATGATATATTCTTATTTTCTATTGAGAAGATACTCCTTAAAAAAGAAAAAGCCATCATTGACAGGCATAGGTGAACAAGATGCATCCTTTTCCCACCTACTCTGAGTTCAGTGCCAGTTTGGAGAAATCCAGCGTGAAGCCAGGTGACTCAATGAGATGAATAAACCCTTTTGTTTAAAATGGAGACTACAGTTAATTTGACTTTTAAATAAAGAGTCTGAACACACTGGGCCGCAGTCAACAAACTGAATCTTTGTTTGCTCACTGTAGATACAATTCAGAAGGATGAAGCTGCATAATGGATGTAACTTAGCATTTCTCATTCTCAACCTAAACATCTCATCTAATCAGGTACTATTTATGTCTCTATGCTGCCTGCTCCAGCATGGTAATTCATTTCCAACAAAGCTTATAATGACTTCTGATTTACTCATATTCTTTTCTGTGCAACCTCAGTACATATGTATCGATTTGATTTGGATATGCTGTCCAAAAGCCAGAGATCCAACTTGCAAACATTTCCATATGCCCTTGTTCAGTTCTTCGGTTGCAGCTTAAACCCTGATTTTTGTAATATTAAAATCATTAAATAGTCACAAATCCATTTTCAATTCAAAAAGAAAATATTGGCAAGTGCAGATGAACATAACTGAAAATAGAGATTTGTCATAGGTTCAAGAGTTAAAACAGCTTGAATGCTATCTAATAAAATTCAGCAAGTTCCAAGCCTTGAGAAATAATTGCATTCCAAAGACTTCAAGTCCTTATATCACTTGAAACTTCCACTTACTCTATAAAACTTAATGATCAAAGCCAAGTCTTTATGATTAAAACAGTCTTGGCCAGAAAGACAGAGACATTCAAGAAGCTAGAGAACTTCTTTTCTGTTTGTGTAAGGTTAATAACCTTAGAGATTCAGCATAAAATATGGAAGGGGATGTTTGACTCCCCTTCAGACACAAAGTGAATCTGAAGCAGGTCCTAGAGACAGTGCAAGTTCAAGGTGAGAGCACCCAGTTTGGTGAACAAGCATTTTGGTGAACAAGGCTGCACCACTAGCTCATTTCTTCACCACCATCTTCAGGCCCTGGAGTCTGACTGCTTAGGTTCCAATGCTGGCTCCTCCACTTTCTGGCTGGGTGACCTTGGTAAGGCATACCTAACCTCACTAAGCCTCGGTCACCTCACCTGTAAAATGGGAAGAATAATCATAGCACCTATTTCATAAGGCAGCTGTTAGGATTAAACGAGGTAATGCATAAAACAGTGCTTAGCATGATGTCTACCATACAGTCCATTCTCAATAAATATTCTCTAGTAAAATCTACAGATAAAATACATGAACTAGATGTTCTTGAAGTATCACTTCTAGCCATCAAATTACATGATCCCAAGCCCAGGCTAACAGGATGATGGTACAGGCTTACATAGAATGCTAATAATTATAAGCCTACTTCTAGAATCGCTCTCCCACCCCACCTTGGTTGCCACCCTTCTGTTTGCATGTTAGTGCTTGAAATTACCCTATTACAAATATCTACCCATCAGGTAGGCTCTGCTCTCTACTCAAATGCAAACATGTTGAGAGTCCACCCTATTGGGTTTAATTTATCAGATCCTTTCTATGGAACAATGAGTTGACAACAAGTCAGAATGGGGGACAGAAACAGAACAATCATGATACAGATGGAAGAAGCATGGAGAAATAGAAGCTGTGCACAATAGACTGAGGAGAGGATGGCTGAGGTGGGAAGATGGCCCTGGAAAACAACGGAGGCCAAAGGAGAGTCCCCAGGGCCTGGGACATAGTACAGGGAGAGAAGGGCAATGAAAGGGAGGCGAGAGGAGCAGAAAAGATCACTATTGGGTACTGAGCTTAATACCTGGGTGATGTAATAATATGTACAACAAACCCCTATGACACGTGTTTGTCTATGTAACAAACCTTCACATGTACACCCAAACCTAAAATAAAAATTTTAAAAAAAGAAAGGGGCTGGGCGCAGTGGCTTACATCTGTAATCTCAGCACTTTGGGAGACTGAGGTAGGCAGATCACCCAGTCAGGAGTTCAAGGCCAGCCTGTCCAACATAGTGAAACCCCATCTCTACTAAAAATACAAAAATTAGGCGGGCATGGTGGCACGTGCCTGTAATCCCAGCTACTCGGGAGGCTGAGGCAGGAGAATCACCTGAACCCGGGAATTGGAGGGTGCAGTGAGCTGAGATGGCAATGCTGCACTCCAGCTTAGGCATCAGAGTGACACTTTGTCTCAAAAAAAAAAAAAAAAAAAAGTAGGTGAAAAGATGCAGGAAATAAATATCAATATTTTTATTTTATCTAAAGGCAGCCATGCATGAACTCCATTCTATAATATTCATTAAGCACCGTGCTTAGTATTGAATAAGAAACAAACATGGCTCTCGCATACTGGGAGCTTGCCACCTAACCCAATGGGCCATGATGATTTCAATAAAGGTTGTCAGACACTGTACTTCCAACAGGGACTTCACCCATGCAGATGAAGATAAAGTGTCCCATTAAGCTCCCTAATTCATTTTTAAATAGCTTCAAAGTTTTGTCTCTATTGGGTTCTCAAATAAATTATGGTTGCAAAACTGTTTATAAAGAGAGTCTGCCCGTTTTTGCTGATGGAGAAGAGATGTTCTGTTTTAACCACATGCCCTGCTAGTTTGGAAGCGTTCCCATCCACTGCCACAACCTCCCACGTGCACTGACTCTTTCCCTTGAGCGGCACATAAAGCCACAGGCTCAGAGAACAATGGGCGGTCCCCCTGATCCTGTCACCTACCTGCCTTCCCGTGAGGGCTGTTTTGCTTTAACTTCTACCTGGGCTCATGTACAATTGAGAGGATGCTAAATGTGTCCGTGCCTCAAGAACAAGGGCAATCTCACTAATAGCTACTGGCTCAGAAAGGATAACACTTATAAAGAAAGTTAATTATGGGAATTAAACACAGCTTATTTCTCTTTTTGAAGTATGTTTTTTTCATGCCTTGAGGAGGGTGATTTACAGACACATTTGTCTCTTTTTAGAGAAAATTAATTCCAGTTGGTGTTCTGGGCAGAAATGAAGAGGAGGAGGAAGAAGACAAAGCAGCTTCTCCCCTTTCCTTTGCACTGAGGGCAGGCCCACGCCACTTTCTCTGGTGTGGCCACACCATCGTCCACACGGTGAGGCAGGGAGCCTGGGGTGGGTCCTGACACATTTTGCTGCTGTCCATATAAAAAACAAGCACAACTTCTAATGTCAACTGCTAAGCTCCATTTTTTTTTAGACAAAGTAACTATTGCTTTTAAAAATGATTTCAAAATAATAGACACAGAGTAGAGGGGGAAATGCCATATCCCAGCAATGAGTTAGCGGAGCTTCTATTAACACTTCAGCTCTTGTCTCCAGGCATTAGGCTGTATGCTTGGGAGTCATAATATATTAGCCCAGCTTTTCAGCATGAATGGTAATAATAGTCATCATGTGTTGGGTACTCACCACAGCCAGTCACTATGCTAATATCTGAGGAGGGTTATCTAATTAAATGCTCAAAACAACCCTATGCAGTAGGTACTATTATTATTTCCAGACTGCTTCACACCAAATCAAGGTTCTGAACAGCTGCTCCAGACCCCTTGAGCATCAGGCTCCTCTCATTCATAGCACACAAATGTGAAGATATTTAGGTCTGGTGCATTTACATTGAAAAGCAGAAAACCATTTCTGAATTTGTGCATTTATTTTTTGAAGATGGCTCTACAAACTCAGCAGCACTATTCAGCTTTCCTAAGAGTGTGAGAAAATTAAGAGTTTAGAAGAGAAAGGAATTTTCTTTCTTGAAAAATCTAGAACAATTTTTTTTTGTGTGGTGGCAGCAGCGAGAGGGAAAATGGGTAGGTATTACGTTAAAACTGCAATTACATACAGATACTTAAAGAGTGAGTCTAGATAACTGAATTTGAACTTTCTAGTAAAGCAAAATATCCCTGGAAGTGATCTAGTTTAACAACTCATCTGATTGTTAGATGAAAAGCAGAGGCCCAGGGAGGCTGAAAGACTTTTCTGAAATCATCCAGGGAGGAGCAAAGCCAGCCCTGAATCCCAGGTCTCCAAATGATTAATCCAGAACGCCTTCCACTTCTCTTTTCTGCCACATGGCCTTAAAACAGAAGACAACCCAGATGGGACAAACTAGACTGAATAAATATTCATAATATTCTAATATTCATAATAAACCATCAAGGCATCATTATTTAGTGTTTTTTCTTCTGAAAAGAGCAGTGCCCCCAGACTGAACGTATCCCATGTAGTTCGGGGAGGATGATATCTCCTGACAATGGCATCTCTACCTCACATCTTCCTTCACCACTCAGAAGGCACAGGTTTCCTTAAAAGTATTCATCCTGGCAGCAAGGAAGGTAAAAAGAAAACTGTCCTTTTCTACACACATTAGGAAATTATATGCATAAAACCACAAGGCAGATGTGAAATAACCAAGTCAAATTTTTCATCTGGGATTTGGCAGTTTTGCCAAACATCATGGTTTGTATCAACATCAACATCATGGTTAACAACATCACCACATTATTTCCAAGACAAGGCATTACACACGAAGTAGACCACTCTTCTGTGGGAGGTGGAGAATGGGCATTTTCCAGGGTTGTTGCCAAATAATGGGAGTGTCACTTCCTATTCACTTCCCTAACCTGGCTCTGAAATTGGTTAAAAGACAAGGAACAGGCAGAAATTACCAGGAGAGGTTCTAAGTTGTCCTGACTGCATAACTGGCTTAAAAAAACCTAAAGTGTAGTATGCTAATCAGTCAGAACATCCCTTCCAAATAGCTTATAAAGAGAAGAAAGAGAGAAGTTGCTAGTTCCAGTTACTTGCCATTCCCATGGAAAAACTCGGACCATTTTTCTCTTTCCCTCGCTGAAGGTGGACATTGCAGATGTGCTTGCCAGCATCTTTACAGCCCTTCCTCTGGCATCATCACTTGGATCTTCCTCTGGAGACCACTCATTTCCAACTCTCAGGCCTTATGATTCAGAGTGTGAGGGCCCCCCATCCTGGTCCCTACCCTCCCAGGGTGTGGAGTGGGCCTCAGGCACCATTCTGGCCAATTTGTATATTCCAACCACCTGGGTCCAGCTGGTGGTTCTAGGATAGGCATGGGATCCAAGTGGATCATCTGAGATTCAGGAATCTGGAGGGCTGGAATTACTGGGAAAGGGAAGTTGAATGGATAGGCTATACCTGCCCTGGGATGGATGGAGAAGCAGGAGTACCACATGAAAAGAACTTGCCTGAGAATGAAACCAGAAAAGTACAAAGCCAAGTACATAGATCAGGAAAGAATGACAGGCAGAATCCTGATGACAAAGTAAGGGCACCCAGGTCCAGCCACACCTGACGTTAAATCAATCAATGCCCTGTTTCACTAAAGCTGCTTTAAATAGGGTTTCTGTCACTTGCAACCAAGAGCCTTAACTAACACACCCTTATTTATCCTTCAAAACCCGGTTTAATTGTCACCTCCTCTGCTTGGCCTTTCCTGAGGATCCCACACTGAGGTAGCTACTGGTACCTTTCCTGGGGCTATTAGTCTTTACAGTTACTTGTCTAATTTTTTCCTTTTTTTTTCTTTTTTCAAGACTCGTGGATCAGAGATAATATTTCTCTAATTGTGCCTTTCATCTGTATTGTAATTATTCGACCTTCAGATTTAGGGCAGAGTCAATATCTCATAAATCACTGAATTCCTAATATTTGTCCAGTGCCTCAAACATAGCAGATACTCAATATATCTGTGCTCAGTTGAATTCAATTCTAAATGTTCTTTCAGTGAACACTGGACCCTCAATGGTTTCCCATTACCGTTAGAATAAAGTCCAAACTCTGCCACAGGCAGCCGGGCCCTGCAGGATCCACTGGCCTCTTTCTGCTCAGCTCCTACCACAGCAGCTCTGTGCTTTTCCTTGAACCTGCCAAGCCTGTCCCCACTGGAGAGTCTTTGCATTCATTGTTCCTTCTGCCAGGAAAGCTCTTCTTACAGATACTGCAGAAATTACCCCACCACATCATTCAGGGTTCTGCTCATTATCTCGTCAGACAATCTTATCCAAAATAGCACCTCCTTCACTCTCCAGCCCTTGCCCTACTGCATCCTTTCATGACACTTGTCCCTGCCTGATGGTGGTACCTAGCACATATTTTAGTTATCACTGCCTACCTCTCTAGAATGTAGGGCATGGATTTTTTTGTTGTTTTTCAGTGTTATTCACCATTATGTTCCTAGCACCTAGAACTGCACCTGTGTTCTCAAATGATTGGCTGGTACACATTTTTAAAATAATCTTAAAAAGGATGAAAAAAGCAAACCCTAAAACTGAAACCAACATAGACAAATGAATGTAACTGTGTATTAAATTTTAACATAATCTCCCTTAAAAAATAGAATTCTTTTAACTTTTAAACACAGTACTTTGATTATAGGTGTGTAGTGAGATACAATTTAAGGATAAAAATCATTGCAGCAAAAAATATTAAAAGTAATTTTGATGTTTCTTGTTGGTAATGGTACACATGTAGTAATTCTGAAACCATATTGGGCATATTGTAAAAGCAATCAAAAGAGGAAACACACTGATGCCATTAGGAACCACAGCCCTCAATGTGGGAGAAGGGGTAAAAAAATACAGAACAGAGAAAAGAGAAGAGAACCTTGTGGTATGGAATTAGAATTATGGGTATCAGTATGAAGTCATTTTGTTTCCTAGCTCTGCCCACAGACTGTCTAAAAGCAATGACATCCCAGCAGCAATGGGCCACTTAGTGCTTAGCACTTGCTTTTTAAATGCCATTCCCCAGGAAAAAGAAACAGCATTCTGTGAAGAACTGACTGATTCCAAGGCTAGGGCAGGGAAAGTACAAGAAGTACAAGATGCTTCTGGAACACACCTTTGTGTCAAAAAGCAAGGACATGCTTGGAGGCTAATGGGGACCGGTCAAAAGGGCACAGGAGCCAACTGAAGGGGTTCCCAGTGACCAAATTTAAAGCAATGTAAACATCAAAAATAAAAAACAAATTTTAACAGATCAAATAGAAATAACAATCTGTGAATCCACAGTACTATTTTTAAATGTAAGTAATAGGAGGAAAAGGGAAAAATCTTCCCTATGGAAGAATGCCAGGTGATATCCACAGAAAGATACATTAGAAAAATCACCATTTTATCACCCCCAGTGTAATAACTGATTCAGACAGAGATCAGTGGATGCTAAAACTACTGGATGGCATTTTTTGAGGAAACAGTGTTTGAATGGTCTTTAATTATGAGTTAATTACAAACATAAACAGGTGCCTTCACAATGGCAAGATCTGGCAGACACCACCTTGACGCAGTGATCCAGTTTAGCATCACCAACAGTGGGACAAACTGACTTCATGTGCCTCCTGATGTGACACACCAGAAAGTACACACCATCTATGTAATGATCTTGCTCAAATGTTTTGACATAACCTAAGCACTGAGGAAAAAATCAGACAAATTCAGA
Source organism: Homo sapiens (assembly GCF_000001405.40). Classification (NCBI taxonomy): domain Eukaryota; kingdom Metazoa; phylum Chordata; class Mammalia; order Primates; family Hominidae; genus Homo; species Homo sapiens. Next base: position 29,085,854 of record NC_000007.14, read on the forward strand.
AAATGGGACATTCTACAAAGCACCTGGCCTGGACTCTTCAAATCATCATCATGAATGATGAGGACAACAAACAAGGCAGATGACTGAGCCTACCTAGTGCACCCATGGTAATATGTGAGCATGCATTGGGCCCTGGGATTTAAAAAATGTTATGAAAGGGCTGGGCATGGTGGCTCATGCCTGTAATCCCAGCACTTTGGGAGGCCGAGGCGGGCAGATCATGAGGTCAGGAGTTCAAGACCAGCCTGGCCAACATGGTGAAACCCCATCTCTACTAAAAATACAAAAATTAGCCGTGCATGGTGGCAGGCGCCTGTAATCTCAGCTACTCAGGAGGCTGAGGCAGGAGAATTGCTTGAACCCAGGAGGCGCAGGTTGCAGTGAGCCGAGATCACGCCACTGCACTCCAGCCCTTGGCAACAAGAGCAAAACTCCAACTAAAAAAAAATATATATATATATGAAGGGCATTTTGATAATTGGGAGAATTTTGAATAAAGGCTGAATCAATATTGATATGTATGTGTACATGTATATACATATATAGATTTTAAATGAACAAACTACACTCATAATATATGTCAGTTCTGGTGATGTTTGAAGCACACAAGGAAACGTGACTTCTACTTACCTCCCCAGTGACATAAAAGTCATTATTTTTATATTCAGGAAATATCTGGAAAAACTGAATTAGTGCACTGCAAAAAGAAGAACAAGAACAACACAAATTAATCAGAAAAATGATTCAGGATCTCTTCATGCTAGGATATCAAATCTAACTCTTTGGCAATAGGTTTCACACTTGAAATAAGATACCACTCTGCTATGAGCTCCTGTAGGACATTTTATTTACACAATACATGTGGGCTTACTTTGTGATAATAAGAAGTTTGGACAAGTGGACATCAATACTCTGGGCATGTTTCCAAATTACTGATATACCAGTTTGGATCATCTAACTGTTGAGGGCACCTTGAGCAAATAATACAGGTTTCACATGTTACGTAGCAATTCTTGGAGGTAGTTCTGCAAACTTTATGATCCCATTAGCCCGGGTTTGTGGTGAAGTAAGGGAAGTCTTAGTTGCTTACCAACCCCCACTGTGGGGGACTCTGAACATTTCTGATGGAGCTCCAAGAATGCCACATTTTAATAACCAAAGAACAGAAAAACTGTAAGATGACTATAATTTAAAAGAAAAACAGCAAATGGTCACAGATATTGAAATAAATGTACAGTAGGCTCTGGGCTAAAAAAAAGAAAAACACATTTACTAAAGAATGCTAACAGCCGGCCAGGGCGGTGGCTCATGCCTATAATACCAGGACTTTGGGAGGCTAAGGTGGGCGGATAACGAGGTCAGGAGTTCGAGACCAGCCTAGCCAACATAGTGAAACCCCATCTCTACTAAAAATACAAAAATTAGCCAGGCATGGTGGTGCGCGCCTGTAGTCCCAGCTACTCAGGAGGCTGAGACAGAAGAATCACTTCAACCAGGGAGGCTGAGGTTGCAGTGAGCTGAGATTGCGCCATTGCACTCCAGCCTGGGCAACAGAGTAAGACTCTGTCTCAAAAAAAAAAAAAAAAAAAAAGAATGCCAATAGCCACTTCAGTGATGAAATAGATTTTAACAGACTCAAGGAGTGATTTCATAATAAGCAAGAAGACAGTGGATTTTTAAATGATTCTTTACCTGAACAAAATATTTCAAAAAAAGGAAAACAAAAACTTGTGAAACTCAGTAGCTCTATGAGTGTTTTGACCCAGACTGCAGTGCCTGCGAAGCTAGGGGAGGTTGTTGGCCCAGTTTCCTGCTGAGAGACTAAAAGCCATGAACCATCCAGGAAGATGAAAGGCAAGGAGGCTCTGAAAACCCAGGAGGATGGCGAAGTTCAAGGGTTACAAAGAGGCAAAATTGGGTCATTACAATCACCATGATCCTAGCTATATTTAATTTTCAAAGGCTGCATAAAAATTCACCATGAAACACTACTGTAGAGTTTCGGTGTATTTCTGTATTCATTATTTATAGTGGCCTTTGTAGCAACTAAATCTGAGAAGCTGCATTTTATAGCTTCTATGTTTGTGCTGGCAATAAGCTGGCTTTAGAGTGCAGATAAAAATAGGCATTCATTCTCCACCCTTCCCTCTCCAACCTTCAGGCTAAAATCTACTTCCTTTTCTCTCTTCCTGCTTGTTGGAATGGCAGGAGATAATTTAGCATAGTAAATCTCAATTAAGCCTTTGGCTTTAGCTTAAAGCTTATTTCCTTGTAGTATTTGCTGGAGAGTCATTAGGGTTGCTGGATTTAGCAAATGAAAACATAAGACATGGCTTAATTTTGAATTTCAGATAACAAATAATGGCTTAGTATAAGTATGTCCCAAATATTGCATGGAATATACTTACATTAAAATTTTATTTGTTGTTTACCTGAAATTCAAATTTAACTGGGTATTTTGTGTTTTATCTGATAATCTTGGTCAGAGATAATCTCCCAGGTTACTTCTATCTCGAAAATGGCAGGATTCTCCAGCTCAAGTTCCACTTGAGGAAGTTATCATCGAGTTTCAATTTCAGTTTTTATTTCACAGCCAAAAAACTGGCTATTTTTTTTTAAGCAAGCACTTAGTAGCGTGGTAGCACTCCTGTTTCTTAAAAGAGAGTGAAGAATGAAAAAAGTAAATTTAGTAAATTAGATTTACATATGCCATTTGCTCATTTAACTGTATTTTAGTCAAGAACTCTTCTTATTACATGGTGAGCATTTTCTAGAAAATAGAATCTAGAATCAAGCCCACATGAAATTACAAATTTTAGAAGCAGATCTGCTAAACATATATATAATACATAAGTGGCCGGGCGCGGTGGCTCACACCTGTGGGAGGCCGAGGCGGGCAGATCACGAGGTCAAGAGATTGAGACCATTCTGGCCAACGTGGTGAAACCCCGTTTCTACTAAAAATACAAAAATTATCTGGGTGTGGTGGTGGGCGCCTGTAGTCCCAGCTACTCAGGAGGCTGAGGCAGGAGAATTGCTTGAACCTGGGAGGCAGAGGTGGCAGTGAGCCGAGATCACGCCACTGCACTCCAGCCTGGCGACATAGTGAGACTCCGTCTCAATAATAATAATAATACATAAGCATGTGTGTTCACAAGTGCACACTCCATGCATTTATTCAGGTACAAGAGCTACATGGCACAAGAAGCATGCTTCTTCTTGGTGATTCCATTTGGCCACCTTGCTGGCATTGTGCTAAGGACTTGTCTCATAAACAGAATTTTAGTTAAGGGCTCTCTGCTCGCAGAAAGGTACCTTAAAGGACCAAAAAGAGAAACAGATTGCAAGGAAGAATGACTAGGAGAAAATTATTCCTCAGATAAGTTTTTAAACAGAGATTGGGTGGATGCAGGGCAGAAAAGGTGAGTGGACATGATCATGCATTGTAGACCCAAAGACAGCACTGGAATCTGGTCAGTTCTAATAGAGTCAGAAGCATAATCATAAACACAAGCAACATTCAGGATAATCGAGTTTCAGATAATCTAAGCAAAAGTTCCATGCCAAAAAAGCCAAGCAAAGTGTACCTACAGTCACTGGCAGTGGACTTGAGGTAAGAGGTGGGACTCAACTACAAAGGTAGGGCTTGGACACTGGATCAAATTGAGGACTAGCTAAGACAGGGCCTGGGCGGAAGCAGCTTTCCATAAGACATGCCTATCAGTGGGCCATGTCAGTTTACCATTGTGATGGCAACACCCAGGCGTTACCACCCCTTTCCATGGCAATGACCCAAAGACTCAAAAGCTACCATCCATTCCCTAGAAAATTCTGCATGAACCAACCCTTAATCTGCATGTAATTAAAAGTGGGTTTAAATACAACTGCAAAATTGCCCTAAGCTGCTACTCGGACTAGGCAGTAGCCCTGCAGGAGCAGACACGGAGTTGTAACACTGCCCCTTCAATAAAGCTATTTTCTTCTACCTCCATCTCACCATTGAATTCTTTTTTTTTTTTTTTAATTGAGATGGAGTTTCGCTCTTGTTGCCCAGGCTGCAGTGCAGTGGTGTGATCTCGGCTCACCACAACCTCTGCCTCCCAGGTTCAAGTGATTCTCCTGCCTCAGCCTCCCAAGTAGCTGGGATTACAGGCATGCACCACCAAGCCCAGCTAATTTTTCTATTTTTAGTAGAGATGGGGTTTCTCCATGTTGGTCAGGCTGGTCTGGAACTCCTGACCTCAGGTGATCTGCCTGCCTCGGCCTCCCAAAGTGCTGGGATTACAGGTGTGAGCCACCACACCTGGCCACCCTTGAATTCTTTCCTGGGCAAATCCAAAACCCCTCACAGGCTAAGCCCCACTTTGGGGCTCATCTGCCTTGCACTGGACCGATACAAGCTCAGCAACAGGAATCCTGGCAGTGCTGCTCTGTTGGAACCCGTGAAGGGAGCCTCTTCTGCATTCACTCTACATCTAGCAAGGCTGAGCCATGATCCTCTCCACCTGGCACAGGACACAGAGTTTTCTCATTTAATATAGGAAGCCTGCTTCCTAGCTGCATTGCTATGAAGCTTTGTTTAGCAACACTACATATCATTTCCCATTGCAAACCAACATGTAGGAGAAAACTATAGCAGCACTTCCATTTGGCTGCTAAGAAAATAACTATAGGTCCACCACTAGACTGAGCACCAGGAGGGCAGGGGGTTTGAGGACTGCTTACTACTGTCTCACCAGCACCAAGAACAGCAGCTGGCACATAATAGGCAATTGGTAAACAATGGCAGAAGGAGATTGGCACCAGCTAGTGTACTCCAAATCAAAGTTAATACATTTCATAATTTGTTTTAAACCAGAGAGGCATTGTGACTAAATAGCATATTCCAAATAAGAAAAGTGGGAGAGTATTTTAACATCTTGTTCGTGAAAAAGTTTTATTTCCAAACACAAAAGCAGCAAAACTGTGAACGGTAAATGTCTCCTTACAGCCATGCACTATTAATAGTCAAAAAGAATGAGATTTTCTGAAAAAAGAAAGTTGGTTTTCAAAGGGAGAAAATGAAAGCTCCACTCTTTAAACCTGTAGTAGCCCATTTGCAGGTTTTGAAGCGACCCTCTTATTCCAAACACCCATCTGGAGAGCTGGAGAGAAGAATGTGGTCACAAAGGGAAATGAATAGTGTAAACTATAAAGGAAACAGCTGAAATCAGTTTTCTGCACCACCCTTGATTAGCTATTTTCCAGTTCTAAGAGCCCGAAGCAAAAAGAACTACAACAGCTATAAACAATAGATGCTTTGAAATAGGTTCCCTTTACATGTCAGGAAAGAGGAGATGGACCACATGTCAGCAGTCGACATCCCCATATGGAGGGGCAACTGGAAGCTGTAACTGTCTTTGGGGGAGGGGAAGGAAAGACAGAAACGGCTTGGCAGTGATGCTCTGTCTTAGAGGGGGCCCGATGCATCTCTTCAATACAGAACCTCTGCCCTCAGGGTGTTTGCTAGTTAACCACTGAGCTTGTTTGGATTTAAACCAAAGAGGGATGGGAGGTGGGGGCGGGGAGTAGGTTTCTAATCTGAAGAAAGAGAGCACACAGTGCCAAGAGAGCCCTGGCCCTGGCTCTGAAGAAGCCTGTGAGGAGGACTGCCGTCCGTTACGTCTGTGGAGGGAAGGGGAGGAGGTGCTGGGGGGAACACCCCGTCAGCATCTTGGCAAATATGTCCCTAGGACCCCACTGTATGTGGAAGCAGAAGTGTGGGGCCCTGGGCATCCCCCTAGAAACTGAATAGAAGTGATCGAATCATGGAACATGTGAAAAACAAACAAAAGTGGAGAAGACAACAGCCATATTCTTTTCTGGGTGGGCAGAGGGAGAGATCTTTGGGAAAGGGGCTTGGAAGTAGTTCTTTCTTCTCTCCCCCCGGCCACCTATCTGCCTCAGAGAGAAAGAAAAGTAAAACGGAAAGCTTTTGTCAGAGATCAGCAAACTCTGACTCCTATTAGATGCACTTTCGCTTTGAGGATTGGTAGTAATTAACAGAGTGCTTGGTGGAGGTGTGGGGTAGGGAGCTAGTTAACTCCTTCTGGCCACTAGGGTTCTTTTAGTAAATTATTATAATACATAAAGCGGTGCCCTAGTGACCAGAAAGAATCTAGGACTTGGTCTCTAGTAATAATTTGTAGACTGGAAAAATCTGACCAAATAAGAAAGGTCACTTGCTTTTTTTTAAAAATGCTAAAAATAGCAATGATTAATATGAGTGAAAAAAGGGAGAAATTATATGGACACTGTTTGGCCAGACTTACAACTTTACATTTTTCCTTTTTTTTTTTTTTTTAAGCAAAACAAAACTTTCATAAGAAGAAGAGAGAATACTAGAGACTAACAAGCTAAGTTTTCAGCCTGGAAAAGTCATGAAATAGAAGCAAAAAGTAAAAAATTGCATCCAAAAGCCACGAAAAGAAGAATCCTGAGAAACAAACAAATATCTGAAAAGATGTTGTCTCCCTGCAAATGCAAAGTTAAATACAAATTTGGAAAACAAGTAGAAACCTTTCAGATGTCTGGTTGAAAGGTTTAAAAAATAATCTTTAATTGAAAAATTCTGCTCTGTGTGTGTGGATGTGAAAATATCCTTAAATTATCTTCAGGAATTGGACTATAAGGCTCAGTCAATAAAAATTCCAACACTAGAATAATTTTCCTATTGAGATAGAAAAATGTTTGGTCTTAGGAAAGCCAAGAGAAAGCAGGAGCATTTTACCTGTATAAATCCCGTGCTACATCGTCCTCATTGACTGCATATCCGTGGGTATCATCAGTAAAACTGAAGCCTGTGCCCACCTGCAGGAGAAATAAACACGCAGGTATAAACACAGAGAAACACATGCCTTAGGGACCTGCAGAGAGGTCCCACACTGGAAGGTGACCTTGTTCCAAAGGCCAAGCTCAGACTTCAGATTTTTGCCGTTGCCCCCCTATGCCTTTAGCCCTCCTCCCAGGAGGATGCTAGGTGCCACCTATTCTCTCCACCCCCTAAAGCCCAAATAAAACAGCAACACAGAGCTTTGCCCTGGGGTCAGTGGCTGAGCTGTCCTGTGCCTCAGTGGAGACCCTGCCAGATGTTGATTTAAGGAAGAAGGATTCATCTTTTCCATCCCCTGCTACAGTATCAAAAGATCCAAAGTTGTCTCCTCTCTGAAACCTGGAGAGTGCATGGCTCTGTCCTGCCAAGAAGAAACTCTTGGTTGGCGCAGTGGCTCACTTCTGTAATCCCAGCACTTTGGGAGGCTGAGGCGGGCGGAACACCTGAGGTCAGGAGTTTGAGACCAGCCTGGCGAAACCCCGTTTCTACTAAAAATACGAAAATTAGCCGGGCATGATGGCGGGCACCTGTAATCCCAGCTACTCAGGAGGCTGAGGCATAAGAATCACCTGAGCCCAGGAGGCGGAGATTGCAGTGAGCTGAGATCATGCCACTGCATTCCAGCCTGGGTGACCAAGCGAGACTCCGTCTCCAAAAAAAAAAAAAAAAAAAAAGAAAGAAACTCTTTAGGCTGAAGAAAAAGGTAGTTGTACATTGTCTTCCTCTTCTTCTTCTTCCTCCTCCTCCTCCCCCTTCTTGTCTTTATTTGCAAGAAATATGGCCATTAAGCCATTTCATCTTCAGTAGGTAAGGAGTTTTAACATAATTAAGACTAATTTTAAACTAATATTTTCTTATTAGAACCTAGAAGTTCACAGACAACTGAACTGCAAATTCAAAAGAAACTGAACTGCAAATTCAAAAGAAGAAGCTACTATTTTTATGTCAACAATTTGCATAAGGAATGCACTCCCTATCTGGTATAAAGATTTTTGTGTTTTTGTTTTCCAAACACCCAAGGATGTTTAATTCATCTTTTACTTAAATACACAGTTATGGATGAGGAAAATGGAAGGCTGACAAAACAAGGTGGGGGAAAGAGCATGTTGACATTTTTTTCCGCTTTTATTTGTGTTCTTTTGGACCATCTGAAAAGTGAGAGAAGTTAAAGATTTTAGTTAAGAGGGCAAAGATACTCCAAATCTGTAGAAGCTGACCCTAAGTTTCTCTCCTATTTTGCACCTTAATAGAACCAATATCAGAAGACCTCCCCAAGGAGAGTATCACTTTTTGTCCAGAGATGAAGCATGTTGCTTGTCTTAACAAGTGAAGGAGGCCAAGAGCAGTAGCTCATGCCTATAATCCCAGCACTTTGGGAGGCTGAGGTGGGCGGATCACTTGAGGTCAGGAGTTCAAGACCAGCCTGGCCAACATGGTGAAATCCCATCTCTACTAAAAATACAAAAGTTAGCCAGGCATGGTGGCGCAAGTCTGTAATCCCAGCTATTCAGGAGGCTGAGGCAGGAGAATTGCTTCAACCTGGGAAGTGGAGGTTGCAGTGAGCTGAGATGGTGCAACTGCACTCCAGTCTGGGTGACAGAGTGAGATTCATCTCAAAAAAATAAAAATTAAAAAAAAAAAGTGGAGACCCATTTTGACTTTTTATATCTATAACTCTATGTGAAAGATTAGACGATTGTGAAAGATTACAAGTTCTGACACTATATAATAACCTGTGATATAAGGAACCCAAACTGTTAGTGAAAAGAAATGAATTCCTCCTCCTGGGTTACCTAATTCAGTGAACAGGACATCTCATAGGATTAAAAATAAGGAAATGGGCCAGGCGTGGTGGCTCACACCTGTAATCCTATCATTTTGGGAGGCCAAGGCAGGTGGATCACCTAAGGTCAGGAGTTTGAGACCAGACTGGCTAACATGGTGAACACCCCCCACCCCACGCTCCCATCTCTACTAAAAATACAAAAATCAGCCAGGTGTGGTGGCACACGCCTGTAATCCCAGCTACTTGGGAGGCTGAGGCAGGAGAACCAGGTTGAACCGGGGAGGCGGAGGTTGCAGTGAGCTGCCAGCCTGGGCGACAGAGCGAGACTCCATCTCAATAGAAAAAAAAAAAATGAGGAAATGAGAGAAGGCAGCAAGGAAAATTGCCAAACTCCGATATGATTATACATGTTAACAGAAAAACTAAATCTCAAAATGGTTTTAATTTTACAGATTAAATTCTATTTTCAAAAGGAAAAACGAAATCTATTTTTTAAATGTACTTAATAAAAAGGAAAAAATAAAAGACAGGAGACGCCAGCACTGACAGCTCACAGGGTCATCCCGGACTTACTGGATTGTCAATGTAAAGCATGGAGAGCGTTGTGGTCCAGGGGAAGTCTCTGTCACGCACTGTGAAAACAAAGAAGAGGGGTGAGATAGAGTCGTGGACAAGCATTCCACCGAGGCCTCATGGTGGTCAGAAGCCCAACACACCCCACGGTCCTCATGAGCTGTTGGCGTACCCTCTAACAGTGCTGCACACTCTCATGGTGGGGAACAGGCACCTGCACCTTTACCCTCCCCACTCCTCTCCTTTACTTTCCCCCAGCCCAGAGTGTTTCTACACCTGAGATAAAGCTTGGAAACAAAACCCAGCAAAAGCTTGGAACAAAGCTGGTTCATGAAAAAACACCCACCAACCACCTCTGCAATAATATCCATATGTCCAATTAAATCAATCATCCTTAATGCTCCATCTCTTGAACAGAACTACTTCAACAAAACTGGCACATAAGCCTTTATACTGAGTCACAAACTGGCTCACACTCCAAATTCTGACCCAGGGGAAGTAAACAAAATTAAAAAAAAAAAAAAACAAAATGAGATGAAGGTAAACTTAGTGACAGCCAGATGTTGCTCTTTCTTTATCCTTCCTCCGCCTCAGCCCCCACCGGGAATAGCGTCTTGCTTCCAAGTTATCAGATAATGAGTGTGACTGAACCATAAAGTGTTTAGTTCATGTGAGTAATTAAGAATATAATTCCACCCATTAGTCCACTGCAAAGAGCTGTCCCAAATAGTAATAAATACCAACTGTTTTGCAAACCCAGAATGCTTGAGTCAGCAGCAGACTGCAAGAAAGCGGATTAGAACTTTTCACCCAAATTTCAAGGGAGAAAGCAGCCCAGTCAGGACACTCACCCCGAGGCTCCTCCTTCTCGGATGGATATTGCCAGAAAGTTGTGTTTTGATAATCTGGAACGGTTAAGCTATTCATAGTGGTTCAGTGTTTACTCTAAATTAGTTTTGGAGCAGGTATGAGGCTCAGATGAAAGATTCTATAGGAAATACAGTGCAAGGGATACTTACAGGTCATGTTACTTGTGACAACATAAGGCCCATGTTCCACAAAGAGTCCAAACATGGATGAACCTCCCGGCCCACCCTGTAGCCAGAGAACTACTGGGGCATCTTCTGGCTGTATCTAGAGGAAACAGTAAAACCAGTGACCACACAGAACACTCACTTAAGGCTACAGAACACACACAAGCAAACTTACCCAAATCCTCTCTGTGTTACAGGGCTGTGACTAAATCCTACAAAACCTCCCCAGACCTCAGTAACCACTCTCCACTATGAGCAAAGTACTGATCATCTTTGGTTCTTTGAATGAGGCTGTGCCTCATATGCTGGTGTCTTCTTATCATGCAGTCAAGTCTTTTCCCAACAAGAGACAGAAAGCTCCTTAAATGTAGATGCTTGGCTTGTGCATGCTGCCAGACATCTAGCATACTGCCTGGGGCATGGTTATATATTTTTAGCTGTTTAAACTAAAATTTGGGACTCTTCCATTTAACACACATATTCCCAACAGAGGCACAACAAAGAATCCATTCTCAGTGACACCTTCCCTTCTGCACTGAGAGCCCAAACGCCTTTCTGATTTTACTCACTAAGAACGTGTTCACAGCTGGTCGCGGTGGCTCACGCCTGTAATCCCAGCACTTTGGGAGGCCGAGGCAGGCAGATCACCTGGGGTCAGGAGTTCAAGACCAGCCTGGCCAACATAGTGAAACCCTGTCTCTACTAAAAATACAAAAAGTTAGCCAGGCGTGGTGGCACATGCCTGTAATCCGAGCTACTTGGGAGGCAGAGACAGGAGACTCGCTCAAACCCTGGAGACGGAGGTTGCAGTGAGCCAAGATTGCACCACTGCACTCCAGCCTGGGTGACAGAGCGAGACTCTGTCTCAAAAAAAAAAAAAAAAAAAAAAAAAGAATGTGTCCATAGGGACCAGGACAACTTCATTCAACATGGTGGAAAAATGAGGAGGAGCAGACAGCCCCAGGGGCCTTTAGCCAACGCAAATAACAACGACAAAACCCTGAACAAGGTACAGATTTATTTAGGAGATGTGGGAGACATAAACTAGAAAAGGGTATTGGCAGGGCGGTGATGTTGAAAATGAGCTACTGGCCGTAGTGTCAATACCATCACCTTCAATGACAGAGACCTTTTCAACTATTTCATTCAATGTGTATTTATTGAGCACCCATTATGGGCCAGGCATAGCGCCGGGAGCTAAGTACACAGAACACTGAGTGAAGAAGAAAACGCATGTCCTCTTGGAACTTAGAATTGCATGGGCAATATAGGCAGTAAGTAAGAAATAAAGACAAGGCTGGGAGCGGTGACTCATGCCTGTAATCCCAGCACTTTGGGAGGCCAAGGCGGGTGGATCACCTTAGTTCGGGAGTTCAAGACTAGCCTGACCAACATGGCAAAACCCCATCTCCACTAAAAATACAAAAAATTAGCTGGGCGTGATGGCGGGTACCTGTAATCCCAGCTACTTGGGAGGCTGAGGCAGAAGAATCCCTTGAACCAGGGAGGCAGAGGTTGCAGTGAGCTGAGATAGCACCACTGTACTCAAGCCTGGGCAACAAGAGTGAAACTCTGTCTCAAATAAATAAATAATTAAAGACAATGATTGGAGAGTGTGAAAAGGAAATATGGGTGATTTAAGAGTCATTGGAGGCTGAAAAGGAGAAGGTGATTAGCGAAGGCTTCAATGAGGTCTGAGCGCTGCCCTGAGCCCTGAAAGCTGAGAAGGATCCAGCCAGGAGCAGAGCCAGACAGCAGAGCTGTGCACAAGGGAAATGACAAGGGAAACCCTCTCACCAGAACAGACTTAGAAAGGGAGGAAGGCACAGTCGCCAGGCGAATCCCCCAGAACCACCTGAAAAAGCTCTACTTGGCTCCCCTGCTTGGCTTCTAGCAGGACCTAACAGTGGGCCCTTGCATGATGGCATGGCTCGTTGGATGGTTAGTCAGCAAGGATCCCCTGGCTTCAGCCCAGAATAAAATCCCACCACCTCTGACTTGGCCTGGCTATACAGACAAATCAAGGTGTTGTTGGAAGGTCTGAGTGGATGCGTTCCATTGACCTGGATGGCGGGAGAAGGCTGAGGCAGAAGGCAAGACTGACTCAAGAGAAGGTGACTGGGATGCCACCGCCAAGACCTGCAGGAAGAGCTGAGCAGAGTTCTAACCATGGCCACAGAGGGCACAGAGGAACTTTCCCAGTCACCAAGAGCCTGATAGAGTCCTTCACGGCTTTGGAAAGGGGCCCAGGGGGACCTGCTACAAGATAGGTGCTGGGAAGAATGGCCATGAGCTGGGGCACACCCCTCCTATGAGGCGCCACCTCTCGGGCTCATTCTTGAGTGTTAACAAATTAAGCAACATAATTAAAGCCCTTCGAACAATGCCTAATGTATGATAAAAGCACAATAAATATAAATGATTATTATGACTAAGGAAACAGGTAGAAATGGTAGAAGCCAAGAGTCCGACTGAGGCCTCTGATGAGCAGCCTGAAGCTCCAGGGGTCAGCGCGGTATTATATAACAAATAAGCATGGAAGCTCTTGCCCCAAACTGTTTGAATTCAAATCTAGGCTTTACTACCCACCAGTGTGTAACTTTTGGCAAGTTGCCTAAGCTCTCTGGATCTCAGTTTCCCCACCTATAAAAATGGGATCAATAGGCCAGGCACGGTGGCTCGTGCCTGTAATCCCAGCACTTTGGGAGGTCGAGGCGGGCGGATCACCAGAGGTCAAGAGTTCGAGACCAGCCTGACCAACATGGAGAAACCCCATCTCTACTAAAAATACAAAAAAATTAGCTGGGCCTAGTGGCACGTGTCTGTAATACCAGCTACTTGGGAGGCTAAGGCAGGAGAATCGCTTGAACCCAGGAGGCGGTCATTGCGGTGAGCCAAGATTGCGCCATTGCACTCCAGCCTGGGCAACAAGAGTGAAACTCCGTCTCAAAAAAATAATAATAATAATAAATAAAATAAAAATTGAAAAAAGATCAATAATAGTAGCTACACTGTATGCTTGCTGGGAGGATTAAATGAATTCCTTTTCATAAACCTCAGCTGTATAGTATGTGTTCTCCAAATATTAGCTATTGCTATAATAGATAATCACGAGGAATTTGTAGATGGCTTGAACACAATCTATCTGTAAATGACAGAATAGGAAAGTGGGCTGTGTGGTGGTTTTATTCTCGCTCCTGTAGCCCACAACTTCCCTGATCAGTTTTACTAGTTATTCCCCCTGCCTCAAGTGTTCAAATGTCTATGAACAAGTCAACAGAATGAGGGTTTTGTTTTATAAGTCAAAGCAGAGGCTGGGTATGGTGGCGCATGCCTATGATCCCAGCACTTTGGGAGGCCGAGGCAGCAAGATCACCTGAGGTCAGGAGTTCGAGACCAGCCTGGCCAATATGGTGAAACCGCATCTCTACTAAAAATACAAAAATTAGCTGGGCATGGTGGCAGATGCCTGTAATCCTAGCTACTTTAGAGGCTGAGGCAGGAGAATCACCTGAACCTGGGAGGCAGAGGTTGCAGTGAGCCGAGATCATGCCACTACACTTCAGCCTGGGCAACAGAACAAGATTCTGTCTCAAATAATAATAATAATAAGTCAAAGCAGAAAAAATGAAAATCAATGACAGCCTTTTTAAGCTGCTGCTTGGAAGCAGAGTGAGCCGTGGAATTGGGAGCCAGACAGGCTGTGGTTCCAGTTGGCCACATAACAGCTGTGCCATCCTGGCCCTCAGTTTCCTCGTCTGTCAAATGACCATAATGCCTGCCTCACAGGATTGCCTGAAGGCTCTGAGGAGCAAATGTACATGAAATGATGCTGTAAACTCCAATGTGCTGAATAAAAATAACCAGCTCTGCCCCAACCTGCCTGTGGAGCTGTGTTTTGTTTAAATAAGTGATTTTTATCTCCTCTCAGATCCACTCACCAGTACTGCCTTCCACTTGTATTCACTCAGCAGTAGGAGCAAATTACACATATGAGAGGTAGAAAAACAATGGGATCTGGGTGGAAGGTAGCCCCTGCTCTTCCCAGCCTCCCAGGGAGTGTGAGATGCTGCGAGTCCAACTGATTCCAGCGGATATCCAGCCCCACTTCCTTCCTAAACTACATGTGAACTCCCAGAAGCTGCAATGTGCTCATTAAAACATTTTGGAGAGCTTTTCTCTTTTGGAGAGTAGTATTTTTATACTACTGCCTAGGCCCAAATCCCAGAGATTCCAATTCCATTGGTCTGTGGGGAGGAGGCCTCATCAGTCTTTCTCAAAAGCTCCCAGGTGGTTCTAATGTGCAGGCGGCGCCAAGGGTCTGAAGGTGGATGGAGAGTTTGCCCTCTAAATATCTCAGGCCTCTGGTCTCCAGCCTGTCCTCCCCTATCCTCCACCCTATCCTCCCTTGGCCTTCCATGTCCCTTCCTGTGACCTGGCACAATGAACCGGACCTCTGGACTCAGAAAAATAGCCTGACCCTGAGAGCCCACACTACAAAGTCAAGTCAAACACCTCAGTGCCAAATATCTTTATTATGCAACTTTGAAGCACAGGACACTGCATTCTTGGAATGCTTAAATAACAAGATCTGTGTACACACCTCCAGCCTCAGCTGACCTTGCTCCTGATTTACTTTCCTGGAGGAGGTGAATGAGGCTCAATAACCCTGGAAGAAGCCTGTTTTTAAAGAAAAGCCCACACATACATCTTTCTACTTTGATGGGCCAACCAACCTGTGAACTAATGTCACCCTTATCTGTAATAAAACATAAAAGTCAGATCTGGAAAATAAAAGTATATGTGTTCAATGCCAAAACCCCAAGAGTCAGTTGTGTCACAGCATGCAGACTTTTGTAATATAATATGGCATCAAATGTCATGATATGCAGTATAATATTAATTATGTCCACAGTAATGGCATGAGGTTATTATGTGACAATCCTTAGGGTGATATATTCAGCTGTCAATTGTGAGAATGCAGCCTTTAGCCAACTCTCAACTTTGGAAAGAATAAAAGACTTCCTGAACAAAACCACATTGCAATACTTAAGACCGAATGAAGAAATGACCACTTTAGTTCATTTACAGCATTACAAAATTCAGGAATTTAAAAACATTTACCATATTGAAGTTGTAATTCAAGAGTGTATGAAGCAAGACAATTAATGCATTTATTTTTTTCAAAAGCTTTAAAATGTGGCTGGGCGCGGTGGCTCATGCCTATAATCCCAGCACTTTGGGAGGCTGAGGCGGGTGGATCACGAGGTCAGGAGATCGAAACCATCCTTGCTAACACGGTGAAACCCCGTCTCTAAATACAAAAAATTAGCTGGGCGTGGTGGCGGGCGCCTGTAGTCCCAGTTACTTGGGAGGCTGAGGCAGAAGAATGGCGTGAACCCGGGAGGCGGAGCTTGCAGTGAGCCAAAATAGCGCCACTGCACTCCAGCCTGGGCGACAGAGCGAGACTCCGTCTCAAAACAAAAAAAGCTTTAAAATTTTTCTTAAAACTTTTTCTATTATAAAAACAGTACTTATTCTTAACTAAAGGTTTTTTTTTTTCTTCAGTGAAGGTATTTTTAACAGCCCCTCTTCCCCGACAAATTCTACTTCCTAGAGATGATCATGGAGATGCTTATGTTTACCCTTCCAGATTTTTCTCTATGGTCCTCCTCTACACATACACATATAGACATATCCTATAGCTATTATATATGCAATATACATACACACGTTTTTTTTCCAAAAATAGAACCAGGCTATACTCTATATATGCTTATTCACTTAACAATATGTTGTGAAGATCTCTTTATATCAATACATATCATTATTTTGCTCAACAGTATGCACTCTACGAATTTACCACAATGTATTAATTCATTTAACATACAACGCCAACTACTCACAGGGATTGTCTAAGGCTGTGGATGCAGACCAACTCCTACCCATGAGCAGGCAGAATACTTTATAGTTACGAGCATGGATTCTGGAGCCAGAATGCCAAGGTTTGAATTCCAGCTATGCTATTTTGTAGCTCTGTGACCTTGGGCAAGTTACTTAACTCCTCTGTGTTTCAGCGTCCTCTGATTGAAAATATGGATACTATTAATGTCTGTCTCCTAAGGTTTTCATGCAGTTTTAGAGTCGATATATGCACAGCACTGAGAACAGTGCCTGGCACATCTATTTAAGTGTCAGCTCTGATGATTTTTCTGCTGGTGTGGGAAGACAGTAAACAAGCAACTAAATAAATGAGTGATATGAAAGAGGAATGGAGAGACACTAGATTAAGTACTTAAAGAAGGCCTCTGGTGGTAGGGTAACATTTGAGCTGAGATCTAAAATATGAGTAATTCCCTCATACTACATATTTAAGAAGAAAATAAAACCTCTACTAATGACTTAAAGGTCAAAGTCCTGCAGCAAGAACTGATGATTAAAAGGGAACGGACAAAAAAGTTCTAAATATTAAAGAAAGAACAAAGGAATCCTAAATACTTAAGTGAGAAGTCTCCCTAGCAACAGAAGAGGGTCGGCCCGCGGGTCCCACAAACCTGGGCCCTTTATTGGAGCACAAGAAGCAACTATGGCTTTGCCTCAGAAGCCCTTTCGATTCTTCTGGCGACCCCTGGTGACCAACCCATGAACTTGGACACTCTTTCCTCAGGGTTTCTTCCAGAAGGAACGGCCCAGAAAGAGAGAAGTTATCTATTCTGCCAGAATCTCTACAAAAAGGAATTTCACAATTTCTCACATTAGCAAATTCCATTGCTTATTCACAATGATGATGAAAAATCTACTCCATGTCTTAATGGAATGTCATTCAAAGAAAGTGAAACTCATTGAAACAAAACTAGTACTAAATCCTGTCTGCCCTATTGTTCCCCAGATTGATATACCCTCCCTGGACAGCATCACCTTTGCCCTGAGTCTTCCTTTCCACCCTCATCTTCCATCAGCCCTTATCCCCCAGGCCCTCCTTTGCATCAGAGAGAAAGAGAGAATAGAGATAACCTTCTGCTCAGACCATATGCCTATCACTGAAACAGTAAGTTAATATACTGGGGGGGGGGGGGGGGTGCTAAAAACTTGCCAATTTCAGTACTTTTAAGAAACATAATTGTTGTTTTGTTTTTTTTTTTTTTTGAGATGGAGGCTTGCTCTGTCGCCCATGCTGGAGTGCAATAGCGTGATCTCAGTTCACTGCAACCTCCACCTCCCAGGTTCAAGTGATTATCCTGCCTCAGCCTCCTGAGTAGCTGGGATTAGAGGTGTGCACCACCATGCTCAGCTATTTTTTTTTTTTTTTGTATTTTTAGTAGAGATGGGGTTTCACCATGTTGGTGAGGCTGGTCTCGAACTCTTAACCTCATGATCTGCCTGCCTCGGCCTCCCAAAGTGCTGGGATTACAGGCATGAGCCACCACACCCAGCCTCATGATTGTGTTTTATAAGAGGACTTTATTGGAGTGACCCTTGGAAATTTTAGGAATCTCAACAAGTGTTAGGGCAACATTTTGGACCGGAAAGTCACTTAAAGTAGACAGGCATCTGCCAATCTTCAGGACTGGTTACATATCCCTAGCACCCCTTTCTTCCTATCTCCAATAAGGAATGCCACGCTTGGTTAGAGAAAACAGCAACTAAACCACTAACAGATCCAAATCAATGGCACTGCTTAAGATGAGAAGTGCAATTAGTAAATTAATTAAGGCCCTCTTCACACTTCTATATGCAGAGGCTGATCATTTGCTTGGTTTAAGTAATGTGTTCTACCTTAATTGAAGTCATTAGTACCCCAAGTAAATGTCTTTAAATTCCCACAAGTATGTTTAAATGGACTCCCATTTTGCCATACAGATCCCAGTTCAGCTAATACTTTAGCTGCTACACTAATGGTATTAATCAAGGCAGAGCTTTTTATTTAAAGCAATTAATTTTGTGACTAGAATTGTTAAATAGGTACATAACATTTTAATTCTACACACACACACTCAACACATACACACAAGTTGCTAAAGACATTCATGTTTTTCAAAGAAATTTTATTTCAAGTGGTTGGTGTTGACTACTCACCAAATCTTCCTTTACTATGACTGCTGCCATGGCACCATCATACAGAAAATTAATTTTTTCAAAATCTTTTTTGTTTTTTGTTTTTGAGATGGAGTCTCACTCTTGTTACCCAGGCTGGAGTGCAATGGCACGACTTGGCTCACTGCAACCTCCACCTTCCCAGTGCAAGCGATTCTCCTGCCTCAGCCTCTGGAGTGGCTGGGATTACAGGTACCTGCCACAGCCCCTGGCTAATTTTTGTATTTTTATTAGAGACGGGGTTGCACCATGTTGGCCAGGCTGGTCTCGAACTTCTGACCTCAAGTGATCCACCTGCTTTGGCCTCCCAACGTACTGGGATTATAGGCATGAGCCACTGCACCCAGCCTCAAAATCTTTTTTTGTTTTGAGGCCTTCTTGCATCATTCCGAAGCTCCTGACTCTCATCAAGTTTTGGCTTGTCTCATTGATTTGTACCAGCTTACACCCCATTAGAATCCTAACTTTCTCCTTCCTAACCTTTCTACCTGGCTCATTCCTTCATGAGATAGTTATGGCTATTCTCTTTGTGCCTCCTGCCAGAAAGTTATACTTTATAAGGAATAGGGAAGTGGGCGGATGCAGGGAGGTGTGGAGAAGACACCTTACTTTCCCTTCTTGATGCAAAAGTTAGTTACTTTCTCTCTATGTTATTTCATTTCCACAAAGGAAATCAGGCATGCAAAAGTTTCTGCAGAGTGTTCAAATATACCTATACCTATGGGTGGTGATCTATAACATCACCTTAAGCTACTTTCTTTTTATTTTGTCTCTGACACCCTCTATTCTTCTATATCTCTGATGCCATTAAGTACGTAGCAAAGAGAAGATAAATAGAGTCAGTTTGAAGAAGACAATTATCTGTGATCTCCAAATCTTTGTTGCACTGCTGGTGGATTTGTATCCACCTGTGTTAGATACATTTTGAGATATATTTTAATAAATCTGTCCAGTCCATGTCCCCTTCTCTAAGAAATGAGTCTCCATTCATCCATGGCTAGCCTGCTAGCCATGTTTATATCATGGCTAATACCCAGCACCTTCAGTCTCAGCTGACTGGACCAAGGAAGAAGACGTGATCCAGACTGTGGCAGCCATGGGTGCTAGTTAATCTCTGCTGGCTACATGATGCAAGGACAGGTAAACTTGGAAATGAAAGGTTGGCCATACTTGGCCGAGTGCCTGGAGAAGCAAAGCATGTTGATCTGTCAAGGGAGAAGAATGAAGCACAGATGAGGGAATCCTGTGGTCTCAGACAGAATAGGGCTGAGACAGAAAGACTGACTGCCTTTCCTCCCGAGGCTTTTCTATTACTCGTTCCTTAGGCCAGACCACATGTCCAGCCCTTGGTGTCTCAGGGCTGGAGAAAGATTTAGAATGGTACCTGCATCAGTTAAGGCCCAATCAGAAGTCAAAAACCACAGAGTCATTTTAATTTTTTATTTAATTTATTTTTTTACTTGGAAACATTCACCTTTAATTCTGTTACAAGTTCCAGTGTTTACTCTGGCCCCAGCCAGCCATGGGTATCACAGACACCCTTGGGCAAAAGTGAAGATGAAACACCAGAGGGGCCTGTTCTCCCACAGCCACATCCTCAGTGTTGGCCAAAGACCAGAATGCTGGGTAGGCTTCCTATGTCCACTAAGGAACAAGGAAATGTTAATACCTAGAAGTATTCATTATTACAGAGAACTAAACATACATATACAAAGAGAATTCCAAAGAATGCCCTGGGCTAGGGAGAGTGCTCACAGATGGACAAGCCCATAAGTTAGGGAGGGGACCCTTCCCAAGGCTGCTGTCCAGACCTCGGTGGAGAAGGTATGGTTGCAGCCTTCTGAGTAGCTGAGAAGTTCACTGAGTACCCTGGTCCAAAGCTGGTCAACCATCCTTGGGTAAATAGGAACAGGTGGGCTGTGACTGGCAGGTGGACACAGAGAGACTCAGGAGGCTGGGAGCCTGCTTGCCTGAAAGGTTGCACACAGCCTGGAGCACACGGTGTCCACACTGGGAGGGACAAGGGAACGACCCTCTGGGGTGCAAATGGCCAAGGCTAGTGAGAGGGCTGCAGAGAGAGCAGGGCTGTAGGGAGCCTGCTCACCGGCAAGGCCTAGGGTATATTGTGTTCATACTGGGAGGGCCACAGCCAGGTGATCACCTGGACAGAGCCAGGGATATCATCTTGCTAAGAGTCTTGGTGGTCTGGGTGCATAGCTAAGGCAGAGTGTCACTGGATGTCCCCACCCCCCACCTCAACACACTGCTGACAGACTAGGCAGTGGGGCCAAGAAAAAGCCAAAGGCAGGACATAGGCACAGAAAGAGAAGACAAATTCCTCCTGCAATGTCTCTCCAGCACCCTCTACTGACAAAGCTTAATATTGTGCTTGCTGCAAAGGAGAAATGCTGAGAGCTCTACTATGGCAGAACAGGGAAGAGGGTAGAATTGGAGCTGAGAGGCAAAAAAAAACAAAAATTAAAAGTAGCTCGCATAGTAATCCCCACTCCTTATGTCCTCATCCTTCCCCCAGGCAGGGAGTATATGCTAGTTGTCACAAGATCTCACAGCCACAGCCTAGAAGTACAAGACAAGAAGCTATGTTAGTTATCTAATGCCGCACAACATCTCTCCAAAACTTAATGGCTTAAGACAACAATAATAATTTTTGATCTCTCGGGATTCCTGTGGGTCAGAAATTTGAGGGTGTCTGGCTGGGCAGTTCTGGCACAGGGTCTCCCATAAACTGTGGTCAAGGAATCAGCCAGAGCTGCAGTCATCAGAAGGATTGACTGGTACTAGATGAACCTCTTCCAAGGTTGGTACCCACTGGAGGGTGGAGGCCTCACTTCCTCTCCACAGAGGCTCAGCCATGGGGCTGTTTGAGTGCCCTCCCAACATGGCATCCTTTCCTCAGACTGAAAGATTCAAGAGACCAAGGCACAAGTAATATTGCCCTTTATAAGGTAGCCGTGGAAGTCAAACATCATCATTTCTGCTAGCATGTTGGTCACAAAGCCAGCCTTGATTCAGTATGGGAGGGGACTGCCCAAGGGCACATACACCAAGGGATGAATGAAGAGCACTGGGAACTAGCCTGAAGGCTGGCTACCACACAGGCCACACGTTCAAGGGCTCCTTCATTCAATCCACATCCTGATTTGGAGTTACTGGATATTTTTATACTTAACTATAGAACCACAGAATGTAATGCTGGGATGGAGCCTTAGCAATCCACTAGGTTTAACATCTTTATTTCTAAATGAGAGAACTGAGGCCCAGAGAATACGAATGCCATCTCCCAAGTTATACAGCCGGGAATCGCAGACTTGGAATTAGAATCCCTGTATCCAAACCTCTAGATCTCTTTTCCCAAATTCCAGCCCATTGACTGGCTGCACTGGGACCACTGTGGAGCACATTACAAACACTGATCCCTGGGCCCTCTCCAGATCTGCAGAATCAGAATCTCTGCTGGGTGCAGCTAGACAATGAGCTGGGAGATCTGTCATATTTCCAAAGCTCTCCAGGTATTTCTGGTGAGCAGTAGCACATTTGGGAATTCCTGTCCTCTTCCACATTAACTGTGTTACTGGAGAAGTTCAGATGTGCAGATGAGGGAGTGTACATGGCACCATGCTGAAGTATGGTGGGGCCTGATTCCACGCCTTCACCCCCAGGAAGGGCTGTTCTGTTGGCTTCCAGGCACCTCTGGGACATGCTCTTCTACTGCCAGAGAGAACGCCTTTTGTTTTGGACCAGGAGCATTAGAGCGGTTCATTTTCTCTCCAATTGACTGCTGATTGTGCTATCTGATCATCCTAGTATCTGATTCAGCAGGGCCCAGCCTGCAGGATCCTGAGAGGGAGCCCTTCCTGTAGGTTGCCCCAGCACCTCACGGGCCTCAGCAGTGTAATCCTGATCTTTCATAGACACTAGATTCTCAAATCCAGGAATCTGGGCCTTTCCTCTTGGCCTGAGGATCAAGGTGGGGTCCTCCGTGAAGGGGCCTAGGCCTGACTCTAAATGCCCCAGGTTTTGGCTCCATGGCATTTGAGGTAACTGATCTGCAGGTTTTGGCTAAATGTGTCCAATGAATTATCTATGTTCCTACATCTATAAGGCAAAGTCCAATACTAGCTATTTTTTTTCCAATGAGAAGGATGCTGACTTTAAAGAGTAATAATCTCTATGTCTTTTTTATCTTCTTCAGTGCAAAAAAATCCCAATTTCACTTAGTAATTTCCTGACCTGGTAGCAATTAATCCACCTTGATGGCTGGGGTTCAGGTCCTTCTAATTTACAATTTCCCTCTATTTGCTGTCATCTGTAACCTCTCAAATTGTGACTGGTTTAGTTCTTGACATTATTTGTGTTAATAATTTTAAAAGTAATAATAACCATAATAATCGTAATCATAATGAAATAATGACAATAGCAACTATAGTTACTATGTTTTAGGTGCCACTCTAATGCTTTCCCTTATTATCTCTTCTGTCTCAAAACCATTGCCAAGTAGGTATTTTGGTCCCCATTTTAAAATGAGGAAACCAGTGCTCAGAGACACTAAGAAATTCCCCAAGGTCACCTTTAGCTTAAGCAGCGAAGCCAAGATTTCTATCCAAGCCTGACTTACCGAAGAGACTGTAGTCTTGGCCACTATACTCAAGTGCCTTCCATGACTCGTTTTCTCTGGATCTAACACATGACGGCCAAGCTCAAGGATTTCCACATCGGAGGCCTAATTTTATATTCCAGTTCTGCCAATTTCTAGTTGAGTAACTTGGGGCTGATTATTTAATCTCTTCATCTATAAAATGAGGATAACAATTCCTTCCTCATGGGGTTCAGGTAAGGATTAGATAAGAAAATGCACAGTGCCTAGCACATAGTCAGTGTTCAATTACCAGCAGCTATAACTGCTACATTTCTGCTAGTTTCCTTATACTTTTTATCCCATGCAAAATGCCTACTCCTTTCTCTTGCAGGTTGTATTCCCACTGCACACCAATTTCAAGTTCTGGAATTTATTCTGCACTGATTTGTATACAATAACAGGGCAGTCTCACAGCAATAACAGGAAAACAAAACTAATTTAAGAAACAGCATCCCCCCAAAAAATACTCAGAGGATATGACAAGTGTGCCATCCTTCCTGGATCTCTTATTTTCTCTACCTTCAGTTTTTTAAAGGGGTCATTTCTCCCCTGGTGACAATATCAGCTGCTTCCCTATGACAGACAATGAACTAATATCTCTGCCAAATGTGTCTCAGTGACCACTGCTTCTTCTTGTCACACCTGCTTTATCTCCTTCACCCAAACTGGTGTGACTCCATAATTTATAGCCAGAAGCCTCAGATATCTGGCTCTGCATGTGGGCTTCCTGGTAAGAGGTTCTTGGAACAATCTATCTTGGCTGCCACATGGTGGTACCCATCTGTGGGTACCGTTTTTTCATCTCTGCCCCTCTTCTCCCGAAGCTTCATCTATCACTCTCACCAGAACACCATGTACACTTAAAGACATTCTTTCCCGTTGTGTCTCCTGGGATCATCTTAGGTTGTGTTTATGGCTACAGTACTGGACTCAAAAGAACATAACCTGGTCAGGGGATGCACAGCTAGGTTTTCATTTAATTAAGGGGAAAAAGCAAAAACCAACAGTCCAGTCATTGTTTAATGAAGGGGGTTTTCAGACTTCAGTCTGGCAACCAGTAGAGCATGCAAACTAAATTCCTTTCCATGAACAGGTTTACGGTGCCAAAGCACCACCTACATTCTAGACATAGCTGTTCACCTGCCCAGAGGCAACCTGAGAAAGAAAAAAACTGGGTTTTTGCTTTGTTTCCATCTGATCTCTTCTCTCACCCTTAGTTCCTGTTTTTACAAATCTGGATCATTACCAAAGAAGACTCAACATTCAGAGGGTAACAAGGAACTGACTGGTGTCAAAAACAAGTAACAAAGCAGAAGGGAAAGTAAGGAATTGGAGTTCTCCAGCTAGAGTGGGGGAGGAGGACTAGAGTGGAAAGAAGATGGGGAAGCAGTCCTAACAGTTCTTAGAGAATCCGCAAGCTGGATTAGGGAAGCCAACCTCCACAGGCTGCACAGGTCTCTTCACTCCCCTCATTTCAACCCTCAACATGGGAAACACATCACCTCTGTCTGGGTTTGGCTGCTGTAGGCATTTCTTTCTGGTAAAAGGCGTGTTGGTCACTTTTCAGCCAGGAGCTTCAGGCAGAGGGTAGTGGCCCATAGGCTGGAGTGGTTTCACAGAGAATGGTTCACTTGGTAATTCTGCAACCTGCTGGCTTCTGCCAATTTACAAGTCAGAATCTCTGGGGGAAGTCAGAGAATTCTTGTATGCAATAACATGTGAGAATCCCTGAGAGAAAACATATCGAGACTCAATAATCTAGGCAAATGTTCAAGTATCCATTTTGTACAGAATAATAACTCCCTAAAGATGTTAGTGTCTTAATTCCTAGAATATGTTAGGTTAGAGGGCAAAAGAGAATTCAGGTTGCAGATGGAATTAAAGTTGCTAATCAACTGGCCTTAAAATAGGGAGATTATCCTGGATTATCCAGGTGGCCCAAATGTCATCATAAGAGTCCTTTTAGAAGACAGAGGTAGAAGACAAGAGTCAGAGAAGGAAACATGACCATGGAGATTATGTGCTGTGAGAAGGACTCAGGCTGCCTTTGCAGGCTTTGAAGCTGGAGGAAGGGACCATAAGCCAAGGAATGCGAGCAGCCTCTAGACACTGCAAGAGGCAAGAAAAGAGATTCTCCCTTAGAGCCTCCAGAAGTACCACAACCCTACTGGTCCTTGATTTCAGCCCAGGGAGACCTGTGTCAGACTTCTAATCTGCAGAATTGTGAAATAAAATGTGCGTTGTTTTAAGACATTAAGTTTGTGGCAATTTGTTATAGCAGCAAGAGAAAACTAATATAAAGAAGTTACTGCAGATAAATGACTGCATTCAATGACATCAATAGATATGATATAAAAAATGCACACATACAGAATATTTCTGAAAGGCATAAAGTTTAAGAGACTGGGAAGGCCTATTATCACTCTCCTCCATCCCGCTCTGTGCCCTGTTAGGCAGACCCCTATGGGCTAGACCACCCGATTCCACCTGGCTCCCAGTTGGGCTCTACCTATGGGAGGCACCAAGCAAGACACTGGAGGGTGCTCAGGCTCCAGTGCTGACCTTGCACTTGTATGACCCTCAGGGTGAGTGTCTCCTTGCATTGCAAGCTCTAGGCATCTCACTTGCCTCACTCAACACAACACTGACGAAGAAATAAGAAGCCCTCTCTAGGGGCCAAGAAAGCCTTCCAGAAAAGACGACAGGCTGACGGCTACTGTGAGCCCAACGACAAAGGATCTGGAATTTTTCACCATTTCTTACATGCCCCAACCTGACCACATCCCACCACAGGCTGCTTTGGGGTGAACTATGTCAGAGGCCATGTAGTTGAGAGAGCAGGAAAGAAAAGTCAAGAAAATATAACTCAATAGTACCAGGAGAAACAACGTAACTTGAAAACCACCCTGGACCAAGCAATTTACTCAGTTACTACAGATGCAACCCAGCTATATGCAAATCACATGAAAATATAAATAACACCCTCCATAGGGATAGCTTTTTCTTTGCTTTCTCTAGCCTGTAAAACAAATCCAATTTGGAGGATGAAAACAGAAAATTACTCTGCAGTGGAATAAGATTTGCTTCTCAGCGCTTCCAGCAATACCCGCAACAGCACCTCTAAGCTAAAAATGTCTTGTTCATACAGAAGAATGGCATAATCTAGAGGTGAACTACATAGGATTGGTGAAGTAGAAAAACATACCCACCTCTGTCTATAGAGATTTGGGAAAGTGATGGCCTTTCCTGCCAGAAGCCTTCCTAGATCGGCAATCCTCCCAATCTTCTAAAGATCCATAGAGTCTGAGTTCAGTTCTGTCTCCTCTGTGGCCCCCACAGAACAGAATATGCTCAATAAGTGGGTACTGAGTGCATGAAGGAGTCCACAGACAGCGCAGCTATACAAGGCCATGGCTGACTAGATATAAACATACTTAGCCACGCATTACCTGTTCACTTCAGGAATCTCCTTACTTCCTATCCTCCTTGGGCTCCCCTGACCCATCCCTGCCCTAAGTATTTTTAGAACAAAAATACAACAAAATGATAGGAAGAAGACTGTGGCAGGAAGAAGGTGGTAGTATTAACACTCCAAATAAGGCTGCAAGAAATTTAGAAGTTGGACACTTCCCACTCCCGCAGAAAACATTTGTTTCCTGCCCATAAATAGGAACACCATGCAGGTTTGCTTATTTTTAGAAAAACAAAAATCTTATTTTTAGAAAAAATCTATGAGATTTTTTTTTAAAGACCTGTAGCTCGGTAGGCTAACATTTCTACCCTCAAACGGCAAGCCAGGTCTTGAACACTGGTGTTCTTTCTGTTGGGCACCTACCTGAGCTGGGAAGAACCAGAAGAA
Source organism: Homo sapiens (assembly GCF_000001405.40). Lineage (NCBI taxonomy): Eukaryota > Metazoa > Chordata > Mammalia > Primates > Hominidae > Homo > Homo sapiens. Next base: position 29,112,728 of record NC_000007.14, read on the forward strand.
GAGGTTGCTGTTGTAAGTCTTATTCACGGTGAGGAAGCCGGCATAACTCTTCATGTTCAGTCCTGGGAAAGGGCCGACCAAACTCAATTCTCTTCCTAGTGGGGGAAAAAAAATTTACCCAAGGATTACAGAAAACAATAACAACAAAAATGTGAGCCATCTATCTCAGTCTGGATGAAATGGAGTGATTAGATAAGCTAAAAGGGAACTGGTATGACAGGTAGTTCCTTCAGCAAATTCCAGCCTGCCCCTGGCCAATCCCACATAGTCCACGTTCACAATTTAGCCAAGGATATGTGAAAGTTTTAAGCCTTTGGGGAGGGGTGCCCAAATATATTTTATAAGCTGTAATAAGGTTTTTTTTAAGTTCTTTTAAAAAGAAGAAAAGAAAATCTCCTATCATTACACCTTGCATAAACCAAGGTGATCACCTTGGGCCACATGGAAAGGAGCAGGATAAAGTAACCTGACCTGAAACAGTGGGGTGCAAGAGTAACAATGTGGTGAAGCAGCTCTCGGCCTCGCCCCGAGAAGGCCTGTGTCCTTCACGCTCTTGTTTTCATGAAGGCAAAAAGCCTGTCACATCTACTAAGAGGAGTGGGCTGAGGCATATGGGAGTGTGGGTGGCTGTGGACATTGGGGAAAGGTGGACAGTGGTGGACAGTGGGGAGACTGGGAGTGACCTCATGGCTACTCAGGGGGAGCCAAATAGGACAATGGGGCAGTTGTGGGGGCCAGGGGTCCTGGCGTTCTTATGGCACCATTGGGACAGGCACAGGGAAGGAGTAATTGGGGATGCTTAGACAGCCAAGGATGCCCAGGAGTAAAGAATGCTACTAGGAGCTGACATTTACAAGGCCAGAATACCAGGGCTTTACATGATGTGGGAAGTATAATTCTCATTCCCACTTTACAGATAAGAAAGCTGAAGCACAGAGAGGTTAAGTGACTTGCCAGCTAGTAGAGGAGAGCTGGGATTAAACACAGCAGTCAGGCTGCAGAGTTTGTTCCTTCCCCCAGGGCTTTCAACTAGAGTGAGTCAGAAGGTGCAGGTGGCAAGGAGTGGGAAGGGAAGTAGTGGTCAGGAAGGGAGTGGCAAAGGAACAGAAAACAGCAGAATGTGGTGGCGAAGTAAAAGGGAAAGTTTGGGTGAAGAAGAATCCTTTAGTGGTGACAAAGAATGTGTCCCCAGTAGGAACCAGTCACTCAAGAAAAGCGATGTAAGTCTGAGCCATATTAAGTTGGAGACTGGCTAGTAGGTCAGGAAGCTTGACTCCTCACATGCCATCGACTAAAGATGCCTTTGACGGTAGGTGGAGCCCTTAGGCTCTGGAAGGCTAATTGTTAGCATCTTTTCCCAGCTCAGCATTCAGAGACATTGACAGGATAAAATAAGCCAAGGTGACAATATTAACACTCAAGGGAATAGATGCTACAAGTCAGGGTCCTGACTGCAAGGGCTGGTTGCTAAACTTTTACCAGCACACTGCTGTTTTGGGACCACTAGTTCCTATTTTACAAGGCCAGAATACCAGGGCTTTACATGATGTGGGAAGTATAGTTCTCATTCCCACTTTACAGATAAGAAAGCTGAAGCACAGAGAGGTTAAGTGACTTGCCAGCTAGTAGAGGAGAGCTGGGATTAAACACAGCAGTCAGGCTGCAGAGTTTGTTCCTTCCCCCAGGGCTTTCAACTAGAGTGAGTCAGAAGGTGCAGGTGGCAAGGAGTGGGAAGGGAAGTAGTGGCATGCCTCTTAGCTGAGCATGGTGGCAGTGCTTGTAGTCCCAGCAACTCGGGAGGCTGAGGTGGGAGGATCACTTGAGCCCAGGAGGTCAAGGCTGCAGTGAGCCATGATCATGCCACTGCACTCCAGCCTGGATAACACAGCGAGACCCTGTCTCAAAAAAAAAACATATATATAGGCATGCCTCTCAAAAGGAAAACCTCTCATCTAGACCACACAGTTCCTTTGCTGATCCTAGTGCTCCTATAGACCAGCTGGTGACCCACCATACAGGCATTTAACCTCCCTGTTCTTCAGTTTCTCCTCTATGGAAGATGTACTGCCTGTGGGCCACCTGGATTAAAAGAGCCCCCACATGTAAAATCTATATAAAGAAGCTGGCAGGTAGGGAGCAGAACTACTGTTGCTGTCTGTGAAATGCACCTGCTGACTAGGAACAGGGAGCACCTCTGAGCAGAGGAGGTCATGGGGACAAAAGAAAGGTCTCAACAGGTGGTCCTTGAGGGTCCTGTTAGGCTAGCACAATAGAAGAGCATGGGTTTCCTAGCCTGACAGACCTGGGTTTGGAATCCTAACTAGATTAGGACTCCCCAGCAAGTTGCTCCATCTCTCTGAGCCTCTTTCCTTTTATGCAAAATATAAATACTGATTCCGCTATCCTGGGCTTTCTGTGAGGATCAAACAACAAAAATGCATATGAACCCTTAGCCTAGCACTGCACATAAAATATGGGTTCAGTCAATTGGAAGGGAAAGTTATCATTAGCCTTTGGCCACTCCAAGTGAAGTCTAGAAGAATTTCCTTTTTCTGGCTCAGCCTGGTTCTCCCAGGGAAGATTGCTTAATGCAACCTCTGTTGGTCTTCACATTCTGTTCCCAATGAGGTCTATCCCTCCTCCATCAGAAAAAAAGCCAGAGAAAAAGAGAGAGAGGTGAGGATCTTATGAGAAAGAAAAGGGAGGTGTTTGGGGAAAGTGGTTTTTGCCACTCCTCCCCTCCCACTCTTCCCGCCATCTGTCGTTTTTCTTCTCCCTTTCTTCACTTCCACTCTTAATTAGCCCAGAGAAAGATCACCCCCCAGGGCTGGGCAGCCTTTAAAATGCTTTTGAAATATTTTTAGCAAAACTATTAATCTTCTCAAAATCAAACAGATACCACCCCCTGCCTCCCAAAAAAAAAAAGGAGAGTAGAGAAGTAAAAACTGTGGATTGGAAATGAGTGAGATGTGGACCACAGAGAGGTAAATGGGAAGAAGAGGATTTGAGAAAGACAACACAAAAATGAGAAAGGTCAAAGTATAATGAGAAAAAGAGAAAATATATAATAGAAAGGAGCTGGAGGGAATGGAACAGAGGAAAGGATGATTCAATCAATCTATCTCTCCCAAGACCAGCACCACACAGGGTCCACAGACTGCTCTCAAATGATTCAGATGTTCACTCATCCCTCCCTTCCTGAGGATGCCAAAGTAGCTTCTCTACTACCTTTTACTTGAGTATGTTTCAGACCTTCCCTCCTAGGTCAGGAGGTTGGAAAGTGGGGAATTTGTGTTATTTAACTTTGCATACCTTGGGACTCGGCATGCTGACTTACACACCTAAGACATTCAATAAATACTTTTTAATGAATGAATGTTAACAAATGAATGGATGAACAAGTCAATAAATGAATGAACTAAAACAAGCCCTACTGACAAGGCACCAAGATTGGCTTATTTCTACAAAAACCTCCTAAGGCAGACCTTGCTAAAAGATCTTAAGAAATTTAGAACTTTTCTCTAGCCCATAAAAAAAGTTTTGCCCTGTTTCAAATTTTAAATTTCCACTAACTAAATCCCAGTAAAATAATTTAAAATGTCATCAACTAAAATGACTTTTTATATTTTCAAATGTCCTGTGCATCCTTCTATTAATGGAATGTGGAAAACAAACTCCCAAGATGGAGGAGTTTCTATCTTTCCAGCACCATGACTCACAATACAAATGTTTAGAACAGTTTTAAAAAGGAAAAGGTTTTCTTTGAAGTGATTTTACTTCCTCCTTGTTTTTTACTGCTGCAACCAATGTTTGTGATATTAACACTTTCAAAAACATTGGAATGTGACCAACAAAGGGCTTGAACCAGCTAATCAGCATGCATGCCAGATTCACAAACACTCAAGTTATCACCAGTGTGGACAGACATTATCAGATCATAAGTAACAATAAATTAGGACCTACCAGTAAAATAGTCTTTAAAGTGTGAAAATGCAGTGTTTATAAACAAGCTAAAATGTGCCTCCTACTTCATTTTGTTTCAGGGAGTAAAGATTTATTCTAGCTTCAGAGAAAGTAAACATGCAATTACAATTACATAAAACTAAGCCAGCTAAATGAGGATTTAAAAATTAAAAATTTCCCTTGTTTTTTTGCGAGCTACTGTTTATCTCGAAAATGTTCCATTGCAATAATAAGACTCACGTTCCTAGGGTTTTGACAGACTCGATAAACAAAAGGGATTTAGGGGAGTGAGCTGACCATCTGTCCAGAGCTTCCTGAACTTTCAGCAAAGCGGATGAATAAAATTATCCTTAATTATGTTGTCAGGGCTACATTTGAATACCCAGATGTACCAGATTTTGAATCAGCCACTTAAAATTCTGTTCAAAGAATTTGACTGTGTAACATAACTTCAGGAAGTGATATTATACACAGATTTAATATTTTAAATGTTGTCAATCATCAGATGAAGATCTACCAATCTTGACATGGGAGGGTGGAAGATAAAACTACCTCCCTTGGAATCTTTCTTGGCTGCTGCTAATACCCATAACTGAGAAATGCTCATAGGCAAGAAAGACAAGAACAGGAGAGATGTCAGTAGTCTCTCAGATGGATTTCTCTGTATTCTTTTTACTTGGTTCCACCAGATGTATGATACAGAAACACCATGGTCACTTTCACTTAATGCCTTTGTTTAAGCTGTTTCTCTCATTTGGTACGCACAGACCTTTCGCTATTTACGTAAATCTTACCCGACACTCTGAAGTCCAGAGCTGGTCATACAGCATAGTGGTTCATATCATGGGCTCTGGGGTTGGCCAGTATAGGGTTTAATTCAGAGCTGCTCATATAGCATAGTGGTTCATACCATGGGCCCTGGGGTTGGCCAGTATAGGTTTTAATTCAAGCTCTGCCACTTACTAGTTTTATGGCCCTAGGCAAGATATTTGATTTCTCCGGGCCTCAGTGTTCTCATTTGTAAAATGGGAACAATGCTTATGGATTCTTCATTAGGGTTGCTCTGAGAACTACATGAGCTAATGGATGTAAAGCACAATGCCTGGCACATGGTTGGTACCCAAATTTAAATTCCATACATATTTATACATACCTATTATGTATAGGTACTATGCTAGGTACTAGGGATATAATGACTAAATGTTAGCTACTTATTATTTTTACAACTACGACAGCTCTAGTATTTTCTCCCTCGATTATGCCAACCGACAGGGATAGGTTCCTCCTCCGAATCTCCAGTGCACTTACTTTAAATGTAATACTTTAGTACTTTAGTATGCACTGCCTAATTCCTTAATTGTTTTGTGTGTATGCATCTGGTCACTTTAGAAGAACACTTTAGAAGCTTCTGAAACAAACAGAACTAAATTATAGTAGGCAAATCACAGAGCAGAAGTCAGAAGATTTGGGTCCTAAACCCATCTCTGCTACCCAACTCTACTGCACACATCCCGTTGGGCAACTCGGATAAAGTATTTCAGTCTCAATTTCCTCATATGTGGATTGGTAGAATTTGGTTATAACAATTACTTAACTCCTTTTCATCCCTACATTAAATGGTTTGCTTTGATTTACTGTTAATGAACAGAAATCTAAGCCATCAGAATCCACTTGTTAAGGAAGCTGAAATACGTGCATGTAATCCAATTTGGAGGGTTTAACGACACTTTGCCTCTTCACAAGCATCTTAATGGTATCAGCCCATATGGTGGGGCAGCCATCTTCCCAAGACTTCTCTTGTGAGGTAAAAATCAGTCCTTTTTAAAATACACTAAATACATTATCAAAGTTTTTCATCTTTCCTTAGAAAAGAGATGGTGAAACTTGAAGCCAATGTGTATTTCAGAAAAAGACATATGAACAGCACTTACACATACCCTTAAAATACAAGAATGTCTTCGTGTAAAACGAAAACCAAAAAACAATGACATCCTATTGGCTGTGAGAACACTTTGAACGAATAAAACTTGCTTTATTTTAAACTTCTTTATAGAGTATTTAGATTTGCTTTTGATCTTTAAAATGACCATTTGTCTAAAATTTCCGGTGTTCTTCTTCATTCCCATCACATCTGCCAACCTGCCAGCTTCACAGGCACCATCTCTGCCTTCCCACCTGTGACAAGGGACAACCTTGGGGCCCCTGTGTGCCAGATCCCTGTCTCTCACCTTCTTAAACACAGTCTCCAACAATGGTTCCCCAAACCAAACCAATTCCCCACTCATCATTTCCATCAGCAAACAAACATTCTCTCCTATTCTGTTAAAGACCCTTCCTGGACCCCAGTGCTCCCTCCAGCCACTACCCCATTTTTCTGCTGCTCTTTGCAAACAGCTCCTCAGAATAGCTACCTGTCTACTGTTTTATAGCTTAGGAACCTACTGAAGTCCAGAAAGTTGAAATCATTTACTCGCACAGTGATTAAGCGCAAAGAAGCATTAAGAGCAGATACAGGGCCGGGGGCAGTGGCTCACGCCTATAATCCCAGCACTTTGGGAGGCCAAGGCAGGCAGATGACTTGAGGTCAGGAGTTTGAGACAAGCTTGGCCAACAAGGCAAAATCCCATCTCTACTAAAAATATAAAAATTAGCCGGGCGTGGTAGCACATGCCTGTAGTTCCAGCTACTCAGGAGGCTGAGGCAGGAGAATCGCTTGAACGCAGGAGGTGCAGAGCGCAGTGAGCCGAGGCTGCACCACTGCACTCCAGCCTGGCAACAGAGCAAGATTCTGTCTCAAAAAAAAAAAAAAAAAAAAAAAAGAGCAGATGCAGGTCATAAATTTTAGCCTCTGATAACACTAAGTGATACCTTTTTTCCTATTGGTAATAACAATAGAAAAACCCACAATCTCTAAATAAAGCCAATTGCAAACACTCATATTTGGAGAACAACTTATAGAGTACAAAAGATTTTCACGTGCCTTATCTCATTGGATTTTCATAACATCTCTGTAAGTTGGGTAAGTTGTTAAAGCTCCATCTTATCTTAATGAGAAAACTAAGGCCCAGACTTGCTGGATAACGGGGCACAGCAGGGAGGCTGCAGTGAGGCTGAGTATGAAGCCTACACACCAGCTGATATCTGCATGAACTCTGGCTAGTAGCTCAATCTCTTTCTGCCTTGGTTTCACATGTGTAAAATGGGTCCACCTCCCCGGGATGTTGAGATGTTTAAATAAGTTCATGCAGAAAGCTTGGAACCAGTGATTGACTCATAGTAAGTTTTAAGGATAGTATTAGCATTAAGTGACCACTGGGGGACAGGCACTCTACTAGTCTTATAAATAAAATGCTGCAACTCAACCATGCAGGTAATTCAACCCCGGCTAATTCTCATTTTAGCTAAAAACTCAGACAACATATGACATCAAGTCATTAATATTTGACATAGGCTGGGTGCGGTGGCTCATGCCTATAATCCCAGCACTTTTGAAGGCTGAGGAGGGTGGATCACCAAAGGTTAGGAGTTCAAAACTAGCCTGGCCAACATGGTGAAACCCCATCTCTACTAAAAATACAAAAATTAGCTAGGCATGGTGGTGGGCACCTGTAATCCCAGCTACTCAGGAGGCTGAGGCAGGAGAATCACTTGAGCCCAGGAGGCAGAGGTTGCAGTAAGCAGAGATTGCGCCACCGCACTCCAGCCTGGGCAACAGAGCAAGACTCTGTCTCAAACAAACAAACAAACAAACAAACAAAATATATATATATATATTTGAAATAAAACAACTGAGTAAAAATACTGAAATATATTTTGCATCCTATGGGTTACTTGTTTTAAGAAAAACTATTGGCCAGGTGCAGTGGCTCACAGCTGTAATCCCAGCACTTTGGGAGGCCGAGGTGGGTGAATCTCGAGGTCAAGAGATCGAGACCATCCTGGCCAACATGGTGAAACCCCTCTCTACTAAAAATACAAAAATTATCTGGGCATGGTGGCTTGTGCCTATAATCCCAGCTACTTGGGAGGCTGAGGCAGGAGAATTGCTTGAACCCGGGAGGCGGAGGTTGCAGTGAGCTGAGATCGCGCCACTGACCTCCAGCCTAGTGACAGGCGAGACTTCGTCTCAAAAAAAAAAAAAAAAAAAAGAGAAACTGTTGAACTCATGCCAGTGGTTTTCTGATTTAATTAAACTTACTTACCTTTTTGGATCTTCCCAGCTTCAATGTAAGGGGTGAGAAATAATGGCTGTCCTGAGTCTCCCTTAGGTGGCATGGAAACACTTCTGTATAGGGAGCGAAACAGCCCATCACAGGGGCCAGGCATCAACAGGACCAGCGAAACAATCACCTTCCACATGGCACCAACCATCTCTCAGGGTCTAGGATAAAAACAGCATTCCAAAAATGAATCATAAGAGTAAATATTTACCTGGCCCTTTTACATGCAAGAAATTCATTTATTCACTTAAAAAAAATATTGTGTGTAAAGGCCCTCTGCAAGGACCTTGGATAGCACCATAAATAAGCACACCCAATCCCTGCTTACTCTTAAATTCAAAGGCTAATGGGAGACTCTTCAAGGGATTTACAGTGTCAGTAATTTTTCAATTACTGATTTTTTTTTTTTAAACAGAGTCTTGCTCTGTTGCTCAAGCTAGAGTACAGTAGCACAGTCACGTCTCACTGTTGCCTTGACCTCCTGAGCTCAAGCAATCCTCCCACCTCAGCCTCCCAAAGTGCTGGGATTATAGGAGTGAACCACTGACATTTTTTAAAATGCAGTTTGGAAAGTAAATTCAATGGAGGATTAGATAAAGACTCAGAACAACAAGAACTCTGTAACTGACCATAAATGGGTGGTAGAAACCATTATGCCACCACAGAAGGGCAGAGGATTGAAAGCACATTTCAGGCCGAAAGATCACAGAAAGGCCTTATCCAAGTTGGATATGGATAAAAGGTGAATGGTTCTCAGACAGGTGGGAGAAATGGGAAAGGCATCATGGGTGGGTGGAAACAGCTTAAGCAAAGGTGAGACCTCAGGCATCCATGCACACCTTTCAGGGAAATTTCAAAGAAGCAATGGATTTCTGGTTATGTTCTCTATCTCTTATAAAGCCCCAGTTTGTATCAAAGAACAACAACAACAAAAACAAAAACAGGAAGGAAGAAAGAAAGGGGGGAGGGTCCTACAACTACCCTTAGGTTCCTCCCCTTATTGCTAGCTGATAAGTAAATTAAAGACATTAGGCCCCAAACCATTAGCACAAAGCTTTCCAAAGATCTTCAGATCTGATGTTTGCTTAGAATATTCATCTGAGATTATAATAATAATGGCATAAAACTGTATAATTATTTACTTGAACATCAATATGTAAATTATATTTATAGTGGGCTTTCCCATGTATTTGTAGATGATTTGAATCTCCTAATTCCACCAGTGTTACAGAAAAACGACTGAATGGTATTTGTTAAAGCATGGAGACAAAGACTTTGTCAGGATAATGACAGGCACAGGGACCTTGCAGTCAACAGTCTTGCAGCAAGGAAGAGAGATTGGGCTCAACTCCAAATGCAGCACGGGCCAGTGGGAATTTATAGCCAAGGAGCAGTGTGGGGGTCAGTGGATGGAAAATTACTCAAAGGAAGCGTTGGGGTAAGGTGGATCTGGCTAAACCTAACAGGATTCTCACTGAAGACAGGCCAGGGTGATCAGACATCACCTGGGGGATGGTGCAGGATGAGAAACCTGGTCAGACATTGAGGCGATCGGATGTTGATGTTGCTGGTTCTTGGTAAAACGACTTAGCTAGTGTCCTTTGCTAAAACTGGATTTTACAAGGACGTGCACAAACAGGCCTAGCAGGAGATTCAGAAGCCTGACTAAAATTTGGCCAAGGAAAAAAATCCTTGTCACCAGGAAAGTGAGGACTATTGTCACCAAATTCAGGTAAGGAAAACTTGAATCAAAAGAGTGTCTCATGCAAGGACATGAAAGTAGAGAAGGCCAGGACTAGGGAGAAGCGAGGGAGGTACAGATGCAGGGTCAGATCTCATCTTGATCTAAAATGTTGACCATTTTTATTATCATTAATTTTTCTCTGCATTATACAGTTTTTTAACTATTACATTAACATATTACTAGTCTTGAATTTTTTTTGACACTTTCTTAAGTTTTACACCTGAGGTAGTGCCTCTCTTGTCTCACCCTAATCCTGACCTTGCTAAGTAGGGAATTATGACAAGCACACCAGGGCCGTTACATGACTCTGCACTCCTGCTATTTAAGCATGATCTATGTTCTTAGCTGTAAATTCTAAATCAAATACATGAAATGAAAGGGTACTCCACACATTCACATTTCTGGATGCAAAAAGAGATACACAATTATGCAAATATAATGCCTGCTTTTGTTCAGTGCTTTAAAATGCCAAGCCATTAGAACATCTTAAAAATACAAAACGTGTAAAAATCTTTTAACGACATGCTTATTACAACCCAATTTGGCATAACATGAAAATATTGGTTATAGCAAATTTTAAAAGCTTTTCAGGCACATTTCCCCAGTAAGATAAAGGTTTATAATTATAATGTGATTGAATATATAACCCTTGTCATGTCTCTCAGGGTTAACTTACTAGAATTCCCCACACTTAATGTAAATAAGGCCAACCAAATCCAGGATGGAGCTAAAAAATGCTTTTGCCTATTACTGACTATAATAAAGAACAAAATGAATTTAGGAACTGAAATTAGGTTCCCAAGAAGCCCCAGGGTAATGACCTCTATGGCACTGTGAAAACATTTTTTTAAATTACTTGAACTTGTTTACACTGATGCTTTTATAGCACAGCTACTTTCAAGGGATGCCTGAAATCAACAATCTTACTCTCTAACTGGTTCAGAAAAAAAAAAAAAAAAAAAAAAAAAAAAAAAATATATATATATATATATATATATATATGCAATATTAAAAAAAAATAATGGAAGAAGCTCTTCCAGTAAGAGGTTTTTGTTTTTTTTTTTTCCCCTGGGGACAGAAACAAGAAACCAATCATGCCATCTAATTTCTCAATCTTCCTGCTGCCAATCCCTAGCTCCCTTTAATGGAAGCCATTAATATTTAAATAACCAGGGTAGTTACAGCACTTCCCTTGTAAGCAGATGTTGACTCAAAGATGTTAAAAAAGGAAAACAGGTAAAACTGGTCCTGTTTTAATTGATATAAATCTAATACATAAAAGTAAGAATTGGGTCAATTTAGTAGATCTCATTAACATTTAATCAAATAACTATCTGAGTCATGGTTTCCCATTCAGGTGAATTAAAGCACCGACATACTTCATTTTACAGTTCTCATTCAACAGTCAGAATTCCTGAACTGTGCTTAGCTGTTATCTCTCCTTATGAGAATGAAAGCTATTATCATAAATGGAGAAGTGGGTTTTTTAAACACCCTCTCATATGTTTTTGCTTATCCTAAATTAGCATGAGTCCTTTTATTTATTGAACATTTATTGAGCAATTTCTAAACCAACAAACCTTATACTAGACAGAGGATATCTCCCACAGAAAGTTGAAAAAGAAAATTGTTAACCCTACACTTTATCATACCTACTTGAAATAATATGAAAACAGTGGTGCTATTTCCAGTTCAAACATATCATATTGAAGAATTCAAACAAAATGTTCTTCTTAATAAATGTTTAGAAACAGAATAAAATCTGGGTAAATACAAAACAATATCAACAGAATCAAAGACTCTAAAGGTCAAAAGTATATAATTTGCTAAAATTGTCTTACTAAACCTTAAATATTAAAGTTGAAAATCATGTGTCCAATGTATGATTTTTGATATGGAACAAAGCTATTTATCCACAGTGTTCTTTAGAATAATAAAAATTGTCAATAAATAAAATTTCCAACAGTAAGACATCAGATAAGTTACTATATACCAAAAAGATAAAATTATTATACATACAGCAATTAAAATGATTCTACTAAGAATGTTTTGAAAAATATGATAAAATATTATTAGGTAAAGAAAAGCAGGATATTAGATTGGATATATGGTTTTTTTCCTTATTTAATACTTCTTAATAATTTCTAAATTTTCTACAAAAATTTTATACTCAGAAAAAAGGTAATTTTGTTGCTTTTTTAAAAAAACAAAGTGAAGCAACTGCTAGACATGGCAGAAAAAGTGCTTATTCCTTATTACTACCTGGGTATGACCTCTTCTGTTTCCTAGGAATAAGGTTCTATTTGTACTTCTAGAATAGCTTCTTCTTTCTCTAACATTCTGTTAAGATATGTCCTGATCTCCTAAAGCCACAGAATCCCAGAGACTCAAAGTAAATTTTCTCTTCGGCAAATCAGAAGGCTCTGCATAAATGTGAGATGCTATTATAATAATATTTATTATCATATCTGAATTTCATTCTGCCTGGAGTACAGTTCATAATGAGAGTGCATATAGTTGGTACTAAGCAAATATTATTGAATTGATGAATCTAAATAAGGAACCATATTTTAGACCTACAAGATATTAAATGTTCATGTGGTCCAGTTCCTTCATCTTCAGATTAGAAAACTTTTACCAAGGAGTAACTGACTTGATCAAGATGACAAGGCCAAGACTCAAAGCCAGAATTTACTTATGGCTCTAAATCTCATCTGCTTTCCACTCTCCCGTCTTTTTTTTTTTTTTTTTTTTTTGAGACAGAGTCTCGCTCTGTCACCCAGACTGGAGTGCAGTGGTGCGATCTCAGCTCACTACAACCTCCGCCTCCTCGGTTCAAGCGATTCTCTTGCCTCAGCCCCCCATGTAGCTGGGATTACAGGCACCCACCACTACACCTAGCTAATTTTTGTATTTTTAGTAGAGGCGGGGTTTCACCACGTTGGCCAGGCTGACCTCAGGTTCCTGATCTCAGGTGATCCACCCGCCTCGGCCTCCCAAAGTGCTGGGATTACAGGCGTGAGCCACCGCCCCCGGCCTACTCTCCCACCTTTATTCCAGATATATTCAAATATTCTGACTCTTACTGTCTCAATAGATAATAACAGCCTGTAATAGTCTTAAATCCCTTTTATGGATTGTTAAAGGATGGAGTAAATAAATAAACAAATGAATAAAAAGAAACGTTGATAAGTAAATCTGTCTAGAGTAGTCTGGTTTTTAGAAACAACTCTGTAATAACCCAGGTCCTGCCATGACTCATCCGAGGACCTTGGTAAGACAGTAACTTCTCTGGGTCCCACCTGATGTGCTCAAGCCAGCGCAAGAGAGCTGATGGTTAAATTTTCAGAAATATTGAGAGTCAGTTGTTCAACAGAGCCACCGTTAACAATTAAACTGTTATTGAAGAAGTTACATTTTAAAACATATGTTCAAAGTACTCAAAACTTATCATTTCCTAATGATTTTACTACATTTTACTATTATCTGTGATCTAGAGTTATGTTTTTTGTATCTGTGTGGTAGACAGATTACACATATGATGATTTGCTTCTGGGCATCTTTTTCCAACTATGTGTTCAGTAATCTTGTTGGTAGCTTGAAATCAACTATGGTAGGAGTATTTATACCACAGTAACCAGCAAACACCAGAAATCAGGCCTTCTTTTTTTCAGACTGCCAATTGTTAAACATTTACCTGCACATACTGGGCTCATCTTCATTATTGGTAAAATGAGCTAGATGCTATTTTCCATTAGCTCACACTCCAATTCCAATCGACCTGACCATCAGAAGAGACAAAAAGGGAAAATCCTGGCCAGTTCTCCCCTACCTGATCAACCAGTAGCATAATCAGATTTGCAAGACCTCAAGAAAAGAAACCTGAAAATGCCACTGGAGGTGTGTGTTTTGCCAAAGAAAAAAGAATCAAAAACAAAACCTGCAGGATGAGGACAAACAAACAAAGAGCAGGTATTTAAACCAGCCTTATATTCTCCCCTTCACTCGTTTCCACTTCCCCACTTTACACTATCGATTACTCCAATCAAAGGATACATATCTTTCATATAATAACCATTGTAGCTGCAATTAAAATAGTTATTGCCCGGCACATTGGCTCATGCCTGTAATCCTGGCACTTTGGGAGGCCAAGGCGGGAGGATCCCTTGAGCCCAGGAGTTTATTTATTTATTTATTTAAGGGACAGAGTCTCACTATGTTGACACCCTGGACAACACTCTTGAAGTACTCTTTTCCCAGGGAGGACACAGTCATGGCATGCAAGGTAAAGGGCAACCTTTTGCTGAAGTGGCACTGAGACACGCCTATCTCCTTTTCACAGGTTCCTCTCTGGCATCAGACAGTGATGTCTAATCTCTCTAACGAATTAGTCATCCCTGTCTCTGCCACCATATCCTTGGATGTGCAGGAAAAGGAAACTAGAGGTGTGTGGCAGGGAGAGAATGAGAAAAATCAGGAAGAGGAGAAAATAATATAATCTGACACCACAGTCTAGAGCTTTTCCTTGAAATCCCACTCCAACCAGAAGGGAAATTTAAGTGGGCATGTGGTGGAAAGTAAAATGTAAACATTATCCCAACATGTTCTTCAACAGTTTTGAAATAGAAGGGCCATGCCTGTGACTAAAGGCACCATCATGATAATGATACCAGTTAATAGCTACCAATTACTGAATGCTTACTATGTACAAAAAACTGTACTGATTGCTTTATATTTTTTATTTCTAACCAGGAAGGTAAGGGTTACAAACAACCTTACCTTGTCATCTCATTTTATAGACGAGATACCGATCCTCAGAGAATCTAAGTGATTTGCTCAGGTTCACAGTTAGTAAGTGGTAAAGCAAGGAACTGAGGTGTCGGGGCTCACAACATGATAACCCAAAATAATGGCACCTTGGCACAGTGAGTATTTTAAACAGCAGGAAATTGAAAAAACAGCAGAAGCAGGAAGGCTGCTCTCTGACCTTTTCCCACCTTTTTCTCCTGAGAGCTGGCCATGAAAGAATTCTCTGACCTACTTCCCCTGAAAGTAGGTCATAAGACCCTCATTCCAGAGGGGTCCTGCCCTATACCCAGAGGGAAGGAATGTCACACCGAGGCTGAAAGGAATCTGAACAAATAGGCCTCGCTGAGTTCCCCAGATTATTACTATTAGATCACACTCTTTTGTCCTCCAATTACACTTCTGCACAACTGTCCCTAAACACACATGGTTTTCCCTGGGTCCTTGGGGCTTCGTTTTCTGAAGGTTTCTGTGTCACTGAAAACTTACATTAAATATAACTTTTATACTTTTCCCATTTAATCTTTTTTTTTTTTCTTTTTATTTGTTATAGGGGCTCAGCCATGAACCTTGTGATGGATGAGGAAAAGATATTCTTTTTCTCCCCTTACAGTTTCTGGCAGCCAACATGGGGTGGCTGTGACACCCCACTAGTTCCAGAACCTGCAGATGAGATCCTGGGACAACCAATAAAAAAACAACAAAAAGTTAAGAGTTTTTTTTTTTTTTTTTTTTTTTTTTTTTAAACCAAGATCAGCTCTCTTGGATCTCTGCTCCTAGGTAGGGATTTCCTTTCCAAATTCAGATTAGCAGAAGAAAATCATTTGTTTGGATTGTGACTCATGTAAATCTGATTTGGGGATACCCATTAGTTATTGATCCTTTCCCTCCCAGGGACAGCTATCTCATTCCTGTTTCTCTCCTTTTGTTTCCTGAGTGCTTCGCTTCATGAGTGGTGACAAAACTCTCTCTGGGCCCGGCATGATGGCTTATGCCTGTAATCCCAGCACTTTGGGAGGCCAAGGCAGGCAGATCACTTGAGGTCAAGAGTTTAAGATCAGCCTGGCCAACACGGTGAAACCCTGTCTCTATTAAAAATACAAAAATTAGCCAGGCATGGTGGCACACGCCTGTAATCCCAGCTACTCATGAGGTTGAGGCAGGGGAATCGCTTGAACCCAGGAGGTGGAGGTTGCATGAGCTGAGATTGCACCACTGCACTCCAGCCTGGGCAACAGAGTAAGACTCTGTCTCAAAAAAAAAAAAAAAATTAAAAAAAAGAAAAAAACTTTCTCTGCTCTCTGCCAGATGGGGTGCAAGTGTTTCAGCTAACAATGAGTGGGAAACACATCTCTGGGTAGATGATCTGAGACTGAGAGGGAGCCAGCCTTGAGGAAACAGTACAAAAGCCCTGCAGTGCAAACAAGGTGCTTACTGTGGGTTGGCGGGCACAGTCAATAGGGGAGGGAGTGGTACACAATGAGGCTGGAGAGACAGATAAAGCAGAGCTCCTAGAGTCTTATCTTCCTTCATCTGTGTTAGCATTTTATTCTAATGATAATGGGAGACCACTGGAGAGTTTAGAGCAAGGGAGGAATATCATCTGATTTACACTGTGACATGATTGCTCTGGTTGCTATCTAACAAGTAGGCTTAAGGAGAATCAGGATGGAACCATGATACCTCATAAGAGGCCACTGTTATAACCCAAGAGATATGACAAAGGCTGGGGTCAAGGAGTAGCAGGGGAGGTAATGAGAAATGGTCAGCTACATTGTGAAGGCAGATCCATGAATATTTGCTCATAGACCAGACATAATGGCTAAGGGAAAGAAAAGAAGTACAAGGATGGCACCTGTTTTCTGCCCAGAGTAACTGCATGAATTGTTATGTGCTGAGCTGAAGATATTTTGAAGTTCTATCTCCTAGTACCTCAGAATATGACCTTATTTGAAAATAGGGTCTTTGCAGACGTAGTAAGGTTGATGCAAAAGTAATTGTGGTTTTTGCCATTACTTTTTTTTTTTTTGAGACGAGTCTCGCTCGGTCGCCAGGGTGGAGTGCAGTGGCACGATCGCAGCTCATGCAACCTCTGCCTCCCAGATTCAAGCAATTCCCCTGCCTCAGCCTCCCAAGTAGCTGGGGCTACAGGTGTGTGCTACCACTCCTGGCTAATTTTTTGCATTTTAGTAGAGGTGGGGTTTCACCATGTTGGCCAGGATGGTCTCGATCTCCTGACCTTGTGAACTGCCCACCTCGGCTTCCCAAAGTGCTGGGATTACAGGTGTGAGCCACACTACTTTTAATTAAAAGTAACTTTACACCAACCTAATAATTAGCTACAATGAGATTATGCTGGAGTTGGATTAGGGCAGGGCTTTCATCCAATATAACTCGTGTCCTTATAATAAGAGGAGGGAACTTTAGAGGAGAATGCCATGTGACGAAGAGGCAGACACTAAGTGATGTATCTACAAGCCAAGAAGCCCAGGATTGCTGGTAAACATCAACAGCTAGAAGAGGCAGGGAAGATCGTAGCCTACAGGTTTCAGGAGGAGCATGGTCCTGCTGACACATTAATTTTGGACTCTACCATTCAGAACTGTGAGACAATAAATTTCTGTTAAGTTACCCAGATGGTGGTGTTTTGTTACAGCATCCCTAGGAAACTAATACATGAATAGTGGGGCCATGATTGGAGATCAGGAAGACTATGGAAGGAGTTGGGATGGAGGGTGTGAAGGCACAAAACCCCAAGAGTTCTACTTTAAGTTGCCTGGTAGGCGTCCAGTGAAAATTCTGACTGGCCAACACTAAGCTGGAAAAGGGAAGCAAAACTGATTTCTTACATCAAATATGTCTGGCATTATGCAAGCCAGGATTTCCCACAGGGTCCTTTATGGAATACCAATTCTGTATTATATTAACAGATTTTATAATATAGACAGATTTTATCTGTCTATATTAACAGATTTTATAAGGAAAAACATTTGGGAAAGTCTGGGTTAAATACAATTAAATGGGCTCCCTTGTTACAGAACATCTCATAGCCGTTCACTAACAGACAGCACACCTTTTCTTGACTGTGACACTATTCTTAGACAAGCCCTAAGGCCAGAGCTTTATATGAGACATATCCATATGAGTAAACTCAGTCCCAGGTTAAATAATTTTCTCATGCCCCCTCAGCTATTGAGTTGCAAAGCTGGAATCTGAAGCCATATCTAGGTGATGTCAAAGTCCACGTATTTTCCATATACCACTATATAAACGACAGAATATAACGAAATCTGCCTCAATGCAACTGTTGATAAAAACGGAATTCTGAATAAACTGGATTGTTTTGTCCATTTGCAGAATTTATAGGTACTGAAATTGCAAATGACTGAAAGGCATATTTATCTGTAAAGAAGTGAAAATCACAGGTCCACAGATTGCTTCATAATGGATTTCTAGTGTACTTCTTTCAGTTTCAGAAATTACTTTTTGGGGTAAGTGAAGCTCTCTACTCTTTAGGACATTAAAATCTCATGGCAAAGTCAGTGTCTTCCACTAAGAAATTTTTGTTAGTTTTGCTCAAGTCAGTGTAGCTCTGTTCTTCTTTAGAATTGCCTCCTTTTGAATGGTGTGAACCCAGGAGGCGGAGCTTGCAGTGAGCCGAGATCGCATCACTGCACTCCAGCCTGGGCAACAGAGTGAGACTCCGTCTCAAAAAATAAAAATAAACAAAAATAAAAAAAAAAAGAATTGCCTCCTTTCTATTGCCTACTATAATTAGCATTTTCAAATAAGAACATTAGGATACACCGGGTGGCAAATACAGGCTAAGATTGGGAACAATGAATGAGAACATTTTATATGAGGATAATCCTAGTAAATGTGGCAATGTCATCAGTTTAACCACCACTCCCTGAAGTGACAAGAAACTTCTCCCTGATTCTAAAAGAGTGACTACTATTTGTAGCAGTAACCACTCTATAGGACTCGCTTCCATGATTCTAGTACATTTCTCAGCTCTTTTCCATATGTTGTCTCATTCAAGCTTCACCTCCACTCTTTGTGTTTTTTTGTTTTGTTTTGTTTTTTTGAGACACGGTCTCACTCTGTCACCCACAATCTTGGCTCACAGCAACTTCCGCCTCCTGAGGCATAAATGATCCTCCCACCTCATCCTCCAGAGTAGCTGGGACCACCGGTGCATGCCACCACACCCAGCTAATTTTTGTACTTTTTGTAGAAATGGAATTTTGCCATGTTGGCCAGGCTGGTCTCGAGCTCCTGGGCTCAAGCGATTCACCTGCCTTGGCCTCCCAAAGTGCTGGAATTACAGGCATGAGCCACTGCGCCTTGGCCCACCTCCACTCTTGAAAGGAGTTAGTGTAGCACTTCAATAGAGGCCCATGCTGACTGGGCCACTTTGCAAGTGATAATACTCCAGGCAGCAGCTGACCTGGAACAGACTCCAAGTTGACTGGACCATCCACTCATTCACTGAATAAATATATCCTTAGCTCATACAATGAATAAAACAGACAGCATCTGCCTTCATGAACTGAGGAAGAGAGATAGGCGAGAGCTTTTAAGAAAATCAAAGCAGGATAAACGGAATAGAGAGGAAAGGGGTCAAGCAGTGGCACTATTTGAGATAGGTGGTCAGGGAAGGCCCCCCTGAGTAGGTGACATCTGAGCAGATCTGAGGGCATGAGACAGTGTCTAGGAAGAAGAGAGTTCCTGGCAGGAGAACAGTGACTACAAAGGCCATTAACAGGAAACAATGCAGATGGAAGCCCATGGTGGGGGCCAGGTGAGCGATGGTCGGAGTGGTTCGAAGGGGGATCAGGTACAGGCTCGTGCTGGGTATTGAAAGCTAACCTGTATTTTAGGGCACTGCTTCTTCCCAGCTCTGGATATCTCTATCAGTGTCCAGGAAGTCCAACAGTGTAACACTGCTGGCCCCTTGCTGCTGCCTTCTTCCCTCCGTAGGGGTAGGGTGTCAGGCAGAAAGGTTCACCTTATGGGTACATTTGGATAAACTGGTCATGTTGGGCTCACCTCACTCCCCATCCCCACATGAAACGGTGCTTTTCTCTCTAAACCCTGTGTGAATCTGAGGATTGCTGGGCAAGTCTGCTCAGTCAGGCATCAGTCATAGGAAACCCATTTGCCCAAAAGGAAAAGTGCCATTCCAGCCCAGCCTCCCTCGTTAATCAAGCTGATGTTTCACTGTCCTCCTGCCTTGCTCTTCTTTCTTATTTCTCAATTTTTTCAGAACTCATGAAAGAAAGACAAAGTGCTGTGTTTTGAGCTCCCTCAGAGGCCTCAAAAATGGAATTTAGGTCTTATTCTAGTGTAACCCCTATACTCCACTGTCTCTATTATCCTGCAAAATTTCATCATATATACAATTGAAGAAAGACATGGTTAATAGTATCAGCTTCATCAGTCATACCCAGAATTTAAAGCCCCATACAGTCTGGCTTGCTCACACCAACCCTGAAAAGAGAAAGTGGAGGATGAGAAATGACATCTCAGATCAAACCAGCCAAAATGTCTTCACACAGCTAATGCAAGGGCAACAAAGTCACTGCATGCATTCCCTCATTAGGTATTTGAAAATCCACTACGTATAGTATCCAAGGTGCAGACAACAGAAAAAGCCCACAGGCTGGTTCATCTGCTTCATAAGCCACTGAATACCCTCTATTATTGCTTCTGTCAGCAGTTTCTGAAGGCAAAAAAAAAAAAAACAAAAAACGCTGTTTTCTTTCTTAATGTATTCTGACTTCTGTGCATATCATCTTGCCAAAATCATTAATAATCTCCATATTTCTAAATTCAAAAGAAAAATCTGTCTTTATCTTTATTGACTTTTCTGACATGCTGACAGTGCCCCTTTGGCAAATTTATCGATGCCTTGCCTTCTGTAATTTGTGTTTTCATAGATCTTCTAAAATTCTTCTAGAAGTCTATCCTTGGCCCACAGCTTATCACACTTCCACACACTAAAGAGTGGTCTCATCACTTTAACCAGCACTTTCTGTGGACACCACTCAAAATGAGAGTGCCTCTCAAAAGCTTCTGCCTCATCCATCCAACTGCCTGCCTAACATTTTTACCTGATGCCCCATGGGTATATGAAACTCAACATGTCAAAATGGCATTTAATCCTGCTGAAACGTGGTGAATCAGAAACATTTGTTTATTTCTGTCCCCTCATGAAACCTCTCTAAAATGAGAGTAAAGACATTTTTTAAAGTTATAAATCCCAATACCCAAGAAAATAGAAGAGATAACAGTAAATGGGGCAGATCAAATTTTTGTTGTTAGATGGAAAGTGAACAGATAGTTTGCAGAGAATGAAGGCAGAATATAAATAAGAAACAAGCTAATTCAAACCATACAACTACAGAAAGGGTCAAAAATGGTAAGTACTGGTTACTGCAGAAGGCAAAAGTAAAGTATGGGGCTGAAAATGGAGGAATTGGCAAGAGTCTATAACAGCATTTAGATCCTCAAGTCCCTCCCCAGTCTAAAAGAGAGGTGAAAGCCTTATTCTGCAGCAAATTCATTATTTGGACATTTTCAGTAGAGACACTCTAGACTTGGGAATATAAGAAACAGTGAAAGTTGGGGAAGAGATACCCTACTGAAAACTCAGAAATTCTACACACTGACAGACCCCAGCCCCTTGAACACTCAGCAGAAAGAATGTAGGCAGTAAGGACTCTATACCTTCATTCTTCAGCCTCTGCAGGAGACTGAAGAATTCTTCTTTGCAACAACTGCATTCTCTTAGAGAAAGAACCTACACATAATGACATGTAGGATCCTCTAATGAAGCATGTTGAATCCACCAATCAACTGCAGGGAGCCAGTGAACTGCTGACAAATCCCTTCAACACAGTGTCCAACCAGCAATTTAGTTTCTCACACTTAATATGTAAATAGACTTCAAGGAACCATTGGGTATTTGAGCAAAGCCTCCAACTTGGTAGAAAATCCAAAAGAAACTGCACAAAAATAAAAACTCACAAGAAATAGCAATGTATGAAGCAGAATAACTCTCCAAAAACCAAAATGTCTTTAAGGAGATAAGAGAAGATATTGCATCCATTAAACAACAGAATAAAATACAAGAACATGCTTCTGAAAATTAAAAACATAATCTTAAGAAATCTTAAGAATTTGATAAAAGGACAGTGCAATTAAGTTATAGAAATCTCACAGAAAATATAATTGAAAGATAATAGAACTTTAAAAAATAGGAAGAAAAAAGATAAGGAAATTAGAAGATTGGTTCCAGAAGACCAATATCTGACTAATGGGAGTTCCAGAAAAAGATGGCAGATAAAATTCAGGGGAGATCAGGTGGCTCATACCTGTAATCCCAGAACCTTGGGAGACCAAGGCAGAAGGATAGCTCCAGCCCAGGAGTTCGAGACCAGCCTGGGCAACATAATGAAATTTCATTTCTACAAAAAAGGTTTAAAAAATTAGCCAGACATGGTGGCACACACCTGTGATCCCAGCTACTTAGGGAGCTGAAGTGGGAGGATCACTTGGGCCCCAGGAGGTCAAGGCTCCAGTGAGCCATGATCGCACCACTGCACTCCAGCCTAGATGACAGAGAGAGACCTTGCCTCAAAAAAAAAAAAAAAAAAATCAGGGTAAGAAATTATCAAAGAAATACTGCGAAAATATCTGCAGAGGTATAGATATGATTTTTCAGATTTAAAGGAACCATCAAGTTCCCAGATCAAGAAATGAAAAGATGAAGAACACATTTCAGAAGTGACTATTAGAAACTTTCCAGAGAAGAAGACAGAAAGAGAATGGTATCACATAAAAAGAATCAAAAGCCAAAATTGTATTAGATTTTTTTTTTTTTTGAGACGGAGTCTTGCTCTGTCGCCCAGGCTGGAGTGCAGTGGCGCGATCTTGGCTCACTGCAACCTCCACCTCCCAGGTTAAAGCTATTCTCCTGCCTCAGCCTCCTGAGTAGCTGGGATTACAGGTGCACGCCACCATGCCTAACTAATTTTTTTGTATTTTTAGTAGAGACGGGGTTTCACCATGTTGATCAGGCTGGTCTCGAACTCCTGACCTCGTGATCCACCCACCTCAGCCTCCCAAAGTGCTTGGATTAGAGGTGTAAGCCACCACGCCCAGCCTATATCAATCATGAGAATAAATAAATATTCAGAAATACATAAGAGTTATTTATTTATTTTTATTTATTTATTATTTTTACAGATAGGGTCTCACTCTGTCACCCAGGCTGCAGTGGCAGTACAATGCTGCAATTACAGCTCACTTCAGCTTCTAGCTTGCAGGCTCAAGCAATCATCCCACCTTAGCCTCCCAGAGTGCTGCTATTACAGATGTGAGCTACCACACCCAGCTAGATTTTGATTTTTATTTTTAATTTAATTTTTTTCACCTCATATACAGCTTGGGAACCAGCCAGTTTTTTTTGTTTGTTTGTTTCTCATATACCACTTCTCAGAAAGCTACTGGCAAATGTGGTCCACCAAAGCAAGGATGTAAACCAAGAAAGAGGAAGACATGGGAGCCCACTAACAGGGGAACTAGGACTGAAGAGGGGAAGTGAAATCACAGAATAACAGTTATATTTAAAGAGCAACCACTGCATATTGGAGCAGTAAGATAGAGGGGGATCCACATGAGATGTCCTCAAGGAAGAAATATATCTATAACTGACTACCGCATGAGTTTTTGTAAAAAATCATATCAATAAGGATATTACAGTTCTGTCAGCAAGTTTGGACAGAAGTTATAAGAGTGATAGAGAAAATAGAACAATCCAAAGAGGAAATTTTTAAGTTGATGAAGAAAATAAAACTGTACAAGACATGGATTGCAATTATAGTATACTACTTGGCTCAGCAGTGAGCATATTTACATAATAAGGTAAATATTAGATATTGATTTGGCAAAAGAGAAAATTATATCACCATTTGGACAGGTTGGAGGGTAGGAAAGTCAGGAGGTAAGGTATGTAAAAGTGGTGAATTTTCACCTTGTTGAATAAGTCAATAGAAAATACCTCAAATAAAAGGTGTAACCCTAAAACCAATAAATCAAGAAACAGATTAGGCAGATTACTTGGAAATTTGGAATTAAAGGCTAGAACAGACAGGTAAAAGTATGAGAGGAGGTCTCAGAGATAAGAGAAGGATGGGGAGGTGGGGAGAAGAAGACTAAAATTTTTTATCATGAGAATTATAACATTACTTTTATTATATTGACAAAAATCAAAAGTAGTTAAGAAGAACTCAAAAACTAAACTTATTATCTCCTTCCCTAAACTTGTCCTTACTTCCCTATTTTTCATCTTGGTTGGAAATACTCCCATCAACTCAAGTACTAAAGCCAGAAATCCAGGATGTATTCTTTATTTATCCATTTTTCTCTGGCCCTGCATTCCCACAGCCAATCAATCACCAACTGAATCTCCTAGATGTTCTTCAAATTCACCTTCACCTCTCTAAATCTACTCTCATGGCCTAATCCAGTTCTTTATTGTGACTTGCCTGGACTACTGCAAACCTCCAAACTAGTTTCCAACCTTGACTTTAACTCCTAATTAAATGAATCCCTCTATACTTCCCTCATGTGCTGCTGTCTCTCCTATTGAGGTGGCATCACTGTCTGGGGTAAATACCTGGGGTTCGCCATCTCATGCCAAGATTAAGGACATGGACACGCACAAGGAGTGAGTTTAGGAGCAGAGGTTTAGTAGGCAAAAGAAAGAGAAAGGAGAACACTTCTCTCTCTTGCAAGAGAGGGGCATCTGAATGGGAAATCTGGCCCTCCGTGGAGTGCACCAGATTTTATAGACAGGCTTGAGGAGGTGGTGTCTGATTTATATAGACAAAGATTGGCCCACAGATTGGCTGGACCAGGTGTGACATTTACATAGCATGCAGGGAAGCTGGCCACCTCACCCTAACCTTATTAAGCAAATGGGCTTTCCACTTGGCCAGCATTACTGTCTGTTCCCTACTGTACACATGGTTGGAAAGGAAAAGGGAAGACGGAGCTGCCATTTTGAACATGCCTAGCCCAGGTAGCCTTTTCCTATTGGCACAACTGCCGGCATTCACCTGTGCAAGCTTCCAGCTTACTTGTCTATGTGTGTAGCTCAATTTTATAGGCAGGCTGCTCTTTGTTAGAAAAGAAAATGATTTGGGGTCTGCTTTTCATTAAAAGGAAAACCTTACCGAGGACTCCTGTACTCTCACTATCTGCCCAAATAATTTCTTCTTAACGCCTATATCACTATTTTGGGAGGTCATAGAATTTATAGCATTTAAAAATTTGTTATGCAGCAATAGATAACCAATACAGAGGCAGGAGAAAAGCATAAGTAGGAAGTGGAGAAATAGGATGGAATCTAGAGAAGTCAGTAGAGAGCTGATCAGGGAGAGTTTTCTAGATATGCTAAGAATCTTTATCCTCTAGTGACTAGGAACTACTGAAGGGCTTGATAATTTGAAAAGAGTACTATGAACATCAATGTAAGGATGGACTTAAGCCAGAAAGACAGCAGGCAGGAAGGCCAGTTAATATGTTTCACAATAATCTAGAATAAAGATGACAGGAGTTTGAACTAGGGCTGGAAACTAGTAATAATAGCGTGGAGAGGGCAGACTTAAAAATAATTAGAAGGTTGACTGGGAGCAGTGGCTCACGCCTGTAATCCCAGCACTTTGGGAGGCCAAGGTGGGTAAGATCACCAGAGGTCAGGAGTTCCAGACCAGCCTGGCCAACATGACAAAACCCTGTCTCTACAAAAAAATACAAAAATTAGCCAGGCTTGGTGGTATGTGCCTGTAATCCCAGCTATTCAGGAGGCTGAGGTGGGAGGATCACTTGAACACCGGAGGCAGAGGTTGCAGTGATCCAAGACCACGCTGCTGCACTCCAGCCTGGGCAAAAGAGCGAGACTACGTCTCCAAATAATAATAATAAGAAGAAGAAGAAGAAAGTAAAACTGGAAGAAACTTGTGATTATATATTAGAGTTGAAATAGAACAAAGAATCTAGGATGATCCCAGATGTGACTTAGATGGCTGGGTGGGTGGACAGTGGTGCCATTAACCGAGAAAGAGAGAGACCCAGATCCCTGGGAGTGAAAATCAGCTCTGCTGCTAATCAGTCTAAGATGCTCCCAACAGAACATTAACAATGTTTCTATATACCCAAGGCCACTCTGCAGCTGCAGTATGATGGACAGTCCTTTTTTCTGAGCAACTGCTGTATTCTTACCAATGATAGCGCTTTGTCCCTCCCATCTCCTGAACAGAGACTGCTGAGAGTCTAAGTTCCTGAGCTGCCACGGGCACTTGGCAGCAGCTAATCCAGCGGGTACCTCTTCCCTGATCCCTCCTTCGACTCATTCAGCACAAGGCCAAATATTTCAGAGGCCTCTTCCCACTTCTCCCAACCTTTGGGTATGTGTCCTCCTTTGCTGGACATAATGCTAACACACCTAACTTTGTGTCATTACACATGTATTTCTCATATTCTCTGCTGAGTGGGTTTCAACTTCCATCCCACTTGAAAGGTGTGCTGAGAAAAGGTAGAAGGAGACTAAAAAATAGGGAGAAAAGAGACAATAAAGCCAGACCGTAGAGGATGGCTGCGGGCTCCCTATAGTACATTACATTCTAAGACGAGCAGGAAAGGCTCTGCCACAATTCCTGAATGTACAAGGTCAAAAGTTCCAGCCTTCACTTTGCCAACAGGTATATCCTTGGGCAAGCCAATTCACTTCTCCCCTTGGACTTCAGTTCCTTCATTTGTAAATTCTGGAGATTAGATGGACTATATAATTCCCAAAATCCCTTTCAGCTTGGAATGTCTAAGATTCTAAAAATGCAGCCAAGGAGATCAGGCTAAAACTGCTTCAGGCTTTGAGTCACAGGGATGATTCACGCAGGCTACCTTAATGAAAGAACTTCCACATCTGCTCTAGGTGCCCTGAACCTACACATTTCTGTCAGTGTTCGTAAGACAACCTAAGAAACCTAAGAAAGGCTATTCTTGGGGGGGCAGGGGGGCTACAACACTGATTAAATTACATGTTTTTTAAGCACAGATTTTTTAAAAATCCTATTAAAATTCTAAATCAGTGGCTTCCAGCAATTTTTCTCTGAAACAGACGTCTCGGATTTTGCAGACACCAATGTTCAGGCACACGTGTACACAAGAATGGTGGAAAGAGTCATGGTTTTACATGGAGTGTGCAGTCTGCCAGCTCAGAAATCTCCTGTGTCCCAACGGCACAGGCGGTTCATTCTCCTGCCAGCCAAGTTAATTCTACCAACATGCCAATAGTTAGAAGGGGAGAAAACAAAACAAAACAAATTATTTCCACTTGACTTGCTGATTGCTAATAATATTCTTCATCAAGTAACCCAGGCAGGAACACTTTTCATCTTCAGAATTAGCTATGGCTGCCATTTCCCCTTTTGTCAAATACAGGGAGATATTTCCCACGGTCTGCACATGACTCAGAATGGCTTCATCTTTATTTCACGTTCTACATTTCTTGTTGCTTGACTTAGGAGCATATGAGCTTTTCCCTAGCCAGGCCTTTCCCTGCAACCTACCTACCCTCCCTCAGCACTAAACAATCACATTTCTTGATCCATTCAAACATGCAGGCCTCGGCTGGACACAGTGGCTCACACTTGTAATCCCGGCACTTTAGGAGGCCGAGGCAGGAGGATTATTTGAGCCTAGGAGTTCAAGACCAGCCTACGCAATGTGGCAAGACCCTGTCTCACATCAAACAAACAAACAAACAGGCTTCTACCCACACTCTTCTATACAAATAGTTTTCTCTCCTTTAACAGAACTCAACTCTTCAGAGATTTTCTAACCATACAGTAAAGGGTGAGACACTTTGCTAAAACTTGTGGAGTAGTTAAAGATGAAAAGGGGACAGTATCCACCTTCAAGGAGCCCTCATTCTAGCAAAGAGAGACATGCATGAAAACCAGTAAACCCTAAATACTGTCATAAAGCATGAGGAATGCAGTTCTGTGCCCCACTACAAATAAACACTGCACTTAGTAAAGTCCTCACTGGAGGAAGACCCCATTCACAATGCAAATCCTATTACTCACTATACAACTTGCTACTTCTAACTTTGGGAAAAAAGCATTGAGGAAGCAGCATAATTCTCAGGGCTTCCATAGTCAACTGGGGGTAATCTTGCTCCAGGCTACACATTCTATCGCACCCTCTCTCCAAAGACTCCCCAGGGAAGGAAAATAAGAAAAAAGCAAAAAGTGACCTTAGACAGGCACAACTGTGGGACAATGAGGGAAGGCAGAAGATTGATGGGGTAAAACAAATGCATAAGTGAAAATAGAGCTTTTCTCCACTTCACCCTTAAATAAGCCAGGATTTTAGGTATGATCTTAAGGAGAATGAATGAAGTGATTGTTGAACTCAGGGAAGTAGGAAGGTTGCATGACCTTTGTACCAGCTTTAGGGGCTGGCATTTCTGAGAGAGGCTGGCCCTTCCTGTAGAGTTCAAGAAGTTGGGTGAAAACAAGGCACAATCAGAGGGCAGACATCCTGCCAATTGTGCAACAACCAATTGTGCAATGTGCTTTGAGCTTCCCTGCTGATCACCTTCTCAAAACAGAGGGGCCACAGTAAGGAGCCTACATGTGCAAACGCCTAACACAGTACCTAGCATACAGTCAGTAGCATATAGGAAGGCAATGCAGTCCGGTGGGAATAGCATGAAAGATTTAAAGTATGCCCTCAGACCGGGCACGGTGGCTGATGCCTGTAATCCCAACAATTTGGGAGGCTGAGGTGGGCGGATCATGAGGTCAGGAGTTGGAGACCAGCCTGGCCAACATAGTGAAACCCCGTCTCTACTAAAAATACAAAACTTAGCTGGGCATGGTAGCACATGCCTGTAGTCCCAGCTACTTGGGAAGGTGAGGCAAGAGAATCGCTTTTACCCAGGAGGCGGAGGTTGCAGTGAGCCAAGATCGCCCCACTGCACTCCAGCCTGGGCGACAGGGTGAAACTCCATTTCAAAAAATAAAAATAAAAAATAAAAAAACAAAGTATGCCTTCACAGCTTCAAATGTGGCTTCTGCCACTTAAAAACTCTGTACCTTGGCCGGGCGTTGTGGCTCACGCCTGTAATCCCAGCACTTTGGGAAGCTAAGGCAGGCGGATCATGAGGTCAGGAGATGGAGACCATCCTGGCCAACGTGGTAAAACCCTGTCTCTACTAAACATATAAAAATTAGCCAGGCGTGGGGGTACACGCCTGTAGTCCCAGCTACTCAGGAGGCTGAGGCAGGAGAATCACTTGAACCCAGGAGGCAGAGGTTGCAGTGAGCTGAGATTGTGCCACCGCACTCCAGCCTAGGCAACAGAGTGAGACACCATCTCAAAAAAAAAAAAAGTAGCTGTTGCCTTGTGAAAAGATAGACAAGTTCATTAAATTACCTGGCTTCTGATCTGCAAGTGGGTTACCTGGAAAAAGCGTTGTATGCTCTAAAAGTCCTAGATAAAAAAATTTATTTAACTTTCTCTTCTTCTTTCCTCTGCCTCACCTTACCCCCTGAACTTCCCAGAATGGGAAAAGGAAAGACTTACTTCACTTTACTAGTGCAGATATGGTCTTTTAGTTAGGAACTGTGGTCAATTATTAATGAGAACTGCAGCTATAGTAACACTGTAGATAAACAGGCATTAAAATACTAACAGATCATTGAACACCTGTATTTATTTTTTGCTCCAAGGACTCCATATATTCAGATTTTCTTCAAGATCTTATCCTTTTTTCTCTTTCCGTACATTCCCATTCAACCACCCCTTGAGTATTAATCACTAGTCCAAATGTTTGTTCAGTCCTGACATTGCTATTGGGCATTTCAGGACAGTATCACCACTGTCAGCTGTCACCTCCAAAAGGATAACCAATCAGCCCCTCAAACCCACTGACTCTATAACAGGACGTCATCATTCTCCTCAAACTTCCTCCTTCTATGACTTCCAGATACTTTTTTTTTTTTTTTTGAGACACAGTCTTGCTCTGTTGCCCAGGCTGGAGTGTAGTGGTGCAATCTCGGTTCACTGGAGCCTCTGCTGCCGGGTTGCAGCGATTCTCCCGCCTCAGCCTCCTGAGTAGTTGGGATTACAGGCATGCACCACCACGCCTGGTTAATTTTTGTATTTTTAGTAGACACAGGGTTTCACCATGTTGGCCAGGCTGGTCTCAAACTCCTGACCTCAGGTGATCTGCCCGCCTCAGCCTCCCAAAGTGCTGGGATTACAAGCATGAGCCACCATGCCCAGCGACTTCCAGATTCTTAATGATGCTCCCTTATAATTGCAGATGCCTGAGTTCTAAAACCAGAAGTCCTCAAGTCAAATCTGTCACCAAGTGCTATTCTACTTCCTTTTTTCTCCATTCTATCCACAGTTCAACCCTTACTTGCCCCGAGACATTTACAAAGCTTCCTAACACATCTCTCAGACTTCCGGTCCTTTTCCCTCCAATTTAGCCTAACACTGATGCTTCAGTGAGCTTTCTAAAACACAAGGCACTCCATTCCTCCCATGCCTTCAATGGCTCCCACCTGCAACCAGGAAAAAGTATAAACTTTCTACGATGAAATTTAATGTCCTCCATGATACAACTTCAACATAACTTTTCAAACCAAAGTTACATGATTCCTTCACAAACTCTTAGCCTATGCTCCGCCAAATCAAAACTCTCCTTGTTCCCTAACCCTACCCTGCCTTTTATGTTTTTACAGCTTTGCTGAGCAAACCTCCAGGCAAACAGTAGGAACTAATCAATGCCAGTTGATTAATCAATTGAAATCAATACCCTGGCTTCTAATCAATAATAGAATCTAGGTAGATTCTAGATTGCAAAATTCTTTTGACTTTTCTGAAAGTTTAAACCTTTTCATAATCAAACACTGGGAAAAAATTAGTTAAATGAATAAATAAATGAGAAAATGAATCGCTTGGGACCTGGGTTACATTCTCTCCCAAGAATCATACAGTACAAAAAGATATGTGGCACTATCTTTTTGAAAGAGGGGTAATGGGATACAGAGTCCCAAAAAGGAAAGGAGGAAGAGCTTACCTTTAGGGTTCAAAGTAAATATTTTGGCCTGTAAACAATTCTAAGCAATTTAAAGACAACCAATAACTAGAATCAGACTAGAGAGAAAAAGGTAGGAGGTAAGTTCCAACTATATTGGAAAGATAAGCTGCTAAGAATTTGCTTTTTCAGGCTCCAAGATCTAAGGACACAGTCCTTCCCCCTCTTTCACTACCACCACCCTGTCCTGCACCCCAGGGTCTGAGTTAAAGCAATGAAAGCATGTGATTTCATGTTCAAGGTTATACCTCTAATATCTCTTAAGGGAGAGCAATCTCAATACCCTGGTTTCAGTTCAGATACGCTGTAACAGCTGTCTTGTGAACTGTCTATTAAGGCTTACATCTTTGAGCTTGCAAATATAGTATAAAAGTTCAAACTCCACTACTGTTTTTACCAGGAAAGTACAGTTCTTAGCTTTTTGCCCAGCTTACCTCTCTCACAAGTCAATATAGACGTTAATGAGTCATTGTTCTAGAGGTATCTTTCTAATTCTGAGAAGCTTGCCTACTTCTTTTAAATGTTCTTAGTTCAGTCAATGAAAATCTCACATTATAAAGCCATCGGAAATGGTAAACTAAAACAATCATGTTTGCTCTTTAGTGAACCATACTTCCTATTAAGAAGGGGTCACTGGCCAGGCACAGTGGCTCATGCCTGTAATCCCAGCACTTTGGAAGGCCGAGGTGGGAGGATCACTTGAGGTCAGGAGTTCGAGACCAGCCTGGGCAACATGGCAAAACCCCATCTCTACCAAAGATACAAAAATTAGCCGGGCATGGTGGTGTACACCTGTAATTCCAGCTACTCAGGAGGCTGAGGCACAAGAATCCCTTGAACCCGGGAGATGGAGGTTGCAGTGAGCAGAGATGGTGCCACTCCAGCTTGGGTGACAAAGTGAGACTCTTGTCTCAAAAAAAGAAAGAATGGGTCATTACTATTTACCTTGAGTATTTGGGTGCTAATAAACAGATATCTGATGATACCTGGGGCAAGAACTGAGTTCCTCCCCTCTCATTGCCTTAGTTCTGTGCATCCCAGGGTAGTATTCAACACTCAGTGTTTCCTCTGACAAACTAGATGCTTCCCAAAACAAAAACAAACTCATTTTTAGAATTCTGTTATATTATTTGCTTCTTGTTTTTATTTTTTGTGGGGAGTGAACTGGTAAACCCAGTGGACTTTCTTAACACTCTTCTAAGTCATTCAAACTGTCAGTCAAAACCCACCTATTTCTCAGGCTAGTAGAATCCCACTATAAAGTGATTTATAAACTGGATTTATATAAATTGGGGGATCAATTGCCCCTCCCAAACAATCATCTCCTATAAAAGATTAATAAAACAACATCTGGTTAAGAACACTGACACTACATTATAAAGGGTTGCCCCTGTACTTAGACTAGCATGAGGTACACATCTAGAATGCCCAGTTAGCCAAACGGTCTTGACGACCATGCAGACTTTCATATGCCAACAAAGCCGGTGCAGTGTACTTTTCCAAAAGTGCTCCAATTCTCCTTTTGGACAACTTTCTTAAACGTTATTTACCAAGCTAATAAAATGTATTCTCAATGGACTTTTTACTCTGCTTACATCTTTGTTCTTACTCATCCCAAAGCAAAGAATGGAAAAAAAATGAGTTGTACATTTAGCCGGGGAAGGGAAAGGCAAGTACTGAGGGGCTCCTTTTTCATTTACTGATGCCAAAACTGAGGCTGTGGAAGATAAGTTACGTCCCTGATGTCATCCAAGTAGTGGATACCGGAACCAGGAATTGCACAGAATTGTCCAGCTCCAAAACCCAAGCACCTTGCTTGGGACCCACTGGGGTTGCAGTGAAGGTGGGGGGCTCAGAGGTGACTGCACACGGGTCATGCATAGCCACAGTCATTATATGGCCAGAGTTTTAAACATTATTTTGTTCTGTCTTCACCATAGACTTCATCATCAATCATAACTGATAAGGAAAATTACACTTAGCTGAAAAGCCAAGTCCCGTGCTAGGGAGGCATTTTCTGTATGTTATTTCTATTTCCAATAAAACAATTCTTTAAAAAGAAAAACTTATTATCTCCATCTTTCAGATGGAAAGACTGAGGTTTAGTAGGCTTAAATAATTTGCCCGAGGTCACTCACTAGCCAAGGCCAGAACTGGGATTTAAATCCACAAATATTCCAAAGTCCTTTTGTTTCTGTATCACTTCACAGGGAGCTGCTTCCACCTGTCTCCTGTGCCCTTGGTTTCTGCTAATCCTACATTCCAAGAATAAAAGTCTTCCTATGCGTTCCTAGGCAGAAGCCAAGTTTCCCTGCTTTGGGCACGTTCAAAATAGAAGGTATTTTCCGCTTCTCTTGCTTCTGAGCACCCACGAAATCAACACATCCCCAAAACACGCGTTGAGGGAGTAAGGGAAAGTGTCCTGCACCCGCCACCCTCCCGCGCTAAGAGCGGCAGAGGACCCCACAGCTTCGTACTTCCCCGGAGGAGCTCCTGGAGTAGGAGACGGCTTCTAGCCTGGAAGAACCCCGGGTGCGACAGTTGTGCCAGGAAACTTCAAGAGTATTCCCTCGGCTGGGCGCACGCAGTACATCCCCAATGCTCCAATTTGAACTTTGACTCGGCCACGACCACCCCACTCCAGTCTCACTCTACGGTGCTTTCTCCCCTGTTGGTGCTGAGGGCTTTTGAGACTACCTGCCCCGCGCTCCCTAAGTCCGAGGGACCGAGGCGAGGACCTGTCCCGCTGAGCTGGCACGACCCACGCAGGGCAGGCGGCACTTACGCGGCGCAGTCGGTGCTCCTCCCTGAGCCGCGGCGCGCAAGGACCCCAGCCGGTTGTCCTTGCAGCGCTTCCCAAATCAGGCAGAAGTGAGGCAGCCCCACCCAGTCACGAGGACCCTGCAGAACTCGAGCCTTTAAGCGCTCCTCTAGGCTCACATGACCCAGACCCACAGGGCAAAAAGTGCGTCGTCGTGTCCCAACCTCCTGGTCCCAGAAACCTGGCCGCATCAAGTCAGCGCTTCCCATGCTGGAAGAAGCAAGCAGCCCCAGGGTGGAATCTTAAAAATTAATGAAGAGCATCGGCGGGGTGCCATTCAGGTTGGTTTGTCCCTTTGTTTTATTTTGATTTTGTCTCCCAGTTTTTAAAAGCTGCTATCTTAAAATTTCAACCCTGTATTTTGAAATTATTTCTGCACTCTAGGACTTACTTGCAAGCCCAGGATTTACATTTGGAAAGCGAGTGGTGTTTGATTCCCACTGTTTAAAAAGGCAACACACGTTCGCTGATGGTCTACATTCCAGCTGCACTAGCAGTAAGCTCGCACCAAGTGCCACTGTCCTGCCAAGCACTCTCCTGAATCACTGCGCTGGAGTCTCAGAGCCACCTGATGTGTTCTGTACCATTATACCCATTTTGCAATTGGGGGACACAAACTAAGTGAGGTTAAGTAACCCATCCAGGGTCACATTGCTTGTAAGTGACCTGAGTGTATATTATTAGCCACCACCAGGTGCTGGGCATCGAGCCAGACAGTACGGGAGCAAGAACTAAAAAAGGCAAGGAGGTTGCAATGGCAAGTAGATAACACAAAATAAAGGAGGGTCATCATTATCAGCAACAGCAGCGTCAACTGCCAGACAGGTGGGAGAGGCCACGGGGAATCTTCTGCACTGTCCCGGGCCAACCTCCATCTCCTCACAGCTAGCTGCAGGAGTGAGCCCAGGGAAACCCGCAGTAGAGCAGCCCAGCCAACCCGACAGTCAGGGGGAAAAATTGTTTTAAGCCACTTTCAGTTTCGCGTAGTTTGTTATGCAACTAAGGCTAACTAAAGCACTAGTTTTACGAGCTGGAACAAACTAATGTCACTGAATATCTGTTTTCTCCTAAGTACCTACTTTATTGGGTTGTTGTGAGGACTCACTGAAAAACTATGTGTAAATCACCCAGCACAAAGTATGTGCTCAGTGACTGCAGTCATTCTTTGCTATCATACCTTCCATATGGAAGTACTTCCTACCCACCTAGCTCTTTAAGGAGAAAAATCTGTTTGTGGGAAAATAATTCTTTTAAGGCCAAAATCAGCCCACCTTTAATATATGCAGGACCCAGGGCAAAAGTACAAACAGAGATCTGTAGGCCAGATACCTAAATATTTAAAAGTTATAAACAAAGTTAACAAATGATTAAGTACAATAAGTTCTACCTTCCTACCTAGACAAATATACCTTGGGAATTGACATGAAAGGCCAGATTGAAACTTTGGATGATCTGCACTTAAATATGATGGTGCAGGGAGAGGCGATTTCCAGTTCCTGGTTTGCAGCCACCTCCTCTCTTCCCACAGGGCTCTAGTCCATTGGTGGAAGCTCGGTCAAGCTTCCCAGAAGCAGCTGTCCCCCAGCCACCTCTTGGGCACAAGAGTATGAACACCAGAGTCAGCAATGTTCGCCCATGGGAGTACAGACATTAGCAGATAACACTGCTGCTGGCGTGCAGACCCTTGAAGCAGGCTCAGTGCCATTTGGGGAGGGAATTTGGAATTTGCCTTCTAAAGTGTGGGCCCTGGACAAGGGCTCCTTGGGTCTAAGTATAAGGACAACTACTGGCCAAAGAATACCTGTGCCCACGTGGAACCACTTAAAAACTAAACTGAATTTTACAGTAAACACAGGAGGAGCCATGCTGTAAGCATATTTATTCAAAAACAGGGTGTCCCAAAAGTCTTCCTGCAGTTTTAGTAACCTCAAGGCTATAAATGCTGCAACTTATAAGAACACCATTTGAAAGTTAATTTAACACTATTTATCTCTGTGAATGTTGAATAACACGTTTTAACTTTAATTTTTGTTTCAGTTCCCCTGAGTGAAATATGGCATACATTAACCAGAAGAGAAAATTACATTTATTAAAATAATTAAAACAGAGTCAAAAGAAGTAAACGTTCAAATGAGTTTTGTAAGTTTGTAGCATTTCGACTTAAGAAGTTATTAAAGCTTAAAACTGCACTGACCTTTTTGGGGTACCCTGTATTCGGATTTGTCGTGTGTCAGGTTCTGTGCTAGACACTTGATTAAAAAGAAAAAACAAGAAAAAAGATAGTCTTCTTTAGGGAACTTGAAGTTTAGTTGTGGGGAAGGGATGAAGGGGACACACAGATTGATCCCATCATACAATATAAGAGCTGTAATTGGGGCTGATAAAGTGTGTGTGTGGGGGAACAGAGGACAGGGACCAAATGACTCTGCCCGAAGAGCCAGGGGAATCCTGTCAGAGGAGGTGACTTGAAGCTAGACATTAAAAAATGAATAGCCACTGAGGGGAAAGGTGGCAGCACAGGCAATGAGCAGGCCACCTGCACTCAGGTTGATGCTGTGCTCTTGGACAGATGGACTGTGCGACACCAGGCGTGTT
This sequence comes from Homo sapiens, assembly GCF_000001405.40. NCBI lineage: Eukaryota > Metazoa > Chordata > Mammalia > Primates > Hominidae > Homo > Homo sapiens. The sequence goes on from NC_000007.14 coordinate 29,149,060, forward strand.
CAGGGTGGGTCGGGGGTTAACTAATACTGAGGTTAGAAAATTAGACTGGAGCCAGCTTGGAAAGGGCAAGAATGCTGAGCTCTAGAGACTGATGTTGTTCAAAATTAGTAGATTGGGAAGTCTGTTTCCCTTTTTTTTTTTTTTTTTTTTTGAGACAGAGTCTTACTGTGCCGCCCAGGCTGGACTGCAATGTCGCAATCTCAGCTCACTGCAACCTCCACCTCCCGGGTTCAAGCGATTCCCTGCTTCAGCCCCCCGAGTAAGCTGGGACTACAAGCACCCGCCACCACAGCCAGCTAATTTTTTGTATTTGTAGTAGACACGGGGTTTCACCATATTGGCCAGGCTGGTCTCGAACTCCTGACCGCAAGTTATCCACCTGCCTTGGCCTCCCAAAGTGCTGGGATTACAGGTGTAAGCCACCGTGCCCAGCCTGGAAATCCATTTTCTTAATGAAAGAGAATAAAATAGAACAAAATAGTACAGAACAGAATAGAACCATAGGACAGGAGTATGTGCTTTCCAGGGAGGTTGTAACTGAGCAGCTATTAACAGTAGAAATTTATTGTCTCATAGTTCTGGAGGCTACAAGTCTGAAATTAAAGTGCCAGCAGGGCCAGGTTCCCTCTGAAACCTGGAGGGGAAGGATCCTTCCTCGCTGCTTCTAGGTTCTGGTAGCCCCAGGTGTTCCTTGGCTTGTGGCAGCATCAACCCAATCTCTGCTTCAGCCTTCCAGGGCTTTCTCTCTGTGTCTTTTCACAGTGTCTCCCCTCCATGTGTCTGTCTCTGTGTCCCAATTTCACCTATTTATGAGGACACCAATGACATTGGATTAGGGTCCACTCTAATGACCTCATTTTAGCTTGATTACTTCTATGAAGACTCATTTTCAAAATAAGGCCACTTCACTGCTGCAATAGATATTTTTAGCCCTTCTCTTGTATTGAGAATATTCAAAGGTTGGCCAACAAATCGGTTTGCAAAGAGATTCGTTAAGCCTTCTTTGATTGGCTTTCCTGAAAACAAGATTTAAAACTGTCAGGTCGATCACAAGCCCTTGTGTTCTCTGCACCTGCATATTCTAGTGAGGTTTGGGTTTGTTAAGCCCTAGTGGTTCAGAGCATGGGTCAGACTCAGTTTGAATCTAGAACCTTGCACCTAATGACCATAAGCAAGTTACTTAATCTCAGTTTTCTCATCTGTACATGATAAAAATACTATTAGCTATCTTGCGGTATTATCAAGAGGAAGAAATAAGATAGTAGTACATATAAAGTGCTTGTCATATATAAAGGCTCAAAAAATGGCAGCTGTAACAATAATAATGGTGATCATGACAATCAAGATTCTAGGCTGTGACTGCAGTTCTTTCCAACTGTCTATCCAAGACAACTAAATTGTATCTGGACACCACACAAAAACATGCTTCTCACTGACCTATAGCCGGAGCTTTGCTGAACTCCTTAAATTCCAGTTAAGAAGACACAGAGAATAGATCATTTACACATCTTGATCAGGTAAATACAATTCCAATTGTCTAAGTTTGTAGGTCTGATTTTACATTTGCAGCTGCTGCCAGCAAGATAAATGTGGAGCTGCAATGGAAACAAGGGGAATTGATTAACCTTGTAGGCAATCATGCCCCTCTTGGAAGTGTCTAGGTCTCTCCCTGCACTTGTCAAGGCTTCTATAGCCATTGTTCCTTTTCAGTGTTGTTACTGATCTTCAATGGGGCCACCGGGTAGCCTGGAAACACAGCTCAGAGGCACAGCGAAAAGAGAAATGTCACAGCCCCCATGCACCACAATTAATTGTTCAATAAACACTTTTCTTAAGGAACGAAGCCAGATGTGTCACACCCACACACTTGCAAAACAACACTGTGCTATTAAAAAAGGGAGGGGTGGGTGGTAGATCCAGCTGAAGAAAGTCTACAGCTGTTCTGCACCTCAGCTATAAGCATTGAAGGCTTCATTAAGTGAGAAGTAGGCCCAGGTGGCGGTAACCAAGCTCTAAGACACAGACACATGCCCTGATCAACTTATTGAAGTGCTTCAGTCTCCTTGTACTTGGTAAGGAAGGGGCACCTCCTAAGACTAGCCACAGGCTACAGACTCCAGGGAAGTTGTGGATAATTACATGGTAATTATTTCTAATAAGTGCTTCCACTCTTAGCATGATTATCCTTCCCTGGGTTGCTTGCCTCCTTATGCCTGGTTTATGTAGGGAAACAATGTCCAAATTAATCTACGTCTTTTGTAAGTGAGCCTATACTCCTTTGACGATCCAGATGGTTTAGCGCCCTTTAGCAGCAGGTGTTAAGGCTTTCTTACAAAAGGCATATTTTCAGTTTCCCTTCGGCTATGGAAAAAGCCAGGCAAATAAGACTTCGGTGATTTAAGGATAAATTATGGGATTAATATAGACATGGCCACTAAGGACAGCTGAGCAAGCCCTGTGTAAAACCAAGAGAAATAATCATAGTGAAACTTTGTAAGGATTTTATGGTTTGCCCAACACTTTTTATATATATCATCTCTTTTAATTTTCACATCAGCCCTGCGAGGTATATATTGATATTATGATGAACCTGCCAGTGTGCTCAGGATAGTATCTGATTAAGGGCATGGCCTTAGGAGTAGACCGATGGCATCTGAATCCCAGCTCAGCCACTCATTAGCTGTGTGACCTTTGCTGTGTTAATTAACCTCTCTAAGCCTTAGCCTTCTCATGTATGGGAAGAGAACACCACCAATCCTACAAGGCTGATCTGAGGATTTGACGAAATTGTATGTATAGCCATCAACACAATGTCTGGCCCATAGCAAGCAGGTCATTCACTGGTTGAAGGAAAGACATTTGCAAAGGACAAACAGATAGTAAACAAACTCCCTTAGGTGAAGTAGTATTTGGAGTCTCCTCTTTTTCTCTTGTTTAGGTTTTATTTTATTTTCTTCGAATGGAAATAGTGGTTAGTGCAGGTGCTCTGCTTACTCATATTGTGCCTATGAAGAGTTGCATGATCCAAAGTGGGTTATCTAGAAAAGTGACTCTATAGCCTCTGAAGGGTTTTCCAGAACTTCAAGAACTAGGTCACATCACCAAATAAAGGAATACAAGTAAAATGGGCAAAAGGTATTTCTTGGTAGGAATGCTCAAGCAATTGCATAAAACCTTATGTTGCTTTTTATGCGTGGCAGCTCAGGCTAGACTGCTCAGAACTTCTTGCTGGGTTAACTGCTATGGATTTAAAGGATTCCCCCTTGATTCTGAGACAGCTACACCTAGGAGCACCAAGCAGTGAGAAAGAGAAAAGGTGCCAGAAAGCCAGTCCCCAGGTCTCTTTGTTCTCTATTCTCAGTTCCTGGCTAAATCTTTCTTGCTTTCCTCATTTGAAAATGGAAGTCATAACAACTTACCCACTCTATCCACCTTTACTGAGCCAAGGAGTCTGAATGCACTAGCTAAATGATACAGTGCCTGTCTTATGCCACATGTGACACCATGATCACTAATGTGATATAAATTGCCTGGGCTTAGTTTGTTCCCATCCACCCCACCCAGAGATCTATCAGCAAAAAGAAAAAAGGAATTATCCCTTCTTCTCAGTAGAAAAGTGACCTGACACAGAGCTGTTAAATTCTGGGCTCTTTTGCTCTGAGACGGTTGGAAGAGTTAACGCCATTTTGTCTCTTTCGGTGCACCCCATTGTTAAGTTTCTCTCAGTAAATTTTGACAAGAAACAGGCAAGCAAAACAAAATACACTCGATCCTTGTTATTCGTGGATTCCATATTTGCAAATTCTCCTCCATGGTCTGAATAACAAGGACCTCAGAATTCTTTGCCCAAATGTCCACAAGCTTGCTTCCAGAGCCTGCATGCCACTCTTCCTTGGAGTCATCCTCTATCTGAGGGGTGGCCAAAGGCCATGCTTACAGAGCTGGGATGCACAGGGAAGGATGTCCAGGAGAAGGACAGGTGTAAAGGTAGCACTCTACACCACCATGTTGTAGCACAGAACTTCAGGAAGTCTCAGAATTATAAACTCAAATTGATTATCTAGGTTGCTATCAAGGTATATCTTTCAAGGTAAGAGGGTATATTTCATTTAACAGTTTGTTCCCTGGTTTATAAGTGTTACATATCTAGACATATGGTATGTGGGCCTCTGTGTGTACTCTTGCCCCAAGCCTCCAAAGAAAGAGGCAGGCTTGGAAATAAATAAACATCTGTTGATTTAAACTACAGTTGACCCTTGAACGCATGTGTTTCAACTACACAAGTCCACTTATACACGGATTTTTTTCTAGAAAAGTGACACTGAGTGTGTCCACCTTCTCTCCCACCTCTCTACCTTTTCTGGTTTTGCCACCCCTGAGACATCAGGACCAACCCCTCTTCTTCCTTCTTCTCCTCTTCAGCCTATTCAATGTGAAGACAATGAGGATGAAGACCTTTATGGTGATCCAATTCCACTTAATGAACAGTAAATACATTTTCTCTCCCTTATAATTTTCTTTTCTTTTAGACAGAGTCTCACTCACTTTTGCCCAGGCTGAAGTGCAGTGGTATGATCTTGGCTCACTGCAACCTCCGCCTCCCAGGTTCAAGGAATTCTCATGCCTCAGCCTCCTGAGTGGCTGGGATTACAGGTGTGTGCCACCACACCCAGATAATTTTTGTATTTTTAGTAGAGACAGGGTTTCACCATGTTGGCCAGGCTGGTCTCGAACTCTTGGCCTCAAGTGATCTACCTGCCTCGGCCTCTCTAAGTGCTGGGATTACAGGCATGAGCCACCGCACCTGGCCTCCCTTATGATTTTCTTAGTAACATTTTCTTTTCTCTAGCTTACTTTCTTGTAATAATATAGTATATAATATGTATAAAATACAAAATATATTAATTGTTATGTTATAATAAGGCTTCTGGTCAACAGTAGGCTATTAGTAGTTAAGTTTTGGAGAAGTCAAAAGTTATATGTGCATTTTTGACTGCACAGGGGGTTGACAGCCCTAACCTCTGCATTTCTCGAGAGTCAACTGAACTAATATCTAGGACCTGTTTGTCACCACATCACAGCCTCATTTATTCTGACAGTTGCCCCTGGGGAGGAGGGTGGTGGGCTTCTCATTGCAGAATCTGTGGAACAGGATGCCAGCAGACAGAGGAGGGGCCCCAGCCAGCAGCTCTGAGTAAGTGAAGGAACAATAAGGGCAACAGCAGTGTAAATGCTGGAGATCAGGCCCCTCTCCATTCGTATGCAGTGAATCAGCCTCTAGCATGTCTGTATGAGCTAAATGGGTGGGGCTTCCCCATCCCTTCTCTTTGCCTCCCTTCACCTGTAGATTTTGGATGTTCCTGCCAAACTCAGCAGGTGTGAGCTCAAACTGGATTCTTTTTCAAAAACATAAAAAGAGATGACACTTCTTATACTCTAGATGTCATGAAACAGTTCACACCTGATCGATATTTAAAGAAGTATTATTATTAGGCTGGGCACGGTGACTCATGCCTGTAATCCCAGCACTTTGGGAGGCCGAGGCAGGCAGATTTCTTGAGGTCAGGAGTTTGAGACCAGCCTGGCCAACATGGTGAAACTTCATCTCTACTAAAAATAAAAAAAATTAGCCAGGTGTGGTGGCACGTACCTGTGGTCCCAGCTACTTGGGAGGCTGAGGCAGGAGAATCTCTAGAACCCGGAAGGCAGAGGTTGCAGTGAACCAAGATTACGCCACTGCACTCCAGCCTGGGCGACAGAGTGAGACTCCGTGTATTAGTCCATTTTCACACTGCTGATAAAGACATACTCGAGACTGGGCAATTTACAAATGAAAGATGTTTAATTGTACTTACAGTTCCATGTGGCTGGGGAAGCCTCACAATCATGGTGGAAGACAAGGAGGAGCAAGTCACATCTTACATGGATGGTGGCAGGCAAAGAGAAGGGTGCTTGTGCAGGGAAACTCCCCTCTTTAAAACCATCAGATCTCGTGAGACTTATTCACTGTCAGGAGAACAGCACAGGACCTGCCCCCATGATTCAATTACCTCCCACCAGGTCCCTCCCACAACACGTGGGAATTCAAGATGAGATTTGGGTGGGGACACAGCCAAACCATATCACTCCATCTCAAAAAAATAAATAAATGAAAATAAAGAAGTATTATTATTATCTAAACTTGGGTTGCACCATTTCAGGGAAAACAACTACATTTTAACAACATAAGTTAAAAAGCCATTATCAAAAATAAATAAATAGAACTCTTTCCAATGCTAAGAGGAAAGACAAGGCTGAGAGAAAAGAAAGAAATTAAAAGGTATTAAATCCTTACTACCAGCCAAAGTCATGCTAAGTGTATCACACATGAGGTCATTCAGCCCTTACTGTAACCCGAAAAGGTAGATATTATATTCTCCATTTTCTAATGGATGTAACAGAAGAATAGAGATGTTCAAACATGTGTCCAAGATCAAAGAGCTACTGAGTGTCAGAACTGGAATTCAAGCATAGGTCTCTCTGACACCAAAACTGCCATTTTTCTCACCTCTTTGTCTAGCTGCCTCCACTCCAATCTGAAGCTTGGAATACAAGCTTTGGATTCTTCCAATCATCGTCCTGCTTCCGTGTTTTTAAATCCTGTCCTTTAGCAAGGTCAACCGTGGACAGTCCTCCCTCATCGGGAGCCAGGAGGGTAGGCTGGCTGGAGGGGTCCTGTTGACAAATCTCATCCTTGTGATGGATTTTTTTTTTCTAGGCCTCAGGACACCTGGAAAGGCGAGGACATTTCTAAATGCCCTCTGTCCTTCAGACCACATCGGAGCGTCCTGTCAGGGTCTGTGAGCTGGGAAATAGGCCCTGAGCCGATAGATCTAGAGACGGCCACGTGCTCTTGCACAGCCTAGCCAGCTGTGCCCCTTGGGCTGTTAGTGAGAAAACTTACTTTTACATTTAATATTGGTTTTCTTCCCTTAAATCAAAAGAGTGCTGAGGGATAAACCGGCGAAGCATGGTGAGAGAGGGAAGAGTTAATGTGTGCAAGGTGAGCCCTCAGACAGAGAAAACTGGAAAACCATATATTTACTTTTGAGTTTTTTGACATTCAGGTCTATCTTCCATTCCCCCACTGGACTCGTCTGGTTTTGCCTGTGTTTAGAAGTTCTTCTGTGGCCTGTCGCCTTCCTTGCAAATCTGTTGCAAAGTAATTACATCTTAGTATTGGGATCTGTGTTTCAAAAATGTCAAAACAAATTTCGATGATTAAATGCCAAAATTAAGCTTGGTACTTCTCTAAAATTGATATGAAGGACACATTTTAATTAGAAATTATAAATCTGAGGCACTGTACCATCAAGCTACCTCCAAAACCCGAAAACTCCATAAAGCTCTAGCTCTGAGGAAAAAAAAGTTAAATTCAATCTAAAGATGGCGATCTTGTGAAATAACCAGCCATATGTCATCTCCTTTTATTGGGGCTGAAATTTTGCCCTGAGGCATCTGAAGGAACTCAGCTAAGGCATCCCCGATAAAGGTCATCTGTGAGGGAAACTTTGTGGGTTTTTTTTCCTCTTTAGATATCTATAAACGCTAATTAAATATGCATTATTGGTGTAATTTTGACCAAGGAGCTTTATGTTAGTATGAAAGCGACTATGTATTACTCTCCAGCACAGCTTACACAAGCATTATGCTAAATTATCAGATTTTTAGCTTCTGCATAGCTAAAGAAAAAGTCCAAGAAGTCATAATTCTTTATCAAAACTGACAGTGGATTATGCACCTGGAGATCTATCTAGCAAAATCTGCCTTGCATTCTCAACATGAAAATCCTGTGGCTGCCAGTAGGTGATACATCTAATTTTAACACAAGAAAAGACATCTAACAAACATCAAAACAAAAGCTACCCTTCGAGCTCAATTTTCTTTTTCACACATTGGTCCACCCTACCCCCACTTGATGTCAGCAGGAAGTAATCTCGTCTGTGGAAAGGAAGCCAGCCTCCTAGCTGCACCGACAAATTGTAGGGAAATGAAAAGGCTTGATGATTGCTGAATTTTATCCCTCTTTATTTCCAAAAGAATAATGAAGAGCTGTCTTTTCTCCCACTTAACATCCTAATCACCCACATCAGCAGTTTACACTGCAGCTACCCACACCTCTGAGTGGGGAGGAAAAAAAGAATGAGATGCGACCCCTCCCCCACCCTGCTACACCCATTGGAACCTGTCAGTACTGCATCTTTAATCAACCTCAAAATTGCAATCCTTCTCCACTCAATGCCCAGCCCCTGCTGGTTTAGGGCACTACATAGCTTGCAGTAAACTGCTATCCATTATTCCTCTATATTTAGAACTTCTCTAGAGAAATGGCGTTATCTCAGTCACTAAGCTGGAAACTTTAAAGTTAGCTTCGCACAGTGGCTTATTCACAGTCTCTTTCATGGACCCTTCATTCACCTTGCTTTAAAATGTTCAGACTGATGCACAACTACAAAAATCCAAAGTATGAAAATATCACCCTATGGAAAATTGACTATGATTTGCATTTTGCTAATGTTGGGATAGGTCAAATGTTATTTCTCTCCGCTCCATAATGTTTCATTGGAGATAAATCCTACTCCCCTTCACCAGTGAAAAGCCACTCAATGACCTGAACAAGATCTGGTGATAGAAAACATATTTTCAATAACACTAAACTCATTTTTCTGCCAGAACAAATTAGTCAGTAGCTATCTCATATGTCACAGAGGTTTCAAAGAGGCACTTAGGAGGATGCTAAAAAAAAAATCCTTCTATGTAGATTATTAGAAATGTCATGTGCTAATGTAAAAATGCTCCGGCAGTCCTTTCATTTTACTCTTCCTTATGAAAATACTGTTTCTCATTTGTGATTCCACTCCTAAAGAGATGTTTTTTGAAAATGGTTCCAAAGAGAAACGGAAGGAAGTGTTATCATTTAGCCCAGAAAAGGCAAGATGGCAGGGAGGTAATCAAATAAAGGAGAAAAAAGACACAATGAGCTCATCACTCCTCCAAATTCCCATCTCCACTGAACACTGGTTAAGAAGAGGGGAGTGGGCTGTATTGGTAGGAAGGTTTCCTTAGAGTTGAGTATATTAAGAAGAGCATGAGTTCCGGAATGAATGAATGTCTACAATCAAGGACTATCTTCCTTCAGTGTTCTTTGCCATTTGAAGGAAAAGCAGTTTATAGCACACACATATTTTCTTAGGACCTCAGTTTCCACCATCCTATAATAGAGCAAATAATTGCTACTTTTTATTGCTGTAGAGCAGATTAAATCAGATGATGTGACTAAAACATGTAACATGATGTCTGATCCATAACCAAAGAAAACTAGAGGAATGTGTAAAGCTATGATGTGTGTGGGTAAGAGTGGGGATAGCTGAATCCTGAAAATTCAGGCAGAATGGCTCACTTTATTTTATTGTGTAGCCTAGTCTTTATGTGATAATATTGATACTTAAGTTTACCAGAGAGGAAAATATTTCCTTCAACATCCTCTACGAGATCTGTTTTCACATGTGTAGAGCTGACTGTATGCCTGAATAGGTGAATTATGCATTTCACCCAACTTTCTTTTATAATTTGAGTCATTAGACATGGCCGTAGAGTTAACAGTTTAATATAAAAGTGTTCCTGGAGATTTTGCTTGTTCTTTTTGGACTGTAATCAAATGTGAAAGAGATTAGTAGTAGCAGTATTTGTGATTTCACCCTATTTTAAATATTTACAGATGCTTAACTCTTAGAGAGATACTTCTGACATTCCAACACATTTCAGCTCTGTATAAACATTCCTTTGGGGGCTTTCATTTTGTTCTGATAGTAAAAATTGCTAGAGGAATGTAACTGAAAACTGATTTCCAAATAAGATACCCTGCGGCAATCGAAATATCCTATGTAGTTATTATCCACTGTAAAGTACACTTTCCCTCAGGGAATCTGCTATCAGAGAAAATTAAAACCTAGCCACCCATTTTAAAGCCCATTAAGTCATTAGGTGGCTCTTCAGTGTTTTCCTAATGGGCTACACAGCACAAGGAGCCCTCCCAGAGCCAGTGAGAAAGCATTGTGCAGACTCCTGCAAGCAGATTTCTTTATCTGGGAGTCACAGAAGTTTAGACCTGAGATGGACCTTGAAAATTATTCAGCTTCTTCCACTTGCAGAAGAGGAAACTGAGCACAGAAGAGGTCACGTGGTTTTCCACTATCCACAGCTGGTTAGAAGCAGAATAAGGGTTGAAACCCAAATGCCTGCAGCATCCTGGCATCACAGAGCCTTCATGGTCTTAAAGGTGGGATGAATTATTCTATACCAGAATAATGTTTTGGATGGCAGTATTGGAAAACTATCTGCCTTGAAAGTTGCTTCAGATGAATGAAAACCTATTATTTTTAAAAAGTAAAGCACTTCAAATGTGTTTTATCATGTAACATGTATGTGTTATCATTGTAGTTCTCCTATGTAGAGTGATGAAATGGGGTGGCTAATTCGAGAAAACCTCTTCCCACACAAGTCTTATGCCTCCTCCTTCCCCGCTTCGTGCAGAGGACATTTTGCTCAAATGTCACCTTCTCAGTGAGATCTACCCTGACCCCCCTATTTAACCTACCTCACAGCACACATCCTGGGATTACTGATCCCTTTTACTCTGTCCTGTCTCTTCTTCAAAGCACCTATCACCTGCTGACTTACTATGTAATTCACTCATTCTTATGCTAGAAAATAAGCCATGAAAACAGGAAATTATTGTGATTTGTCTCAACTAGTGTAATGCAAGTGCCTAGAACAGTGCCTGACATAAAATAATGCTTAAGTATTTGTGGAAGGACGTAATTAATTGTCCCCAAATGGCATCCTTTGTGTGCCCATGGGTGCACGTCATTTTCTGGTTGGTGGTCATCTTCTGACTAGATGTGCCCTGTCCATCAGCACACAGTGTTGTGGAGAGCCAATCTTCATTATTATCTTGCCTCACTAAAAGTTAAACATTGTGTCCTTCTGGCTCTCTGATAAAGAAAGCTCACTTTCCTAAGATCAACATGGTTTCCTGGCCCTCATAATATTTCTACATGTTTAAATCTTACTCAGTTTGCTACTTTCTAGAGTCAGTTGATCTAAAATATGTACTGGCCACCCACAGTGTGTGAAGTTGGTGCCAGATGTTCACGGTGACAGACATGAGCAGTACATTCTGGAACCTATTAGACTAATGTTTCATAAAACTTATCTGATTCCCTGATGTTCTCCCATCAATTTTCCTGTTCCTGTATGTGGCTGACAACGTTACTGGCTTATCCATGTCATTCCCCTTCCTGTTTGGTATCTCCTTTTAGTTTGGGCAATAATGTACCCAGGAGTTGAGTCATGTTTGACCCTAGTCAGTCATGGCTACCCCTTTTCCCTTTGCCACTGAGTGGTCTACAAGTGGGTGTGTAATCCAGTCCTGGTCAGTGAAATATAATGAGAATTCTAATGGAGGGCTTGGGAAAGATTTTTCTCCCTGTCAGAAGGTAGGGGAAGTACCACAATCTTCAGCCCTAACCCCAGCACCTTGACTCCTAATTTGGGTGGTGTGTTGTGAAAACGTGATGATGCCTGGTGCTGTGGTAGCCATCTTGTGACCATGAGGAAAAACCACATATGCACTGAGGCAGAGAGGAAGGGCTAAAAGAGCCTGGGCTCTTAATGACGTTGATCTAACAAACCCACCCTGAGACCAGTCTACCTCTTGACTTATTTATCACATTCAAATGATAATATCTATTAATCATTGACACTAGGTTGATAGTCTTTTCTATTTTTTGATTAACGTGAAAAGCTACAGATTAATTTTATAAATATCTGTCACCCCTGAGATAATATTAAGAACAAGTGTCATTTTCTTGAGTCTTTCCTCTGATTGAGTTTTTCCTGCTTTTTTAAACTTTAATTTCTCACCCTTCTTTTCAACTCTATAAACTTATTTTCTGTATAATACCTAGAAGCTACCTGACTTCTTACCAGATATTATCTTAAACCCCTTCGTTCTACCTTATCTATGATGAGCAAGATAGAGGAAGGTGCTCAAGGTTAGGGGAAAAACTGAAATGTTTTCAACATTAGCCTTGACCAGGCTCATGTCTTAGCACATGAGGGTTTGTGCAGGGAAACTGAAGCAAAGGAAGGACAGCATGGTTACTCTTTTTCCAGTCCCCTTTGAACCCCGTTACCAAGTGAATCTTCCTAAAACACTCCCTATAGCACATCTTTCTCCTGGTCAGGAAAACCTAAGGATTTCACTGAGCCTGCCAGATAAGATTTCAACAGTTTTCTTAGCATGCAGCAACTTTCACAATCTACACCCAACTTCCCTTTCCAGCTGGACCCCCTCTACTTATCTCGAACCCCACATTTTTGCCAGTTGGGTCTGTCTATTCACTTTAACTTTTCATACCCATTCATGCTCCTGGTCCTGGTTATTGTGGTCCCGGACCTGGAATGATCCCTAACCAAATTCCATGTATTCTCTAAGCCTCTGCTATTCAGTAGGTAACCACGATGGGTAGACTGGCCTTTTCACTGAATTTTTAATTTAAATCCATTTGAATTTAAAAATAGATACTTAAAAATTAAAAACTTTTGCTTTGTGAAAGACCCTGTTAAGAAGATGAAAACGATGAGCCACCAACTGGAAGAAAATATTTGCAAATCATATGTAAAAGATTTATCTATAGAATATATAAAGAGTTCTCTAAAGTCAACAGTGAGAAAACAATCTGATTTTTAAATGGGCCAAAGAGTTGAACAGACATTTCACTAAAGAAGATAGACAGTTGGCAAATAAGCACATGAAAGATACTCAGCATCACTAGCTATCAGGGGAATGTAAGTTAAAATCACCAAGACAGATCACTTATAAACCTATTAGAATAGCTAAAATAAAAAATACTAATAATACCAAACACTGGCATGGATGCAGGGAAACTGGATCTCTCAGACATCGCTGGTGGCAATGTTAAACAGTACAGCCACTCTGGGCATCTGGCAGTTTCTTAAAAAGTTAAACACACATTTACTATACAACTGAACAACAGTACCTCTGGGCATTTATCCTAGGCAGGTAAAATCTTATATTCACACAAAAACTGTTCACAAATGTATGTGTAATAGCCAAAAACCGGAAATGACCCAAATGCTCTTCAAAAGGTGAATAGTTGAACACACAACCATATAGTAGAATACTATTCAGCAATAAAAAAGAAACAAACTACTGATACATGAAACAGCTAGGGTGGATCTTAAGAACATTATGATGGCCAGGCGTGGTGGCTCACACCTGTAATCCCAGCACTTTGGGAGGCCAAAGCGGGCAGATCACCTGAGGTCGGGAGTTCAAGACCAGTCTGACCAACATGGAGAAGCCCCATCTCTACTAAAAATACAAAATTAGCTGGGCATGGTGGCGCATGCCTGTAATCCCAACTACTTGGGAGGCTGAGGCAGGAGAATCACTTGAACCCGGAAGGCGGAAGTTGCAGTGAGCCGAGATCGTGCCATTGCACTCCAGCCTGGGCAACAAGAGTGAAACTCCATCTCAAAAAAAAAAAAAAAAAAAGAACATTATGACAAGTGACAAAAGCCAGTCTCGAAGGATTACACATTGTATGATCTCATTTACACAACATTCTTAAAATGACAAAGTTGCAGAGAAAACAGATAAATGAAATGGCTGCCAAAGGTTAGGGAAGAGGAGGGAGAGCCTAACTATAACAGAGCAGCACTAGGAGATCATTTGTGTGATGGAACAGTCCTGTATGTTGGTTGTGATTGTGCTTAAACAATTCTGTACATGTGATAAAACGTTATAGAAATATACACAGAGACAGATAAAACATTTGAATACATATAAATAACAGTGAAATATGCATGAGGTGTAGTTAATTGTACCAATCAATATCCTTGTTTTGATAATGAACTATAGTTATGTAAAACGTTACCATGGGTTGATGGATTCATGGGATCTGTTTATACTACTTTTACTCCTTATGAGTCTGTAATTATTTCAAAATTAAAAATTAAAAAAAGATACTCAATTCTATTATGGGAAAATTTTTAAGCATGTTTGATATATGAATCTGTTTCTCCATTGTAAATGTTATTAAATCTAAGACGTGCTACAAGTGTAAAGTATATACTGGATTTTGAAGACTTAGTATGAAAAACATTGTAAAATACTTCGCTTATAGTTTTTATATTGATTAAAATACTCTATATTGAATTAAGTAAAATATATTATTAAAATTATTTTCAACCTTAAAAATGTTTAAAAATGTGTCTTTTAGATAATTTAAAATTACATATGTGATTCATATTATATTTCTATTTCCTGCTCTAAGCAAAGAATATGGTACCCTGAAAATTGACACATATGTTAATGGGCATATGCATATGAGCAATTATTACCTAAGAGACAATATCCATTTTTTTTTACAATCTTATTAAGGTATAACTGGCATACAATAAGCTAAATATAAAGTATACAATTTGATCAGTTTCAGCTATGTATGAACCCATGAAACCCATCATCACAAGATAACAAACATTCTCATTGCCCCCAAAAGTTTCCTCCCTCCTGCCATCTCTGTCACCAGGCAATTGCTGATCAGCTTTCCATTACTATAGATTAGCTTGCATTTTTAAAATTTTTAAATAAATACAATTATATTAATTGGTATCTTTCACTTTGTGTAGTTACTTTAAGATTCATCTATGTTATGCATATCAATAGTTCACTCCTTTTCATTGCTGAATTCATTGCTGAATTGGACTGAAATATATTTGTCCATTTACTTGTTCAAGGACATCTGGGTTGTTCCCAGCTTTTGACTATTACAAATAAAGCTGCTGTTAACATTCGTGGACAAGTCCTTATGTGGACATATGCTTTCGTTTCTCTTGGGTAAATACCTAGGTTGACACATATAGTAGAGAATGTTTAACTTTTCAAGCTATAAAATTGTTCTCAAAAGTGTTGTGCCATTTTCCATTCCCACCAGCAGTGCATGAGAGTTTTAGTTGCTCCATATCCTTCCCAACACTTATTGTGTCTTTTTGATTATTGCCATCATGCTAGGTGTCAACTCACCGTGATTTAAACTTGAATTTTCCTAATGACTAATGATGTCCAGCATCTTTTTATGTGCTTATTTCCTGTTTGTACAGTTTCTTTTTTGTAAAATGTCTATTTGATTTTTGCACAGTATTTTAATTAGGTTGTTTCTCTTCTTATTAAGTTGTAAGGGTTTATTTTATATAAAATGCAAACCCTTCATAAAATATATATTTTGCAGATAATTTTGCCCAGATTTTGGCTTGCCTTTTCATTTCCTCTTTTTCATTTCATTTCATTTTTTTGAAGAGCAAAAGTGTTCAATTTTGGCCAGGCACAGTGGCTAACACCTATAATTCCAGCACTTCGGGGGGCTGAGGCGGGCAGATCATTTGAACTCAGAAGAGACCAGCCTGAGCAACATGGCAAAACCCCATCTCTACTAAAAATACAAAAATTAGCCACGCGTGGTGGCATATGCCTGTAATCCCAGCATCCCTGGTGGCTGAGGCAGGAGAATCACTTGAACCTGGGAGGCGGAGGTTGCAGTGAGCCGAGATCTCACCACTGCACTCCAGCCTGGGTGACAGAGCAAGACCTGTCTCAAAAAAAAAAAAAAAAAAAAAACAAAGATTATTATTTCTTCACCCAGTTTCCCTTTGAAAGAGGTCAACTGATATATATGTGTGGGTCTGTTTCTAAACTTTCTAGAGTGTTCCATTGATCTTTGTATATCTATCATTATGATAATACCACACTGTCTTGATTACCATAGCTCCATGATAAACCCTAAATATAAACTCAAGTGTATAGTGTGAGTTCTACAACTTTATTCTTTTTCAGATGTTTTTGACTATTCTACATCTTTTGAACTTCCATATAAATTTTAGAATCAGTTTGTCAATTTCTAAAAAACAAGCCTGCTGATTTTTTTATTGGCATTGCATTTAATCTAAAGATCAATGTGGGGAGAATAGATATCTAAATAATATAGTTTTTGATTTATGGGCATGTATATCTCATCTTTTCAATTATCTCAACAATGTTTTATGGTTTTTGATATAAAGGTCTTGCATAAGTTTTCTTCAAACCAATACTTAAGTTCATATTTTCTGCTATTTTAAATGGTATTTTTATTGCAATTTTGGATTGATCTTTACTACTGTATAGAAACAAAATTGATTTTTATATATTACTCTTTATCCTTTAACCTTGCTAAACTCACTGAATAGTTCCAATATTTTTGTGTGTGTAGGTTTCTTAGATTTTTTTTAAATCACCTATACTGGTTCAAAGAATTTTCCACAGTCATGTTGTCTGTTAATAGAGACTGCTTTATGCCTTTCTTTTTAACCTGTATGCCTTTGTTATTTCTTTTTCTTTCATTAATACATTTGCCATAATCTTTGTTACAATGACAAGTAGAAGTGATAGAATGGATATACTTGCACTGTTCTTAAATGAAAAGCATTCAGTCTTTCACCATTAGGTGAGGTGTTAACTGTAGGCTTTTCATAGCTGCCCTTTATGTGGTTGAATTTTCTTCTTTTCTTTTTTAAATTTTTTCATCATGAATAGATGTTGAATTTTTGTCATATGCTTTTCTGCATATATTGAGGTGACCATATGGTGTTTCTTTTTAAGTGTATTAATATGGTGAATTACATGGGTTGATTTTCAAATGTTAAACCAACCTTGCATTCTTGAGATAAACCTTTTATTTGGTAAAATTTATAAACAGTGTTTGTCACTATGTTCACAGGGGACATGATTTGTAGATTTTCTTTTCTTGTAATATCTTTGGTTTTGGTATCAAGGTAATGCTGGCTTCATAGATTGAGTTGCAAAGTGGGTTTTTGTTTGTCTGTTTGTTTTTAGACAGGGTCTCACTCTATGCCTAGGCTGGAGTGCAGTGGTGCAATATCAGCTCACTGTAGCCTTGATTTCCTGGGCTCAAGTGACCCTCCTGCCTCACCCTCCCAAGTAGCTAGGACCACGGGTGTGTGCCACCACATCCAGTTTTTTTTTGTTTTTGTTTTTGTAGAGGTGGGGTCTCACTATGTTGACCAGGCTAGTCTCAAACTCCTGGCCTCAATCCTCCCATCTCAACCTCTCAGAATGCTGGGATTAGAGGCATGAGCCACTGCGCCCAACATGGATAGCAAAGTGTTTTATCCTCTTTGATTTTCTTGAAGTTTTGTGTAGAATTGATATTCTTTCTGATTTAAGTGTCTGGTAGAATTAACCAGAGAAGCCATCTTGGCTTGATGTGTTTTCTGGGTTTTTGTTTGTTTGTTCGTTTGTTTGTTTTATGGGGAGGTTTCTAACTATAATAGCTTTATAGTTAGAAGCCTTTAATAACTTTAATAGCTATTGAGCTATCCAGGTAATCTATGTCTTCTTGAGTGATCTCTGGCAGGTGGTTTCTTTCAAAGAATTTGTCCATTTTATCTAAGTTGTCAAATATTATGGCAAAAAAGATGGTTGTAATATTTTCTTATACTTTTAGTATCTACAACTGTATTGGTATCCTCTCTCTCATTTCTATAATTAATAATTTGTATCATTTCTATTTTTTTCTTGATGAATCCAGCTAAAGGTTTATCACTCACTGATCTCAAAAAACCAGTTTTTTATTCCAATGATATTCTCTATTTTTTGTTTTTCTATTTCCTGTACCTTCTTGAACATTTGAAACATATTTATAATAGTTCTTTTAATGTCCTTGACTACTAGTTCTACTATCTGTGTCATTTTTGTTCTGTTTCCATTGACTGATTTTTCTCCACAATATAAGATATATTTCTATGCTTTTTTGCATGCATAGAGTACATATACTGTATATGTACAAGTTAAAGAATAATAACAAAGTGAACAATGTTTACAACTCCAAACAACTTGACGAAAAGAATATTATCAATACCTTAAATCTGTCCCTGGTAACATCCCTACCTTGATACACTCAAAGTGTACTCAAAGGTACAATATCTTGAATTTTGTGTTAAACTAACTTTTAATTATTTATTTTTGCTTAAGTATGTAATCCTAAAATAATATATTAATTTTAACTTTTTTAGACCTTTGTCAAATACAATAATTCTAGGCTTACTTTTTTCATTCAATATGTTTCTGAAATTCAACCAGATGAACATGTATCTGTTCATTCATATTCTATCCTAAATGGTATTTCATTAAATGAATATTCAAAAAATTATCCACTATCTGCGGACATGAGAGCTATTTCCAGTTTTTCTTTTTGCTTGTTTGATTCGCTGGTACAAACAGTGCTTCTATGACCATATTTGAATATGTCTTTGGTGCACATATGCAAAACTATTTCTAAAGTATGTATCTTAGAGTGGTATTGCTGAGTCGAAGACTATATGAATTTTCAACTTTGCTAAATAACACTAAATTGTTTTTTAAAGTAGTGGTACCAATTTACTCTTCAGTCAAAAGTGTGTAAGTGTTTTTATTGCTCTACATCTTCACCAATATTTGGTTTTGTCAGACTATATAGTTTTGCCAATCTGATAGAAAAAAACTGGCATCTGTGAAAGTCATTTGTTTTCCCTAAACATTTCCAGTTTTCTCTGCTTCCAAGCACATAGTAGAAGGAATTGCACTTCCTAAATCCTTGTTATGAGTGAGTTTGACTTGTAATGAATTGTGAAGGAATGTCTGCCAGCTCCTGGCTGGAGCAATTACTTACTGATGCAAAAACCCCCATGCTTTCCTTCCCTCTGACAAGGAGGCCTACAACATCGGAGGTAACTGTTGTGTGACCCTGGGAACATGAGTGATCATAATGAACAGATGACTGACCACAGTTCCCAGATGACCTAAACTGGACATTTGTGTGAGTGAGAAGTAAAATTTTGTTGGTATGATTCTTGGGTGTTGGTGGCAACAATATTACCTAGCATATCATAACATACAGAATATCTCATTGTGGTTTTAATTTGCTTTTTCCTGCTTACTAATGAGACTGCACATCTTCTGACGTTTGGTCTGGGCATTTTTTTATTTCATAAAATGTCGGTTTATTTGTTTGTTTAAACCATCTTTCAATGGGTTTCTTTGTCTTTCTCTTATTGATTTCTAGAAGTTCTTTAGACATTTTGGATTCTCATCTTGTGTCAGCTTTGTTTCAATTCCATTACACAATTTTTGGTTTTTCTTTTAATGGTTCTTAAATAAAACTTTTTATCTTAGAAAATTTCAAGCATACAAAATAGAATATTCTAATAAGCCTCCATGTAGCCATACCCAGCTTCTATAATTATGGACTCATAGTCAATCTTTTTTGCATCTGTAATCTCTACCCATTCCTCCCACCCCTGGATTATTTTGAAGAAAATGCCAGACATCCTATAGTTTCATCTGTGTATCTCTAAAGGTAAGAACTCTTTGCAATTTGGAGGTCCAGTGTTATGTGAGGGTCTCTGTTCCAATCCCCCAACCTGTATAGGCTGAAAGCTTTCCCTCTTCCCCCTCAAACCTCAGCTGTAGGCTTCCAGGGAGAGTTTGTGTCTCAGCTAATCAGATGGCTAAACACACTTAAAAACTATTTTTCCATTATATTATGCTAAAAGCACTAGAAGTAATTTAGTTTAGCATGTATTCATGTTGTTTAGACATGTACTACTAAGTATGTATTATGTGTGCATGATTTTTACATATGCGTGTTTACCACTATCCATTTAATCTATAAGCTTCTAAGAGGTATGAACTATTTCTATTCGCCATGTTTTAAGTAATACCCAGCCCAATGTGATTCAAAAGTAAATGTATAATAAATTCTATTTGATGAAAATGGAAGTCCTGGTTATTAGAATATCATGAGGAAAATGGACTCAAATTGTGGTTTGATTTTCATAGGCAATTCTAATGGATATATAAGAAATTTATCTCCCATAGAATAAAACATGGAATTTTCCCCATTTTATTCATTTCAGTTTTCTTTCTTTCATACCTATTCTAGGTGGTCTATGCATTGTATATTCAGTACTGTTTTTGAAAGGCATGTTACTCAAAATACATGGTTGTACTACGAATAAATGCACTATGCTGATATTACCATTGTAGAAGATTCTGGGAAGAACATTCTATTATTCAATCCCTTAAAATATATCATCCTATTGAGTTGCTTCTTCTAAGGCATTCATGTACAGTGTGCTCTTTTAGAGTTTAACAATTCCATTTTCATACCCCTCTAAACACACCATTTTAATTATTTTTAAAAACTTACCATTAGTGATTTGTCCTATTTTGTTTTTATATAAATGTTTATATACAATAATGTTATGTTAAAAATAAATACAACTGTTTTGTTATTGTTATATTATCTTTCACTTAAACAAGAGGAAAGGGAGATTAAGTAGCTGACGGTGTACTGAAGAGTAACTGAAAAGACCAAAACAGGACCATTGGCTTTTTCTACCTATTCTTCTTTGGCTTCTGCCTTTTCATGTCCTATGTATGGCTGCCATCATGTGCTGCTCTGTCTTTTCTTCTCAGGGCCTGCTTGACACATTTGATCCAGAAAAGCTTCTTCCTCCCTTCTGACCACTGTTTGCTCAGTCAGAGCTGGTGTGCCTATAGACCTTCACATCCTTATTCCATGGCTACCTGGCAGGGATAAGATGTATATATATATATACACACATATATATAAGTATATATACGTGTGTGTGTGTGTGTGTGTATATATATATGTATATACAGGTTGCTGCTCTGTTGCTCAGGCTGGGGTGCAGTGGCGCCATCATAGCTCATTGCAGCCTTGAACCCCTGGGCTCAAGTGATCCTCCTGCCTCTGCCTCCTAAAGCACTGGAGTTACAGGTGTGAGTACCATGCCCAGCTGTGGTGTCCTTTTGATCCTTGTATTTGGCCTTCTTGACTAATCCAGTGCTCCCAGACTTCTAGCAGAAGCCCATTCTCTGGAGGTAAACTGACAGGAATCCTATGGGGTGGAGGGGGATTCCCTGAGCTCTTAAACATGGTCCTAAGGTGCTTCCTTGGCTACTTTATGTTTAACAATAGATTGCTGGTGATACTGATGAAACTCTTCTTTTGTTTTAATATCTGACAAATTTCTTGCTAATCTTAATTACTAGAGCAACTCTAGGGAACAGTGAATCTTCAAACACAAGATTTTAATATGCTTTCCTTCATGTCAGTGTTCCTTTTATGCATACCTCTAGTAAAACATTGTTCCATTTGATGCCAAAGATTTGCCCTTTCTTTAATTAATTTTGAATACTGCACATGTTAGATTTTCCCCCATTATTCATATTTTCTCCAATTGTTCATCTGGGGACGAATTTAAGTAATTTGTACATGTCCTTAGTTTAAAATGGGTTTTGTACATTCACTGAATATTTTGAAGAAAAATCAACCATTACATGACAAATGTATGTCTTCTAGAATTTTTATTTCTAAACTTCATGGAACACTTCTGTGTGACTTTCTGTAATATCTAATCTCAGGCAAAAATGACTTACTGTATTAGTCTGTTTTCACACTGCTGATAAAGACGTACTCGCGACTGGGCAATTTACAAAAGAAAGAGGTTTAATTGGACTTATAGTTCCATATGGCTGGTGGGGGGGCCTCACAATCATGGCGGAAGGCGAGGAGGAGCAAGTCACATCTTATGTGGATGGCTGCAGGTAAAGAGAGAGCTTGTGCAGGAAAACTTCCCCTTATAGCAACTATCAGATCTCGTGAGACTTACTCACTATCACAAGAAAAACATGGGAAAGACCTGCCCCCATGCTTCAATTACCTCCCACGGGGTCCCTCCCACAACATGTCGGAATTCAAGATGAGATTAGTGTGGGGACACAGCCAAACCATATCACTTACACTTCTCTATGACTCAGCTGATTTATTAAAAAACGACTTTATGAGATGTGTCAATTGAGATGGAAGGTGCTGGACATAATGAACTGCCGGTTTCCCCCCAGTTCTGACTCTTGCCTGCAGAGCCCTAACATTGCTTACATACGCACTGCTCTTTCACATGAAGGAACAGCGCAGACATCACCTAATACGCGTCCTACTGTATTCTTTCTGCCACATTCCCAGAAACCCCAAAGCTCTTTGGAACACCCAGGGGATTTCACAGGTCTATAAAGAAGAACAACCTGTAAACTGGGCTTGGTGATTCTGTGGGGATACAAACCAACATAATACATATGTAATGGAATAAACAACGGCATTAGCCAGTTCAGAGTCTTCAAGCTGAACTTGTTAGAAGGAGCGCCACACCTCAAGTAAACTAATAGGGTGGGGATCCCAGACGGAGAGGATTCTACCCAGAATCCTCCTCAATTCAGCCCCGAGCTTTCTTTGAAGGGCTTTCTTTGTACAGAGTTTAAGGTCAGAGACTTTTAACGTGGACCGGAAAGACAAACTCTAATACCTTAAGGGGCACTATTAAATCAAATTCCACAAACTAAATACTTGTCCGGAGATGAACAATTCAGAGTATAGCAGTTGTTGCAGGCTAAATCCAAGCATATGACATAATTTAGAAATCTACCAGTGTGTCTCCAGAGAATGCATTTTCATTTTTCCATAATATAATACATGCCTATCAAATCCATCTAACATTATTGAATCCATCACTTTTTAAGAAATGAAGTTGTTGTAGCTGAAGCTTTCAAGCATGCCGTCACATATAGTTCTTACAAATGGACTTACGAACTGATTTGGAGGGAAGC
The DNA here is from genome assembly GCF_000001405.40 of Homo sapiens. NCBI lineage: Eukaryota > Metazoa > Chordata > Mammalia > Primates > Hominidae > Homo > Homo sapiens. The sequence continues at coordinate 29,171,906 of NC_000007.14, forward strand.
CCCCAATTCCCATATGTTTGACTTTAAAGAACAATCCAGCTGTATCTGAAGTAATTGTCCTCCTCAACAGAGTGCACAATGCAGGGTGCAGTGGGTGGTACACAGGAGAAAAAACTCATGGAATGGTGGAGACAGCCCCCTAGTCAGCCAGATGGGCCAAATCAGATGTAGGGTCAGCAGTATCACGTTTATACGCTTGGATTACATTGCCACCTAGAAGGAACCCAGGGAGTACCTAGGTTTCCATATATGGGGGGATTCCTGCAATGATTCAGTCCTTTAATGGGGCATCTTACTGTAAATCATTAAAACAGCACCACCTACTCTCCAGCATCCGGCCCACTGAGTTCTTGAAAGCATGGTTGCTGTGGGCATCACAGCTGATTTCTGTTAGTTGACTGGTCTCATCCAGTTGACCAACATTCTGCTTCAGGAACATTGTGACTTCTACACCTAGGCTCACCCTTGGTTATGATAGCATCAGTGTCTAAAGTTTTCTTAATATGCTGTAACAATAATCTCTGTCTCATCTATCATCATATTGCCACCCATTTATCATCCAAAAAAAATTATTAAAAATAACCAAGCCTTCAGATTCAGGAAAACCATTGGAATCAATTTGATTTCCCTTGCAGTTGGGAAATGAATTTTAAATTATTCATGTTAACACCCTCCAGATAAATTGAATTTTTAGAATATTTAAGAAAAGCTTAGTAAAGTCCATCTTTGACATTAACAGATTCCTTTTTTTAAATATTAATTTCATATTAACCATTGCTTTTTGACATACAGTCATCTGACCAACGATTTCAAGAATCATTAATGTTAATTGGGAAAGAAGTAAAACCTTAACATTTTAATATTATAAAACTTTTTTTTTCAACTTCTGTTTCCAGCTGTATGACTCACTAGATATCTGGAGAAGCTTTTCTGCCACTTAAAAATGCTGGATAAGGCCGAGTGTGGTAGCTCACCAGCGTTTTGGGAGGCCGAGGTGGGTGGATCACCTGAGGTTAGGAGTTTGAGACCAGCGTGGCCAGTATGGCAAAAACCTGTTTCTACTAAAAATACAAAAATTAGCTGGGCATGGTGGTGGGTGCCTGTAATCCCAGCCACTCAGGAGCCTGGGGAAGGAGAATCGCTTGAACCCAGGAGGCAGAGGTTGCAGTGAGCTGAGATTGCGCCAATGTACTCCAGCCTGGGTGACAGAGCAAGACTCTGTATCAAAAAAAAAAAAAAAAAGCTGGATGAGATAGTTTTTAAAAAAACATTTTTAAAAATGCACACCTAAGCTTATAGGAAAGTCAAGGAAATCTTCTAAGGCCAGAAAGCTAAGCAGGAACCCAGAGGAAAAAAAGCCCTGTAGCTGGCATTGCCCTGAATGCATCTGCCAGGTGCTGGTAGCCTCGAGTGGGGGCCTAACTTTCTGCAGCCATATAATTTATCCTCCAGCCCACAGTGATTATGAAGTGAAAGGTGGTGCTATTAATAATACATGAGGATTTCTGCTCCTGCTTGGAATATAGAAAGCTACGAGAGAATGTCACCCCCATCCTAACAACAAGAAAATGAGGAACAGTGTACAATATTATAACTTTCTTTCCTTAAACTCATCAGAGACTTGAGGTCACAAGGCAACCAGGAAAGTAAACTTCAAAGGATAAAAAGCATCTCTAATGAGAGGCAGGATATGAAATTGTTGCACCTTTGGCAGAGTATGGGAGGAAGGAGGGGGTTGTTGCCATGGAGTGAGTAAGAAGAAATATTTTTTTAAAAATAATGAATTCCTTACTTTGGCAGGCTGAGGCGGGCAGATCACTTGAGGTCAGGTGCCCGGCCTGTCCAACATGGTGAAACCCTGTCTCTACCAAAAAAAAAAAAAAAAATTAGTCGAGTGTGGTGGTTCATGCCTGTAATCCCATGTAATTCCATCTTACTTGGGGGGCTGAGGCACTAGAATTACTTGGACCTGGGAGGTGGAGGCTGCAGTGAGCTGAGATCACACCACTGCACTCCAGCCTGGGTGACAGAGGGAGACTGACTCAAAAAAAAAAAAAAGAATTTCTAAAGACTGAGTATGCACTCATATCTCATATTAATTTAGAATAATTGAGAGGCCCAGACACAAGCGGAGTTCACACACACTCCCAAGCTTCTCTTCATAGTCTCCATGGGGAAGAGGGGGTGCTCTTGAGGAAGACTAGGGCAGGGCAAAAGGCTGGAGAGACCCCCCCGTTTGGTGGCACAGGATGCAGGAGGAGGTGGCTGCCCCCACACCTTGATGCTCCTCTCATGGGAGCAAAAGCCTTAATTAAGCTGTCAGGAAGAAGCAGCAAGCCCTTGAGAAGCAAAGCCCTCTGCCTCTGGAGGGGGGCCAGCAATCCCGTCTTTCCATATTTTGGTATGCAGGCACATATCTGCTTCTGGGGAAAGGACAGAAGCAAAAGTCATCAGTCCCTGAGGAGAGACAGTAAAGCTTTTCGAGGCCTGGAGGCTACACCAGTACATAGCCAAGGTCTGCTTCTCCCCCAAGAGGGACAGGAACCTGTCCAGACAAGGGACAGGTTGCTCAGCTGATTAGCCATGGGGGCACAAAGCAGGATGGAACATGGTAGAGTGGATTTGGAAGGGGCAGAAAGAAAATACCCAACACAATGATTAAACAATTTTGAGAGTCCAGGTGCAGTGACTCACGCCTGTAATCCAGCACTTTGGGAGGCCGACTTGGGCGGATCACCTGAGGTCAGGAGTTCGAGATCAGCCTGGCCAACATGGTGAAACCCCATCTATGCTAAAGATACAAAATTAGCTGGGCACGGTGGCACACACCTGTAATCCCAGCTACTTGGGAGGCTGAGGCAGAAGCATTGCTTGAACCCAAGAGGTGGAGGTTGCAGTGAGCCAAGATTGTGCCATCGCACTCCAGCCTGGGCAAAAAAGAGCAAAACTCCATCTAAAAAAAAAAAAAAAAGAATTTTTAGAGAGATACAGGAACAAGAAGCTAGAAGAGAGAGAGACACAAAATAAACAAAATTCTATAAATGAAAAATATAAAAATTGTATTCATCTCAGTTGATAAGCAGCAGATTAGATAATGATATGGTTTGGCTGTGTCCACACCCAAATCTCATCTTGAATTGTAGCTCCCATAATTCCCATATGTTGTGGCAGGGACCCAGTGGGAGATGATTCAATCTTTGGAGTGCTTCCCCCATACTGTTCTCATGGCAGTGAATAAGTCTCATGAGATGTGATGATTTCTTTTTCTTTTTCCTTTTTTTTTTTTTGAGACGGGGCCTCTCTCTGTCACCCAGGCTGGAGTGTAGTGGCACGATCTCTGCTCACTGCAGTCTCTGACTCCTGGGTTCAAGTGATTCTCCTGCCTCAGCCCCCTCAGTAGCTGGGATTACAGGCGCATGCCACCACGCCTGACTAATTTTTTGTATTTTCAGTAGAGAGGGGGTTTCACCATATTGGCAAGGCTGGTCTCAAACTCCAGACTTCGGGTTTTCTGCCCGCCTCGGCCTCCCAAAGTGCTGGGATTACAGGTATGAGCCACCATGCCTGGCTGAGAGCTGATGATTTTATAAGGCATTTCCCCTTTCACTTGGCTCTCATACTCTCTTGCCTGCCGCCATGTAAGACATTCCTTGCTCTTCCACCATGATTGTGAGGCCTCCCCAGCCGTATGGAACTGAGTCAATTTTTCCTCTTATCTTTGTAGATTACCAATCTTGAGTATGCCTTTATTAGCAGCATGAGAACAGACTAACACAGATAAATTGATTGATAGCCAACGGGAAGGAGAGTAGTAGAAGATAAGTTACCCAAGCGGAGCACAGGGAAAAAAACAAAACAAAAAAACAGTGAAAAATATGAAAGAAGGGTTAGGAAGTATTGAGTGAGAAAGTCTAACATGTCTAATTCACTGACATTTTAGGACAGATTAGGCAATATTCAAAGAGATCATGACTATTTTCCATAATTGAAAAAAAGACCAGACGGGCGCGGTGGCTCATGCCTGTAATCCCAGCACTTTGGGAGGCCGAGGCGGGAAGATCACAAGGTCAGGAGATCAAGACCATCCTGACTAACACGGTGAAACCCCGTCTCTACTAAAAATACAAAAAATTAGCCAGGCGTGGTGGTGGGCGCCTGTAGTCCCAGCTACTCGGGAGGCTGAGGCAGGAGAATGGTGTGAACCTGGGAGGCGGAGCTTACAGTGAGCCAAGATCGCGCCACTGCACTCCAGCCTAGGCGACAGAGCAAGACTCCGTCTCAAGAAAAAAAAAACAGATAAAAGAAAAAAAAGACCATGACTATTTATTTATTCTGACTACAAAGATCCAGAAGAGAAGTCAAGAAGGCCAATAGGTCCTGAGCAGGATAAATAAAAATAAAGTCACATTTAGATACACTGTAGGAAAGCTTCAGATTCCCCCAAACAGAGAGGAAAAAGAAAAAAAAATGCCAAAAAGAAATAATAACTAGATTAATAGTGGACTTCTTATTGGCAGGAAAACATGTCAGAACACAATGGGTATGTCTTCATTAGCAGTATGTCTCTTCAAATTGCTGAAGGAAATTAACTGTCAGCTTGAATCCTATACAAATCTAACTTTGATTCCAAAGGAAAGACAAAGTAAAGACATTTATAGACAAAAATTGAAAGGGATTACTACTAAGACACCCTTACAAAGAAGCTTTAAAAGGGTATTTTTTAGGAAGAAAAAAGAATACAGAAGGAAGATCTAATATACAAGAAAGAATTTTGAGCCAAGAAAATGGGAAACTTCTGTTTAAACCTAAATTAACGTTGACAGTATAAAACAACAAATAATGGCTAACTTCTGGTGTTTAAAAAACGAGATTGAGCTGAAATACTAGAAGGAAGAGCATATAAATAGGAAGCCAGGAAGGAAAGGGAAAGCAACCTCTTGCTCTTTCATCATTGGTCAGAATGGTAAGAATATGGATAAACATTAGGCTTCGTTAGCTTATATGTTAAAATGCCTAGGTTAACTTCTAAATGAATAGAAACAGTGTTTATAACTTCCAAATAAATACAGAGAAAATGGGAATGAAAAAAAATCATTTAATACAAAAGAAAGCAAGAAAGAGAGGGGAAAAAATATAGATGGAAGAGGCAAATATAAAATAGTTATCTCCTTAAGATAAAATATTTTTAGTTTAGTGAACATTGTCTTCTAGCACAGAGACACTAAAAAATTTACTCACTGGGAAACTTATTCCTTTCTAATCTTCAGATTGCTTAAAGTAATTTATACCTATATAGGAGATCTTTTTCTTTTTTCTTTCTTTTTTTGTTTTATTTTGTTTTGTTTTGTTTTGTTTTGTTTTGTTTTGAGACAGAGTCTCACTCTGTCATCCAGGCTGGAGTGCAGTGGTGCTATCTCTGCTCACTGCAACCTCTGCCTCCCGGGTTCAAGCAATTCTCCTGCCGCAATCTCCTGAGTAGCTGGGATTACAGGTGCACACCACAATGCTGGGCTAATTTTTGTATTTTTAGTAGAGATGGGGTTTCACCATGTTGGCCAGCCTGGTCTCAAACTCCTGACCTCAAGTCATCTGCCTGCCTTGGCCTCCCACAGTGCTGGGATTACAGGCATGACCCACCGTGCCTGGCCCCCTCACTTTTTTTTTTTTAATTTACTGGCTTTTCCTCTGTCCCCTCATTTTTTCTCTCTCTCTTTTCCTTCTTCCATCTGTTTATCTATCTGTCCATCTATTAATATCTACCTATTTATCTATCTGTCCATCCATCCATCTGTGCAGTCATCCATCCATCCATCCACTTTACCAGCTATACCCCAACCCTCTTTACTTCTAAACACCTACCCATCTCATTATGCTCCCACCTATCTATCTGTTCTTTCATTCATTCACTTTATAACCAAAATCTTTTTTTCCAACCCAGACCTCTCTCCAAACCTTGCTACTTGACATCTCCTTAGACATTTCATAGGTGCCTCAAACTTCACATGTCCGAAACACAACCCTCGGTTCCATCCCCACACAAAGTTCCCCCTCCCCAAGCCCTCACCATCACAGCAAGTGGCACCACCAGCCATTTAACTGCTCAGCTAAAAACCTAGGAGTCACCTTGATGATTGTTTATCTCATGCCTCACATTCCATCATCAGCAAGTGTTGTCAGATTCTACCCTAAGTCTGATGGTGTCTTGCCATCTCCACTGCTACTATCCTCTGTCCACACCATCAGCCTTTCTTTGAAACCACTGGAATAGTCACATAGCCACCGTGCACCCTGCTCTTCTTACTATCCTTTTCCATAGCTGCCAAAGTGATCTTTTCAGTATGAATCAGAACATGTTATCCCCTTCCTAAAAGCTTCTGTGGCTTCCCATTGTGTCTAGAAATAAACAGAAAGTCTCCACTATGACCCACGTGGCTGCTAGGATCTGACATCTACTCAGCCTCTGACCTGGTCTTCCTCTGCGTGCGGTTTCATTCCTTTGACGCCAGCTCCACTGGCCGCCTTTCCTGTTCCTCTAACATGCCCAGCTCGTGTCTGACTCAGCCCTTTAAATCTGCTGTTCCCTCCTCCAGACCTGCAAGATCAAGTCTCTGCTGAAATGTCACATCCTCCGAGAGACGTTGCCTGACATGCTGTTTTATGTTCATCTGAACACATTTTTCAGCATTTGAAGTTATCTTTTTAAAAAAAGCAGTTCATTGTCTGTGCCTCTTAAGGGCAGGGACTTTGTTTATTGTTATATTCTCAGGGTCTATACCTATGCCTGGATCATAGTAGGGGCTCAGTTATTGTTTGTTGAATGACTGTTTGGCATTAATTAATTAATTTCACAACTTGGAGTGGAATTAGCCATCTGCATTCATATGAAAAATGACTTAAATCCCTATGATATATCAAATTAAGGCAAATAATCAGCCAATAAAAATGGGTTTGCCACAAATTTGACCAATCAAAGGTTAACTACTATGTAAAGAGTTATTACAAACTAATAAAAAGAACACTAACACACCATTTAAGGGACATTATAGTCCAGGCAGGACCCCACCTACCAGAGCTAACCAGCATTTGCACCTCCTCAGTTATGGTTTTGAGGTCTCCTGCCTCCTTAGGATTATAGGGGACCCAGCATCTCTCTTGGTGTCAGAAAACAGGAGGTGATCCTCCAATATCATGCTGACACACTTACAGTCCTCATGGACCCTTTGAAAACAGCCCCTCCATTTTCTTTTTGCCAAGCTTGGGCATAAGGCTTATTTGTGTTAGGCCATGCTGCCATCTTGGGAGAACCCTTCAGAAGGCTCCATCCCCTCACACAGCACTGCATGAGAGTGGGCATGGGATGCCATCCTTAAGAACCACCCCATCCCACGCCAAGTCATGAGGAAGAGTGCTCCCTTCACTCTTTGCTAGATCAGTTCTGCCTTCCTTCCCACACAGTGTCAGCCTTCTTCAGTCAGCCTTGTTGAAGAAAAGACTCCAGAATGCTCTGCACAGAAACTCAGGCTGAAGTTTTGCAGTCTGAGAATTTTTTGACCACTCTCAGATGCTAGAAAATCCAGGAACCCAGACTCAACACAAATTCTTCAGGAGTGAGAAGGAAAGATTCTGATACTTGTCCTAAGTCTTCTTCATAAGCAAGAACAAGGCAGATGTTAGTAACACAAATGATTATTTTGCTATATATCCTTTGCCAAATAGAATTACTCTGATATATGTAAATAAATATTCTCCTTTTTCTAAGTAGAGAAACCATCAATAATTACCAGGTTTTTTATTTCTCAAATTACAAAATACTTAATAGCTATTCTATTTTATATCAATGCAAAACACGGGTAAGAACTGGACATTTGTGGAGGGGCTATATAGCATTTATGAGGTTCATTTGTTTTCTTATGCTTTGCAAAACTGAGTTAGTGCATGTGAGGATTTATTTATTATTGCAAGCAAATCAACTTAAGTATTACAAACAAAAAATCTGGTCACTGTTATTTTGAAAGCATTAAGATAACTTACATTGCTAAGCATTCTATTGATCTTTTGCTATTTGTCTTGTATTTTCAAATGATTATATTTCCCTGCAGACAGTGGAAATATCAATGAGAAATAAGATGTCCTTTCATCAATGATGTAGGTTATTTCATTTCCAAATATTCACATATTATGCTTACATGTGTTTCATTCTTAATATTCCGAAGTCAATCTGTTCCCCAATAGTTTTTTTATTAGAAAGGAAAATATTTCACATCAAACATTTTAATAATATTGTGAATCAAATTTAGAATATTTTTAAAATGTGATAACGTACCAATAGTGACATCTAGGCCGGGTGTGGTGGCTCACGCCTGTAATCCCAGCACTTTGGGAAGCTGAGGCGGGCAGATCACAAGGTCAGGACAGATTGAGACCGTCCTGACTAACACGGTGAAACCCTATCTCTACTAAAAATACAAAAAATTAGCCAGGCGTGGTGGCACATGCCTGTAGTCCCAGCTACTCAGGAGGCTGAGGCAGGAGAATCACTTGAACCTAGGAGGCGGAGGTTGCAGTGAGCCGAGATCGCGCCACTGCACTGGGCGACAGAGCGACAGAGCGACAGAGCAACAGAGCAAGACTCCATCTCAAAAAAAAAAAAGTCATCTAAATTGATATAAAAATGACTTAAATCTGTATAAATCAAATTAAGGCAAATGATGAGCCAATAAAAATACCTTTGGCACAAATTTGACCAATTAAAAGTTATTATAATTACTATGTAAAGAGTTATTACAAACTAATAAGAAGAACACTAACACACTAATTAAGGGGCACTAGAGTCCAGTGATTAAGAGCTCAGGCTCTGGAGTTAGAGCTGGGTTCAAATCCAGGCCCTGTCACATTCTGTGTGATGTTGGACAAGACTCGTATCATCCGTATACCTCTTGGAGTTCTAATTTGTAATATGGAGATAATAAGCATGACTGCTTGCAGTGTAATTGAAAAGAGTACGTAAGATCATACATAAACAACTCTTGGTACCAATCACTGGTACCCAGTACTTACTATTATTTTGCCAAAAGAGATGAATAGGCAGTTTGCAAAAGAAGAAATACAAATGACTAGTAGACATAAGCAAAAAGTTAATCTCCCTAGTAATCAGTTAGATACAAATGAATACAGCAATGGGAGGCCATTTTTTCCTAGGGAATTTGTGTTTTAAAATATATTCTAATTCTCAGTCATGATATATGTGGTGAGTTCTGGAATGAATATAAATTCAGACAATTTTTCCAGAAGGCAGCTTGGCAATTTTTATCTAGTGCTTTAAACATTTTCATAGCCTTTGACCAAGGCTTCAGCTATTGCTCTACTCCAGCAGGCGTTACTCACATTGTAGTTTGAACTGGGGCTCCTGGCAGCAACATTTATATAGAATATACTGTGTTTGGTGGCTCCTAGGGTTGTGCAGCTGGTGCCCATGCCACTGACGTGTTCAACTTACAGCAATCAAGCCTAAGAAAATAAACAGAAAGGCACATATAGATTTATGTGTAAGGAAGTTTGTCCAAGAGTAATTCAGAAAAAGCCAAAAACTGTGAAACAACCTAAATTTCAATCAATGGAGGAATAACAACATGAATTATTGTAGATTAATAGAAAGGAATTTTATATTGCCATTAAAAGTCACATTAGGAATCTATAAGACATAGGAAATAATTGTACAAGTTCATTCCAAAAGGAAAGTAGCTTTATTATGGCCTCCAACTAGAAAAGTAAAATGTATTCATTTTAAAAATTACACAATCTAGAAAAACTAAATAAAGTAGACACTAATGATCTTAACATTCCAAAATAGACACTTTTTTATATAGGTCCTAACAAACTTTTTTTCCACATGAATGTTCATATTGCTATGTAATGTAAACTGCAAAAATCAGGCTGCTAAACTGCTAATTCCTAAGGGGGGGAAAAGTACCTAAGTATTTATTCATGGTGGAGGGAATATGGATGATTTCTTTTTTTGTTTTACTTATCTCTTTTTTGCCTCTAACATATCTACAGTAAGCATGGATTACTTTATAAGCAAAACATCTTAAATAACATAAATGCTGTAAATGACTTTTTCTTACTTAAATTATAACTATTTCTTTCAGTGCTCTGAAAGATGGAATATTTTTTAAAAAGACAATATTCCTTTTGCAAAATGAGAACTAACACTCATTAATCACTCTGCTGTCTTCCTCTTAATGAAAACCTGCAAATGCATATGCAAATGAACTGAACTTCTATTATAAGATGGTGACAGGATGCTCTACAGAAGAGAAGGTAATGATAGAGTTTGAAAAATAGGAGCGCAGAGGAAGGTTAGCAGTGGTGGAATCTTTCTATTCAATGCCTTAAAAGAGTTGTATTAATCTGATAGTGTTCCACCTACCAATAATGAAATAAGATCATAAGCAGCAGTAAAAAGCAAAAGCTCCTCATTGTGATATGACACATAGAGTGTAGCAGAATAGGGCTATGGGGACCCAGATCAAAAAGAAAACGTAGAAAGTTGTAATATTCTTCAGACATTTTCATAAGTCCTGCCAGATCATCCTATTTAACTACTTGACAAGTTTAGTCTGTATTACCCACGTTAAGCCTCCTAGAGTATTTTTATCCAATATCACACATTTGGATCAAAACTTTAAAATATCAATTCAACGTTCAAATACTTTGTCTACACAATTACGTACACTCATGTCTAAAAATACAAATTGAGTAAACCCAATGTCCCTCAAGATTGTTAGCATTCAGCAGACAAAGATTTAATGTCAAAAGAGGGTCTGAAGCATTAAGGTTCTTAAATATAACTGTCCCAAGGAGAATTGGAGGTAGGCTTATAGGAAATTAAATTCCTTGGACAGGGTAGATGAGAGTAGAGACAGCATCCTATTGTGTTAATCCCGTTTTTGCCCTTTTGTGTGGAAAATCATGACAGCCTGCTGCCTTTAAATGGCTTGAGAATCCAGAACAAAGATAAACACTCAGCTGGATTCTACATTTTTGAAATTCTATTACAGGAAAGATTCTTGGGTTAAAGAAGGGATATATGAAAACAGCAGAGCACCATTGCTGCCCTCCAGAATCTTCCCATTATATGAGACAGGTACGAAGGCAACTGGAAAACATGGCAGACTTTTTTTTTTTTTTTTTTTTGAAACGGAGTTTCGCTTTTGTTGCCTAGGCTGGAGTGCAACGGCGCAATCTTGGCTCATTGTAACCTCCGCCTCCCAGGTTCAAGCGATTCTCCTGCCTCAGCCTCCTGAGTAGCTGGGGTTACAGGCATATGCCAACATGACTGGCTAATTTTGTATTTTCAGTAGAGACAGGGTTTCTCCATGTTGGTCAGGCTGGTCTCGAACTCCCGATCTCAGGTGATCTGCCTGCCTTGGCCTCCCAAAGTGCTGGGATTATAGGTGTGAGCCACCGTGCCTAGCCTTTTTTTTTTTGAGACAGGGTCTTGCTCTGTTGCCCAGGCTGGAGTGAGGTGGCATGATCTCGGCTCACTGCAACTTTTGTCTCTTGGGTTCAAACAATTCTCTTGCCTCAGCCTCCCAAGTAGCTGGGTTTACAAGTGTGTGCCACCACACCTGGCTAACTTTTGTATTTTTAGTAGAGACAGGGTTTCACCATGTTGGCCAGGCTGGTCTCAAACTTCTGGCCTCAAGTGGTCTGCCGGTCTTGGCCTCCCAAAGTACTAGGATTACAGGTGTGAGCCACCACACCTGGCCCAGAATTTTTTAAGTGCTGAATTGGTGGCATTCTCTAGAGAAAGAGAACCAATAAGAGAGATATATAGAAGATATATGTATAGGATATATGATATATGTAGATTAGATATAGATTAATAGGAGATACATATGCAGTCAGCTCTCTATATTTGTAGATTCCACACCCATGCATTCAACCAACCAAAAATGTTAGAAAAAACAATAAAAATTACAAACAACAATTAAAAATGATACAAATAAAAAACAATGGGGCATAACAACGAGTTACATAGCATTTACATAGTATAGGTATTGTAAGTAATCTAGACATGATTCAAAGTATACAGGAGGCTATGCATAGGTTATCTGCAAATACTACACTATTTTATATAAGACACTTGGGCATATGCAGATTTTGATATCTGAGTGGGGGTTCTGGATCCAATCTCCCATGGATACCAAAGGACTACTAACTGTACAGAAGATACAGATAGATGATAGATAGATAGATAGATAGATAGATAGATAGATAGATAGATAGATAAAAGAGATATTTATAGAAGAAATATATATAGGAGATATACATATACAATCTATATATAAGATATATAGTGGATATATATGATATATATATTTAGGAATATTATATATGGTATATCTCATATCTCATACATCTATGTATCTCATATATATATTTATATGAGAAAATATATGACTGTATGAGATATACAGATAAGAGAGATTTAGTATATGCAATTGGCTCACTGATTACGGAGTGAGTCCCAGATCTGCAGGATGACTTGGCATGTAAGAGACCCAGGAGAGCTGATGGTATAGTTCCTGTCAAGACAGCAGGCTGGAACCCCAGGAAGAGCCAATGTTTCCGTTTGGATCTGAAGGCAGGAAAACAGCTGATGATCAGTCCAAAGGCCATCACAAGAGTTTTCTCTTACTCTCAAGGGAGGGTCAGCCTTTCTGTTTTCTCCAGGCCTTCAACTGATGTGATGGGGCCCATCTACATACTGGGGGAAAATCTGTGTTACTCAGTGTTCTGATTTAAATTTAACTTCATTCAAAGACACACAGAAACACCCAGAAATAATGTTTGACCACATACCTGGGCACCCCACAGCCCAATCAAGTTGACGCATAAAATTAAGCATCACACCTGAGTTAACCACTGTAAACATTGTGGTTGACTTAATTATTCACCCTTTCAATGCCAGCCCTGAGGAATGGGAGTTTATGTGGATAAGGACAAAAATCTTTGGGCATAAAGAGTCAGCTAAAATACTTTCGCCTCTCTGTTGCTGCCACCATTGAGAGTAGATGTCTCTAAGTGCATTTGTCTGTGATACCCCCTCTTTCTGTCCAAGCTGAGGGTTTTATTTTCATATATTCAGAACACCTAAGAAGTTGTGAGATATTTTTTCTCCAAACCAATTTTTCTAGCTGTGGTGTGAAGTATTTCTCAGGCATAAACATCACCTTTCAACCCCATCTGAACTGAAAATCCCATTTCTAATCTTCTTTATGATTGAGAAATGATAGAGTAGATTTGCTGGAAAACATCTGCCTCACTGACAGCTGGCTGTTCTTGTGGGAGTGACCCTAAGTGCCTATTGTTTATGCTTATTCATTGAGAAGTGTCTTTTAAAGATCATAACATGGACCAAAATTTGAAGAAGAATTGCCCCACATTGACTGAGAAAATGTCATGCTAATGTTAGATTTTATTCTATTTTCTCATATCATGATGTCTGTGGTTACACGCTCTTGATAAGAATTTGATTCCCTCTCTTTCCTTCATGACCAGAGACAATCCCGGCAAAAACATGGAGCAACATTAGCTCTTACCATTTCCAGTCAAGCTCTTCAACAATATAATCTGTTCTCTGAATCTCATTTCTCTTATCAAACCTTAGCAGCATATCAAAATCACCTGGGAATTAAAAAAAAAAAGGCTGATATTTGGTTTCTACCTTCTGCCACCCTCAGATTCTGATTTGTTTATTCTGGAGCGTGATCTCGGCATTGGGATTTCTAAAAGCCTTCTGAGTGATTCTCATATATACCCCGAGTTGCAAACCATCGCCCTAGGACCTTTATTATTCAAAATTATTCACATCACCTCCAAGCTTGTTGGAAATTCAGGGGCCTGCCCCTGGATGTGAATCTGCATTTTAGCAAGACCAATATGTAGATATATTAAAGGTTGCACAGCCCTGTCCTATGTGTTGGTCCCTCCTTGCAATTAAATTTAGCTTTTAGGGATAGGGAAACTCGCCCATGTGAAAATCGTTATTTAATTCCTTCAGTTCCCCAGAGGTGATCAAATTATGGCAGATGCTCACTGTATTGTTTGAGTAAGTTTAAGAAGTAAAAGTTCTAACTATGGAACTCTGAGCAACTGGAAGTTGAACAGGATGGAGTTTTTGATTAGGGAATAATTTTGATCCCTTGAAATTCCTGCACTCAGGCAAATGACTTCTTAGTCTTCCTATACTGTGCCTGTCCTTGCCAGGGCCCTTGGGGTCAGGAGTACAAGTCCTATGAGTTCCCCAGAGCCTGGCCTGCCCCAAAGTTTATGTTTTAGGCAAAAAAAAAATGACAGTATCATCATAGGTTCAAATTGAAAAACATAAGTAGGCCATGCGTGTTGGCTCACGCCTGTACCAGCACTTTGGGAGGCCAGGGTGGATAGATTACCTGGGCCCAGGAGTCTGAGACAAGCCTGGACAACATTGCAAAACCCTGTCTCCACTAAAAATTTTAAAAAGCAGCCACGTGCCTGTAGTCCCAGCTGCTTGGGAGGCTGAGGAGGGAGGATGGATTAAGCCCAGGAGGTAGAGGCTGTAGCAGTGAGCTGTGATCGTGTCACTGTATTGCAGCCTGCGTGACAGAGATGAAAGGAAAGGAAAGGAAAGAAAGAAAGGGAGGAAGGAAGGAAGAGAGGCAGGAAGGGAGGGAGGGAGAGGGAGAGAAGGAAGGAAAAATAAAAATAAAAACATGAGTATTCAAGCAAAGAACATGTATTTTAAAGACTTCTCAACTGACTAAAGTCTCAAACAGGAAAATACTTACCATAACAGCAGGCTGAAATTTCAAGTAAAAACTAAAGGGTAATTTTTTTTTTAGTGTGTATTGGAATGAATCAGCCAAAGGTGGGTTCAAATTAATGCCTGTAACCTTGATAAATTACTTACCCTAATTTTTTGTTTTCTTAACCAAAAAGAGCAGGGATGATAATATCTACAGCTGGAGTTGTTGAGCATTTTAATTAAGATATTATATAAGTTTTCTAGCCTCAGTTTCCCCAAATGGAAAATGAGGATAACAATTCTCACTTCAGGATTGTTATGGGTATATGACAATGTATACAAAGTGTTTAGCATGATCCTGGCACATAGGAAATGATTACTTAAGGAGAGTGACTTTTCTATATCACTAATGGCAGAAAGCATGGTGAGAGTGGTCATAATACCTGGAGCAGTAGTAGTGGTCATCAAATGTTGGTTTCCACTCCTTTATCTTATAGGGGCCAAATTTGGCAGAGAGCTTAAGTAATCTGTCTATACTTTTATTGAAATCTACTTTGAAATTCCACCAGGTTTCTCACCCAATGGGACTGGGTGGGGAAATGTCCAGATGTAAGACATTATCATCTAGTGGTGTGTGTGTTTGTGTGTCTGTGTGTGTGTGTGTGTGTGACAAAGAGAGAGACAGAGAGCACTTGAGTGTACTCTGTTATATTATACATGCCACTTCCTAAAGATTCTGATGTATGGCCAGGCACGGTGGCTCACGCCTGTAATCCCAGCACTTTGGGAGGCCGAGGTGGGCGGATCACCTGAGGTCAGGAGTTTGAGACCAGCCTAGCCAACATGGAGAAACCCCGTCTCTACTAAAAATACAAAAATTAGCTGGGTGTTGTGGTGTAATCCCACCTGTAATCCCAGCTACTCGGGAGGCTGAGGCAGGAGAATCGCTTGAACCAGGGAGGCAGAGGTTGCAATGAGCCGAGATTGCACCATTGCACTCCAGCCTGGGCAACAAGAGCAAGACTCCCTCTCAAAAAATAAAAATAAAAAATAAAAAAAGATCCTGATGTATTGTCAACATCCACTCTCTCCCCAGGAATTAATACACAGTTAAAAACTACCTGCCGTGCAGAATATAATTGAGTGCTAATAACATTATTGTTGGGCATACATTCATTTACATAAATATGAGGTATATTATTATCTCCATTTTACCTGATGAGGAGACTGTGAATGTGAAAGGTTATTTGTCCAAGATCACCAAAGTATCTGTAGCTAAATTAGGATTTGAACTCAGATTTATCTTCAAAGCCCAGGCCTGGCTCCTATGTCTTAATATACTCGCATAGAGGTGATGTAACAGGGGGGTGGTAGGGAGAGATGAAAATTACTTTTGCATCAGACTTTAATTCTCACAGATTACTCCAGAAAAGCAGATGTGAGCACGCTATACTTTGCTCTAAGGAACAGAGGCCACCTAGAGTTCCTAACTGGACTTTTATGCTTTAGACACTATATTACATCTATCACTTCATTCCATCATCACAAAGTCTGTAAATAGGGATTATTAACCCATTTTAGAGACCAAGAATATAAGATTAAATAATTTGCTCAGGGTCACACAGCTAATAAATGACAAGCTAGGAGTGAAGCCCAGGTCTTTTTGACTCCATAAATACATATTAAACTTTCCTAGAATCATTTTCTCATGCTTTGTTTTACAGACAATCTGGAATATTTGTAAAAGGCCAAAATATGTTTTCTGTATCAGAAGATTGGCTCAGATATTGTGTCTGTTAGCTTTCCTTCAATGCCCATTTACTCTCCTTTTTTTATTTTTTTTTTAAAAAAAAGAGGATTTCTGTTTTGTTATTGAACGTATAGCTGCTACAGGGAAAGAAATGAAAATATTGATTCAGATTTTCTTGGGGAGTGAAGGCAGAGGACATTCAGAGTACAGGATCTGCTCGGTTCCCTGGGCTGACAAGCTAAAACTGTGGATAAGAAAATGCCAGCTGTCTAGAAATAGTCTTTGAGGCTTGATTTTGGACGTTTTGTTAAAAACAACAACAACAACAAAACTGCTGAAAAGAAAGTCGTCACCGGCATGGATAATAGCTATAATTCCCAAACAGAAATCATTTCTATAGCTATTTTAAAAATTTGTCCCAGTTGAAATGTAAATGTCACAGGAAGGAGTCAAGGTTGTTTTGTAGGATCCCCCACAGCAAGGATATAGTTTTCCTCATACCTTTTTTTTTTTTTTTTTTGAGACAGAATCTCTTGCTCTGTCGCCCAAGCTGGAGTACAGTGGCACAATCTCAGCTCACTGCAACCTCTGCCTCCTGGGTTCAAGCAATTCTCCTGTCTCAGCCTCCCGAGTAGCTGACATTACAGGCGCACACCATCACGCCTGGCTAATTTTTATATTTTTAGTAGAGACGGGGTTTCACCATGTTGGCCAGGCTGGTCTCGAACTCCTGACCTCAAATGATCTGCCCAACCTCAGCCTCCCAAAGGGCTGGGATTACAGGTGTGAGCCACCGCGCCCAGCCAGTTTCCCTCATATCTTTATTCCCCAGGCCTCGTATACTCCCTGGCACATAATGAGTGTTTAGTCAACATGACTGAGTGAATTAATGAATGCTTGAATAAATGAACAGGTAGTAGAGAATGAATATATTGGATATCGTTATGAAAGCAAATTTTCATAGAAAAAGAGCATAAAGCCATAGGAACCCCCGCAGAAGACACGAAAAACAAACTCACTCCCTGCTTTTGCCCAGAGCAGGCTTACAGCTGGCTTCACTTTAGTTTATCCTAGATTTCTCTTAGGACATTGAAGACAGAAAAGATGTTTGTAACCTGAAGTGTCAGGGAACAAAGCCAGAAGGTGCAACATGCAGAAGAAAACATATTCAATGAGTTTCTGAATGCTATCCTGTTTTTCTCTTCAAACAGAAAGAAAAACTCTCTCTCTCTCGGCCCCCCACCCCCTACACTCCCCTTCTCCCTCTCTGTCTTTCCAGTCAAAGAGACTGCAGCGGATGGCATGCCTTAAGTGCCTGCATGTGCCGATCTGATCCGCCCAAGCTAAGTGGCCAAATAGGATACTCCAGGCAATACCCCCAAGCCCCCCTGCAGCTCAGTGAGAAAGACGATGCAGGAATACCTGTGCCTGCGTCGTGTGCCGCCACTAGGGGTCCCCAGCAGCAGGCGATGTGAACTGGGAATTGGGTAGCAGAGGCGGCCTCCCTTTGTCTGCACCCCAGGTGTGGACTCCTCTTTGTTCAGAGGCAGGGCCGCTACCTGCGGCGTCTGAGCTGCCTGCTCATTAACCCATCCTGGGCCGTCTGTGCACCTCCTGAGGAAACAGCGGGTTTCTCAGCTCCTGCCCCTAGTGACGCCTGCCTCAGAAGAGCCAATGCGTTCTCTTTCTCAGGACTAGGTGTCTTTGTATTTGAAATAAGGCTTAAACTACAGAGCGAAATATTTCTCACTACAGCAAAAGAGCATTTTGATGTTGAGAAATTGATGGCAAAAGGACCACTTTCAGGGTACGGTAGAGTACTTGCCATAAAATATTTAAAGCTAGTTGACGAATAGCCCTGCTATTCTCCTGTGAATGCCCACCACTGGATTAATCTTGAAAGTAAGGAATACAGTATTTCATTCTGTGTTTAGCACAGGGAAAGGGAATGACCTTCACTAAAAAACACTCCAGAATGCCTGCAGTGAGGGAGCACAGCTCCTGCTATGACAGCCACGTTCACCCTGCAGTGCTTTCTTGTCTGCTTTTAAACTTCAAAAGAATGGTGAAACAAAATAAACAAATTACACCACCATAAGAGCTACCCTGCAAACAATAAATCATGTGAATTGTAACAGCCGGTGAAGGAGGGTGGGGTGGGGATTGCAAATATTTACTCCATCAAGATTTTATTCTTATGTTTCACCGTTTCAGTCTTTTTTGATCACAGCAAAGGTAGTATCCTTACATGACCGTCAAGTTCTTTCTTTTGCTGCAGATGTGTTGTTACTCATTGTCTTGTAGCTCAGTGGTCACAGCTACTAACGTGGAAAGGAACTGGCATACAAGAGAACCATTTACAGATGTCCTTAATTTGCTCATTTACTCAATGAGTAAACAATTGAACAACATCCACTGAGCACCTATTGTATGCAAAGTATGGTAGACAATACAGGGGCTGGGCAAACAAGGATCCTGCCCCCACCATGCTTTTTTTTTTTTCCCTGAGACAGGGCCTCACTCTGTCTCCCAGGCTGGGGTGCAGTGGCATCAACAGAGCTCACTGCATCCTTGAACTTCTGGACTCAAGCAATTCTCCCCCCTCAGCCTCCCAAGTAGCTAGGACTACAGGTTAACTACAACGCCTGGCTAATTTATTTTTTATGTTTTTAGAGATGAGGCCTCATGTTGCTCAGGATGGTCTCAAACTCCTGGCCTCAAGGGATCCTCCCACCTCAACTTACTGAGTCACTGGGATTATAGGCATGAGCCACCAGGCCAAGCCCGCTATTAATGGACTAAGGTAATGAAATATATACCAAAAGTACCATTAAAATAAGACAGAGCATGAGATCTGCCCATTGAGAGGTACAGTAGATGGACTAGAGAAATCCAACAGAAGAAGAGTTATTTTCTGCCTTGGGAATCAGGGAAAACTTTCCAGAGAAGGTGCATTCTGGTTGAACCCTTTTGGTATGTAGGATGGGAAGCAGGAAGGAATGGCAGAATCCAGTGCTGCTAGCCCCAAGGGCATAGGCCACCATGAAAGAGGGTTGCCTTTGTGAAAGGGGGGAACAGAGATTAGATTGGAAAGGTAAGTTTGGAAGGCTTTGAATGCCAGGTGAAAGCTAAGTTAAAACAAAATGATAATTTTTATTCTTAAGAAGCCCACATTATCCACAAGACTCCGTTTATCCCATAAGTCTTTTAATATTTGAAGAAAAAAGGCAGAAATGTCTTTTAAAATTCTACTTTCCAAACAATTAAGATTTCTGTAGCACCAATATTCTTTCCACTGGCAAATAGGTATTACCTAGAATTAAGGCAACACATAAATGAATAAAATAGATGATAACTTTTTCATTGTTTCATTTGGAGAAATACTTTAGAAGGTCCACAAACAGGTCCCTGAGCCTACCAAAGAGGGATGTTAGCATTTTATTTCCAGCATGTCCTGATAACTTACTGATACTAAACATTTTTGCAAGGAGCAGCCAGCCTTCAGGCTCCTGAATCTAAGAAGGATGATAGTGAATGATTATTCATGTTGAGTTTTCTGCATTGGTTATGGCTTTATCAATCCAGATGATCAATCAACTTTCAGATTTTAGTTCTGAACCTGGAGCTTTCTGTTTGGTATTCAAAATAATGGGTGTCAAAGTTATAGCTCATATCACACCGACAGACTGGGCCTCCCCCATCAGCACTTCTCTGTTCAGCAAGCGTGTTTGTTGGCCTTGTATTCCTCTTCTGGCCCCAGGATCCAGGAAAACATGAGTCTCAGCTTTTTTCTACTTCTGTACAGCACAGGGCCTTCAGGTGGTGCCTTCACAGCAAATACCCCCGTCCCTTCATCTGTCAATTTAGGACAATAAAAATAATCTGCCTCACAGAGCCATGCTTTACTTTCTCCAGTTAAAACACTATGAAGGGAAATATGAGTATCCGAACTGCAGAAACATAATCTGTTGTCCTTTTGTGAAATTTCAGAGATGAATAATGAAACCTGTTACCCTATTGCACAATTTGGGACAAGAAATATAAGCCATAGATTGAAGATAAGACATTTCCCCCTAGTAGAACAGGTCACAGTTGATTAGTTATCTCCAGATGCAATGAAGAAAGCAAAAATTTTTCAAACTATACATTCCTTCCTTAAAGTGAGCAACTTACAATCACTTTGGAACACAAACTTCATGCCAGGTACACTGTAGCTTTCCACATAGCATCTTATTTAATCTTCACAGCATCCTGTGTTATCAGATTTTTGTGGCAGGTGTAGAAACTGAGGCTCAGTAGGTCTAAGTAATTTGCTCAAGTTCGCAGCTAAGTGACAGAACCAGAGTTTGAACCCAGTTGTCTTCGAAGCCCAGATGGTAAAATTCTACCGGGCGACATAGCCAAGTCAGATAGTCCACCATCTAAAGATCTGGGGGGCTACATAGATTACTAGTCAAACAAGTAAGTGCTGTTTTCTATCAGAAGAACTCTGGGGAAACAGTAAGTTCCTTCTGATCTGATCAACAAGCCAAGTGTGTGATGGGTCACGTGTCCCTGAAGGCTCCAGATTAGGAACTGCATCATTTCGTGCAGTCCACAAAATGAAGGATAGTGGTAGGGGCTGGGAAAATGCGGGCGCTTGGGTCTCCTTAGACCAGCCAGGGCTGTTTCAAGGTCCATACAGTTGAGGGGTAGGAAGACGCAGTCCCACGTGACTGAAGAGTGCTCACACTCCTTTAACAGTTTAGCAAGGTGTATTTTTAAAAAATGGACCTTAATGAGAAGACACACTGGGATAGTATCCTGGAGGGATTTTTTTTTTTAAGTTCTAATCAACTAGAAAATGTGACGTGGGTGCGTACTGTGATTATTTAACATTCATTATTCACTGTATGTTAGGTCCTTGGTTGATGTGGATCCCCAGGGCCTAGCTGCTGTTCTGTGTCACTCCTGATAATTTTTAAATTGACTATGTTCTTTTAACCATGTTTTAAAAAGTTGAACTACCCCAATGTGAACACTTTCCATTTTTGCTATATAATGAGAGTACTTTCATTCCTTTAATGTTTGCTTTTTCCTTTGATCTAACAATTTCTCTTCAAATTTCACAGTTTTCTGTTGCTTTAGGATTGAAAGAACCGATTAGCCCGCTGGGAGCGTGAAACAGACTTAAAAAAAATCTGCATGGTATTTCCTCCCAGTGAAATTAATTTAGGTTTAAATACAGGGGGAAGGGACACACCTTGTGCTCGAGTCTCTTTCTCTCACACACCTGAGCAGTTCCTATCCTGAAAGGGCACAGTCGGACCTGCTGCCAAGTCTTAAGTCTTTTGTGAGAATCTTTTTTTGCAAGGCACGGAGAACCTCTTTCTCTTTGACACCAGCTTTGTGTGGGCCTGATGACACGTTTGGACGGCTCTATTTCTTTGAAGGCCAACCTCAGAGGCCCACGGACGCGTCGGGCACTGTCCGTGGCTGGGTTACTTAAGTGTAGCTGGGTTGGCTTCCCGGGTGTTTTAGGAAACGCACCTTCTTGCAGGGCAGGGACCGTCAGCTCCAGAGCAACAAAGGACAATTTGGAGAGGAGTGGAAGGAGCGCTCCATAGTGGCTCTGTCATCCCAGGTTCCCTTCTGCCTAGCACCGTGGCCCTAGTGATCCCGCCTTCGCCCTCTGGATCCCCCACCCCCACTGTCTCGCTGCTCGAGAGCCCGGCGGGGCGCGGTGAGCCCCACCACCTTCCCCCACACCCTCCCTCCCCATCCCCTTCAAATCCTAGGAGCAGCGCTGCGCGCAGCAGCCGCGCTCGCCCCGCGCCCGGCCCCGGCCTCCCCAGCACCCCGGGGACCCGGTCCCCCGTCCCGCCTCCCCCTGTCCAGCAGTCCGCAGCCTCCCCCTCCAGCCCCAGTGGCGGGAGCTGTCAAGCCCGCAGCAGCCGAACCACCCCCCGAGCGACCGCGTCTCCTCTTCTTCCTTTGTGTGTGCGCGAGCGGAGTTGGGGCGGAGGGAGAAGGGGGAGGTCGCTCTGTCTGTCCGTCTCCCGCCGCCTCTGCCCGGTCTACTCGAAGTGCGGCGGGAGAGGCGGGAGCCCAGGAGAGGGTGCGGGAGCTGGCGGGGCGGCTCGGAGCTGCCAGGACGCCCTGGTCCCAGCCGCGCACAGGGGAGCGTGGACGGCAGAGGGGCTCGGCGGGAGCCGAGATCCGCCCGTCCCGGCTGCCCCTCGGCCTCCCTCTGCTCCCACCTACCCCCTGACACCCATAGAAAAGCGTGCAAAGGCGCGGAGCGGGACGGAAACCACAAATAAATAGCGGCGGCGGCAGCGCGTCATCTGGTGGAGCAGGAAGTGCAGGCAGAGTCCGGAGGCTGGTGCTTTCTGCGCGTCCCCAGGACTTTGCCATGGGCTGGGGGCCGCGGAGGCTGCGAGCGGCCGGGCGAGGGCAGCGGCGGCGGCGTCCGCACCGGGGCTGAGCGAGCAGCGACGCGAGGGGCGCGCGGAGATGGCAGCGTCCAGCAACTCCAGCCTGTCCGGCTCGTCGGTGTCCTCCGGTGAGTTTCAGCCCGTCGGGCGCTGCTGCCGCGCCGGGTCTCGCCCCACTGCCCTCGCCCCGCAGCCTGGGATGGACAGAGCCTACCTGTGGCCATCCCGCCCGCTCTCTCGGAATGGGGGCAGGCGTCCGGGGTGATACTTGTTTGGTTCGCCAGCACCTCGGTGCCCAGAGCACCTCCGCGCCTGACATCTGACAGCGCAGAGGTGGGAGAGCGGTGGTGCCCTTAGTGTGCGGACGCGGGTGTTCCGGGGCTTGGAGTGCAGCGAGCGAAAAGCGAAAGGAGCGGGCAGGCTCGCACTTTCTGGCGCAGCTGGAGCGGGGGCTGGCGGGGCGGAGAAGGTTGGGGTGAAGCAGAGCGCCCCGACCTGTTTGCCGTGCCGCGCCCGCTACCCTGGACACCCAAATCCGGAGCAGAGGGGAGCAAACCCTCGCTCCTCGCAGACTTGATTTTCTTTGTTTGTTTCAGAAATTAGCTCTATGGAGACACTCGCTTGGGCATGGGTTTTAGACAGCAGCAATGAAGGGATGTATCTTTCTGATCCTGATTGAAGTGGGTTAGGGGAAGAGAGGTCGAGCCCATCCTCTGACTCTTGGCACATTTACGAGAGAGAGAGAGAGAGAGAGAGAGAGAGAGAGAGTGTGTGTGTGTGTGTGTGTGAGAGAGAGAGAGAGAGAGACTCCTTAGAGATTTTCTGATAATAGTGGCTGTAATTTCACTAGCAAGGCATGCATTTTTTTTCCTTTTAAGAATGGTTGAGCAAAGGGAAGGCTTCTTTCAGCTTTTCTATGGTTGATCATCGGGTCTAATTGAAGAGAAAAAAATTGCTAATGAATCTGAAGGAGTAGGAATCAATAGAGGCAGACCCACTGGTTTCTGAGTATGACAGGTTTCTAATCAGAATGATGCATTAGGTAGAATTCCTGTACCTCTCTGGTCATTGAAAACTTTAATGACAAACCCAAAGGGATAGCTGATAAGACATTTAGGGTAGTATACAGTATTTAAGGGTCAAGAAGGTCATGAAGTCCTAATGGAAGTGCTTCAATATATTAATATTGTATTAAGTCCCATTGGGCTGTTTTTATTATTATTCGCGAATTAAACTCAAAGGAAGAAACACCTTTTTGGAGGCATTGGATAGCAAGCAGGGCAAAAAGGCAACCACAGCTTTAGATGTGTAACTCACTAAATCATAAATGCAAGGTGAATTTGACTAAGGTGCAATTGTGATGTGGCACAAGGTGATCACTTGAAAGCCATCTGTTATCTTTCTTGGCAGATTTACTTCCTGGGAAATGGCACTTCCTTTCTCGATCACTGCCAACTAATTGAAAACACGTTGTTGTTAGGTGTGTGATATAGTTCAAGTTTCTAGTAGTGGCAGCCAATGGGGCAGAAGTCATATCTTATTAAGAGCAGCAACAAGTTGACCGCCGTGGTTTTAATTCTGAGAACTCAGCAAATGCTACAGTTTATTTTTAGTACCCTCAAACCACTGCTGCTGTTTTTCAATTCATTTTGGTTGACTAACATTGAATTTAAAATACAGTGGTGTTGGCTTTCTATTAGCATATGGTTATCCCTCTCAGAAAACTGCCCACTAGAAAATGAACTGGTGGGGCAAAAGAAAAGACGAAAGGAGAAAGGACAAGGAGCTGGTGGTGTCACATGATTTACTGGTGGCATGAATTACAGCTGCTGTGGCATCTGAATTTCCAGATCTTGATGTAGCTTAAGAAACCTGATTGAAAATCCTAAGTCAGCCTTCGGAAGAATACGTTGGTTTGAAACAACACAGTATGAGATTTAGATGATGGTAATTGCTTTCAGATAGGTTAGAGATGCCCATGATAGTTCTTTTTCCTGCTTTATTTACCCCTATTTTTAATCCTAAGGGAAAATGGGAAATTATGTGAAAACTGAAATTCAAAAAGTGGGCATGGATGTATTGTTTGGCATGAATCAGCCTAGCCCATGAGTTTATACTGCCTAATTCCCCAATTAATCAGGCACTTTGTCTTGAAAAATACAGCATTGTAGTTCTCTTTTAAAGCACACTTACCATTGTGTGGATCATGAATAATTCAGATGACACAAGCAATTCACACCTGTGAGAGGTGTTGGGCAGAAAGAATAGAGTCTATTTGTGGTGGCAGCTGGGCTCTCTCAGGGGAAGGCCAGAATCTGAGAAATTAGGGCACTCCGTCAATGTATTAATCACTATTTTCAAGGGCCTACTATGTGCCAGGCAGTAAGTTATAAACCTCAGCTTCAAGAAGGCTAAGGGGGAAAGATAATTGTAGGATTCCCTCTAGCTCTGAAGTTCTGGGAGTATTGTCTTTTAATTCTGGCTTCATCACCGACCAGCTGGGTATCTTGGAGTGAGTTACTTAACTTCTCCAAGCCTCAATTTCCTCTTTTGTAAATGAGGCTGATACTGATGATAAGACCTACTTGGTAGAGTGTCTTGGGGATTGAATGAAATAATGTGTGTGGAGTATTTAGCACAGGGCCTAGCATTTAATAAATGCTTAATGTGAATAAATTTTACTTCTTTGAGGAATGAAAAAGAAGGCATTCACGGGCTCAGAATTTAGGTGGAGACATGAATCCAACACACAATCCACTTCTTTCATCACACGTTAAATTTGATCTTGAATTTTGGGCTTCATTAAATAAGCACGCGAGTGTTTTCCAGGTTTCAGGCATAGCCCTGAGTGTTTGGCATGGAAAGATGAGTCAAGATCCTTTTCCCTTATCCTCCAGCAGCCGAGACAAACATGCAAACAGCAACCTCTATTCCAGTTTGATAAAACAAATTCTGTGGAGAAGGGTGCAGAGGAGAGGAATTGACTTAGTCAAATTAGAGGGGTCAGTGGAAATGTCATATGAGTTGGGCCTTGAAAGCTGAGTAGAATTTTTCCGGAAAACAAATGGAGAAAAAGACATTTCAGGAAGAGAGAAGAGCTTAGGTAAAGGCCTGGAGATGGGTAAGTTCATGGCATTATTTTGACTTTCTTTCTTGGGAAAGTTATGCTTACAGGCCCATAAGCAGCATCATGCACAGAGCTGCCAGCTCACTCATTGCTGCTGCTGATGTAGGAGGTTTTCTTTCTGTTCAGGTAGCAGTGGGTTTGATGGAACAGCTCTGGAAGCCGTAGGACATTTGGGCAATTGAGCAGTGAAAAAGGAACAGTTAATTCTGTAGCATCCAGCATAGACAGAGGTGAAGTCAACATGGGTTATACCTCTCATAGAGGAATAGCTGCGGGAGATTTAGGTATGTTTGTGTTTGCAGAGTAAAGATCTAATAATTTGCTCAGCATTAAGGTCAAAGTTGCCTGATTTTCCTGAGAATTTGCTCTCACTAGCTGCTGTTAAACTACATCGCCCAAATGTGTCATTTATTCTATGGTACCAACTGAGACATAACAAATGAAATAATCAGGTTACAATTAATTTAAAAATACATTTTCTGAGAACTCTTCATGAATTTTCTTCTGGAATATTCAATTATGTGTAAAAGAAATTGCTTTACCTTTGTTTTAATAACTACTGGTAATTAAATTTCACAATCACCTAGATTGGCAGGAAGCTTTGATTACCTTTATTATTTTAAATTGCAAAAATAAAAAAAAGTTCTTATCCTTAAGCTTCTAATTTAGCCTGTGGTTCTTGGTTATATTCTGAGATAAACAACGGCCAATTTGCAAAATAGTCTTCTTAATAATCATGGGTTACATTTGCTTGTATAATTAAAATAAGAACTTTTTGCATATTAGCAATATGATTGCCAAATGGATAATTTCACAGTCAAGAAAAAAATCAACCCAAGCAAATCAATAAATAAAGAAGATATGAGATGTTCTCAGTAACTGAAAAGGGTAAAACATTAAATATTAAAGGAACCCTGGGGATAAGAAGTTAAGATTTGGAAACGTAAACCCACTGTATTATCAAAATAAAGTTGACACAGACTTTTAAAATTAAAATGCAAACAGAAAAAGATAACAAGTCAGTATTAGGTGCAGTCTTCAAAACCTTAATTGGGAAAAGAACATTCCTGAATGGATTGAGGTATTTATTTCTTTAAATTCTATACAACAGTATTGTGGGCCAGGTAAATCATGCTGTTTTCTGCTATCACACTGATGTTGATGTAGAAATGATAAATAGGAATTTTCATTACTCATTATTGGGGAGTCAAAACCAGTAACGTAGATAAGTCTTCCATATTTCTAGATGCAGGTGGCAAAACTGAACTATAGTAATTCTGGCAAGACTTATGTATGTCTAACTAGAAATTCTCTGCATCCAATACTACAAAACAGGGTATCTTACTGAAACAGACATTCTCACTGAGAAGTTTTCTTTTGGACCTTTGGATTTTTCAGAAATTTTCTTCTGGAATATTCAATTATGTCTAAAAAATTGCTTTGCGTTTATTTTAATGATAACTGCTCGATAATTAAATTTCACATCACCTAGACTGGCAGAAAGACTTGATTGCCTTTTTTATTTTAAATCACACGTGCACAAATTGTGATTTAAAATATAATCTCAAATAAAAAACTTGCAAAGCTAAAATTAACCCTGTGAGAGAAATTATTTACTCAGATGAGGAGTACTAGTCCTTGTTGTTTTTCTCCTGAGCATTCCATACCTCATTTTAACTTATTAGATTTTATTGTCCATTGTAGCAACTCAGATGAACTGAGTGATACAGAGTCTGAGAGGTAAGGAGATTTTTCTTAGCATGCTACATATTTGCAGTGTTTGACAAGGGGGACCCAGTGATTTGTGAACTTGTGCTGAAATGCTGGTTCTCCCCACTGACCCCATGAAGTGCACTGGGTGACCCTGTCATTTGCCCAACTTTTGGGGAATGTGAACACCAGGTATTTTCAACGGCCAGTCTGTGCAGGGTTTAGCTGGACAGTGTGTTCTGAGAGCTGCCACCTGGGGCCTGGCCTGAGTGTCAGCCGTGCTGAGGGCCATCTGCTGCTCGGCAGGGTCTCCCATTTTTGCACAATGGTGGAAGCAACTGGACATTTGGTTTGGAGCACCTATACATGAGCAGTGTCACATAGGAATGTTTTGGAAGAGTTTTCTGCCAGAAGATCAAGATTCCTGTCAAGGCAAACACAGAGAAAAAGACATGAACCTAGTGATAGACAGACATATGATTAATAGCATCCCCTATCACCCACCAATCATTTATCTTTTATGAATGTATGTATTCTCATTTCATGGCTTCTGAAATATGTCATTTAATTTTCAAAACAAAATGGCTTTTTCCCCCTCCTTCCCTCTCTTCTTTCCTTCCTTTCTCCATTCTTCCCCTCCCCCTCCCTCTTTTCTTCCCTCCCTACCTTCCCTCCTCCCTCCCTCTATCCACCTTCTTCTCCTTCCTTCCTTCTTTCCTTCCTTCCTTCTTTCCTTCCTTCCTTCCCTCCCTTCGCCCCTTCCCCCCTCCCCCCTTCCCCCCCCCTTTTGTCTCTTTTTCTTCTCTCATCTGTTGTTGGTCAGATTTCTATTTAGAGATGTTTTCATCAATCCCACATTTGGTTTTCTTTACTGTTCGTAGTTTGCAAATCCTCTAGGCACCTTCCTGCTTTTCCTTCCCTTTGGCCCATGGGGAAGGAAGCTGGTATTCTGTCTCTCACATGGATTCAGGTTAGGGGGTCAAGATGGATACCTGTGTCTCTGGTGCAGGCTGGTTGGTGTGACAGAACACAATGATGTGTCTCCAAGCTACAAACAAATGCAGAGGTTCATTTAAAGTCTCCATGGCTAGAGGAAACGGCAGTCAGAGATGGGCCGGCCCTATAGGTAGGGTGCTCTGCAATGGAACCTAGGTGGCTGTCCTCTGGGGCCTGAAGCTGAAGAATTGGGATGAGTGTATCATCAACTGGCCACTAACCTTTCAGCTGTGCATTCTGGGAGGGCCAGCCACTAGCTGTTTGTGCAAATACCCTGCCTTTCTCCTCATTTATAATTAATTGTACACCTTTGTGAGACTAATCTGAATATAGTCTCTATAGTTTGGACTAATTTTAGCATTCCTTTGCTTCAACAGTTTGGCCTGTCAAAATCACTCAACCTCAGCCTGTTTGTACTGCAGTGTAAAGTATTATTTTAAATCAACCAGTAGTTTTAATCTCCTAAGAAATAAGAGCTGGACTGACTAGACTGAGAGCAAGGAGGAACCTTGGTAGTTGTTTCACAGATTCCAACATTGTATAAGAAAATCAGAGCCCAAGGAACTCAGAAACTGTCTCATGCCACTCAGTTACTTGACAGCAGAGCTAGAGCTGGAACTGTCATCTAGGACCCAAGCTCCTGTGACATTAATGCTCCCCCCACCCACTTCCTGGCTCATCCTAAAGAGTAGCATCATCCTTAGAGAATTTCTTGTAGACTTTTTTTTTTTTCTCTCTGGCCTCATAGAGGCTGCTCTATTTAATTACTTAATACTTTCAAAAAAGAAGTCATAAAGCGCTTTATATTTTAAATGGGCCTCAGATCTCCAGGCTGTTGTACCCATAAAGGCACAAAGATTTAAGTGGCTTAGGTCTGCCCTGTGTATAGCTGTGTTGTCCAGTATGGTAACCATTAGTCACATGTGGCTATTTAAATTTAAGTGTAAAAATATTCAGTTCCTCAGTTACCCTAGGCATCTTTCTAGTGCTCAATAGCACACATGGCCAGTGGCTACCATATTGGACTACACAGACACAAAACATTTTTATCATTTTTTACAGGAAATTCTCTAAGACAGAGACAAAACTAATGTAAAATCAACAAGCTAAAAAGAGAAAATCTGATCCAGAGCGCTCCCATTGCTGTGTGTGCTGCTTGTGCTGTTTAGGTTATCTTTTACTAATTTTGCAAATTGACTTTTTAAAAAAGTAATTTCTTTATGACCCCGAGGGAAACTGTGGAATGACAGCTGGAGGATGATATTGGGGAGGGTAATTGAAAATGTTTATAAACTCTGTAGTCCTGAGGTATGATTCAAGCTTTATTTAAAAAGTGGTTTGTTGTTTCCCTAATGGCAACTCAATTTCTTTTTCAAATAAACCCACAGTGAGTTCTGATTTCACCCTCAAAGAGGAAAAAGTGCCCATGTTCAAAAAGTTTGGATCTTACCATTGAATCTCCTTTAAAGACATCGTAAGGAAAACTGTGAATGTGTGGACTGAGGTTGCTAGTGGCATATACAAGCCGTGTTATTTAAAAGAGATTTTCTACCAACCTGGCCATCAGCAGCTAGCTAGAAGGATTTTTACTTCTACAAAAAGCCCACATCAGGGCAAAGCAAATGCATTGGTTTTTAGAAAATAAAGTTAGCTTTTGGAATTTTCAGCACATTTAATTGGGGGGAAATGCATGCAAATAAGATGCAGGAATATGACAGTTTCTAAGAAAAGGAAACAGTTCTCCTTGAACTTCTGTTACCATCCTCAAGTGCAACAAAATGGGAAGGTGGAAGGTGTCTTTAAAGTGTCAAGTTAACTGTCAAGAAAGAGGTGAATGTTGAGGCCATTGGATTCAGAAACTATAATAACCAAAAGACTGTGACATGGTGGCTTATTATTTATTGACATAACTTAGATCATTGATTTAGGGCAATATGAATCACAGAAGCACTTGGGTGATAACCTTATGCAATTCTTTTCTCATCGGAGGCCCAGTTCCTGGATTTTATCGGGCCCCATCATTGCCCTCTGCACCCTCAGTACTGGCTGGGTATTGTCCTTTTCAAGGAAGTGAAACCTAGCGCTTCCTTATTACTTCACATAATGCCATATTAGCAATGTGAAATGCTTTTTCTTACATGATGTTGCTTCCATGAAATAAGCCCAAGAGACTGTTGGGACAGCAAAGAAATGGGAAGCAGGGAGCGTGGCTGTTGCAGTAGATCTCCTGCAGCATGTGTCAGAGGCTGGGGTGTGCCATTGACCTCTAAGGGCCTGATTCTCAAGACCTAGACCTGCACAGTCCAGTGTGACAGCCACATGTGGTTACTGAGCCGTTGAAACATGGCTAGTCTGAATTGAGATGTGCTACAAGTGTAAAATTCACACTAGAGTTCAAACGCTTAGTACAAAGCCAAAAAATATAAAATATCTGACTCATAACCTTTGAAATATTGAATATATGTTTAGGTGATAATATTTTGGATCTAGGCCTGGCACGGTGGCTCACGCCTGTAATCCCAGCACTTTGGGAGGCCAAGGCGGGTGGATCACCTGAGGTCAGGAGTTTGAGATCAGCCTGACCATCATGGTGAAACCTGGTCTCTACTAAAAATACAAAAAGTAGCTGGGCATGGTGGCGCATACCTGTAATCCCAGCTATTCAGGAGGCTGAGGCACAAGAATCGCTTGAATCCGGGAGAAAGAGGTTGTAGTGAGCAGAGATTGCGCCATTGCATTCCAGCCTGGGCAACATGAGTGAAACTCCGTCTCAAAAAAAAAAAAAAAAAAAAAAAAAGGATCTATTAAGCTAAATATAATATATTTACAAAATTAATTTTACCTGTTTTTTAAAAATGTGTTTAAGGTAACTACTAGAATATTTGAAGTTACATGCGTGGCTTACATTATATTTGTATTGGACAGCTGTGGTCTGGATGACTCCAGTGAGAATGTTCTAACCTTGATCGCAGAATCTGCCATACAAAACCTGCTGATGCACTGCTCAGTGGCTCCTGTAGCCCTGTCTACTTATCCTCCATTCACCAAGGCAGAAACTTACCAAGGCAACTCAGCCCTGATTCTCAGGTCCCTGTTTGGTTTTAGTCCCAGACATTGAGAGATGTCCTTAATTTTTCTGAATCTTTATAGTGACTTTCAAGTGAAGTTCTATAAAGAGGAACAGGTTGGGACATTTGTCACATTCTTGTTTAGACAGATTTTGTGTTTTGTTTTGTTTGGGCTTCAGTTTAATTCTAGACTTCATGTATTTTTGTTAGATTTATGTATACGCCTCCTTCCAAAGAAAGCCTGCAATGCTATGAAGTTGGAAAGAGAAGCTGAGGAAACAAAGCACACGTTTTTCTCTCTCTCTGTGTGTGTGTGTGTGTGTGTGTGTGTGTGTGTGTGTGTGTGTGTGTGTAGAAAACTCTTGCCTCATAGCCTTTGTACCGTGATGTCCTGCCATGGATAAGTATGTGGGTTTACATACACATCCACACATATCTGTATTTCTGTATGTGTGTGTATATATGTATACACAGAAAGTGGAAGTGGATTAGGTTCCAATTATTTCCAGTCAAATTTATATCGTATATAAGTTAATATCAAGGGAAATGAAAAGTCAGTTCTAGCATTACTTTTAGTAATGAAATAATTCACTTGGGATTATGCTAATGATATGTAGATATTAATACACATAATTTGGCTGCCTAATATTGATTTAAGTTGCTCATTCAAATTCTCTTTATTACAAAAAAATAACCATTTTGTTTTACAGTGCTTGTCCTCAGAGACAGTGAGATCCAGTAAACCATACTTATTTGGTAAATAATACTATTTTTGCTGATTTTCATATACACAGAGAGCACTATTCTCTTTCAGTAGGTACCCTTTGAGTTGTTAATTTCTGGTTGGGGTCCTGGTTAGCTCTAGCCAAATATCCTCTCTGGATCTGCCTCATGATCAATGCCTAGGGTTGAAGGTACTCCCGGTGACCAGGGCACAGAAGTTTTTGTTCTCTGTGATGTTAATATGCCCTAGGGTTGAACTTTGGTCTCAGGAGAGCCCGAGTCCTATGCTTGCTTTAAGCAGCCAAACTAATCCACATGCCTTTTTTCGGAATATGAATTCTTCAGTGGAAAAAGCAATTGACAGAAGCTTTGTAAACTCTCCTGAAATAATTAATATCAGATTAAGATTAGAAATAGAATCACAGCAAATCCTAGGCAATTACACATGTAAGACATGATTTTGAGTTAAACGATGTCATCTGGGTTAAGAACATAGTAATTGCCACAGTACTTATTTGGTTCCGCATTCTAAAGTAATAGCAGTAAGGGTATTTTGTAAAAATGCACAACAGCCTTTCAGGGAGGAAATGCCCTGCAGACATCTTACTTTTCATAAATAGCTGAGTGTAAATCTGTCATTCAGGAGTTAATGTAAACATGTCTGAATCCATCTGTAGTTTCAGCTTGTGCTCCTTCTTACAGGAATGAGTTTCAGCCATTTTCTACCTATAGAGCGAATTGGTGTTTCTTCCTATTGCTTTAAATTTAACTCTCTGAAACTTATTTTTAGCATCCATTTTTGGGTTTCATGAATTAATGTGGGTTCATTGGAACCACACAGTCCAAGGGTGGCGTTGTGTTATAAGCTCTAGGAAGCTGGGGATCTGGTCCAAACACCAGCACCAAATAGCTCTCAGAGTTTCTATTTTCTTATCCGTAAAATGGGCTAATAATACTAGTTGTTAGAATCGAATGTGTGAATGGCTGTGAAAAAACTTGAAAATTTGTGAACAAAACCTAAAAATCCCTGATCTCATAAAGCTCATATTCTAATAAGATGCACCACAGGTTCCTTTCCTGAGTGGTAAGTGACCACTCAGAACTCGTGATCTTCTAAGGTAACTGGAAAAGTTTCTCCTAAATACCTTACCTTGCTTTTCTTCATCAGCCTTTCAAATCCTTGGAGTGTAATCGTGCCAACTTAGAGTTTCTCTACTCTATGTAAAGCTCCAATATGCATCCTGCAGTCCCAACATTTTAAATTAGCTCAGTCAATCCAAGGAACACCACTGTTTATACTTTCCCATCTAGAGGAATGGTTCTTTATTATGTAAAAAAAAATTATACACATTTTACGTAAGATGCAATATATACAAAAAAAATCAGTAATAGCGTAGCCACATAATTATTAGGAAAGCCACCACCCAATTTAGGAACATTACCTAGCCTTGTGTCTTCCTCTGTATTCCTCTCTCTTTCCTTCCCCATCATATTTCATTCCCTCCTTCCAAAGGTAACCACTACTCTGAATTTTCACCTTATTCCCTTGCTTTTCTTTTTAAAATAATTTTATCATGTATCACTAAAATACCGGCTTCACAAGGGCAGCTATTTTTGTTTTGTTCACTGCTGGATCTCCAGTGCCTAGCACAGTGTCTGACATATACAAGCACTCAGTTACTGTCATAGGAGTGCAACTGTAGCCCCTTCCCTCCTTTATCTCTTGTTTGTAAATCAGTTCTGCAAGGACCCTGTCACCAGTTCACATTAGTCACAGGCCTTCAGTAACTTTTAGAAAAAAATTTTTTTCCCCCAAGATGGAAAAAACTCTATCGCCCAGGCTGGAGTGCAGTGGCATGATCTTAGCTCACTGCACCCTGCGCTTCCTGGGTTCAAGGATTTCTCCTGCCTCAGCCTCCTGAGTAGCTGGGATTACAGGTGCGTGCCACCACACCCAGCTAATTTTTGTATTTTTAGTAGAGACAAGGTTTCACCATGTTGGCCAGGCTGGTCTCAAACTCCTGACCTCGTGATCCACCTGCATCGGCCTCCCAGAGTGCTGGGATTACAAGTGTGAGCCACCGCGCCTGGCCTAGAAATTTTTTTTTTAACTTATTTGCATGTACTTGCAACAGGAGACTCTGAGCAGAATCACATGAATTTATCTGAATCAGGACTTTTTACCTTGATTTGTGGTTCACAAGCACATTTCAGGAGTGAATAGTGAACACTGAAGAAACATAAGTAGTAAAGCTAGAGTTCAACATGGAGAGCCACAGGGAGATTCTCAAAAAGCGATGCTGTATACATGCTACACCAGGGATGAGCCTGGAAAACAGTATGTTAAGTGAAAGAAGTGAAAGACTGCATACTATATGATTCCACGCATATGGAACACTCAAGATAGGCAAATCCTAGAGACAGAAAGTAGATGAGTTGTCCCCTGCGGCTGAGAGGTTTGGAGTGAAATGGGGAGTGACTGCTAATAGGTATGAGTTCTTTTTGTGGTAACGAAATTGTTCTAAATTTGATTGTGGTAATACTTAATAGTTACACATATCTGTGAATAAACTAAAAGTCATTGAATTGTTTGCTTTTAAACAGGTAAATTGTAGGGTGTGCGATTTATAGCTCAATAAAGCCATTACTTTAAGAAAGCATAGAAATTGATATTGTAAGAAAGAGAAGGTGAATCAGTCATAACGTGAGCAAACAGAAAATACAAACCCATAGGTTAAGGCCTTCCTGGACAGGATGCTTGCAATCAGATGGGAGGCATTTCAATCCCTACTCACTGATAACTTGCTCAATACATGGGGGTGCCCCTTCTCTTCCCCTTTTCATTTCCACATTCATCTTTTTCTGCAGCCAGCCCCTGACCTTCTCAGATAGTTCCATAGAGACTTGCTCTCTAGGGCTGGTTAGTTCAGCCTCCACTAGATAAATGCCTCCCTTCCCCAGTATCCCCAAAAGGCCATGGCACCCTCCTTCTCACTGAAGAATGAGGGAGAGCAGTAGGTCCCCTCTGCTAATGCTGGACAAAGCAATTAGTGCATTTCTTATGACTAGTTAATTAGCTTTTTATCCAGCTTTTTAAACTCTGGCCACAACTCTATGGCCTCGAAGTAGAGTGTGAGTCATCCAGGAAGCAAGTTTCTCTACTGTGTGCCTGATGCTCCTGAGTATTATTCGCACAGTGATGTGTCTGTGGCTGCCTCCATATGCCCCCACTTAGATGGATGCTTGTACAGACGTTTCCAAGGATATCATCTGCTGGCTCTTTTGTTGTTTCTAATCAAAGAACCGACACCCTTTGATCACAACAGATCACGGTATTGTACTACAAAGACTTTGTTAGAAAGACTTAAATTTTACACGCTTGTAGCTGTCACAGAGGTTCTGACAGTATTTACTTTTACCCCACACAAGTAAAGAAAAAATGCATTTGATCAGATCACATGGAAAATATGA
Organism: Homo sapiens; assembly: GCF_000001405.40. Classification (NCBI taxonomy): domain Eukaryota; kingdom Metazoa; phylum Chordata; class Mammalia; order Primates; family Hominidae; genus Homo; species Homo sapiens. Next base: position 29,207,958 of record NC_000007.14, read on the forward strand.
GTGATTATAAATAGTAAATTTTCTAGAACCATGTATTGTTCACTGTAAGGAACCTAGTCAATGAACATTTTTTAATACTTGCTGGTTTTGAGTGCCAGGTTGTTGCAAAAGTCCTCTTCTTCCTCCCAAGTATAGAGACTCCTCTAGGTAGATAAACTTTCTGTTAATTGGAGGAAGATTGGCCCTGTCATGGAATTAATGAAGCTAAAGACAGACGTCTTTGGGGAACTGAGTCCCTGGGTAGCCACTTTTTGGGCAGGCTTCAGTATCCAATGGCCTGCGTGAATGTATAGGATGGCTGGCTCCCCTTCAAGTTGTTCATGGCCTTTCCTCCTTTTTCCCATAGGACACCTGAGACAGGCACCCCCACAAAATACAAATAAATGCCCCTTCACGGGAGTGTGAAGACAAAGCAAGTACTAGAACTTCTTCCTTAAGGTCTCATTCAGAGTGTTTTCCTGGCAACCCCTAGAGGAAGTGGGCACGGGCTACAGTGACTCTGTTGTTCTGTGTCTTCCCTCAGGTGAAATCTGGCCACCCTGGGCACCCTATGACAGCAGCACACGTGGGGATGATATTGTGCCTTGCGCTGGCCTCTGCGGTTCCCCTGACATATCAGATTTTAGACTTTGCTCCTCCTGCTTTCTAATGTCACGGGCTAAGCCATCTCTAACAAAAGACTCACTGTTCCTGGGACCTGCTGTTCACTCAAACTTTTCTCATGCTAACACCAACACATATAACACATTCACACCTCCTCACATCCTGACCAGACCATTCCAGGATGCAATTATTGTAAGGATTAGGACGTTTCACCGCAAATACAGAAAACTCTAAAACAAAGTGCTGAGGTACCGTGGTTGTAGACACTGCAGTATCTGGCTCTGTCTCCTTCTCTTAGCGCTGCCCTCTTGGTCGGGGGGCCTTGTCCTCAGCCTCACTGTCTTTACAGGGTCAAGATGACAATAGCAGTCCCCTGGGATCATATCTGAAACAGAGAAGGGGAAATCTCTTCCTCCTCACCCTGTGGAAGATAAAAAAGACTTTCTCAGACACACCTGCCCCACCCCCACCCCCCAGCAAAGTTCCCCTTGCCTCATTGGCTACAGCTTTGTCATATGCTTAGGTGTGAACCAATCACTGGCAAGGGAATAGGATTCCCTGGATGTACTTAGTCCAGTTGTGACCCCCTTCCTGGAGTGCAGATGGTCCAGCCTCTCCTGAAGGGGTGAGGAGGCCTGAACGGAACAGGGTTCTGTTAAGGGGGAAGAGGGAACCAAGAACATCCGCCACAATTATGTCATGAATGTCCTCAGCCCTTAGAGTCTCTAAGGCCACCAACAAAACACTGAGAATTCCAAGACGCATGGCCTCTCATAGTCAAAAAGCTTATTATAGTCTTAGTTGAGAGCCAAGCAATTAGTGCAACTATTCACTTAGTAATAATATCACTCCCTGAAAAAAATGTTCTGCTAACCTACTACATTAAGATGACTGACAACTCATATGTTGTTTTCACTTGTTAGTGCTTTATGGTTTGAAGCACTTTGTTTTATGGTTATGAAAAAAATATAAATCCATTAATTTAAAACTGGATAGAGTCTTTAGCTCTAATGAGAAGTAGGACAGTGAGGGTTGAAGGTTTTGATTCTTGACAGGCTTTAACATCCCTGCGCCTGATGTAAGTTGGAACTATATTATTAGAAAGGCAGGGAATAATAGTAGATGATTCAGCCCACTGCCGCTTGCTATGGGAGGGAATTTTTAAGGCTTTCATTTATGAGAAATAGTGATCATTAGCAGTTCTTTGTTTTTAAAACAGAGATTCCTACAAACGGTCAAGTCCAGTGGAATAAATGTATTGGTGCCTAATTGGAGAAATAATTTCAGGTTATTCCCAAGGAAAAGGGAACAGGCAGAGGGTTTTGGAGAGCAGATTCCTGTTTTTCAGTTTTGTGATGGGCCAGGGTGCGTAAAGATCACTGGATGAGGGGTCACGTGACCTAAGTCTATGGTAGTTCTTTCTCAGCATTTACTTTTTGTGTGTCCAGGGGCAAATTATGTTATCATTTTGTGACTTTGATGCTTATGTGTAGAATTATTAGTTTGGCCCAGATCATCTCTGAGGGTCTTAAAATTTTATGATTTTTCTGATCTGCCTGTTTCCTCTTGCCAATTTATGGTGCCTTGGTGGTCCCCCAAGGGAACAACCCTCTTGTGTGTAAATCAGTTACACTCACATATACACATATTTCAAATAGCAATTACCAGTGGCATCATTTGTTCCAGGCACCCAGCCTGTAAGACATGAGGACTGTTGGGTGTCTGTACCGTAATTGCTTTTCAGTCTTCACTCTTAGTAAGCCCAGAGGTAGTCCAAGTATGCTCCAAGGCGGTATCATACAAGCCTTTTGGAATGTGACCTACACTATGAAACCCAGCACGTACACACACAGGCACACACACACACCCCACACACACACCGTGCACACACCAATACTTCATTCCATATGTACTTATTATTTACCATGTTCCAGATTTTAGAGATACTGCAATGAACAAAACAGACAAAAATTCTGGACCTTGTGGAATTTCTAAATACAGACAGACAATAAACCAAAGGAACTATATATAATTTGTATATATAAATGTGTATCTTATATATATAATTATATCTAATTATTAATTTATATGGTATATTAGAGGGTGATAAGTTCTATGGAGAAAAATAAAGCAGGAAGGGAGACAGGAAATGCTGGGGGTAAGGGGGTCTGAGTGTTAAGTTTAGTGGTCAGAGAAGGCTTTACTGAGAAGGTGACACTTGATGGTGAGGGAGCCAGCCATGCAGATATTTGGAGAAAGTACATTCCAGACAGAAGGAACCGCAGCTGCAGAGTCCCAATGCGAGAGTGTACCTGGTGTGTTCCAGGAACAGAAACAAGGCCAGTAGAGTGAGAAAGGGGTAAATAGGACTGGCAGGGAGGAGGAGGCGGATCATGGAGGGCCTCGTAGGCCGCCCTAAGGACTTTGGCTTTTACACTGAGATAGGTTGTCCCTGGAGGGTTCTAGAAGACAGTGGCATGATCTGACTTAGGTGTTTTGTTTTTTTTTTTGTTGTTGTTGTTGTTGTTGAGACGGAGTCTCGCTCTATCGCCCAGGCTGGAGTGCAGTGGCGCGATCTCGGCTCACTGCAAGCTCCGCCTCCCGGGTTCACGCCATTCTCCTGCCTCAGCCTCCTGAGGAGCTGGGACTAAAGGCGCCTGCCACCATGCCCAGCTAATTTTTTGTATTTTTTTTTTTTTAGTAGAGATGGGGTTTCACCATGTTAGCCGGGATGGTCTCGATCTCCTGACCTCGTGATCCGCCTGCCTCAGCCTCCCAAAGTGCTGGGATTACAGGCGTGAGCCACCGCGCCCGGCCCTGACTGAGGTTTTAACAGATCCATTCTGGCTATTATGTTGAGATTAGACTAAACACAAATGCTGCATGTTGGCACACACACACACACACACACACACACACACACACACACACACAGAAACAGAAGTTCCACAAAGAGAGTTCATCCTGTTATATATGATGTGCTCTGAGACTGTCTTTTCTATTGTATTTCTCTTCATTTATCTAAAAACTATCAGGGCCCACAAGTTGATTTCAGAATCCACTCTAGAGTGGTGATGGGCACTTTGGAAAACAGATTAGAAATTGGTCCAGAACTCCAAAGATGTAGCAGATTCAGTTAGCCTGCTCAAGGCATGGTTGCGGTATACAGAACACCCTATAGGCCCATAGTACTATTTAATCATAATGTTCAAGGAGATTTTGTTAATTTTTTTAACTTGCTACACTGCGTAGCACTATTTTATTGAATGATCATTTAAAAGTTTCGTCTTTCCCTACAGTGGGCTTTTATTACAAATGTATATTTTAATAACTTTTTATAAAGAACATTTCAAATATATTTAGAGTAAAGAGAAAACTATAACGAACCTCTTACCATCCAACTTCAACAATGATCGCATCATAGCCTGGTTTCACTTCCACTCCATCCCATACCCAGGATTATTTTGAAGCAAATCCCAGGCTTGGCATCATTTCATCTGTAAATATTTCAGATGGTATCTCTAAAAGATAGGGACTCTTTTTTAAAAAAAGAATGCTGGGCTGGACTGAGCTAGTTACCTCCTGCTATTGTGGAGGCAACTCACTTCATCCCAACTTCTTGATACTTTTGCTTCTGGAAGTCATATTTCTCTAACATCTTCCAGAAAAGTCTTAAAGCTGCCTTAACCTTTTTTCCAGTCCACCTCTTAAATTTTTTCCCCCTCTTCCTCAATACTAACATGAGTGTGGATCTGGCTTGTCTGCAAAGCTTGCCTTGCTTCGAAGCATCCGACTGTAAAGAATCTTAACCTATGGCTGTGATTTGTGGGCCTGAAGAAAACTATCCATCCTTGCAAATGTCTTCTGCTGAGATGCCTCACACGGAGACTGTCTCTCCTCTTCTTCCTCCATGGATCTGCTTATTCAGGACAGCCCTGATTCTTCCACCAGTCCCAAAGGCAAACAACCCATTGCTGCAGAGAATAATGCCCCAAAAAAGGGAGACGAGGTCCCAGTCAAGAAACAGAAGACCAGAACTGTGTTTTCTTCCACCCAGCTGTGTGTACTCAATGATAGATTTCAGAGACAGAAATACCTTAGCCTCCAGCAGATGCAAGAACTCTCCAATATCTGGAACCTCAGCTACAAACAGGTGAAGACCTGGTTCTAGAACCAGAGAATGAAATCTAAGAGGTGGCAGAAAAACAACTGGCCGAAGAATAGCAATGGTGTGACTCGGAAGGCCTCAGCACCTACCTACCCCAGCCACTACTCTTCCTACCACCAGGGATGACTGGTGACCTGACTGGGAACCTTCCAATGTGGAGCAACCAGACCTGGAACAATTCATCCTGGAGCAACCAGACCCAGAACATCTAGTGCTGGAGCAACCACTCCTGGAACACTCAGACCTGGTGCACCCAGTCCTGGAACAATCAGGCCTGGAACAGTCCCTTCTATAACTGTGGAGAGGAATCTCTGCAGTCCTGCATGCAGTTCCAGCCAAATTCACCTTCCAGTGACTTGGAGGCTGCCTTGGAAGCTGCAGGGGAAGGCCTTAATGTAATAAGCAAATGACTAGGTATTTTAGTACTCCACAAACCATGGATTTATTCCTAAACTACTCCACGAACACGCAACCTGAAGATGTGTGAAGATGAGTGAAATTGATATTACTCAGTTTCACTCTGGGTAGTGGCTGAATCCTTCCTCTCCCCTCCTCCCCTCCCTGATAGGATTTTTCTTGTATGGAAACCATGTGTTCTGGCTTCCATTATGCCTATCCAGTCAATTTGATGGAGGATACAGTATGGTTGGAGCCTAATCAGAGAGGTTTCTTTCTTTTTTTCCTATTGGATCTTCCGGAGAAAAGACGTTTTAATAACCTTGGCTACTAAGGACAACATGATAGAAGCTGTCTCTGGCTATAGATAAGTAGATCTAATACTAGTTTGAATATCTTCAGGGTTTAGAATCTAACCTCAAGAATAAGAAATACAAGTACAAATTTGTGTGATGAAGGCATATTCCTATTTTTTGGGATTGGGAGGCTTTACTTATTTTTTAAAAACTATTGAGGTAAAGGGTTAAGCTGTAATATACTTCATTGATTTCCTCACCTTTTTTGGTTCTGTTTTACTATATCCCCTAATTTTTTGGTGATGCTAATCTTTGTAGAAGGAGGTCTTGTATTTACTGCATCATGATGACATTAGTACTCCTTTAGTTGGTTTAAGTACAAATGAATGAAACAACTATTTTTCCTTTAGTTGATTTTACCCTGATTTCACCTAGTGTTTCAATGAGTAAAAATACAGCTTAAACATTAAAAAAAAGAATACTGCATTACTGTAATCTTTGTGCATACATTCACACAAGCAATAATTGCGCTTTTTAGTCTGATCAGCAGTGTCTTTATTCATTAGTCTCAGAAGGGAAACACAAGTGACCTTAATGAAATGAAGCCGTGGTCATGCTTTCTCCTTCCTGATTCCAAAGATGGTGTTTCTGGATGCTGCTAAAGCCCCCTGGTAAATAAATACTTTCTCATCTCCAGAAATGAGTCAATTCGATCCGATTTCCCTTTTTAGACTTCCATTTATGCTCAAATATGGCCTCTTTTTCTGTGGCTCTTGAGTAATTATCAGTAAACACCTAGAGTAAGGCCCTAGGTCTTAGTCATCACGGTACCACCCCAGTGACTTAGCATGGTTACTGGCACCCAGCAGCATCCCTCACATTTTGTTAATGTTTTACCTCTTTTCCTATGCAGGAGCTGGAGTACCCTCTCCCTAGTCCTCTGGCCCGTCATTCCCTTTTATCCATATGTTATAACCTCATTAAAGTCTGACTTTTCTAGGAAACCTCGTTTCTACCAGGATGGATGCCTTTGTGGATCAGTATTGACGCTTTGACAGGAGGCTTCAAGTTAATCTCAACTCTTACAGAATTCCTTCTATTCCATGAATTTATTATCCTCAGTCAATACTGTAATGCTCATCTTCTTGTGGTGTCTTTCCTAATCTTCACCAACAGTTTATTGGCCAGAAACTAATTGATAGGGGCTACGTTACTGAAAACTTCGTCATTTCTGAAGATGATTAATAGTCCTAATTTCAGGCGGAGGTAGGGACATATTTTTACACTTGAATATATGTTATGTAAGAATCCACCATTGAATGCCTCTTACTTAATCACCCAAATATTTTATCTATGAAACTTGGCAGGGAGATGGCAATATCCTGAACCTTATTTTTCTCATTGTTTCTCTTTCCTCTTTCTCATCTCTCTTTCATAAAACGTGAGTGCAGAGTGGATGCCAGCCACCATGCTTGGCTTTGAGGACATAAATAGATACGTAGCAGTCCATTTGTAACTCTTTATTCGGTCTGTTCTCAGTGGACTGTCACTCCAGGAAGGGAGGGGCCCTTGGGTCACCAGCTACTAGCAGAGACACTGCCACACCAGAACTTCTTGGAAACTTTTTTTTGGATGAATGACTGAGTAAATGGAGACATGAACTTCACTGTAAAGGAGTTCACAGTCCAAAGTTTGAGAGTGAATCTGGACTCTGTGAAACTCTGCAGAACTTGTGAAGTCATTAACAATTAAATATTTTAGTTCAAACTCTTCCCTTAAATTATTACCCAGTCTGAGATTTTTGTGCCGTTTCATAGATGCCAGCAGAAGTTCTGCACGGGGAGTCTTACAGTGGCACAGGTACAGCCCTTAGACAGAAAAGAAGCCTGAGGCCGTCCTCTGCATTCACTGTCCATTTTTCCCAGAGTATGTGGTCCTAGCTACTTGAGGCACTCCCAACTTCTCATTCTTTCGACTTCTGTAAATGTCACAGTCTTGGGAGGCCTCCCAGAGGTCCCAATTAAGGGTCTTATTTAGCCTGGAGCCAGAACTGTAGTTGTAACTCCTTAATGCCAGGAAAGCATTTTTTAAAATCAGCACACTCACCTAAGTCTGTTTCCTAAGGTGTTTTCTTCTATCTGAGTTACAATTTTATGTTCTGTGCCAGGAATCATTTACTTCTGGTTCAATAGGAATTAAAAGTACTTGTTGCTATGTCATTCCAGGGCAAGGATTTGCTTCTGCTTGGAAGTTAGGTCTTTAGTGTGTGAGTATATGTGAGTGTATGTGTATGTCATTGTGGGATGTTGCACATAAGTGTATGTCTGTGTAATAAGGCAGATTCAATTTCTCAGGGAAAGAAAATGTTCCAAGGACCATAACCTATGGGACAAAGCGTTAGCTACTATCTTTTCTTTTGGCTTTAAATTATGCACTCTTCTTCCTTAAGTGACTGATTCTGAATATGAACGCGTTCTTTTAAAGAGTGGAAATGATATCATTTAACATTTAAATATTAAATCTTATTATGTAAGCCAATTTCTTAAAATCCCCAGGTGGAGTTTGTAACTACGCCTAAGTAATTCTCCAGGTGTAATGACTGGCAAGCTGTCGAGTAGAAATGGCAGAGAAGCAGCTATTGTTGGGAGAGGCTGGAACTTCTTTGTTTTTAGTATACATTTTAGTTGCTGAAAGAGTCCTTGTAGATTTTCCTCAAAATTAAAAAAGCCAGAGGAAGAGGAAATTACAATTAATAGCCTGGAAATTCCAATTAATCTCTCAAATAGTGATTAATTTCCAGAGACATGGAGACTCTGCAGTATATCTGGGAGGAAGGAAAAGACAATTAGGGTTGGGGAAATTGGTAGAGGCGCTTGGGTAGGTGGAAATCCCACCAGGATTGAAGACTGCACTAGGATTGAGATAATTGACAAGGTTGGAAGCTTGCCAAAAACTGTATCAAGTGCTGTCTCTTCCTAATGGGCAAGTGTGCCCATTTTGAAACCCACTGGCCATATTTCCTAAAACTGTCTATTATCACTTTGTGGAAATGTTCAAATAAGATCTGTTATCAAATTACATTTCTTTCTTTGTCACTTTTTAGCTTATCATTCCGCCAAGGTTTTGGCCCCTGCCCTTCTTCCTGCTTCTTGCCTCCTTGAGGCTGAGCTCTTCTCTCTCCCCAGCCTCTCAGTGAGCTGGTTCAGGTCTGTGTTGGTTTCAGATAACGGATGCTTTAAATTTAAGGTAGTGGAAACCGCTGATCTAGCCTGGAAATCACAAGGACCAATTGATTTATCAATTTTTCTTCTATAAAGGTAAAATAATACCATGGCAATTTTTTAGTGCAGATTATTGAGGCTCAGATGAATCAGAACGAAGGGGAAATTAACCGGCTATACTTATGAAATGCGAATGCTATGTTTGCATTGTTGGATGGATTCAGTCTTAAGCAGTTTGGAACTTATTTGTATGTACCTGAGGTTTTAACTACATGGTAATGAAGATGGTGTTAAGCTTTTACAGGAGCACGGCTTTTGATCTGCTCTTTCTCCCCAGTGTACTAACAGTACTTATTAGGAGGAAAAACCTCCAGAGAGTCAGAATAAATATCATAGTCCTTTGAACATCTAAATATATGCAGCATTTTACAGAAATAATGTAAGCGAACTAACCGTTTGTGGTCAGCTGGAAAACTTAACTTTCAGAGGGATTTGACCAGCTATACTGACCTAGAAAATGAAATAAGCAGTTTGGAAAATCTGGTTTGTGCATATAATTATTTTTATATTATCTCAGGCTGTGCCTTGCAATGAGTAAACCACGGTAGTTATCTGACCTATTGCTCTACCACTGCCATTGCTTCAACACAGTAATTATGTAAGACTCAGCATGTTTTTAACTAACTAAATGCATGCAGGACATTCCTTAGCTTCAGCAGCCTATCTGGAGACTACTCAAGGGCTCTTTATCAGTCTTTCAGTTTGAATGGAAAAGAGACTGTAAAATCATGACCTGCGTTAAAATGTGTAGACTGGGAGGGCCATTGTGGAAATATTTAATACAAGCACTTGGCACTTTTGTTAGCTGAAAATGCCCTGAAAGTTTATGACGTATCAAATATTTCTAATTAAAATAGAAAATTAATCTTCATGATGAAAGAATCCTAACAGCGCTTTTTATATGAATACAAATATTTAGTTGGGATATAGGTTATAGAATGTCTTTAAGGCCCTGAAGTCCTTTGGATTTACTGTTTTTCATTCTAGTTCTTCCTTTAATAGCTCGGAGCAAATAAAAGTGATTTCCTTTAGAATGTGCACATGCTCCTAAGGATATCTGAATAAAAGATACGTATCTGATAATTTGCCATCTCAGCATCATCCCTTGGGCAGCAGGTTGGAAGGCAATAGTTTAATCTGAATGTGAACTAATGCTTATGCGCAAAGACATGTATGTCTCTTCCTGGATTTGAAGGAACTGAGAGTAGAGCAGTTTAACCAGGATTCCCTAGATGGCTTATCATCCTGATGAGCTAGCATTGCAATCAGAAGACATTCACTTTTGCTTAAAACATGAAATTGACTGGTAGAGTTCAGATATTAATAAAACTAGTTTTAGCCTGTAGTTTTAACCCTTTTCATCTTACATTTAAGAAAAAAAAGACACTTAAAAGGAAACAATGAATTGGAACTAATTACAAAGCTCTAAAGGGCCCTGGGTGATGTTAGTCTCATTAGGGATTGTGATGTCCCCTCCCACCCATCTCCCACCCCCTTCCACCCCCTCACTCGCCAGCATGACTCTCTTTCCTTCTTACCTGTAACCATAAATACCAGACAGCCAAAGTCATGCCTCGTGAAGGTAGGCATGTGGAGTGGTGGAATCATACAATATCTGTGTTAAAAGGTTATATCCTAGTAAGATAAGCGTTTGGACTGTAAACTAGTTCAATCATTGTGGAAGTCAGTGTGGCGATTCCTCAGGGATCTAGAACTGGAAATACCATTTGACCCAGCCATCCCATTACTGGGTATATACCCAAAAGATTATAAATCATGCTGCTATAAAGACACATGCACACGTATGTTTATAGCGGCACTATTCACAATAGCAAAGACTTGGAACCAACGTAAATGTCCAACAACGATAGACTGGATTAAGAAAATGTGGCATATATACACCATGGAATACTATGCAGCCATAAAAAATGATGAGCTCATGTCCTTTGTAGGGACATGGATGAAACTGGAAACCATCATTCTCAGCAAACTATCACAAGGACAAAAAACCAAACACCGCATGTTCTCACTCATAGGTGGGAATTGAACAATGAGAACACATGGACACAGGAAGGGGAACATCACACACCAGGGACTGTTGTGGGGTGGGGGGAGAGGAGAGGGATAGCATTAGGAGATATACCTAATGCTAAATGACGAGTTAATGGGTGCAGCACACCAGCATGGCACATGTATACATATGTAACAAACCTGCATGTTGTGCACATGTACCCTAGAACTTAAAGTATAATAATAATATAATTTAAAAAAAAATAGAAGGAAAAAAAAAGTTAGGTTCTAATACAGACAAGAAGTTTAGGCTGTTTTAAATGTGGGCAGGCTCTGTCGGAGACTGATGCAGTGCGTATTATAAATCCTGAATCACGAGGAATGGGTTTTGAAACCGCAGTGGCCCAGGCCACATTCAGACCTGAAAAAGTCGACTCTCCTAGAGCCAAGGCCAAATTATACTCATGTGTAGTCAAGGTAATGAAAGAAACACTCACCGTTTCCCACCACTGTGTAGGAAGCTGCTTAGAAACGTTTTTAGGAAAGGTTAAAATTACTAATTTAAAGAGGACTGAAATAAGTCAAAGGTGTATTTTACAATCTTTAGGGTAATCATTAAAATAATAATATAAGAAGCTCAATTAAAATGCTAATAAGGGAGAAAAAATATTTTTAAAAACACTTGAATGACTAAAAAGAAAGTGAAAAGAAGAAATACAGGAACAAAGAATAGGTGTGATAAATGGAAAACAAATTAAGATGGTAGGCTTATAAGAAACTATATCAGTAAATGTATCAAATATAAGTGGTTTCAACATTCCTATTAAAAGATTGCCAGACTGGATACAGATAACCAATTGTAGTAAGTTTAAATCTAGTAGGTTTTAAGATACTTTACTAAGTTTAAAATTTAAGATATACTATGTAGACTGAGAAAGATTGAAAGTAAAATGTTAGAAATATATATACCATGCATAAATTAACTAAAAGCTATAACCATATTAATATCAGGCAAAGTAGACTTTAATGCAAAAATTATCATGAGAGATAAAGAGGGATATTTGTTAATGATAAAAGGAAGTTGGCTGGGCGCCGTGGCTCATGCCTGTAATCCCAGCACTTTAGGAGGCGAGGTGGGCGGATCACCACGTCAGGAGATGGAGACCATCCTGGCTAACACAGTGAAACCCTGTCTCTACTAAAAATACAAAAAATTAGCTGGGCGTGGTGGCACACGCCTATAGTCCCAGCTACTCGGGAGGCTGAGGCAGGAGAATCACTTGAACCCAGGAGGCGGAGGTTGCAGTGAGCTGAGATTGCGCCATTGCACCTCAGCCTGGGTGACAGAGCAAGACTCTGTCTCAAAAAAATAAAAAAATTTAAAAAAAAAGGAAAAGTTGAAAATAAATGATTCAAACCTCCAACTCCAGAATCTAGAAAATAATCAGCAAATTAAACCCAAAGATGGTAATTGCTTGAACCGGGGAGGCAGAGGTTGCAGTGAGCCAAGATCATGCCACTGTACTCCAGCCTGGGCCACAGAGGGAGACCCTGTCTTAAAAAAAAAAAAGAGAGAGAGAGAGAGAGAGAAAGCCAAAATAAGCAGTAATTATAGAAGTAGGAAACGATATATAATATTTGAAAATTAACAAAAACAACTGGGGCTTTTTTTGACAAGATTAATATAATTGATACATCTCTAGCAAACCAATCAAGGAAAAAAGAAGAGAAAATACAATGAATTTCAGAAAAAAACAAGGGGATCACCACTATATGTCATAGAGATCAAAAAGATAAGATACTATGATCAATTTTATGTCAATAAATTTGACAACTTAGAGAAAATCAACAACTTTCTTTAAAAACACAACTTACCAAAACAGACATAAGAAGAAATTTAAAATCTGAAAAATCCTAAATTTATTATTTAAATTGAAGCGACAATTAAATGCCTTCCCCTAAATTTAATTTCAGACCAATATTGCTTTAGCAATAAATTCTTCCAAATGTTTATGGAAGAAATAATGCCAGTGTTACACAAACTCTTATAGAAAATAGAAAAAGATAAAACATTTCTTAAATCATGTGTGAAATCAGCCTAACCTAAGTCTGACAAGAACTTACTAGTAAAGAAAACCACCACCCAGTATCTTTCATGAATCTTAAAATATTTGATTAGCAAATCAAGTTCAGGGATATGTAAAAGAATATGTCATGATCAGATGGGATTTATTCCAGGAATCCATGGTTGATTTAACATTTAAAAACCAATCAAAGCCTCGTTAAAAGAATCAAAGAGGAAAATTATGTAATTATTTCAGTAGAGAAGACTAATTTGATTCCGCACTTGGTTATAATAAAAATTCTCAACAAACTAATAGAAGGGAATTTCTTTGATGTTATATAACTGCATACTTAATGATAAAGTAATAAATGATTTCTCCGAGTTTGGGAACAAGAAAAGATCACCAATTGGCAATTCTAGCCAATGCAATAAGCCAAGAAAAAATTGTCATGAAGGTTGAGAAGAACGAAGTAAACTGTTTTCCACAAATGATGTAATTATATACATAGAAAATATAAAATTATTGAAAATAATGTGACTTTAACAAGAATGCTGGATGCAAGGTCAGTGTAAAAAAAATCAAGTCTCTTTATACTAGCAATAAATAATTCAAAAATGAAATTTTAAACCATAATTTATAGTAACGTTAAAAAATCAAGTACCTAGTAGTAAATCTTTTTTTTTCCTTCAACTTTTGTTTTAAGTTCCGGGATGTATGTGTAGGATGTGCAGGTTTGTTACATAGGTAAACATGTGCCATGGTGGTTTGCTACACAGATCAACCCACCACCTAGGTATTAAGCCCAGTATTCATTAGCTGTTCTTCCTGATGCTCTCCCTTCCTCGACCCCCAACAGACCCCAGTGTGTTGTTCCCCACATATGGCAATGTGTTCTCATTGTTCAGCTCCTATTTAAAAGTGAGAACATGGGATGTTTGGTTTTCTGTTCCTGCATTCGTTTGCTGAGGAAAACAGCTTCCAGCTCCATTCATGTCCCTGCAGAGGACATGATCTCATTCCTTTTTATGGCTGCATAGTATTCCATGGTGTATACATACTACATTTTCTTTATCCAGTCTATCATTGATGGGCATTTGGGTTGATTCCATGTCTTTGCTGTTGTGAATAGTGCTGCAGTGAACATACGCATGCATGTATCTTTATCATAGAATGATTTATATTCTTTTGGACATATACCCAGTAATGGAATTGCTGGGTCAAATGGTATTTCTGCTTCTAGATCTTTAAAATCAATGTGCAAAAATTGCTTGCATTTCTATACACAAATAACAGGCAAACAGAGAGCCAAATCAGGAAGGATCTCCCATTCACAATTGCTACAAAAAGAATAAAATACCTAGGAATACAGCTAACAAGGGAAGTGAAGGACCTCTTCAAGGAGAACTACAAACCACTGCTCAAGGAAATCAGAGAGGACACAAACAAATGGAAAAAGATTACATGCTCATGGATAGCAAGAATCAATATCGTGAAAATGACCATACTGCCCAAAGTAATTTATAGATTCAATGCTATTCCCATTAAGCTACCATTGACTTTCTTCACAGAATTAGAAAAAATATTTAAAAATTAATATGGAGCCCAAAAAAGAGCCTGAATAGCCAAGACAATCCTAAGCAAAAAGAACAAAGTGGGAGGCATCATGCTACCTGACTTCAAACTATACTACAAGGCTACAGTAACCAAAACAGCACAGACACACAGAGCAATGGAATGGAATAGAGAACTCAGAAATAAGAAACAGTAAATCCAATGAGAGATGTTCAAAACCTTCACCGTGAAAACTGCAAAATATATTGAGAAAAACTGAAGATTATTTAAATAAATGGAGTGATATAATCATGTGCCTGGATTAGAGGATTGTAAAGATAGTTTCCCCTAATTTGATTAATAGATTCAATGCAATCCCAATAAAAATCAGTTAATTTTTGTGAAAATTATCAGGCTGGTTCAAAAATTTAAGTGGAAATACAAAACACCAAGAATAACTGAAGCAATACTAACTAAAGAAGAAAAAACATGGAGAACTTATGTTGTTAGATATTGACTTATTATAAAGCTGCAATAATTAAGATAGTATGATATTGGCTCAAGGATACATGAATAGAGCAAAGGAATAGAATAGAGTTCAGCAGTAATGGTTACAGATATATGCATATCTGACAAAGTACTTGTATCCAGAATATATCAAGAATCTTACACAGCAGTTGGAAAAGTACACTCAACCCAATTAAAATTTGGGCAAAATACTTGAAAAAGCTTTCAGAGAAGAGAATATCACAGTTTACTGTAAACATAAAAAGATGCTCAACACTATTAGTCATGAGAGAAATGCAAATAAAAATAACAATGATATATCACCACCCACCCACCAGAATTGCTAACATGTAAAAGACTGACAATGTCAAGCTATTATCACAGATTTTTGGTGACTTGGAGAAAATAATTCACTCTGTCCACTCTGTCCTTATGGTTCAAACCCTATATGATCAGGTCTTCTTCCAATTTTTGGCAGTGGCATCCCAAACCCCTCTCATTTAGTCTTGCCTTGTGTCCACAGCCTTCTCATACCATCCAGGTAGATGTAGCTAATATACTCAGGTCTTCCAATGAAACACTAATTATCACCACTCCCCATATCAATCACTATGCTGACTTCATAGCTGTAAATTAATTTTGCCTGTTTTTGAATTTTATATGCATGGAATCATATAAGATTTACTTATGTACACTTTCATATTTGGGTTATTTTACTCAACATCCATATGTTGAGATTTATCTATATATTATGTCTACCTGTGGTTCATTCTTTTTTATTGCTGTAGGGGATTCCAATTTCTATAAATTTAATTGTATACACTTAGTAATTCTGTGATTGATAGACTCTTGGGTTGCTTCCAAGTTGGGATTATTACAAAAAATATTGCTATGAATATTCTTATATATGCACATATGCACAGATTTCTGTTATATACACATGGAATTGCTAGGTCATGAGGTACATATAATATATTCAGCTTTACACAATACTGCTCAGCAGGTTTCTAAAGTGCTTTCACTAGTTTGCCCTTCCACCAGCAGTGAACAAAAATTTTAGTTGCGATGTATTGACACCATACCCATGCACCATTTCTTATTGACTTAAAACTCTTAAAATTCTTTTGACTTGGCTCTCTAAAACCCTATAGGCAGTAAAATTCAAATCTTTTCTATTTCAAGAACAGGAAGACTTTCATCAAGGGAAAGGTGGGCCAGACTGTTGAAAACACTGCAGGAGTAGCAGCAGCAAATGAACATGGCGGGAAGGACTGTCACAGCTGATGTTCTAAAATTGGAACATTCTAAGGGCTACTTCTGAAACACGAACAATTAGGTGGGATTGCTGTCCAAATTAAGAAGCCCTTACTTCTTAATCATTAATATAGTTCCTTTTTCCTCCAGAAATGTTCCAATTATGAAAAATTATGAAACAGTTTGTGATTAAGTGATACTCTGTGTAAACACAGTAAATATAACTGAAAAGGATAGACTTTTAGGCCATGGTCAGATACTGTTAAATTTTAGTTAAGTTATATTCATAACTAAGTAACATTAAGTTATAGTGAGAAGGAACTTCACAGTACAAACATTTTTTTCTATGTGTGTTGAATGCTCCGAGCTTATTTCTAAATCCTGCTTGGTTTAAGGAAAGATTACAGGAGAGAAATTCAGAAGCTAAAGGTTCAGGAGCCATTTCTGCCATTACTAACTGTGTGACCCTAGTCACTTAATATCTTTGTCTCAGTTTTAAATATCTGCAGAAATTATGGAATGTTATATCTTCTCTGTTTACCAAAGAGATTATTGTGAGGAACAATTGAAATGGCCTATAACAGCTAATCCATATGGGGATAAAGTTAAAGAATTCTCCACCATGTTTTCATTTCTATATTTAAAATAATCTTATAGTTGCTAAAGTGCTATTCAAACATGTTATATTTTTTCATATGTTAAATCACAAGATAATCTTATTTGTTATATGCCTTATGCCATAAACAGAGCCCAGCATAGTGCTGTCTGTATTTTTCTCATTGTTCTTTACCTTAGTAGAAAGGAATGGAGAGAATGATTCATAATGAGTAAAACACATATCATCTCCGGAGAGAGAAAATAAGGATAAAGGCAGATTTCCATTCAGGAGAATTTATCTGGGCTTTGGAAGTAATTTAAAATGACTGTTCCCTGTGTTGGCAATTTGTAGCCTGCCTGAGTTGACACCTCCATTTTCAATCACAGCAAGATTGCTTTTAGTTGCAGGCAATTGCTAAAGCCAGAGATCTGAAAAGGAGCCCTTTTCAAACTCCTTATAGATTTAAAACAGATAGAATATGAATGTAATTTTTTCTCCTGATTGTCATCAAATACTTCACGAATAATTTAAATTAATCCATAATTTGTCTAAATCAAGAGGAGGAAAGCATGGCCTAATCATAACATTGTTGTGTTGTACCTGGACATAGAGAATTAGCCTGGAAAGATTTGTTGCTACCAAATCTGCAAACTTTATTATAGAGTAGTTGTTTGGGCTCATATATATGTACGGACTCTAAAAGAAACAATAGCAAACAATATCATATACAGTGATGAAGTTCCCAGATCAGCCCACCAAAACCAATATATGAAAAACTGTGTGCAAATGTGTGTGCCTGAGTGCCTTCTGACTATCCATTTCAACAGAGATGTGTATATGCATGTTTAGAGCATTATCTCCAAATATTTGTTTTGCAAAACTGAGTTTGATTGTATAGGACATTAGTGCTGTAGTTTAGCATCGCTCTTCGTTTCCTATCCTGGTTTTACAGGATATGGAAAACCTAATCCAGAAGTAGAGCAAAGCTGATAATCCTTGCTACCTTATGAAGGTGCAAGGAGACTGGAGCTAATCACCTGCTGTGAGCACTTTGAGACCCTTTTTTGAGGAATCACCACTAATCACACTGGAAAAGATGCCTTGCCTCACGTTGAGGGGACAGTTACTATTGAAAGGGTGTTAGTCACTGAGCATTACTGTAGTTAAAACATTATTCTGAGACATGTCCTACAAGGCATGGGATTAGGCGTTTATTAATAAAACTCCCCAAATGGTATTTGCAATGTGTCATTCTACTTGAGAACATAAATAGGATAGAATTAAACTAACACAGAAAGATTACTTATCTTATAATTAAGAACATTGTACAAGAATGAATTTTGAATTTATAACAATTTCTGGGCTGGCAAGGGAGACGTATTAAATAACCTTTCTTCTTAAAAAATATCTTTTGAGACATAAATTCTCTGTGGGGAAAAAACACAGAACAATGAGCTGTCTTTTCTCAATTGATTGCCTGTAGTGTTACAAATACTTTGAAAAATGAAGGGAAATTTAACATTTTAAAATGATCTTTCAGAAATCTATTATTATGAGCGGGGAAAAATGAACAAAAGTCCTTAAGTATTTAGGCTTTTTGAAAACTTCCATTATGTAAACTAGGTAATACTGGGGATAGCCAAGCCCACAGAGTACAGCAGCATGAAACACAAACAAGAGTCACTGATTTTTTATAGTCAGCTGAAAAACAGCACATCTAATTTTTTTTAAATAGAAAAATAAACAATATTTCCTGCCATGAAGACAGTTACTGTCTTAGTTCCATCTTGGAAACGTCACAGAGCTTTATCCTATTTATTTTCAGTGCACAGTAACCACCAGCATCAGTTTGAGTCTGTGTATTTTAAGAGCATGGCTAAAATGTCATATGCTGTTACATATATAGCAACGTAGGGAGTGGAACACTCACTCAATATAAAAAAATCAAAATCAAAATCCATTTATACAATCAGAGTCAAATTTATATCAATTTGCCTATGCTATGACTTTTCGAATTTCCTCTGGAATTATCCTGGTGATCCTAATTTTGCTCTTAATGTCTTCCATGTATGCCCCAAATAATTAACATAACGAAGATAATTTTATTGTAAGGTTTTTTGATAACTTATTTTTGTCTTTGTTTTCCCCTGAAATGAGTGTCCTTCACCTAGTCCTTAAGTGTCCTATCTACAAAATGGAGAATGAAAAAGGCTGCCAACACTGTAACATAGGTAGGAGGCATTCGTGTTTTCAGAATGGAGTTGTAATGAATACACACACACAGTTCCTGTCACTGCTGTGCACATGAGGGTGTCATAAATGGTCCCTGACCTCAAGACATTAGACCTATGGCAATATGGGACATGATGCTGTCATTTTGTTAGACTATTCTAGGCCTATTCTACTTCAGTGTCTAGTGTAGCATTACTGCAGACCATGTGTTTCAGCAGAGTTTGTGGATCTTGTTTTCCCAATAGCTCCCACTGTAATAGTGGTGCACCCCGCTGGCAGCAGGCAGCTTATTGAGAAGATGTCTCCATGCCTTGCTGGGCACTGCAGCCTACATTAAACTATCCAGATTCCATTTTCATATTTTTCTGACTTAGAGTCACTTTCCCAACTCAGTGATCTCCTTTCTGGCAGCAGCATCCTGTACATCATTAAATTGTTCCTTGTTCTAGAGGGATGGACGTACTGAGTTCCTGTTAAAGGTTTGTCTGCTGTCTAGAACTACTCCTTCTCATGGTAAAAGCCCCTAATTTTCTTATGGTGCCCACTTTATCGTAAGTCCATATAGGTCTGCAGCTTCCTGAGGTGGCTCATGACCAGCTTCGCCCAGAACCTCAGGGATTGGGCCAGAAAGGGAAGATGACCTCATTGGAATTATTGGCCATTGCTCTAGCTTTTGCTTGCTGGATTTGAACTGTAGTCATTTTGCTGTCACCTGCCTGGGACCCGAGATAGACCACACACCTGTGGAGGCAGAGCTGAGAGATGGAGAACTGAATTCTGATTTTCCTTTTTGGAACCTGAATCCAGTAGTGGTTGAAGTTCTATTCCTGACCTTTTGACTTCCTCAGCACTTTTCCCTCCCCTCTTTAGCTTAAGCCAATTGGAATTGGTGCTTCTGTCATCTGTCACTTGGAATAGAAACAACCCAAGTGATACACACCAAGTATCTGTAGTCCAAGTTCAAAAGAATTTCACTCTTTCATTGTTTTAGCCTGGGTTTCCCATTAATAAATCAAGATTGAAAAATCTTCCTTCATTCATGGATGCTGGCATCCAACAAGCTTATTGTTAAGTTAAAGGCTTCAGATTGTATGACAAATTCTCAGCCCTATATATTTTCTGAGTTCTAAACATGATATCAAGTTACCTTAAAATCCAGATATCTACAAGTCATTGCTTCTAATTAACATAGAAGCTACCTTAAAAAAAAACCTGTACACACACTAATATATATATATATACACACACACACACACACGTGTGTGTGTGTGTTTGTGTGTTTGTGGAGAGAGAGAGAGACAGAGAGAGAGTCATGTGCCACACCATGATGTTTCCGTCATCGACAGACTGCATATACCACAGTGGTTCCGTAAGATTATAATGCAGTATTTTTAGTATACCTTTCCCACGTTTAGATACACAAATACTTTCCATTGTGCTGTAATTGCCTACAGTATTCAGTATAGTACCATGCTGTACAGGTTTGTAGCCTAGGAGCAATAGGCTCCAGCATACGCTGTCTAGGTTTGTGTAAGCACACGCTATGATGTTCGCACAACATGAACTCCCCTCACAATGAATTTTTCAGAACATACCCTGTGAGTTAAGCCACAAATGACTGTATACATATACACATATTTCTATGTGAATGTGTAACATGAATACGCATCATAAACATATATGTGTGTGTATTACATCTTTAAAATGACTAGACCAGCAATATGTGATTCCTTTCACTCGTTAGACAAAACAAATAAACAAAACACAAAACCTCATTGGGCAATATTGGGAAATAAATACATCAAGGGCAGAGAATTTGATGTGATCAAAGTCCAAGGTGCTTTGGCTGCAGGCACAGTAGTAAGGGGGGCTGTTTGTCTCCTTTGACCCCAAGGTTTCAAGTAGGCCAATCCACCCACATGCCCTGGGGCAGGGTGCCAAAAAAATGGGCCTCTGGCGCTGCACCGCCCTCCTTCCTGAGCTCTGCTTTCACGCCCATTCTTCCTTTTGCTCCCGCTCTGCTCCAGTCGGGCCTGATTTCTGAGCAGAGTGACATGCTCTCCTTTCTGGTCCATGGATTCAGGGATGGACTCGATTGCCAGCTTTCACCCTGAAAGCTCTCTGGAGTGGTTTGCCCAGCTGTGGCCCCCTCACCTGGACTGACCAGCTCCTCCCCGCTGTTGACCTCCTTCTTGCAAGAAGGGTGTTGTTTCAATGTGCTTTGCAAGAGTGGGGTGGGGTGAGGAACAAGGATGAGATAAAAGAGTGACAAAAGAGTAGCAGCTAGAAAAAGGACAAAGGTAGTGTCTACCCACACATGTCTTTACCTTATCTAAAAATACTTCCCATTGGCAGGCAGGATGAAGAAGCTGAGCAGATGGCATATGCTTCCTAGTGCACCAGATTGTAATATTATACACTTGGATTACAAAGTCTGGATATCACAGCTATAAACATATGTAAACATTTTTATGTTTTGCTAAAAAGGAAAAAAAAATCACTGATGATGTATTATCCTAATGAGCTGATTACGAAGATTTACTAATTATATTCCCAAGATCTAGATAGAAAGAATGGCACTGGCTCCAGTGACATACCGTTCAGATTCAGTAGTATACTGGTATTTTTCATTTTCGTTTGGTTTATCACCATTTGCTACAGCTGTGTTTTGCAGATTAGAATCCTAGGACTGGAAAGAACCTTTAGATGAAGAATTGGAAAACGAAGGCCTACCAGCCAAATCCAGCCTGACACCTTTTGTTGTAAATAAAGTTTCACTGGGGCTGGGCGTGGTGGCTCATGCCTGTAATATTAACTCTTCTAGAGGGCGGGAAGATTGTTTGAGCCCAGAGGTTCAAGACCAGCCTGGGCAACATGGGGAGACCCCATCTCTACAAAAGTACAAAAATTAGGTGGGCATGGTGGCATGTGCCTGTAGTATCAGCTACTTGGGAAGCTGAGGTAGGTGGATTGCTCAAGTCCAGGAGGTCAAGGCTGCAGTGAGCTGAGATCACACCACTGCACTCCAGCCTGGGAGACAGAGGGAGACCCTGTCTCAAAAATAAATAAATAAATAAATAAATAAGTTTTATTGGAATCCAGCCATGCCCATTTGTTTAGGTATTGTCGATGGCTGCTTTCCCACTACCCTAGCAGAGATGAATACTTGTGATAGTGACTGTGTGGCCTGGAAAGTGTAAAGTATTCACTGTCTGGCCCTTTAGAGAAAAAATTGCCAAATTTGCTTTAGAAGGCTATCTAAGATCATTTGGCTGTTTTCTGGAATGCTTGTATTTTGTTGCCTCAGAAAAGTGTTTGCCTAGTTAAGATTTCTAGGGACGCACATGGTATTGTCTTACTAAACAAAAATTCGTTGTAAAAATAACTTACCTAAATCTTTTATAAAATAGTGTAAACCCAATTCCTCTTTCTTTTTTTTGAGACAGAGTCTCGCTCTGTCTTCTAGGCTGGAGTGCAGTGGCGTGATCTCAGCTCACTGCAGCCTGTGCCTCCCGGGCTCAAGTGATTCTCATGCCTCAGCCTCCCGAGTAGCTGGGACTACAGGCATGTGCCACCACGCCTGGCTAAATTTTGTACTTTTAGTAGAGACGGAGTTTCACCATGTTGGCCAGGCTGGTCTCGAACTCTTGTCCTTAAGTGATCTGCCTGCTTCAGCCTCTCAAAGTGCTGGGATTACAGGCGTGAGCCACCATGCCAGGCCTCCTCTTTCTTAAAAATAAAAACAAATCTTTAATTCAATTGTTTTTATTTCAGCTGCTCAATGAAAGATTTTTACATATTTAAAGATGATCAAATGATCTGATTTTTCTTTTTTTCTCCACCAAATATCCATCCCTGTTTAACATTCCCAAATCTTGAAATTTTTTTTGTGTCTTATCTACAAAACCTTTTTCATTTCCTGTAGTGACAATTCTTTATTTACTCAGGTCTACACATTGTACTCTAATATTTACCTATTATAAAGTGCATCCAGGTGTATAATCAGTTTGCATCTTAAAATACCTTATGGTGCCAGCAAGCATTTGTATTAGGCCCGTTTTGCAGATGTGGTACAGCAAGGTTTCTTGTCTGGTCTGTGATCACACAGCCAGGAATTCATAAACCTTTTTTCCAGCATACCAGACTGCATTGTGATGAGCCTGGCGGGAGGACACGAAACAGTTCCAATAAGCTATATGGCATGTGTCTGACCCAGTACTGTGCTTGCTTTGGGGAAAAATATTCTGTACATCACTGTGTATCTGCTGGCTTACTTTCGGCTCAAAGTTGCACAAGGAGCCAGTGTGACCTTGGTACTTGGTCCACTGTTTAAATACTGCCACGGTACTCTGCAGCCACAGCAAACAGGTTATGTGTTAGCAGAAGAACTGGGAGAGTGCGGTGAAATGAGCAAAAATTCATCCCCGGTAGGAGAAAAGGTGTGTGTTTCGGAGGAGGAGGATGTTCAATGGCATCATTTTTGTATAAAAGGACAGTCTTATCTACGTATCTGTCTTTACCGCATTACGCATAGGCAGCCCATCCCCACCTTGTGTGCTGTGCCATTTATTTCCCCTCATCTGATGCTCTGAGCTATTAAGCAACAGCAACAAAGAGATATCTCCTTAATGGTAACATATTGTCCTCAGCAAAGCCCAAAGATTGCATAGGGGCACTGCTGTGGAAATATGAAAAAAAAGTTAGTACTGCACTTTTGGGGGTGGATGTTTTCCAACTTATTTATTTTAGCCTTTTAGATGTTTCTTTTGGGACCAAATTATAGCTCTGATACTATCATTAGCACTTTAAATTATTGGTTACAGTGTATAAGGGAAATACAAGCTGCTTCTTGAACATTCCGCATTTTTAGTTAAACAGGGTGTTTCCTTTTTTGGTTGTATGTTGCTTGTTGTTCATCCTTATCATCACATGTGATCATGGTTCCTATCTGAACAGATCATCTTACTAATTGAGTGTCTGCAGATTGTTGCAGTTTAAGTATTTATTTTTATTTCTAATAATATTACAGAACTGGTCAATCACTTGAAGGGTAAACCGCTTTTCCTTACACAAACAGCAACAACTTTTCCCTCCAGTGTCTTTGTTTCTGAATCATAGAATTCCTGGTGATTGTGTTAGGAGCAGAAAGGGCACGCTTTGACTACTGAGACCCTGGGCTATGGTTGAGAAAGGCCAGAGAGGAAATTCCTCTTTGGATTTGTAAACAGACTTGTAAACCTAGGACGTTTTATGAGGACTTCATTAGGAGACAATAGATTCAGGACCCTGCTGTCATTTTTTTTTATAGTCAGAATTAGAGTGAAATGACACTTTAAAATAATAATTTCTCTTTTCTTACTCTTTCTTTCAGTCTTCCTTTCAAAGCTATTTTAAAAAAATGCATTGTACTTTCCTAACCTTTTCTCTAGTTTAGTGGCCAGCTCTTATTTTCATCTTGTCAGATTTCTTCTCATCCTTTTACGTCTACAGCCAGGAAGCCTCAGTAAATTACTCTCCTGGAGTCACAGCTGCTTTCTTCCTTTGAGAAACAATATTCTCTAGCTCTCCTTTTTCTCTTTCCTGTAGAGTTATATTCAACAGATACTATTTCCTTGTCTAAGAAGCAGTCATCTTTGAATTTTGCAGATTTAATTTCATTCTGGTAGCTTCAAACTTGAAAACACGATGAGTGATCTGATATATTTATTTCCATCCAAGAATAGCGGTGCGTCTTTTTCACAGTGTTGGGGCTTGGTTGAGGTCATTCCTTTCCATCTGAGCTGATCATGTATCCCATCGGTGTGCACTCACATATTTTAGAGTTGTTGAATGCTCATTGAATGCAGGGTACCATTAAATTTTGCAGGCTTCTTTCTAACTGTTATTTATACTCCCTGTGAAAACTTCAGTTATTTTTGTGACAGACATTATTTTAAACGGACAGTGGTGACAGTGACTATCCATTGATTATTTTTATTGAATTGTCCTCATGTGTACATATTATGGTCCAACCTTTTTAACATCCTTGTTATGACTTAATTTCCATTGTCCTTATTTAGCTTGAAAATTTACATTATTTCAACGATTTATATTACTTTTGTTTACTTAATTAAAGCCCCCTCTTGCTTTGAGTTTTCTCAATGTCATACTAGAGAACAAACTAGTACAGGTTCAGAGCTCAGGTACCAGTGTCTGAGTGCCTGTGTTTAAACTGCACCTTGCCACCAAACTAGTTATATGACCTGGGCAGGAAACACAGGTTCTTTGTGCCTCATTTCCTTTTCTCTATAATAGTGATAATCATATCACCTAACTCCTAGGCTGTTTTATGATTAAATTAGTTAAGTCATGTAATATGCCTAGAATGGAGTGGCACACAGCAAATGCTCCACAGCGGCAGCTATTGTCTTCATCTTTTATTGTTGTCACCTGGTGAGGACCACATCAGAAAGTTTATCCTCAAAATCTCTTACAAAACCTCATACTAGAAGTGGGTGCTCAAAACAGGTGTGAAGTAACAGTGGTAGGTAGAAAAATGCACTCCCACCCAAGATGTCGACTTCCACTTGGAACCTGTAAACATGTTAGGTTGTGTGGCTAGTGGGAATTAAGGTTGGAGATGGGCTTAAGGTTTCTCTCAGCTGGTTTTGAGATTAAGGAGATTATCCTGGATCTTCCTGTGGGTCTGATGTATTCACAAGGGTCCTTTAAATGTGAAAGAGGGAGACAGAAGGGTCAGTTTCAGAAAAATGCAAAGTGAGAAAGACTCAACGGGCCATTGCTGGCCCTGAAGATGCAAGGAGACCACCAGCCCAGGACTGCTGGCAGCCTGTAGAAGCTGGAAAAGGCCAAGAAATGGAAAATGGATTCTCTTTTCCCTAGAATGCAGCCCTGCCAACACCTTGATTTTTTTTTTTTTTTTTTTTTTTTTTGAGATGGAGTCTCGCTCTGTCGCCCAGGCTGGAGTGCAGTGGCGGGATCTCGGCTCACTGCAAGCTCCGCCTCCCGGGTTCACGCCATTCTCCTGCCTCAGCCTCCCAAGTAGCTGGGACTACAGGCGCCCGCCACCACGCCCGGCTAATTTTTTGTATTTTTAGTAGAGACGGGGTTTCACCGTTTTAGCCGGGATGGTCTCGATCTCCTGACCTCGTGATCCGCCCGCCTCGGCCTCCCAAAGTGCTGGGATTACAGGCGTGAGCCACCGCGCCCGGCCAACACCTTGATTTTACCTTGAACGATTTCAGACTTCAGACCTCCAGAACTGTTGTATAATAAGTTTGTGTTATTTTAAGCCACCAAGTATATGGTAATTTGTTGCTGCAGCAATAAGAAACTGATATAGTGACCGAGTGAATGAAAATATTAGTTGTTTGAGATCATGACACTAAAAAAGGGCAGATTTTCATTATGGTAATGACGTAATGTCTGGTACCATTTCTTAAAGCAGCAGATTCTAAACCTTCCTCGATCAGACTCATTCTTTTAAAATAATTCAGTGCACAAAATCATAAAATTTAATGGGGCCCATAAACCTCACTGAAGCCCTCCATTGGCCCCAGGTTATAACTCTTAAGTTTGCATGGGATTTTTAAAGGCTCAGTCAGTGGTGAGGTTTTAATGGTGAGCATAGGAACTTTCTGGACAGAGCGATCTTATGCTTTGAAGTTCTAAGTAAATGAAGGCTTTGTGAATGCTCATCAAAGCTACATGGTAATTTAGAGATCTGTACCCCTTGTTGTTCAGTCAAACTGAAACTTTAAAATTTTCTTTTCCATTTCTCATCTACTGTGGCAATGTCATGTCCCGTCACATGAGCCTTCTGTACTCACCACTTTTAAGAAAGATTTTGCATCATTAGAATAATTAAGTTGGTGTTCTAAAAAGTGATTTGAAAGCTAAAGTAACATTAGCATGATGGTTATTTTTAATAAGCCTTTTCCCAAGGTCTCATTTGTTTTAGAGCTGTCACGAAAACAGGTTTTTATCTCTGTATCAGGAAGTGTCAACATTTAGAGGAGATAGCATAGGAGGGGGTATGCTGTCTACTGGTACAGTTCTATTAATTCATTTAGTAAGTATTGATCTAAGGCCAACTTAGTTCCAGGCATGGTATTAGGGATGAGAGATGCCAATGATAGAGAAACTGGATGTAGTTTTAGTCCTCAAGGCACTTATAGTCTTATTCTGATCTTTGTTAAAAAGCAAATACCCATGCATCCGACAAAGGTCTAATATCCAGAATCTATGGAACTTAAACAAACAAGCAAAAAAAACAAACAACCCCATTTAAGAAAATGGGCAAAGGACATGAGCAGACACTTCTCAAAAGAAGACATACACACAGCCAACAAGCATATGAAGAAATGCTCAAC
The DNA here is from genome assembly GCF_000001405.40 of Homo sapiens. Taxonomy (NCBI): domain Eukaryota; kingdom Metazoa; phylum Chordata; class Mammalia; order Primates; family Hominidae; genus Homo; species Homo sapiens. The sequence continues at coordinate 29,235,292 of NC_000007.14, forward strand.
ATCACAAACCATTAGAGAAATATAAATCAAAACCACAATGAGATACCATCTCACACCAGTCAGAATGGCTGTTATTAAAAAGTCAAAAAAACGAGATGCTTGTGAGGTATGAAGAAAAGGGAACACATACACTGCTGATGGGAGTGTAAATGAGTTCAACTACTGTGGAAAGCACTTTGAAGATTTCTCAAAGAACTTACTAATAAAACAGAACTACCATTTAACCAAGCAACCCTATTACTGGATATATACCCCCCAAAATATAAATCATTCTACCATAAAGACACATGCAAGCACATATTCATCACAGCACTATTCACAATAGCAAAGACATGGAATCAATGTAGATGTCTATCAACAGCAAACTGGATAAAGAAAATGTAGTACATGTGCACCATGGAATACTATGTAGCCATAAAAAAGAATGAAATCATGTCCTTTGCAGCAACATGGATGGAGCCGGAGGCCATTATCTTAAGTAAATTCATACAGGAACTGACAACCAAATACCGCATGTTCTCACTTATAAGTGGGAGCTAAACACTGCATACACAGACACAAAGAAGGGAACAACAGGCACTGGGCCGGCTTGAAGGTGGAGGGTGGGAGGAGGATGAGGATTCAAAAACTACCTATTGGGTACTATGCTCATTACATGGGTGACAAAATAATCTGTACACCAAACCCCCATGACACACAGTTTGTCCGCGGAACAAACCTGTGCATGTATCCCCTGAACCTAAAATAAAAGTCGGACAGGAAAAAATAAAAAGCAGATACCCTCTGGAGGTATGGTTTAAATGTTGCAGCCATTGTTTACTTTCTAGCAAATAGGTTTATCAGATCTTGTCTTGAAATAAGCTTCCCTGGAGGAGAAAGGAGTTTAGAAGTACAAGGAGAGCCTGAGGGGAAGAGTAGAATTTCTGTGAGAAGATAAAAGGCATGATAAGTGTATACTGAGGCCAGTGAGTAATACCCTCACTTGTCTCTTGGATTTCTCCAATAGTGGATCCTGACTATTCTTACAAGTTCCCCTATAGAGTAATTGACAGTGAGATCATCCCAGGCCTGGTTTGAAGCCCATCTTTGTGACTCAGTAAATACATTGGTTGTCCTAGTGTGTCTGGCATTTCTTGCAGCCCTCTGCATGGAACTTGCCGTGGCCATTTGCAAGGTTGCTCCTGTGCAGTCAGTGAAGAGCTGCCACTACATGAGTTGTGATTTCACACACAACTGCAATATCTTCTCCCTTAGCCTGGACCCTAGAAGACCTAGGACATTCTCCAACTAGATTTGCTGAAGGACTGAACGTGGGAGTGAGATCAGAGACATGTATTGTTTCTTGTTGCTGCTATAACAAATTATCTCAAATCTAATAGCTAACATAATACAAAGTTACCAGCTTGCACTTATGTAAGGTCAGAGTTCTCAAATGGGTTGGCAAATGGGTTCCTTCTAGGGGCTCTAAGGGAGAATCAATTTCCTTGCCTTTTCCAGCTTCTAAAGGCTGACCATATTCCTTGGCTCATGGCCCCACATCACCCTCACCTCTGCTTCTGTCATCACTTCTCTTGACTCCTGCCTCCCTTTTATAAAGCCTCTTGTGATTACATTAGGCTCACCCTGGTAATTCAAGATAATCATCCAACTCAAAATCCTTCATCATAGCTGCAGAGTCCCCTTTGCTGTGTAATGTAAGGTATTCAGAGGTTCCAGGGAAGAGGACATGGACATCTTTAGTGCCATTATTCTGCCTACCCCAAGGTGCCAAGGATGACAGTACCGAAACAGCTGAAGTGCTTTCTTTGCTAACAGCCTGCCAACCAATACCTAAGCTCCACCTAGTTTTTGGAGCTACACAAACCTTTATAACTCCAGGATGGCCCTTTTCCATTTTCCATTATAATGTATGAGATAGAAAATATTTCAATGTGATTAGAATTAGCAGTGTCTTATCTCACACTTGGCTCAGTGGGAAAAGTTGGTGGAAAGTGTTAGATTTCCAGGCTCTGTGCCTTGCCTTTGCAGGTCTGTAAATTCCTCATCAGATTCCTGATGTTTCAGTAACTCCTCATCCCATGCCTTTTAAAGTGTGCTTCAAACCGCATATTTTTGGAGGAATATGACATACCTTTTCAACACGTGTTTGTCTAAAGCTATTCTGAAGATTTCAGTTTTATGTCTTCTTAGAAGTCATCACAAAACTTGATTTTTTTTTCCAGATAACTTCAAAAGTCTAATGGAAAAGAGAAAGGAAAAAATTTAAAGCATCTCAATGGAGTAAGTGCCTTTGCCAGAAACTTTTCTGGGTTCCTTTCTGTCCAACATCTAACCTCTAGGCTAAAGCAGACAGGAAAGGAGGTTGCAGGGTTGAGCCTGGAGGCAGGAGATCAGCTCTGAGCCAGGAGATTAGGCAATAGAGCTGGAGGCCTCAGAGCCAGACAAACAGAAGTTCCAAAGCCAGATAAATGAGAGATGCATATAGGAGACCAGTGGACAAAGGAGGGGTTGAATAATGCTTGCAGAGTGGACAGCTCTCGCACATGAAAAATTCTAGCCATGGTGTCATCCTTTGTACGTGCTTCCGAGGGGCCAGGAAGTTTAAAAGGAGCAGAACTATCTTTCCTGCTGCACGGCACAGCATTGTGTTATGTGGTCCTGCAAGTCTCTGTCACTCCATCATCTGAATCTGTGTCACACACTCATACTTTAATATGTATTCTCTTTTTTTTTTTTTTTTTTTTTAGAAGGAGTGTCACTCTGTCACCCAGGCTGGAGTGCAGTGGTACGATCTCGGCTTGCTGCAACCTCCACCTCCCGGGTTCAAGCGATTTGCCTGCCTCAGCCTCCCGAGTAGCTGGGACTACAGGCGTGTGCCACCACGCCCGGCTAATATTTTTGTATTTTTAGTAAAGATGGGGTTTCACTGTGTTAGCCAGGAAGGTCTTGATCTCCTGACCTCAGGATCCGCCTGCCTTGGCCTCCCAAAGTGCTGGGATTACAGGCGTGAGCCACCGCACCCGCCCATATATATTCTTTATGAAATTAAAACTTCGGGTCTGTTATGTGTATTATCCCCTAATTTCATGTCATCAGGCAGACCATTAAATACTTTTGCATGGGGAATGATCATATGTAAGTATGATCTTTAAAAATAGCTTATAGAAATAATATGTATTTATTCATTTATTTAACATATATTGATCATGAGCTATGTGCCATGGATTCTTCTAGGCACCGAGGGTATGGTAGTTAACAAGACACATAAATGTATTGAGGATTGTCTTTAAGGAGCTTATGTTCTAGCTGAGAGTTACAACAACAACAAAAATAGGTACAATTTAGGGAAGAAAAAATGGGGCAAATATGAGGATATAAAGTATTAAGAAGGGCTGAATTTGAGATAGGATGATCAGGGAGGGCCTTCCCAAGGTGGGGACTTTTAGCAAAGCCTAAATTAAATGAGGGGACTGGTTAGTGGATATCTGGGGAAAGAACATACTAGGTAGGGGAAGAGCCAGGACAAAGACCCTGAGGTGGGAACATGCCTGGAGTGTTCAAAGAACAGCAAGAGAGCCAGAGTGGCTGGAGAAAATGAGCAAGGCGGGGCAGTAGTCAGAAGGAAGTTGGCGTGTGTGAGGAGAGGGTGGTTCATAGATCTTAGGAGATCGTGTAGGTCACAGCAGAGGCTCTGTCACTCTGAGTGCATGGGACATCACTGGAAGCAGCTGAACTGGCAATGATGTGACCTGACTTTTATTTTCATATGATCGGTCTGGCCTCTGTATGGAGAAGGGACTACAGGAGGCATGGGCAGAATTAGGTGCAGCATTTAGGGGACTGTTCCAATAATCTCAAAGGGAGATGATTGCTCAGGCCAGAGTGATGGCAGTGGGAGTGACATATGCTTGAATTTTGAGGGGTTTGAAGGTAGAGCTAGAACAGGATTTGCTGACTGTCTGGACATGGGGGTGAGAGCATGTGGAATCAGGAATAATCTTAAAGTTGTTGACCTGAGCAACTGAAGAATGAATAGAGGTGCCATTAACTGAGATGGAAAAGATGTTAGGAGAAGCAGGTTTGGGGAAATCATCTATAGTTCCACTGGGACATGTTCAGTTTGATATGCCCATTAGACGTGTCAAATAGGCAGTTGGATAAACAGATCTGGAATTCAGAAAAGATGTGCTGGCTGGAGATATGAAATTTTACACACACACACCCCTCAACAAGCCATCCACTCTCACACTTTCTAAAAAATCTGTCACATTAATTCTAGCCTTCATTCAACCCTACCTTTCATATCACCTCCCTACCTTGGCCTAAGTCTCAAAGTTCTTACAAAAAGCTCTTGTCCCATTGGTTCAGGGCTTCTTCCCACATTCTGATCTGATTCCTCCAGATCACATATCCTGGCCTCAGTGCTTGGATTCTCTTGCTGAGCCTGGCCTGGGAGTTGCAAACTCCTCTGCATAGTGCTCAGAGAGTTGAAGTAATTCAGTGAGGTGGGGAGTTTGGGCAACTGCAGAGCACATGCCCCACCTAAAGAGGGCAGCACTGGTCCCCTCCCACAAAGTGCTCCTATCAGGGAGAGGGACCCATTGTTGCCCGTTCTTCTAGTTAAGCTAGAAATCTAGATTTTTTTAAAAAAATGCATAATCTGCTAATTTTTAGACATTGGCAACTAACTCAAACATTTTTTCAAGACCCTGTGAGCCAAACAAAATATATCTGGGGCCAGATCCAGCCCGCAGGCAGCCACCCTTTTACCAATGATGATCCCACTGAATGGGCTGACTGGCTGGCTTTGGCATTTGGCCCTTGGATGGAGCCAATTGAGGTATCCACCTTGGGCTTCCCTAGTGCAGGCTGAGGCCATGAACCACCACACCCTAGGAAGGCTCTTGGGGTACACTGTCCCCTGAGCCTGGCCCCCAAGGACCTGCTTATCTGAAAAGGAGGATGAGGTGCCTTCCCCGGGAACTATTTGAAGAGCATTTGGTCCCCTTTCCCCTTCACCCCTTCCCTCCAGTGTTGTATCTCACTTCAAAAGCAGAATGAGTATTGACTCCATCTCTTAGGTGAGACAGGTAGGAGCTATTGAATCAGCACATCTGACATCTGTCTTAAATGCTTGATGGTGAAAAAGATTGCAAAATCATAGCTGAATGACAGTCTGAGGCAGAAAGCTAGTCTTGGGCAGGTAGAAGAAACTATATATTTTTTCAACAATTATTTATTGAATACCTGCTAGGGACCAGTTATTTTACTATGTGCTGTGTGTACAGAAAAAAGATAAAATGCCATCTACTCCTATGAGATTCACAGCCTCTTGGAGGAGACAAATATGAAAAGAAACAAATCATAGCATCATGAAAAGAACCACAGGCCAGCAATGCCACAGACCAAAGATGAGGGTGGGGGGCGGTGGGGAGTGGGAGGGCTGTCAAACAAGGTGTGGTGTTGCAGGACTTTTTCTTTCTTCTTCTTTTTCTTCTTCTTCTTCCTCTTCTTCTTCTTCTTCTTCGTCGTCGTCGTCGTCGTCTTCGTCTTCATCTTCTTCTTTCTTCTTTCTTCTTCCTTCTTCCTTCTTCCTTCTTCTTCCTTCTTTCTTCTTCTAGTCTCACTGTGTTACCCAGCCTGGAGTGCGGTGAGGCAATCTCAGCTCACTGCAACCTCCACCTGCCAGGTTTAAGTGATTCTCCCACCTCAGCCTCCTGCACAGCTGGGATTACAGATGCATGCTACCACACCCAGCTAATTTTTGTATTTTTAGTAGAAACAGGGTTTCACCATGTTGGCCAGGCTGATCTTGACCTCCTGACCTCAAGGGATCCTCCCGCCTCGGCCTTCCAAAGTGCTGAGATTACAGGTGTGAGACACAGTGCCTGGCCTAGACTTTTTCTTAGTTCAGTCAGAGACGGGGTTCTTTGTCCCATGGCCATGAAAATTCAGGCTCGCAGACAATTTGAATGGTGACTAAAACAGGGTTTTATTGGGTGAAAAGGAAGAAAAGGGGGGAAACAGGGTCTCTCACTAGGCCAGAGTCCCTGCTAGAGTGCTTCCCACCTGGCCTTTGGAATCTCAGTTTCCACATAGAAAGAGTGGGGGCCAGGCTCCTCCCCAATGCAAACTGTGCAAACTTCTCAAGGTTCCACCCCAGTGTGCATTCCTCCCAGTGCACAGGCTGGTTAGAGATTCTCTGGGGACCCTCTCCCGCCTGGCTGTCTCAGTGGTAGCTGAGCCAAGTTTTGGAAAATGAAAAGGAGCCTACCAGGCAGACCATGGGGGGAAACCTTCTAGAACATGGGGGCAGTTCAGGAACTCTGTAGTCTTAGTGAGAGTCACACTTTTCCTTAAAGGGTGAAGGAAAGGGCAAAGCTGGGCAGGAGGGGAGGGAGAGAGGGTAGGAGAGAGTGCCAGGTAGTAGGTCCTGAAGGAACTTGTCCAGGAGGAGGAAAGACGGCCTCACAGTTTCCCATCTGCTAGATGGGCTAGTGGCAAACTAGAGGGCTGAGTGGCAAACATAATTTTAGTTTGAGAGGTAAATAAACAAATAAACAAAAATCTCCTTTCTTCTCCCAAAATTTATGCCAAGAGGAGAGCCACCATCCACCTAGGCAACTTAAGAAGAAAGTTTGATGTAATCTTCATTAATTACCTAGAGATCTCATGCTATGCATATAAGATATGGAACATAATAGTAATATCAGACACTTCCATGGTGTTTACCATGTGCAAGGCATTGTCCCAAGGGCTCTATACACAGGTGCATTTGTAGAACTCATTTAATTCTCACAACCATCCTATGGTTGTGTAACTCATCTATTTCTCTTTGTAGTTAAGCGACTTGCCCAAATGTCATGTAGCTTATAAGTGACAGAAACAGGCATGGAACCTAGGCAGGCTGCCTCTAAAGGACATATATCTATTTCTACCATGTCACAATCCTCACCAAAGGCTTTGGAAGGCAGATAGCAAACCTCCAGCAACCAGAGACTGTGCTGCTGTGTCTGTATAAAACTATCTCTCTGGCGTTGTTGAGAGTAAAAATTAAAAGTGCCAATCACCAGAGACCCCACCTTAATTCAAAGGGCAATGGGAGCTGCACATTAACTGTGGCTGCCCTCTGCATACTGCTGGCTGTGATGTCAACACTGTGTTTATATGAAATCCTTCAGCCAATGGCAGCATCTTTAAGGCATCAGCCGTTTGCTTGCAGAATGGGCTTCTCAGTTTTTTACGCATTTTTTTTTTCTTTCTAGAACTGGGTTCAGGTGGATAGGCTCTAAATAGAATACCATGCCAATGCCAATTATATTCAGAAAGTATTGCAATTTCTCTTTGATGCTTATTTACATTAATTAAGAGCAAACTTAGATAAAGAAGGGTACAAGTTTAAATGCTAAAATCCTGAAGTGAGATACTTTATAGTCTGGAAAAATATACAGAACTGACTTTCCTTCTGAAAAAAAAAAAAAAAAAAAAAAAAAAGGACAGGAAGAAAAGTGAAAGATTCAGATGACATTTCTATGAGGAAAGTGGTAATTGTGATTCTCAGGGTGAATGCTTGTCTTTTTATTTCATGACAACTTTTTTTTTTTCTGGAAATGAGCTTTAAACTTTCCACACATGTTAAAAAATATTTTCACGTGCAGGGAAACAGATTAATTTTATTAATACCTTAATTATTTATATAATTGACAAGCAAGCATACAAATAAATATCACTGAGGGAGATATTTGTGAAAATTTTTAATGGACATATTTTGTGTTTTCTGTGAGCTGGGTTAGTTCTATTAGAAATCTATTTTAATCTAATCAGTTAATTACTAAGATGTAAATACGGCATGGGGAGGATTTTACTTTTCAGAAAAATAGGACTCAATTTTTTCAATTTTTTTAATGTTATGGGAAAACTCCAAGAACAAAAAAAGCAATCTTTTACAAATATGTGACTTCTTTTGTTTTTATGTCTCATTTTTCATAGAACAATTCTATTCCTGGCATTTTCCACCCAATTTGAGACCATCATAGTCCACTGAATATAGATGCCCTTCACTTTGGGTCACAAGTGTAATCCTGAAAAATTGTAGACCAGTCAGAGTTTTCTAAGTTGAATCAGCTAAACTGCATGCACTTTTTTTTCCAAGGGGATTCTATGGGAAGTCCTTTGGGGAAATGAATAAAACCATTTATATGACAATATCTTCATTTGCCTATTTTTACATTCGGATTTTAATCTACCAGTTTATTATAAAGTAGGGAGTTTATCATAGTTTATTATAATTTTACTTTGTGTATGTTGTACAGATTTTGAATGAGAAGGATCTTAAAATACTCCAGAAGTTTTTTTGCAAAATATTTGCAGGTAGGTGCTCATCACTGGTTGGGGTGGGACAAATTAGAAGAGACAGACAAGGAGAGTTTCACCAGCCTCAAGGCTACAGAGGGAAAGAGAATCCAAAATTCCCACATTCGTTGTTAGCGTTCTTGCCAGTATATCCTTTCAATGTTGAATACGTAATTTAAATAAGTCTGAAATTAATTACAGTTTATCTCCATCACAACTCTATTTTTAGATGTCAAAGTGCACTCAAGTCAAACTACCAGTCAAGATCTTGCCGATCTGAACATTCAGTGCCTCTCTTTTTAAAAAGAAGTTGCCCCTGTAACAGCACACTGGATTGTTCTATTGTTAACACTAAGGAGGGAACTTCCTGATTTTTTTCTTCATTTTTAGTTAGTGGTTTCTAAACTAAAAAGGAAACATTGAATGGTGCTTAGTTTTAAGTCTGTGGGTTAATGCATTATTTTCTCTCCCCACACCCACTTTCCCCTTTCCTCATCATTATCTTAAGTGATGTGTTTACTTATTGATGCTCTCGGGCTGTCATTTCCGAGTCTGGGATTTCCCCTTCTGCTTTTCAGTTGTAATTTTGATGAGCAGACAAGGTGGTATAGAGAACAGATAGAGGTGGCCCTGGGTAACCCCTCTCATTGGCTGGTGACAGAATGTCTAAGACCATGAAGCATACAATCCACCTCCCACACAGAGGGATGCACCAACCAAGTTACTCTTGTAAGTGACTGAGTCCTCCCTCAGTCATTTCTGCTATTCTCTGTGGGAATTTCAAAGCAAGCATTTTTGTCTTAAGGCAGCAAGGTGAGGGCTTCAAGGCTGATAGGTTTCACCTCTAGGGGCAGCGCCGACTATCGGCAGATACTGAAGCTGTGCATTGAGGATGGTGAGGCTGGACCTGCACCACCAGGAAGGAGCCCCGATCGATTAGAAATGTCTGCCTTGGGTAAGGAAGAAGGAAGTGGTGTACGTGCGCGCCATATGTTGTCATCTCCCTGGTACTATGTGAACACCATATATTGTCATCTCCCTGGTATGGAGCTTACAGATCTTGACTGGTAATCAGGAAACTGGGGTTTTCATCCCAATTCTGCCATAATGACCAGTGTAACGTTGAGCAAGTTAAATTCCCTTACTTTGGTTTCCTGGTCTTTTAAGGAGGCGTGAACTCTCCCTCTATATAAACCTTCTAGACCTCAAACTCTGTGATCCCAGGCCCCATCACCTGTGGCTGTCCATTGTTCATGAGATAAGTACTGAATCTTCATCTTGGTCTTTAGTTCTCTCCCAGTGTGACCTTACACTACTTTTTGGGCCGTGTCTTCAATTTCTTATTCATACTGGCCAGGCCAGATTACCTATGGTTTCTTGAACATGCCACACACTTTCCTGTATCGATTTCTTCAGTAAGGTCTCTACCTGCAATGCCTTCTGTCTTTCCCTCTTCTCTGCTTATTAAAATCCTACCTATTTTTTATTAAGACTCTGCGCCTCATAGAATTTCTTCTTTATGGGAACTTTATTACTTTACTATTTATTACAGTTGACTGTGGATTTTTCAAGCGGTCCTTAACTAATCTGTAAATTCAAGGTGGATAGGATCTGTGTTTCAAGCATCCAGTGTCCGTGGACTCTCTTCAATGTCTAATCAGGCTAACAAAAGGTAGTGAACATTTCTTTAAAGAGGAAAACAGAAACCAGGGAACAATGATAGAATTAAAGTGGCAAGAAGATACATTTAAGTTAGCACATACTTAGTATCTTTTGAATTTGGGCAAAACAAGGTGGTAGGTACTTCAGTGGGGACAAGTAAGAGTAAGAAATAGTCTGTTTTCAAGGAGCTTATAACATAATAATGATAATGATAATATTTTCCATTTATTTTATGCATTTTTAACCACACCCTTTACGTGCATTATGCATTCCTAGAACAACTCTGCAAGGTATTATCATCACTATTTTACCAATAACAAAGATGTAGCCCACAGAATTTAAGGGATTTGCCCAAAGCCACACAGCCAGTACCTGGATGCCTGGCTTGAGAACCTGAGCTAATTACAGGACTGACATTGCCTCCCTGGTGGGGACTGTATGACAAGGACTAGCAGAACCCTGTGCACACACTCACGACTTTCACATTTCCACGCCTTTACTCCGCTCTTCAGGCCACTTGGAACACTTCTCTTCCACACCTCTCAGCTTGTGGAATTGCTTCCCATGCTTCAAATACATCTTGGATATCTCCTTGTCGAAGCCTTTGCTGCTGGGCTCCTGATAAGGAGGGGCTCTGTGCACATAGGCAAAATGAATGCATTAATGCCAACTTCATCTTCTTTTCCATTAGGAAGGCTCTAAGGGTGAGGTAAGGATATCTAATAAAATGTGACGAGGGAATTTTGTTTCATTCAGCAAACATCCATAGAGCACTTGGCAAAGTCTTGGTAGCATACCAAGGAAGTTGTGTTACCAAGAGGAAGACCCCTAGTGTAAAGCAACTTTCCCCTGCTTTCTAAAAGAGGCTGTGGCAACACCCATGATGACATCAACCTGTAGGATTTATGCTGCCTGGAGAGAATTACTTCTTGTCTCAGGCAGAACCGGAGAGGTTCCCAGAGATCTCTTGTCTCTTTCCTGGTCCTGCTCCACGTGGCTGGGAGGGTTGGGGGTAGGTGGGCACTGATGTGGAGTGGACAGTCTCAGAGGGACTTATTTGCTGGTAGTTGCTAAACCAGAATAGTCTTCTGGAAGACCATCAGAACTTCTTCCCTCCTTGTTTCCAAGGAGTGAAGGGTCAAAGTAAAGCCATTATTGGCATAGTTTCTATTCATTGATTTCCCTGTTAGTAAGTGATGGGTTTGAAATGTGATCCATATGGCTCACAGGGGCCATTGAGCACCTGCTTGCAGGTGCTATGGAGTCAAAGGTAAACAAGGCACATCCATGGCTGAAAGGTAGCTCACATAACTTAAGTACGTGTCTTAGTCCATTCAGACTGCTATAACAGAATACCCTAAACTAGGTGGCTTATAAACAACAGAAATTTACTTCTCACAGTTCTGGAGGCCAGGAAGGCCAGGATCAGGGCACCTGCAGATTTAGTGTCTGATGAGAGCCTTCTTCCTCATAGATGGTGCCTTTTCACTGTGCCCGCACATGGTGGAAGGGATGAGGGAGCTCTCTGGGGCTGCTTTTATAGGCACTAATCCTGTAATGAAGGGCCAGCTCTCATGAACTAAACACCTTACAAGGGCCCCGCCTCCTAGTACTATTACCTTGGGGGTTAGGATTTGGCAGACACACAAACACTCAGTCCGTAGCAGTGTAGAGTGGCATGTATCATGTGGGGGTCATAATGGAGGTGTGTACCTTGTATTGTATGAGATCAGAGGAGGCTGTAGGGTCTGTTGAGCCTGGGAGTGTCAGAGTATTTCATGGAAGTGTTGGCATCTTTGCCTGGATTTGAAAGATGGATGGGATTTCATCAGGCTGAGAAGGTGGGATAGGAGGGCACTCCAGGTAGAGGGAACAGCAAGTGCAGAGATAAGAGTAGGGAGAGCGGTTTGGCATCTGAGCTTGGGGACTGAGATCAGAGGCATAGTAAGAATCACAAATTTTGGATTTCTGTTTCAAATATTACTGATGTTTATGTGATCACACAGTGACCCAAGGTTGCCAGAACAGACATTTCCTCCCTGCCACATGTGTCACACAGGCCTGGCTGCCTCCTTTCACCCCTCTCCGGCACTCAGGGAAGTGGCTGCCCACACCCTCCACAGAATCAGGTGCCCATTTGCCCCAGGGCCACATGCTTCCCCCAGCCTTCTGCCCACAGCCCTCCTTGACCTGCTTCCTGAGCTCAGCTTGCCAGAGACTGCCTCAGTGCCCCAGCATTGTTTACTGTCTGTGCAGTGGCTAAGAAGGGGCCAGAATTTATTTGTTCTTTCCCCTTGCAAAGATTGTCAGCTCCTGGGTGACAGAAAACAAAACAAAATACGCAAAAAAGCCTCACCGCCCCGATGGTGCCTCACGAACCCTGCCCTTTCACAGCCAGCCTTGACCTTGGTGGTATCACCGCCTGATCCACTGGGAAAGGAGCTGTTCTGTTATTTCCTCTGCCAGCTTTCTCTTTCCATGGCTTTGCTTTCCAATTAAAAACACAACAAAGCAAAACAACAATCATGCAACCCCCAAATCCTCTCTGCTCTTTATCCTCAGGTGGTCAGTGTTTATACTGTTTTTGATTTTAGTTGAGTCATCATTTTTATAGAAACAGCATCATTGCATGTGAAACCATGTGCTTTCTCTGCCTTGTTCAGGCAGTGATGCCAGAGTAGGCCAGTCCACCATGTCTGTAAGAGCAGAGCTCAGAGACCAACCAGCTGGCAGTGGGTTTGAGGAGGGCTGGAGGGCGTCTGGGGCTTGGAAAGTAGGCCCTGTCCCTTGCAGCGAAGCACAGACATTAGATGTGATCTGACTGTGTTGCAGGTGATGGGAACAAGTCTGGCCAGGCAGTTGAAAGTGTGGGCCAGAGCGTCTGGAGAGAAAGTACTAGAGCAGGCAGTGGTCCTAGCAGCTGGTGGCAATATCAGGAAGAAGTGACATGTGCTATCGGACCAGAGACCTGAGCTCTAGACTGGCAGCCACATGGGACACTGGTTCTTGCAGTCAGACCTGCCTTCAGCCTGCTCCCTTGCCAACCTGCGACCCTAGTCTTCCTCCAGCTCATTAACCAAGTCTCCCACCCTGTTGTCTGCAGCTTTCAGTTCTTCCTCTTAACTTCTGCTGTTGTGACGTTAGTTTGGGCCCTGCGTCTCACCCGGATGGCCATGATCAACCTGCTGATGAATTCCCTGCCTGGAGTCTCCTCATCAGGTCTGCCTTTAGGCCACTGCCAGGTGTCATTCCCCAAAACACAGTTCTGATCGTGTCATCGCACTATCCGCAGAGCTCTGGTGGTTCCCTCCCTCTTAAGCCTGGCATTTCAAGGCCTCAGTCTTCTCTGCCTCTCTTGTGCTCTGAATATTTCCTGTAGATTCTTACTTTTTTCCCAGTGCTTCAAACCTGAACCCTCAGCAGCATCTACTGGGGAAACGAAACATACGATTCTCAGGCTCTACTTTGAGAGACACACACCAGTAAGTTGGGTGCTGGAACCTGAATACTTCATGTTTTAAGCTCTGGCCATGTGACTCTGGAGATGAGCCGGGCTTAGAATCCTGTGTCTCTGTCATGCCATTCCTGTACCCTGTGTGCCCTCTCTCATCACCAGGCCTATCTGTTCTTCTTGTTCCAGATCAGTTGTTACTTCCTCTTGAGGAGTTCTGTGATTCCAGTAGTCAAAAACAAGTTCTTCTTTTGCCCCTGTTTTGGTCAGGGTTCTCTAAAGAGACAGACTCAATATGATAGCTAGCTAGCTGGATAGATATAGAGACAGGAGAGGTGATTTATTTGGGGGATTGGCTCTTGTGGTTATAGAGGCCGAGAAGCCCCATGACAGCCCATCTGCAAGCTGGAGACTCTGGCATGCTGGTAGCATGGCTCAGTCCAAGTCCAAAGGCCTCAGAGCCAGGGATGCCGATGGCATAACTCTCAGTTTGAGGCCAAAGGCCTGAGAACCGGCGGGGCTGCTGGTGTAAGTTCCGGAGTCCAAAAGCCAGGGAGCCTGGGCTTATTGTTCAAGGACAGGAGAGGAAGAGTGTGTCCCAGCTCCAGCAGACAGATGGACACATTCACCTTTTCTCTGTTTTTGTTCTTTCCAGACCCCCAGCTGGTTGGATGGTGCCTGCCCACATGGAGGGCCGATCATCCCCACCTAACCCACTCAGACTCACATGACAACGTCCTCTAGAAACACCTTCACAGACACTCCCAAAATAATGCTTTACTAGGTTTCTTTTCTAAGTGTTCTTTAACCAGGCAAGTTGACACCTAACCGTCACAACCCGCTAGGTTGTCCTGCGGCCTTTCTGCTCTAAGCCATTTGTCTTTTTCCTGCTGGATTACAGGTTATTTGAGTGTAGAGAATGTATTCATCCACGTGTATCTTGCAGCTTCCAGGAAAGCAACTTAAGCTTAATAGCCGCTCCAATGTGAAAGATATTATGGAATAAATTGTCAAAAAAGACAGATATTACATTTACTTTTGTGATAGTTTACATCTATAAGGAAAAAATAGGAAAGACTTTTCAGGAATGGTAGCGACATGAATACCAATAACCAATTCCATTCTTTAAAAATTTAAAAATGTGAATTTAAACAAGTGGCAATTTTAGTTGTAAAACCATATGTAAGAATTACCTTTTCTTCTACTCTCTTGCCTGGTGAAGAGAGTCTAAGGCTTCTGAATATATCTGCATTGCCAAGACCTTACCGACTTAACCATATTTAGCACAACATGTGATTTTATTGTTCATCTGCAACTATGTTGTCTGTTATATTTGCTTCTGTTCACTACCAGAGACATCAGTTAGCTCAGATTTCTATTAACAGGCATAATGTCATGGCACTCCCTGGGATGAAAGAAAGAGAGCAGGAATTAGCCATTTGTAGCTTTTACAGCACCACCTTTATCAATATATTCCCATTTAAAAATATCCTTTTATCTGCATTGCAAAAATGAAATTATATAGCCATTACCAAAATTAGATAGGAGATTCATTGGATCAGAAGTGCTTTCTTTCTAATCCTTAAATGACCAAAGGGTTCTTCTTTGATAATTCTATAACAGAGTTAAAATTCCTTTTATCCTGAAATGTTACAGATAGGAGATTAACCTAGTTATGCTTCACCCATGTAAGGAGTGCATGTCTCACAGAATCAGGCAACAGCAACAGAGGTGTCTGATGTAGGAAGGTACAGAAGACATGAGACTTTCATGAATTATAACATGACTCCTTAAATAATACAAAAGTACTTTACAAATAATTAGACTATTTTAGACTAGGAACTCTGATTTCCGGTTAAACCTTAAGTTGCTTCCTACTTGTTGATGTGTAATAATGTACATGGAGCACCACACCTAGTAAGAAGACTCTTCCCTTTTTTTACCTGAACTTCTTCTTTTTTTTTTTTTTTTTGAGGCAGAGTCTTCCTCTGTCACCCAGGCTGGAGTACAGTGGCACAGTCTTGGCTCACTGCAACCTCTGCTTCCAGGGTTCAAGCGATTCTCCTGCCTCAGCCTCTCAAGCAGCTGGGATTACAGGCACCCGCCACCATGCCAGGCTAATTTTGTATTTTTACTAGAGACGAGCTTTCACCGTGTTAGCCAGGCTGGTCTCGAACTCCTGACTTCAGGTGATCCACCCGCCTCAGCCTCCCAAAGTGGTGGGATTACAGGCATGAGCCACTGCACCCAGCTTGCCTGAACTTCTTTACAATTTAGTAATATTTTGATCACTTATTAATTATGGGCAAGGATGGCAAAATTGAATAGAAATACTAAAGTTAATCAGTAAACATTTGTTATATATCTACCATGCAGGATGTTTTGCAAGGGATTATGATTTAAAATAAAATACCAGACCAGGCATGTGGCTCAGGCCTGCAATTCCAGCCCTTTGAGGGGCCAAGGCTGGCGGATCGCTTGAGCCCAGCAGTTCGAGATCAGCCTGGGCAACACTGCAAAATCCTGTCTCTACAAGAAAATACAAAAGTTAGCTGGGTGTGGTGACATGTGCCTGTTGTCCCACCTACTTAGGAGGCTGAGGTGGGAGGATCTCTTGAGCCTGGGAGGTCAAGACTGCAGTGAGCCGTGATCATGCCGCTGCATTTCAGCCTGGGCAACAGAGCAAGATTCTGTCTGAAAAAAATAAAATAAAATAACATAAAATAAAATAAATAAAATACCTGCCTTCTAATAAGATTACTTTTTAGTGTTGTTATAGGGATGAGATATATATCAAGCACCGAACATGGTGAGTACTGAATAAATGCGAGGCAGTGTTTTCAAGGTAACTTCGTGTAACTAACACTTACACAGAATTTCAGAGAGAATAAGATAATTCAGACATATTAGTAATATTTGATAAACAGAGATTTCACTCTTTCCTCAACATAGTGTTCTGAGATTGAAATGAAGAGAAATATGTCAGTACATGAAAACTGTGAGTGTTTACTTTCAACTGTGAAAACGAAGCCAGATTTGGAACTAGTAAGGTATTCATCACAAAAATAGAACCTAATTATATGTAATTGAAGATAGGGCTTGATGCATGGCACTTATTTTAGAGATTCAAACATGTAAAATAAGGGTGACAGTGGTTTTTGAAGGTGCTTTAAATTTTATATCCATCTCAAAAATCTTACACATGCTATATATACTTAAATAGACCAAATTCATTCTCATTAACCCACAAACAGCAATAGAAAGGCTCTGGGCTAGGAGAGAAACTGAGGTTTAGGTAAAAATTTTGCCACTGTGGCAAGTTGAATAATGTCCCCCCAAATTTATGTCCATCCAGAACCTTAGAATGTGATCTTGTGATCTCATTATGCAAATTGGGCATAATAAAACCTACCACATAAGATTATACAGGATTTTTTTTTTTTTTTTTTTTTTAGACAGTCTTGCTCTGTTGCCCAGGCCGGAGTGCAGTGGTGCCATCTCAGCTCACTGCAACCTCCACCTTCCAGGTTCACGAGATTCTTCTGCCTCAGCCTCCCGAGTAGCTGGGACTACAGGCACCCGCCACCATGCCCAGTGAATTTTATGTATTTTTAGTAGAGATGGAGTTTCACCGTGTTAGCCAGGATGGTCTCAAACTCCTGACCTCATGATCTGCCAGCTTCAGCCTCCCAAAGTGCTGGGATTACAGGCGCAAGCCACTGCACCCGGCCGATTATACAGGATTACACGAGATAGTCTGTAAGTACTTGGTACATGCACAGTTGGTATTTATTTGCTGTTTGTCTAAAATTGCATTCTTTGTTTTTTTTTTTTTTTTTTTTTTTTTTTTGAGACGGAGTCTCGCTCTGTCGCCCAGGCCAGACTGCGGACTGCAGTGGCGCAATCTCGGCTCACTGCAAGCTCCGCTTCCCGGGTTCACGCCATTCTCCTGCCTCAGCCTCCCGAGTAGCTGGGACTACAGGCGCCCGCCACCGCGCCCGGCTAATTTTTTGTATTTTTAGTAGAGACGGGGTTTCACCTTGTTAGCCAGGATGGTCTCAATCTCCTGACCTCATGATCCACCCGCCTCGGCCTCCCAAAGTGCTGGGATTACAGGCGTGAGCCACCGCGCCCGGCCCTCTAAAATTGCATTCTTATGCATCTTATAGAGAGTGAGATTTCAGTTTAAGGAGAAGAAAAAATATTTTCTACAGGACCATCCAAACATGTAAGTGGCTTCTCATGGGACAGTTTCCCATCACGGGAAAGATATAAGTCGATTCTTAGTCATCCAGAGTGTTGAAGACAGTGTATCAGTTAGAGACTGAGTTTCAGTCCCTGTCCAACAGCAACTCAACTATAGGGGCTTCATCAAATAGGGATTCCCAAGAAAGTTTTCACATAATAAGATGTGCTGAGTTGTGTCTTCAAGGCTGGTGTAGAAGCCTCCTGATGCCATCAGGGACCCAGGCTTCTTCTCTCTTCCGGCCTGTCATCCTTATATGTGGCATTCATCCATGCTGCCTGAAGATGGCTGCCCTACCTACAGCCTCACTTGCTCATTCCAGCAGAAAGAAGTGTCAAGGAGGAAGAGGTGGCTCATGTTGACAAAGCAAAACTTTTCCAGAAATCCTCAGCACATTCAGCTGAATTCTTATTGGACAGAACTGGGTCACATGACCACTAATAAATGTGAGAGTCTGGGAAATTTAGTTTTTAGCTGGATTCAGTGGTGCTCTGAACAAACTAGGCATTCTGTTTGTGAGGAAGCAGGGAATTATGGATTTGGGGTAGGAAACTAGCAGCATCTGCTATAAAAGGGACTCTGGAATAGGTGGGAGATTGGGCTAGATGAGCCTTCCAACTATAGGATTCAAAGATGAACTTAATAGATTTCCTACCCTCAAAGCATTGACAGTTTATATTGGAGGCAGCTTTTAGAGTCAACTATGTGAATTTAAATTCAGTTTTATCCCTTACTAGGTATAAAATTCTGGTCATGGGCAAGCTATTTATCCTCTCTGAACCTTAGTTCCTTCAACTGTAAAATAAGGATGATGGTGTCTGTTATTTTGATAATTATATGAGTTAAATATTTAAAGTGTCAATTATACTGTTTGGTAGGAGTAGATGCTAAATAAATGTAGCTATTTTTTTTTTCTTTTCGAGACGGAGTCTTGCTCTGTCGCCCAGGCTGGAGTGCAGTGGCATGATCTCGGCTCACTGCAACCTCTGCCTCCCAGGGTCAAGCGATTCTCCTGCCTCAGCCTCCTGAGTAGTTGAGATTACAGGCCTGCGCCACTGCGCCCAGCTGATTTTTGTATTTTTAGTAGAGACGGGTTTTCACCTTGTTGGTCAGGCTGGTTTCGAACTCCTGACCTCGTGATCCATCTGCCTTGGCCTCCCAAAGTGCTGGGATTACAGGCGTGAACCACCACACCCAGCCGCTATTCTTTTTCTACTAGATGATAAGCTCTATGAAGGCAGGAACTGTGTCTTATATGTGTACCATGGTCATCTCAGCACCTGGTACACAGTACCCCTGTAATAGATCTTTGTTAAGTGAATTAATGGAGGAGACTAGTGCTAATGCTAGTCTATAAAGCTGATATAAAACATATTCAAAGTAACTGAGACTTGCCTTTTCTCAAGTGAAATTTGAGGCATGTATCTCAAGCACGTTCTGTAACAATGAGGAGGAGATACTACATTAAGGATTAAAAAACCTAAGGTATAAGGTAAGAAGTTGTTTTGATTAATGTTGTTAGTTGCAGACAACAGAAGCCGCTCTAAGGAGTTTAAGCAGAAAATGACTTATGACAGGGTTTTAGGGACCTTAGAGAACCACGACTGCTCCAGTAGTAACTCCCTTGTCACCACCACTCACACCCAGCATTGGTTACCGGGGACTGGACATGAGAATCTCTGCGAGCTGCCCCAGAAAAATCACACATACTAGGTCTCTAGGAGGGGCCAATCTCTCTGTACAGCCACTGCTTGGCACCGTCTCCTTTCAAATGTCATGTAAATGTGTCTGCTCCTCAGAGCCTGGGTCACATTTAGACTTGTTGTGCAAGGGAGTCTGGGAAATGTAGTTTTTAGCTTTCCAGTTTCTGTAGTTCAAGCAGGTTTGCTTAAAGGAGATTGGTCAGAGTGCTCAACTAGCAACACCCTGTCTAGCACAGAAGTCATTCTGAGCAACGGCATGCAGTTGTCCTACCAAGAGAGCGTGCAGGTCATAGAGTGGTGAGACCACTGGGAGGAGGTACTGGAAGACCAGGGGAACACAGGAAAGAGTTCAGGTCCATTTACACCAGGAGCCTGCCAGACAGGCACCCAAGAATGGACAGTGGGTTACTGATGGTCATAGAGAGGGGCAGAAGAGGAGAGGGGTGGAAGTAATTTTCCCTGGACATGCCCGGTGGATTGTGTGCAGAGGGAGACCTGCTTCTGCATTTCCCTTTGCCTGGTCACTGTCTCAGGCACTCAGTTTCAGACAGGCATGTGGCTCCAGGGAAGGCCATCGAGCTCACTTCAGAGCCCAGCCAGCCCCATCCCGGCAGAGTCAGGATGACAAAGGCAGGGCTCCTGTGGCCTGGCCCATGTGACCCCCAGCCAGTCCTAAATCTTGGGGCGTGGGAAGGAATAATCACGAGGCAAGGAGGAGACGGAACACCCTCCACACTGAGAAGCCTTTGTTAGAACCTTCCAGCCATGAGGTCAGAGGAAGAAGCTGAGTGATCTCTTAAAAAAATATGTATATATATATTAGTTGGGGGTTTTCTTTTTCTCTTGTCTTTCTTTTCAATCTAGGTTTGTGTTTTATAGACTGTGTGATACAGGCAATGGGACAACTGGGCAGTTAGTTGGAACTGACCTTGCAGACAGCCAAGACGGCAAGCTGGGTGACTCAAGTTCAGAATGGGTTTTTTATAAAAACAAACAAACAGCCATGATTGATGTCTCCCTTCTCATCTTTTATATATCCTTTTTTATGGGCAGTTGTGGAGAATTGGACTGGTTTACTGACATCATTTCTCTCTTTGCAGGCTGATTTCATCTTAGTCCTTTACACAGGTATACCTTCTGTAAGGACAGAATCTATCAATGCAACTTGCAGTATGCAAAAACCATTATCTAGAAACTGATTCAGTTTAATGCTATTAAATGCAATCAGAAGTTACCAAGCCTCTTACTGGAATGCTCTTCCAAATGTAACTTAATCCAATTTACCTTTCCTTTGGTATTTAAGTTCCTGACAGCCAGAGCAGACATTTCTCAGACAAGAGTGATTTGACTTGTAACACATGCCTTTTTTCTTTCTTTTCGTTCATTTCATGTAAACAATTAGGTGTGATGTTACAGTGAGCTTTCACCTTTAGGTTGTGGTCAGCTCTAGACCCAGTGAGAGGCTGCCATGTCATAAACTTGATTTAAATGCCATGGGTGTGCCAGGTGTTTTTGGGTGAATGAATGAGACATATGCCCTCAAGCCCCAGATAACTTCTCAGTCTATTTCAGAATCACTGAATCATGTGACAGTATGAGAACACTTTATCTCTAATAAAGCTGGAGTGTAATGACTCATTCTCACATAGTTTTAATGTTTATCGATTTCAAGTGTTCTTTCTTGATAAGAAAAGGTTTGTATGTGAACATTCGAAAGAAGAGCAACGGGCATTTTTTGTTCTTTCAATTTTAACACAAGTACAATATTTTAACCTTTACCTTGTGATTTTTGGGTGTATGCAGTGCAGCTTGCCTATAGGTGATTTAGTTGTTCGTTTCTGACCTCATTACAAAGAAGTGGTGGAAGCTGGGTGGATCTTTTCATTCCCCAGTATATTCTGCCAGAAGCTGGTGCTCATGGATCATTTGTTCAAGGACTTAAAGTTCAATTTCTAGTCAAGGTAAATTATGGCTACATCAGGCTGGTCTGGCACAGGTGATCTCGATGATCTTCTGAAAGCTGTCCATGTGGGCTCCAGGGTAGGGAACCTAGAGGAACTTAGGCAGGCCAGGGAGCCAATTCTATAGTATTTGAGGAGGAACCGATCGCCCCCCCACCACGATCCAAACCTACCTACAGGGCCCTCTGTTAACCAAAGACCTTGTATTAGCAAGGAGTTCTGGCTGAAAATTCCTTTTGTCATTGGGGGAAACAAACCCTAAGCAATGTATGTGATACTTTCTTGGAGCCCAGGCCATCTGGGTAGCATGAGTTTTCTTTAAATACATCCCGAGTAAGGCAATAGATTTCCTTCAGAGCATTTGGCAATTAAGACTGGGGCTGTCAACTAGGCTTACTGTTAAAAACCTGCCCTGCTTTCCCAGGCTGCCTGGTCTGAAATTCAGATGCCTCCACCAGAAAATAGGTTTACTCACCCATTGTCTTGGCCACCATCTTCCTTGACCACACCTGAGTACCGTGAATGACCACCAACCCTCACTGAGGCCATTTGCCAGATGGCTCTAAGTGTGGTCCATCCTAGCCCTGGTTTCCATTTGGCTTGGTCACACCACTGTGTCCTATATGTGTCTTTCAATCGCCACTTCAGTGGCCTGCGGTCATCTCAATACAGCACATGTATTAAAAAAACCAAGCCCAGGGAGTATCTCACAGCAGTTTGGTGGTCTTCACTTCTTCCATATGCCAGTGTCAGCAACTCTGCTGTCCCTGTTCCTTGGGCACAACTGTTCTGACTGCTCCCTCTCCTCCACCATCCCTTCATCTTTTCTCCTTTCCACTCCTCCACATATCCCAGCACCTAGGTTACAGCTCTAATCTCTTGGGCCCTGGAGAATTATAACTGAAAAGATGTTTTTGCATCCAATCCATTGTCTTCTTTTTACACATGAGGAAATGGCAGCTTCAGAGAGGTTAGACAAATGACCCTGCTCTAAACTAGTTGAAGCAGAGTCAGGCCTTCTGTCCTTCCTCCTGCTACTCGGCCTGGCGATATCCTGCTCTCCCTATTTCCAGCCTCTCTTCTTTTATCCATTCTGTACACTCAAGTATGCAGATTTATCTGCTTTTGTTTTTGTTTTTGAGACGGGGTCTCACTCTGTCACTCAGGCTGGAGTGCAGTGGTGTGATCTCAGCTCACTGCAGCTTCGACCTCTTGGGCCCCAGTGATCCTCCCACCTTAGCCTCCAGAGTAGCTGGGACTACAGGCACGTGCCACCACCCCTGGCTAATTTTTTTTTTCTAGAGATAGGGTCTTGCCGTGTTGCCCAGGTTAGTCTCAAACACCTGGGGTCAAGTGATCCTCCTGCCTTGGCCTCCCGAAGTATTGGGATTACAGGTGTGAGCCATTGCGCCCAGCCCCTCAGATTTATCTTGATGAAATACTACTTTCATCTCTCTCTCTTGCCTACAGATTTTTGGTGGTCCCTATAGCTAGGACAACCAACTATGTAATTGTCATCCAAACTGGGTCTCTTGAGAGTGAAGGAGTTGCTAGAGCAACAGGGATAAACCAGGATTATCCTGGGAAAACCAGGACATCTGGATACCCTTTATATAGCCTAAGTCTTAAAGATTAGATGATCCCTTATGGAATTTAAGGTTTTCTACAATCAGGCCTCAAACTACACTTCTAAGCTTTGTGCTCAAGAGTCTACACAATATTTTGTTTGGTCCAGTCAATTTGCTCATCCTTCTTGGCTCACTTTCTGACTATTTCTGCTTTGGGATCTGGAAGTGTTTCTCTGCTCGCCTCATCTTCTGTTTTCTCCACGGCCTGTTAATTCCCTTTTCTTCCATAAAGTCTAAGTCTGTTGCATCTCCCAGAATGTCTAGCTCCTCCAAAGTTGTGCACTTGCTATCTGTACTACTAATTTGACACTTCTGAGTAGTGAAATGAAGTGTTTTTATTCTTTTGAAGTAGTGAGGACACAGCTTCTGATTATTCCTTCTATAAATATGCCTGCTACAAAAGCGTGAGACCCACAAAATAACAGAGATAAAAACATAAAATGAGCAAAACTTTCAAAAGAGAAATCAGAACTTTATTTTACTGATGAGTGTGTAGAACTTAGAACTGTACAACCTCTGCAAAGAGGAATTTGGCATCATCTAACAGAAGTACACATGCAATCCCACTTCCATCTTTCTATCTTTACAAGTGTGAAATAGCATATGTATTAGGTTATTGCCTGTGCCATTATTGTAATCCCAAAAGGTTGTAAACACCAAATGTCCAGCAATAGGGAACTAGTAGAATATAGACTGTGGTGTAGCACATAGTGGAGTACTATGTAGCTTAAAAAAAAAAAAAAAAAGAATGGGCCATGTTCAGTGGCTCATGCCTGTAATCCCAACACTTTGGGAGGCGGAGGCATGCAGATCACTTGAACCCAGGCGTTTGAGACCAGCCTGGGTAACATGGTGAAACTGCAACTCTGCAAAAAATACAAAAATTAGCTGGACATGGGGGTGTGCCCCTGTAGTCTTAGCTACTCAGGAGGCTGAGGTGGGAGAATTACTTGAGCCTGAAGTTCAAGGCTGTAGTGAGCCAAGATTGTGCCACTGCCCTCCAGCCTGGGTGACGGACTGAGACCTTGTCTCAAAAAAAAAACCCAAACAAACAAACATACAAACAAAACCCAAAACCAAAGAAGAAGGAAGATCTCTATGTGTGAGTGTGGAGAGATCTGTAGGATATAGAGAAGAGAGCAAGGTGCAAGAAGATTGGATATTGGGTGCTCCGTTTTGTGTAAAATAGGGTGTGGTAAGAATGTGTGTGTGTATATTCATTATATATTCACTATATAATATATATACATATGTCATATGTATACACATCTTTTATATTGGTACTATTTGCAAAAAGAAGTTGGTACAAACTTCAGTTATAAGATAAATAAATTCTGGGGACCTAACATATAGCATGGTGACTATAATTAATACTGTATTGTATACTTGAAATTTGCCAAAAGAGTAGATCTTAAGTGGCCTCACTCTCCCACCACACACACAGCAATGGAAACAAAGTGTGGTGAGGATGTGTTAATTAATTTGGTTGTGGTAATAATTTCGCTATGTATACATATATCAAATTGTCACATCATACATCTTGAATATATGGAATTTGTATTTGTCAGTTATACCTTAGTATAGCTGGAAGGAAAACAGTGGAAATATAGATGGAAACTAATGAAAAATGATTACCCCTAGAGGCCGGAGTGGAGGTCAGACTTTTCTATGTAGATTCTTCTATCTAATTTTTTTTCTTTTGAGATGGAGTCTTGCTCTGTTGCCCAGCTTGGAGTGCAGTGGTGCGATCTTGGCTCACTGCAACCTCTGCCTCCCAGGGTCAAGCGATTCTCCTGCCTCAGCCTCCCAAGTAGCTGGAATTACAGGCACCCACCATCATGCCCGGCTAATTTTTGTATTTTTGTAGAGACGGGGTTTCACCATGTTGGCCAGGCTGGTCTTGAACTCCTGACCTCAGGTGATCTGCCCATCTTGGCCTCCCAAAGTGCTGGGATTACAGGTATGAGCCACCGCACCTGGATCTTCTATCTAACTTCGGATTTGAGTCATGTCAGTGCATTATCCATTAAAAAATAAAATATCAGGTACTTTATTTTATAAAATTCTTTGTAAAGTAGCGTACATGTGATTAATTTTGTCATCTCTCATTGGCAGTATTTTCATTTGCGGAACTGGGTAACCTTCTGGAGAGGAGCATCAGAGGTGTGCTTCAGAAAGCTTTTTGGGCCACTGAGTGAAGGTCCATTGCAGTGAGGAGGGGGGAATCTGGAGAAGGGGTGGCCATGGTGGGGCGAGGGAAAGGTGCAGAAAAAGTGCCCAGGGCTTCCACCTTCCAGCCCTGGATGTAGCTCTGCCAGCCGGGATCCCTTATAAGAAGCTTCCTTATGGGTCAGCTATTTTCTGACTCCATAGCTCAGTGTTTCCTCTTACTACCTTTAGCCTTCACGATTTTGGAGTACATTTTTCAGGTGAATATTTTATTCAGCAGTGTGATTTTCCAGCCTGCTAATTCTGGACACCGGACCTGTTTTATGAGGTGGTGTCTGTGGTAGTTTCTCCCAATAGCAGAGGAAAGAAATCCTTTGTTGCCCTCATCACGTTTCATCTCATTCTGACACATGTAATTCACAGCTCTTTGAGAATGTCATTTAGAAATAATCCCCAATTCATAAGCCACTTTGCAATTGTATTGTATTTTCTTTCTAATATACTTTGACCCTTTTGATGGGGAAATTAGAACATGATTTTTTAATGCAGATTTGGGAATGACCTATTCAAAGAGAAACTCTGAAGGTGATAATGATACCCCCCCACCTACTTTTCAGTCATAATAGATATCCTTCATCAAGTGTCTTCAGGAATTCTCTATCCAGCTAGCTATTTACTTTTTCTTGTGTTTTATGTATTATCTCCTATTATTCTCCAAACAACTCTTTTACAGAATGGGGAAGGACATGGAGGCTCAGAGAGGTTAGTAACTTGCTTGAGGCCATGCAGCCTACTTAATGACCGGCGGAGGGGGTTGGTGTTTGCACTGTATCCATTGCCTCCCTAACTTGGCCAAGCTCTGTCATTTCCCTGTCTGCTAGTACCTTCCACTTCATCTCCAAACCCATTGAGAGCAGTTGGCGGTTATCTTCACCTCCCCTGCTAGGACGCTGGGATTTCCTCCAGCAGGGCCCTGTCTCAGGTGTTCCTTCTTAGAACCTTGAGCTCCTGCTTACCACCCTAAGGACCACAAGTATTTCTCTAGCCCACACACGTTGTCTGGAGTATCTATCCAAATGTACAATAATTTATTTTCTCTTGAAAACATTATCCCTCAGAATTTAGGACTTTGCCTTATACTGGAATCCTTACAAAGGTCTTTTGCCTTAACTAGAACTATAGTTCACTTCTTTGAACCACAGAAAATATTTGGGCAGAACACATTACTGAAATTACTTCAAATAAATACCAGCATTGGATGCTCATAGAGGTCACCTAATGGAATGACTTTAAAAAGGAAGGAAATCTGCACAGTTTAGTGGTTATATATGGGCTCTGCCCTCACAAAATTGTATGTTAGATATCGTTATACACAAACCTTTTAAAATTAGATTATTTTAAAGAGCAATAAAGTAAGTGGTGCACCAGGCGTGGTGGGTTACACCTGTAATCCAAGCACTTTGGGAGGCTGAGGCAGGCAGATCACTTGAGGTCAGGAGTTCAAGACCAGCCTGGCCAACATGGTGAAACTTCATCTCTACAAAACATACAAAAATTAGCCAGGCATGGTGGCGTGAGCCTGTAATCCCAGCTACTCGGGAGGCTGAGGCAGGAGAATCGCTTGAATCTGGAAGGCAGAGGTTGCAGTGAGCCAAGATTGTGCCACTGTATTCCAGCCTGGGTGACAGAGCCAGACTCAGCCTCAAAAAACAAACAACAACCAAAAAAACAACTTTCTATCTAACTGCACAGAAGGTCTCTTCTGTGTATCACAGTACTAGTTTGATAAGATACTTAGAAGGAAAACTTCAGGTATTTGGAATTAGCACCATGTAGAATATTTCATATCACAAATACACATAGTTGTTCTTAACACATGTCAAAGAAAGTGTTAACCTTGCTTTGTGTCACTTACAAAAGTAACCCTTGTGGTTAATACTTTAAACTATTTCTCTATACTAGGCTAAACTAAAGAGAGTGTATTAAAGAGAGTTAAATTATATCAGGATTAGAGTGTCAATTTAGATGATAAAGATCTTTCTTTGAAATCAGTAGAGAGAATAGATTAAATATAATTGTTTTCTTTGTGTTGACTTCATTCAATTCTCTAATCCTTTTCTTCTTTAACTAATTGTTTCTCTTACTTTTGTCAATTAAAGTGAACCTTCCTTACTAAAAAGAAACTAGATTTTAATGGGTGTAGACTTTCAGTTTTGCAAAAGAGAAACAATTCTGAAGATGGATGGTGGTGATGGTTTTACAACAGTGTGAATGTGATTAATGCCACTGACTGTATACTTGAAAATGGTGAAGATGGGGGTGCAGGGGGAGGGAGGGCATCAGGAAAACCAGCTAATATATGTCAGGCTTAATACCTAGGTGATGATGGGTTGACAGGTGCAGCAAACCACCGTGGCACACGTTTACCTATGTAATAAACCTGCACATCCTGCACATATACCCCGGAACTTAAAATAAATCGTGAAGATGGTAAAATTTATGTTATATGTATTTTACCACAATTTAAAATAAGAATCCCTTCTCCCCTCTCCCCTCTCCCCCTCCCCTTTGCACGGTCCTCGTCTCCCCTTTGCATGGTCTCCCTCTGATGCCGAGCCGAGGCTGGACTGTACTGCCGCCATCTCGGCTCACTGCAGCCTCCCTGCCTGACTCTCCTGCCTCAGCCTGCCGAGTGCCTGGGATTGCAGGCACGCGCCGCCACGCCTGACTGGTTTTCGTATTTTTTGGTGGAGACGGGGTTTCGCCGTGTTGGCCGGGCTGGTCTCCAGCTCCTGACTGCGAGTGGTCTGCCCGCCTCGGCCTCCCGAGGTGCCGGGATTGCAGACGGAGTCTCGCTCACTCAGTGCTCAATGTTGCCCAGGCTGGAGTGCAGTGGCGTGATCTCGGATCGCTACAACCTCCACCTCCCAGCCGCCTGCCTTGGCCTCCCAAGGTGCTGAGATTGCAGCCTCTGCCCGGCCGCCACCCCGTATAGGAAGTGAGGAGCGTCTCTGCCTGGCCGCCCATCGTCTGGGATGTGAGGAGCCCCTCTGCCTGGCCGCCCAGTCCGGGAAGTGAGGAGCGCCTCTTTCCAGCCGCCACCCTGTCTAGGAAGTGAGGAGCGTCTCTGCCTCGCTGCCCATTATCTGGGATGTGAGGAGCCCCTCTGCCCGGCCGCCCAGTATGGGAAGTGAGGAGCGCCTCTTCCCGGCCGTCATCCCGTCTAGGAAGTGAGGAGTGTCTCTGCCCGGCCGCCCATCATCTGGGATGTGGGGAGCGCCTCTGCCCCGCCGCCCCATCTGAGATGTGAAGAGTGCCTCTGCCCGGCTGCGACCCCGTCTGGGAGGTGAGGGGCGTCTCTGACCGGCCGCCTCGTCTGAGAAGTGAGGAGCCCCTCCGCCCGGCAGCCGCCCCATCTGGGAAGTGAGGAGCGTCTCCGCCCGGCAGCCTCCCTGTCCGGGAGCTGGGGGGCAGCCCCCGCCCGGCCAGCCGCCCCGTCTGGGAGGTGGGGGGGCAGCCCCCGCCCAGCCAGCCGCCCCATCCGGGAGCTGGGGGGCAGGCCCCGGGTGGGGGGTGGGGGGCAGCCCCCATCCGGCCGCCGCCCCGTCCGGGAGGTGGGGGGCGCCTCTGCCTGGCTGCCCCGTCTGGGAAGTGAGGAGCCCCTCTGCCCGGCCGCCACCCCGTCTGGGAGGTGGGGGGCCCCCTCTGCCTGGCCGCCCTGTCTGGGAAGTGAGGAGCCCCTCTGCCCGGCCACCACCCCGTCTGGGAGGTGGGGGGCCCCTCTGCCCAGCAGCCCCGTCTGGGAAGTGAGGAGCCCCTCTGCCCGGCCGTAACCCCGTCTGGGAGGTGTACCCAACAGCTCATTGAGAGCGGGCCATGATGACAATGGCGGTTTTGTGGAATAGAAAAGGGAGAAATGTGGGGAAAAGAAAGAGAGATCAGATTGTTATTGTGTCTGTGTAGAAAGAAGTAGACCTGGGAGACTCCATTTTGTTCTGTACTAGGAAAAATTCTTCTGCCTTGGGATGCTATTAATCTATGACCTTACGCCCAACCCCGTGCTCTCTGAAACATGTGCTGTGTCCACTAAGGGTTGAATGGATTAAGGGCGGTGCAAGTTGTGCTTTGTTGAACAGATGCTTGAAGGCAGCATACTCGTTAAGGGTCATCACCACTCCCTAATCTCAACTACCCAGGGACACAAACACTGCGGAAGGCGGCAGGGCCCTCTGCCTGGGAAAACCAGAGACCTTTGTTCACGTTTGTCTGCTGACCTTCCCTCCACTATTGTCCTATGACCCTGCCAAGTCCCCCTCTCCGAGAGACACCCGGGGTGATCAATAAATACTAAAAGGGGAAAAAAAAAAAAAGAATTTAAAAATTAAAAAAGTCAATTGACTGTTAAAAGCAAAAAAAAAAAAACAAGTTAATTTAGGTAGAGTAAATCATTAGACTTTTTAAAGGAGATCTGTTATTTCTTAGCAAAAATTTAATCTATTGGGAAATGATCTCAGAACTAACCATTTCTCTGAAATCATAGTGAAATCAGGAGTGTAGAAAGTATCCATTGTGGAGCCTTTGGGCAACTTTATGTTGAGTAAATGGGGGACGTGCTTTTAGAGTCTAGAGACTTTGAAGGAATAGGGACGGCATCATGGGCTGCCCTTCTGTGGTGTCTCTGGCTATTTCCCAGCACAGTCCACAACGCTGCCCCTATTCCTTCAACTTCTCCTGACTCTAGAAGCAACTTCAAGTTTCCAGAAAGCTCCAAGTTGCCTCCTGACTGTGCAGTCTCCCCATTTCCTCAGCACGCTCTTGGTTTCCTGCCTGGCTTCCTTACTCTCTGATTACTCATTGGATTTGCTATCTGATCTGTTGCCAAAGAACAGGGCACAACTTCCACTCGCTCTGCTAGACTTAGACTGGCCAAACCCACTCTCTTGAAACCTCTGGAAACCTCGTGCTCTTTTGAGTTTGACTTCTGCCTCCTTAAGGCCCCTGAAGCTGAGCAGGCTGTGAATGAATTAACAGAGCTTTGTAAATTGCTTAAGAGATGTGGGTAGACAATAGGGACTCCTGGAGTGAAGACAGAATGACTGAAATAGAAACTTTCTGTGGTTAGCATGGATGTACCTGCCTTTGTCACTCCCCGAATAAAGTTCTTTACTTTCTTGGAGGCAGGAGGCAGGCTTGAGAGAGACATGAGAGAAGAGGGCTCTCTCTCTGGTTTCGGAAAGCAGTGGGCTGGCATGTAGGGAGGAGAATCCTTGGGCCTGGTTGGTGAGTGACAGCTGAGGAGGAAAGGCTGTTGATGTCAGCTACTGTAGTACAGAGAGCATCCTCTGTCTTGATGGATGAGCGTAACAACAAGGAAAAGGCCCATGAAGTCTGTTTTAAAAGGTAAAAATTTGACTGTCACATGAGTGAAGAGTCACCTCAAGAAGACCCAGTACAGTAAGCTGAGCACTGTGACTTGTGCCTGTAGTCTCAGCTACTCAGTAGGCTGATGTGAGAGGATGAAAAGTTCAAGGCCTGAGCAAAGTAGCAAGACCCCATCTTCCCCCCAAAAAAGATCCAACTTAGATATTAGTCCTGCCATTGGCAGTGAGACATCCTGCCCGAATGGCTGTCAAAGATGTGTGTAAAATGTGTGTGTGTTCCCCAAAACAAACCACATACTTCCAGTATGAGGGCGCCAAGAAGAGTTTCCTAGGAAACTGGAACACCATTGGGCCTTCCTCACTAGGCATTCACCAGAGGGCCTGGTCCAGAGTATAAAGTCTTGATAAATACTTCTTTCTTCTGTAACTCCTCCCTCCTCCCTCTTCTTCATTCCGTCAACACCGACAAAGGGTCTAAGGAATGGGTGATCCAATAAGACGTGAAACAGGAGATGGTATTACCTTCTAATAGGAAGAGTATATTTCCTAAACCACAGACTAACCATCTTTTCTGCCAGAGAGACCAGCAACAGCTTTTGTCGGTCAATTACAAGGCTGTGGTCTTTGTAATTGTTATTCTAATGTGTCGCAAGATGGTGTGAGGAAATTCAGGTGGGATCTAGCATTTATTGATCGTTTATGAGCAAGAGATTGTGTTTCAAGTGTTAAATGCATTATTTAATGTTAACAGGCCCCCTATCATGGCAGGCATGACCCCATTTGACAGTCGAGGGAACTGAGATTTGGAAAGGACTATGATTTACCCAGGGTCATCCAGCCAGGGAAAGTGGAGCAAGATTTTGAAACTCAGGTCCACTCCCTGATTCTTTCCACTGTAGTGCATTTTCCACAGGAGTGGCAGATAGGTTCTGAGCACTGCCTGCCTTTCTCCTTGCTGCCATCCCTTCGTATCCAAACTAGGTCCAGACCTCCTTCCAGGAAGCCTCCACCTCTTCTAGTCGAGAAACCTAGCCAGAAACCTAGGCTGGGCCTCTGTCTCCTCTTTTGGAAGAGCACAGATGAAGTGCAATTGGCCCTTCTCCCTCCTCAAGGTGAGAAGCCAAGGACACTTTGTGTCTGAAGTCTTTTAATGGAAAGAATCAATATGGGTCCAATCCCTCCTTTCCCTTTGATGCTTTTTTACCTGTCTCAAGCCCCACCCACCCCTCTGCTGTAGTAGCTCTTAGAACTTTTTACTCCGTGGGCATTTGCCTGGAGTGCCTTGTGACCTCTCCTGCATTCTCCCCAGCAGGCATGTCATCCAATGCACAACGCTGTATCTTTATGGGACAACTCAGCGCCCTCTGTACATTAGGCACTAAGTGCATATTTCTTTTTTTTTTTTTTAATTTTTTTGAGACAGAGTCTCCCTCTGTTGCCCAGGCTGGAGTGCAGTGGTGTGATCTTGGCTCACTGCAACCTCTGCCTCCTGGGTTCAAGTGTTTCTCCTACCTCAGCCTCCCAAGTAGGTGGGATTACAGTTGCCTGCCACCACACCTGGCTAATTTTTTGTATTTTTAGTAGAGACAGGGTTTCACCATGTTAGCCAGGCTGGTCTCGAACTCTGACCTCAAGTGACCCTCCCACCTTGGCCTCCCAAAGTGCTGGGAGTACAGGCGTGAGTCACCATGCCCGGCCTAAGTGCATATTTTTCTGTGGCTTATTAAAGCATACAAAAGGCCACCTACTTTTCCACAGAGAAGAGTTTGATGGAGTGAATCCTAAAACCCAGAACAAGGCACTAATACCCTTTTGAATTTTCTCCAGTTTTCCATTGATTGGAATGTCAATGTGTCCCTGTTGTGGGAATCTGTTATTTGCTGCCTAGATGAACAATTTAAGTTGAATCAGGCCATTCTTCAAGACAGAGTCCTCCCGATGGACAAGGAGAGACTCAAGAGCTTTCTGTGTACATGAGCTAGGATCATTCAAGCTGTGACTTGGGGAATCTTTAATTTGGATGACTCTCCTTAGAGCAGCCAAATCAGCTTCTTGCTGATAACAGTAATCAGGTTTTATACTAAAGTCCCCAGTTAGGCAGAGTAAACAGGAAGCAGCCTGTTATTGATCTGTGTTATGGAAGGTTCTTTTCCACTGAGGAGACTGAATATTTTATACTGAAACCTTTTACTTCCTGTACCCAGCATATTTTTCCTATATATGTGTTAGGACAGAAGTCCTTTTGAGTATCTTTATTTTATTTGTTTAGTGAAACTCCTGAAACTAAGGGTGTGGGAACAAATTATCCATATTTAGTATATGTGGTGGGTTAAAAAATGTCATCCATTTTTGATAACATAGGAGGAAGTGTAAATTGTTAGTTTATCAGCCATTTCTAATGGTTTTTAAAAAATGTCCTTCATCCACGGCTTCACCAGAACACACACACACACACACACACACACACACACACACACAATGTCCTTCAATTTCATACCATTTGAAAAATAATCTTGTTGAGTATTAGGATTGGCTAGAGTTTTTTTTAAGGTAAAAAGTACTGTGTGCATTTTCAACTTCTCTTGATCTTTGCATTTGGAGGATAATAATCTCCAGGGAGATTTGAAGATAATAAATAGAGGTGGAAATGCACGGATGCTTCTGCACCAATTCTCAGGGAAGGCTTTTCCAGATGTGGAATGCACGGATGCTTCTGCACCAATTCCCAGGGAAGGCTTTTCCAGATGTGGAATGCCATGGGGAGTCTGTCTGGCTTGGATAATTGACAGCTGCCAGCTTGTAATGATCTGTGCTAAATGGAGCTGGAGCCACAGAAGGCAACACAACAGCTGGGCTGCTGGGAGCCAAGGCCCTGCACGAGGCACAGCTCTCTCCCCAACACCCATCCTCAGCAGCCTCACCCCCTAAAGAAGGTGCACTGTTCCAGGAAAGGAAGGGAGTCTGTTGCTTCTACCTGATGGGTAAGAGGAAACACCTTGATTCACTCAAATGGGCCACGGTCAGATAATTAGAGATTCGCTTTTTATTGCATTGACTTTAGCATTTTAATTTAAAAAAATGTTTATGGATACATAATAGTTGCATATATTTTGTGGGGAACATGTGATATTTTGATACAAGCATATAATGTGTAATGATCAAATCAAGGTAATTGGGATATTCATCACGTTAAACATTTCTCATTACTTTGTGTTAGGAATATTTCAATTCCACTCTTCTAGTTATTTTGAAATAGGCAATAAATTATTGTTAGTTATAGTCACTCTATTGTGCTACTGAACACTAGATCTTATCTAACTGTATTTTTGTGCCCGTGAACCTCTCTTTATTCCCCTCTCCCCACTACTCTGCCAGCCTCTGGCAACCATCATTCTACTCTCTATCTCCATGAGTTCAACTTTTTTTTAGCTCTCACATATGAGTGAGAACATGCAGTATTTGTCTTTTTGTGTTTGGCTTATTTCACTTAACATAATATCTTCCAGTTCCATTCATTTTGTTGAGAATGAAAATATTTTATTCTTTTTTGTGGCTAAATAATATTCCATTGTGTACGTGTACCACATTTTCTTTATCCATGCACCTGTTGATGGACACTTAGGTTGACTCCATATCTTGGCTGTTGTGAATAGTCTTCCAATGAACTTGTTAGTGCAGATATCTCTTCAATATACTGATTTCCTTTCTTTTGGATAAATACCCAGCAGTGGGATTCCTGGATCATATGGTAGTTCTATTTTCAGTTTTTTGAGGAAACTTCATGCTGTTTTCCATAGTGGCTGTACTAATTTACATTCCCACCAGCAATGTAAGAGGAACTTTAGCATTTTAATCTTAAATTCTTTAGCAACCAGTTCATAAGAGGAGGAAGGATCATAAATCAAAAGGACTGAGGATGTCAGGCAAACAGAGAAAACAGTCCCCTTCCAGGGGCTGGGAACGGTGTGGCTCCCATCATAGTCTCAGCTTTTCCAGTTAATGACCGTGAAACCTTCCCCTCAAATCATTCTAATAGGCTTCTGACCCTCCCTCATTTTCTGGTTCATCAGATGAAATAATACCACCTGTCCTATCTACCTACCTGCTTCTGGGGATTGGAGAAATTAATGTAAGTGCTTTATCCACTGTGAAACCAATTTAAGTAGAAGGCACAGATGAATTAAGAAACACTTCCTGCTATGTATGATCTTTGTCCTTCTCATTCTCTGCCTTTTCTGACTTGTGGCCTAAATCATAAATGCTTCCTGATAATAATAATAGCTGTCAATTGTTGAACACTTTCTCCATGCCAGGCATTGAGCTAAATGCTTCACAGGTGTTAGTTTATTTTATCTTCATGATAACCTTGCTCGCTGGTAGTCTTATTGTTTCAGTCCCCACAGTTGAACCTGGACTCTGAATCCAGCATGCTCTTCTAGAAAAGCTCATGCACTTCCCTTTAGGCTGCATTTTAAATGAAGGAGCTGCATTCATGATTTTCAATTTTGACATTTAAAAAATGATCTAGGTCGAACGCAGTGGCTCACACCTATAATCCCAGTACTTTGGGAAGCTGAGATGGGTGGATCATTTTGAGGCCAGGAGTTCAAGACCAGCCTGGCCCACATGGTGAAACCCCATCTCTACTAAAAAAAAAAAAAAAAAAAAAATTAGCCAGGCCTGGTGGTGCGCACTTGTAATCCCAGCTACTTAGGAGGTTGAGGCACGAGAATCACTTGAACTTGGGAGGTGGTGGTTGTATTGAGTCAAGATCATGTCACTGCACTCCAGCCTTGGGCAACAGAGCAAGACTCTGTCTCAAAAAATAATAATAAAATAAAAAATGATCTAAAAGTTTATTGAGTCATTTTTTAATGTTTGAGTATAGCAGAAGGCTAGAAATCATAGAATGCAATTGTGGTTACTGATTAAGAAGAGAGAGATAAGGCACTGGAGAGAGAGAAAGAGAGAGCAGGGGAAGGCGGGAGAAAGGAATTCATGACCAAGAGAAAAAGATGGCTTTTTTTTCTGATAGGAATAGTGATTTTGTAATATGTATTTGCATTTATAATTCTCATATTTTCCATGCAGATAATCCTTAAAAGCATATAATTAATTAATGGGCTTTTGATGTTCCTAGTGCCAGAGATGTGGAACTACATTATCTTGATAATCTTTGTAAAAGATTAGAAGAGGCTTA
The DNA here is from genome assembly GCF_000001405.40 of Homo sapiens. NCBI lineage: Eukaryota > Metazoa > Chordata > Mammalia > Primates > Hominidae > Homo > Homo sapiens. The sequence goes on from NC_000007.14 coordinate 29,271,045, forward strand.
AAGTGAGACAGTTCCCAGGATTCAAAACTCTGCCAAACAGAAACGATTAACCTTGAGGTGGGGGTGGAAGAAGTGAGAGGAAGTGGACTGAAAGGGGTGGAGTTGTGTCACCAACTCCCTCTTTTAGTCAGCGTCCTGGTCTTTAAGCATCAAGCCTGATTTAACTTTGGCTGTGGTAGGTCCCTGCCTAACTCCAACAGTCCGGAGACAAGTTCAAGGCCCTGGTCATTGTCTGCATCTAGTGAAAACCCTCTGGTTGTTTGCTCCTGGTTGTGTTAGATAAACAGGTAATGATTAAACGTATTTTCACTGGCAGCCTTTTTAAAACAAAACTTCATGTTTCTGGAGTGTCCTCTAAAGATGAAGCATTTTGCAATTCAAAAACGTTCCCAGTCCCTTTCCGTTTCTCAGACGCCCTCTGGGCTGGGTGTCTGTTTGGCTGGGTGCCTCCTAAGAGCCCCTCTGGTGAATCCTTCCTGGGAACCTGAGCCCATCCAGGAAACACAGGACAATTTTCAGTTTGGTAGGAAATCAGGTGCTTGCTGTTCAGGTTGAAAATTGAGGTTAAGAAATAACACTTATAAGGAAGAAACAGAGTGACTTCTTGTGCAGAATCGATTCTGTTTCAGACATTGGTTATCCAGTGTTGTGAATTATTTAGGGCTTTCATTTTACTGCTTTCTTTGGTGGCCTTGCCTTTTCTCATCAAACATTCTCATTGCCTCTGAAAAGCAGGCCAAGTAAGAGACGTGAGTTAAAACTGGAGTCTGATCATTTTGCTGCTTTTGAGCAGCTCCTGGAGGGCAGCGGGGGAGCATTTTTTATTCACCTTTGCACTTCTCCTCCCCACCAACACTTCATACTGCATGTAGCTGGGGCTCACTGGTTCTTTATAGATGAAATCCACACAGTAGTTCTTTATAGGTGAAATCACTATTTCACTGTGATTGCAGGAGAGACATGGAGAAAGGGCTCCAGCTTTGTTTGCAAGGAGGGCTTCCAAGGTCCGTGGAACCTGCAGAGAATGTGGCTCTTCCTGTGGCTTTGGTGTTGCCGTGACTTTCAGACATGGAGGGGATGCTTGATTTGTAACATGCTGCCGACTGGATGGGCCGTTCTCCTGCCCCGTGACAGACACGGAGTCCGCCACGGTCTCTGTAGCCCAGGCTCAGGATAGCATCTCACTTCCCAGGTCTAAACTCACCTCCCTCCTGCAGTCAGCCTACAGAAGTGCATCTATCTTCATTGATTGATGGTCCAGGCGGAAATGACAGTTCTCATTGCACTGGACTATGCCTCGTTGAGAGCTGAGGGGCTAAGGAAAGCCATTCTCTCTGCCTTGCCAGGGAGAATAAACTATTGTGAACCTCCTGGACCAAAGCCATGAGCAGAATAAATACAATTCAGTCATATAGATTTGGGGCAAGGCAGGCAATGAGGCTACTAAAGAAAGAACCTGTGCCCAAGACCAAGAAAATGGGTGAATCTGAAGCCCTATGCTTGTCTATGGGGCTGGAGGAGGAAGGAAGGCTTCCACTGGGTTAAAAAGAAAGTTGCCACATTCTTCTATGTGGTTTTCAGATTTTTGGGGCTCAGGACATCTTTATTCTCTTAAGAATAATTGAGGTGCCAAAATATTTTGTATCAGTCAATATATGCCGTATTAGAAATTAAAACTCAGAAATTTAAAAAATGATTTGTCAATTTACTTCAAACCATATGCTTATTATGTGCCAACACGCATTTTTAAAAACAAATTTTATTGTGTATATTTGAGGTTTACAACATGATATTATAGGATATATATAGACAGTAAAATGGTTACAATAGTAAAGCAAATTAACATACCTAGCATCTCACAGAATTACATTTCTTGTGTATGGAAAGAGCAGCTAAAAATCTAAGTGTGACTGGCTTAAAAAAGAAAATTTACTTGTTCAACAAAAATCCCTAATATAATACAATTTTATTAACTGTAGTCCTCACGGTGTACATTAGATTTCTAGGCTTGTTCATCCTACATATTTGCTGTTTTGTATCCTTTGACCTACATCTTTCCGTTTTCTCTCCCCCACCCTTTACCGCCTACTCATGGTAATCATTGTTTCATTCTCTATCTCTGTGTATTTGAGCTTTTTAAATTCCACATATAAGTGAGATCATGCAATATTTTTCTTTCTTTGTCTGGCTTACTTCACTGTACATAATGTCTTCTTGGTCCATCCATGATGTGGCAAATGGAAGGATCTCCTTTTCTAAGGCTGAATAATATTCCATCATGCATATATATATATATGTGTATATATATATATATATATATATATATATATATATATATATATATACACACACCACATTTTCTTTATTGGTTCGTTCATCAGTGGGCATTTAGTTTGTATCCATATCTTGGCTATTGTGAATAATGCCACAGTGAACACGGGAGTGCAGCTATCTTTTTGAAGTGATGAGCTTGTCTCTCTTGAGTATATGCCCAGAAGAGGGATCACTGGGTCCTATGATCATTCCAACTTTAATTTCTGTAGGACTCTCTGTACTGTTATCCATGACTGTACCAGTCTACATTCCCCCCAACATTATACTAGGTTTTCCTTTTCTCCCTATTGTTGCCAACATTTGTTGCCTCTTGTCTTTTTCATAAATTCTTATTATTGAAAAATATTTTTCAAAATAGTGTCATTGTTTTACTTTACTGCAGCTCTGTTTAGTGTCTGAATTAATGGGAGGTGGTTGGATTTCATATCTGCTTCTACATTCAGTCTGTTGCCATGTCATGTCATGCACTTTCTGAAAAACTCTACTGTGTGTTTGAGAGAGAATAAGAGTGAACAAGTTAAATAATGTCTCAATATCTCAGATCCCCTGTAAAAAGGCCTCAAGGACTTGCAGGGTTCCCTAGACCATGCTTTGAGAACTGCTTCCCTAGGTGCACACTCCCCAAAACTTGCCTCTCTCTGTGTTTAATATGTGGCCATCTTGTATGATGACATTTCTGCATTAGCAGAAAATGGGCATGGTGTCCCAAGCAAATAATCCTTTTCATGGCTTTTGGCATTTGAATAGTGCTTACGAACATTCGGGAAAGCATCCCCGAGACAAGCTAGAATAAGATTGATGTTGAACGTCCTATTGGACAGGCTGGCCAAGTTCTTGCTCATGGACTGGCAACAGGATAATCCAGAGCATGAGACAGGCTCCTTTCCCTGCTTTTCAGCATCTGAATCTCAAATTGCATGTGCTCCACTTCGTCTGCACAACACATACGTTTTTCCTCTTCACAATTACCAAAGGCTTTGTAAGAGAGGAGCAGTTGCTCCAAGGTCTCTCTGAGCTTCCTGTTTCCAGTACCCAAGGGCAGCTTAAATCTGCTTCTTTACTCACCAATAACTGTGCAGTTTATCCAACTCATCTGCTATTTCCTGGGTGCAAAATCATCTCACTTAATTGTAACCTCCTTTTTCCTGCATTAATCAAGACAGTGGCTGAGCGGTGGCATTAGCGAAATAAGCATGAATGGAAAGCAGTGATTTACAAGGATTGTGGGCTAGTTTCACTCAGCGCCAGTCTATGCCCGCTGGAGAGAATGACAGTGGGTACAGCCAGTGAGTTCTGCGGCCAAAGTGCAGATCAAAGAGAAGCTATTAAAACAAACAAAACACAACACATTTTGATGTTATTCTAACACAGGAATATCATTTTTAATGTGGCTAGAAAAATATTCAGCTTTGTTCTTTGTCCTTTAGGAAAACTACCTGCATCAGTGCTCTGATCTTTCCAGGGCTGGCGGAAGGATGGTGTCTGTAGATTCATTTACAATCATGGAGTGTTACAGTGAGGAGAGTCAGAGATCACCCAGCGCAGAGGAAAGGGTGTGGGAGGAGGGTGTTGGGCAGGGTGGTGACTATGCCACCATAGCAAGGCCCTGGGTCTGGTCTCTCTTTGTCCCCTGCTAAACCTAACTGTAGCGTGCAAGCCACACACTAGGGAATTAGAAAGCCAGCATTCTCTCTCTGCCCCCTGTGATCTTGATGGTTACTTAACCTCTCTGGATCTCAGTTTCCTCACCTGTAAAATGGGTATAGCAATAATCTTAGTCTCATAGGGCTGTTTTGAGAATGAAAAGGTAGTATACGTATAAGTTTCTTAAAATAGTGTATAATATTTAAAAAGTACAAAATAGATATCAGACATTATTGTAATATTATTGGTGTCTCTGAAACTTGGTTTTCTCATCTGCAAAGTAGGATTTTCCAGGTTGGCATGGGAATTAAGTTAGAGAATATATGGTCAAGTCTTGGAGAAAATGTCAAGTACCATTAAAAGTACTGCACTATATTTTGAGGACAAGTCAAGAGAACACTTTAACTTTGTACCTGAGTGTTTTCCCACATGTAAGACTCTATGATTATCTGCACCGTTTTGAAAGCAGGGCAGTAATTTTAAAATAAATGAATATATAATAACCAGGGCAAGAATAGCAATATAATCACAACTAGTAAGAACAATTGCTAATATTTGTGGAGTGTTTATCTCATGCCAGCACTGAGCTAAGTACTCGGTATGTAATATACGGTCTCACTTCTCACCACAGCCCTTTGAAGGAGGTACTATTATTATTCCGGTTTTGCAGAGGAGGAAAGTGAGGTCTCTCAGGGCCTCTCAGGGTCACTCAGGTTGCACATGGCTGGGCCAGGACTGAGCCCAGGCAGTCTGGTTCCGGAGTTGGTGTCCTTCACCAGTGCAGTAGCAGGGCTGGTGGTCCAGAGGGAGGTGGAAAGGGATTACATCCCAGTTTGAGTTCAGCAGGTTGCAATGTTGTGCTCTGCAGGTGACAGAATTAGATTTTTTGTGCTTTTTTGGTAAGGTAAAAGATGTGATACCTGTTGGGTACTATGGTCGCTATTTGGGTGATAGGTTCACTAGAAGCCCAAACCCCGCATTACCCAATATGCCTGTATGACAAACCTGCACATGTTCCCCCGAATCTAAAACTTAAAAAAAAAAACAAAACACGCATGATAGTTTTTCATTAGTATTTGGGGGAAGGAAGTGGTTGTTTCTTTAATGAGTAAATCATTGACTTGAGATGGGAGAGATCAGATGCAAGAGCTTTCCAAGCAGCACCTGAGTAGGACAGTGTAAGGAGGGGCTGGGAAAGAAATCCACGTGGAGTTTCTGAAGGGAACCTGAGAATGTAGAAAAGAGGTGTAGAGGCTGTAACCCAGGAGAAGAGCCCTGGGAGTGAGGCAGAACTTTCCAGGGTGTGGAGGGATGCAGTTTTTCTCAGGTTGACTGGAGGCTGTCCCATGGGGCCTGGATATTATTTCCCTGTCTCTGTCCAAGGCAGTTTGGTGGAGCAGGATGATTCTGTGGCAGGCATCACTGGCTCTCTCTGCCAAGGCTGTACAGCTTATGGTATTAAGTGGGGGCTCCTGGGAGCTTTAGGGTCAGAGACACCTGAATTGGAATCTCAGTTCCGCCACTTAAAAACTGTGTGGTTGCACAAGTACTGAATTCTCCAAGTCTTCATAGGATGATTGTAAAGATTAAATAAGAAATTGCATGTAAATAAATCACTTGGCACTTCGTAAGCTCCCAGTAAATAGCCGTCATCATTAGCATTATAATTAGATCCTCCCACTAGCTGCTTCCTGGATTTTCCAGTTGTGTTGAGGCGCTGGCCCTAAAATTGTGGCTTGACCCCCAGCTATTTTAGATCATTATATATGATGCCAGTTTGAGGTGCAGGACCCCACAGGTAGAGGACTGGTATGGTGCTAAGCCTCTCTTCCTTACAGATGCATTGTTTACATTCAAGGTGGTATTGGCCAGGATTTTCTGCTTGATCTTGTTCTAACACAAGCCTTAAATGAATACGCAAGAAGGGCTGGACAACTGCAAACAGCCATGCCCCTGGCTCAGCTGATGAAGGTTGTGGCTCACCATTTCTTGATTTAGTGGGTTACCACATGTTGCCAGGATTCATAAGAACACTTCACTGATCATGCATTTAAGGGGACACTCGTCTTTACACCAGACAGGAGAGAGGTCACTCACTTTGAACAAGACCCGGTCCTGTGTCTGTGAAATGCAGGGACCCTCCCCGCCACCCCAGATGCAGATCATTAGCTGAGCAAGGAGCCCCCAGAATTTTGCAGCATGACTTTCACTTTGTAATTGAATGGTCAAGGCATGGATATCATTGGAGCATCTCTAGGGGCCAGATTGTCTGCCCAAGGGAACAGTCCTCTGTGTATAGCCAACCAGAGTCCACCGTGTGTTACCTGACTACAAGTTTGGCAGGCTGATGTCAAGCCCATACTGGCATGAAGGCAGGACAAAGGTAGGCAGGCAGGAGGCATCTGCAAAGCAGGAATCAGGTACCCACAAATGCTCCACAGCCCCGGTATGTGATCCAAGCAGTAGGGTTCAGGGTTCAGTATCAAAGTCTCTAACAAGCATTCACCAGGAGCTACAGTTGTATTCTGGAATGTCAGCTAGGGCCCAGAACAGGGAACCCTTTCAAGCATGGGGAGAAGTGGGCAGAGTTTAGCAGTGGAGTGTCTTTGAGCTGTCCTGAACCATACACCAGCCTGCCCACACCTGTTGGCTGTAAAGTCATTGCACACATACTGTGGCTTTTCCCAGCAGCGTCTTCAAGGCAGTTTCTTACACCACATGTGCCAGGCCTGAGAGTTTCTGCAGTTTTTTCAGCTGCTCTAAACCATGATGGCATCAGCCTCTCAGCCCAACTCTCCGCCACTACCTCTTTTAGCTCCCATTTATTGAGTGTAGTTGTTTTCCAGTCACAATGCCAGAGCTCCACACACATTCTCCCCTTCAGCCCCTCAATGACCTTGTAAGTTAGGTGTTGTTATTATCCCCATTTTACAGGCGGAGAAACTGAGGTGTAGAGGGGTTGAGTGTGTGCAGTCATATAGCGAGTATGTGGTAGAGTGAAGATGCAGATCAGGCCTGTGTTTCCCCAGAGCCCAAGTGCTGAACCACCTTGTCTGTGACGTATTCAGCCCAGGCAGAAACTTACTATGACTTTTTCAGCTGCCCCTTGGAGTCACTGCATCAGGCTGGAGCAGTGGTTTGCAACCTTGACTGCACATTGAAATCAACTGAGGAGCTTTAAAAAGTACTTATGCCTGGGTCTTGCCACCAGAGATTCTGATTTCAATTGATCTGAGGTGCAGCCTGGGTATTTACCAGACCAGGGTTTCGCCAACTTTTTCTGTAAAGGGCAGACAATACATATTTTAGGCTTTGCAGACCATATGGTCTCTGTCTCAACTACTCGACTCTGCCTTCGTAGAGCAAAAGCAGCCATAGAAGATACATAAATGAATGAGCATGGCTGTGTTCCAGCAAAACTTTATTTACAAAAAAAAAAAACCAGGTGGCTGCCCAAAATTGGCCCATGAGCCACAGTTTGCCAATGACTGATCAAGTCAGGCAGCTCATTAGTAGGTTCTATCCCATTGCCAGTGAGATTAGAATTCATCTTGCTTCTCTAGGGCTGGTATCTGTGGCATCTTGGGAGAGCCCTGGGCACCCCATACCCTCCAAACCACGACCTTGCTGCAGGCTCCACAGGGTTGGCCCAGTTTCTGTGACTGAACTTCTATGATGGCCTCTATTTTGCCGAGGGACCCCAGTGCCCTGCTGAGTTGGAAATCCGGCCATGAACCGCCACCTGTTTGGCGGGGGTCTTGTCTAGCTTGCTAGCCCTCCCCCATAAGGAGTTAAAATTGGCCCCCTTGGTCTTGGCTGGCAGCCAGCTCCTCTGTAATTAGAAGGATTAGCTAGACTCGCGAGGCTGCCACCTGTTTGATAAAGAAGACTGCCCTTCATGAACATGCCTCCCCTTGCTGCCTCCCCCCAGGCCTGTCTCCCTCCAGAGGAAGTCCCCAGGGAGGTCCAGCTGTCCCCCCCCAACCCCCACCTTCACTCAGGGTCCTGCTTCCTTCTCTCTGCAATGGACCTTCCATAGCCATGCTTGTAGCTTGAGCGGCAGCATCGTTTTCACCCAAGGGATTCAGCACATCAGTTTTCTTTTATGGAATATTAATGCAGTATTCCCAAAACTGTAAGTTGTGATTATTTACAGAGTTGAAAGGGCAACTGGAAATTATTTACAATGTCAAAAGGGCAACTGAATTTCTCTGGTTATTGGAATTATGCTCCAACCCCCGAAAAATATAGAAATCAGAGTATGCTTTCCTTATCATCCCTCACGCGGCAGCTGTCCTTCTTAATAGGGATACCACAAACATATTGGATTGAAGGAAAACTATTGCTATAGGTGGCACTTTAGATATTAACAGTTCATATGCACGAAGTGCCAAGTTAGTTGTTTAGACATTGGAATGCATTTGTTCAACAAACATTTATGGAGACCTGAATTTGTTCCACATGTTGGGAATACCTTCACTAGAGAAAGACCTTCATAGAAACACTTAACTACAAGACGGTTTCAGAGGTGCTGTAATAGAGGTACATACAGATGGCTCTTGTGGGTATGAGAGGCTGGAGTGAAAGGCTGAGGTGTCAGGGAACTCAGGGAATGGGGCTCCCCAGTCGGAAAACAGGAGGAAAGGCATTTTTGGGTTAGGGACCAGTGTGTCTAAGGCAGGAGCAGGGTGTGATGTGGGCCTGGAGTGTGTGGTTCATGGGGAGGGGAGTTGTGCAAGTTGAATCTGGAAGATGGATTTGGAAACCAGTCTAGAGGTCCCAACTTCTGTGGGTGATGCAGACCAAAAGAAAGATCTTAAGTAAAAGAGAAATGCAATCAAGTCTGTTTTAGCAAAATGATTCTAGCAGCAGTGGGGGTCTGAATTAGGGTGGTGGGTAAGAAAAGAAGCAGGGGTCCTAGTAAGAGGCTGTTGTCAAAATCAAGAGGCCCCTAGGTGAGAAAGTGGAAGCTAGAATGGATGACAACTGGAAGGTGTGATCACACTTAAGAGACAGAGTTGATGGGATGATGAAGGCCAGTGAGGAGGTGTTCTTTATGATTTAAAATAGGGAAAAGGAGGCCATGCGCGGTGGCTCACGCCTGTAATCCCAGCACTTTGGGAGGCTGAGGCGGGTGGATCACCTGAGGTCATGAGTTTGAGACCAGCCTGGCCAACATGGCGAAACCCCGTCTCTACTAAAAATACAAAAATTAGCCGGGCGTGGTGGTGGGCGCCTGTAGTCCCAGCTACTCGGGAGGCTGAGGCAGGAGAATTGCTTGAACCCAGGAGGCAGAGGTTGCAGTGAGCTGAGATCACACCACTGCACTCCAGCCTGGGTGACAGAGCGAGGCTCCGTCTCATAAATAAATAAATAAATAAATAAATAAATAAAAATAGGGAAGAGGAGCAGTGTTTTAGAGGGACAGGAAAGTTAATGGCTTGAGTTTGGGGGCTTGTTGGTTTTGGGCATCTGAGGAACTTACAGTTGGAGTTACCCATTAGGCTGTGGGTAATGTGAGACAGGAAACCTAAGAGAGAGGATTACAGGTAAACAAACCTACTAAGTACAAGACACTCTACAAGGCACTGGGTGTAGAAGTGGTTCCTAGGCTTTGTTACTTACAGCTGAACAGAGAAGGCAGATGTTCAGCCATAAACTTGGAACGTGAGAACAGCCTGGAAAGCCTGCCAATGGTGTGATCATGTGCAAGTCGCCTACCTTCCTCAGCTTTGAGTTCTTCATTCAAAAACCAATGAGTGATAGGAACACATAACTAAAGTATCTGTAGGGGCCAGGCATGGGGGCTCATGCCTATAATCCCAGCACTTTGGGAGGCTGAGGCAGGTGGATCACCTGAGGTCAGGAGTTCAAGACCAGGCCTGGCCAACATGGAAACCCCATCTCTACTAAAAATACAAAAATTAGCCGGGCATGGTGGCGCATGCCTGTAATCTCAGCTACTCAGGAGGCTTACAACTTATAAACACTATTATATACATTGTATGATAAAATACACTGACCCACCTCATATGCTTTTGAAAATTAAGCATATGAATAAGCAATAGATTTAGATGTTATGAAACTCAAAATTCATAAAATGGTAAATAGTGAAAAGTCTCCCTTGTGCTCTGTCCTCAATCCACCAGTTCCTTTCTCAGAGATACCATTTTCTTGTGTACCCTTAAAAGGGTATTTTTTGCATGTACAAGCTAGCACTGTGTGTGCACATATTCTTCTTTTTTCCTCTTTTTTTTGTTGCAGAAATGATAACCTACTATTCACTATTCTGTGCCTTGCTTTGTTTGCATACTGAAAATTATCCATGGAAGGATACAGCACCATTTTTACTTAAGGAACCCCTTATTTAGGGACACTTAGGTTGTTTTCAATATTCTGCTCTTGTAAAGAGTGCTGCCTCATTTCACACACATGTGAGTGTATCTATAGGATAAATCCCTAGGATTGGAATTGCTGCATCAAGGAGAATGTGTATTTGTAATTTTGATGCTTGTTGCCAAATTTCTGTCCATAGTGGCTCCAAGTTCCCCTCCTATTGGCAAGGTCTCCCGTGGCTATGAGGATCACATGAAATAATATGTTTAAAACAACTTCATGAGCTGGAAAATGGGTCAACATATCCAAAGGATCCTTATCCCCCTCTCTCCCCTACACAGTAGCTCTTCTACCTGCTGCTGGGAGAAGTGATGGTTACATGTCAGGGGAGACACCGTACAGCCCCGTCAAGCCATTTTCCCCTAAGAGATATTTATCAGGGGTTGTTTTGACACGGGAGATGCCTCCTTGTCCTCATCTCCCTGAAGTACAGATGGCCGTGGGGCTCCTGTAACACATCTCATGTTGTGCCTGAGTATGCGGTGCGTCAGAGGATGTCAGCTAACAGCTTCTGCTGCCTCGGCACTGGGTGGTGGGAACACTCAGGACTCCCTCCCGCCTCCTCCATAAATAACATAGAGACAGTTGTGTTGACTCGGCAGTGGCGTGATAGAACAGGCCGGGATGGGAACTATGACCTCATCTGGTTTTCGACAAGCAGTGAAGATGTAGCTGATAATGCATGTCAGCTCATTTGTCCATACAAGCTGTGTTCATTGCTACTGGTTCTTCTGTTTGTGTTGTAAATTCTGTTTCACATTGGAGTTTGGTATTAGGTGAAAGAAAGAATGACAGGGATTCATGGTTGTCTCTTATTGAGATAGCTCCTCAGTTCAGTTCAACAGATTGTGATTGACACATCTCAATTTAACTCCAGAAGTTTCCACTGAGTGCCCACTATGTGCAGGGTACAGTGCTGAAATGTGTCATGTTTTTAAATACTGCTTACAGCTACAGCTGTTGGCTGTCTACATGGACTTTCGCAGACTGAAATAGCTTTCCTTTTTCCTTTTGCTAGTGGCTCATTATATGTTACATTGACAAACTAAATTGCAAACCAGGGATGATTCACTTTGCACTATAGAAGCGTTCCTGAAAATTGTTTTTGAAAAATAATTGTTATAAAATAAATAATGTTTTAACTGTACTGGTGGATTTTTCTATTAAAAGCAAATTCCAATGCTGAATTATTTTGAAAGATAAAACATTATTTTCTGATGTATCTGTTCAGTAAAGGAGAATTTTTTACCTAAAGGGAAAATAAATTTGATACCTTTAATCATCTGAAGCAATACCAAATATAGGCTTTAAAAAATATTTTAAGAGCCTGTGAGCAGTTTATACTAACAAAAAGAACAAATGCCATGAAGATCACGCGACAGAGAAAGACATAATCTTATTTGCTGGCAATAGCTAATAACGATAAATCTTCCAGTGTAAAAAATAGGAATCGTGAAAGAAGCAACAGAGAAAGATGAAAAAGATTGGAGAAGAAGAAGAAAATGAAAACAGAGAAAAGGAACAATATCAGCAGGTGGTGGATGGCCCGAGTGGTAGAGGAAGTGAAAGCCAAATAGCAAAAGTGGCAGCAAAGAGGACAGCTGGCCAGTAGGAGAGAAAAGAGAAGCCACCTCTCCTGGAAGCTGTGTTATCTGACCCCCTCGTGCTGCTTCTGCCTGAGAGTGCGTCGATGTCTGACCTCCACTGGAGTCAGTCAGTCCTGGGAATACCGTGTATTCCTGCATAACAGTACCTTAGAGCTTTCCTTACGTGCTTACCTGGTGGCAGGTGACTGTTCTGAGTGCTTTGTGTATTAACTTGTTTAGCTGCCTTAGCAACCCCTTGAGAAATCATTTTCCCCACTAGACAGAGGACGTAGCTGAGCAGCTCACCCAAGGCCAGAAGCACTGAGCGGAAAAGCTAGGTTTGATTCGCAGAATTCTAAGATGGTCTGCCCCCAAGTTTCCCCTCGGTTGGTATACACGATCTGTAGAATCCTCTCCCCTTCCATGTGGACAGGACTAGTAAAAATGATGGGATTTCACTCTCTTTATTAGGTTACATTATACAGCAAGGATAAAGAGATATTTGCAGATAATAAGTAAGGTCCCTAATCAGTTGATTTTGGGTTAATCAAAAGGGAGACGTCCGGGATGGGCCTGACCTAAATATGCAAGCTCTTTATATTTATATTTTTATTTTTATTGTCATTTTTATTGAGATGGAGTCTTGCTCTGTTGCCCAGGCTGGACTGCAGTGGCACAATCTTGGCTCACCACAACCTCCACCTCCCGAGTTCAAGCAATTCTCCAGCCTCAGCCTCCCGAGTAGCTGAGACTAAAGGCATGCACCACCATGCCTGCCTAATTTTTGTATTTTTAGTAGAGATGGGGTTTCCCTATGTTAGCCAAGCTGGTCTTGAACTCCTGACCTCGTGATCCGCCTGCCTCTGCCTCCCAAAATGTTGGGATTACAGGCAGGAGCCACCGTTCCCAGCCAAGCTCTTTTTTTTTTTTTTTTTTTTTTTTTTTTTTGAGACACAGTCTCACTCTGGAGTGGCTCACTGCAACCTCTGCCTCCCAGGTTCAAGCGATTCTCCTGTCTCAGCCTCCCTCCCTGTCTGTAGCTGGGACTACAGACATGCGTCACCACGCCTAGCTAATTTTTGTATTTTTACTTATTTTATTTTTATTTTTTGAGACGGAGTCTGGCTCTGTCCCAGGCTGAAGTGCAGTGGTGCGATCTCCCCTCACTACAACCTCCACCTTCTGGGTTCAAGCGATTCTCCTGCCTCAGCCTCCCAAGTAGCTGGGATTACAGGTGTGCACCACCATGCTTGGATAATTTTTGTTTTTTAGTAGAGATGGGGTTTCACCACGTTGGCCAGGCTGGTCTCAAACTCCTAACCTCAGGTGATCTGCCTGCCTCGACCTCCCAAAGTGCTGGGATTACAGGCATGAGCCACCACATTTGGCCTAGGCAAGCTCTTTAAAAGAGGCTCCAGGTTTTCCCTAAAGAAAGATAATTGAAGCTCCAGATTCTTCTGCTGACCCTGAAGAACCAAACAGCCTGTTGTGAACAGCCTATGGGAAGGGGCCACGTGGCCAGAACCTGAGAATAGGCTTAAGGTTGCTCAGAGTGGTCCCTGGCCAACAACTAGCAAGGAAATGGGGACCTCAGTCATCAGTCTCAGCGAAGTGAATTCTGCTAACAACCACATGAGTTGAGAGGAGAATCCTGAGCTCAAGAAAGGAACACGGTCTAGCTGACTCCATGATTTCAACCTGGGAAACCTGGAGCAGAGGACCCAGCCAAGCCACACCTGGACTTCTGACCCACAGCAACTGTGAGCTAGTGAGTGGGTGTCGTTTTAAGCTGCTAAGTTTGTGTTAATTTGTTCTGTAGCAATAACAGATGAATGCACAAGGATCTGAACCTCGTGATTCTGGCTGCAGAGCTCACATGCATCCTCCCTTCTCCAGGCAGCCTCTTCAGAGACGTCATCTCAAAAATCACTAAATCCTGGAACTTCAGGGTTGAATGGGGAACTTTGATCTAGCCCAGTTGTTTAATCAAACTTTTCCTTTGCAGCAGATGGCCACTGTGCAAGCAGACTGGGGGAGCTGCTCTACTTGCTGTGGGGTGTGTGAGCCGCTTCTGTTCTTTGCACTCCTCTCCTTGAGGAATCTCTGGGGAACACAGTTTGAGAACCACTGATCTGATCCAACAACTCATCTTTACATTTCCCTCTACAACATCCTGACACCTTGTTCCTTTGGAAAGTCTTCTGTGGCATTGAAATCTGGCTCACCGTAATTCCCACTATTGGTCCAGGTCCAGTCATAGGTGATACACAGAGCAAATGGAACTCTTTTTCCATAGGAGAATGCATCACTCATTAAAGACAGTTCTCACGTTTCATGGAAGCCTTCTATTTTCCAGACAAAACATCTCCATGACCACAAAGGAGCTGCCAGTCCCTTCTCTCCTAGTGTTTGCCTGTGTTTCTCTTAGAGTCAGGTCAGGAACTAAGCACAAAATTTTTGGTGTGGTCTGCTTCACATAAAATACGGCAAGCCTAGCATAAGCCACAGTCTAAATATTCTGTTTCCATGAATGCAGCGTTAGACCACATTTGCTTTTTCGCAACCACAATGCAGTGCTGACTCATACCACACGCAGAGTCAATCAAAATTCCCTTTTCACATATGTGGTTGCTAGGGTATGTCTTCACCAACATGTACTTAGGTGTGTTTATTTTAACCTGAATACAGGCTTCACATTCATCACCATTGTGTCTCATCAGGGATCTGGTGCATATCTTGGATGATCCTGATTATGTCATCCAACAATATTGCTCTTCTCCCTAGCATCACCTCAACTCTCAATTGGACAAATATGCCATAAATATCCTCATCGGAGTTATTGACAGAATTTTGGAACCAGACAGGGCTGAGGTCAGAGCCCTCTAGCACCATATTGATGACTATTCCCAGTGTTTGGGTCCTTCAAAAACTTACAAATCCAACTAATTGTATCATCTAATGGCAGTGATCCAACTCATAAAGGTACCACCAGAAACATAATGAACTATTTCCTGGCCGCCAAGTACAGGCATTAAGTCCATTTCTCTGCCTTCCCAAGCCAGGAGGTCACTAGAGCTCCTCCTGCATGCCCACAAACATGTAGGAGCCTCTTTTCGAGGATGTGCCTCATACCCACCCTTTTATAGTTTGCTCCTCCTTAGATAAACACCATTCCCCCCCGCCCCCCATGATTCCATTCTCTCTCATCTTTTTTTTTTTTCCCCTTACTCAGATTCCCTTGGGAAAAGGTAAAGACTACTTAGAGGATACCAGTGAACCTTGGAGTACCTAAATGACTGTGGCAGGCCTCATCTTTATTTCAGAGGAGGAATCTTTTTGGGGTATCTTATCATAAGAAATAGGGTAGGGCTCCAGTGTAAAAGTCAGGACAAGTTGCATAGGTGGGAGGGGTGCAGGGAAAGGTGGGGTCTGCATGTGGGGATGGGGTGGGGAGGGAGATGAAGGGACAAGGCTGTGTTTACCTCTGAGGTTTCCGTGGGGCAGGGGCGAAGCCAGCGTCTTCTGCAGCCTTACCCTTTCTTCCTCTCATTTCACCATTTCTCTACCAGCCACACCTTATATTAAAACAGAGGGTAAGGGGAAAAATAAGACTTGCTTTGTAAAGTGGGGTCATTGTTCTTGACAGCACTGCTCCATGTGGCATCTTGGGATGGATGAGTTCCCAGATCCACCCTAAAGTGGAGATGCTGTGATTCCACAATTCCTTTAGAGAGACCATAAAGCCCATATGAGTGGGCTTGGTGGAGATAGTCTGCGATTATAAATATATCACAAGCCTGTCTTGGTTTATTTTTTCATATACCTTTCTCCTTTATTCACATTCATTTATATAAACGTGAAAGTTGCCATGGGTCTTATAGGATACCTATGCTACCTGAAGACCAAGAGCTTCTGTTTGATCATTGAAAAAGAAGTGTTTTAGTTGTGGTTAAATTTGACAGTGCAGCATTCACCTAGTATTCATTTACCATCTCTAATAACTATCTCCCTTCCCCTGGGGATGGGGACCCTTTTCTTCTCCTGTATTTTTAGTCCATTTGTTTCTGGTGGAGTCCCCTCTATGCTCTACTTTATACGGGTATGCAGCTTAGGTCTGGCCAATCAGAACCTTATATTCTCCCTTGTTTGATTCAAGGCACCAAGAGGGCAGAGAGACTTTTGCTGAGTCTCCTGGCAAAAATACGCTTGGTCTTCTTCACTGAACTTTTCAGGTTTTGAGGCTCAAGCCATCTGAGCCACCTTGCCCCCAGGAAGTGGGGATCTGAAAGAGGATGGCACTAACACAGAGAAAGTGGAGATGGGAGATGGAGGCAAACTGAACTCTGGGGGCATGAGGGGGAAGTGACTACATTCTAGACTCAGCCAGATTTCTTGGGTTTGAATTGTTCTGCCACTTACAAATGTGGTCACTCTATCCAGATTGGTCTCTGTGCCTCAGTTTACTCATTTGTGAAGTGGGAATTGTTATGATACCTACTCATGGAGTCTTAGTGAGGGTCAGGTGAGTCATGTGAAATGCTGAGAACAGCACCCAGCATTTGGTATGTACTATACAAGTGTTAGTCATCATTTGAGCCCTATGCCAAGACATGACTAAAATGAGACCCACCCCTTGATTTTTTTCAGCTCAAAGAACAATAAATTTTCTTTTGCTGATAGTCCGTTTGGGTTGTGTTTGTTGTCACTTAACCCAAAGAGTCCTAACTAGTAGACTCAGTGAAATCAAATTCATATTCAGGTTTAAATTTTGTCTTCCTTAATGACCCTAAGATAGAAATAATCCAAACTTAGATATTCCTTTCTTGATTATTGTCCAGCAATGAGCAAGGTCTTGGAACTGGCTAATTTCCTTCTTCTTCCTATCTTCTTGCTTGCATTTGTTTGCAATTTGGTCTTCAGCATGTCTTTAAAAAATACTGCATGTCACAATTATTTAAGGAACCTCAGAACACTGCAATTAGATTTTCATAACAAGCATATACTTTATGTCCTTTATTTCCAATTCATGCAGTATTTAAAATGACAATATGAAAAAATAAACTATGAAAAATTAAAATAAATATATTAGTATATTAGACATAAATAAAAATTTAAAAACACACTGAATGGGGAAGGTGGGTAGTTGGCTGGAGCTGTGTGTGGGAATAGGGAGCAAATAAGAAAACCTGGGAATCTCCATTGGGTTCAGCAACTGCTTGGCTGTGTGGCCTTGGACAAGTCAATTCTCGCTGGTTTCCCAGTCTGTAAAACAGGCAGGATGTGATAGCTGAGGTTCCTTCCTTATTAATTTTGAAGTGTGTAAGAGCTTTCTTAAGCATCTTAAATAACATGTTTAATTTTCTCTGTGGTTGTGAAATGATGCAAAAGAAATTAGAAAAATGTAGCTGTTAATGAGACTCATCTGCGTTTTGTGATTCCTTAGAATTTGTGGTGTATATTTTAGGGTTACTCCCATCTCTTTTCTTTCTATATCCAAAGGGATTTGTTTACTCTTTTTTTCCCCCCATTTTCTTCTGTCTCAAAAATCCATGTGGTCTTCCTGAGTCCTCACTGTCTTAATAATCAAGGGGCTTGGCCATTTCAGCTGAGAATAGCAGCAGTGGCTCTAGTCAGCTTTAATTAGCAGGGAGCACACAGAGAGGAACAATAAGGAACCAGAATTGAAAACAAATAGTAAACTAGAGACAATGGAGACAAAGAAATGGAGACAAAGCAAATAAGTAGAACCAGTTCAGAGGGCTGGGAAGACAGAAGCCACAACAGTGTTAGTCTTCCTTTTTCTTAGAATGGAAAGCCAGGCCAGGCATGTAGTGGGCACTCAGGGGATTTGCAGGAGTGAGAGGGGCAAGGGAGAAATAGATGAGATTGAGCATTTGGCTGTGTGTGGACACGCTTCATCGTGCCAACTCAACTAGCCCTGGGATGCCGGAGGAAGAAAATCACAAAAGGAAACTTAGGATGCCCAGGTTCCAGCACAAAATGCACTTCCCACTGCCGAGGTGAAACTATCTGAGGCATTGAATGAGGAACAATACAATTTTTGAGAAAGCTAAGGAGGTGCCTACCAACCCGCACCAACGCATTTGTTTTTGAGAAACGTGGTGCTTATTTGCAAGTAAGTATTCATTTCATGCCTCGCTATTTGGCTTGTAGGTTGGACTTAATTAAAAAAGCTGTAGCATCTTTGAGTCCAATTTCCTCTTTTCACATAGCATCTGTCCCTGACAGCTTGTGTGAGGCTCGGCCACTTGTTGAGGCTGAGGCTAGAGGAGGAAATGACAAGGGAGAGGCAAGATGGACATACGCCTCTTGTTGGAGGTGGCACTCTCTAATTCTGCATGGCCCCGTCACGTGCTTGGGAGGCTTCTTGGTTTAAGCAAGGCAACAGATGTCTCCGAGAGGGGGATGCTGGCAGCATCCCAAAGGCCAGCAGGACTACGGGTTAGGCATGAGTAAGCCGACGGGAGAGGGAGGCACACATGCTTTGCCCTCTGCTCAGAACTGGAAAACAGGCGAACATTGGATAAGAGCAAATTCTAGAACTGAACAGAGGGTGATGGCGGAAAGAAAATACTTCTTTGGAACAAGCATTATCCTGCGGGGTGGAGGTAGATGTGGGGGATGGGGAACTTGACTATTTTCAAAGACAAATATGCCCCAGCACTTCCTACATTGAAATAGATGGCACAAAAGATAAAAGTCAATAGGGTGTTGACTTTGCCTATCAACGCCGCACTGTTTTGCTTTGCAAAGCATGGCTACTTACATATGCATTTACCCGGAGGTTTGACTTTAAATGTTACCAAAAAAGAGAACTGAAGCTTTCTCCCCTTACAGCTGTCATTCTTAGTTATCAGGACAAGCCTATCAGTAAATCCAAACCAACCTGTATCTCATTTTGAAACAAGTAATTGAGTTTGTGGTAAGTAAGCTCTTACAGATGGAGCATGCACTTAATCTACTTTGCATTTGAAGGTTTTAGTGTTGCTTTTAAAGCAGTTTGTTTGAAGTTCAAGGTATTAGAATTTGGATCTTTAGGGACTTCACTCTTAATTTAAAGGAATCTTTGTAAATTGCTTGGGCCTTGTTCCTGAAATTACCTGGCATTTCCCTAACTGCACTGTTTTAAAGCACAAGGACCGTTTGACCAAACATGCTGCATTCACGTTCTTTTTCTGGGCCTTTGCTCTTGGCCTCTGCATACCTTTATTCCCTAACAACAGATGTTCTGGCTATATTTTGTCTCTGAACAGTCCCTTTTGCTTTTATGCAAAGGAACCCAGCACTGTGGCACATCCCACCTGAAGCTTGTGTTTATCGCTCTGTTCCTTGTGGTTCTGTGGATAGCGAATCTCTGCTGCTGTTCCCATTTCTTTCCATTTGATATCTGAAGAATATAGTCAGCCTGATTGCTGAGCAGACTGTCAGAGATTCATGGAAGAAGACCATCTCTGGGCCATCTTACGGCTTAGATTCACACACAGCCACATATCTAGAAAGCCAGCAAGGTCAGGAGCAATAGGGGTTTTGTTTGGCCAGGCAGTATTCCCGTGAGACTTGTGTGCCACCATGAATAACGTTTAGTAAGTTTTACTGGTACTTTGCGAATTACACAAGTAATAAGATGATATTTATGGACAAATTAGAACAAAGTATAGATAAGCAAAATGGATGACCTGCCTGCAAATTCTACATTTAGAAGTGTTAATGGTGGCAAATCCATTCGGGTCTGCAGCAACTTCAGTTCTTGCCTCCTCAGAAGAAAAAATTCAACCAAGGGGCATAAGGCACAGTGAGAGACCAATGCAAGTTTTAGAGCGAGAGTGAAAATTTATTAAAAAAATTTAGAACAGGAACAAAAGGAAGTAAAGGACACTCAGAGGAGAGCCAAGCAGGCAACTTGAGAGATTCAAGCGTGTGGTTAGACCTTTGACTTGGGGTTTATATGTTGGCATGCTTTCCGAGGGTTGCATCTCTTCTTCCCTTATTCTTCCCTGGGGGTGGGTTGTTTGCATGCACAGTGTCCCGCCAGCACTTGGGAGGGGCCACAGGTGCAGTGTGTTTACTGGAGTTGTACCCATGCTCACTTGAGGTGCTTTTCCCTTACCAGCGGAGTGTTTCTAGAGGAAGGTCATATACCAGTTAAATGCCACCATTTTGCCTCTTAGTGCGCATGCTTGGGCCCACTCACCCAACTTCTAAGATCTTACTGAGAAGCAGCTGATCACCAGTTTCAGGTGTTTTCTATCTATTGGGAGCCAGCCGTTCCCTGGCACCAGCTGCAACCAATTATTATTTAAGAGACAGATTAACAACTGCCTGACCATCACCTGATGGTCTCCTGACATTCCCGGTTGGTGGTGGAGGGGTGCTCTCCTGCCCTGCTTGTGTCTGCCTGACTCCCTACTGTAACAAAGGTAATGCTTCTAATTGCCTTTTATGTACATATATACATGTAAATATGTATTTTCTTTTTAAATGTGGTCAGACTGTTCCCATTAAATTTCAAAATCTACCATGGACATATTTCATATCTTTAAGTATTTGACATTATTTTAATGGCTATGCATAGTTCAGTTGCATGGATGGAACTTTCTTTTTTTTAACCAGTCAACTATTGTTACGTATTTAGGTTGATACCAGTTTTTCTTTCTAATAAACCATGCTGCAATGAACATTCTTGTGGCTAAAGCTTTGCACATCCTTAATGTTTTTTTTAAGTATTAAATCCTAGAAGTTGAATTGTTTGATCAAAAACTGCCACGATTCTTACATGAATCTATCCTGTATACCCTTTAGGATGGCACAGAGTATCTGTGTAGCAAAAGTTAGCACCGAATGTTTTCCACACTAAACCTGAGATAGGGAAAGAGCAGGAAGGACTTTTGCCCTTTACTCTCGGAAGTTTTGTTTGTATTACTGCCTGCTATAAATACAAAGAGAAGGACTTGGCTCCTCCTATATTTTGGCTGTTGCAAGCCCTAAATATTTAATTCAATATGTTTAAAGTAGGCCTTATGAACTACCGGGGCGGAGGATTTTATGACACTTTTACCATGATGTGCAAATTTGTATATCCACACTTTATCTGTAGGAGTATCTACATACATTTAGTTATGGGAGGCAGAGGATGGAGCGAGAGACGGGCCAGCACCCTTAATTCTTCTCTGTGTTGAACAGAGATGCATGTTTTTGATATGCTGAGGAGCATTACTATAAAATGCAGACTAATAGTATTTCACTGGAGAATAGAAAATACTTAGGGAAGCTGGAGTGCTCCGAGACAACCTTTCAATCCATTTACCAAAAGAGCTTATAATGGAACTCAGGTTTCAAGGGAGGTCAAACACTAATAAATATTGAGAAAAAATAGTTAAAAGGACATCAAGTTAATATTTTACAATCTATTCTTTGATCTTGGAAGGCTTGAAATATTTTTCTACACTACTTCTGTGATTTATTGATTCACCCCTGCCAATTGGCATATTGGAACAGACACAGATGCCTTGCTTTTAACTACAGCTTCCGCTTCTATAATGCTTTGCAATGCCAACAGATTTTTATGTATTCACTGGCATCACTTATTGATACTGCCACAGTTCTGGAATATTTGCTAGTTAAAAACTGGATCGTTGTCAGTAAAAGCGACTGAAATGTTATTGATTTTTGTTTCAATGCTGTAATAACATCTCTTGGTTTTGTTGTATTGGTTTGGGGGGAAAAGTAAAACACCCTGCATTTCATTGACTCTTCCACCTTTATCTGTATTCAAAATATGTTCAGAATCTGATTATTTTTCTACTTTTGTTGTCACCACCCTAGTCTTGGGGAAGAAAATATATCTGTCACGGATTACAATAACCTCTTAACTGGCTGTTTCCACTCTTGCCTCTCTTCAGTCTATTCTGAACCCAGAAGCCCGAGAGAGCTTCCAAAATGTAAGTCAGATGATGTCACTCCTCCGTCTTTGCACTCAGAGCCAGCCTCTGCATGCTGAGCCTCATCTTCCTCACCTGCCACATGCCCCACTCCCCGCTTCCATTGCAAAGACAGAGCTGTCAGGAGAGAGTCTGGATTGGCAGCACTCGTTTGCAGCTACCAATCTCAAGGCCCAGATGCTCTGCCTTCCCTGCTGTTTCTGAAGGTGATTGTCCCTGCTGCTGCCTAAGGGCCCCATTCACTGGTCCATTAAATCCTTTTCCCTCCCACCTTGTCCCCTTGGCCCTGCTGACAATGGCCCCTTCTCCCTCCTGCATCCTCGATTTTCCCCTGAATTAAGGACTGTCGGGCTTTGACCCATCACTCTACCTACACCCTTCTTCTGAGGGCAGCTAATGCCCCCCCCCCCCCCCATATTAACTCCAAGGTCCACTCTCAGTCCTTGCCTTATTTGGCTTTTCAGCCACGCTTGCGAATGTTGATCACTTCCTCCACCTTGAAGGTGCTCCTCTGGCTTCCACAAACTGCACTATCATCCCTCAGACTTCTGGTCACTGTTACTTCTCTGTCTTTACATCACGCTCCTCTCTCCTTCCCTCACTCAGCTCCAGACACACAGGCCTCCTTGCAGTTCCCGCAAACAGGTAGGCTGTGTTTCAGGGCCTCCGAACTTGCTGTGCCTCCTGCTTCGAATGTGCTCTTCCTAGCTGTCCGCATGGCTCTCCGTCCCTCTGTCCATTCAAGCACGTACTTGAAAGGCACAGGTGCTACCTGCGCTCCTTTCCCACACTGTTTCCCCCTAGCACATCTCATTGTCTCGCTCACTATGTGTTTTATGTATGTATTTCATTTATTGTCAGTCTCTGTGCATATAAGCTCCACGAGGCTGGGAATTTTTTTTTTTTTTTTTTTTTTTTTTTGAGACGGAGTCTCGCTGTGTCGCCCAGGCTGGACTGCAGCGGCGCGATCTCGGCTCACTGCAAGCTCCGCCTCCCGGGTTCACGCCATTCTCCTGCCTCAGCCTCCCGAGTAGCTGGGACTACAGGCGCCCGCCACCACGCCCAGCTAATTTTTTGTGTTTTTAGTAGAGACGGGGTTTCACCGTGTTAGCGAGGATGGTCTCGATCTCCTGACCTCGTGATCTGCCCGCCTCGGCCTCCCAAAGTGCTGGGATTACAGGTGTGAGCCACGGCGCCCGGCCTGAGGGTGGGAATTTTTATCTGTTGTGTTCTCTGTTGTATCTCCGGCACCTGGAACAGTGCCTAGTATGTGATGGGTGCATAATAAATATTAGTTGAATGAATGAATGAATATTCACGAGACTGCTAGTAGGGTACTTGGAGAAATACTTTTGGGAGTCTTTGTACAGGGATTTAAAAGATTTATAATTTTCTTACAGTTACATGATTTGGGAAAAACAGGGGTGTTTGGGGACAAAAACAACAAATATTTGGAAGGTGGCATGCCTTTCTTATTTTGCCAGCCTTTCTGTATCCACAGAAACACTTTCTCAAAACTGTAAATTGGGCATATGTCCTTCGTGCCTGCCTTGTAACCGCAAGAAGATACCATTTTTGTGCCGCGTTGAAAGACAAGGACAGAAACAGAGAGAAGCAGCTGAGATCTTAAGTCAGCACGTTTGATTCAGAGGCATTATAAGTGTAGACCTGAGAGACTCTGCTCAAAATGCAGCAAATCCCTGCTTTCTGTCTTTGAGGCCTACTGTACAGGTAGAAATGTCACAGGTCACCACTTTATTTTCCCCACACGTGTCAGCACATTGAGTGCACACAGCACCATCCCCTCCCTGCCTGTTCTCACGTATGTTTTTGTCTTCAAAAATTCCTTCTCTATTTATGCTTGCTGAAATTCCATTCCCTTCAAGGCCCAGCAAAAATGCAGACTTGTGTGTGAAGCCTTCCCAGACCCTTGCAGTCCTCATGGATCCCGCTGTGTGCTATGCTCTTTAGAACAAGCAAGCCACAGGGCAGTCATCCTCTGTATCTTTGCAGGATTGGTTCCCTGGACCCCCCACAGATACCAAGATCCATGGATGCTCAAGTCTCTTATATAAAATAGCATAGTATTTGCATATTACCTACACACATTTTCCCATAAACTGTAAATCATCTCTAGACTACTTATAATATCAAATACAATGTAAATGCTATGTAAATAGTTGTTACTCTGTATTGTTTAGGGAATAATGACAAAGAAAAAGTCTGTACATGTTCAGTACAGATGGAACCATCCATTTTTTTCAAATATTTTTGATTTGTGGTTGGTTGAATCCACAGATGTGGAACCCAGGGATACGAAGGGCCGACTATATCCCTCAGTTTAGCTGTGAACACACACACACACACACACACACACACACACAGATTATAAACCCATTGAGGGCAAGATTATATCATACTTTTTTGGTATTTTCAGCACCTAGAAAATGCCTTGGACACTAAAGGCACTCAGAATTGTAATGAAATGGAAACAACCCCTTTAAAAAAAAAAATCAGGGCCAGGCATGGTGGCTCACGCCTGTGATCTCAGCACTTTGGGAGGCCAAGGCAAGTGGATCACTTAAGCCCAGGAGTTCAAGCCCACCCATCTATTTAAAAAAAAAAAAAATTAAAAAAGATGAGAGAGTTAAAACTGTGAGGAAATCGCTTTATGGTTATTGAGGTGTTTTCTACCAATGTTTTCATCTGGTAGCATGGTCAAATCCCAGTGAGACTTGTCTGTTGAGCCTACTTACTTCTTTTCATAATATTTGTTAGTAAGAGCAGGCAAGTGCTTTTGGGGGCTCTAAGTGAGCCCCTGATAAGCAAGTTTTTGACTAATGCAGATCTGGCCTCTGTGGCATTACTGCCTTTGCCAGCAGAGGGGATTAGGCAAATTGGCAAAGGGTCTTGAGCCAGCAGGGTCTTGTGGGAGGTTTCACTGATGCCTGAGATGTTGGGCATTGGGTCCCAGAGGAAGGAGAGTTGGTGCAATCTTGGCAGCTGAGCTGTCTGTGGGCACCACAGGCTTGTCCATGTTGAATAAATATGTGTTGTAGCTGCGAAGCCCTAGGCCAGGATTACTCTAAAAAGAGAAAGGTCTGTCCGTGTGTAATCACCATTTTTTTTTTTTTTTTTAAGACAGAGTCTCGCTCTGTCGCCCAGGCTGGAGTGCAGTGGCGTGATCTCTGCTCACTGCAACCTCCACCTCCCAGGTTCAAGAAATTCTCCTGCCTCAGCCTCCCAAGTAGCTGGGATTACAGGCGCCCACCACCACGCCCAGCTAATTTTGTGTATTTTTAGTAGAGATGGGGTTTCGCCATGTTGACCAGGCTGGTCTCGAACTCCTAACCTCAGGTGATCCACCTGCCTTGGCCTCCCAAAGTGCTGGGATTACAGGTGTGAGCCACCATGCCCAGCCGTAATCACCTTTTAAAAATTCTAGCTATATCTAATGTGTTTTATTGAAGCATATGCTAAAATGCTGTATTTGTAAGGATTCTCAATGATACTGGGTAAATGACTTGTAGTTTCTGAGTGCTGTGGAGTAAAACAATAGAGAGATGTCAGATACTCCAGAGAAGAGGAAGGGTACCTTCAAGAGAGCATTTCCCTAACAGACTCAGTTAGCTTCATTTGCCTAACAAACAGACTCAGTTAGCTTTGGCCTTGAAGGTATTTGCATGTTATAGGGCAGGGTTTCCTTTCATTGAATACTTTTTAAAAGTGCTTCTTTCTCATAGCTTATGTGTACTCCATTGAAAAAATGAGGGACAGAAGAGATAAAGTGCTCTAAATCTATTTAGCAGTCCTCAAGGGCATAACTACAGCCAGATGTTTAATGAACTTACTATGAATTGTCTTGCAGAGGTACAGAGTGACTTCTTAGGGGTAAACACTTTGCCTGTAACCTGAATTCATGCACAAACTTACCTCTATGACAGGATCCTGGCTGGAGGGGAGATTTGCATTTGGGAGCTGGGCAGGTCCAGGAGGATGCTCTGTTAATGGCTCCTCTGGATTAAGAAGGGGATCTGTCCTAACGTTGTAGGACATTCTTCTTAGTTCAGGTAAAGACAGGGTTCTTGTTACAAGACCATGAAATATTAGGCTCAAAGACACTTTGAAGAGTGAGAAAAATGGAATTTATTGGGTGAAAAGGAAAAAAAGGGGAAACAGGGACCCTCAGCGGAGCAAGACTCCTGCTAGTCGGTTTCCCACCTTACAGATTGAATCCCAGGTTCCACCCTGGAACAGGAGGGGCCAGGCTCCTCGCCCCTGCAAAGGGCACTAAATTCTGTGGCCTCACCCCCCATTCTCCTAGTGTTCTGGGGACCCCTTTACACCTGGCTGTCTCATTCTCCGCTCTGAAGAAGTCCATCTGACTGCAGTTAGAAAGGATAAGGATGAAGACCCATCTTAGCCTCCTGCTGACAGGGGGCGCTGTTTTGGGGAAACGGCAGTCAGAGCTCCCTCAAAGACCGATCTGAGGATCCCCGGAAGAAGGGGCCATCAGCTGAGGCTCTGGTTGCGTGATCATTTGGAGTTTGATGGCCTGAAGTTGAGAAGAGACAAACCAGGTTATTAGAAAACATGTATTAAAACGAAACAAGGTGGGGGGAGGGTAAGGACAGCTCAAAAATCCCGAGGCCTTTTAGTAGTTTGCACAGAGAGAGGGCGGCCAAAAGCCCGGCTGGTACAAAAACGTTACCCTTTTGCCAGCATGTTGGGCTTCTGGGTTCCCTCCCCACCGAGCCCAGTCCTAAGCCAACTAGTTTAAGGCTTGGGAAATTAACCTTTCCCAGTTTGGAGGATGCACCCGAGGGGAATGACCCATTAAACAGAGACACGATTACCTATCTGTGAAAAGAGGACAGGGGAGGAGAGAGGAAAAAAGAAGGCGTTTTTTAAAGGAGTCCCAGGGGTTCAGGATGCATTTGAAAGGGGTACAGACTGAAGATGAATGGCTACCCGTCTAGAAAGAGGAGAGCAGGAGTCCCTAGTTCCCTTCTTTGCTATCAAATACCTGGGGTTCGTGAGGGAGAGAAGGAAGAGCATCTTCCTTGCATCCCCGAGGCCTTGGTGACTTCGGCAGGCACCACCCACGGGTGCCAAAGCGGCTTTCACCTATGAAGCAGGGCGGCCTAAAGCATAAGAATTATTTGCTCTCACTTATGTTTCTATCCCCACTACTGTTAGTAGCCTTGGAGTTCCCCAGACCTCATTTATGCCATAGATAGTAGCACCACCCTTATTTATGAAACAAGAGGCTTGGCTTCATCAGCAGGAATTAGCCATGCTCACTTGTGCTCTGTTAACCTAGGTTACTGTTTGCCTTTGGATTTCTTAGCTCCAGTTTCCCCCGTCCCCCCTCCCCCGCGACCAGGGCTTTGACCCGAAGCTTGGAATTAAGTTTGGGACAAAAATGTGTTTCGGGGGGGTTGCATGGACTCCTTATAAGCCGAATGCTAAGGTGAAGCTGTGGAACTTAGTCCTTCTCCAACAAGGGATAGAAAAGGATGTCTTGTGACATGCCCAGGTAACTGGTGGCTACAGTAATGCTTGCTGAGATTTGGGTGCACGGTGCTTGGCTTTGGTTAGCTCCCTTGCTTTCATTTTCCCAAAAAGGAAACCTCCGAGTAATGGGCATCCTATTTATCCCCATCACCTGGCAGGATTAGCAGGAGAATTGCTTAGAACTAGAATATCGATCCAGGTTTTTAAATGCCTCATCCCTTTTGTTCCTTCTGAGCTGCAGCTGGAGATTGCTGGTTGGTTTACAAGAACAAGCAGGTTAGTTTAAAAATGTAGGCAAAAACTTAAAAACTACTAATGAGTTTAGAATTTAATGACAAATGTATGATAAGTTTTGAAACATAATTTCTCTCTTTCTCCAGTCCTCATTTTTGTTAAAAAAAAAATTATGATAGGACTAAGTTGTTTGCAAAATAGACTTTAGTTTTATACTGGGCCTGATTATTTGCATAAAGTGCAGCAAGGATAACTATTTTTACCAAGGCCTCTTATTTTTTCTCAGATACTTTGAAGGGTGAGCAAAATTGAATTTATTGGGAAAAAAGGGGAAGCAGGGATTCTCCGCAGAGCGAGAGTCCTGCTAGCTGGCTTCCTGCCTCACAGATTGAATCCCAGGTTCCACCCTGGAACAGAAGAGGCCAGGCTCCCCACCACTGCAAAAGGACCAAACATCCTATGGTTCCACCCCGTGCTCCCACTGCGTAGACCGGTCGGAGTTTCTCCGGGGACCCCTTTCTACTTGGCTGTCTTACTAAGGAACATAACCAGTACTGATCCGTGGTGATTTCTGTTGTCATAAGATAATGTACTGTCTGGTTTCATTGAAATCTTGTTTATCATGTGTGTTCATCATGGGGCACCTAAATCAACACATTCCTGACCCCATAGGCAGTGCTGTCTGGGAGACCTTAACAAAGGATTTGCAGTCAGGTTGAGTTTCATTTTGGGGAGTGTTTTCTGTTCTAGTACTTTCAGAAATTTTTGCTCACTGTATCCAGCAACACCGCCTCTGCTGCTTGCTAGCTCTTTGCTTCATTGTGCTCATACATCAAATAAGGATGGGGATGTCACCTTTGTCAGGGGTCTTGAGATAATAGATAATAGTTCTGGAAAGCACAACATGGATGTAATGTATTATTATTATTAATGCACATGACTCAAAACTCTAACTTATAAGAGTAATGCAATTATGAAATGAGGTTACTAATATTGCTTGTTGTCCCATAATTCCTGTATTTCCATTGAGCTTCTATTAAGTAGAAGGCATGGAATACTGAGCTAGAAACACAAATAACTGATGATGTAGAAAGCATTTTAAGAAACAAGTAGACAACTGTCCATGAGAGTGCAGATAAAAGCATAAGTTCCCGAGAAGGAGAATCAGGGAAGACCTGGAGGATGAAGCAACTTGGGGATGGGCCATGGGCATGGGGAAATGGGATTCCAAACAGAGAAAATAACATAGAGTAAAAAACTGGAGGCAGGAACCCAGAGGGGCCCAGAGTACTGAGTGCAAATTAGACTGGGAAGAAAGATGGGAGCACGGACTGGAGCCGTGGGATGTTTTTCCCTTTGCAGTGGGGAGGAGCCTGGCCTCTTCTGTTCCGGGGTGGAACCTGGGATTCAATCTGTGAGGCAGGAAGCCAGCTAGCAGGAGCTGCCAGATTATGGAACGTCTTACATGTCAAGCTAAGGAATGTGGAATTTCTAGCAGAAGCAATGGTAAGCAGAGTGTAGGATGAGGGAACCAGATGCAATAGACCAAATGAGGTGTTGAAGCCTTCAGGGCATTTCAGAAAAAATAGGAGGTGAGGGTGAGGCAAGAAAGACCCTGAAAGAAGAGACAGGACTTGGCCATTAGTGACATATGAGAAACAAAAGTGAGCTAGGGAGAGGAGGGTGGGGCAAGGGTCAGGTAGTTCATTAGGGCAGGAATGCCTTCCTGGGCCTTTGACACTGGCTTCTGAATGGACAATCTTGGGAAAACATTGCCCTTTTATATTTCTTCCCAATTTTGAGTGATGCTATTTTCTACTTCTAATTGTGCTCAAAATAGCCAGAGATGCAGCGTAATACTTGGAGTCAACAAAATGATATGGTGGGTCAAATTTGTAAAGCTAAAAAAAAGTAGTGATTCAGTGTTCAGACTTGAAAAGTTTCCTTGTTTCAAAAAACACCAAAACATGAAATTCTGAATTAATGAAGCAGATAAATTAGCAGGTGATTATTTGAATAACAAAAGAAATATTTTCCAAAAGCCCCTTTTTTCAGGAATTCTTTAAGCAGCAAGTATGCCTAGTCTTCACCCCCATTTAAAATGTGATTTATTTGTAGGCATTTGATGAAACACAGGAAAGGAATGAGCTTATCTCGTAAAACATGATATTCCTTAGAGCTACATGTTACCATGTGCAATATTTTTTAAATGTGTTTATTCTTATATGTATGAAATAACCATAAGATGAAAATTCTCAGAAATTGAATGAGTATCTTTCCATTTTCTTTTAGTTAATTTTGAGAATTAAAGCTGTAATGTTTTATTAAACATATAAATGACAAGTTTAAAATTTGTCAATTGTTTTGAATACTGTCATTTGTATAGTCCCCTAATAAACACAGAGTCCAGAAAGTCCTTTGTCATTTTTTCTTAAAAAGCTTGTGATAAGAAAAGCTTTTATAATGTCAGCTCAGGAAACCCTAACAATAGCTTCCCTCATGCATCCTTAAATGAGGTAAATTTAATTATTTTATGTTTTTCTAGCAGTTCCTACTTTCTTCTATAGAATGCTTTTAAAAATTACTCTTTGCCACCCAAAGTATTTGAAAGCAGGGCCTCAAACAGGTACACACACACACACACACACACACACACACACACACACACACACACAGTTTTTTGGATTCATCTGGAATCTAAGTGCAGCACCAGGTAGACTGCTTTGCCCTAAAAGAGGATCCCAGATGCTCCTGGCCTTTCTGTTGTGTCCTGAACGCTGGATGATCCAAGCCCACTCAGGATGCCTCTTATCCTTTTCTGAAGGGAGAACCTGCTACATTGTAGAGAGTTGGAGATCTGGACTCCAGGCACTTGGGCTGAAGTCTTTGTTCATGCTCTTGCTTGGCTGGGCGACCTTAGCAAGTTTCTTAACATCTCTCTGCCTCATCTCATCTCATCTATGGCATATGAATTATACTACTCACCCTACGTAATCTTAAAAAATTGCACTAAAATGAGAGCACTCTTTGAGTTTTAACACATTGTACAGAAGGAAGTGCTTGTTATCATGGTGGTAGATTTCCTCCCCCTTTCTCTTCAAATAGGTCCATGTTTGAGTTTTTTGGTCTAGGAAAAAAATTTACAGAAATCCCGACTTAAACATATATTTCCACTATCTTCATCGAAGCCATCTGCAGCCCTAGCTAGACTGAAGCTGGCCACTTTGGGGATAGGAGGCAAAACACCATCCTGTCTACCTGTGGCACTGAAATTTGTGAGATGCACTTCCCCTTGAGGAACATGGGCAAAGCCAGAGGAGCCCTAAGGCAGGACCTAATGTCACAGGCTGGAGAATTCCAAGGATAAGGACCCTCAGCCTTTTGCATTGACCCGTGGCTGTCTCTCTCTAACAGAGTGATCTCTAGAGCTACAGTTTAGCGAGCGTGATTTTAAAAATTGTGGTCAAATATACATAACATAAATGTTATCATTTTAGCTGCCGCCACCGCTGCTGCTGCAGCTACTTCTGCTTCTTCTGCTGCTGCTTCTCCCTCTTCTTCCTCCTCTTCTTCTTCCTCCTCTTCTTCCTTCTTCTCCTTCCTTCCTTCTTTCTTCGTATTTCTTCTTTCTTCTTCCAGAGTCTCACTGTGTTGCCCAGCCTGGAGTGCAGTGATTTCAGTTTACTGCAGCTGCAAACTCCTGAGCTCAAGCGATCCTCCCACATCAGCCTCCTGAGTAGCTAGGAGTACAGGCATGTGCCATCACACCCAGCTAAATTTTAATTCTTTTTTTTTTTTTTTTTTTTTTAAGAGATAGGGTCTCACTATATTACCCAGGCTGGTCTCAAACTCTTGGGCTCAAGCGATCCTCTGAAAGTGCTGGGATTACAGATGTAAGCCACTGTGTCTAGCCCCATTTTAACCATTTTTAAGTGTACAGTTTGATGTCCATTCACAGTGTTATGTGGCCATCACCACCATCCAGCTCCAGAGCCTTTTCATCTTCCCAAACTGAAACTCTGTACCGATTAAACAATAACTCTCTATTCTCCTCCCCTCTCCAGAACCTGGCAGCCACCATTCTACTTTCTGTATTTGAACTGACTACTCCACATACCTCATATAAGTAGAATCATATGCTTTTCTTGCTTGGCTTATTTCATTTGGCATATGTCTTCAGAGTTTAGCATGTTGTAGCACAAGTCAGAATTTCATTCCTCTTTCAAGCTAAGTACTGTTCCATTATACACACGTATACACATGTGATTAAATAGTATTCAGCTTAGAGTGACAGATCCCGGTCCCGCCCATCTTCCAGGTCCATCTAGGTTCCAGGGGTCTGACTCAGTACCTCACATCAGGGGCAACAGGCTGTCTATGCCTTGCCATTGTGCGTTGATGCTGGCGTCTGTTTCCCTGTCCCCAGTCATTCATCCCCCTAGTCATTGCCGTGCTGGCCCACGTTCCCCACAGCAAGACAGCTTAAAGTCTGGCTCTCTCTAAGTTATTTTCATGATACGCTTGATGCATATGGATCATCCTTCTTTCCAGAAGGAAACTTGGCAGGCTGCATAAGCCTTATTCCCATTGATGCGCCGCCTTTGGGGCCTGCGGGAATCATTCACCTGTTCTTGTGATGTGCTGGGGCACTAGGACCCACCTGGGTTGTCTCAGTCATTGGCGCAGGCACACCAAGCAGACGTATCCACCCTGACACCTCCCTGTCCTCCCCGCCTCTACCAGCACAGGCAAGTGCCATGCCCCCTTCCCTCTTATTTCCCAGTTCCACCTGGGAGGTTATTATTCACTCCTCTCAGGATCTGCCTGGAGGTGGGTGGAGTTTAGGGCCCTTCCGTAGGGACTCCCCGGTGTCTAATACCCTTCCACCACCTCCATCCATTCACTAGCTTCCCCCAGCCTATAGGACTTTCTTCAGAGCCTTGGATCACTTAACACCTATCCTTCCAAATCATGCCAGGGCTCAAGACTTCGAAGCAGAAGATAATCCATTTCTTAGTTTTCTGCTTTGTGTTTCTTTCCTTCTTTCTGAAGTCATGAAAGCAGGCCGGGCATGGTGGCTCACGCTTGTAATCCCAGCACTTTGGAAGGCTGAGGCTGGCAGATCACCTGAGGTCAGGAGTTTGAGGCCAGCCTGGCCAACGTGGTGAAACCCCATCTCTACTAAAAATGCAAACATTAGCCAGGTGTGGTGGCATGCGCCTGTAATCTCAGCTACTCGAGAGGCTGAGGCACGAGAATGGCTTGAACCCAGGAGGCGGAGATTGCAGTGAGCCGAGATCGTGCCACTGCACTCCAGCCTGGGTGACAGAGTGAGACATCATCTCAAGAAAAAAAAAAAAAGTAGCAAAAGCAGTGTCTTTGGCTGATTGAATAGGTCAGGGTCACTGGGTAGAGGGACAAAATGAAAAACACACAAAAAGCCACTGGAGTTAGTACTTAAAAATATCCTAATTCGAATGTTTCAACCCCACGGTTTAGTAGAAGTACAAGAAGTGTAGAGGACATAAATTAGAGGCAGAACAGAGCCAACCCAATTTGCAGATTGCTGAAGCCTAATCCTTGGCATCCCCAGGAGATTTATATGGTGCGAGACGTAGCTGAGAGTTAAGAAACCAAAAATGACTGAAGGAGCAAATAAACATATTCAGAGAGGCTTAGCCAAATTGTAATTGTAGAGAGAGATGATACCTCATAACTAAACACCATGAAACAATGTAAAATGTAATCAAGTGAACCATAACTGTCCTAATGAATCTGCTTTGGAACTCTAGCATTTCATATTTTAGGATAAAATGGAGTATTCTTATATAACACTATGTTAAATGGAACTATTTTAATCCAGGTTTTGCCTGGGTACCCAATACATTAAATGTGCCATTTAAGAATTTGGTCCAAGACCCCCTTTCAGGAGTACAAAGATTTGCACACGAACTGGTTTTGTGACTCTTAAGCCCTCGCCCATGTAGAATATTGGAGCAAACTGTGTGCTATGTTCTAAATCTCGCCCTCTCCAGAAAGGAAGATATAGGGGGAGGCCAGCCTCTTGCCCCAGGCCCAGAGAGAGAGGCTTCAGCTGGACCTCTTGAATGGTTTAAATAAGTGTCGTCTGCATTTTGAAGGACACAATAGACTGGGACCTGACTCACTCTGAAAAATCTAAAGGGCAGGTTGCTCTGAGATTGTGGCCTTAGGGGATGACTGAGTATCTAGAAATTGTCAGGGCGGAGGATACGTCTGTTTCCCGTGAACCAGATGTGAGCCAGGCCCCAAGGTCAGTTGGCATGGGTTCAACTTAGATCCTGTCCTGGAGAGCTACTTGGAGGGGAAAGGGACACTGAAGGGAGGGTGAGCCTCCAGATTTCCAGTGGCCAAGGAAGGAGCTCTAAACAGCCAGCGTTTGCCTGCACAGAGGATACGACAGGCAGGCCAGGAAATTCCCAGTGATTGTTGCCGGGGAAAGGGGTGTTTTTCTGAGGACCCCATGAATCATTCCAGAGAAAGAAGAGTGTTTATAAGGTTTCAAAGAGGTATAAAAGATCCTTATCCAACAATGTTTTTTTAAAGCTCTTACTATGTCAGGCAACCCCATTACGTATGAATAAAAGAAATGGCATGGAGAAAACATCCCTTTACCTGCTGTCCATATTCTACATGCTCTAAATCATAAAATATTCAGCACCCAACATTCTAACAGGGATAGTCTCTTCTATGATAAAGATCAGTTTTTTTTTTTAGTTTTGATACTTATCGTTATTTATTACAAAGCTTGTGATTTGGAAGAAAATTTGCATTTGTTAATTCTTAAGCATGATAAAATGGAAAGTTGGGTCAATAGCTGGATAATTTTTAGAGACTAGTAATCAAAGCAATTGTAGAGTTAGCTATTTGATTGGCATTGCGCAGAATGAAAAGCCTGATAAAGTTTACTTGTGTAGAAAGCCACACTGGCTGCCCAGAAGCTAACTCTTTGGGCCCAAATTTTACTCTTCTGAAAAAGAATGTGCATCTATTTCATATGTAAATCTTTCTTCCCTCTCCTCCCTTCTCCTCCCCTCCATCCTCCCGTTCCTTCCTCCTCGTCTTTCTCCTCCTCCTCCTCCTCCTTTTCCTTTCTCTCTTTCTCCCCTCTTTCTACCCCTCCAACCCCTTCCTCTTTCCCTCTCCTTTTCCCCATCCAAACTTAGACACATGCTTACTTGAATCTTTATTACTATATTAGATTTCTGTGTTTCATATCTAGAATGCTCACTTCTAGCTCTGCTGGAATGGTATAGCTAAAGGAGAAGCAGTGAAGATTGTGGGCCAAATGCACAATCGTTGTCAGACAAGTATCTCAGGATGTTCCCAATACCATAATTTTACTTTCTGTCCCGTCATAAGTTAGGGCCTATTTAGGATTTGTTATGGAAGCTGGTATGTGATTATTCATTGATTTACTCAATAGCGCACTGTGTAAGTCAATAAATCTTTGGTCCCTAAACTGGTGGTGTCTTAAGAAGCAGACTTGAAAGCATTCTATTGCCTTATCAGTTTCCTGGGAGGATATCTGAAGATTAAAAACTGCAGTCAAGGTAAGCATTTGCTAGGAAGTTAATTATTGGTATCTCTGAAAATGGAGGTACTGGCATCATGCAAAAGAAAGGAGGAACGCACTGATTGAGTTGCTTGTTTAATAAATAATAGAGGATTCACAAAGCAGCAAATGTAGAAGAGATGTGATGGGAAGGCAAAATTCCTTTGTGAGGTGTCACTTAAGAGAGTGCTGATTGGTCAGAAGATGAGTATAAACTGAGAGGAGGGGCTGTGGCAGGAAAGGGGGACCCTGGGTGTTAAAGCCCAAGGCGATAGAGCACATGCTGAATGAACTGTTATATCCTTGCCCTGTGACACATTCATCCCCAGGAACAAATGTCCAGGGAATCTTGTGTTCAAGGTGATTTTTCAAGTGTATTGTTTATTATTTAAATGTAGCAAATCACTTAATCCAGTGTAATCAGTATGTAAGAATTGCCGTGAACTCCCTCCTGTCCCAGTAGCTTTGTTAGCATCCTTGAGGGCTGACAGCAAACTTAATCAGGCCAGCTTGAGTGGAATGGCTTTGGGTGATTTGCATTCTGCAGAATTGCCAGATTCCTGTCCTCTAACACAATAATGAGTGTTTCCATCCAGTGGTGTGAAGCATGTGGAATAATTAGCTCTCAGCGTTAAAGATGTGACTAGTAACGTCCAAGCCTCCTTCCTCTTAAGAGTATGATTTTCTTATGGTGACATTTTCAAGAGGACATCCGTAATCTCTCATTTTGGGGACAGCAGGAAAGAGATGTGCCTGGATATATCCTATCAGTGTTCGCTGATTCGCCTTCAGCTAAATCATTTAACCAGACCAAGGGAACTGAGATTTGAGAAGCTCAGTTGTCTGTAAATCTAATGGTTCCCAACTTACAATCACTTCAGATGTTTTGAGGGGTCTGCAGCCTCTTTTATACATTTTTAAAAGCCTAATAAAAAAGCTAATGGAATAATTATCTATCAGTAACTACATAATAAGTTCAGTTTGTTTTGGAGATCAGATCTTTCAAATCATCCAGTTTGAAGGGAAAGAATAAAAGGAGTCTATGAGTTACAAGGTTGGTGAGTATGATTAGTCAACATCAATTTACAAGTAATGGTATTCCTACTGTGGTGAACCGAATAATGGTCCCTGCAAACATGTCTCTGTTCTAATGTCTGGACCCTGTGAATATGTTGTTACATGTCAAGTGGGAATTAAGATTTCAGATGAAGTAAGATTGCTAACCAGGTGACCTTGATTGAGATGGGCAAATTACCCTGGATTATCCGAGTGGGCCAAGTGTAATCACAAGAGCCCATTTAAGGCAAAGTAGAGTGTGAGAGTCAGAGAGTCATTGAAGGATGCTCTGCTGCTGGGTTTTGAAAAAGAGAGGAAGGGACCAGGAGTCAAGGAAGGTGGACAAAATAGATTCTTCCTTAGCGTCTCCACCCAGCTGTTGAATTTGCCTCCTGGGCACACAGGAAGTCTGCATGCCCAGCCCTTCACATCCAATTGGGGCCATGTGGAATGTGGCCCAGGTGATGTTGCTCAGAAAGAACCCAGCCCAGAAAACACCTTGATTTGAGCCTAATGAGACCTATTTTGAATTTTTGACTTCCATAATTCAAGATATTAAATTCTTGTTTTTTTAAGCCACTGAGTTTGTGCTAATCTATTAAAGCAGCAGTAGAAAACTAATGCATTTAGCACTGCATCTTTCTGGATTTTTGGTCATTTTAAATAAATCAGCTAATAGTGTCTACTGGGTATCTCGGCATACAAATAACTGTGTCAAAGGAGTTGGAAAAGTATGGAGAATGTAGAATAAATCCAAACTCTAATTGTTGTCTACAAGCTCCTGCTTTTTCTCTCCTTCCTGTCTTTCCAGCCTTACCTTATGTTACGCTGCACTCTCTCAGCTCCCACTCCTCCAGCTGTCTTTCCATTCCTCAGACTTCCTGCCGTGGGCCCTTGGCTCATGCTGTTTCCTCTGCCTTGAATACCCTTATTCCAGATCTTCCAAGAACCGGCTTCTTCCCATCTTTTAGGCCTTAGCTTAACCCTTCCTCCTCTGTTAGTCAGAAGAGTCTAAGTGCTATCACTTACAACCCAATATCCTAGTGGTTTAAAACAATAAAGCACGTGTCCCTCACGTCACAGTGCAAGGTGGTTGGGGTGTGTGTGTGTGTGTGTGTTGGGATAGGAATTGGGATTCTGCTTTGTTCCACACAGCCACCAACCATTCCAGCTTGTGACCTCTCTTTCCCCCGGTGCCTTCTCGGAATCCTTAGCAGGATCTCTGCAGTCACCTGCTGAGGAGCAAGGAATGCGTGGAGGATTGTGTGGGCTGGGCCTGGAATGAACATCACCTGGGCCACATTCCATATGGCCTCACCTGGATGTGAAGGGCTGGGCATGTAGTCTTCCTGTGTGCCCAGGAGGAAAATTCAGTAGTTGGGTGGATAATAGCCCTGTTCTGCCCTTCCTCAGAGATGCCTCTTATAACCGTGCTAAGCAGATCTGTCTCATTAGCCTCTATGAAAACACCTTATTTAGTTCCTCCATTGCACTTTATACTCAATAATTTTTTGGCTTCTTTGTTAATTGTGTTCCTCTCCAAGACCAGAAGGGTGTGAGGATAGGAACATGTCTGTTTTGCTCACTACTATGTGCACAAACCTGGCAATGCAACATCTTGCACAGAGTAGATTACCCACCAAGAATAGTTTATTAGTATGTGATGAATGGATGATGAATGAATGACCCAACAAGTGAATGAATGGAAAGCATAGACCTTGTCTAGAGGGTATCCACTATTATAGCAAGGACAGAATAAATAGGTCATAGTCTTTTACAAGAATAAATTTCAAGAAGCAGCCAAAAGCTTTTTTTTTGTTTTTGTTTTTGTTTTTAGAAATAAAGGACTTTGGCCTACGGTTCAAAAAGTGTTTGGAAAGTCACCGCTCTTTGGGTTGTAGAATTTGAGTCCAGTCTTCCAGATGAGCAGCCTGAGAGTAGCAGTGCTCTCCTTATTTGGGTTGATTAATTCTGCTCTTGTATTTCTGAGAAAGTGTAGACCCTTTCAGATACCATCCTAACTCTTCCCCCACCCTTCCCTTCTCCACTCATAGAGGACAAAGCATTTGGCTCCTCTCCTCCTACCACCTGTTCCTATTAATATATTCACAGTGGCCCCCGGTGGTGGGAGCATGCCACCTCAGATGAAGGAGTTTTCTAATTTTGCTTCTCCTTTTCTTTCCCATTGTCATTGTCCTTTCTGGCTTAGCATGAGCTAGTGGCATGTGGCAGTCTGAGAAGTGGAATGCCTAACCCAAGGAAATAAATGATGCATAATCAAATCCAGTTGCGTAACTTCGGGAGTTTGTGTTTTCTTCTGTTGATTCACGAAGATCAAGGAGCTGATGGGAATAGGTTCTGGCCTTGCCACCAAATGTGCTTCTCCTCCCATTTTCTGAGTAGGGCTCCAAGGGAGGTGCTGGGCCACTTTGCCACGCAGGCTGGTTGCTGCCTCATCTCCTGCAGGTGAGGGTGGAGACCTCGCGGGCTCATGGGCCCTGCTGTGGCTGTTACATGGATCCAGGTTGTCTAGGGTCTGGGGAATGCTGCTGAAGGGGCCCAAGTGCCTGTACCCTGGAAGCACTGGCCAGGCAGGACTCCCTGCCTCAAATGGGCCTCTCCCACCTTGTTCTGTCTCTCATGGGGCAGGCACATGGCATTTCCTAGGTGGGGGGACCAAGAAGCTGTGGCTGGATTAATTCTTGTGAAGAGTACAATAAACTACATTTAACTTACTTTCCCTTACTTCAACATGGTTACACGGATAAAATACATTAAAATGAACACTAAAATCAAGTATGTGGACAAAGATGTATCAACAGGAATGTTCAGTAATAGAAAAAAAACTGGAAACAACTTATACATTCACATAAGGGAGGAGATAAAAATAAATTATGATACATCCATAGAGTGGAATACTTGAAGCCATTAAAATTGAACATGTAGAAGAATATTGAATGAATATAATCACATTCATGTTTAATTTTTAAAAATCAAGCTGCAAAACAGTGGGTACCATATGATCCTGTATTTGCAATTAAAATGTATACAAATATAAACAATGGAAAATATAAAGATTGAAACGGGATGCTTAGTTCAGTAAATGGGATTATGAGTGATTGTTGTTTTATTCTTAGTGCCCAACGGTAGTTCCCAAATTTTCTGTATTTAATACATATTTGTTTTGAAAGGTGATATAAAATTCTAAAATGGTATTTTAAAAATTAGATGACTGTCTTAGTTCATTTGGGCTGCTATAACAAAAACATCACAGAGTGGGTGGCTTATAAACAACAGAAATTTGTTTCTTACAGGTTTGGTGTCTGGTGAAAACCCATTTCCTGATTCATAAACAGGGCCTGTGTCCTCACTGTGTCCTCACATGGTGGGAGGAGGAAGGTGGTTCTCCAGAGTCTCTTCTAGATGGCACTAATCCCATTTCTGGGGGCTCCACCCTCATGACCTAATCATCTCCCAAAAGCCCCTCCTTCTGACACCATCACATTGGAGGTTAGGATTTCAACATAAGAATTTTAGGGGGATGCAAGCATTCAGTTTATGACATTGACTAAATTCTCCAAATAATTACTTGTTTATTAAAAAGAAAACTATTGAAAGAATTCTTAAACAACAAAACAAGTCATTAATGTGCAATTTAAAAAGCCCCATAACCTGCTTTTCTGTCTGTCCTCAGTACAGATGTTTTCCCTTCCTACTGCACACTTAATAAGTCTCCGAGCCTTGTAGATTCATTGTAGATTCAGCCTTGTTAGCATCTCTTGTATCCAGTCCCTCCATCATATTCTCCCTGCCCCTGCCTTTGTCACCTGTTGATGGGACTCCCTGCCTCCTGGCTTTCACTTACACCGTTCCATTGTCCTTCCTGTCACCGACAACCTGGCAAATGTGATCCATCTTAAGAGGTTCAAGGGCCACGTGTTCTCTTGGAGTCTTTCCTGGCAGTCCCCACTTTTGTCTCCAGAACTGATCCTTCTTTATGCCTCACTCTTTGTTCTGAATCCTCTCACAGAACCTTTTAATCTCTACTGCGCTTCCTGACACTTACTTTGTGCCAGGTACTTTATATTTCTCCCGTATCCTGGCTGTATCCCTGTGAGGATCATAGCCCCACTTCACGGATGAGAAAACTGAGGCACAAAGAGGCTAAGCAACTTGCAAAGACATCACAGATAGGGACTAATAAGATTCAGGTTCAAACACAGGCAGTGTGGCTCCAGCATCTCTATGCTGAGCATATATATCTGCTGCTGCTTCTCATATTTCTAAGGTCTTTCACTTGTCTCTCTTCCCCTACCACATTGTAGAGGGGGGATCATGTGTTAAATTTATCTGTATTTTTTTGGTGCCAAGCCCAGGGGCTGGCATGTAGGAATCTCATAATAAACACTGATTGAATGGCTATTTAGGCAACGAGTATTTACTCAGCATCTGCCATGTGTCAGGCATTGTTTTAAGCACCCACCTGAAATAAATAAGCAAGAAAACAGATCAAGAGTCTTGCCCTCAATAATGGAGGAGGGGGGTGACTTAGATTCTAGAAGAACATGTCAAGGGCAAGTTAGGTAAATGATTG
This sequence comes from Homo sapiens, assembly GCF_000001405.40. Lineage (NCBI taxonomy): Eukaryota > Metazoa > Chordata > Mammalia > Primates > Hominidae > Homo > Homo sapiens. The sequence goes on from NC_000007.14 coordinate 29,311,959, forward strand.
AGGTAATATTTAGATGACATTTTTACTCCTGTATCCATGCTTCTCTAGTTCTCTTCTTTTAAATTTTGGGTATGATTTGAGGCAACTACAGTACTGGAAATTAATACAAATCCTTCATTTGTCATATCAGAGCTCTGTAACTGGTCACATATAAGCGAGCTGTCAGTGGTCGAATCATGACTGCCTGTTGCTTCTCAATGGTTTGAAAACAGTTTTTTGAAATGGCATTACATTTCTCATTTCTTCATGCTCTTCTTTCTTGCTTATCTTTTCCACTTTTTTTCTGCTTTGCTCCACCTGTTCTCTTGAGAAACCATCTCAATCCCTCCTGCTTCTTCCTACCTCATTCTCTCCCTCCCTTGCTTCTTAATTTCCGTTCCCCTGAACCTTGCCAAATATGTTTTTTTGAACAGTTGATCAAAACTCATCAAGCACAATGTGATTTTCTCTTTCAAACTGTAGGTAAAATGGAGAGGAATTAATCTGACCAAAGTGTGTGTCACCACATGCCATAGATTTTGTCTGGGGGCAGAAGAAGGGAAAAGAAGCTAACTTTATTATAGAGGTCAGAGCAACCTCACAATGTCGATGTGGTTTCTGATTTATTGTAACACAGCAGAGATTCAAAAGGATTAATAGTCTAAGTGACCTAAATAATAATGAGCGTGCAGAAGAACATGTTCTTCAACATGTTGCTTACTGCCGTAGAGAGAGTGGAGCTCTGAAAAAAATTTGCTTCTCCTGCTTGAAGAATACATTTTTCTAGGGTGTCACTTATTAAGATGAAATTGATGTATTAAGAAACTCAGACTATTCCCAAATAATGGCATTATTTTTAAAACAAATGGAGTCTTACAGGAATAGAAATAACCTATTATACTTGCAAAATACCAGCTTAAAATATACCACCAGAATATGCTATTTCTTCATTTTTGCCTCCCCACACTCCAGTCTCCATGAATGCAAAGCACTCTTTCCTTAGACCCTACATTGAATTCTGATGGCTATGGTGTGACCATAGGAAGCCTCTGCATTTATCAGTAGTTTCCCTGAATCTTGGGTAATCATACAACTCATATTTCCAGAACTTTATCTTTTACATGTATTCTTTTTTATCGGACTCTCTTCCAAACATTGTCAGTATTCCTCTATCCCTGTCAGTCCACTCAATTCTTTAATTCTTTCGTAGATTTCCAGCCTCACTGAACCAGCTCACAAGTCACCCATGACCCGCCCAATGCCAAAACCAAGCTTTTCCCTCAGCCCTAGTCCTCCTCAGCCTTCCAGAGATAAGTGGAATTCCTGGGTTAATGCCTGCATTCAGGTTTTTCCCCAGGAACAAATGGTCACATTTTAAGGAGGACTGGGGGAGAAATAGTCAAGGCCCTATGAACCCAAACTGGGAGGATTCCCCTGAAATAGAGGAACTCTGGTGTAATGAGAACATCTTCACAGAGCAGGTGAGGCAGATGATCTTCCTGATTGAGTTCCCAGAGGTGTCAGCTCACTCTCAGAAAAATGCAGAAGCAGCCCTGGCCCTACCCGAGGCCCCACACTCCCTACAGTCCTCTGCTGAGCTCTCTGTTGCCTGCCAAGGTGGGCCACACTCTAGGAAAGCATCTCATTTAGAGAAATGCTGTCTTTAGAGATACAGTATTTGACCAACCCTGGAAGCAAAGATTAAGCTCCCTAAACCCGAAAACATTCACTCCTACAATGGTCCACTTGGGAAAATTCCTCTAAGAGACTCATTGATACCTTGATTCTTGTTTTCTCCTTCTTCTCCCCTCTGGCTCTTCGTGTTCATACCCTTTATCTCCTCTACAGCAGAGATGGGGGTCTTAAGGTGGTTTATGGAAATAACTTACTACGAGCGTTCATCGTTTTTAGAAATTGTACACGATGCAAGAGCTCCTTGGAGTCACAGGCTCTCAGCCTCTGTCTAGGGAGTGCCATTCCTATTTGGTTAGAGCCATTCTGCCCAGTGTATTCCTGGTGGCCTCTTTTTAAATCTCCCGTCCTTAGTGCTTGCCAGTATATACACTAATGTTGATATTAGCATGGGACCATATGATGCAGAAATTCCACTTCTGGGTACCTATCCAAAATAATTAAAGGCAAAATTTCCAAGAGATATTTGTACACCATGCTACAGTAGCATTATTCACAATAGTCAAAAAGTGGAAGTAATTCCAGTGTCCACTGAACAAACAAAATATGGATTCTACATACAATAGAATGTTATTCAGCCTTAAAAGGAAGGATATTCTAATACATGCCACAACATGGATGAACCTTGAGGCCATTATGCTAAGTAAAATAAGACAGTCACAACAAACAATATGATTCCACTTATATGAAGTACCTAGAGTAGTCAAATTCACAAATAGAGGAAGTGGAATGGTGATTTTCAGAGGCTGGAGTGAGGGAGGAATGGAGATTGGTTGTTTAATTGGCCTTGTTGCAGTTTTGCAGGATGAGGAGAGTTCTAAAGATTGGTCTCACAACCATGTCAATGTACCTAACGCTACTGAACTGTACACTTCAAAGTTAAGATGATAAATTTGATGTGTGCATTTTGTCACAATGAAAAATAAAATTAAGTGTAAAACTATTTTAACCTGGAAGAGGAATTAGAAAGTAACATCACCACCAACAAAAATATTCAAAGAAGGTATTAATTCACTGAAAATTCCAAGAAGTGAGAGTTCACTGAGCAGGGAGGCAGAGCATTCAAGATGACCATTTAAGATGAACTGAGGAGGATAGGTAGGGATCCAAAGTGAAATGGAAACAGTTTTTAAAAAATTACTTGCATTTCCACTGAAGGGTGAATAATTGAGCCTTTACTGCTGTTTATTTTTCTAGCGTCTTATAAGCTGTTTATTTATGTTTAATTATATATTTGTTTTATATATATATATAATTGTTATATTTAATCAAGCTGCCACTTGATTAAAACGACATCTTGGGTTTATGTGGGCAAGAGAATTCCAAGTGCCACCAAATCCCTCAGAACTAATTACACTGTAAAATATCAGCATCCTCAATGTAGAAGAGTTAACCTTACTGTAATTTAGTATTCAATTATGAAAATATTGTATAATATCCTGAATTCTTATGAAATTATTATTTTTTTCATATTTCTGGGAAACAAAGCGATGTATTTATTTCTGTTTTGTGGATTACCTGAGAAACAAGAAGATGAGACATGTGATACTATGTATGCTTCTAGTGCAAGGATCTTCTCATTATGAAATGCATTACTTTGTGATGGTTATATGTGAGAGGAAGAATATGTCAAAATTGCCTGGCAAATCCTGCTTATTTTGATCTGCTCCATCTTTCTCAGCTTTGGCAAGCAAGCACAAAGATTGCAATTTCCCTTGTATGATCCCAGAAAGCAGATTGCTGAATCATGAGTCCTAACTTCAGGTTGAAGGTGAAAATAATTCCTTCAGGGAGTAATACATAGCTACAGTCTGCAGAATTAAGCTGATAAGAGATGACATTGCATTAGGAGGTTACAATAATAGGATCACCTTAAATTAAGCTCCCTGAATGAATAAAATAAGCCTATTACTCTGTGGTTCACCTCAGCCTTGTAAAATGCCTGGCACATCAGAAGTTCTGGAAAAGTGTCAAATAGATGACATAAAAAATGGGGTATTCTGATAATGCAGTGATGGGATTTGAGGATTATCATAAACGATTCATTTTTTTTTCATTCAACAACTATTTCTCAACCTCTCACTTTGTGCTGGGTACCGTTCTAGGTGATTCAGCAGTGAATAAAAGAAAAAAAGTTATTTGTCCTTAGGAATCTTGCCTGCTAATGGGGAATACAGATGATTTTTTTAAATCGTGAAAATGCTAAGAGAGAAGATTAAGTGGGAAGGGAGCTCTAAGATATCATGGTGTATGCTGAAATTTTAGCAAGGGTGGACCATGCATAAATTAGGAAATTTCTAAGAATTAGAATACACAAAAGGCTGTGGTATTTAATACCATTCACCTAGTAGAGCACAAAGACCATTTGTGGGGTATGAGGGAAACTGAAATCTAGGTCTCGCTTTGTCACAAATTCATTGGGCAAGCCATGCTCTCCCCTGGGCTCAGCACGCAGCTGTCAAATGGACAGGTTGGGCCATGTGAACTCCACACCTCTTACAGCTCTAAAGTTGTGTGAGCATTCATGTTTCTTTGATGATCTTAAAGACCCTTCAGGATCTTGCAGTTCAGCACATAAAAACAAATTCCCATGAAACACATTTTATTTGAGCTTCCTGGTCATTTAGATTCTGGATAAATAGGAATTTTTTGCCATCTATATAATGCATAATAAAATCAGGTCTTATAAGATGCCTATAAACTTCCATACCTTTGTAATCATTTTCTTTTATAATTTCAGGTAAGGCAATTTGCTTCCCTTCATTAGAGATAAGTATAGGCACAGAGCAATTTATATGAGTTGATTATAGTGCATTTTACTATAATTCCATGGTAAAAAAGCCTGATTAGAATCACATATTCACTGTAGCACCTATTTTCTGACACAGTTCAGTATCATGCAGGTTCCTTAGAAATTGTCGGAGGGAATGTAATTATCCAAAAATGCTGAAATTACTTGTTGTAAACTAGCCTATGTGTTATGGATCCATGGCTTATACTAAAAGCCAGTTTTCAGGTAGAGTTGAATGTAGCTAGAGCTGCTGCCCCCAATGTGACATCAACATTTACTGAATTCATACAAAGATGTGTGATTTTTTTTTTTCCACAATGTTGGGATTATACTTCTAATTTGCCAAAGAAATAGCTAAGCTTTCTAGAGTATGGAGTCTGTCCAGATAATCTTGGTATAGTCTCCTTTTTTGGAGGGTGTGTGGTAGCGGGGGAATCATGTGGTCCCTGGAACTCTGTATGCAATTATTTGCTCTGCTGATAAAAAAAAATGTTTTATTGCTACAAAAAGGGGTGTAGGTAGCTTGAAAATAGGTTTCGATTTAGTCATTGTACTAGAGTTCTGGGAAAACAAATTGTTCTTTTGAATTTCTGAACAATAATAATTTGCTTAAGACATTTTGCACAATCATGATAAGTAACACATCTTGGTAAGGAAGTCTTGCATTGGCAGAGCATCTGTAGAAGGACTGCTACACAGATAATGAGCACAGTTATGTTTAAATTAAATTAAGTGGGCACCAAGGGATAGAAGTAGATAGGGAAGGAGGAAGTAATTGAAGCAGCAAATAGTCCGAGGCACAGAAATGGAAATATGTGTAAACTCTGCAAATTTAAAAGTCACTTGATGCCATAAACTATTTTATTAATTTCTCTGGAGTTTTAAATTGGTACGAGTAATGATGACTGTGGAAAAAAAATCAACATATGCGTCAGAATTGGGGAAGAATCTCTTTGTGTTTAGGCACTTTGGGACCGAAGGATATTTCCCAGATCCTCGATGTGCAAAGTGTGGTCCATGGACCAAAAGCATTCAGTATCCTGGGGACTTAATAGAGATGCAGGATTTCAGGCCCTGCCCAGACCTACTGAATCAGAATCTGCATTTAGCAAAGTCTCCAGGTGATATACATGCATATCGAAGTTTCAGAAGCACTGCCCCAGAGTTGCTAAAACAGTTCATTCATTCATTCATCAAACGTTTTTAGCACCTCTTTCGTATGCCAGACATTAAACTAGACAATAGGAGGGAGAGATCATTAGAAACATAGGTAAGACATGGTCCCTGCACTCAGGGAACATATAATTGAAGTGGGACATATGAGATATGAGGCTGAGGCAGGTGGATCACCTGAGCTCAGGAATTCGAGGCCAGTCTGGACAACATGGAGGAGGCCTGTCTCTACAAAACATACAAACATTAGCCCAGTGTGGTGGTGTGTTTGTACATGTTACGCCGGAGGCTGAGGAGGGAGGATGGCTTGAGCCCAGGCGGCAGAGGTTGCAGTAAGCCAAGATAGTGCCACTGCACTCCAGCCTGGGCAGCAGAACGAGACCCTGTCTCAAAAAAACAAAAACAAACAAAAAACAGATGTGTGGTACTTGACTGTAGGATGCCAGGGTGGAGAATGTAGATGATGCCCCAGTGTTAGCCCTGGGTCCATGAGTGTTGCTGTGTTTACAGAAGACTAGGGGTTAAAGAGAATATGTCTAGCCTTGAAATGTTGGGTTTTGAGGCAGCTGTGGAATTTTTCAGGTGGAAATGTCTAGTAGGCAGTTGGATCTTGGGGCAAGGATCAGTAAACTATGGCTGCACAGACCAACTCCTGGCCTCCACTTGTTTTTGCAAATAAAGTTTTATTGGAACCCAGCCAAATTAATTGGCCTACATATTGTCTCTAGCTACTTCCACACAATAAGGACAGAGTTGAATAGGTGCGACAGAGACTAGGTGGCCCACAAAGCCTAAAATATTTTCTCTCCAGCCCTTTACAGGAAGTTTGTCGACTCCTTTCCCAGAGGGTTCTAGAGAGGTCTGGAATGGAGAAGCCATGTGGAATTCATCCAGGCCTGAGGGGGCTGCTGAGCCTGTCCTGGGAGGATGTAGAGTGAGAAGAGACAAGGGCAAGGTCAGAGCCCTAAAAGAGACACTTCTTCACAGGCTCTTATTGCACCTCAGGTAGCTCCCTGAGCCAGTCACAGTCATTTTTTTCCTGGTAACTTTTGCTGCAGTTATTTGATTTTTTTTTTACCTTGGCATTTGCAAATTGATTAAGCCAAGAAACTTGTACTAGTTCAGTGAACCACCTTGTATCTAATTTATAAACCTAAATTAACAGATTCTGCACAGTAACAAATAGCTATTACCTTTAAATGAAAGCTGCAAGGAACATTATAGTTTGGGCCTAACAATAGAGAAGAATCTCATCTTCCCATGAAATAGAAAGGAAAAATTTAATTTCCTTGTAAATTTGTTTAGCTTGACTCTTATGGCTGGCAGGGCTGTGCAGAGGTGCTTATAGCTCCTGGAAGCTCCAGTTTCCTTAATACAAGCCCCAGAGTAGTGCACACCGCAAGCTGACTTGTTCTCCACTCTTTGTCCAGTTGGGAGGCAGCCCCTCCCCTCAGACACAGGGCAGAGGCTAAGACGGGAACTGAGGGAGAAACGGGATGCTTCTGTAGGACATGGTTTCGTGCATAAACATGCAACTATGTGTGTGAAATTTGCACATTTAAAAGCCATTGTCTACCATAAACTCTTATGTACTTCTTGGGAGTTTTGTAAAGGTCTTCCTGCATGAAACATTTTGATGGAATCATCACAAAAAGAAAAAGATTCAAGCATCAGTTCTCAGCACGTCTTTGTTAACAAAAATAACACAGATCGCTTTAAGTACTAGGCTCCAAGCGAGTTGAGGTTGAGTGATTTCTACATGTTGAGGGGAGGAGGAGGAGAAAAAAGTTGTGGGTGCAAATCAGCTCAGCACCTTCATTATTGGTGCAGAAAGTCAACTATCACCTTATTTTTATACTAGCACCAAAGTGTGCTTTGTATTCTCTGGAGCCAGGCATGGTGCATGGTGCTTTCCCAGATGTCCTTTAATTTAACATCCTGTGGACACTGTTCAGATACAATGCAGCTGCCAAAATTGTTGATTTATATTTGATATAAGGTCAAAGGGTCCAGGAGCTCTTTTGATAAAAGATAACACTAGGTTAGCATGAGATTTCGCTGTCAGATTAGCACTCCCGAGTTGGCCTCCATTTCCACAAAGCTACTTTATTTCCAGCATTTCTCTTCACTCCCATGGGTGCCTGAGGCTGTCTGTTCACAATATTGCAGTGTTGGGATTTTCTTACAGGGCCGTGGCTCATCTGGGCATTTGTTTACTCTGGAACCGAGTGGCACCAAGCCCTTCGTCACATCTAGCTTTTTCACAGTGAACGAGCCAGTGTTGTCGTGACCAGTGCCTTTGTGCCCCTTCCCCTCCCCGACCTCACTGGCCCTGGCTTTTGGTTATTTCTGCATTTTCGTGACTCTTTACTAGAGAAAAATATGTGTAAAGTGGGGAATTGATGAGTAGGTTGCTGGTCATCAATATTCAGTGAGGAACTCTGCTCAGCACTTACATCAGCTCACTGAATCCTTCCAGTCTCCCTGAGGAGTGTGTCCAATAGATTTCTCTATTAAAGAGGAAGCAACAGAGGTTTAGAGAAGTGAAAGCATTTCCCCAGGGTCAAAACCAGAAAGTGGCAGAACTAGATTAGAACCACATGTCGTCTGCCAGACCAGAGCAGAGCTCTTAACCACCATGCCGAGTGACAACATGAACTTGAGACACAGGAGAATTGGGTCCCAGAGCCACCAAACTGTGGCTTCTAATTTTTGCAGTCTCTGTCTCAAGGGAAGATATCCATTTGTCACCCCCTCGCCCCCTGCAGGGGGGTGCTAATCAGGTTGACAGAGCCCTGCAGGTCTGAATAACAAGGGCATCCTTGCAAAGGTTTGCCAGGGTGGCTTTTTGATGGCCTCCCCACAGATTTGTGATCACACATTTTCTGCAACTTTATTATAAAAAATTCTCTTTATGGAAAGAGAGAAACCCGAGTAAATATGAAAGAAACATCAAAACCAACAGAGCAATTTCTAGGATATGGCATCATTCCTCACTCACATCTAACAGCTAGTTGGATCCCAGATGCTAATTGGAATAGTAGTAATATTAATGACTGTTCCCAAATCTTGTTATCAAACTGTCTCGTCACCCACACTAGATGCCTATTTCCCTGGGGTTCTGTCCTTGCATGCTTTCTTTCTCTTTGTCCTGGCACTCCTTCCAGGATGAGGGAACATCTTTTTCTGTCAGGTGGTGGCCACCTGGTCCATTCTTTCCAGTCTTCTCACATGTTCTTTCTTCCTTTCACCTCATATCCTGTTTGCAAAGGTGAATCTGCTGCAGGCATAGAGACCACATGGGTCCCATCTCGATTTATTCTCAGGCACCAGAATCTGAATCACTTAAAATGAGGTCCAATACTAGGAGCAATTGGTAAATTTCTCCCTCATGGGACATTCTAAAGTGGCTTCTTTTAAAACTTCCTTGAGAATGAGATCGCTTTAAAACCTCACTATTTATTTTACAAAACGGTCTAGGGAAGATGCTTACAGATTGTTAGCAGTTCTGGTTGCAAAGCTTCATTACAGAAAATAGTTGAAAATTTTTTCAGAAATTAAGATTCTGGGTTATCTGTGCATTTCATTTATACATGCTTTTCTAATATTGTCCCTCTTGTGCAGACAACCCAAGATCTTATTGCAGGTGAGTAGAGAATAGATTTGTTTCAGCCACCATGCTAAGAGCTTGCTGTGCTCAGCAGTCTATAGAGTGAAAATGGAGACTCACATGGAACGCACATGCCAGGGACCGGGCACTAATAGGTAAGCTGATCTATTCCTCACAGCCATCCTCTGAAGGAGGATATACCTCTATGATCCTCGTTTTATAGATGAGGAAGCCAGGCACAGAGCAGGTGACCCACTTGCCCAAGGTCACCCAGCTCATGAGTAGTAGAGCTGGGATTTGAACTCCAGCAATCTAATTTCAGGGACAGTGCTTGAACCGTCTTTTCTTTTCTTTCTTTCTTTCTTTCTTTTTTTTTTTTTTTTTGAGATGGAATTTCGCTCTTCTTGCCCAGGCTGGAGTGCAATGGCACAATCTCGGCTCACCACAACCTCCACCTCCCGCGTTCAAGTAATTCTCCTGCCTCAGCCTCCGGAGTAGCTGGGATTACAGGCATGCACCACCATGCCAAGCTAATTTCATATTTTTAGTAGAGACGGGGTTTCTCCATGTTGGTCAGGCTGGTCTCGACCTCCTGACCTCATGTGATCTGCCCGCCTCAGCCTCCCAAAGTGCTGGGATACAGGCGTGAGCCACCGCGCCCAGCCAAACCCACTTTTCTATACCTTCTGACAGACAAGGAAGGTTTAACACCTCCTTTGCAGATCTTATGGATTAGTCAGAGAGACATTTGCCAATCTAATTTAAGGCATACTGTGTTAAATACCATAATAGAAACATAAAATAGAGTGCTCTTAGCCCTTGGATATTTTCATGTGTTGTTAAAAGCCATTTTGGATCTGCTTCCCATCCCAGAGAATTATCAACCCCTCAGATAATTGAGGAAAATGAAGTAATATGAGGTAAAGGGCTATTCAAACTGGCTTTGCTTGTCAGTCACCACTCCTAGGGGCCAAATGGCTTTTCTCACATCGTTTCCTAAAGGCTCTGTTTGTCTCCACCAGCAGGTCTCTGCCTTCCCTGGAACGAAATGTGTGGGCTCAGTCCTTGATTATGGTTGCTTTCAAATGCTTTGTAGCAGGGGCAGTGTCCTGCAGAAAGGTGGGATGTGGCTTTAACCCATGACAATAGAGATTGGTAAAGAACCAGGTTACAAATTCTAAACCCCACACCCCTGTGATGATGGAACAGCCTTTGCCAAATCTCCCCAAGCTTCTCCAGCTACAAAATGGGCAAAATAAAACTTCTCTTTCTCCTCCTCCTCTTCCTACTCCTCCTCCTCCTCACCTAGTAGGAGTATTGTGAAGATAAAAAGCAATAATTGGTGTGAAAATGCCCTGAGCTCCATAGATGAAAGCTCTCTATAATGTCAACATATCATTACACTGACTTTATTAGGATTTCAATACGGTTCTGTGGCTCATAGAAGTAGCTCTTTCAGCTGGTCATATGAAGTCCTAGGTCTTTACTCCACAAAGGAATTATTTACTGCAAATATAGTCAGGTCAACACTATTCCTAGTCAGGGACGGCCTAGAGTTAGAGGATAGACATGCCTCGATTTGGGAAGCACTGTGTAGCCATGCCTAACAGCTTCTTGTAATGGGGAACGACCTACCTCCTGAAGCAACTTTTGGAGACCACTAGTGTGCTTCCTTGTGGCTGGGTGCGGTGGCTCATGCCTATAATCCCAGCACTTCGGGAGGCCAAGGATCACGAGGTCAAGAGATCGAGACCATCCTGGCCAACATGTTGAAACTCCATCTCTACTAAAAATACAAAAATTAGCTGGGTGTGATGGCATGCACCTGTAGTCTCAGCTACTTGGGAGGCTGAGGCAGGAGAAATGCTTGAAACTGGGAGGCAGAGGTCGCAGTTGAGCCAAGATCGTGCCACTGCACTCCAGCCTGGCCAGAGAGTGAGAATCCGTCCCCCCCGTTCCCCCCCAACAAAAAAAGAAAGTGCTTGCTTGTATTGGCACTGGTTCTCTTTCTCTGCAGCCTTGGACTTCGCAGAGCACATCAACATCTGACCTTTCAGATGTTTGAAGATGGATACCCTGCTCACTCAGAGACATTGCTCACTCAACTTTCTTCAGTTGTGTCTTACATGATGAGGTTTTGAATCCTCTCCTCCAGACGTATTCCAATCCCAGAACTACACTCCAGGTAGTCTGACCAAAGCAGATGGCCCCCTCATTATTCTGCTACCACAGCCTAAGATTACAGAGTTTTTGGTAGCTTTGTCATACTTTACTGGAACAGCCTGAGGGATTCTTCCTGCCTGCTACATAAAGAAAGACCACAGCATTGTAGTAAATAAAGTGCTTAATAGACATGAGGCCGCCTCGCCACGTGGGAGATGGAGTTCATACTTAAATCATCTCATCAAACTTCCTGAGTTAGGGGTTTTTCAAAGGCAGTTTAGGGGGAAGGGTGGGGTGGCTGGGCTTGCTGCTGATTGGTTGGGGCAGAGATTAAATTATAGGGGGTTGAGGCTGGGCGCGGTGGCTCACACCTGTAATTCCAGCACTTTGGGAGGCCGAGGCGGGCGGATCACGAGGTCAGGAGATCAAGACCATCCTGGCTAACATGGTGAAACCCCGTTTCTACTAAAAATACAGATACAGAAAAAATAGCCGGGCGTGGTGGCAGGCACCTGTGGTCCCAGCTACTGGGGAGGCTGAGGCAGGAGAATGGCGTGAACCCGGGAGGCGGAGCTTGCAGTGAGCAGAGATTGTGCCACTGCACTCCAGCCTGGGCGACAGAGCGAGACCCCGTCTCAAAAAAACAAAACAAAACCAAAAAAAAGAAAAAAAAAGTTATAGGGGGTTGAAGCTGTCCTCCTGTGGGTTGAATCACTTTTGGGAGGTGGGGGGCGGGCACAGGAGTGGGGTTGGTGGGTCCATTGGAGCCGTAAGTGTCAAGACATTCAAAACACTTGAAAAGATATCTCAAAAGGCCCATCTTAGGTTCTACAATAGTGATGCTATTTGCAGGAGTAGTTGAAGTTGCGTATCTTACAACTTCTGGAATCATGGCTGATAATCGTTTACACCTGCACCTTAGCAGCACGCATGCATCTCTTCTCCACACAGCCTGATGGCCTCCCATTAGCTTTATAAAAGTGATTGAATTTTGAGGGAGACCTTTTATCATTTAAACCATAGCCTAAATGTCTCTCAAAGTCCGCTTGGCCCAAAAGCCCAGGAATAATTTAGGGAAAGGCAAGATAGGGGTTGGGTTAGTTCAGCTGTTACAATTTTTCTCACTGATAGAATTTTTGCAAAGCCATTTCATTACTGTTAGAGTGACACTGTTGACAATCTCTGCATCTGTACCATATGTACCCCTGCTAGATCGTGTCTTCTAACATCAGCTGTGACTTTTTTTTTTTTTTTAATTTTTGACAGAAAGTTACATCTATCTCTCAACTGAAAATTTTATTGAATTTGGTGCCAAGCTATTCAGGTCTTTTTAAATCCACATTTTGCTGTCTAATATATTAACCACCCCCTGCAGGTGGTAATCCAAGCTTCTGGGCATTTATTCTAGAAAGAGTAAAGGGTTTATTTCTTGTAAATATAGGGAAGTTTAATTTGATCCACTGTACATGGATAGTTTTGATAAGAATGCTCCCTGCTTTTGATTAAATATTCCCTGGGATAAGAACAAGAAATACTTTCCTATCAACTAATGCATGCCCTTTGTAACTCTATAATTGTCAATCATCAAGTTATTGAGCTACCTGTCTCTGTGTCTAAAATGCTTTGCTGAAGTCCCCCTTGTCTGCTTCATTTTCTCTGGTCTCTCAGGTTTGTGGATTGGGTTGGCTCCTAGGGCACCACCATTTTTGACTCCCTTTACAGTCTATCCATTATTATTTCTGGGATCAATTTCTAGCTGAGCCACCTGTACCTTTGAGAATTCTCCCTTTCTCCCTTTTAAAAATTGTAGGCATTTGCCTAATTCCTTGATTCTGTCCCGCTCTGATGGATCATGTCTTCCTCAACAGACTCTCCCAGCGGGTTGGCCATGTCATTTGATTTTCCTCTAAGCCCATGACACAGTTTGCCCAGATGTGAGATTTGAATTCATTTGGAGCAGTAGATGTTTTCGTCCTACCCATTCATCACGCCTTGGGGTCTGCTTTCTTTGTTTTGTCCTTGGCAATCCAAAGGCACTCCTCCTTAGTAGGAAAGCCAATGGCAGCTGGAAAAGGAATTGAGCGCTCTTTTTGACCTCCATCAGCACCATACTATGAAAGGCAGCCAATTGTCTCAGGCCTTCTTTGATGTTCTCCTGGTTCTGAGCCTCACAAAGTTCTTTCAAATGTTACTTTCAGTCTTTAAGTGAATCTTATTAAAATGGGAGTACCTCTGAGAAGGGTTATACTTTGAAACATAATACAACCAGTGAGGTGCTAATATCTTTGCAAAGCTGCTAACTCAGCCTATGCAGTTGCAGGAGTGGGTGTGGCTTTTAAAGGAAAACACCCTGAATTGCTCACTTACGGCTGGTCTGAAAAATGTTTCCTTCCCAGGACACTGTACCTGGCACCACTGAATGGTGAAGAGCCGCCCATTTTCTTTAGGGGAAATGCTCCATCTTGGAGTATGTTTGCAGGAACTGAAGTAAGAGATGTAGCTGAAAAAAACTTGAATTAGGAGTTAGGAAAACTGGACCATATTTTCATGATCTGCTTCTAAATAGACTCTGAGACCTCTGTGTCCTTCTCTATAACATGAGAACATTGGATCAACTTTAAATCATCTGTAAGGTCATTCCCAGCATGTGATTCTAAGATACTTTCTCCTAATCTTATCCCGTCTTTACCACTATAGTTGGCTGTGTGTCCTATATGCAAGTCACGTCACCTCTTTGGGTCTTCGTCGATTTTAGAGAAATTATTGTTTGTTTGTTTGTTTGTTTGTTTGTTTTGTTGTTGTTTTTTTTTGAGACGGAGTCTCACTCTGTCGCCAGGCTGGAGTGCAGTGGCGCAATCTCGAATCACAGCAACCTCCGCTTCCTGGGTTAAAGCGATTCTCCTGCCTCAGCCTCCCGAGTAGCTGGGACTACAGGTGAGTGCCACCATGCCCAGCTAATTTTTGTATTTTTAGTAGAGACGGGATTTCACCATGTGGGCCAGGCTGGTCTTGATCTCCTGACCTTGTGATCCGCCTGCCTTGGCTTCCCAAAGTGTTGGGATTACAGGTGTCAGCCACTGCGCCTGGCCAATTCTTTGATTTTCTAAAGAGCTGCATTCCATGGAAGCCTGGGTAGAGGCAGGATGGACATGTGGAGAGACATCCTGTCCTCCCTTGTCCCTGTTCACCAGAGCAGCTCCATACTTACCTATTGGTCTTCTGCCTAAGCTTTCATTTGAAGAAAGGTTTTTGTTGTTGCTTTGTCTTATTTGGTTTGTTTTGTCTTTTCCTACTAATGGGCTTGTCTTTGTAGTGTCCATGTAGTGTAATATCATAGATGACTCTGAGGACCCCATCTAGCTCAAAAATTAGATATTGAGCTCCTTGAGAGCAGGGATCAGACTTGTCATTCTACCTCCACGATCCTTCATAGAGTATAGTAGGTGTTCCACAAATGCTTGTTGGATGAATATGTACTGATAATAATAATTATGAATGAGCTCTTATTCCATGCTAGGTATCCAGTGCTTTAATGGGTTACCTCAATTAACCCTTAAATTAATCCTATAGGATAGATGTTATTCTATCCCATTTTACAAGTATAGCAATGGAAGTACTTAAACTTCAGATGAATGGAGGCAACCTGATATATCTGAGAACCAAGGCTATTAATCACCTTGCTACATGGCCTCATTTCTGCCTATAGGACATCTGACTTAAGTCAGGGATGAGGAAGCTGGAAAGCAAAGCCAACAGGAAGGGAAGCACCAGTGTGGAGATAATGCTGGAGAGAGGGATGATCCTGAGGTGTATGATAAAGGGCTTTGAGGTGAAGTAGAAGGTCGGTTTCACAGAAGTGAGCTCCCCAGACCACTGACATAAGCATCCCTTGGGAACTTTTTAAACATGCAAATTCTCAGGCCCCATCCCAGACTGTTTGAACCAGAAAAGTTGGAGATAAGGCTCAGGAGTTTGTGTTTTGCTAATCCCTACAGGGGACTCTGATGTCTGCTATTGAGGGCCATTGCTGTGGATCAGCTTCAGGGACTTCGGTTTTGCTTCTGGAGAGTGCCGAAACTTCTAGTTTTCTCACTGTTGAGATAAAATATTTTATATCTGGAGCGATATTTAATTCTTTTCCATTTTTAAGATAAGCCTAAGCAAGATGTCTGCTTGGACTGGAGACTCTAAGTATCCGATTCCTTCTTTTTACCTTCTGTTTAGTCTGTAACTTGAGGCCCATCACTTAAGTCCTGATTCTTTGCCTGTAAAATGTGGTTAATGACGCGGTGCTCCCATATTGGGATAGCCAGAGAAGTGTGTAATTAGTGGTTGTGAAGCATCTGGAGCCTAGAGCGCCGTATAAATGCTATAGGATAATAACCAGTTTACGGCCTTAAATGCTGCCTACAACTTGACACATTTAAAATTTCTTCCTTGAATCGTAAAGTTTAAAGTTAATTTAACAGTTTGGTCTTTGCACTTATTTTTTATTCATTTTGTAGCCGGAATGTTGTTTCTTTGTGCTTCTTTCAACCTTCCAGAGAAAATGGGTAAGACAAAAAAAGTTTAAAAAATCAGCACCTTCAG
Organism: Homo sapiens; assembly: GCF_000001405.40. Lineage (NCBI taxonomy): Eukaryota > Metazoa > Chordata > Mammalia > Primates > Hominidae > Homo > Homo sapiens. Next base: position 29,327,957 of record NC_000007.14, read on the forward strand.
AGAAAATAACCTCTCCAAAGCATAATGTTTGATTGTCAGACATGGATTCTATAGACGTTTTGAACAGAAAGCTGAGATACTCCATAGGCACAGAGATAGTTAGTGTCCATGAAAATGCTTGTTCTTTGAGACTCCAGCCTGTGAGTCTTTAAAGAGAGTTCATCCTGGGCAGCGTCTTCATTTCTGCTCGGCCTTGTAACAGTGACCCTCCTCCTTGGATCTGGAACCCGAGAAGTCTGAATCGTATTTTCTACATGGTCATTCTTTATTTAACTTAGGCAAACACTTCCTTTTTTAGACAAGACTGCTTGTCCAATGTACACACTCATTTTAGATTAGATTTGCAAGAGTACAGGCTAGTTCATTTTACTCTAGTTCAAAGTCTTTTTTTCTTTCCCCTTAGTCTCAAGCCGATGAATGGCCAAAAAAGACTGAGATGAAGATATAACAAGAGCATTTCTTTTGAGAGTTTAACTTGGGCTGAATTTATATAGAGAATGCACATGTGGATAGATAATCAGAGAAACGTGTATAAAAGAGGCTTTTATACCAACAGTATGGTGTGAAGAAAAAATTTTTAAATGCTAAATAACCATAGTTTTTATTTTGTATATTATAACTTTAATACTCAAGCATAATTACTAGGCAGGAAAAAAACCTTCACTCTTTTATTACCATTTCCTGACATTTTAAATTACACACTATTGCTGAATTAAAAAAAAAAAAAAGAAACAGCAGAAAAAGGCTAATCCAGACCCTGAATCAACATACTAATTTATAAATCGAGTCTCAGGTAAACACGGTTGTTTCTCCTTGTGCCTTATGCTGGAGGTCAAATGCTTACAATAGCCTAAAATGACAAGTCGAGACATGTTTTCGTAATTGGAAGTTAAAAAAAGAAATTCCACCATCTGTTGATGAAAAGAAAAGTTTTGCAATAACTGCTGTCATTTCTGAAGAAACATCTCTAAATTCTTCAGAAAACAGTCATGGTGCTTATGACAGCTAAAAATCATTTGGGGCACCATTAACTGATTATGAACTACCTGAAGAATCATGCTCATACTTAAAAGGGCCACATGGAATCCTTTTAGCAGTTTCACAACTGTCTGGGGTTATTCATTGCAGACTGAAAAATGTTGCTTTTTCAATTCCAAGTAAGTCAAAATGAATGGGACAGCAGATAGACTGGAAGGGAAAAGGAGGAGGAAAAAGAGACTCCCTCCTCTGCACTTTGAAGATCATTAGCCCAACCCAAGAATGGCTTCTGTTTCTACTGAGCTTGATCACGATTTGCTATGCACTACAGTGAAATGAAATAGTAGTATGGCTGGCAAATTATGAGTGTTGACAGCAAACAGACAGGAAGAGTTTAACTCCTCCTTACCTTCCACACTAGCTTTAAACCTTCAGATAAGGCAAAAAAAAAAAAAAAAAAAAAAAAAAGTCAGCAATTGGGACAGTGTGCCCTTCATAATAGAACATGGGCCAACCAGAGATTTTTCTCATTTTTTGATCACCTATCTTCTCTGGGCCTGTCTTTTCTTATCAGATGTAAATTATTTGTTTGCAGCATTTCTGAAATTGCTGTAAGAAGATCAATAGAAAAGTGGTGAGGAAAGAATATAATTTCACCGCCCTCACTCTCTGAAAGCCAGCTATTCTCGAGTCGTGTGTACTTCCTGCCAGTTCAGTAATAATTAATGTATAGTGTGTCTGTAAACTGCAGAAACAGATTAAGAAATAAGTGCATTTTTATCATTGTTTGGATGATCCTAAAGCGTTTTAATATTATATTGTTTAGTCGGCAAATCTGTACAATAAAGAAAACATGTTTGAATTAGGTCATTTAAAGTTTCCTCTTATAACTCTTAAAACAGGAACTGTGGCTTTTCAGAGAAGAAATATTTTCCTTGAGGAATCTAGATGACAGTTTTCTGTGGTTTCTCACTTTTCTGAACTCCCAGAGCTCTCACTGTCTGGACTATTCATATCTCACCTTTCAGTACCTATTTTCATGTGCTTGTTAATTCTCTTTTTATGCTCTAACCTGGCCAGACTATAAACTCCTTGAAGGTAAGAATCATCTTCTATATTTCCCTATTTCTCAAAGTACCTACGTCAACAGCTGGTCAGGTTGTTGTAATAGGATTTTATGTATTTAATCACATTTACTGATGTAACCCATTTCTTATTGAAATAATGTGTTCCACCTCAGTGTATGTTCATATCCTAAAGTCATCTTGAAATGTATTATGTTTCCCAGTCTCTTTTGTAAAATAACAGTGGCCTCATTCAACATAGTGGTTCGTAGTAAAGTGCTTTCCTACTGGGCTCTGGGTGTATAAGATGATTACGATATTGCACCGTTGACCTTCATCCCAGTGCACAGGGTCAGATTGGGTCATTTCTGTGTGAGTACAGTTGGGAATTGTTACCACTCTGAGAACCTTACACAGTTGGACAACGTAAGAAAAAGAGAGTCCCCCGCTTAGATGGTTTTTATTTATTTATTGCAATTAATGAAGAATTCATGAAGGTGGCCTTGCTGAAACTTGTCTTTTGAAAGTAAATTTGGCCTCTGATTGACCTTCCAGAGACAAATTCATGTTCTTGGATGTTGTGTATAAGTGTGTGTTTTAGAAAAACAAAGTAATAATTTAGCATCAAGAACATATCATTGAAATTCTTAGAAATCCCATAATTGCAGCTGTGTGCAGGCGTATTATATGAAGAAAAGGAAAACAACCCCTTAACTTTGAAGCCTTGCTTGTGCTCAGAATACATCACAGAAAAGGAAAGGGGAGAGCGTTGGTGGTGTTATTGCTTTTATTTTTAGAAAAAGTAGAGGCTCAGACGAAAGTCCCGTTGCATACAGTGAGTCCATTTAAAGGTGTATGGTATAGCATGGGAAGTTTATTACAGATGTGAAATTAGGTAGTACGTAGCAAGGATCAATGTTTATTCATACTCTAAATTTAACCCATTTAAACATCGCAGTGGGGAGTGAATTTGCTTGTGGGCCTGAAATTCTCCCTACGCTGCCATGTGGAACAGAGACAGAGTTATGGAAAATGTAGAAGGATGTCCAAGTTCCCTCTCCTTTTGGGCAACGTATATGACTCCAGTTTATAAAAAGCAAGTCAGATCACTACAAAAAATAAATTATCTTAGTCATACTCAGGTCTTGTCTTAGCCTTTGCTATGGTCTAGGGGGTGACGGAGGACATCTGTCAAGGCCCTGTGGGGACAGAAGGCACACTCAGCTGGGATGTTGAAGAGCAGTTAATGGAGGGTCTGTTGACAGAGGTGTCGGCAGATTGAGAGAACTAAGAGAGTCTGAAGCATCTGGGAGTGGCCAAGAGTGGGAAGCCATTCCCAACCCCGGGTCTGGAGGGGGCAACAAGAGGAAATTGTGTTACTGGAGCCTGGGGACGGCTAGAGCCACAGAAGAGGAACTGGGACAGTGGTGGCTGTAGGGGGTCCAGTCTGCTGCCTGAACTGCAGCACTGGAGCAAGGAGAGAGCAGTACCTCCGGCATTTCTCCCGCCACCCCCTCTTTCCTGCCCTGCCTTCCATTGACTGAACCTGAAGCCAGAGGAAACGGAATTGAAGTAGTGTGGTTGGTAGAGGTCAACACCCTGGCATGGAAGAGACCCCTGGGAGAAGCAGACACTACCCCTTGTCGGAGAATCAGTTCTTCCCTTCAAAATCGGGAGATTATGAACAGTGATTTTTCATTGGATTGACTGGGAGAGGGAAGGAGTGCAGAGGGTGGTTAAAAGAACACAAGTGCAATGTTCCCCTAAGAAATACAATTTGGGGCCAGGTGTGGTGGCTCACGCCTGTAATCCCAGCACTTTGGGAGGCCGAGGTGGGTGGATCACGAGGTCAGGAGTTTGAGACCAGCCTGACCAACATGGCACGTGCCTGTAATCCCAGCTACTCAGGAGGCTGAGGCAGGAGAATTGCTTGAATCCAGAAGGTGGAGATTGCAGTGAGCCAAGATTGCGCCACGGCACTCCAGCCTGGGCAACAGAGCGAGACTCTGTCTCAAAAGAAAAAAAAAAAAAAAAGAGAAGGATAATTTGGGTGAAGATTTGGCTTGTGTGATCTGAAAGAAAAAAGGCCAATATTCTAATATGATTTATATCCATCCAAAGGAGAAAATAAACAGCCTCATGGAGCAGCGGTTGAGAACTCCCGCAGTGGCGCGAGACTGTCCAAGCTCCACCCAAGCTTGGCCCCTTACCAGCTGGGCTTTCTGGGGCAATTTTCTCTCTGAAGCTCTGTTTGCTCTCTTTTAAAGTAGGGAAAATGATCGTGCCTACCCTGTGGGGTTCTTGGGAGGCTGAAATGAAAAGATAATTGTAAAATACTTAGCCTGGAACAGAGCACTCTAAATACAGCTGCTAGCTGCTAATACAGACAATCCCCGACTAGTCAGGTTCAACTTACAATTTTTTTACTCTATGAGGATGCAAAAGCGGAATGCATTCAGTAGGAACCGTACTATGAATTTTGAATTTTGATCTTTTCCCGGGCTGGTGATACGGCCTAAAATGCTCTCTCGCAATGCTGGGCAGTGGCAGTAAGCCACAGTTCCCCGTCAGCCACACGGTCTCCAGGGTAAACAGCCCATCCTCCACAGTGTACTGTGTTGCCAAGTGATTTTTGGATAGTATATTTTATGTTATTCACATCCCATCATGTCTACAAAATGTCCATCTGTGTAAAGTATTCAATACTTCATTATGAAGTAGGCTTTGTGTGAGATGATTTTGCCCCACTGTAGGCTAATGTAAGTGCTCTGAGCACGTTTAAGGCAAGCTAAATGGTGTTTGGTAGGTTAGGTTTACTAAATGCATTTTTGACTGATGATATTTTCAACTTATGATGGGGTTATGTGGACATAACCCCATCATAAGTTGAGGAGCTTCTGTACTCTACAGAGACGACGGCTCGATCTTGGCTTGGGATCCTGTCTAGGAAGATGTCCTCTCTGCACAGGGAGTCAGAAAGGAGGTGAGGATAACGGCATGGAGTATTCATGTTCATTCAAAGGAAACATGGGCTGTAGTGGGCTGAGAAGCACCCACACTCTCTCCCTTCTCACAGCTCAGGGAGAGGCATGCTTCTGTCTCCGACAGTGGTAGTCTGTGGAGCTGGGAAGTAGGAAGTAGAGAGTAAGTGAAGGATGCTAGGTTCCCAGCAGAACAGAGCTGGGCTGGGGTGTACAGAGCAGCAATGGGAACAGGGGAGGCACATCTAGTTCTGTATCCCATCCTCCACGGCTGTCCCACACCAGGCGTCAGTGGAGGACTATGCCACCATACCCTGACCCGCCCTTTTCTGAGCCAACAGCTGCTAAAGCTTCATGCCGGGGCTGCTGTTGAAAGATGTCTCAGAGCCCTGCTCAGAGTCTTGTTCTCAGAAAATGACCATGCTTTGGAGAGGAGATGACACAGTGAGTGGGAGAGGTACATGCAGCTAAGAGCATTTCAGGAAGAAATTGGGGTCTCTTGAGGAAAAAGGATCCAAAAAAGAACTACAGATGAAATTGATTGCTTTAAGTTAGCCCATTCTATTTGTATAGTTTTAAAAATAAAAACTGGAAGCAGGTTGGATGAACATAATGCGCTAGCAGACTTGGGAATTAGGGGCAGAATGCTGCTCTAAATTCAGGAAATCATGGCACGGTTTCATATTGAACATGGTCTATTCCTACCACTAGCGCTTTCCTGGCTGATTTCTTCTCCAGCTGGAGACTTCTTTCTGGTTTTCCAATTTATGCTCCACCCTCACCCCAACCCACCCATAAACCAGTGGCTGCCGGAAGCAGTATCTTTCATAGTGGTGAGTTCTGGATTTTCAGCAGTAATGGCCGAGAGTCAGGGACCAGATGAGTGTGTGTGAGCTGGTGAGAAAAGGTAGATGATGATAGAAAATGCGCAGTGCTGTGTGCATGGAGTCCTGCAGTTCTGGACATTTTGAAGATTACCTGGCTTTTGACAATCAATGGATTTGACCACCTTGCTATAAGAAAAGATTAAATACATCTCAAAAGCCAAATGATAAATTCAATTTCTTTTCTTTTTTTTTTTTTTTTTTTTGAGACTGAGTCTCCCTCCATTGCCCAGGCTGGAGTGCAGTGGCGCGATCTCGGCTCACTGCAACCTCTGCCTCCCGGTTCAAGTGATTCTCCTGCCTCAGCCTCCTGAGTAGCTGGGATTAGAGGCACTCACCACCATGCCCAGCTAACGTTTGTATTTTTAGTAGAGACAGGGTTTCTTCATGTTGGCCAGACTGGTCTCAAACTTCTGACCTCAAGTGATCCACTCGCCTTGGCCTCCCAAAGTGCTGGGAGCCTAAATTCAATTTCATAGTGACTATTTTACCCTACATGATGAGTGTAGAAAATGTTGGCATATCAAGTCATGGCAATTTGACATCACAAAGCCACAATGGTGAAAAATTAGAAACATTCTTAATGTAATTCTGTGTGGAATTCTGTGGTTTTAGAAGTTTCAGCCAGGCACGGTAATCCTAGCAATTTGGAAGCCCAAGGTGGGTGGATCGCTTGAGCCCAGGAGTTCAAGACCAGCCTGGGCAACATGGTAAGACCCCATCTCTACAAAGAGTTCTAAAAATTAGCCAGGTGCGGTGGTGTGCACCTGTGGTTCTAGCTACTCAGGCGGCTGAAGTCGGGGAATCACTTGAGCTCAGGAGTTTAAGGCTGCAGTGAGCTGTGATTGCACCACTGCACTCCAGCCTGGGCGACAGAGCCAGACCCTGTCTCAAACAAACAAACAAACAACAACAAAAAAGGAAGTTTCATGCTTGTCGTGACTCTGTCCCCTAAGTGTAACGGCTAGGGTCAAAGGACTAGAGTGGAGTGGGAAGGTCAAATGCAGAAATACCCCTCCATGTGCGGACAGGAAGATGTGCAGGAGTGTATTTGTATACTTAGTGTTTGCATTGTTTCTAAGACATTACTGACACCCGGAATGATTCATTTCCTAAGTGTTGAGAGATAAGTTATCTTAATCAGTGGATACCTTTTGAATAGGTTGAATATAATAGTTTTGAAAATATTGGTGACATAAAAGGCATCTAAAAAGACATCTAAAATCATCAGTAAACATTTCAATAGTGGTCAAGAACAGAGCATGCCTTCTTTCTGGAGCCATCTATTTAGGGTAGTGGTGCTTACGGGAGTGGAACAATATGGAGTCACTCATGCATTCTCTGTCATGGTGCTGGGCCCAGTAGAAATGCCTATTGCAATATAACAGATTAATTCTGAAAATAGAACCAATTCCTGAAAAGCCAAAGGTTGCATATGAAAACCTAAAAACAGCCCTTGCTGGAGGCTCAGTCTCTTGATCTCAGACATTACTACTAATTGGTATAAATGGTCTGATAAGGCCCAGAGAGGAGCACCCACTTCCTGCCATAGAGGGCATGAAGCTGTGGACATAGGAAGCTCTCAGTAAGTGCTTCTTCAGCAGACACAAGCACTGAGGATAAAGGACCTTTCAGTATGTTATTTAGGGAACCCAAATCTAGTCATTTCTGGCTGTTTTCTTTGCTTTTTCCTTTTCTAGTTTTTGAGTTTTGACAGCCAGATCCTCACCATACTAGTTGGTAGTCTGTACTAGAGCCTGCATGTGTCAGGTAAGGCACTCTGCAAATCCTGGCGAGGAAGGAGACTTACAATAAACTCGATTGTTCTTTTCCTCTTTAATCAGATCTGCCAGCTTGTGCCTGACTAGTCCTGTCAACATTGTGAACAGTGGAGATGGTTTGCCTCAGTTGCACTGTGCACTGTAAAAGCAGTACCAATGGCTGTGCAGACATTCCTAAAGAGAATCTTAGTTTTCTTCCTCCACTTTAATAGTGGTCACCCAGTGGGTTGAGCAAACAAACATTTATTGAGCACCTGGTGTGTACAAGCATTCGGCTCTGCTTTGGTGCTGAGGAGAGTAAAGCTGCCAGGGAAAACCGAGGGGACACACGGACAGCTCCAGTGGGGTAGCTTTGCAGTGGGACTCACACCTCTTCATTCTACCAGAAGCCAGAAGATACTCACTGGGGACAGTCGTGATGGGAGTTTTTCCATGAGCAGCAAGAGCTAATGGGCCGTTTGCCTACAAGAGAAGGTGGGACAGCAGATTCCTCCTGGAGAATCTCCCTTGTGGCCCTCTCATTGCCCTCTGACAGATTGCAAGCCTGAAATCTGTCAGCTTTGAAAGATTGCCTGACCCTCCAGTATTTGGCTATGTAAGACAGGTACTGAAAGACGGCTTTTGTTGAGGAACTGACTCCCAATAAAAATGGTTAACTATCCAGTGTGAGAAAACACGCCGTTGAGGCTGGGCATGGTGACCCACACCTGTAATCCCAGCACTTCGGGAGTCAAGGGTGAGGATCACTTGAGCCCAGGAGTTCAAGTGCAGCCTGAGCAACACAGTAAGACTCTGTCTCTACAAAAAAATTCAAAAATTAGCTGGGTGTGGTAGCATGCATTTGTAGTCTTAGCTTCTTGGGAAGCCAAGGTGGAAGGATTTCTTGAGCCTAGGAGTTAGAGACCAGGAGTTCAAGTCCAACCTGCAACATAGTGAGACCCTGTCTCTACAAAAAAAAATTTTTAATTAGCTAAGCATAGTACTGCACACCTGTAGTCCTTGCTACTCCAGAGTCTGAGGCAGAAGGATCTCTATAGCCCAGGAGTCTGAGTTTACAATGAACCATGATTGTGCCACTGTACTCCAGCCTGAGTAACAGAGCAAGATTCTGTCTCAAAAAAAAAAAAAAAAAAAAAAAAAAAAAAGCTTCACATGCAAACCAGAAAGTCTCCTTGCTTCTCAGAATGCTTGAAGTGAAAACAACAAGCATTCCACCTTTCTCTCCCTCCCTGGCACAGGGCCTGGCAAACTCCTACTCATCCGTCACTGCCCAGCTCCAATGTCATCTCCTCTGTGAGGTCTTCCTTGTTAGCTTCCCATTCGCCCCTGCCAGGAACCTGGCTCCTGTCTTCCGGCACCCACCACCCTTGCATGCACTCCTTCATACACTCCCCTCTGCTTGCTTCCCCTCTAGGATTGGGTGCTGCTTCAGGGAAAGGACTTTGTCATCTTTGTGTACCCAGTGCCTAACTTGGGATCAGGAATAGAGTGATGGGTAAATGTTTGTTAAATGGAGAGAGGAGAACATGAACAAATGATCTTTTATAAAGGCACAGGTGTGTAAATATACAATTCCTCCTTATGACCGTGCTGCTGAAAATAGATAAACAGAGGGTACCAGTACAAACAGCTTCAGACAGGAGCTAACTATTAAGGAAAGGTTTGTTTTAATTTTAGTTTCAGACTCTGGTAGTGGAAGTAGGAACTTTCACATGCTGCGATTAGGAAGACAAATGTCCCACTGTGCAAACAGCAAGAGGATATGACTGCTGCCAGCACGCAGTACAGCTGTCCCCAACTCTATGAAGACATGCAACACTCATAACAGCAGAGTGCGGAGAGGGGGTCTATTCTTCTCACTCTGTTATGTAATGTGAATACTTTCTCTTGCGGAAATCATTGGGACCACTTGTTGTTTGCCTTACTCTTAACCCTTTAATCATAGACCTACTGATGCTGTCACCCAGGCTGCCACGGGGTGACAGGAAAGCTTTCCTTCCTGCATACATTTGTTCAAGCATTTGGCATGGAAGTGATAAATGCATGCTAATGCAGAGCTTAATGTGGAGCTTTCAGTTAGCATCTTGCAGGTTGTGAGGGATTGTTTCGGCTGTTGGGTCCTTACTCTTGCTTCTTCCTGTACATCACAGACACGCTTCCTGTGCTGTTTGTTGCTCTGTGGTGTGGTTGATGGGGTGTCTGAAGTGTTGCTAATGCAGTGCGTGTGATCTTTAGAAATATTTTCCCTGAAGTTATTTTTAAAGCAAGTGATAAGAAACCACAGAACACCAAAACCCAGAAGGAAAGGAAAACTGGAGGCTCCCAGTCTCAGGAGGCTTCAAGAATCAGAGCCAACTAGACAGCCTGACTGGGCCCCATCTATTTTTACTGGTCTTACAGTAAGGGGTAAGGTTTAGGTTGGAAATAGATGAAGGCAGGCTTAATATACTTACAGAGAGACTGAAGTAACAGCTTGAATGTTGTGACATAAATGAGTTTGATTGCTATGATAAAATATGGTAGGTCAGTCTTCCCAAGATGACTATTGGGTGTACATGTTACTGGCCATAATTTATTCTTATGGGATACAAATGAGTTGGCCAACTTTGGGCAAGGCACCATCCTCTGTGGGCTTCAGATTCCAAGTCTGTAAGATGGGATAAGAGTACCCACCTCATAGTGCTGTTTGGAAATGAAGTGTGATAATATATGTGCAGTCCTAGGACATTGCAGTGTCTAGTATGAGAGACAGAATTTTGTAATGAAGAAAAGTATGCTTTTCAGATCCGGACAATGCTAGATTTGAATATTCAGCTTCACTATATGATTAATATATGTGATTATTTATGTGATTCTGGGCAACCTCACTATTCCTCTGTTTATTTGCCTGTACAATGGGACTAATAATACCTGTTTTATAAGCTGGTTGTGAGTTTTTTGTTTGTTTGTTTTGCCACAGAGTCTTGCTCTGTTACCCAGGCTGGAGTGCAGTGATGCGATCTCAGCTCATTGCAACCTCCATCTCCCAGGTTCAAGCAATTCTCATGCCTCAGCCTCCTGAGTAGCTGGGATTGCAGGCTAGTGCCACCATGCCTGGCTAATTTTTGTATCTTTTAGTAGAGACAGGGTTTCACCACGTTGGCCAGGCTGGTCTTGAACTTTTGACCTCCAGTGATCTCCCTCTCTCAGCCTCCCAAAGTGCTGAGATTACAGGCATGAGCCACTGCACCCAGCCCTGGTTATGAGTATTAAATAAGACACTGCATACAAAACATCTAACAACGTAATGAAAGACTATTAATAAAGGCTAAGATATCTACATGATATCTGTCAAAATTATCTTTCACAAAAGGAATGTTATCTTAGATTTTATTTTATACAAAGCCTGTCATACTATTGGATTACTCAGTTAATTTATTTTGAACCCTCAATTACATTCTGGAAAAGTCACAGTAGACTTGAAATGATGTTAATCAGGGATAGTTTTGGACCTTTGTAGTGGTCACTTCATGGAATCATTTTTAAAAAAGGAAGCTAAGAAATTTAACCTAGGTATATTTAAACAAGTGCTAAATGTAATTGTAAACAACCTTTTAAAAAGTTTGCTATACTTTTTTTTAATGTAAATTATGTAAAAGGATATAAGTGAAAACCAAATCTCCCTACCTCTCCTGACCCTCGGCCACCCAGATCTCCTCTGCAGACAGACACAACCTCAGCCCTTAGCAGTCTCTTCCAGACCTGTTTCATGCACTGAAACCCCGAGCTATGCCTCATTTTTAAAATTGAACATCTTGGAGAGCTTTCGATATTAGCCACCTCATTCCTTTTTGTGCCTTCATAGTATTCCACAGCAGATTTTAAAAGATATCTTTAAAAAGCAATATAACAATATTGTTTTTTGTTAGCCATATTATAACAATGCTAGCCGGGCACGGTGGCTCACGCCTATAATCCCAGCATTTTGGGAGGCTGAGGCGGGTGGATCACCTGAGGTCAGGAGTTCAAGACCAACCTGGCCAACATGGTGAAACCCTGTCTCTACTAACAATACAAAAATCAGCCAGGCATGATGGCACGTGCCTGCAATCCCAGCTACTTGGGAGGCTAAGGCAGGAGAATCACTTGAACTAGGGAGGTGGAGGTTGCAGTGAGCCAAGATTGCACCACTGCACTCCAGCCTGGGTGACAAGAATGAAACTCCGTCTCAAAAAAAAAAAATAATAACAATACTGTATATAATAATATAATATATATGCCAATATAGCAATATAATAAGGCTATGTTGTGGAGACCACCTTCAAGATGAATAAAATCCAGCTGCTCTTATATAATGTGAAAGTGTGACTGTAAGTGGATAAAGTGTCCAGTGGCAGCATTGGACAGGGACTTTACAATTTTTTTTCTTTCAAAAGATCAAGGAACAAGCAAGCATGATGTGCTGTGGGAAAAAATGTCTTAGATGACTAAAAATCATTTGAAGCTCAAATATACATGCAGAAAAATTGAAGTTGTTCCATGAAATCGAGTTGAAGAAAGCAATATTTCTAAATTTGTGTATTATTTTAAGCATGAGTTTTAATTTGTACAAATAACTGAATTAATGAATTCAGGTATATATGCCTATTTGAATTAAGTGTTATGAGTAAATATCTGACCATTTCCTTTATGTTATGAAAAGTTTTTATATTCAGAAATCTTTTGGGGGAAGATCTCATCAGGAAAATGCACACTGCCTTCTGCAGGGGGTTGCTTGGGGGGGGGCCTCAATATTTAGCAGCCCTGAACAAACAAATCAAACATTGCAGAGCAGGTCCAGGCTGAAGTGGCACTTTCATTAGTAAGGGCAGGCAGGAAGGCTATTAGCCATGTGTGCTTGCTAACCACTGAGCCCCCAAATTAAGCAGGTTTAACTGTCCTCCAGGTGCTGCAGAGCTAGACCACCAGGAAGGCAACTGTGTACCAACTGGACAGTGCTCCTACGGGCTGGCACAAAGCCAAGAGACAAATTGCTCCCACCTCCCCAGGGAGAAAATATAGGACAAGATAGAGGACAGGAGTTCACCTACTGAGTTTCCCTCACAGGCCAGGAGTGTGTTTTGGCATAAAGCATGTCCTCATTTAGACTAATTCTCGGCACATATATGGGACATGTAGGTAATTCCCTGGCACATAAAGGGTGCGCTTGTTTCCTTAAGGAAGGAAGAATGGCTTCACCACAACTGCTGGCACCCACATGCTGCCTTAGAACTTTTGAGTCACGTCAAACAGCTTCAATCACAGGGTCTGGGTAGGAGAATGCAGCTGCTAGGCGACTGAGAATTGAAGGCGTCCTTGAGCTTCCCACCAGGAGAGCGCTTACTGAGTGTCTAGCCCCGTCTCTATATTCACAGATGGGAAAACCGAGGCCCATGTGGGTCAAGGTTGAGGGAGTAGCCCCAAATCACCCAGAACTGAGAGTGGAGCTGGGGCAAGAAACCCACTGTCATCTTTCAGGTTCTTCTTGGTTATTGACAAGAGCACGGTTTTCTGCCTTGTTCTCATCCTTCCCCTCTCTAGAGCTCCCTCCTTCACGTGTGGAGGTACAGTCGGTAGCCCTCTGATAGTCCGTCCAGTTCCACTGCAGTGGGCTCTGATTTCAGCCTGTAAGACAAACAAGGATGTGGCAAGCATGGGCCAGAGTGACTGGCTGCCGACATGCCCATTCTTGATATGAATTACTACAATTATATTAACCGCACCAATTGTTATGGATGGTGCCAGTTGCGAGAAATGACTGTGCTAGATCAGAGAGCCCATTTGTTGCCAGGCCAGCACTGAGCACTGTATCTGTATAAATAGAGATCAATAGTATCTCTATTGACAATGAAATCTGGGGAAGAGTTGCAAGTAGTACCTGATATGCAGAGGATCCTTGAGGAAGAACAGGGAGGGACAGAAAGAGGGAGGGAGGAGAGAAGGATGGGAGGGAGAGAGGGAGGGGGGCATCTCAGTTAGTGAGATTTTACTTTATTTGTTCTAAAAGGTGGCAGAAAATTAAATAATGTCATGAGTTTTTTCTAATTCTCTAGTGCTGTTTTCTACAATGTTCAAACCATGTTCTATCATTGAAGCAGACCAGACATGAGAAAGAACTGAAAATTTCACTTTAGCTTCTGTACTGCTGATTCCTCCTATGGGACTAGGGTCATAGGGAGAAAAATCAATGGACTCCAGAGCCAAACAGATCTGGATTTGAATTCTACCTTTTCACCAACCATGTGGCCTTGGGAAAGTGACTATAATCTCTTTTAGTTCCCTCATTTCTAAGAGATAAAAACATACCTTCAGGGACCTCTGTTCCATGCTTCCTGGGCACCCTGAACTTTGTCTTTCAGAACGCTTTTTGTAGTTTCTTACAATCACTTGTTTGATGTTCATTTGCCTTTGTTGCTGGACTGAAGGCACCTTGAAAGCAGTGACTGGATCTGCGTTGGTCGCAGCTATATCTTTATCCTGTGGTACAGTGCCTGGCACATAAGTATTTGCTGAAAGAATGAATGGGTAGATGGATGAGGGGATGGCTGGATGGCTGGATGGTTAGATGGATGGATGAACAGATGAATGGATGGAGAGATTATTCAGGAAAGTTATAAAGATCCCAGATAATGTATGGAAGGGGACTATCCCAGAATCTGGAATAACCAGGCACTTAAAAATTCCTTTCCACTTGTAGTGGAGGACCTCAGCTTCTCTTCCATCTCTACTTCAGGACTACTTGACTCCGAATATACTATGGCCAAAAAAATATTTCTTGGCTTGCCAGTAATAACAATGCCAGGGCCATGATCTATGGGTTGCTTTAATGAGAGGTTTGTCTGTCATTGCCACAACCATCATATATCTGAAGAGACACAAATGCCCACAGTGAACTCAAGATGCACCAAAAAATATATCATTATAGTAGGAGAAAATGCTGGCTCTTCTAAATGGAAAGAGTGGAGAGCTGACTGGGGATATATCTAAATTTTCTCCTTGTCTAAGAGCTAACCTCTTCAGGAAGGAGATGAATAAAAGAATAACTATTAAGAAATAACTGAGTAAAATAATCTTCTCCCTCCATTCTAGCAGCACTTTAGGTCTGATCTTGCCCTTATAACACTCCGCTTTCTACCTTGTGTTATGGTGATATGTACATGTGGCCAGGGGCCGGATACCCAGCAGGCAGTCAGTTAGTGCTCATTGGATGAATGAATAAGTTGATGTCTTATTTCTTCTCCTAACTGATTCCTGTGGTTAGATTCTGCATCTTGCCTTTATATCTGCACCCATGTCTAGTGCACTATTTTGTGCCAGTTAGGGCGTAAGCTCTGGGTAAATATTTGTTGGATGAATAAATGAATACCCAAAAGGGCTTCTTCTGGAGGAAGGCCAGGAAAACATTCCTTTGATGAAAATAATTTGTAAAGAGGCAGGGAGCTACTGGAAGGCAAATGTCTGGGGAGGAGAGACAGGCCTCTAGGTTGAATAGAAGTAGTGGTGGTGAGGTTGTCTCCAAAGAAAGCAGGGGAGGAAGTGTGTGAATAATAAAAGAGGAAATTGTCCACCAGGAAAGCATCTCCAGCTGGCTGTGATAAATCTGCATTTTGTACCAGCAAGTAGGGAGAGTGCCTCGGGAGAGAGGGAGATCAGGGACATGGCCAGTGGTTTGGCAAAGGTAATGACGATGATAACCAAATTGAAGCTCCTGTGTCTTTTCTTTCCCTCAACCCCTTGTCTCCCTGTATTGCCACCATTTGCTTTCATTTCTCCATCAAACCTCCCTCTTACAAGCTCTATTTTCTCAATTTCTACTTGACCTTCACATCACTTGCCTGTGGCTTCCACCCATACCCCATTGCAAGGTCATGAGAAACCCCCATGTTGCTGCAGCAACAGCTCTCTCCATGTGTATCTCACTGGAGCAGCTGCTGCCTCTGTTAACCACTTCCCCCTTTTTAAATGTCTTGTGCTTTGCCTTTCATGTCGCCCCATCTTGGGGTTTCTCTCCTATCGCTCTGGTCTCTGCCTCTTTCCCTCTTCTTCTCATCCCTTCAGTGCTGGTGCTCCTCAGGGGCTCTGTCAAAGCCTTCCCTCCCCCACTCTCATGTTCCCCCTGTGTCATGTCATCTACTTTAGTGGCTACAGCTGCCATATGTATGCTGGGGTTTCCATTCCTGGATCTCCAGTCCAGGCCTCTTTTCTGAACTGCAGGTCTCTTAGAGATGTTCACTTGGCCATTCCTCAGCCATCGCTTTCCAGCAGCAAAAGCTGAGAGCCTTGCTGTCTGCCAGGCCTGCTTCTCCCCTGGTCTGCCCCTTTCTGTGAATGGCATCACTACCCATCCAGATGCTTAAGCCAAAAACCATTCATCTTCCTCTGCCCAAGCCAGAAGTCATGTTCCCTCCTTTCCTTCCCTGTCCATGTCCAGCTTGTCATCAAGGCCTGTAGATTCTGTCTTCTCCGTGTCCTTCAAGTCCATCCCATTTTCTCCGTCTCCACTGCCACCATTCAAGTTCAGATCATTAATGTCACCTTCCTCGGTTACTGGACAGTCCCTTGATTGGTCTCACTGCCTCTTCTCTTCTCTTTCTCCCATCTTCTCATCCTCCAGTCCACTTTCACTCTCAACTGCAATGATCCTTCTCAAATACAGTCTGGACTCTGTATTATCCCCGCTTGCATTTTCCCTGCCCTTTAGAAGAGGTAAGTCCTTAGCATGGTTGTAAAACGCTTAATTATCTGGCCCCTACTTACTTCTTTAATATAATCCCTCACCCCTCCAAAACACCCTCTGGCCACCCATCCAGACACAACAGAGCCTGTTTCAGCCAGCAAGCTGAGACACTTCTGGCTCTCAGTGCCATGTCCTGTCTTGCCTCTGGTTCCTGCAGGCCACACCTCAGCTTGTGTATCCTCCAAGAGCCTATCCATCCACATAGACACTCCTTACTGTGGGCTTCTGCAGTAGATGTCCAGGCAATAGCCTATCTGCTTGACTGGGCTCCACGTGCTGTGGTAACAGAACTTACTCTTCTCTTTGTCTTTGGGGACTTTAGGCCTTGCTCTTAGGTTTCACTCCTCTGAGACTGCTCTTGAAGGACCCTGGACAGGGCTACTCAAGGCAGAGGTGATCCGTCAAGGTGTGGGAAGAGCCTGACTGCCCCTGCCCCATGCAGCCTTCCAAAGGCTGAGGAGTCCTACCACCATCAATGCTCCTTGTATGCATCCTCTTGCTATGTTACAGTTGCCTTGTTATTTGTTTGGGACCCTCAGAAGAATGCAAGTTTTGGGTTTCTGTCTTTTACTTGTCCAACACTTTGAGCACCTGCTGTGTCCTGGGATACAGCAGTCATGGCCACTTCAGTTGTGCCATTTGTGCCTAGCTGAGAGGGCAAGTGGGGGCTGAACACAGCCTGGGCTCCCCTCTCCAGGCCACATGCTCTGGCTTGGGGCTCTGTCCCTCAGAGGAAACATCTTCTCTACACACAGGTGCTGTCTAATTGCCAAGCTGTACACCTGCCTGAAAAAGACAGCTTTTTCTAATTCACAAAAAGTACCCAACAGGCTAAGGCTGACCCACACATTGGAGGACAAGATAAATAGGTTCCTACTCTCACAGTGCTATCTGTCTAGCATGGGAAGACAAAACGTAAACAAAGAAATATATAACCACACAGCAAAACGTTTCGGATGGTGAAAAGGCTCTACAGAGAATTGAAGAGAGTATCTGGGGAAATGCTGTAGGTTGGTGGGTCCAGGAAGATGTCTCTGAGGAGCCAGAGCATTTACGCTGAGATCCCATGATAAGGAAGCCAGCAGTGTGCACGCGAGAGGGAAGAGACTGCATGACATCCCTAAGACTGGTATGGTCTTGGTGTGTTCGAGGAGCAAAAGAAAAGCCAGAGTGGATGAGGGCTAAAGGGCAAGAGGAGAGACAAATGCGATGACCAGGGGATGCTGACCGGGGGCCAGATCGTGCAGAGTTTCGTAAGGCCTCTCTACCTGTTCACCGTATTGTGCCCGAGGACTGGCTCGTTGCATTTATCCAATAAGTACCTGTTGAATGGGAGAATCTCATCATGCCTCTGTGTACAGAATAAGTAGCTCAAGACAGAAGCTCCATGTGGCCCCGGTGCCCTCTAGTGACCACAGGCTCCAGCCCAAGGCCCTCCATGGCTTCATCATCTTCAGAAAGTCACTTACTTCCCTTGTCTTTGGGGCCCAGCCTCAGGGTCCAGCAGTAATTCCTGGAATTTGTCTTACTAACTATTCTCTGCAAGTGGGACTCAAGCAGTTAGAAAAATCCGTGCTATGAGTTTCATAGTCAGACTGACAGCAGGCCTTCATCCCTTACCCAAGCAGAGTTTCCAAAGAGAATACATGGATGTCTAATTTCTCAGGGGAGTGCAGGGAACCAGCATTAGCAAGCAAGGTCTCTAACAGCCTTCAGATCTGGGTGTTTTGCAGCAGTCAGGATGACCTCCAGGTAGTCTCGCAGCTCAGGCCTGGCACCATTTGGCCGTGCTGGCCTGACAAGATCATAGCTACAGGCTGTACACTCTGTCCATGAGGACGTGCTGCTGAGGACCCAAGCGTGGGCATAATGTATGTATCAAAGACATATTGTAGCATGTGCACAGACACAACATCCCACTCCTGCTGTTGTTGTTTGCTTTCATTTGGATCCCAACCCATTCTGGGCCCATTAAGCTAATCACCCAACAAATTCTGAACTGTCATCTCATCGTGAGGCTGTTCCATGCTTGACTGAAAAACCTGTTTTCACCCAACTTCCCTGGAAGAAGCCTACTGCAGCCCATTTACAAATGTATGCATCAGTAAATCAAAAGTGACAGCACAGATCTGGCTTTTCTGGGAGAGGGGATGGCAGAGGGAGAAACCCAGTCCTTCCCCTCTGTTTCTTAAATGATGCCATATACACAGCTTTATTTGAAATGTTCTTTAAAAATAGGTCATCTTCAACTTCCTTGATAGCTCATTCTCTACATCGGTGAAACTTTGGCTCCTTTCATTTTCCAAAGCCTCTACCTGTGTTTTTCTGTGAGTCGAGTCATCCTCCACTGAGCCGAGTGAAGGAATCTGGCTCTCCCAGATGTTTGCAGGTATTTCCTCTTCAGTTGTCACTTTGCCAAGTGGAGCACATGTGTTCTTTAATTTTTCTTCATTAATCAGTCTCCAAATTCCTTTACACTTGCTCCTCAGGTGATTCCATCAAATCAACATATTTCTGGAGCTAAAAATGCCTGGAAGAATACAGCCTTCCAGCTGCAGCCATCCAAACGTGTGGATTCGCGTATGTTCCCTGCACTCCATGGCCATATGTTTCCACAGGTTCACTTCCAGGAGCGTTCTGTGTCTCCATTTGCTTCCCTGCAAATGCATACTTAGTCTCATCTGTGAGTTTTCTAACTGAGTCTTAAGGCATCAAAAATTAAGAGCATATTGATAACAGCCCAGTGTTGGTGAGAGAGGGTGTGGGGAAATGGGCATTCTTGTACCCGTTGCTGAGAATTTCAATTGACCTAACTTATTTTGAAGGCCATTTTAAAATAAAATGACCTTTTAAAATAAAAAATACAGAGACCCTTCACCCAGCAGTTCAACTTCCCTGAATCTATACTGCACCTGTATCAGTGTGGCATTGTTTATAGTGGACTGTATCAGTCCATTTCCACACTGCTATAAAGAATGCCTGAGACTGGGTAATTTATAAAGGAAAGAGGTGTAATTGACTCACAGATCTGCATGGCTGGGGAGGCCTCAGGAAACTTACAATCATGGTGGAAGGCGGAGGGGAAGCAGGCACCTTCTTCACAAGGTGGCAAGGGAGAGAGAGAGCAAAGAAAGAAGTGCCACTTTTAAGCCATCAAATCTCGTGAAAACTCACCCACTATCATCAGAACAGCATGGGGGAAACCACCCCCATGATCCAATCACCTCCTACCGGGGTCCCTCCCTCAACACGTAAGGATTACAGTTTTCAAGATGAAACTTGAATTGACGCAGACCGAAGCCATATCATAGCCCAAAGTGGAAAATAGTCTCAATGTCCATCAATTAGAAATTATTACATAAATGAACTAAGTATATTTTGCTATACTCATGTAATGGAAGTCCAAGCAACAGTTATAAAAAGAAAATAACATAGATCTATGTGCGCTGACATGGATAGATGCTAAAACAATATCATGAAATTCAAACAGCAAATTGCAGAACAGTATGTATGGTATGAAACCATTTTTGTAAATTTTTATTCTAGCTATTCACAGAACAAAATCTGGAAGGATTCACACAAATCTCTTAATGGTGCTTTTTTTTCCCCCTCAGGTTGGGAACTTTCTACAGTGTACATGTTTAAATTATTGGACTTTTTCTGTTTTTCAGCAATGGTGTATTACTTTAAAGTTCAGTAAAAACAACGGAGGTATTACTTTATTTTTGCTGTGCTCTTGAACCAGGAAGATGAGCTTTTATGCCACCTATTCCCTATTGCCCCGATTGTTCCCTAGTCTTTCTCAGACATGGAGGAGCTTTCTGTAGGCTAATCCCAGAATTCTTTGTTTTCCCTCAAAGACCAGAACAGCAGCATCATCTTTTTGGGGTTTAGTTAAAACTTTAGCACGTAAGGTTTTCTTAAGGTGGCTTTCAAGTCTTAACCTGCACTTCCAGGCCCCTTTAACCCGCTTTTCTTTCCTCTTCTTTTCTTTTCTTAACATGTTCAGATTCTTTATGGATTATTTCAACGGTCTTATTACCCATTTTTTAAAGGTTTTGATCATTTTCTAAGCATCTGTATCTTCCCCCTCCTTCCCCATCCTTTCATGAGAGGAGACACCTGTTTCCCAGCCTGCTTAGAATTACTCGTTGATATTTGTTTCACAGAATTTTTAAAAGAGGGCCAAAGGAATCGGACATGACCTTTTGCAGCAGAAATAACTGTCTTTTGTCTCACTCCTAGCTCTTCCTGCACGAATACTGTACATGCTGTGTGTGTTATTACAACAGTTATTTTTGTTGGGTCTTTTTATATCTACTTTATTTTTGAGGTGGTGATTTATTTAGTCAGTGTACTTTTAAAAAAAACTAGCACTCCTACAAATTTATTTCTCATTATTTTTAATTTTTATATAAGCAATATATACAGAAAATTGTAAAATACAAGTAAGCAGAAGAAGAAAATAGAAATCACAAGTATTTTTACTATCAGGTATAGCAAGCCTTAATAATTGGGTTTATTGCCTCCTTGATAATTTCTACATATATGAATATTTACCTTTTCTTAAAAATGAGATTATATTTAATAAATTATTTTATAACCTGATTTGTTAATACTTAACAATGTAGCATAAGTAGTTTCTTATCATTAAATGTAGATAATAACAGCAAGTTTAGCATTTACTGTATGCCAGGCATGAGACTACACATTGTATGTTATTTTTTCTCCTAATTTATCTTACGCCCACCCTTCAGTAGGAAATTTTCTTATGGCACTCTTTATCTGGAGTAATCTCTCTTTTGTTGTTGTCGTTCTGTTAGTCTCTTCTTTTTTAGCTTTCTCCTACACATGGCTTTCATGAAGTGAAACATATTTGTGATTTTTTGTTTACAGATTAAGCATTATAAATATTAACCCATCCAGTGCTCATGACAATGCTGTATGTTGGGTGATATTATTACTCTCATTGTATAGATTTTAAAAACTGAGATACAGAGAAGATAACTTGCTTAAGGTCACACAGCTAGTAAGTGACAGAGCTGGGTTTTAAACCTAAGCAATCTAGTTCCGGAGGCTATGCTCTCAACCGCAAACTCTCATTTTCATGACTAAATCTATGATAATTATTTCACCACTCCCTTCTTTCTGTGCTTTTAGGTTTACTCTTACACACAGCAGAGCGATGAACATCTTGTTCATCTATATCTTTGTACATGTGTTCAATTACTACCTTAGGCTAGATTCCCATGAATAGAATTGCTGAGTCAAAAGGTTGACGCATTTTTTAAAGGTTAGATACATATTAGTCAAAGTTTTTAAGCAATATGCTTTCTAAGCCTCTTTGATCTTTATAATTCATTGTTCCTTTCTAAAAATATATAACTGTCTTCTGCGTTCAAGGATAATTTTTTTTATTAATATGGGGCTTCTTGTTCTACTTCCTCCCCTTTCGTTATTTCTTCAAAATGTTTAACAAACTAATACATTTCCAGAACACATTATGCTTCATCTTGTCACTATTTCCAGTACCTTGTATCTCCTGGACTTTATGCAATGCGTGTGTGTGCACAGATGGAATATGTTCCACCATTTGGCTTAATGACAATTTTTCACACCACTAATTTTCTTTCTTTATTTTATTTTTTCTTTTAAGCCTCACAAGAATTCAAGTAACATATATAATAGTTTTGTTTTCTTGATTTCAATATATGTAAATTTGGGGGGACTGCCTGGCAAGGATGAATGATGTGTCAGAGGTCTAGAAGACAAAGCTCTCACCTCTGCCTCTAACTTGTTTTATGACCTTGAGGAAACCACTTAATCATTCTGCATTTCATTTTCCTCATTTGCCAAATGACAAAGTGAACTAAATGACCTTGAAAACCTATTTTTTTTTTAAGTGTCAGCCTATCCAAGACGCAAGTTGATCTTTGAAAAGTATTGTTTGAAATTAGGGCAAATATGTGTGTGTGTTGGTGGGGCAGAGTTGGAGGCACTAAAGATTAGTTTCAACATATTAAAAATGTTTTGTGCTCTGACGCTTGACCAAGGCCTCCTGACAGTGTGCTTTAGTGGTTTGTGAAACATATTTCTAAGGCCAAGGTAATTATAGTTGTTCCACTGAAGCATGACAAATGGCCCCTCACTTTGAATTCTTTTATGGGAAAGAAAAACCTTCCATGACAACAGCCCTGGAACTTAATGACAGGCTCCAGATCTGGGGGCAAGAATAGAGACAGACATTAGCTGCAGTGAAGAGAGAGAAGACAACAGCACGGGCTCACCTGGGAAGGATCAGGGCGAGGTGATGTAACAATAACAACAACTCATTAATGACATTAGTGGGGCTCTGCTGAGAACTTGCTATTGACCGGACGTTGTCCCAAGAATTTCATATGCATTGTCTCATTTAATTCCCACAATGCGGCCGGGCGAGGTGGCTCACGCCTGTAATCCCAGCACTTTGGGAGGCCGAGGTGGGTGAATCACGAGGTCAGGAGTTTGAGACAAGCCTGCTCAAGATGATGAAACCCCATCTCTACTAAAAATACAAAAGTTAGCCGGTTGCAGTGATGGGCACTTGCAATCCCAGCTGCTCGAGAGACTGAGGCAGGAGAATCACTTGAACCTGGGAGGCGGAGGTTGCGATGAGCTGAGATTGCACCACTGCACTCTAGCGTGGGCAACGGAGCAAGACTCCATCTCAAAAAAAAAAAAAAAAAAAAAAATTCCCACAGTGCCCCTAAGAGATAGATTATGAGATAGGTACTTTTATTTTTTCTGTTTTACAAAGATGAACATTGGGAGGTTCTTTAAAAAAGAAGCTACATAACCTCCTTTGAATTATTTAGCCGTTAGTTGTCAGAGATAGGATTTGAACCCTGAGAGTTCATTCATTCATTTAATACATTTGTTTTGTTTTGTTTTGTTTTGAATGCCTGTTACACGTCAGGCACCTGTCTAAAGGCTGGTGACGCAGAAGTGAATGAAGCAAAATTCTTGCTTTTATGGAGTTTGGCTAATAGAGGATGAGAGCAGTCATAACAAACCAACAAATCAATAAATAATTTCAGAGGGTAATAGTGCCGTGAAGAAAAATCAGCTCTCTGTGAGGAGAGTGACTGGCATAGGGGGAAGGCCACTTTACAGGAACCTGGCAGGTAGAGCCCCTGAGTGATGACATCAAGCTGAGCCCTATGCGATGGAGCCAGTGAGCCATGCAGCGATCTATTGGAGGGCATTTTACCTGCAGAGTCCATCAGAGCAAAGGTCAAGGACTCGAAAGAGCTTGGCTTGTTTTAGGAACAGAGAGAAAGCCAGTGTAGTTGGATGATAAGTGAAAAAAGGGAAAAATTGTCTACGGTGGAGTCAGAGAGGCGGGCAGGCTCCCAGTGATGCAGGACCCATGGGCCACAGTAGGATGCTTGGAATTTATTCCATGTGCAGGGAAGACCTTGGAGGATTTTACACCAGGAAGTGTTGTGATCTCCAGTCTCTGCAGGCAGACTTCTTCCTCTAGGTTATGTTGCCAACAAGGAGCATCTGGAACAGACTGGGTTGTTTACGTAGCCCACAGCCTAAAGGAGTGTTAATTTAGGGGCCAGTGTTTCAGATGAAACAAAACTCTAGGGTTTCCACAGAACAACAAGACTGAAATGGACAGTGAGAGGTCACCTTAGCTGAACTTCTGACTTTAGGTAAGAAGACCTTAGATCCAAGTGGAGCATCTGGACTATACTAAAGATCTGCAGAAAGGGGAACTTCATCTTCTGTCTTGAGACCTTCCCCGAGTATATAGAAGGCGGTGCTCTAGATACTGAACTTGCTTGACCACTTCTTGGTCTGGAGGTTGTGCTTGCGTCATAGAGTAAACCTCATCCAAAATAAGAAGACATTACAGCTTTGAGTAGGTGGCATCTCAGGGATTTGCATTTGTGTGCAGTCTGTCGTGTGTGTGTGTGTGTGTATGTGTGTGTGTCTCTATTTATCTTTGAAAAAAATATTTTTGAAGATGCCTTCAACATTTTAACATAGAGGGCCGGGGCACGGTGGCTCATGCCTGTAATCCCAGCACTTTGAGAGGCTGAGGCGGGTGGATCACTTGAGGTCAGGAATTCAAGACCAGCCTGGCCAACGCGGTGAAACTCCATCTCTATTAAAAAATACAAAAATTAGCTGGGTGTGGTGGCACACGCCTGTAATCCTAGCTACTTGGGAGGCTGAGGCAGGAGAATTGCCTGAACCTAGGAGGCAGAGGTTGCAGTGAGCCAAGATCATGCCACTGCACTTCAGCCTGGGTGATAGAGTGGGACTCTGTCTCAAAAAACAAACAAACAAAAAACAAAAAAAGCAAAAAACAAAAACGTCAGAAATGCCTGGCATTTCTGATGAGGTGGCATTGTATGGATGGGACTAGAATTTGTTTTGTAAACTCATCAACTTGCTTATTTTATTTGAATGCTCTTTATAAACTAATACTCATGTTAACCCATTGAAATTGATTTGTGTCACCTAAGGGATGAAATTAATTGGTTGTTTGGGTTAAAGCCTTGCTATTATAAGACACTGTTCTCTTACTTTGACAAAAATATTCAGAGTTCATGAATACATTGATTTAGCAAAACCCAGTTTGAATAACATGGTAAACCATCACTAACGCACTGACTGTGTGTGTGCCTAGGTGGCTGACTATCCCTCTGTAGGTTCTTGACAATTCAAGCCTAACAGTACAGATTTGTTTGTGTGAAATGAGCATGGGAGGCATTTAGTTGAGCACTGTGATACAGTGGGCCCCAGAGAGCAAGGTAATAATTGTGAAAGAATTCCATTTAAGCTGCACAAGTGAGTATGATTTGGGGAAGAAAACCACCCTTGAGTTAGTTTTTATTTATAAAGAGCATATTTGTTTCTCAGGTGGAAAAACATCCTCAAACCACCTTTCTTCGTGAATGAGTTCAGAAAAGTCTAACAGCCAGGCGCAGTGGCTCACGCCTGTAATCCTAGCACTTTGGGAGGCCAAGGTGGGTGGGTCACTTGAGGTCAGGAGTTCAAGATGTGCCTGGCCAACATGGCGAAATGCCGTCTCAACCAAAACTATAAAAAATTGGCTGGGTGTGGTGGCGCACACCTGTAATCCAGCTACTCAGGAGACTGAGGCAGGAGAATCACTTGAACCCAGGATGCGAAGGTTGCAGTGAGCAGCCTGGGTAACAGAACGAGACTCTGTCTCAAAAAAAAAGAAAGAAAGAAAAGTTTAACAGGACAGGAACACAAGGACGAGGGTAGTCTAAGGGCAGGCTTTGTGGTGCACCAGCGGTAGAGGATGATGAGAACAGAGTTTCCATATCTAAAGGTGCTGAACTAGAGAACTCTCAAGGTTCCCTCACATCAACGTTCTGTAGTTTGGAAAAAAAGGATTTTTTTCTGCTCTATGAGTTAGACCGTGTTTTCCCAAGGCCTTATAGCTGTGAGTGCAGGACGACTCTAATAACTGCATCAGAATTTATAAATTCAGCTGTCAGCATTGGGATGGTTGAGTCGACTGAACAAGCAGGTTTTCTTTCATTGTCTGTTTCCTAGATGGATGAATAACAATTTCAGCCTCTCCACTTTGTTGTAACTCTGTCAGTCTGACATTTCTGATTGCTCAGAGGTTTCTGGAAATTTTCTAAGTCACACGTTGGAGTTAATTCAAAGAGATAATGCAATTCCAATGGAATCATCAGTGTCTCTGCTGTCAGATCGAGTATTTTAGGAGTTCAGTTGGTTGAGTTGCACAGCTCTGCAGATTTAATACTACATACTTGCCGCTTTGCGTCTTGCCCTCAAGTCTTCATAAATGGGCTAAAGGTCTGATTGGAAACTGTGAGATGAATTATATGTTTACTATGCCAAGTTAAGTAAATACCATTTGAAAGGATTACTAGAGGGTATAATCAAGTTAATTGCTTTAAAAATCTTTTTTGATTTACTGGGCTCTATGAAAATTGTTAAGCAATTGATCTGCCATAGTACATGAGCTGAAGAAAGTGGTGCTGAGTCCACAAGGTTTCCATGCACATCCCCTCCCCTGTGTCTGGAACTGCTCCCTAAATGAGAAGAGAGTCCCCCTGAGACCCGCATGCAAGTACTGTGGACAGACTGTTGTTCCTCCAGAGAAGACACATGTTGACAGCTTGACGTTCAGGCTGATGATGGATTTCTTTTTTTTTTTTCATTCTAGATGCTGAAGAATACCAGCCTCCTATATGGAAATCATACTGTGAGTACCTGAAATGAAAATCTCCCCAGAAGTCGTTAGCAGGCCAGCCTTTCTGAACAATTCTTGCCAGCGATGTAGTGCACACAAGCGTTCCCACCTCACAGCACTGAAAACCCAAATCTTTCTTTCCACTGAGGAAAAAGATTAGTCAGAGACGATTAACAGAGCCCCCTCCTCTTACCAAGGCCTCCAAGAACCAGCTGTGGCCCATTTCAAAAATGCTTAGAAAAGAGGGGTGGACTTTCTGACTCTCTGCCTTTCAGTTTGGGGCTTTATTTTTATTTATTTATTTATTTATTTATTTATTTATTTTTTATTTATTGAGACCAAGTTTCACTCTTGTTGCCCAGGCTGGAGTGAAATGGCGCAATCTTGGCTCACCGCAACCTCCATCTCCTGGGTTCAAGCGATTCTCCTGCCTCAGCCTCCCAAGTAGCTGAGATTACAGGCATGCGCCACCATGCCCGGCTAATTTTTTTGTATTTTTAGTAGAGACGAGGTTTCTCCATGTTGGTCAGGATGGTCTCGAACTCCCGACCTCAGATGATCCGCCTGCCTCGGCCTCCCAAAGTGCTGGGATTACAGGCATGAGCCACCGCGCCCAGCCACTTTTATTTATTTTTTTACACAGTTGATCGGCAAGGACAAATGTGTTGACTTCTATGAATTATGTTTTTGGCCAATCATTCTAAGGATAAAATATCATATGACATCAATGCTGAAAAATGAACAGATAGCGAAGAACCTGTTTGGTCACCAAGGGTGACTCTTAGAAACAGATCCTGCCTGATCATCAGTTACCCACCTAGCTCCCCTCGTGAAGGCAGGCGGCTATCATTGCCTAAGCCTTGTCTCCTCTTTTCTTAGTACTATATGCTTGACTCAGGAACTCCCCAGTGAGAGAGGGCAGGACTGTGGTAGGAGGAGCCCACTGTGTCCAGAGCCAGGGTGCGCAGGCCCTGGCTCAGGCTCTGCTTCTGCTGTCATCATTAGCATTCCTAACGAAGCTGCCAGGGTTACCACTCCCCATCAAGAACCTGCCCTGTGCTGGCCACCGCACCAAGCAGCCAAGTCCCGAATTCTTACCACAACTCTCACAGATGGGACTATTTTTTTTTTTTTTTTTTTTTTTTTTTTTGAGACAGGGTCTCGCTCTGTCACCCAGGCTGGCGTGCAGTGGCTCAATCTCAGCTCACTGCAACCTCCACCTCCCGGGCTCAAGTGATCCTGCCCCCTCAGCCTCCCAAGTACCTGGGACTGTTAAAGGCGCCATCACACCCAGATAATTTTTTGTATTTTTATTAGAGATGGGTTTTGCCATGTTGCCCAGAGCGGTCTTGAACTCCTGAGCTCAGGCAATCCACTAACCTCGGCCTCCGAAATTGCTGGGATTACAGGCATCAGCCACCACACCAGGCCTATGTAGACTGTTATTATCTCATTTCACATGTAAGGAAACCACGGCTCAGGGAGGCTAAGTAACTTGGTGAAGTTTTCACAAAAATTAGTGGGGTAGCATTCTGAGTGGAACCCACAGCCTGCACGTGTCCAAGACTTGTCCATTCTATTCAGAATCTTATATATACCTATGTGCATGTATACACACACACATAAATACACATATTATGTATGGATATATAATATATACACACAGCCACACACACACATATATAAATATGAATGTACGTATTTGTTACAAAAGCAATACAAAGCTACATAAAAGACAGATATTAGGGAAATACATAAAACGGAGAGTAAAAATTTCCCAACATCCACAAATTCCCCACCCCATATTCCAGTCCACTCTCTCCTTTCCCAGTAGCTGAGCTCTGTGAATGTGGGGAGGGAGATCCTTCTGATTGTTTAAAAGTGCATGCTTCATGTTAGGCATTTTTGTTGTTGTTGTGTAAAAATGGCTTGATGCTGTGTCCTTCAGCTTGCTTGTTTCACTTCACAAACATCTTGTTTTTATCTCTCCTTGTCAGCACATACAGAGGCACCTTGTTCTTCGTTACATAAGTCTGTTCTTCCATCTGTGAAATAAAGGGGCTGTGCTGGGTCTCTAAGGGCCCTTCCAATCTAATGCTCTGTATTCCGATCTTCTACTTTGAAAGGCCGTGCTAATGACTTAGTACTTGGATGTTTTTGTTTGTTTGTTTCCTAATGGAGTGTGAAGAGCTCTGACAGTAAATCAACAGAATATCTGTAGTGAGAGGCATTGGGTGTTCCATGACTTACTGTGCTTTGCACACTGGCTCGCGCATGGCCTTGCGTACATTAACGACCCAATAAATATTTGTTGAGAGAATGCCACCACCGAAAGCTTTGCTGAAGCGAAAAGATGGCATTGGCTCAAATTCATTTTGCCTTCTTCTAAGAGACCTTGGGCCACCCAGTAACATCTCTTAAAAGTACTTCTATGTCTTGAGGAAGCTGGAAAATCCTTGCTACTTAAATTTAACAGTATCAATTTTAACCCTTCTGTATTAGTTTTAAGTTTGATTTTTGGATCTAACCAAGTTGTGTGTTTTAAAAATTTGCTCTATAATCATAAAACTTTACTTGCAAAAGTTCCTCTTTATTATATCCAACTAATAGTCCTCCAGGCTCTATTTGAGAGCATCTAGTGATGTAGCTCTCCAAAAGTGAGGGGAGTATGCCATCCACGGCATCAAAAACATGTTGACCAAAGCCCTACAGACCACCAGTGAGGAAGAACTCTCTTTTGGTCATCCTGGATCCATGAGTTATTTGAGTTTGGGTGTTAGACCACGTATGAATTATCGAGCTCATGCTACTCCATCTTATTTCCAAGAATATCATCCATTTGTTTAATCTTTCAGCAAATACATTCTAAATGTCAGAGAATAAGTGTTAGAAATCAACAATGAATAAAATGTGGCTTATACTTCCCTCCAATGTACAATCTAGTCAAGGAGACAGATGTAAACCAATAAACTTAAAATGCAAATGAATTCTGGTAACAAAATGCTACTCCTCTATCTCCTGGGAAAGAAGACTATAGAAGAGGTCAAATTTGCATGTGGGTCTTGAAGGATGACTAGGAGAAGGAATCTGAGGGCCTTCATGAGATGCTTTTTAAAAAATCCAAATATGCTAAAATGATACCATTTCTTGATATGAAAGTCCAACAAAGCTATCAGAATATTGAATTTGTTTTATTTTAAATAAACTGTTGGTAAACCCGTTGTGAACCCCAGAAATTACCAAGCCTTTCTCTTTGAAATGTTCACAAATTATCCTTTGAGAGGTTAATTTTAGATACTGATGTCTAACTCATTATATCATGTATGGATTCCATATTCTTCCATCACACACTTTTTTAAACTCTAGCAATTTTCGGTACTATCAATTCTCTCATATATTTACTAGAGACAGTATATTTTTGCCATAGCATAGGACTTGGTTTAAAAATTTATTATTTGCAATGATTAGACAAGTAAGTAGCTATGTCCTTGTTTTCATTGACGTTTTTTTGGCCATAACTTTGACTTATTTAATGTCAGATTCTTGTTATGAAGCACTAGCCCCAATTATGGCATTATTCCTACAAGAAAATTTGTCTTAACCAGGCATGGTGGCATGCCTTGTAGTCCTAGCTACTCGAAAAGGCTAAGGTGGGAGCATCACTTGAGCCCAGGAGTTTGAGGCTGTAGGGAGCTACGATCACACCATTGCACTCCAGACTGTGCAACAGCGAGACCCTGTCTCTAAAAAAAATTTTAATTTAAAAATAAAAGAAAATTAGTCAATTTCTAATGATGATTTATTTATTTATTTATTTATTTTCTTTTTTGAGATGGAGTCTCGCTCTTTCACCCAGGCCGGACTGCGGTGGTGCTATCTCAGCTCACTGCAAGCCCCGCCTCCCGAGTTCACGCCATTCTCCTGCCTCAGCCTCCCGAGTAGCTGGGACTACAGGCACCCGCCACTGCGCCCGGCTAATTTTTTTTGTATTTTTAATAGAGACAGGGTTTCACCCTGTTAGCCAGGATGGTCTCGATCTCCTGACCTCGTGATCTGCCCGCCTCGGCCTCCCAAAGTGCTGGGATTACAGGAGTGAGCCACCGCGCCCAGCCTAATGATTGATTTTAAGAAGCGGTTTCTACGTTTTATTCTTGGCTGCAAGCAACAGAATACTACTCTCAATCACATTGATTGACTTAAGCCAAAAGTGCAGAGGCATTGGCTTCAGACATGACTGTTCCAGCAACTCAAATGACATTACCAAAATCCAGTGTATATTTCTTCTTTTCTTGGCTCCGCTTTCCTAGATTTCACCCTACTCTTACTATGTTCTTCCCTTGGGATCCCCCTGTAACTATCAACAATATCAGGGCTGTGCTTCCTTATCCAAAAGCAACAGGCAAAGAGACAGTCTACTTTCTTGACACATCTAACAAAGTCTCGGAATTGAGTCTCAGTCTTAATTGACCTGGGTTACCCATTCCTGACTCTATCACTGTGGTCAGGGATGTGCTGACTGCCCTAAACCAATCAGGACTCACTACTGGAATTCAGGAAAGGATCAACCCCATATAACCCTGTATAACATGATTGGAAAATTTGGAGTAATATTGGAAGGAGGAAGATGAAAATGGATGCTGGGAAGGCAACCATAAATATCTGGCTAAGAAATTTAGAAGGGTAAGAAATCAGCTCTCTCAATATTTTATATAAATTATAGTGTTCATTAATTTAGTCACTCCTTCATTCAACAAATGCATATTAAGTCTCTGCCTTAAGCCGGGCACTGTGCTTGGAGTTGGGCCACTAAGATGGATAAGGTCGGCTGTTGACTCAAGGAACGGTGATGCCACGGGATGGCCTTTAAGTCCCTGCCCTCTCTGTTCCTTTCCTTTTCTTAGAAAAGGAAAAAAAAGGAAAAAGCTTCATGGCTTACTGAGCTGTTTCCATAAAATAATCTTGTCCCAAAGTATCATACATCTGCAGCTAATTCTTAACTCTCAAGACTGAATACAAGAAACATTGATGACGTCACTGAGAAAGCTTTGGTTTCAATGCTCTAAAAGAAGAGCTACTTTCAAGTTTACTTAAAAATAATAATAAAGCTACATTCTAAACTTTAAGCCAGAACTGTATGAACTTTATGCCTCGAGCAGGCAAGTTCAAAAGCCAATCACCATGGTTATGCTCTGAAAGATTTTCTTTCTTAAGAGGCCAAGTGCCAATTAGGCAGCAGATGCAGTGGCTGACAGCTCTCCCTGGAGGCTCCCCTGGGCAGCAGGTCACTCAGGCATAGCTTGTGCCTGTTTTACAGATTTGAAGTTTAGAGCCTCAAAACCCTGATCTGCAGAATCCCTGCATCAGAATCCCTTGGGGAGGATATTTATGATAATTATTCCTCAGCCTTACCCCAGATCTCTGGATCAGAAAAGTGGGGGGATCTGCAATGTATCAAACCCCACAGGTTTCTCTTATACATACTTACGCCTGAAACCCCTCAGTGTGTGGGCAACTGTCATCTCCTCCTAGAGGTTTTTCACAGTGCCATTAGACAAGATAATTAAATCCCCATTAAGACTCGACATTCTGGCCGGGTGCAGTGGCTCACGCCTGTAATCCCAGCACTTTGGGAGGCCGAGGCAGGCAGATCACCTGCGGTTGGGAGTTCGAGACCAGCCTGACCAATATGGAGAAACCCCATCTCTACTGAAAATACAAAATTAGCCAGGCATGGTGGTGCATGCCTGTAATCCCAGCTTCTCGGGAGGCTGAGGCAGGAGAATCCTTGAAGCCAGGAGGCAGAGGTTGTGGTTAGCCGAGATCATGCCATTGCACTGCAGCCTGGGCAACAAGTGCAAAACCCCGTCTCAAAAAAACAAAAAAAATTGACATTCTGTTAGGAAGGCAAGGCCTTCCCATGGCAGGGTGGAGGGTGGGGTTGAGCCAAGGAAGACACCTAAAGCACCTACAATTCCCTGCTTATAAGGTTTTCCCATGAAAATCGGGAAGACATGAGCAGTGAGCAGGGTCATACTGGCTCAGCGTCATGGCCAAGTGCCTGGGTTCAGCTCCTGGGTCCATATACCCTCCTTAGAAAGAAGTAGACTGTTAGAAGCCATCCCTGCAGGATCTCTTAGGAGCTGATGGGGCTGGCCTGGGCTTCAAGGCCACCCAGGCTGTGGGCTTTCACCCATTAGCCGTCTGATTCTGTTCCCAGAGTGAGTCAAGTTTTCTTACTGAAGAAAAAGTAAAACAGTCTGTCAGTGAGCTCACAATTTCTTAATCTGCTTTGGGTTTCTTGGGGAGTTAGGGAGCTCCACCTCCGTGTTCCCCAGTGGCTGCCACCCCTGCCAAACAGCTTACTCTGGTGCTAAGAATTCTCTGGTGTGCGGCAGAGGGCCCGGGGCTGGGAATTCCTGGCACATATTTGGGACATTGCTGCAGAAGTAATTCCATCACGTCACCTCTCAGCTCACAGACCACCCAAGAATTGACATACATTATTGCATGTGACTTGTGAAATGTGTTTGTTGAACAAGGAAAATTCAAGAAGCAACGTTTTCAGATTATGCGATAAATTTCTGTTATATTCAACTCTGCCTCAGAGATTTTTTTCATGGATGCTATAGCTAACCTTGAAAATGATGGGCAGGCTCTCATTTGAAGCTAAGAGAGGAGATTGGGCCTTATTTTTATATGGTTGCCGTGGTAATTGATTGTCATCTCATTATCTTTATAGCCAGCCAGGTAACCCAGATGGCAAATAGGCTTCTGTGCCTACTTGCCAACTTCTGTTGTTTGGAACAGCATAGAACAGGGTTTTGCAGATTCTGAGACCTGCTCATTGAGAAATAAGTCATCAAATAATGATGTCTACTGCCGAGGGGCCAGGAGAGAGAGGTGGCAGTTCCTCGCTTCTGGGGTTTGCCTTCCCCTTCCCTCCTCCAAGTCGCCCCTGGCTGGGGATTGTTCTTTGTTGGTTGTGAGATTGGTGAATTACCAAATTTTTCTTTGCTAAAGCTCAGAGGGTTCCTAGAGAATGCAGCTATGGGATTTAGCCTGTTGACATAGGAGAGGAACTGTCCAGAAATGTTCCATCACCTGCATCCTTTATTTGTATAGTAGCATCTCAATCTCTCAGCCGCTCAGGGTCTCTTTGTAAACCAGTCTTGTTGATTCTCTTTTGAATCTCTGAGGCCATCAACTCACCTTCTCATTTGCATTTGCACCAGTGTTATCTTAACTCACACTTTCACAACCTCATCTGTGTACCAGTAAAACACTGTTCTCTCTTGCTTCCTTGTCTCCAGTGTTCCCCATGTCTGATCCCTCTTTCAGCAAGGCAAAGGACAGTGGCTCCTACTCCTGGATATGCATGAGTCTCTTGAAGAGCTTTAAAAAGAACAGATCTGGGGGCCCCTGGCCGGACTGGGAGAGTAAGCAATGCCAGAGATGGAGTCTAGGAATCTGTATTATTTTATAACTCCTAGGAGTTTCTAATGTGAGCAGCTCCTCATGGGACCTCTCCACCATCTAGTTAGGCAACCACTGGCTGAGGCTGAAAACTACAGCCTTTGGGTTTTGGAAATCAAGGCAATGAATCTTCATTTCATCCTCTGATCTGTGTGACCTTGAGCATCTTCAAAGCTGGCAGGCAACCCCGCTACCTTATTAGTGAGGGGAATAACAGTTACCTTGGAAGCTTTTTGGGAAGATGAAGTGAGAAGATGCATATAATATGCCTGGCACATGGTCTGTGCCCAGAAAAGGGCAGCATTTCTTCTTCTGAATAACCTTATCCCTATTACCAATATTTTAAAACAGAGTAGATCATGGCTCCTGCTCAAACATGTGACTGTCCCTTTGTTACAGACAGGAGGACAGTCACGGTCCCCAGCATGTCATTCAAGGTCCAGCCCCACATGGCCTTCTCACACATCCCACGCCCTGGCTCAGCAGCCACACTGGCCTCTTGCTGACCAGTCAGCTCATCATTTCCTTTCCCTGCAGTTCCTCTTTCCTCTATCTGTAACTCTCTCTCTTCTCTACCTGCAGAACCCTTCTAATCCTTCAGGAGAGCTCCCTGCCTCTTCCCTTGGGAAGTTGTTCTGACCACTTGAGTACATTGAATAGCTTCCTCCTCTTCCCCTATTAAAGTACTTGGCCCACCTTGGTTTTGTGTCTCCATGCATGTCCCCCATCACTGGCATCTCCTCGAAGGCACAGATTGTGACCCATGGGCCATTAGATACAGTCTGTTCATTCACCAAATAATTAAAAATGTGTTCACAAAGCCACTTGAGCCACACTTCCCATATATCACTGTTGGTTTCAAGAGGCATTAATAATGGGAAGAGAAAAGTGAACAGGATTCTCTCGCTGTGGATTCTATAGTCCTTCTTAGATCTGGAACTCTGTGATTCTAGGAGATGGCCCCTTTGACTCCTGTTACACACACACTGTCAGTAACATTCTGCTAAAAAGCAGCTTAGTAGTATTGGGCTGATTCAAGAGGAATAAAGGGACACATATGCATTAAACATGTACTACAAGGCTGAGCGTGGTGGCTCACGCCTCTAATCCCAGTGCTTTGGGAGGCCGAAGCAGGTGGATCACTTGAGGTCAGGAGTTCGAGACCAGCCTGACCAATATGGTGAAAGCCTGTCTCTACAAAAATACAAAAATTAGCCAGGCATGGTGATGCGTGCCTGTAGTCCCAGCTACTCGGGAGGCTGAAGCAGGAGAATTGCTTGAATCCAGGAGGTGGAGGTTGCAGTGAGCCGAGATTGTGCCACTGCACTCTAGCCTGGGCAACAGAGCAAGCCTCCATCTCAAACACCACCACCACCACCACCACCATCTACTATGTGCCAAGCACAGTTCTAGTTGCTGGGGATTCTGCAGTGCACAGAACAACATCCCTGCCCTCAAAGAGCTTACATTTTAATCAAGGGAGATGGTACACAAAATAAATAAACATAATATTTATTTCTTGTTTATTAATTGTGTTAATGATGATGAGTGCTGTGAAGAAACTTAAAACTATATAAGAGAACAGAGGGATAGGGTGGAATTTTATACAGGCAAGTCAGGGAAGGCCTCCCTGATAAGGTGAGGTTTAAGCAGATACTTGAATGAAGGGAGAGAGCGAGCCATGTGGATATCTTGGGAATGAGTAATCCAGGTAGAAGGAACAGTAACTGCAAAAGCCCTGAGGCATGGGAGATATAAACCAGGGAAGCAGGGTTGATGGCACCCGCCTGTATTCGCAGCTACTTGGGAGGTGGGGACAAGAGGATTGTTTGAACCCAGGAGTTTGATTCCAGCCTGGGCAACATAGTGAGACCCCCATCTCTTAAAAAAATTAAACCAACAAACAGACCAGGGGCTTTGGAATCAAAAGGCTGTATGTTAGCTCTATGTCCTGGAGCAAATATTTAACTTCTCTGCACTGTTTCCTCATCCCTATCCAGAATGATAATGACACAAAGTTATTTTTTCTGGTTTCTTAAGAAGATTCAATACATGTTATTCCTGACACATGGCAGGCACTTGGTATGCTGGTGCCCTTCTCTTCTCCCAGACTCTCCATTCATCCTCAAAGCCTCCACATAATGCTGACTGTGGTATCTTGCATATAGCAGATGCTCACATATTTGCTTGTAAGAATTGCAAAAGAGCACTTAGCTAAAAATGCTTCTCTTTTATAACAGGTATGCATCCTTTGCCACCTCCATTAACAATGGTATTCACAAAGCCATTTCAACCATATATCACTGTTGGCTTCAAGAGGCATTGACAATGGGAAGAGAAGAGTGGGCAGGATTCTCTGAATGTGAATTCTGCAATTCCTCTGTGATTTTAGGAGATGGCCATTGCATGCTCATTAACAGTAACATCCTGCTAAAAAGCAGCTTAGTAGTTTTGGGGGTGATTCCAGAGGAATAAAGGAATTCCATGCAGCCTCCCTGGTGATTAAGGAGGGCACGAGCTATACTGGGGTAGCCAGAGGAATGTCTACAACTGTTTCTCTGTCTTTGGCCAACTCTTCCTCACGTATTAAAAGAAGCCTTCTCTGACTTTATCTCTTATAGCTTTTTCTTTTTCTTTTGAATAAGCAATACATATGATTCAAAACTCAAAACAACATAAAGTATACATTGAGGAATCTTTGTCCCATTCCTGTCCTTGTCTTTCTTTTTATTCCCTGAAGGTAAATGCTTTTATTACTTCCTTGTTCCTTCTAGAGTTTCTTTATACAGATGTAAACAAAACTGAATATGCATTATTATTTTACTCCCTTTCTTAAAATGAATGTGTACTCTATGTATTTTTGGTTGTGTGTGTGTCTGTGTATTTTACAGTGCTCTTTTTGCTTAACAGAATGTCAAGAGTATTGTTCCAGGTCAGTGCATAGAGAGCTTTCTCAGTCCTCATTACAGGGGCATGGTATCCATCGGAAGACGTACCATAGTTAATTTAACTATTTCCTTCTAACAGAGATTGGTAAACCAAGCCTTGAAAAGATGATCCCTGCCAGCCCTGTACTTACTGTACTATTTCATAAAAACATTTGGGCCTCTCACTAAAGCTGATAGGGTTCTTGAAAGTAGAGGCTGTGGTTTTATTTATATTTATATCCATAGCACCTCAGCAAAACCTGGAGATACAAGACAAAGCAAAAACAAGCATGATCCCTTCCTTCGTGGCAGGACTTACAACATGCAGGGAGAAATCATTGTTTTTGGAACTCACATCAATAAATACAGAACTATAGTTGTTGATAAGTTATATAAAGGAAAGTACAGGGGATTGTAAGAGCATAGACTAGGGTGATGTCTTTGGATCTGGTGTGAGAGATGTCAAGAAAGACTCCTTCATGAAGTTGATATTTGAACTAAGGACATGATGATAAGGGGCAGATAACAAGAGGTAGAGAAGGAGGAGAGGAAGATGTCATAGACAGAAGGAATAGCATACGCAAAGGCCCTGAGGTTGAAGGGAACACTGTGTATTTAGGGAAAGGGGAGGAAACCAACTTGGCTGAGCAGAGAGCATGACACATGGTAACACTGTAGAAGGAGACAGGCAAAAGCATTTAGGGCATTTGATCTTCCTCTGAGAGCAATGTGAGGCCATGTAAGGCTTTTAAGCAGGGGAGTGACATGGTCTGATTGATATTTTAAAACAGTCACTCTAGCCACCAGGGAAAAAACAGGCTGCAGGGTGGGAAGAGTCCAGAACTTGGAGTAGGGTGTTAATGATAGTGATGAAGAGGAGTCGACACACTTTGGAGATGTTACAAAGCAAACGTGACAGGTCTGTCGATGAACTGACCATCTGAGGTGTGATGAACAACTTCTAGGATGCTGGTGTCTAGAGAAATAGGATGAATAATGGCTCCTTCACTGATCTCAGAATTCCCAGAAGCCTAGATTTGGAGGAAAAGATCCTGAGTTCAACTTTTGACATGTTGAAGTTGAGGTCCCTTTTCTTTTGAGAAAATCAGGAGGAATCTGTAGGAAGTAAGATATACATCCTGGAGCTTAGAGGAGGGTTCTGAGCAGAGATGTGGGAGCCTTTGTGTGTAGGAGATAAATGAAGCGTTAGGGGTGGAGGAGATTCCCTAGGGAGAAGAAAGAGAATGCGACCTGAAGAGGGCCTAAGGTAAGCCTTGGGCCTCTCCTATGGTCAGTGGACAGGTAGAAGAGAAGGAGGAGGCGCAGCAACATGCATAGGAAAAAGGCAGCCAGGATCAAAGGGTGAAGACCAGGAGGGTGGTGCCATGGAAGCCAATGGAAAGAGATAGCACAAGGTGAACAGTAGGTGCCAATTGGTTGATGATCTTATGTGCAAGGCCATTCATCTTTCCTCCCACTAGTCCCACTTTCCATGTATTGGTTCATTGGGATCTGAAGGCTCTTCCTCTACAGGGAGGCAGGTGTGTAGAAGCCTTCTTTTTATCTGTCATTTTTAGTGTCCTTCTGAGCTAAAGGGTTGTGGTGAACTCTGTTTTCCTTTCACAGATGACTACAGTCATCTTTAGGTGACACATTAGTGTGGGTGACCTATACTTAGAAATGTGGTACATTTCAAAATGTATAAAGGGTTAGATAGCTCCTTCTCTGTGCTAAAACCAGGTAGTCTACACTAATTAGGTAAGAAAATAACCACATTCAGCCAAAGACATTGGGGAGCCATAGTTACAAAATATATTCCATCATTTTTATCTGTGTTTCCATATGATCACTACCCTTCAATTACATTTTTTATTTTTAGACCTAAAAATAGATCAGAAAGTTTTGCTTATCTTATTACATTTTCTAGAAAGACTTTATCAGATCTAGTCTTTTTAACTTTTTGTAGATTTATTCCATTTAAAATTAATTATTTCCTCTTCAGGATTCTGAAGAGAACATCAACTTTTTTTTTCAACCTGTATTTTCACAGAAGTAGAATCCAAAGGTACCTGCTTAGGATAGCTTTTCCCTTTAGCAGAAATAAACAGACTAGCTGAGCAGCAGAAAAATCACTCATTATGTTCCGAAAAATCACAAATAATTGTCTGATAGATTGCTTTATATACAATGACCTGCCTTCCTCCTTGCCTAAGCCTGAAAGTCTGTCTTTAAATTAGGTTAGGAAGGAGTTATTATTATTTAAGATGAGAAAGGGCCTAGGAAAGAGGAATGACAATGGATGGGAAGTCATCAAATGGATGTGAATTTGCAGTGTGATAGACAGGGGGAAAATGGAGGGAGAAAAGAGAGAGAAATGGCTTGGTGTTTCATTCACTCACAGAATCAGTTATGTCTTTGTCCATAACTAACATCTCAGAGAATCACACTCCTCTTAAAATGCCAGTTCTTTTCCTGGTATGTCAAGAGACATCGGCATTTAAATTCAGGAATCCTATTATATGATCTTACTACTCAGGTACTCACAAGTAGAATTTCATCTTTAAAATAGTCAAAAGAATTTTAGCCATATTTAGTCTTCCACGAAAGCCATAAAATGAACAATGCCAGTAACAATTATGAAACTAAATTGGCCTTATAAGAATAAAAAAATCAATTTTGCAAGTTTATATTCACAGTGACTAATTTCCATATAAATAATCTGACTTTTTCCAGTCTAAAAAATGTGCCTGTATTCTCTTGTTTTTTTATATTTACAATCCTTGAGATGTACTTAGGTGGAAATATTTGAAGGCACGTTGATATGTGTTGCAGTATTCTAATTCTAATTATTTCTCTCTCTCTCTCTCTCTTTTTTGGCAGTATATCAGTTACAGCAAGAGGCACCTCGTCCCAAGAGAATCATTTGTCCTCGGGAGGTCAGTGCTCAGCTATTTCCAATACACCTTGTTAAATATGATGAATTGTCAGCACTATGTAGAGAGTGGAGGGATTTCAGGTTTCCTGGGAGTTGATTTCTATTAACATTTGTTGGAGTGTCAAAAAATTTAACATCTTCATAATCTATATTTTGACATCAGACATTATTTAAAAAATACTAACAAACCAACTTGGACTCAGATGTCTCATATTTTTAACCATTGCCGAGACAAATTAAACAACCTTTGTAAACACCAAAAAATGTGTATTCTGGATGTTTTCTTTGTTAATATCCTTTTGATTCTTTTAGCATTTTTTATTATGAAATGCTTACAGTAGAGAAAGTACAGGGAATAATAAACTTCTGGGTACTTTCAACGCCCATATTTAGTAAATCTTTATGCTTTGTCATATTTATATGACATTTTAAAATAATAAAGCCTTACAAAAAAGTGATGAGGTTTTAATTCTAACTTTCCTTAGTTCACTAATCAGTTCTCTGATTGTGTGGGATGCCAGCAAGATTTGAAAGGCAGGACTAAGGCTCTATTTTCTTTTTATTCTGATCAGTTTCTTTAATAGCATACTTAATATCCTTCAAATCAAAGGCCCATGGGTCCTTGCTTACTTTTGCTATTAATGGGATTAAATATAGAGCCACGGATAGCTTTTAAAGTGCCATGCATGCCTTATCAAGGGGGAAAGGCTCCAATTCCAACACTCTTGAGATTCACTCTTGAACATTAGTACTTTTTGGATCTGGTTTTGAACCTGTTTCAAAGACTTAGGTACCTGCATACCCATACTCAGAGCCAAGTTATCATGGTTTAATACATTTTTCTACATAAAATTTTACATCTGTTGAAGGGCAATGAAATTTATCAAGTCATCTCAATTTTAGTACACAGTAGACTTTCTCATCCTAGGCATGTGGCTGGAGAGGAGGAAATATCTGGTGCTTAAGGAAAAATCCAGGATGAGTTCCATTTATTTGGTACTCTGATCTTGTCCTGTCACTAACTCTGCGGTCAATATATTCAAATAATATATTCAATAATATGTTATTTGTTATTCAATAATCAAATCCAATGATATTCAATATTTTTTCAAATGAGAGAAAATAGGTAAATATAAATTTTTGAATGAGATGCACTAAATAAGGGTGTTCTCAGTGTGAATTAAGACACAAGTTGCTAAAATTTCCTTCACTCCTGCTTTTTACTGAGTGTTTCTCCATCAGAAAAATTATTGCCATGTGTAAGGAGGTAGAGGAGTTTAAATGTCTCAATGAAAAAAAACTTTGTAAAATTAGAATACAACTAAAGACTCTATCTAGGGGCATTAATAAAAAGACACTGGGCAAGATCAGGCACCAGAACTTGAAATGCAAACAGATAGTAAATAGTCATTCATTTATCTGTTTATTCTGTAAATATATATGGAGAGCCTACTGTATTTCAGCTCTGGCCTTGTTGTGGGGAATATAGCAAAGAACTTGGCTATTGGCATTTTGAATATCATAATAAAAGACAACAAAAGTATGATGTAATTAAATATATATTTAAGATTTTGTCCCTGTATATGTATGTGCGTGTGAAAGAGACAGAAAAAGAGAGAGATAGAGAGAAAAAACCTCTCGGTTTCTCAAAATCCTTGGAACCATGTCAGTTGCCCTTAAGGCAGGTGGAGTGTTAGCAGTGGAGGTAGGCGATTCGGATTATCCTCTTACAAACTCTTCCTAGAGTTCCACTGAAACTCTTCAACCATCCAGCGGGCTGAGGGTCCACTGCATGTCTGTTTGCTGTTGCAGTGCCATCACCATCTGCTGTGACTAAAGAATATGGTGCCCATGTCTCTTGTTTCCCCCTTGTCTGACTGTTAAACCATGCTCTTCACCTTTTGACCTTACCAATTTGATATATTAGTAAGTGACATTGGTTGATGCTTGCTTTCCTCTAGAATTCCATATCCCATTTCTGCCACGAAACCTAACGTGAAATGGAGATTCATCAGCTCCCTTTCCTCAGCAGGCAGCATGGGGCCCATCTAGCCAGGCAGGTGTCAGATAGTAACAGGTCAAGTTTGCTGGAAGAACAGGTGCTGCTCAGATGAGTGTCTGCAGGAGTAGCTTCAGTTCCCTTTGTTCTCTAGTTGGTCCTCCAGTGTGATGTTAACTGCAGATAGTTCCTGCCTAAATTCCCAAGCCTCCCAGGAGTTGGCCTCCTGCAAGTGAAGGCGCCACTTTCTCTTGCATGATGGTGAAACAGTTTTCCCCTACTACAGACGGTGCTTAGTCATACGTCTTGTTGTCTTGTAACACACTTGCATGCTTGGGAGACATGCCTAATGAAGACAGAAAGCCTTTCTGTGTGAGTTTGTGGCCAGGGAGATTGAAGCTTTATTTACATATTTACATAAAGCAGTAAAGGCTGTTTATTTTAAACAATGAGTTATAATTTTTTCTACGTACGTTTTCCTATTACATCTCATCCGTTAGCTAAGAGCCCGCATCTTCCTCTTCTACGCAGCTCTGGGCCCTTTTTCTTGGTCTTCAATCTATCTCTTCCCAGCTACTCTTCCCTGGTCCCTAGCGTGGTAGCTCCAGTATACTCAATCTCTGTTGTTTCTCTGATGACTCATACTTTCCCGGGCCATGGGCCTCTCCCAGATTAGGACCTGCCAGTTCAACGTGATAAATACCCACATTAGAGCACCAAGCAAAGTGTGCAATTAGAGAGATGTGGAACAGTGTCCCTCTAAGGTATAGACGTAGGCCAGTCTGCCTTGATACATGGTGGTTATCAACAGATACCAACTACTTAGTAGACTTTGCTGCAGAGCTGGGTGAGTCAAGGGTACAGACTGATTCAGCAGGCAAAACCCACATACTTAGCAAATCCAGGAAAGCAGGGAGCTCAGCTGCAAAGTCAGCTTGGACTTGTTTTGACTTCTTGCTCCACCACTTTCTAGCTACCTAACACAGAGCCAACCACTTACTCTCTCAGGGAGATTAAGGCCTAACCTACAGATAAGCATCTACTTTGCAGGGTTGCTATAAATGGCATATGTGGGTCAAGTGTCCAATACAGTGCCTGCTGCATAATGGGTACTCAGTTAATGTTCATGATTCATGGCAGAGTCAGAAACCTGTGAAGAACAGGCTCTGAACTGGTCATTAAGGACAGAGTCGAAGTGATGACAGTATTCTCTGAATGTAAGGGTAAGAGGCAGTGATCAAGAAGAAAGCAAGATGCCCAGGTCCGGAATTAAGCAACCAGGAAAAAAGATACTGAGGATGAGGAACAGAAGGTACAAGCAGCTGAACAACAGCTCTGGCGCCAATTAAGCCAGGCAGGATCAGGTCGTGAAATAACAGTTCATTGCTTTCTTGAAGCTTTACTACTGCAAATTAATATTTATTGGGCAGCCGCAGCACCTGATGCTCTGCTGGCACTTCCTGAACACTCCATGCCGACAGATGCAAAACATCTTCCCATATGCAGAATTCTCACTGCTTTTTCCATCAACTATCAGTCAGTCACATCATAAGCATTTATTAGTTACCAAATGTGTGCCTGGGTTGTCTGTCACAAACTGTGTGGAATGTTGACTCTCAAATTTGTTTCTCTAGCCAAGACCTCTACCCGGGGCTCCAGACACCTCTATCCACCTGTCCACTGGACCTCCTCAGGCCACCACCTGTCTCACAGGCCACCACCAGCCTCATGTTCAGAATAGAACTAGGCCCCGCTCCATTGGATGACACCTAACTTCAGAAACCTGTACTTCTCCCTTCCCTACCCTCACCCCTTTCTCCTCCATTCTTAGCATCAAGTCTATCTCCAAATATATCTCGCATTGTCCACTGTACTCTATCCCCATGAATGTTGTGTGGTTTGGGCCATTGTCATTTCTTGCCTGGATTTCATTGCAGGTAAAGAGCCTCCCACCTGATCTCC
Organism: Homo sapiens; assembly: GCF_000001405.40. Lineage (NCBI taxonomy): Eukaryota > Metazoa > Chordata > Mammalia > Primates > Hominidae > Homo > Homo sapiens. The sequence goes on from NC_000007.14 coordinate 29,371,948, forward strand.
CTGCTTCCACTCCTTGCAGCTTCCCTGCAGCTCACATATACACACACACATACACACTCCAGTCACCAGACAGGAGCCCAAATCATCATCGTTAAATATAAATTAGACCCTTCAATAGCTTTCTGTTACTCTTAGTAACAAATTTCTTGCCGTGCCTATGAGCCATAGTTTGCCTCCTGTGTCTGTCACTGCCCTGTCTGTACCATTCTTCTCCAAGTGCACTGCCTTTTAGCCCCACTAGATTCTATTCCCATTCATTAAAAAAAAAGAAAGAAAGAAAAAGAAAAAAGCACTGTCACTATCACTGGGCCTTTGCACTTGCCCTTTGCCTGAAATTCTCAGACCCAGGTTCTCTGCACGTCTAGGTTTCAGGTCAAATTTCACGTAATAAGAGGCCCTTCCTAAACTCCATAAAAAAGTAGCACCTCCCCAACCCTTGGAGCGTCTCTGTCATATTGCCTTGTTTATTGTATCTGTGGCACTTTATATACTCTCTGATACACTTTCTTAACATATTTGATTGTTGCTTGTATATGCCTCTCCAGGAGAATACAACCTCCAGAGACTTCATCAGTCTTAATCATAGATATATCCTTAGCAGTGAGCATAGCCAAGCAACAGTGGGGAATCAGTAAATAAATCAGTAAGTTTCAAAATGATGAAAAAAAAGGATAGCGATTGCTAGCATAAGGAATTTGGGATTCTCAAACTATTACTAATAGCATATCAGATTTACTCAATGCTGTTATTAGGATAGTGAGCTAGACTTTTGGCAGTTGTTAAGGTACTAACTTAAACACAGACTAAAATTTTTTCCTGGACTAATCCAAGTTTCTTCTTGGCCTCTCCAAAAGGCCAAAATGGCAAGATTTACTTGTGTGACTCATTGAAAGTCAAGTTGCCCTAAAATTACCTCAAGCCTACACTAAATAAGCAGAAGTTCTTTTGTGACTGTAAATGATTTGGTGTCATTTGTCTTTTTTGAAATCGCTATAGTGAATATGGGATTATAAAAAGCAATTTCAAAAAAGGGAAATACAATGGCATACTATTATTTCAAGTTGTTCTCCATTTTATATAGCTTCATTTCCTTCTTGCTGTGGAATAGTCTATTTTGGAAAACTTTTTTAATGCAAAAATGGATGGTAGAGATTTCTAGCATTCATGATCAGAATCAGCTTTTTTCTTGATGGTCAGAAGTTAGACCAAGTACTGATGGCAGTGGCCAATCTTTTTTTTTTTTCTGAGGTGGAGTCTTGCTTTGTCGCCCCCGAGCTGGAGTGCAGTGGCGCTATCTTGACTCACCGCAATCTCTGCTTCCCAAATTCAAGCGATTCTCCTGCCTCAGCCTCCTGAGTGGCAGGGATTACAGGTGTACCCCACTGCACCTGGCTCATTTTTTTTTTAAGTAGACACAGGCTTTTACCATATTGGCCAGGCTGGTCTTGAATTCCCAACCTCAGGTGATCTGCCTGCCTCAGCCTTCCAAAGTGCTGGGATTATGGGCATCAGCCACCACGCCCGGCCGGCAGTGGCCAATCTTAAGTTGGAGTAGTATCTCACTACCTTATTTTACCTTCCAGTGAATTGTATTCATTTTTTAAACACTGCTTAAGTATTCCTACCCTCTTTTATGCAGTTTTCCCTAGTTTTTGGTGTTCTAAATATCTACTGATTTTACTCTTTTCTATCTTTATTTCTAAAAACTGTTCCTGTAAACCTTCGAAAGCATTCCATTTCTTCATTATGCTTTTTAAAATTGTATTAATCATATCTAGACTTCACAATCTTGTAGCTCGAGGACATTTATCTTGTCTTAGGCACGTCTGGAAGATCTTAACAGGCCATATTGATTGACCATATCATTTTCAACTAACTCAGTACATTTTGAATCACAGATTTTAAATGAACTCTAAGGGATTTTCTACCATTCCACAGTTCTCCCCCTTTTCTTCTTTTATTTATTGAAATAAATGTTTTAAAACAAAGTGCATTTGGGGGAACGTGAAAACTCTACTGATTTAAGACATCTCGACAAGGTATGTCTTAAAGTAATGAGATTGATTCTACAAGCCACAAACAAAAATCAATCTCATTACCTTTTAATTGGCTTTATGTGTAGTAATCAGAAGGCTATTTCTTCCCTTGCAGAAAAACTATTCCTTTTCTTTTCATCCTAGACTTTCTCTGCTTGTCTCTTTTTTTCCCCCTTAATGCCGACACAATCAAGAATGAAGGACTTTCCCATCATTATTCCTCCACGCTGTCATCTCACTCACTGATGCTGTCAGGCCTTTTTCTTGATGCAGTTTTCTTCTGAACTGGACTTGCTTTGGGTTTAGACCTGATGTAGTACAGGGGAAAAATCTAGTAACACCAATGTTAGAAATAAAATTTTGACATATGAATTTTTTTCCCTAAAGATAGAACCAAATGTTTTCTGCTTTTTTTTTAAAAACAAAAAACTTTCTTTTTTATTGACAAGTACTGTGATCTACCAAAGTGCATACTCCCCCTGCCTCCAAATTCACTCTCTTTGGAATACTTTGAACTTCTTCTAAAATAATACAGATCCCCGCAAGTATGCACCTAGAACATATTTAGACATTTCCAAGGTGAGGTCATAAGCGCTTGGGTAAGGGCTGTTGAGACCAAGCTGTTATGGAGTTCAGAGCCAAGGGGAGCAGGTGAGGTGAGCTGGAGAGGGCCACCAGAGAACAGTACATATGCCAAGACATAAGATGAGGCAAAAGTAGAATGAGGAAAGTAAATGGGAAATTAAACAGTGATTGATAATAGGCAAAGTTTCCGGAGAAGATTCTTCAATCTCTCTGGGTGATTTTTATTTCTTTATTTCCTTCCTTCCTTCCTTCCTTCCTTCCTTCCTTCCTTCCTTCCTTCCTGCCTCCCTCCCTCCCTTTCTCCCTTTCTCCCTTTCTCTCTTTCTTTTTTTTTTTTGACGGAGTTTCGCTCTCGTTGGCCCAGGCTGGAGTGCAATGGCGCGATCTTGGCTCACCGCAACCTCCGCCTCCCAGGTTCAAGCGATTCTTCTGCCTCAGCCTCCCTAGTAGCTGGGATTACAGGCATGTGCCACCACACCCAGCTAAATTTTTTGTATTTTTAGTAGAGATGGGGTTTCTCCATATTGGTCAGGCGGGTCTTGAACTCCTGACCTCAGGTGATCCACCCGCCTCAGCCTCCCAAAATGCTGGGATTACAAGCATGAGCCACCGTGCTCGGCCCTTTTTTTTTTTTTTTTTTTTTTTTTTTTGACGGAGTCTTGCTCTGTGGCCCAGGCTGGAGTGCAATGGCATGATCTTGGCTCACTGCAACCTCCACCTCCTGGGTTCAAGCCATTCTCCTGCCTCAGCCTCCCGAGTAGCTGGGATTACAGGTGCCCACCACGCCCAGCTAATTTTTGTATTTTTAGTAGAGACAGGGTTTCACCATGTTGGCTGGACTGATCTTGAACTCCTGACCTCAAGTGATCCACCCGCCTCGGCCTCCCAAAGTGCTGGGATTACGGGCGTGAGCCACCGCACCTGGCTGATTTTTATTTCTTAACATCTCACTTGAAAAGGTATATTCCCTTAATTAGTAGAGTTGGAATACTATGTGGTATTGTTCATTGTTTTAGAAAAAAAGAACTGATAGCATCGTGTGTTACAACATGTGTTCTGCCATCCTCCTCTAGCCTATGACAGCTGGAACCCAAGATCCCATTACTCATTGATCTCAGGTGGTGGTGGTAGTGAGAGTGTGGATCCAAACTGAGACACAATTGTTATGCGGAGGTACTGGCTTTTGTAACACCAACCTTACTCATCCAAACACAGAGCAAATGTCACACCTCCATAGGAGTTGCTACCTACAGCAGCCCCATATTAAGTCTGCTCTGTGACTCAGAGGTCAGGCCCCACAAGTTTTGGGGTGTAACCAGGGTTATCCAGGAAAAGGAGCAGGTGCATAATGCTGGAGCTATAGTGAGGATTTAAAGACATGCTTCACATTTTGCTCACCTGGTTAAACTGTAACTGAGAAATAATGCTGATAAAGGCAGGTTATACTTTGCTCCAGATAAGCCATGTCTCCTACTGGCGTGTGGCCTGTCCAACCAAGCACTGAGAGGCTTGGACGTAGATTTCTGACCTTGATTCTGCTTTCCATTGGAAAAAATGTGGATGATGCAATCTCAGACAGCCTCAATTTTAATATGACTATGCTGAATGATATTACCTAATTATTTACTTGTTGTCAGTCTTTTAATAGAAATGACAGCTATCACATATGGAGTACTTCCTGTGCCCTGAGCACCGGCTTCAGAGTTTTATGGATGCTACGCCCACCACAATCCCATGGGGCTTGTTATCCCTCTCACTTTACACAGGAGGAAATGAGACAGGAAGCACAAGAGGGGCAAAGGCCAGATTCCAACCCAGATAGTTCATATCAATGGCTGGGCTTCTAATCCAGTGAGTCACGGAGTGTGATCCCAGCATCAGCTGGGAACAGGTGAGAAATGCAGGTTCTGTGGCCCATCCCACACCTGAATTACAAACCCTGGAGATGGGGCCCAGCAATCTGTGTTTTAGCGAGCTCTTCAGGGGATTCTGATGCCGCCTTGGGTGTGAGAACTACTGTTCTAAGGACTGTTCTTGCTTCTCTCTGCTTTCTATTTCATCCTTCCTCCCTAATCCCTTAGGATAGAAGACTCAAGATGCTTTTGCCTCCTGGTAATGCTTGCTATTTGCTCAGCACTTGTGCTAGACTATTCACGGATTTCAGTGTAGGCACCCATAGCCTTCCTTATTTTTCCCAGATGTACTTCCTCCCAGATGTTATTTTCCACCCTTTAAAAATATTTTGTCTTTCTTCTTTGCTATTTCTAACTTTCCTGTACTCTTTTATGTTGCAGAGACCAAATGTGAATCCTGCTTGTAAGGGTGGGGTCAGTACTTGATTAAGCCTGATCTCCTCCCTCTACCCTCCATTTTCTGGTATTATACTTCTAATGTTATGTTTGTGTTACTAATTAACAAAGCTATTTCAAATTCAGGTTTTTTTGTTTGCTTGTTTGTTTTATTTTGTTTGTTTATTTGAGACAGAGTCTCACTCTGTTGCCCAGGCTGGAGTGTAGTAGCATGATCTCGGCTCACTGCAACTTCCGCCTCCCAGTTTCAAGCCCCCTGCCTCAGCCTCCCTAGTAGCTGGGATTACAGGCATCTGCCACCATGCCTGGCTAATTTTTGTATTTTTAGTAGAGACGGGGTTTCACCATGTTGGCCAGGCTGGTCTCAAACTCCTTACATCAGGTGATCCATCTGCCTCAGCCTCCCAGAATGCTGGGATCACAGGCGTGAGCGACCACGCCCCGCCTCAAATTCAGTCTTAATATGATGATTCATGTTCATTCATATTCAGCATATACTATTATGAATTCCAGCTCTTTTGGGATCTTTTAGGTGTTTTCCTTATCTGTGGCTATGCATGAATCCTTGCTAGATTTCCTTCTGGTTTTAATGTCCTCTTGCCTTAATGAAAATACTAAATTCATTATCGTATGTCAGAAATGCTTTAATTGCATTTGTTTTCCAAGATGCTAGTTTCTTCACTCAGTCCATCCTCTGTGTGCTTAATGAGCATTTCTCAATTCAGGATTTTAGATAACGAATTTGCTAATAAAAGCCAGTCCAGAGCAGGTGGTTTGGGCAAGGCCCACCTCCTTGCCTCAGTCTACCACTCGCCTGGCATCTGGCTGATGCTGACTGAGCCATTGGTAATAATCTTCTTTGGCTATGTCCTTTAGCAAATCACAGTCTCACTTGACATTAGTTCTAAGTACACCATGTCTCTGTCTTGTTGGACGGAAAAGCAAGCTCTGCTTCAACGATAGTATCTTTTTCTTTCTCCTTATTTACATGGCCAGTGTCATTTCCTCATCTTCTGTGGAAAGAAATTAAATAGCCTTGGCACAGCCCAACAAAGGCATATTTGGTTGCCATCCAGCACCTTGCGTCCTTCTAGGTAATTACACATCGATTGTTTGATGAATGTTCTTGGATCTCCCTGGGTATTTCTACCAAGTCTGTAATTACACTACTCTGGTTGTCCTTTTGCTCTGTCATGGTTCTCAGGGTTCCATGGCTTCTCAAAGACCAGGCTTAATGATGTTTCATCAACACCTTTCAAGTCAAGGATGCAGCTCAGACTCCTTAGTGTTTCATTAGTCTCAGTTGCTTAAAAATGTAATTCAGCCATTTTCTACCTCAGTTCATTGTGATTTCTTAAGTTGGCATCAGTATGCCGTAGCTTAAAAATTAATGATTCTCTCCTCCCAGTGCATTAAAAGATGAAAGAGCATGAACAAGGAATGATTTGACCCACCATTAAATAAAAAGGCCTTTGAGGCATTGGCAAGCTCTGTGTTTTGAGCTAAGAATAAGAGGTCCTGAAACTGGTTTTTGGAGAATGGACTCTCATGCTTTTTCGTCTAGCATAGGCGTTGGTCAGCTATATCCTGGAGACTGTTTTGGTAAATAAAGTTTTATTAGAACGCAGCAGTACTCATTCTGTTATATATTATCTGTGGCTGCTTTCATGCTACCATGGCAGAGCTGAGTACTTGAGACAGAAACTATATGATCCCAAACCTAAGATATTTACTTTATAGCCCTTGCTAGAAAAAAGTTTGCCGACCCCTGGTCTTACACTAAAAGTAACTTTAAAGAGTGAGTTAGGCCACGCGCGGTGGCTCATGCCTGTAATCCCAGCACTTTGGGAGGCCGAGGCAGGCAGATCACGAGGTTAGGAGATCGAGACCATTCTGGCCAACATGGGGAAACCCCATCTTTATTGAAAATATGAAAAATTAGCTGGGTGTGGTGGCACATGCCTGTAGTACCAGCTACTCAGGAGGCTGAGGCAGGAGAATCGCTTGAACCCAGGAGGCGGAGGTTGCAGTGAGCCGAGATCGCACCACTGCACTCCAGCCTGGAGACAGAGCGAGACTCCGTCTCGAAAGAAAGAAAAAGAAAAAGAGTGGGTTAATATACATAAAGCACTTAGAACAGTGCCTGACATTTATTTATCAGAAGCATTGGTCTTTAATTTCTACCATCTCCCAAGTACTACATAAATGTTAGTGGAAAAAAAAGGAGTTTCAGCCTTGGAATTTAGGATGAATTTGATCCCAAGCCATGTTGAGAGATGACTTGGCCTTCATGTTTAACATGCATAAATTAATGAAAGAGGCCAAAGCAGTTACAAGACGCAGGTGTTCTTTGACCTTCTTTCTGATGGTCACTTTCTCCACTTCAAGAGATGGAAGCCTGTTAGCAAAGGTGGCACAGCACTCCATCAGCAGGAAGTTAAAGGGGTGCGTGGGATCTGTTTATTTGGTAGCAACATCTGAACATGGAAGCTAAACTGACTTAAATTTCAGGAACAAAGCTGGTGTTAGCCTCCTATATGTTCTTGAATTCTGATTAATAATTTGTATGCCAATGCCTTTGAGGAAAGAGTGCTACATCTGCAGTTAACTCTGAAGTCTATTTTTTAAAAGTTGGATTGATGGATGGATAGAGGAATGAAAAAATATATATGCTGTAAAGCAAGAATAGTAAAAATGCTGTAGAACCTAGATGATGTGTATATGGGTGTTTACTGTAAAAGTCTTTCAACTTTTCTGTATGTATGAAAATTTTCATTATAAAACGTCAAGAAGAAAAAATGAAGACTGTGTGAGAAGAGTGGCAGGATGTGCTCTGGCCCATGGAACAAAGACATTCTCTTGGGTGCACAGCCCTGACAGGTGGGAGGATGACTTGGCATGAGAGCTGTCGAAAACACTATAAGCCATGCTCAAGAATTTTTAATGTGGAATAGAGAACTTTTCTGAAAAAGCATAGTTGAAAGCAAGGACAAGCATTAATAAGGCACTTCTACTCTTTTATTTATTACCATGTTGGGAATTATTTTGGGAGGAGTGCTTGCTTCAGAAATGCTAAAGTAGGTAATTTGTAAAAAAAAAATTAATAGAGAACAGGCTTCTGGATTTTATGTAATCATTACAATATAGAGCAATGAGTGCTGGCCCTGATATCAGGAATTGGGTTTTAACTCTGAATCTGCTGCTATCCCTGGGCAGGACTGTGGGCAAATTAGTTAATCACTCTGAACTGCAGCTTCCTTGTCTATAAGAAGAAGGCAAAGATACAATTCCACCCTCCTGGTGGGAGAATATATGTAAAAGCATTCTGAAGGTCATGACGTTATCAGTGAACAATGAGTTCTCAAAGGGGGCAATATCACCCCTAAAGTGGAGAAATTTGGTTCTTACCAAAAAAAAAACCCTTACTATTTATATGTATAAAGCACAAATACCTATATAGAACATAAACAGATATACAGTCTATATGTAATATTAAAATTCCTTTGTGGGGAGGTGCTTGAGAGAAAACCTGTCTAAAAAGGCTCCTTAGGGAGCTATAATGCAAAAACAGACAAGCCTTGAATTTCTACCATCTCCCAGATTCTGTTCTCCTTTCTTTTTCTTTAGGTAGATTAATTTTATCCATCACTTTGAATACTTAATACTCTTACATTTCTAGGAGAGAGAGAAAAAAGTAACTTCTGGGAGAAAACTAAGAATGATAGACACTTTGCCTTTTCCAAAGTACGTATAGTACCACTTAACCCAAATACCATTAAGCTTTGATGGAAGGAATTTACTAACAAGAGTGAGGAATTAAATGAGTATACTCACCCAATCTTTTTTCCTCTAGAAATTTAACAGCAGCATGAGTTTTCCCTTGATTTGATTCAGTTCTGTTGGGTACTTCAAGCTCTTTGGGCTTAAAAGGTATGTGGAGAATTTAAAGAGAGTTTGGAGGAGAATAATGAAGATGAATTAAGGATTGGAAATTGGGACCTATTAGAAAAGGTCAAAGGCACAAGGATTATTTAGTTTGAGGAAGAACAGGCGATCTAGTGGCACAGAGATGGCTTTTAATAATGGAAGCCTTATTCTGTAGAGAATATTCTCAGATTCTCATTTGCACTGAAGACCAAAAGAAAGGAAGATGCATAATTGGAAGCTGGAGGAACATAAGATTAGATGTGAAGATAACATTTATCTTCATGATTAAATTCTGGATTTTGAGTCTCCTTTACAGTATTTCTTATTTTAAAGTAAAATCCCTGTTTGGTCGATCAGAAGTGTGGACAAGTCAGCCCATCATGTTTGATTCTCTGGCCCTGGTTGGGAGGTCAGCCAGCCAGCCCAGCCAACATGGCCTCCTGGGGATCTGGCTTGATGGGAGAAAACATTCATTTCACCTGGACCTGTGGCTCCAGGATGCCAAAGATGAGTACAAAAAACTCTAGCCAACAGAGTGCCAGGCTCGTGCCAGAAAAGTATGCCTAATTGGGTTGTCCAAACAAGGAGGGCCTAAGGCAGATTTTGAGAGCCAACATATGGAGCCAAGGAATCACGGTGCCAAAGAAGATGTAGCAAAGAAGAGTGGGTGAAAGTGAGCTGCTGGGAAGAAGGGCTGGATAGAGGAGTGCCACTCATGGCTGGGCTTTTGGGTGTTCCTGGAAGCCCACTGTGAGAATGGATCAAAATCAATGGGAAGGTGCTGCCAAGGTGTCCTAAGCTTCTAGGATAATATTTATTCTCTCAGGGTTTTGGAACTGCTGCCCAAAGTCATAGTTCTCAGTCCTGGGTGTGAGTCAGAATCACCTGTGGAGCCTGGCAAACCTTACAGACACCCTGGCTCCAGCCCTGGAGATTTTGATTTAATGGAAATATCACTTAGAATTCTATTGTAAGCAATAAAAGTCTATTCTCACTAAACTAAGCAAAAAAAAAAAAAAAAAAAAAAAAAAAGCAGGGCCTAGGAGGGCGGACCAATTGTGGTTAGAAGGATATGAGGAAATTCCCTGGATGGAAAGAAAAGCTGGTCAGAGGGCTTGAGAAAGGATTTGAAGCAAGACTGACAGACCTTGGGCAATAAGAGGTGATGGTTAGCGTCAGAGTTCCAGGGTAGTCCAACCTGCCCTTTGCACCTTGCTTCTCTGTGCCTCAGTTAGTCCTCTGGAAATGGATATAACTGATCTTACCTCTTGGGTAATCATGAGGATCGACAGGGTTGATATATGTAAAGAAAGTGCTTAGAACAATGCCTGGTACATAAGTTCTCAATAACTATTAATGATTATTGTTGTTATTAGGCTCTGCCATGCATGTGAATCAACTCTTAACAGTTTCATTTAATGGTTTCTACTCAAGTCTCAAATTCCAGGGGCAGAGCATCTGGGTGGCTTATGTTGGTTCACATGTTCACCCTCTAAAGAATGTGAGGGACTTCGATTAGCAGAATCACTGGCTCGAAGTCACAGTTGTTGCCTGTGGTCTTCAGTCTTCACTCTGGAGATTCAGAAAGCAGACAGGGGAACAAGTTTTGTCCCGTAGCTTGGAAGCATAAAGCATCAAGGTGTGAGCTACCACCAATGCCAGTCTTTCCATGGATACCCCTTTTGAAATTTCAGTGAGCCCCAGAAAGGGATCTGGGAGCATAAGCAAACCTGCCTTTCACTTATTGTGTTATGCCATGAGGCTGAGCTCTGTGAACACCGTGAGCAATATGCTGGGACAGCAGAGGTGAAGAAACAGGAGCCCTTCCCTCAAGGAGCTCACATTGAGAGCTCATAAAAGCCAACAATCCCAATCCCAGTAAGATCGCCACGGCCCTAACTCAGGCCTTTTATAAAGTTCAGAGGCAGGAGACTTCCCCAGGATGGCAGCATTTCAGCTCTTACTTTTAAATTAAATCAGTGAGATTTTGCCAGGCTAAGGCATAGAGAGACTGAAGAACAAATATTAGAATTCCAGGCAGAGGACATAACCCCACCAAATAATATCCTAGAAGTATGAGCAGCCGAGGGTGTGCTTCAGAAACTACAGAAGCTATGTATGAGGAACATGAAGAACTGAGGGGTGAGGATGTCGTGGGGCAAGAGCATGTGTGTCAGTAAGAACATATTCTGGACACACAAGCAAGGACCATCCAGGGAAGATCCTAGATGCTATTCATGTGTTCATCCAGTAAATACGTATTGAGCCCTTGGGAAGGGCCAGGACTGTTTTAGACTCTAGAGATATAGCAGTAAGCAAAGCACAGTAATCTTTGCCCTTATATAGTTTCCATTTGAATGGAAGATATTGGCAAAAAAATGTATTCATCAGAGTTCTTCAGAGAAATAGAACCAATTGTATGTGTGTGTATGTGTGTGTGTGCGTATGTGTGTGTTGCAGGTGGTGTAGTTGGAAGGCCTGAGAGCTCTCGAGCTGATGGTGTTGATTCCAGTCTGGGTCTGAAGGTCTAAGAACCAAGAATACCAAGGGCAGGAGAAGATCGGTGTTCCTGCTCTAGCAGTCAGGAAGAGGGAGCATGAATACAACCTTCCTCTGCCTCTTTGTTTTATTCAGGCCCTCAATGGACAGGATAGTACTGACACACACTGGGGAGGGCCATCTTCTTTACTCAGTCATTGAGTCAAAGGCTAATCTCTTGGAGAAACACCGTCCCAGACACAACCAGAAATAATGTTTGTCAGATATCTGGGAATCCCGTGGCCCCCACAAGTTGACACATAAAATTGATCATCATAACACATAAGTAAAATATATAGTATATCAGATGATGATAAATGTCATGGGGAAAAAATATTCCAGAAAAGAAGGATGGAGTATGCCAAGGAGGGGAGTTACCACTTTTAAGGAGGGTGGTCTGGGAAGGTCCGACTGAGTTGTGTATGTTTGACCATGCAGCAGTGGGGAAACAGTGAAGAATTCTAAGCTGAGAGCAATGTGACAAGACTTGCATTTTCTGACTTAAGTGTGAATGACAGATTGGAAGGTGATAAAAGGATATAGGGAGACCAGTAAAGAGACTACTTTCGTAGTCTAGATGAGTAGATAGCCCAGTGGACTTGGAGAGAAAGGGACCGTTTTAAGAGCAATTAAGGAATTGCATACAATGAAGAAGACTTCGTGGCAGATTGCAAGTGGGGTTGGGAAGAGGGAGGAGTCAGAGATTATGATTTCTAGCTTGGGCATTGAGTGGGTGATACGCTGGATGGTAGCATTCACAGGGGTGAAGAGCAAAGGAGGCTGAGCCATTAGGTGTGATGAGTGTGATGAGTACTAATCAGTCTACCCAGGTCTCCAGAATGGCCATGTTTTAGGGTTTTAACAATTTTCATATCAACCCATCTGTAACAGCAGAGTCAGTGTTCTCTATAAGTACATTATATCTGTTATCCTTGAGCAATTTCCCTTCCTTTTGGTGTAGGAAAAGATTATGGGCTTTGGAGTCAATTAGACCTTGGTTTGGATCTCATCTCCCTGCCTCTGCATGATCTTCAAGTAATGTTAACCATACAGGCCTTCTTTTTCCCGACTGCAAAATGGGAATGACAGTCTCCATGTGACTTGCTTGTTGGGAGACCTGAAATACCCACACTGAAGGCACTTGTTAAATGTTGGCTCCTCCTCTGCTCCTCCTGGCCCTCCCCTTAGTGGAGTTCTGGGTCAAGGTCAATAGGACTGAACTGGGTGAAGATCAGAACCAGTAGCAAAAGGGCTCAATGCACGAGTCATGGGTATTTGTATGAGTGTGTCTGGGTGTAGTTGCCCTTGCATTACTTTTAAAATATAAATATAAATAATTTTGTCAATTTGCCTTCCTCTGTTATGATATTAATACTTATTGTGTGTAGTGCTTATGTAATGAACCCTGAGAAAACATGACTTCTCTGAGCCCCGTACTGGACAGCCATTAGACAGTGCTTTAGCCACTCCTTCCTGAGAAATCTTCTGTGACCTGGGAAAGCTGTGAGTGGTGGAAGTTTTGTTTCCAACCCAGCAATCAGGGCAAAATTTCAAAGCTACATGCTGTGAGGTGTGGAGTCCCATAGCAGTAAGGAATTCAAACATTAATTCACATGTATGCATAGCATGGCTGATCACTCCCAAGAAATAAATTTCTTCTTTAGTGTTTTTTGTAGTTTAACCTCGTTTAAAATTTTTCCAGGGAGGGAGGAGGTTCCCTTATTAATCTTACTGACATTTTAGTCTGTTCCATTTTGTATTCATCTGATATATTTCCTTAAGTAGTTGGAGGTCTCTCACCAGTACTGTTTTTTCTTAAAAGCTACCTTTATAAATTATCAGCATTATCAAAAGCAAATATTTCCTTCTGCCTTCCTTTTACTCCATTTTACTTAATGTATTTAAAGTTTTTGTTGCTTATTTGCATTTTTGGTTAAAAAAAATGTTTCTAATATTCTTCCTTGGGAATACTTAACAATTCAAAGTTCTTCCAGTCTAAAGCAGGGTTTATTGACCTTGGCACTATTGACCTTTTAGGGGGATAATTGTTTGTTGTAGGGGGTTGTCACATGTACTGTGTGATGTTTATTAACATCCTGGATTCTACCCACTAGAGGCCAGGAATACCCTCCCCCGAGTCCTGACAGTCAAAACTGTCATGAGGCAAAAAATAAGCCAAAGAAGAGGGACCTGGTATGCTAAGGACAGGAGGTCCCACTTTTAAGTAGGGGGATCTGGGAAGGTCCCGCTGAGTTGTGTAGGTTTGACCACGTGGCACTGGGGAACCAGTGGGGAATTTTGAGCAGAGAACAATGTGACGAGATTTCCTCAGACTTTGACAAATGTCCCTTGAGGAGCAGAATCACCTCCCCTCCCAGTTGAGAACCACTGGCCTAAAGAAAATATTTTATGTTTGTTTGCTCTAATATTATCACTGATAATCATAATTTCTGGAAAATTTTGGGGGCAGAAGTGAAGCCAGAAAATAAACCAAATGATTGGGAACTGCTTTTGTCTCGAGCACCCCTAAGCTGATCTACTTGTTTGCATCTGTAAGTTCACAGAATGTTTTGATCAGGTTGCTAAAGTATCCAACTTGTGTGTATGTACAGAACTTAGCAAAGCAATTGGTCACCTTTTAAGGAGATTTATTACAGAAAGACTGACCAGTGGACATTTATAGTACATTCTAATCAATACAGGAAGGAATTCACCTCATCAGTGCCCTATTCGATTTCCAGAAGTGTTAAAGAAATGCCATGAGGAAAAAATTAGGCCTTAGATTCTAAATGGAAAGAAATGGGAGATTTTAGAGTCTGCTCAATTTTCATTCTATGCTCTGCACTTTGACTACAAGAGTGTAAATTTCAGTACTTGCATTTTCTTTCTCTCCTTTTCAGTGGGGGAATCTTTGATTTCTAATTAAAAAGGAATTATCTGTATTTATTTTTTGTGGATGAAATTGCCCCAGTATCACCAGCACAAATCCCCCCATCAAAAGCCTTTTCTCCCCTACTTGATCCATCTCTCAGAAAATCCGGCAATCTAGCTGCCCTGTGTAGGAGGCTGCTAAGTCGGGTTTTTAAATTATTTCTATTAAGTAAAAACTTAACATATACCAGCTGCGGAGGGATTACAAAAGCTTTGTTCTTTCAATAATTGGAAACCTTGTTTACAGAGGACTCACAATATTCTGTAAATGTCTTTGTGTTGAACATAAAGGAACTTGTGTTTATCTAGGCAATGATAATCTGACTATAAAGCAAACTCATTTAAGGATTATGCTTTCTGTCTCTCACTGTGCAGCTGTCACCCTACTGTTCTTTGGAGCTTGGCAAAATACTGAGAAGTCTTCCTTAAAATTGAAAAATACATTGGGAAATAAACCAGGTAGTTTGGGAATACACGTGAATCCAAATCACAGGGAAATATTTGAGAGACCCCAAATGTCACTCCATCCTAGGCAAATTTTTCCGAAGTTCACATTTGCCAATTCATTGATGGAATTCAGTTCATTCAAGAGAGATTTTAAGGTCTCGAGTCCTAGCAAAGAAAACTGAAGACCATTCAGATAATCTAATGTATTTAGTCAAACTGTAAATTTTGAGAGCCAACAAAGGCATTAGCGCTGATTAGTATCTACTGGAGAAGGAGTGAAGCACAGTACTTAGGGGTGGTCCCCATCTAGGCTCAGCCACTTAACTAGCTCTGTGACCTCATGCTATTTAGTGGTTCTCTTTAAAATAACAGCACTCACTTACCTTGGAGCATTGTTTAGAGACTTAAATGAGACAAAAGGAGAGAAACCCTCAGGACTCTGCCTGGCACAGAGTAGCCACTCAATAAATGAGAACCTATTGCCACGATGGTCCAAGTCTCACATGTGGGTATCTCATCTAATCTGTGAAACAGCCTTATTAAAATAGCTCATTTTTATAACCCCAGTTTTACTGAAAATTGAGAAAAATGAGATGCAAAGGAGTGTAATAATCTACTCAGAGTCCCACAGTAACTGGATTGATGAGCAAGGGTCCACATGCATATTCTGTGTCTCATTCTGCAAACATGCAATGAGGACAGGCACTCTTGTTTTCCGAATACTCACTATTTGAATATTTGCTATTGGGACTTGCTAAAAGCCATTCCCAATTAGAAACCAGCTATGACACGTTCTCTCATGTGTGGCAGCTTCTCAAACTTTAATGTATCTATGAATCCCCTTAGAATTGCAGATCCCACATTTCTAGCAAATTCCAAGATGATGCCAATACTGCTGGCCCCGTGATCACACTCTGAGTAGCAGGGTGCTGAAAGACAAAGGGTGGGCTTCTCTCATATCTGTGTTCTCCTGATCCTGTTTAAACATATAGCACATTATATCTGTAATTTCCCTACCTTTTCCCTGAGGGTTTAGCCCTTCAGTATTTGTTTAGGCCAGGACCCTAGGAGCACTACCAACTCAGGTCCAATTAGATAGTAACTTTCGAATCTTTGGTAATATCACTGCATTATTTATTTTTATTATAATACATGCTCAGTGTAGAAGGCTAATGAAATTCCTATTTATTCAGCTGTAGACTGCACACAAATATACCTACTCATTACTGCATTAAGTGTTAAACAATTAGGTAATTGTTTTTTAAGTGTTTTATATTGTGAAAAGATTGCTATTAGATTGTCAGGTAATTATTTAGGAGCATTTTAGTAATATTTGGAAAATGGATATTTTTGCATTCTCTAAAAATGAATTTTGTTTTCTGTGTAAAGTAATGGAATATAGACTCTTGCTGTTTGAAGCTTTGCTGCGCTATACATTTTTTAGGAATGGGTGAGACTCAGATAACAAGGGGTAGCTGCATTTACTCTGTGACAGATATTGGCAGAAATCCTGGAAATAGGTGAATGATGAAGACAAAATTGCTGCTCCACAGAACAGTTAGGAAAAAAATGGCAAATAAATATTTAAAATATGGTGAGATAAGTTTTCTAATGGAGACATGTAAAAGGAGCTCTAAGAACACAGCAAGGGATGGGCCTAACCCTTCCTTCTATACAGAGGAGACCTTCTCAGGATCCCGGTGATAGCTCATAGCAACTGACTGGCTGTCTGCGCCAGGCACTGTTGCAAGCATATTACACATATTTATTCATTTACTCTTACAACAACCCCATGAGACAGGTACTTTTATTATCATTCTCATTTTAAAGATAAGAAAACTGAGGAGTATAGAAATAGGTAACTTGCTTAAATTCCCACAGATCTGGCCTCAAACCTAGGCAGTTTGAGTCCAGAGCCTGCCGTCTTAACCCACATGTGATCTGGCTCATTTGAAAGATAATTCAGGATCTTAAAATAAGACCACGTAAAAATGATAGACATATTAGAGGGCACACACTTATGGCCTCATCTGGTTTGATGAGTGCAGAGGATGAACATAGGATGATGAGACCATTGGGCTGAAAACATAACATTCGCATGGCCTCATATATATAGGAGCACGGTGTGTGGACTGTGGATAGTAGGGACAGGACTGAGCCCATCTCCAGTAGTCACAGTGCTAACAATTTAATTATACTTGAGATGTAACTATAAAGTCATAACATGGATGTTATTTTAACACATCTGTTACATGGGCCTGGTCCCTTCCCTTCAGTCACCTTGGGAAGCTCTGCTTTCATTTCTGCCAAGTTCCCATTGCTCAGAGCGTGTTGGGAACGTCTCTTCTAAAATTCCCATTGCTCAGAGCATGTTGGGAACGTCTCTTCTAAAATTCCCATAGCTCAGAGAGTGTTGGGAATGTCTCTTCTAATATTCCCGTTGCTCAGAGCGTGCTGGGAACGTCTCTTCTAAAATTCCTTCAGAGCAAGTCACAATGAAAATCTTATTCTCTTATGATCATGCCTCGTTTTTGTCTCGAATGTTTTTCCTAGTTTGGTCACTCACCCCGTTTACTTACTGGTCTTGGCTCCAAATAACTTATGCCGGTTTGCTGAAATAACATGCACTCTCAAATCCATTCTCAAAAAAGTAAATGTATGTATATTTCTACATACAGTGATTCTGACTTTAGTATATGCTTTAAAATCATCTAGGGGGCTTGATTAAATTACACGTCATACCTCTACCCTCAGTAATTTTGGTTCAGCTGGTTCGAGATGGGGATGCTGTCTGCAGTCTTCAACAAGCATCTTGAAGTTTCTGTTTTGAATGACCAGTCCACACTGGTCATTTTGAGAAGTGTACCTTTAAGGATATTCACAAGAAAGGGTGGTATATATTAAGGTAGTTCCAAAACAGAAATTCCAAAAATGTTCTGGTCAACAGGGATATAAGTGGCATGTATTGTGCCTCCTTGGGGTGACTATTCTCTTGTAGATGATGCTTATTTAGAATAAAATGTTCAGTTTTATTTTTAAAAAGAATCAGCCGGCCAGGCACGGTGGCTCATGCCTGTAATCCTAGCACTTTGGGAGGCTGAGTTGGGCAGATTGCCTGAGCTCAGGAGTTCGAGACCAGCCTGGGCAACATGGTGAAACCCCCGTCTCTACTAAAATACAAAAATTAGCCAGGCACGGTGGTATGCGCCTGTAATCCCAGCTACTCAGGAGGCTGAGACAGGAGAATCATTTGAATCCGGGAGGTGGAGGTTGTAGTGAGCTGAGATTGCCCCACTGCACTCCAGCCTGGGCAACAGAGCGAGACACTGTCTCAAAAAAAAAAAAAAAAAGAATCAGCCACCATTCTGCATGGTCACACCATATACAGTGAAACCCTCTGTGCCTTGGGAAGGACCCATTTCATGTGTTTTCTCACTCAATGACCTCCTACTTGGTGCTCTCCCTCTGTAAAGAGAGGTGTTCCTTTTTGAGCCAGCTGGATCATCTAAGGACCCAGTATTAGAAGAACTAGTAATCCGTGTAACACGACTACATATTTTCTTTCTCTTAAAAAGAATGAGCTGCTTTCACTTCTTGGAGTCAGAGCACTAAATCCCAAGAGCAGACATGGCCGATCCGACAGCCGTCAGTCCTACTCACAAAGGCCAGGTTCACCAGGTGATGGATTGACCAGCTGCAGCTGCTGTCCTAGGATAGTCACAGTGGCAGGGAAGCTCCAGAACCAGTCTTCATTCTTGTCATGATATATTGCATTTTCCATTCCTTTCTGAATCCATGTGACTGCCTAAATTTTTTTATTAAGTTGCCTGATTTTAACAAACATAGTTTTCAATGAGAATGCAAGAAGAATTTCTGAGTTGCCTTACTTTTTATTTATCAACTATCCTGTCGCCTTCACACCTACTGAAGAGAATCTCATACAATTGGAAACAGAAATTGAGTTACAGTTTCTTTAATTAAATTCAGTTTCACAGGTGGGTCCTGGTTTCCACTGATGGCCAACACGGAGCCTTGCCCAGGGAGTGAGTCAGGCTTCTCTAAGGCACTGCTGGGGGCACAGCACGGAGGTTCTTAGTCTCTTGGCAGACCTTTGTCCCTGGGAGCCCTAGCCCCCAGCCACCTATTCTTTCTGGATCTGAGGATCCAGTATTATCCACCTTGAAGAAATGTAGACGTTGTATGATTTGTATAGCACCATTTAACTTAAACATTAAGCTCTTTACTGGTTTAAAGCTTAGTGAAGTATAGAAATAGAGACTGTGTTTAGACTCCTGTGAGTAAAAAGTTTACAAAAAGAAGAGGATTTTGTTTTTTTGATCCCAGCCTCTCTCTCTCTCTTTGACATTAACAAGGACACATATATTTTCTTTACGAGCTTCAGAGACAAAAAAGGAAGGAGAGATTGGATTGCTATCAAAATGGCCCTCAACCAGTAGAAGCAGTTATCAGATGGCCAACCACATCCTCTATCTTTACTCTCTCTTACTTCTGTCTTTCCTATCCCCTACATAGGGTTGCCAGATTTAGGAAAGAAAGAGAGAGTGGGGAAGAGAGGGAGAAAAGGAGAGAGGGAGGGAGGTAGGAAGGGAAGGGAAGAGGAAGGGAGGGGAGGGGAGGGGAGGGGAAGGGAGGGTAGAAGGGAGGAAGGGAGGGGAGAAGAGAGGAAGGGAGAGAGGGAAGGAGGGACCAGGATGCCTAGTTAAATTTAAATTTCAGATATACAAGGAATCATGTATTAGTATATATCTCATGCAATATTTGGGACGTATTCCATGGCCCTCTTCCATGCCTGTCCCACACAATTCAGGGCTCTTCTTTTATTTTCTAGTGGTTTTCATTTTCAGAAGATTTGTCCCTCAATTGGATCAAACTCTCTTCTGGGCAGAATCTTATCTGGCATCTTTCAAGGCACCCTAAATATCAGCTTCCCTCTTTGGGGGTCTATGTTAGATTTCTCCTTAAGCGTTTCCCTCTGCTGCAAGTGCAGAACACCCCTGAGCGCCTCATACCTTTCCTCTCTGCACCTGCAAGGTCATTACTTCATGCACATGGCTGGCCTGAGCCTAGAGCCCAGAA
This sequence comes from Homo sapiens, assembly GCF_000001405.40. Taxonomy (NCBI): domain Eukaryota; kingdom Metazoa; phylum Chordata; class Mammalia; order Primates; family Hominidae; genus Homo; species Homo sapiens. Next base: position 29,391,818 of record NC_000007.14, read on the forward strand.
CATAAGGGTGCTGTGTATTTTTATCATTGGTTGATGAACTGAAAGCAATTTGTTGTCTTGTTAAGAATCAATTAAATTCAGCATCTATTAACTGTTTACCTGCATGCCAAGAGTTAGTAGTATTACCATGTGGCTCATCTGGGAAGTTAGATTAGTAACTCTTTCTCTTTTAGGGAAATAAGAAGATACAGGAAGGGAATAGGGTTGAGAGCTACACCCAGATTTTGCAAACTTGTGCTACGGTTCAGCCAAAAAGATGGAAATTTAAAAATCGTCCTCATATGTAGAGAATCACTTCAAATTTTGGAATATCGCCTCTCAAAGAATGGAGATTTTGCCATTATATATCCTCAACTTTCATTGGCTTTTCTAGTTCTAAATTTCTTCTCTGGCATGTTGGTTTTACAGTCACATGTCTATAATATTATAAAACTAAAAAAGAACTTTGAAAGCCGAAAGACTGATATAAATGACAACATATTCAATTCTCATTAAAAAGCTTACCAGCCTGTAGAATAATGGCACACATCATTTATAGAAAGGATATCAGATAACCAGGTGCCTTTTTACACACTTTCTGCTTCTATTAATGATATTATTTAAATCTTCCTTCACAAATGACACCGAGCAGGCTTTGAACCTTGAAGATTAAGTTATGGATGTCCTGCTTGGTTGAGTAATTCTCAGGTGTAAAATGCACAGGAGAGTGAACACATATTTAGAAGTGTCTAGATGATAAGTTTTGTACCAGCGAGGCTTGTCCTAGGCAGCATTGTGAGTGTGGTCCCCAAAGCCCCAGCTCCGCCTTTCTGAGCCTCTTCCCCTAGCTCCTAGTGTCCTGTTACCTATTCAGATCTGCATCCCTTGGAGGATGGAGCTAGGCCAGGAAACTGCCCCATATCATGAAATCCTGCTACTGTGCCTGTCTCTGAGCCCTGCTGTGAAAACTGTCCATTTGACTCTAGGAAGAAATGACTGTGAATAAAACAGCTGCCAAGCTCGTATCCTACAACAGTGAATAAACATAAACTTGCTGTCATACATAGAACCATTCATAAAAACCCATAACTTAATGTGGCTCTACAATGTTTTGAGTGTCCCTGGAGTTAGGAGAGAAGAACAAAGGCCGAGCATGAGAAATCATGTCACTTTCTCACCAACTCCAACATCATAAACATGTGAAAACAAAGCTCTTATGAAAGCAGATGATCATGTATGTGAGAAAAATCAGATGTGATAACCTCAAGGCTAAAGCTGTGATTGAAAGATCCTTTCTGGAATGTTTGTGTTTTAGTCAAGTCATAAATCTTGTCCCCTGTAGCCTGCACCTCTGGTGTCAAATGAATTTCAGCCCATTAGCCACATGTTGAAAAAATAAGAATGTTAAAATATTGATTTTATTTAGAACATGATCAAGTTAAGTCTGCTTTATTTTTTAATCCAGGTAGACTTCTTGTTTTAATTATAAATACATAATAAAAACAATTAGGCACAGAGTAAAATAAATGCTTATGTTTTATTCATGACAGAGTAGTTGTTTTATCCTTCAGGATGAAGCCTTATAATATCCTTACAAATTCCTTAATATTAAAATAAGCATCGCTTTGTTTTTGTTGAAAATTCTCTTATTGGATGATTGGGTTTGGGTGGGAAATGAGCCTAATGATTGATTCTAGGTCATTCCTACCTGATACTGGAATGTGCTGATTATAACTCCATAGCTTCATGGATCTCTGATTTGGAGGATACAATCTGTAATAAAATTACTACCAGGACCCTAGTTCTGTTTATTTGAATAGCATTTTTATCTAGCTGATTTGAATTCAAATGCATTATTAATTTTTTTTTCTTTTTAATATAGGTGGAAAACAGACCAAAATATTATGGAAGAGAGTATGTATTATACTATTCTTTGTTTTAATAATTTAATAAGTAGTCATTTCATGTGTCATTTAAATATTACAAATTTTCTAATATATGGTCATCATCATATGTCTATTGTGCAAGAGTTTAATGATAATAAATGCAATCAGACTCCTTTGAATTAATATTTTTTATAGTAGTCAAGTGCTTGGTTTCCATTAATGTGGGAGGTAGAGCATTTTGCGCTACTTTTCCCTCCACAAAAGAGCTACTGAGTGCCTGGCAAGTACTTGAAACGGAAGGCAGCATTTTTCATAATGGAGGCTCTCTGTTAGTGTTTCATTTCACTTTCTACCTCAACACAATAGAAACGTTTGGTGTGTCCAAGATGGTACACTGTATGTGAGTTCCTGACTTTCGTGTACCTCGGTGCGGTGGTCAGGATAGGCATCCCACTTCTCTGCAGTCTCATAAAACCCAAATGATGATATCTCTTGGCTCGGGTGTAGTAGCCAAATTGCCTTAATACTCCCCTTTCCATTTTTCTCTTAATTTCAACTCTTGTTTTGTTTCACTTTTTCCAAAACCTACTGCCCAGCAAATACGCATGACCATAAAAATAATTCGCAGTCTAAGCCTATGGTGTGTACAGCACAACACAGAGGGCAGGCAGAACGGGCCAGGGGAGAGGAGATGCATCAATCACTTTTCTTCCCAAGTCCAACCTGGAGGCGTTGTGAGGCAACGTCTCTTTTGAGTCTACCTTCCAAGCTCTCACAGCCAATCTCAAACCTTCCTCTTATTCCCTTACCCGTCAGAGCCTCATCTTCATGATTAATGACCCTCTTAGGGGTCCCAGCCCCGTGCACCTTCCTAATTGCCACAGCTGCATTTCAGAACCTTCCTCGCAGCACCCTGGGAATTTGACCAGCACCTCTGGAATGCCTGCCTGGGGGCACTGGCCTCCGCTCCTCTCTACCCCATGCCCCTACTGTCTAATCTATGTTGTAGTATGGCTTTTTTTCCTCAGTATGCTTATTTGTTTTTTCCTTGAAGATAGCACAATTAATTTAAAAAAATAGAAGAAAATGAAAACCTACCATATACACTTTTGCATGTGAATTCTAAAAGGAGCTGTTTATTATGCATTTTCTTTTTGCAGAAAAGTTTTGTCAAATAACTTTTTAATTCTCATCTTCTTACCCCCAATTCATGTAAAACATATGAGAGTCTTGAGACTAAAGAAGTGTTTTCTTAACTACCAAAAGGAACATCTTTTATTAGATGGTAATTAGCCTAAAACCTTCAGATTCTGTGTTTCCCTTTATTTTTTTAAAAAATGAAGGGTGTTTTTTTCTTCCACTTAAAAAGTAATACATGCTTCATTCAGGAAACGCACATACACATTTATTCCTAGAAGGAATCACAAGAAACTATTGACAATGGATACCTTTAGGGAGAGAGGAATTTTGCATTTTTAGTTCTTTTATACCTTCAACTTTTGAAATTGGAATTTTCTGCTGTGCACAGGTATTACTTCTGTTTCTAAAAATAAATTATGGCTGGGCACAGTGGCTCACGCCTGTAGTCCCAGCACTTTGGGAGGCCAGGGAAGGCAGATCACTTGTGCTCAGGAGATTAAGACCAGCCTGAGCAACATGGGAAGACCTCATCTCTACAAGAAATACAAATATTACCTAGGCATGGTGGCACATGCCTATGGTCCCAGCTACTCAGGACCACAGGTGGGAGGTGGGAGGATCACTTGAGCCCAGAAGGTCAACTGAACCATTGCACTCCAGCCTGGGCAACAGAGTGAGACCTTGTACAAAAAAAAATTAATAAATTAATACCAATTAACTTGGAAAATTAGAAAATAAAGGAAAATAGAAGAGGGAAAATACCCATAGTTCTACCATGAAAGAGAATCATTGCTAACCTTTTCTCTTCATCTCTTTCTGGTCTTTGTGCATGCTTGCTTTTTTCTTACCAAGTTGCAGTCATACAAATATATTAGATATTATAGGTTGGAGATATTTGGACTTTTAAAAATGATGCATAAAGGGGATGACAAGCCACAGACTGGTCTTCAGGTGCACAAAATTGTCATTTTCTTCTTTTGAATGATTGAATTTAATTTAGTTATTGACACTGTTTGACGCTGTCAATCACTTAAACTTGCCAATTCAAGTGAATTAAAACTTAAGTTCTAGGTGACTATAGTTAAAACAATTTATTATATATTCCAAAATAGCTAAGAGAGGCTTTCGAATGTTCCTAACATAAACAATAAATGCTTGAGGTGACAGGCATCCTGATTACCCTGATTTGATCATTATACATTGTACTTATGTATCAAAATATCACATGTTCTCCATAAATATGTACAATAATTATATATCAATTAAAAATAAAAATAGAAAAAGTATGCATACTCAAAATCAAGAATTAAAAAAGAAACATAAGACTTAGCTGCTTTTGACTGGGCACAGTGGCTCACACCTGTAATCCCAGCACTTTGGGAGACCGAGGCGGGTTGATCGCCTGAGTTCAGGAGTTCGAGACCACTCCGGGCAACATGGTGAGACCCGCCCCCACTCCCCGCATCTCTACTGAAATACAAAAAATTTGCCGGGCATGGTGGGGTGTGCCTGTAGTCCCAGCTACTCGAGAGGCTGAGGCAGGAGCATTGCTTGAGCCTGGGAGGCGGAGGTTGCAGTGAGCGAGCTGAGATCGCGCCATTGCACTCCAGCTTAGGCTACAGAGTGAGACTCTCTCCAAAAAAAAAAAAAAAAAAAAAAAAAATCTAGCTGCTTTTGGGTTAACTGCCTTGTTTAGAGACTACCCCTTTTCCTGTCCCTTCTCCTGGAGTGACCTGGGGCAGGTCCCTCTGCGTGCCCTGTCCTGCTATTGTTACTCTGGCCCACGGGCTGTGTCTTCGACATCCCAGCTTTTGTCTTTTCTACTTATGTGTTGGAATATTGGCAATGCTGTCTGCCCCTCCCACTCTCCTGCTGCATGTCCCTCCCCCCACACCCACCCCCACACTCACTGCCAACCCACCCGCCAACCCATCCGCAAGGCTGCCCCCAGGGCTCTTTGCCCAGGCCATCTGTCCCATCCTCTCCAACCTGGCTCAGGCTGCACAGGAGGCTCCTCCGCAAAGTTCCTAGGTCCAGTGACCTCACTATCAAAGCTCCAACACCTCTGCTCCAGGCCCCAATAAACTGGCCTCCCGGTTCCAATCCACACCTGCTATGCAGGGCCAGTTAGACCCCCTGAGACTGGGCTCTGCCTCAGTCCCTCCCACCAGAACCGGGGATTCACAGAACATTCATCCTCACTCAGAAGAGCATTGCTCCAAGACCTCCAGACATCAGCTGTTGAGATTTAAAATCAAAATTTGGGAAGCCAGAAAGCCTTTTTCTTCCAGGCCATCACTGCCGTACACCTTTAAGAAGCGATTTTGAAACACAAAGCCACAGGCTGCTTCTGACCTCACTTTCCTTGGACAGAAGCTTCAGCTTGGAAGGTCTACTTTTTAAGGATAGAGGGAATTAGGAAATAAATATTGTGATAGGCACTTTTAAAAATGTTATCCTTCTGCATTTGTACTCTAACTTAATCTTTGCATTCCTGAGGAAAATACAAAACAAAAGAAAATTTGTCTAGCTTACTTCCCTTTCCTCCTCTTCAAGAAAGTAAAGGTGTTTTTCTCTGTCCAGAAAATTTATTCTCTGATTTATTATCCAAAGTTCTCCAAGGTTGGATAATCCTAGAAAGGGGTGTTACTCCTTTCCCAGAAGCTTGAAGTCCCTTGGGACTGCCTCATTTCCCCAACCCAGCTTGCCCCACTTTCCATGAAATACTGGTTGATCAAATCTCCAGTCCTGTGGGAGGAGCAGCTGTATTTACTTAAAGGCAACAGGGAACGTGGGCTGGTTCCTGACCCAACTCCTACCTCTCCCTATTCCTCTGTGGAGTCACTGTCCACTCTCTGGGCCTCAGACAACTGCCTCCACATCAGAGTGATCATGGGCCAGCACACAACCCTCCCGGATATGCCACATTTTCCACATGCATGTGTATGGGTTTTAAAATGGTAGAGAAGATAAATTTATCTTTAAAAAAGAAAAATAGGTACATTTTCTAAAATACCCATAAGCTATTGCTCTCCAAGTGTAAATAACTGGAAGAATGTTGATGATAGCTACCTCTTTCCAGAAAATGAGCCTCTAAAATTAACACCACCCTGCACCTGAAGCAAGCAGGTTGCTAATCAATAAATGTCCACTTGCAATTAGGATAACACATAGTTCTCTGAGCTGAGAGCTAAATTGGTAATTGCTCTTCTGTTATTTCCCATGGTTAAAAAAAAGGGGGGGGGGGGGCGGTGGTTGAGTAACCTGGCTTTTTGTTTCAACTTTCATTTTCAACTTGAAAGCAAAGACAATAGCAGAAAGCCAGGTGGACTGGGCATCCTTCCTTTTGTTTGCCTGCTTGAATACTTGTGTTTGGAGCATGTGAGGGGTGGTTCCAAGTCACTTAAGATGGGCAGTAGTCACCCCCCTTCTTCACTCAGTTGTGGGGCTGTCGATTCTGGGTGCCCCCACCATCCTTTTAAGGCTAGTTCTTTGTGGTCCTTATTCTGTATGTGGTCTGTTCAGAGCATTGATGGTCTTGTACCTTCAGGTTTCATGGGATCATCTCTCGGGAGCAGGCGGATGAGCTTCTTGGAGGCGTGGAGGGTGCCTACATCCTTAGAGAAAGCCAGCGGCAACCAGGATGCTACACGCTGGCTCTCAGGTGAGGCGCATTTCATTCCTTGTTTTCATTGCTGTACAAGTGGCTTCACTGATGTTTGCCCATTTTTAAGAATTGTAGCAGAGTATACATAACACAAAATTCATCATTTTTCCCATGTTTATGTTATGAGGGGGGGGTCCCACTCTCTCACCCAGGCTGGAGTGCAGTGGCACAATCATGGCTCACTGCAGCCTCTGCCTCCCAGGCTCAAGTGCCTCCCACCTTAGCCTCCTGAGTAGCTGGGACCACAGGCACACACCACCATGACTGGCTAATTTTTTTTTTTTTTTTTTTTGAAGAGAATGGGGTCTCACCATGTTGCCCGGGCTGGTCTTGAACTCCTGGGCTCAAGCCATCCGCCTGTCTCAGCCTCCCAAAGTTCTGGGATTACAGTCAGGAGCCACTGCACCTGGCCTCCTTTTAAAATTTTTAAGTAAAATTCAGTGGCATTAAGTACATTATTAATGTTGTACAAACATCTCCATATTCATTTCCAGAACTTTCTCATCATCCCACACAGAAACCCACTACCATAAACAATTACCCCTCCCTACTCCTTACTTGATATCTTCACTTGTTTCTGAAGCACCAGCAGTATATCAGAGTTTGTTTACATTTCCTCAGCCGCAGATGCTATCGGTAGGTGTGGACACTGGGACTCTGATCATGGACACACAGTAAACTGGAGAACCATCTGGAAAGTTAGTGTTTCTACAGCCACCTCTGCCTGCACCATCTAGCTGGCCGAGGCTGCAGCGTCTTTGCCTCAGCTCCCAGCAGCCCATGTTGAAGGAAGGGCTCCTTCACCTGGCCTTGCACGTGCAGACCTCACAAGACCTGCATTTGCTCATGGGGTTCTCTCAGGGTTCACCTTGTTGACCCCAGGAACCTGTCGTGAGGGCAGTCATGACCCTTCAGGCCAATGAGCCAGTAGAACAGGCTCTACTGAGCCTTTACCACAAAATCACAAGTATTAAACATCACAACATAAGAAAGACAGCACATTTATGGCACTTTTCAAACCTTGATCAAATATTTTCTGTCATTTGATCCTCGCCGTAGCCCTATACATTTCGGGGAAGGTATCCAATTTCAGAACTGAATTGTCTTCCAAAAGTTCATTTGTGAACTCTTCGGAATTGGAAAGCCCTCTCTCCATAGGGGGAATGGTGTCCATGGAAGCCCTTCCCAGGCCCACAATGGTGTGTTCCATGCACCATCTCCCTATTATGGCTGTGCAATGACACTTTCCAAGTTGCAACATGTCTACAGCATATCTTAAATAATGTAATTATGAGGACGAACTTAAAAAGCTATTATATCATGCGCTCTAGGTGTGCAAAATAATTTCCTATCTTCCCAGCACTTCAGTAGCAGAAGCTGGCAGTTGTAGTGGGGAGTCAAGCAGGGGCTGTAGATGGAAGGTCAGGGCCCAGAGAGGAGGGAACCTCTAGGTTAGATTGTGGGGACACTGGCAACAGCTCCAGCAGGGAGTTTAGCACACCTTATTGCTTCCCTTCTGCTGCACCAACTAGGGCGGAAGGCATGGGGTGCTCTGCTGGAGGTGGTAAAGATGCGTTAACAAGGGGGCATCAGGACCAGGACAGGGCATCCCTTGCAGAGGTAATTGCCAGGTATAGAGGAGAGCTGGTTCCCGTTAAGTAAGTTTACAGGTAACATAGTTGTAAATCAGGCATTACCCTCTGACCCTTACAAATGAGAAGGATACTGACAATGACCTTAGTGATTTCTAGGATCAAACGACTCCATGTGATGTCCTGGGGTTAAGCCCCACCTCTGCCTCGTTCCAGTCATATAAACTCAAGCAGGAACCGCCATCTCTTCAAGCATCAGTTACCTTTGCGGTAAGACAGGCATAACCATTATACCGTCTCAAAGGGTCTCTGTGAGCGTTAGGGGAAAAAAAATCACATCAAGTGCTTAGCCCTGTGCCTGGGATACACTAAGTATTCAAAAAACGTTAGCTGCTATTGTTATCATTCCACACTGTGCTTATTTCTAACGTGGTTGTAATCCCTCATTCTCTCACGGGCAGGTTTGGAAACCAGACCTTAAACTACAGGCTCTTCCACGACGGGAAACACTTTGTGGGTGAGAAGAGGTTTGAGTCGATTCATGATCTGGTGACAGATGGCTTGATAACACTGTACATAGAAACAAAAGCTGCCGAGTACATTTCAAAAATGACAACTAACCCCATCTATGAACACATTGGATATGCCACCCTACTCAGAGAAAAAGTATCCAGAAGGCTGAGCAGGTCTAAAAATGAACCAAGAAAAACAAACGTCACACATGAAGAACACACAGCGGTGGAAAAGGTGAGCTGTGTGTGATGGAAGCAGCCTTTCGTTTTAATCCATGCCGCATCAACAGGCGGGTTAACTATAGGTGCGATTTGCTGAAATGTTGGAGGAGACCCACCCCCACCCGAAGAACTCTAGAATGTTAGGGCCAAAGGGACCTTAGAAATCTTCTAGCTCAGGCCGGGCGTGGTGGCTCATGCCTGTAATCTCTTTGGGAGGCCGAGGCAGGTGGATCACGAGGTCAGGAGATAGAGACCATCCTGGCTAACACGGTGAAACCCCGTCTCTACAAAAAATACAAAAAATCAGCCGGGTGTGGTGGTGGGCGCCTGTAGTCCCAGTTACTTGGGAGGCTGAGGCAGGAGAATGGCATGAACCCAGGACGGGGAGCTTGCAGTGAGCCAAGATTGTGCCACTGCACTCCAGTCTGGGCAACAGAGCGAGACTCCGTCTCAAAAAAAAAAAAAATCTTCTAGGTCAGCCCCCTCATTTTACAGATGAAGCCCAGAAATGTTTGATGATTTGTTCAAATTCATACAGTCAGACCCAGGACTTCTACCAAGTCATTTGTGGGTTTATTTGGAGTTTGAAAGAAAAAAAAAACAAACCTCCATTAATGTATTATGATGAAACATGTTTTCAGTCACCATTTGAGGTGTCACTGGCTCCATCTTTAGTTCCACCCAGCCGGCCAAATACGTGGTATTTGTATTTGCTTCTCTTAGGACTGGGTGACTGCCCATGATCCACAGGTCAGGTCTCTTGAAGGTGGTCTTACTTAGATAACAGGTTTCACTGACAGATATGGGAGCATTTCACTGACAGATATGGGAACGTGGCTATCTCTGGGAAGTAGAAAGACAAGCTGTCCTTTGCCCCAAAGTTATTATGCCTCACCAAGGATTAAAAAACTCCTAAGTGGGCAAGTATGCAGGCGGGGGGTAGATTGTGGCAGGAGGCGGCCAGGGAGATCTGATTTTCCTCTCCAGTAAGTTGCTGTTTGTTTGAAAGGCACCACCAGAGTTTGCTAGCAGATTTTTGGGATGTGCCCCTTGAGGGACCATCTGCTTTGCCTGGTCCTATCTGTTTCCCACTGAAAGAAAGTGACAGCCAGCCACGCCAATCAGCCCCTGCAGAGTCTGTGCTGAGCCCGGCTTGTCAGGCACACTAGGGCTGGGACAGATAGAAATAAGCGGATAGGAGCTACAGCCCCGCCACACTGCTCCTTCCAGTGGTCACTAATCCTAGTTAAACCGGAACGGGCCTCCCGTCGTCCAGTGTCAATGGGAAGCAAAGGAGCCTCGGGCTGATGGATTCGGGACTGGCATTGGCAGAGGGGCTTCATCAGAAAGCCCTGAGAGGGAGGAGGGCGGGGTGGCACCGTGGTCCCGTTGGTGGAGACAGGGATCATGTCAACTGATTTGCTGATTGAGCTTCAGATCCTAGGAGAACCTTCCACAGAATCACATCAGTGCAGCAGCTGGGCCCATGAAAATATAATTTGCCATTTTCTTTTTATAACTCCAGTGTCTCCAAAGCACCTGTTTATTCTTTTCCAAATAATTGCTTTGGGAAATTGTGGGGTTTCTGACTGTTTACATTTTAACAAAAGAGAGAGGACTTGAGTCCCAACTTTCAGAGTTTGTTCCGGTCCAGACAAAAGCCATTCCTTAGTCTGTTTGCAAAATCTGTTCCAAAGTAATTTAGAATAGAAAATATGAAAGCCGACCTTCCCAGCCATGACAAATCAGAAGATGAATTGTAAAATAAATCTCTGAAGCAGTGTTTATATTTCTGAATCAGAGAGCAAAGTCACTGAAAAGGCAATCTGTTACAAACTGCAGGATGCACACTAGAACAGCTCAAGGAAAAGAGGAGAGCAGGAGGAGTGTCTCTTCTGTGTTAGGGCCGACTTGAGATCCTGGGTATTGAAACTGATATTTCTAGATTCTTGTCCTTCCCTGAGAGGGAAGTTTGGTCAACAGAAACTGATATTTCTGGACAATATTCCTATCAGGAAACTTGTACCTCAAAATATGCCCCCTTGTGCAGATATTTTTGTATTTATTTGTCAAAAATAAATTGTGGAGGAAATTAATAATCCAATTAATAATCACTTTGAATGAGCCACCCAATATACATTTACCTTTTTGGGAAACGGTAAATCAAGAAAATATTGCAGGAAGACACCCCAACTCTCTGAGCAGTTTGATGGACGGGTGTCGGTGGTGTGGATTTTCTTGGACACTAATGATGTGATGTTTGGTTGTCCCAAGGGACACTGGGCCTGGTCACTTGCTGGGGCTACTCATTTTGTTAGTAGTTTGTTAAGTTACTTGGTACGAATCCATCCGTTTCTCTCTGACCTATATTGACAAGTGGAATTATTAAAGGTCTCAGCCTTGCCAGAGATTCTGTTTCCCTTAAAGGCAGTCAGTGGTCCATTGCGATGGAGTCAGTGACTAGAAAAGAGGGACTGGAAACGTGAATGGCTTCACTGAGAAGAGTGGGTGGGGGGAGGGTACCTGTTTGCTTTGCTAAGGGCGTGTCTTGAAGGTTTTAATGAGTGAAATGAGCAGGTTTCCTAATATTTCTCAATTCCAGACACACCAGCATTTCCGTTTCCAGGTACTTAAATTTCGTTTTCTCATTTGTTTTATTGATCGTTTCCAAATGAATCCAGAGAGACGATGTTACCTGTGTATCCAAGAATACTAACGCAGTAATAATTGGCAAAAAGAGATTACCTACTCCATCAGATTTGAGTGGCTCCCAGATTTCTCTCCAGTCATGATTGTTAGCAGTAAACTTGATTTTAATAACCGTAGATGAGATGGAGAGGCAGGGAGGAAGGCAGAAAAAAAAAAAAAGTTGTGATGGTTAGCCAATAGTGATCCGTCTCCCCACTGATTCTTTATTTAGTTGGATTTAAAAACATTATGATGTATGTGGGCCACCATTCGGTGCATCTAATTAAAATGGTCACATCCAGTGTCATTTCTTCTATGAAACGCATTTCAGAACTTATTCCATAGATGGATTATCTACTGACCTTCACATCACTGTAAGCAACAAAGGAATAACAGGAGATTTAACATGAGCTCAGACATTTAGTGTTAAACACATTTCACATATGTGAACTAATTTCCCATTTTATCCTCAGAACCACTTTGCCAGGTCCGTAGGGCAGGAATCACCATCCCCATCTTATTGAAAGGCTCACGGTGGCAGGGTGAGGAATCAGACCCAGGCTTCCTGATTCCACGCTCAAAGCTTCTTAAATCAACTGAGCAGTTGTGCCTCATTCTGTGCTCACTGCCCTTAGTGCTTTGAGCGAACACCCTTGGTTTTGGGCCATCCTGAGGCAAGTGATGCTAAAAGTACTCAGTATTTACATGATCTGTTTCTGAAAACAGATCATGTAAGCAGAAAACTGCTATTACGAGCTATAATAACTAGTATTTTCTTAAAAAGTATACCCTACGAATCCAATGCATATGACAACAGTGTTTTTGACAGCACATTTTTATTCAATAAATATGGTTTGTCATATTAAATTGCATCTGTGTTTTAGTGGGGAAAAAATGATCCATGCCCTTAAATAATAAAAGCACATTTAAGAATATATTATACCAGTTTATCCGTTTCACTGTTCATTATAGCAGCAAAAATTAGAAAATGACCTTAATGTCCATCAATTTGAGACTGCTTAAATGGATTATGGTACATCCATGTTAAGGAATATCACACAACCCCAGGAAAGGAATGAATGAGAACCCTCATATGGGCTGATGTGGAATGGGCACTTGGAATCGTTATATGGAAAAGTACCTAGCAGTGTGGTGTGTGGAGTATGGTATTATTTGAGTAAACTAGTAGAAAAAAATATTTTTATTGATTTTTATTTTAAAATTGTATGTATTTATTATTTTTTAAAGACAGGATCTCACTTTATTGCCCAGGCTGGTCTCAAACTCGTGGGCTCAAGCGATCCTCCCATCTCAGCCTCCCAAGTAGCTGGGATTACAGGTACGAGCCACCGCATCCAGCCAAAAAAAGCTTTAGCATATATTTTTTTCATGCAAAGTCATAAATATCCCTTGAAGGATGCAAGAGCCAGTATCACTGATTGCCTTTGAAGAAGGGAAGTGGGTGTCTGAGGGGTACAGTGTGGAAGGAGATTTTTCCCTGCTACTCTTTCAGACTCTTGGAATTTTAAACCGTGATCGATGCAGTGCCCTATTTAAAAATTTAAATAAGAGAAAATAATGCGCTGTGTATTAAATTCACATACATTAAAGCATACCCTGAATAAAGAAACATTCTCTGTATGGAGTGCTTATGTCACCATACACACACACACACACACACACACACACACACACACACACACACACACACACACACACGGCAGTTCCAACACTCTGCACCCAGGCTGTTTCTTCTCAGCTCAACCCGATGCTGATAGGACACTTTCATTTCTCCATGGGGTCTTTAACGAAGAGTCTGTGTTTAGCAGAGTTTTACTAAAGGTTGGAGCTGGGAGAGCGTAATGATAGCACAGGGCGCACATCATTAACTACAGTGCAGTGTGTCTGCCCCTGGCAGTGGATTGGCTGCTGCTTTCTTCCTTCCTGGCATTGCCTCCCCTGACACACAGACCCCTCAGCTGTGCCCTCTGGGACCCTCCCCAGCTCTCCTCCCATTAACCACCCCACCATCACCACGCCTTTCTCAAACTGCTGCCAAGCCAACTCCCAGAGTCCTCTTGCTTTCTTAGGGCAGGCACCGAAGCCCTCTTTGGTTTCTACTTTCTTCCTGCAAAACCAAAGAGAGTTACCTTTTCTGGACTGAAGGCCTTCCAACCTTACTGGGTTGTCCTTTACAGATGAACTGTTTCATCAGAGAACAACCTCTCCCCTCTTGTCTCCCACTCAGCGTTTTGTTTGTTTGTTTGTTTTTTCTTTCTAAATTATTTTCTTCCTTCCCAGCTGCCCGCCTTTATATCCAAGGTGGTCCTTTCATTGGTTGTTTCACTGTTTCCATCATGTGATCTGCTGGCCTGTCCCGGTATCTTTGCCTAGGAATGATTCCCTACAATGTGCTTGAACAGAGGCCGTGGCCAGGCCAAGGAGTGAATGTCCAGCCCTCGCTTACTGGCAGAAGTCTTCATACAAGGTTGAGCCTGTCCCGAGTGGTTCTCCCCAGTGCCATGCTCGCATCTCATGGCTGGTGTCCCCGTGGTGACTCTGTGCTCATCAGAGTGTTATTGTTGTTGCTGTAATTCTGCAACAGCTCTTATTTGCTTTTTCTCTAGGACAGAGTTCAAATTCCTTACAGGAAATTTGCAGCCTGTTTAAGCCTGGGCCCCTTGGAGAAGCAAAGCCTGAGACTGGGGTTTGGTACAGATGGGGAATTTGGAAAGGCATCCCAGGGAGAGGAGGAGAAGCTGGGCAGGTAAATAGAGGAGGAGAGAGGCTGGTATATGCACGTTGTGGAGCTGATCACCTTCTCAGGAGCCGGGTAGAACTGCTTCTAAGAGGAATTGAAGTGGGAGTGTTTAACGCATCACCTCCTGTCCCCTCTTGGTTGAGGGGTACCTGTGAGCTGTTAACATTCTCCCCAGTTCCAGGCCAGGCATGCTGGAGAGCTAGGTGGGTGCCATGGGCATCCCTGGCAGCCTGTGGAGTCCAGTGCAGCTGTCCTTTTCTACTATTGAATAGAACCTGCCACACTCAGCCTCCCCTCCCCTCCCCGCCCTGGCATGCTGCACACCACCTTTATGAGAGTTCATCACCCTGTGTCCAGCGTCATTGTTTTGATCAGTGGTTCTCAAAGCATGGCCCTCGGGAACCAGCAGCATCAACATCAGCTGGGAGGCTGGTTAGAAATGCACGTTCCCAGGAGCCACTGTGTGGGGGACTCTGGGGTGCCCTCCGCCAATGTGTGTTTTAAGCTTTAGGCAGTTCTGATTCCCACCTGCATTTAAAAATCTGTGGTTTCTATGTCTGTCTCTTTCCCCAGAGGTGGATCAGTGGGAGGCAGAGGCTACTCCTCAGCCTACTTCCTAATTCTAACGCCCTCCACCTCACTCGGTGAAGCAAGCACTGATTGAATGAAAAATGGATGGGTGACTTTTAAAATGTAACACATTGCCCCACATTCACCCTAAGGAACAGCGTATCTCAAATTCACCAAGAGGGTGCCTCAGCATCTCCCGCACCGTCTCTCAGCACGTGCTCCTTCCTTCACTGGGCTAAGATCTGGCCACCAACTCCTTGTAGCATCAGGAGCAGCAGGAGTCTGGAGAAGCAGGGGAATCGTGGAGACCATCTCATGCAACCCTTCTGTTTTGCAGGACAGGAAACTGAGGCACCCGGCTCAATAGCTTAGAAAGTATTTCAGTGACACCAAGGAGGCTTGGATAGAAAAGGATGCTTTTCAGCAGCTATCTTAGAGTTAAGATTGTTGAGGCCTTTTTTTTGGATGGGATCCACAACTGTGCCACTGTGGAGGGGGTCTTGGTCCTAGGGGGTGGAGAGGCTTGGTGACTTCATTCAGGACAGTAGATTCAAACATAGTGTTACCCATTGTCCTTCACCAAGCAGAGGCGTGCATTCATTTGCCAAAGAAAGAACCTGAATTGTTAATGCAGAAAGCATTATGGAGCTGGAAAAGATCACTTGCATTACAGGGTCTAAAGAACCTATAGATTTTCTCTGCAGGAGGTTCTTTGGAAATAACATGTAACTGACATACCCAGTCTTTTCTCAGGATTCAAGGGTAAATGAAGATGAGCATAACTTAGCTATTATAGTAGGTGACAGGTACCCTGATGATGCTGACCAGCCGACTTGCTGCCCTTGCACGCAGTCATAAAATGGGGTGGGATAGGATGCAGTGAGAATGGATTTAACTTAGATTACATCCGCTCATGAGACTGGGTTTTGCCAAGCATTGTTTTAAACCAGAATTCCCTAATGATTTGGGATTTATCACTCAGTCTGAGCAATTGCTGATTTGGTTGGCTTGGTGGTTCTCAAACTGACTGAAGGTTGGACTCACTCTGGGAGCTTTTAAAAAAATGCCCATGGCCGGGCTTGGTGGCTCATGCCTGTAATCCCAGCACTTTGGGTGGCAGAGGCTGGCGGATCACTTGAGGTCAGGAGTTCAAGACCAGCCTGGCCAACATGGTGAAACCCCATCTCTACTAAAAATACAAAAAAATTAGCCAGGCACTGTGGCACATGCCTGTAATCCCAGCTACTCTGGAGGCTGAGACAGGAGAATCACCCGAACTCAGAAGGCGGAGGTTGTAGTGAGCCCAGATCACACCACTGCACTCCAGCCTGGACGGCGGAGTGAGACTCAGTATCAAAAAAAAAAAATAAATTAAATTAAAAAATATATATTAAAAATGCCCATGTTTGACCCCACCTGCCTATGGAATCAAAGTCTTCACTGGTGAAAGGCACCTGTCGGTCTTTTTTGGCTCCTCAGGTGATTGTCAAGTGCAGGGCTTGAGAACCTGGGTTAGATGGAAGGGGAGACGAGAGTAAAGGTGATCAGACATTTTGGAGCATTTTCTTTCAAGGACACCTGTCTCACTTCTTCCCATGCCTCTTATATTCCTGAGGCTCTTTTATGTTGTAAATTAGACCCTAGCCTTCTTTCTCTACTTTTACACAACACGTGAGAAGTCCTCTGGGGAAACATTCTTCACACAGTTAACTCTGGTGGCTACAGTTACCTGTGCTGGTTCAGGGTTTGGCTTTGCTCCCTTTCCATGACTCCTTTCCCGAGATTATTGCCTGAAATATAAATGATGGGAAACAATTAACTGAAGTGGGATTAAAGAATTTAATGAAGGGGCAAGGAAAAGTTAGTCCCTCTCTCAGGGGTCAGCTAGTGGTTTCTTTGGGTGGATATTAGAAAGAATCTCTTTTTACCAGTTCCTCAATATCGGTGTTTTCAAAGAGGAACGGAAGAGGAAAGTCATCCTAATACATTCAGCGTATGGAGGGATATGATGGGCCAAACGCCAAACCCTCCTTGTCCCCATCCAAAATCTCTCTAGGAAACAGCTAATTTAGAGACACGGCTCCCGAGAAAGTATTTTCTATGCAAATAGTGCCATCTTGTGGCTGAAAGGAGAGTTACATGCTGATGACACAAAGGACCAAACCTAACGGATGTGAAAATGTGCAAGAACAAATTTTTCAGCAATGAATCCATTGAGTCATCCCACTTTCCTCAAGTTTTATAGCACAGATCAGGCTACACAGTGGCTTGGGGTGTCTGTTCTGTAGCCTGTGCTCCTTCTCTGCATAAGCACGTGGGCAGCTCTGCGGGCCTAGGACTTGTAAAAATCATCCCAGGAATCTAATTCTAGTCCAAAAGTGCTCAAACTTCTCGGCCTCAGGACCCCTCTATACTCTTTAAAGTTACTGAGGACCCCAAAGAGCTTCTGTTAATGTGGGTTAAATCTTGATATTTATGGTATTAGAAAGTAAAATAGAAAAATCTAAAATATTTATTAATTCTTTCAACATAATAGTAATAAACCTATTATGTGTTAGTATGAATAACATATTTTTGTGAAAAATAACACTGTTTTCCAAATAAAAAAGTGATGAGAATATTGGCATTGTTTTTACATTTTTGTAAATCTCTTTAGTGTCTGGCTTAAAAGAAGACAGCTGGCTTCTCACATCTGCTCCTGTATTCAACCTGGGATATATTGTTTTATTTGAAGTATAGGAAGAAGTCTGGCCTCACACAGATGTGTAGTTGGAAAAAAGAGGAGTGTTCTTATAGCCTTTTCAGGTAAATGTGGGCTTTAAAATATATACTAGACCACAATTCAACAAGTGGTAGTTTCTTAAAGGTTAGTTGCAATGTCAATCACAGAAGGCAATTACTGTAATAAAATCAGTTTTGACATCATGGACTCTCTAAAGGGATCTTGGGGATCCCCAAACATTGGTGGGCCACAGTTTGATGAAGAGCCCAGCTTTTCAAGATGTTTATATTTTGACATCTCCAGAGTGGTGTTTGAGAGGAATTGTCCCACCACTTTTATCACCTTTGACTGCAGGAGGTAAATGATGCTGTCACCTGGGACTGCTGTACACCTATGGGGACTGGGCAGGCTATGATGAGGAGGCATTCTTCTGGACCTGACCCACCAAGCGCCTGCCCTGAGCACGACCTCAGAGCTCTTCCCAGTGGCTCTCACTAGGCGGTGGGGGGACAACAGGCTGAGTCTATATGAGTTTTAATTTTAGGGATCCCTCTGGGGTTGTTGAATGTTTTTAATTTCATCGAGGCTTTTTAATCATGGGACTTTTAAATAATTTATTCTGGAAGAAAATTTTTATAATGTTTAAAACAGGGTAGTGTCTTGTTTATATTTTAGTTGGGCTTAATCGTAGGAACAGTGTTGGTAGATTTAGGGTGATTACTTTCATTTTTAAGGTGAAATTGAGCTGTTTTTGTCTTTTTAGTAATTATATGGTGGTTTTTGGCTGTGAGTAAAATATTAATGTTTGTTTATTAGTCTAGGTGGGATGATATGTTAAAAAGATAAAAGACAATAATTTGGATAAGTATTTAGGGTTCTCTTGATTAAAGGTTTTTTTTTAATTAAATAGGTTTGAGGTGAGAAATGGAGAGTATATTTGCATTATGTCTGTGGGTCATCTATTGGCACTTAGTTTTTTAATTGGTAAGCGTTGAAATAGAGACTCTTGTTTGAGGAGTCTTAGCCCCTCACCTAAATTGGGTATTTTGTTGAGTATGGGATGTGAGATTATACTTGACTTTTTTGATTTGTTTTTCTAATTAGGGGAGTTTGTCTTTTTTTGTATTTTTGTTTTTGAAGAAACTGGAGGGAAAAAGTTATAGGAGTTGATGAAAAAGTTGAAGGAGAGTGTTATTATTTTAGACCTTTGTAAGGGGAGAAAAAGTTGAAAGTAGTGAGACATAGTAAAAGTTGAACTTTTGATTTATAAATTTGAGAAGTTTTTAAAGAATGACTGTTACATATAATGCTCTAGTTATTTAAAATATTATCTAAAACTTTAAAAACACAGACTTTCCTCCTCAAATCCCTAAACTCTCCTCCCTTACTCCCTAGCCACATTAAAAATTCCCCATTTCTACTTTTTATTAAAACAAATTTTTAAAATCTTGCCTTCCCCACCTTCTTACTTTAATCAGATCAAATAAACATTTCTCTATCTCCAAACACCTGTGTATCACTATTTAACATCAACTACACACCAAGTACACAAACCTAAATTTAGACTTCAACACAAGCCTAGGGCCTGTGTCATCAGGAAACAGTTCTGCAGGTGCAATTCTGATATATATGGCCAATGAGGAGCCACCGACTGGGTCTCATTCTCTTCTCCGTACAGAGGAAATACCAAGACTCAAAGCTCAAAGTGACATTGAACAAGGAGGGTTGGAAGGAGGAAACACAATTTTAGCAGAGCCTATTATTTTCCTTCTTTGGCCTCGTACTGGGTATCACCCTCTTTGTTACCTCTCCTGGGCTTCTCCAGCTACCATCTTTGTGTCTATTTCATCAGGATGTGGCAGTCTCCCCACCCCACCCCCAGAGTGAGTAGCTGTCATTTTTGCCACCCAGAGCCACCTCAGTGTAGGAGCTTCTGGTGGAGTCATATCTGCCCACTAATCCCAGAGGTGGATTTGTGATTCAAGGCCAAGCCGAAGGACCCCGTGTCCCTGGCTAGGGTGGTTGGTTCAAGGGTGACCATGTGGTCAAGTCAGAGCCAGGGGAAGACAACAGACTTTTACCGTGAGTTCCAGGAGCCAGGCCTTTCACCCTCTTTCTGCTTGGCTCAATTAGGCAGGAAGTAGAGCCTGGGCTGCTGAAGGCTTCCCGCCACCCGATAGAGCCTGAGAATGGAGCCTGGAGAAAGTAGAGCCTGGAGATGGGGAGAGAGAAGCTGAGTCCTGAGGCCTGATCTGAGCTTCTCGCGGAGCTGCCCTTCAGCCCGCCCCCGTCTCTGGATGTTCCAGTACTGCTGGCAGTTCATTGCTGCCTTGCCTTTGAGCTGGGTAAGCAGATGTTGGTGCTGCATTTAAGTCGGCAGCTGCTATCATCCCCACAAGAACTGGAACCCACCTGTCAGCTCCCTGCCACCTCTGCTGTCCTTCATTCCCACTCACCTTACTTGTCACCATTACTGAGGAAGCTTAGCTATTCAAGTTCAGGTTCATTTTAATTTTAATCCAATAATCCACACTACCCTTCTTTAAAATGGTGGTGTTAAATCAGAAAAAGGGGACCTCTAGTGTTTACTGAAATGGGTAGGAATGTAGCATCTTGTTTACCAGGCAGACATGGGAAATAACCCAGAAGCCACTGCTGGAATGCAGCCGTCATCCTTTACCTCCTGGCTCCACAACATATATATATGTAGACCTCTTACAGTTAAATGCATTTCAGTAAGATTAAGGCGCTCTGCTAAAGAGTCTTTTTTTTTTTTTTTTTTTTTTTTTTTTGGGAGACGGAGTCTCCCTCTGTTTCCAGGCTGGAGTGCAGTGGTGCCATCTTGGCTGACTGCAACCTTCATCTCCCGGGTTCAAGTGATTCTTCTACCTCAGCCTCCCAAGTAGCTGAGACTACGGGCTCACACCACCACACCCAGCTAATTTTTGTATTTTTAGTAGAGACAGGTTTCACCATGTTGGCCACAACGGTCTCAATCTCTTGACCTCGTGATCCGCCCACCTTGGCTTCCCAAAGTGCTGGGATTACAGGCGTGAGCCACCGCGCCAGGACACTAAAGAGTCTTAATGAACCTGGTAAACCAGATTCTCAGCAACTTGTGATATTTCCGGGAAACTTTTTTAACAGAATGGGATGAAACATGGCCCCTTTTGCAGCATTGGATGTGGCCACGAGAGCCCTCTGTTGGAAGGGGTATCTCTCAGATCATTGGTACAACAGATGAGCAGTTGGGAACCTGTAGACTCTGAAGAAGGAAAGGTCAAAGTTCCATTTGTAGTCTTTCAGAATTAAAGGCTTGGCCTATAAGAATTTGTAGGGGTGGGTGGGTGGGGTCCTGGATCAACTGTGGGAAGAAGAAGGATTTTGTTCCCTGAATAATTCCCATTGCCGTTAATGGAAATGAAACTGTCAGGGCTACATTGGTTTGTTTTCATGGCCTCTGGACCAGGTTGCAGAACTGGCATTACTCATTTTGCAATAAAAAAATGTCTGGCCGGGTCTTATGATGATAGTTTATAAATGCCCCTGTTGGTTTTCTCTCTCCTTATACACAATCACTTTGAAGTTCCCGCAAAGTTAATATTTCACTTTGTTCCTAAGTCCCCATTTATGAACTTAATGAAGTCCAAGTATCAGAAGAGAAAGTTAAAGTTTACACATGCAACTTTGATTGTTCTCAAGTGACTCATTGGTTTAAAAAATTATTTAAAAAGTCAAAGCACTGTCATTTGCAAGAGACACTTTAATACCCAAGTTGAGGATTAGAAGTAAGACACAGAACTGTGGGCTATGCGTGTCCCAACACACCTTTAACAGAGTAAAAGCAGTTATATTTTACCACAGTACATATAAATTCCATGAAAATAATTCATGATATAAGGGACTTTTATTATGTTAATCTCAAATGATTTTAGGAAAGTTACAATTACTCCCCCTAGAAAGAACATTACATGTATTAAGCATATCATTGTTTTTAATCTATCATAAACTACATTATTTCATTCTGCTTCATGACAACCCTTAACTTCATTGTTCCTCCTCTTCCAACAAAGAAACAAGAAACCCGGGGCTTGGGAAAGCCAGGCGATTTGCCCAGGGTCGTAGAACTTGTGACTTGCGGGTCATTTCACGAACAGCCAGTTGCTAGAAGGTGGCTCGTCTGACTTCGAACAGGCTGTACTTTCCACTGGACCACATTGACACAGTGAGCAGATTTGCTGTGTGTCTCATTTTAAAGCTTCTAAACAAAGCGTTATATTAGGAATTATTTTCCTCTTCCCAATATCGGTACTCAGTGTCCTTGTGGCTTGATTCTAATCGTCTTCTGCTCTGGACTGATTTGTTCTTATGAAGAAATAGGTGTGGCTGAGGGAATTCCTCGAGAAGAGATGTGTTCATTACACACATGCCTGCCTCTGTGATTTCTAAGAGAACAATCTCTGTGTGCATTTTTAGCCTTGAGCTATATGAATTTGAAAAGGATTGGGCAATACTATAAAGCTCTGTATACCTTTACTATATCGCAAGGTGATGAGTCTGAAATGTGAGTCTTCAGACACAAGCATGTGTCTCACTTCTTCCAGTCATGATGGAGTCAGTTCAGATGAGAGGAAACTGAAATTGATGTTACCCTCCTGAAGGTTAGGAAGTGATGCCTGACCCAGCTCTCTCTCAGTGTAGCTTTGAAACACCCCCGAACTCTGGGATTGTAAAATGATATACATGGAGATTTTAATGCATTGGATTTTCTTTCCCCTCCAGTAAGTTCGGTGTAAAAATCAACCTACTCACAAGGAAAGGAAGAAGTGCTAGCACGCACGGGGTATTGACCACATACCACGTGCTATAGGGGTGGCTTTCAGTTTGTCACCTTCTTCCGTCCTCACAACGGCTCTGAGAGTTGGGAATTGGAGCGGTGGAAGTAACTTCTTCATGACCACCCAGTGGGCAGGGGAGCTGAAACCCTGCCGCCAGCTGTCCTGGCTTGAAGGAAAGCCTCTTCAAGAGCTCCTGGTCACCTGAGATTGACCACCGCCTGACCCCAGTGTGGCATGCAAGGCCTTTTCTGACCCTTTTCTTGTCACCCTGTCCCCCAACACACGCATGCACACGTCGCTTCACCTCAGCTGCTCCCTCTCCCTAGCTGTGTCCAAGAGGCCGGCAAAACAGAGCAATTCAAGTTTTCTGAGCCCAACAGCCAGTGTAATGCCTCTCAGCCTTTACACAGCATCTTCCAGTTCTTTGCAATGTCCCTCCCCATTGCCTTCCCCAGGCTCCTGTCCTGACTTGGGGAACTCCTGCCATGCTTTGTGGACCAATCCTGGGCATATCCTTCCCTGCAGTCTTCCCTGACCTACACAAGCCTGCCTTGGTTATACCTTCAGTTGGCTGCCTCTCTGTAGCTTAGATACAGTTCTCATTGCACTGAGCACACCCCACCGGCGTGTTCTTTCATTAATTCATTCATGCTTAACTATTAATAATTAATAATAATTAAATATTCATTGAGCCCCTAATCTGTGTGAAACACGGTGCTGCCAATTGCACTTACAACGACTAGCTCGGGATGGGCCAGTGACATAGGTTCAGTAAGGCAGCTCCTGGGTCTTTGCTGGAAGAATTAAGAAAGAAGTGGACTCTTTCTGCCTGGACTTGCTAAGGCACAGAACATAAACACGGAGCGACAGGGGCCACCTGGCTGGCACTTGGGGAGTCAGACATCAAAGAATGAAGCCATGGAAGAAAGCTGATGCTAGAGATGGAGAATGTGTTAAACCAAGAGCTTCATTCTGGAGAGGCTCAAGTGGGGAGTTCCCACCTTGGTTTTCTGTGCTGGTACATTTCTCTTTCTTTTTGTTCTATGCTATTTTGGGTGGAGTTTCTGTTTCCTATAGCCAGAAGAGCCCGAATGGAGTCCTAAAAACAAAAACAAAAACAAAACAGGCCATGCCTGGCAGAGAAGGCCCTTCTAAGGAAGGGAGTAGTTGGGCCAGCCTCGGGACACAGTTGGTGGAGGGGAAGGCTGCGAGGAGGGAGATGGCCAGGTTGGAGAGGGGGGAGGCTGGAGATGGGCGGGCTTGGGAAGGGCCACATAAAGTAGTCTCCAAAGTGTGGATCTTATGCCCAAATGGCTTAAGGAGCTGCCTGCAGTGTGATTTTTAGAAGGATACATTGGTGGCAGGGTAGAGGATGGGCTGGAGACAGAGCCTGGGGCTCTGGGACATCAATGCAGTAACATTGAGGCATCTGCATTTTTGCTTTCAAAACCCAGTTGCTGTAGGCAAAATTTTAAAAGCCCGCCTTTTCCATTTTTAAATGATGACACTATTACCAAAGCTAATTGTCATCTTAGACTTGTAAGTGTTGAAGGCCTAAGTTGGTTAAATTGTTTTTTGTAAGTTTTACTGGGTTTGGGGAGAAGAGTGGGAGGAAGCAGGAAACCCATTATTCCACGGGGTTGGATAAATGCGGCCCCACAGAGCTGCGTTAACCTACAGGGCTTCTGTGTTCAAGACATAACCTTCTATTCTGCAAAGCCCTCTGCCATTTTCCTTAAACATACACTTGGAATAAGTGATGAATGAATTAGCGTGTTTGCATTCTTTCTTCATTCTGCCTGCTACCTGCAAAGACAGAACTGTAGTATATGCCTTTCTCAGAAAAGCTGTGGACTTCAAATATTATCTCTGTTGAATTTTATCATAAAATAAAAAATACTCATTAACCTGAACTTCACAGTCTTAACCTTTAGAAGCTATGAAAAAGTTATCTACTAATGAAATAGTTTAAAGGATATTGAAATGGAAATGTTGTTACTTAAGAGAGCAAAGGTTTTCTTCCAACTCAGAGTATACACTTTAAAATGGGGTGAAAAAGGGCAGCAGTGTTGAGGCTGCTAATCATGTTGGCTCAAGTCCAGTAGTTCTCAAATTTTAGCGTACATGAGAATCCTGTAGAAGGTTTGTTAGTACACAGAGTTCCAGGCCCTCTCCCATCGTTTCTAGTACAGTAGGTGTGACCAGCGGCCCAGCTTCCCAGGAGACAGCCGATGTTGCTGGTCCGGGAACCACAGTTTGAAACCGCTGGCCCGGGCAGTAGAGTAGCACAGTTAAGTATATAAGGCAACTGGAGAAGTAAGGCTAAATGACAGTGATTAATTAGATGTAATCTGTAATCATATGCATATGTATGTATGCGTGTATATGTGTATGTATATGTATATGTATATTTCCAGCATTTTTATACTGACTCTCATAGAATATAAGCAAACTGCACCTTAGGCGTTCTCTAAGTAGTGATTGCTTTGATGCGACATTTCCTCCCATTGTGGAGCTCCTTGCTGGCCCCTGCAGGCATCTCCCCTGCAGAGGAGGTGCTGCACAGTGGTTAGAGCGTGGGCTTCAGGGCCAGTGGCTGTGTGGCTGAGCCCTCCTAAGCCTCCTTCCCTTCCTTTGCATGCCGCCGGGTAGCATCTCACCTGCACCTTCTTCGAAATACCAGCTACCTCTGCAGCGCGTCCTCTCCTTCTGGCTCCCCTGCCAGGGCCCCAGCTGCTCGCAGTCCTGAGCTGCGCCTCACTCAGTTCTGTGACCCCGCAGGACTTGCTGCAGCAAATGGGCTTTTGTATTTCCAAGGTACTTCATCAACATTTGTTGAGAAAAGGAAGGAAGAAAAAAGGAAAAGGAAGAGAGAGGGAGGAAGGAAGGAATTTTCCCAGGTTGCTCATTGTCTTTGTGACATTTTTTTACTGTAACCCTTTTTTTTTTTTTTTTTTTTAAGACAGAGTCTCGCTCTGTCCCCCAGGCTGGAGTGCAGTGGCGCGATCTCCGCTCACTGCAAGCTCCGCCTCCTGGGTTCACGCCATTCTCCTGCCTCAGCCTCCCGAGTAGCTAGGACTACAGGCGCCCGCCACCACGCCCGGCTAATTTTTTGTATTTTTAGTAGAGACGGGATTTCACCGTGTTAGCCAAAAGTAGAGAAAGATCCATTAGGCAGAAAACCTAGAAGTTATTTAGGTTGAACCGTAATGCCACTGTTGATACCTGATAAGTTTTTGATTTGCAAAAATCAGGCAATTTCATGTGGTTCAAACTAATATCTATTTAATACGAAGGTATATGAATCCTGGTAAGAATAACACAGTTTGCAAGTTTTAGAATACAGTCCACTAGGAGTGGATACTAAGCTTGCAGTTTATATGCTCTGGAAGGCCCTCTTTAAAAAAAATTAAGGCAAAAATACTAGTAAGGTATTGTAGATGGTGCCACGGAGAGGCCCCTGCCTGAGAGAACCTTGGAACTTGAGCATGTGCTTCAGAGCTTCATAGTAAAGACACGTGCTAGGGGCCTGGCTTGAAGATGGCAGCTCCTAGGACAAGCACATGTGAGGCTGGAGAGTCGCTTCTGAAGAATCTGTAGAATAGCACACCCACTTGGCAGGTAACTCAGGTGCCAGAAATCCATACAGTCTGCTGAGTCAAGTGGAGAGATGAAGGATTGCTGGAGCGCCTTGTTGGTTTTGAACGGTGCTATTTCCAAGACAAAATGAGCCTCCACGTCGGACAGACTTCAGAGGCAGACAGTTTGTCCTTTCGTGGAAGTTCTCACGTTCGTATGTTTCATGCATTTTCCCTCAGATGGGATGTTTTGGAGTGGAAGTGGAGCTAACTAAGTAAATGTAAGCCACACCAGGCAGACACCCAAGTAGGGAGCAGGAACAGAAGCTGCGGAAACTTCTCGCGGAAGCGCGGGGAGGAGGCATGATGCCAAACATGGAGTCCTTGGCATTTTCAGAAAAGTTGCTGAGGGGCTTGCAGGAGAGTTGTGAGATCCAGAAATTACTATTTGACTGGGGAGTGGTAGGTGCCTTTATTGGGATGCTTTAAAGAAATCCTAATTCCATAGTTAGCTGAGCCCAGCAAACACAAGCTCATATGTTAGGAGTGGATGTCCAGAAAATGAATTCTTTTTTTGTTTTGTTTTTAAATCTGGAAGCATGGCTTATCTGATTGCCCTCTGGGCTTAGCGAAAGCATACACCCCGTTGAGTATTGTGTTCTGGGCCACAGCCTAGCTGCTACTTCCCTCAGTTTCCCTCTGTCCAGGGGCTAAGCTCACTAAGATTCATTGGTGGGAGGTGGAAAGACCAGGACTCGTGGTCTCCTCCCTCGATTTTGGAACATGGAACTACCAGACCTGCCAGGATGGTGCTTTTTTCCTTGGCGTGCCTAATTTAAGTGTTTAAAATGCAAGTATTTTTAAACAAATTTGACAACCACAGGATGTGTCAATTAGCACTCTATGTATCTGGTAGCTCTGCCAGTCTAGCCTCGTGCTTGGCGAAACTCAGCAACATGAATATTCATTAATAAGCCCATAAGAGGGATTCTGATGAACTGAAATTCTGGATTTTGAAGGGCCAGTCAGGATGACTTCTCAGCGTACCAGTATGCAGTGGGCACATGGTGGCAGTTCTTTTTTTAAATTTTCCAAGAACTGACAACTGTTAGGCCAGTCTTGGGTGTGCCTGTGTATAAAGTTTCTAGCAAACTTAGAGTCAACTTTCTGGGGTAGACACCTCAAGGCTTTGTTTAATTGTTAGTTAGATAGTTAGAAATAATCACCACCAATTTACACCTAGCACAGTGTTCTGAATCTACTACCAGATTAAAACTCAGTCTAGAGGTATTGGGAATACTGGATATTCACATGCAGAAGAATGAATTTGGACTCTTACTTTTCACCAAATACACTAACATTAAATTTATTAACTACCTACACATAAGACCTAAAATTATAGAACTCCTAGAAGAAAATATAGGGGAAAGCTCCATGATATTGGGGCTGGCAGTGATTTCTTGGATGTGACACCAAGAGCACAGGCAACAAAAGCACATATAGACAAAAAGGATAATATCAAACTTAAAATTTTCTATGTGTCAAAGGATGCAATCAACAAAGTGAAAAGGCAACTTATGGAATGGGACAAAATATTGCAAATCATATATCTAATAAGGGTTTAATATCCATAATGTATTTTTAAAAACTCCTACAACTCAACAACAACAACAACAAAAGTAAATAACCCAATTTAAAAATGGGCAAAGGACTTGACATTTGTCCAAAGATGATACTCAGATGGCCAACAAGCATATGAAAAGATGCTCTACATCATTAATCATTAAGGAAATGCAAATGAAAACCACAAGGAAATATTATCTCACACCGGCCGGGTGCAGTGGCTCATGCCTGTAATTCCAGCACTTTGGGAGGCCAGGAGTTCCAGACCAGCCTGGCCAACATGGTGAAACCCCGTCTCTACTAAAAATACAAAAATTAGCCAGGCATGGTGGCACGCACCTGTAATCCCAGCTACTCGGGAGGCCGAGGCAGAAGAATTGCTCAAACCCAGGAGGCAGAGGTTGCAGTGAGCCAAGATCATGCCACTGCACTCCAGCCCAGGTGACAGAGTGAGACTCCATCTCAAAAAAAAAAAAAAAATTATCTCACACCTATTAGGATAGCTACAATTAAAAAAAAAAGTAACAAGTGTTGGTATGGATGTGGAGAAATTGGAAGCCTTGTGCATTGCTGCTGAGAATGTAGAATGGTGCAGCTGCTATGGAAAACAATATGGCAGTTCTTCAAAGAAACAAAAATAGAATCACCATATGATCTAACAATTCCACTTCTGGGTATATAGCCAAAAGAATTGAAAGCAGGATCTCAAAGAGAAATTTGTATACCCATGTTCATAACAGTATTATTCTCAATAGCCAAGAGGTAGAAGCAACTCAAGTGTCTATGGATGGATGAATGAATAAAGAAAATGTAGTATAGACATGCAGTGGAACATACTTTAGCTTTAGCTTCAAAAGGAAGGAAACCCTGTCCTGTGCTGTAACATGGATGAACTTTGAGGACATTATGCTAAGTGAAATATGTCAGACATATTCTGTCTAAGAATCTTTGTTTATACTAAGACAAATACTGTCTTAATATGAGGTATCTAAAGCAGTCATATTCACAGCAACAGAATGTGAAATGCAGAATGGTTGTCAAGGGCTGAGGGGAGAAGGAAATGGGGAATTGTTCAACAAGTTTTAGTTTTGCAAGATGAAAAAGTTCTGGAAATCAATTGTACAACAATGTGAGTATGCTTAACATTACTGAACTGTACACTTGAAACAGTTAAGATGATAAATTTTAGATTATATGGGTTGTTTTTTCTTCTTTTCTTTCTTTTTTTTTTTGAGATGGAGTTTTGCTCTTTTGCCCAGGCTGGGGTACAGTGGTGCCATCTTGGCTCACTGCAACCCCTGCCCCCCAGGTTCAAGCGATTCTTCTGCCTCAGCCTCCTGAGTAGTTAGGATTATAGGCACCCACCACCTAATTTTGGTATTTTTGGTAGAGACGGGGTTTCGCCATGTTGGCCAGGCTGATCTTGAGCTCAGGTGATCCACCCGGCTCAGCCTTCCAAAGTGCTAGGATTACAGGCGTGAGCCACCATGTCCGGCTATATGGGTTTTTAAACCACAACTAAATTTAGAAAGAAAAACTCAATCTAGAGAAGCAGATAGTACCAACACCTTTCTTGTACTTTCAATGAAGGTCAACTCAAGTTCATTTCTCTTGCCCAGCACCAGAGGTTGATCTGAAGCCAGCCTGTCTGAGAGTCAGCAACAGAGTCAGCCGCACTGGGACTGTTCAGATCTTCAGCCTACCCAAGGGCAGACTCCCCAAATTAAAAATTACCCCCCATTTCCTGCCTTTGGGCTACTTTAGTGCCTCTCAGAAGTGTCCTCAGGGAAACGGCTCTGGAAGGAAGTAAAACTGAAGGCAGAGCTGGTAAAAAGTTCTGTGCACAGAGGAATGTGAGGCTACTGGCTAAAAACGACTGGGTTTCAAGTAGTCTTGCACCTGCCGCCCTAACCACACATAAGAGAAGTGACTATTGGGACAACCAAAGCTCCTTGATGCCTGCACTTCCTCCTGCTTTATTTCTTCATCTCCAAAGGGATTCATCCAATGACTTCTTTTGGCAGGAACATTCTAGCTCAGAGAAGGTGAGCTGAAAATTAAGAATAGCTGTTTGAGGAGAAAGTGAGAGAAGGGCTCATAAACGTCTGAGATAGAATGTACGTGAATGTCCATGAAGGCAACCACATGCCTGTGAGTGTAAGTCACACAGGAAGGTGCTGGCCGATGGTTTGTATGAGAGCACCCCCATCCTTGCCATGGCCACATTAAGAAGCTATTTGAACACCGGCCCATATATATTGTGATTTTCTCAGAGGGGAAGATTTAAGGGACTTGAAGAAAGCAGACAGCGTTTCCTACTGAAATGCTGTCAGGCAAGCTATGCACAGAACTTCCAGTCACATATTTGGTGACTATTAACATGGGAATCACCGAATATGGGTATATTTTTATGCCACATAGGGACATAAAATTCCCTGCTATAATAGAAAAATGTAACATTCTCCTTTGAAATATCTGTACTCTGTTTAAATTAGCAAGTATACATGGTCAGAATTCATGTATTTGTGTTAGTTTTCCAAGTGAGGATTTTTTTAATGACTTTCTCTTCCGGGTCAAGTGTGTTAATTTTAAGGATGACTTTAGCACTTTTTATTATAATGGATCTTTTTTAAAAGAATGATGGAAGGTTGGGCGTGGAACCTCTTTCAGCCTGAGCTTTAAGCAGCCCTTTGAGTGACCTGATGGATGTCAAATACACACAGGTGCAGCAGCCGGCACCCGCCAGGTGTGCTATCAATTCCAGCCACTGGTATACTACTAGTTTTTAAGGTAGTTCCAGAGTCATGGTTAAAAAATGAAGTCTCTGACTGTGATGTTTCCTGCATGATCAAGGTCAAATTTTAAAGTCATTTTCCAGATCTAATAGACGGCCTCTCTCCCTGGCCACTCTCTGAGCAAAGTAGCCATAGCTGAGATTTTCCTTCACAAATTAAATATATGTATATACTTAGAGAAGCAGTTGCTGATGTTTTGAAAAAGGAGTATTTACTTAGAAAAGCAAAACAAATTAGTAAACTGCTTGCTTTACATAAATAAACTCTTTGGAATCATGTGGTATTTCTACGAGATGTCAGGGCTATTACCTGTGGTCAGATAAATTTGCATCTTACAAAGCTAACCAGGTTTCTTTTTCATAGGACTTCTCGGTGGGCTAGCTTACCCCAGAAATCTCCCAGAGGGGCTGGAAGCTGAGTGGTTCCCACTTTTATCTGCCCATGGAAAGCTTTCAGTGCTGGACATCTCTCAAACTAATGTTCTGAGAAACACACTTTGGGAGAAGTGGGGCAAATGCAAATGAAAAATAGAGAAAAAGCTTCCATGTTTAGGGGTGTGCTTCGTAACTTACACTGTTACAGCTCTTTTTACATACTTGACTTGTTAATTCTACTTCCTTCTTCAGGCTGCTTTTGACTTTGGCCTGTTCGTACCAAACCTTGCCTATCAAAGCGTTATATAAATTGCTATAGAAAAGATTTCAACTGAATTAGGAACACCAAGGAAATGCTTTCAATTCCCAGATTCATAGAATGTTAGCACCCAGGGTGGAGAAAAGAAGGAAATGACGGGGACGTTTATTTCATGCTTATGTCCCAGCCCAGTGATGGCCAGACTTGTCTCCCCTGACAATCAGTGGGTGCTGGAATGCACTGCCCCTGCACCCCGCAGGACTGAAGACTCATTCCCCCAGCAGCTGGGCAGGCTGCAGGCAGACGCCCCCAGGTGAAGGAAGCTGTGTTGTCCAAAGCCCACATCCAGTGACTGTGTAACCTGAGGGTATAAAAGCTCAGCTTCTTTGCTGCAATTTGGGACAAGTCTGAAGGACCAGCCACACTTCAGAATTCCCTGGGGTCAGCTGGGGTTTTTGTTGAGACTGCCTTGCCATACCTCCCCCTGCCCAATCTTGCATCCTGTGCATGCCACTGGCCTTGGAATCTGCTTCCCAGAAAACCTGGCCAGCAACGGTTCTCCAGGAAGGACGAAATCTCAGGCTAAAACTGGAAGTGGAAAGTAGCCACTTTATTTTCTTTTTAATTCATTTTAATTTCCATCTCAAGCTTCCATTCTGCCTAATGGCAATATCATAGTCTTTGTCAATTTAGAGTAAATTCAGCCAGTTCAGGGATTCCCTCTCCCCACTTCCCCCTGGGCTTACGTCTCCTTTCCATGGGACTTCAGGAGTTGTCATCTCTCTGTGCCAGAATCCATTGAAACATCCCATATCCTGGTCGCAGGCTGGTTTGTAGTCCATGCCCCATTTGTAGCTGCATCCTTTTTGGCTCAAATGCCAGGTCTTACCTGGCGGCTACCTCTCAGTGCCACGTCCTTGCCACTCATAGCTGCAAGGGAAGGACCATTCTTCTGCCTCCCACTCATGGTGGGCTACTTGGGGACAACATGAGGTTGCCTAATTTGCCACTATAGAAATTGTTTGTTTATAGGGCGGAAAACCCACTATAGTAGAGTTCCATTGTTTAGCACTGAAGTATTATTCAAAGTAAGTGATTTAGAGTTGTCCAGAAAGTCCTAAAGAAGAAGTTATTTTTTGGTGTCCCTGGGTGAAATAGAGGCCGTCAGACATGTTCTACAGAAATAGTTTTTAAATTAGTT
This sequence comes from Homo sapiens, assembly GCF_000001405.40. Lineage (NCBI taxonomy): Eukaryota > Metazoa > Chordata > Mammalia > Primates > Hominidae > Homo > Homo sapiens. The sequence goes on from NC_000007.14 coordinate 29,424,225, forward strand.
CCATGCAACCTCCCACATTGCTTTAACATATCTTTATTGAGTACCTTCCATTTATGGGTTTGTTCAAGATGCCGGGGACATAGTAGAGAAACACATAGGGAAGACCCTTGATCTCCCCAGTTTTTTTTTAAATAGGAATTTGGTCCCTATTAAACCAGGACATCTTCAGCAGTGATTTCAATATGAGGACCACAAACAAGATGGCATTTGCTTTCACTTCCCCTGTCGGAGTTAGGTGAGATCCCACTTTCGGTGGCCTCCCCCAAGGGAACATCAGCACTACCTTCTGCTCAGTCAATTGTCACAACTGTTGACTCTCTAAATAGTCAGCAACTTAGACTTTCTCCATGAATTGGCAGTGCACAGGCCACATCTGGCTGACAGACATGTTTTGACTGGTTCGTACATTGTTTTTAAAAATATTTTTAATTTTGGAGATTTTACAAACATTTGGATTTCTAGTTTCTCTTTTTTAAAAAAAATCTGTTAGGCCAAAGTTCACAGCCTCATATGGCAACCAATTTAGCCAGAGTTTAAGTACTGCCTCGTCCACCGCGCTGCCTTCAGATGGGGCAGGTGCTTTGCAGTTCAGCACAGTCTGGTCAGACAGCCACCCTCCCTCACCTCCTTTACCCTCTGGCCCCTGGAGGCCTATTCCTGGAGGATTTTGTCTTTACATTAATCAAGGCTGACAAAGCTGCATCCTGGAGCTTGTGATTCTGGCCCCACCTACTATAGTATTTACCTGACCAAGCTTTGGCTTGGTGCTTTGCACCTGCATCAAGAGATTTGACAAGCAGTGGATGTTGGTGACTCACACACTGTTGATTGTGATGTGGACTGTTTCACACCCTTAACAACCATCTCTATGACAGCCATTGGTGTTGATTGAGAGATCTCACTCGTTCGCTGTCCCTCTAGCAATGATAGGATGAAAGACCCAGCCCCCCTGCGGTTGGGTGAGGCCATATGGCACTTCAGACCAGTAAAGTATGAAAGGAGATGATGTAGATTTCCAGATGAGTGCATTGTCTGCCTGTGCAAGATGCCCAGAGCTGTCTTCTCCTCCCACTACTGCAATCAGCAGCATCCAAGATGGTGGGTGCTGCCAGCTGAGTCCCGGAGGGAGGAGACACGGAGCAGACCCCCAGCTGAGGAACAGAGGACATGGAGCATGATTGAGATGTAGATCTTGGTAGATACAAGAAACTCAGGTTTTGGGATCTTTTGACCCTGCAGCATGACCTAGCCTGTACTGAGTAATACAGTCCATAAAAGAGACTTCTCCAAGAGTCCTGAGAAAAATTCTTCTTAGAAGCTGGTTTCCACTTATCTTATGGATCCTAAGAATCTTCTTTAGCTTCTAGGAACTTTAGACCTAACTGTAGCAGAAGTGGGGTATTCGGGTAGGTGTTCTGACTTTTCCCCTGGTTTAATCTTATTTTTTCTACTTCTTATCATATTGTAAGGAGGCTATGATTTTTTTAAGGGAAGATCAATACTGTATATAAAAATAAATTATTATATTGATATAATTTACTTTCAAATACATGTATATGTCTCCCTTGAAATAAATTAATTTGTACTGATATAAAACAATTAAAACCCTGAGAATTTGCTGTACATATCTTACAGGGTGTGTGCATGAATGTGGTATTTAACTCTTGGGACTTATCCAGAACTTCTTTTTAAGAGTGGACTGTGGGCCGGGTGTGGTAGCTTACACCTGTAATCCCAGCACTTTGGGAGGCCAAGGCGGATGGATCATGAGGTCAGGAGTTCAAGACCAGCCTGGCCAACATGGTGAAACCTGGTCTCTACTAAAAATAAAAAAATTAGCTGGGCATGGTGAGGCATGCCTGTAATCCCAGCTACTCTGGAGGCTGAAGCAGGAGAATTGTTTGAGCTCGGGAGGTGGAGGCTGCAGTGAGCCGAGATCCTGCCACTGCACTCCAGCCTGGGTGATAGCGAGACTCTGTCTCAAAAAAAAAAAAAAAAAAAAAAGAGTGGACTGCAAGAGAGGTTAATGGATTGTAGGACACTGGGATTTTTGCATCAGAAATGTTGCCTTCAGAAATATCTTACCTTTTATATGGTTAATAATAAACAATTATGGACTAGTAGTTTAAAGTTGCCAGTGGTAAAGTGGAAATATTTATAAGGAAATGTGTGATTTGAGTTTCTTTTACGTATTTATTTTTGTTTGTATAGGAGAACTTGCTGGCATTTAGGGTTATTTGCCATTAGTTGCTTGAAGTAGTGACAACTGCCCCTAGATTCCTTCCATGACCTTTAACCCTAGCAAAGTCATTCTTGCTTAAAAAATGACATGAGACATATCCAGTCTCTCTGGAGTTACCTTCACTACTAGTTTTCTATTGCTGTGTAACAAATTACCATAAACTTAACAGGTTAAAACAGCACTCAGATGTTCACTCAGTTCTGTAGGTCAGAAGTCCAGCAGACTCAGCCAGGTTCTCCACTCAGAGTATCACAAGGCCCAATTAGGCATGGACCAGGCGGACTCTTATCTGAGTGCTCTGGGGAGGAATGCACTTCCAATCTCATGCAAGTTATTGGCTGGATTCATTTCCTTGAGTTTGTAGATATGAGCTCCTTACTTCCTTGCTGGCTGTCCGCTGGGGACTGGCCATTGCTCCCGGTGGCTCCCATCTTCCTTCTCACATGGTCCCTCCGTCATCACGTCCATCTGCCAGTGTCAAGTCTTTTTCACACTCTTAATCTCTCTGACTTCTCCTTCTGCCCACAGCTGGAGAAAACTCTCTGCTTATAAAGGATTCATGATTATCTGGCTGGGTGCAGTGGCTCATGCCTATAATCCCAGCACTTTGGGAAGCCAAGGTGGGTGGATCACTTGAGGTCGGGAGTTCGAGACCAGCCTGGCCAACATGGGGAAGCTGTTTCTCTACTAAAAATACAAATATTAGTTGGGTATGGTGCACATGCAGTAATCCCAGTTACGTGGGAGGCTGAGGCACAAGAATCTCTTCAACCTGGGAGGCAGAGGTTGCAGTGAACTGAGATTGTGCCACTGCACTGCTAGCCTGGGTGATAGAGTAAGACTGTCTCAAAATAAATAAATAATAAAGGATTCATGATTATCCACCTAGATCACATCCCTGTCTTTAGGTCGACTAATTACATCTGCAGAATCCCTTTTACCGTATAACATAATCATGTAACATGATGTCACATGGCATAATCAGGGGAGTAACTTTAGGTGTCAAAGGTCATAGGGGGCATCTGAAATTCTGCCTACCACATCCTCTGTCCACTCTGCTACCTCGCTTCCATAGTCTTTGGTAACTGCATTTCTCCTGTTTATCCGCTACCAACTCCCATCCAAACTGGTTGCTACTCATATATCTGTTGACCAAGCAAGCTATTAGTTCAAGTGTATATTTTTTATTCTTTTTTTTTTTTTTTTTTTGAGATAGAGTCTCACTCTGTTGCCAGGCTGGAGTGCAGTGGCGCGATCTTGTCTCACTGAAACCACCGCCTCCTGGGTTCAAGCAATTCTCCTGCCTAAGCCTCCTGAGTAGCTGGGACTACAGGCATGCACCACCATGCCCAGATAATTTTTGTATTTTTAGTAGAGACAGGGTTTCACCGTGTTGGCCAGGTTGGTCTCGATCTCTTGACCTCATGATCCACCCGCCTCAGCCTCCCAAAGTGCTGGGATTATAGGTTTGAACCTCCGCATCCGGCCATTTTTTATTCATGTTTATGTGACATGTTTGGAATAGGTGGTGCAAGATGGTGATGAGAAATATTTGGGTAAGGTTATAGGCAGCATGGCAAAGTAATTGGGAGCACTTGGAAGCACAAACTCTGGAGCTAGCTAAACTCGTTTACTAGTTGTGTGACTTTGGATATTCACTTAATCTCTCTCTGCCTCAGTTTCCTCATCTCTAAAATGGGGACTATGATAGCAACAACTTGGCAGGATTGTTGAGAGGAGTGAATGAGTTAGTAGAGTGCTTAAACAGACCTGGCACAGGGTTACCACCACATGAGTAAGCATTTTAATTAGAATAATGCCAGATGCTATAACACATACATTCCCACATCTTAGTGGCTTAATGCAGTCAAAGGTCATTTCCCACTTGCATCATGGTCCAATGGGGATGTTTCTGGTTGGGTTGCATTGTTTGTGGTCATTTAAGAACCCAGACTCCTAACATCCTATGGCTCTCTCTCTAAATCACTGGCTCTCAAAGTAGATCCAAGAACCCTGGGTTCCCTGGGACCATTTCAAATTCAGACCATTTCCACAAGGCCCTCCTTTTCCAACTGTGTCTCTGCAAAAGCCTGGATTTTTTTTCATATTCTTCAACCAACACAACAAGTGAAATATAGGACCAGATGTGAGAATCCAACTGTCTTCTATCAAGTTAGATAACAAAGAGATTTGGAAAAACGTGACATAATGCTACTTTTGTCATTTTTTTGTTTGAGCCAATATGGTTAATTTTTATGTAAAAACTACTTATATTAGCACGTAGGGCCTATAAAATTTATATTTTTGTATTTTTAATGTATTAATATTCTGAAGTTTTCTTTGTAAGTATAAACTGATGCAACCCACAGAAGCAAAAGCTTTTTGGGGTCCTAAATAAAGAATATAAAGAGGTTCTGAGACCAGAGTTGAAGATGCAATGATGTAAATCCTGAGAGGCTTTTCTGGTCAGCTGGAAAATGAGTCTCTTTGGGCCGCACTGGGGAGGTTTCTATGGGCCAGTCCTGGAAGTAGCACATCATTTCCACTCGCATTTTCATTGAGTGGGGACTGTAACTGGCTACTGCTCAAGAGAAAGCAGAAATGGATGGGTCACCGCCTCCCAATCTTTACAGTAGTTGACTGTTTTCAAGGGTTTATTGCCTCTTGCCCTATGCATATCACAAGTATCTTGTTTAGTGTTCTCCAAGAGCAATAACATTTGGTTTCATATACTCAGACCACTTCAGAAAATTCCAGAATGAGCCTAGTTTTTGCCCTAGTCATTTGGAAGTTGGCAGACACTTATCTGAAATAGCTATGCATTTAACCAAGTAAGTAAAAGAAGAGATATCAGTCTTTTTAGAATCAGGTGGTATTGCAGTAAGAGTGAAATAGTCTATAAACATTTCTGATCTCCTTTGAAACTAACAGTAAGAGATGGTGGGAACTAAATTTAGAGACTCTTTTGTTTGTTTTGTTTTTGGTTCGCTTTGATATCTGATACCAATTATATAAAATCTACTTTATAAGTTGAGAAATTGATGACCTTTGACAAGAAACACACAGGTTGCCCATCTTACACTTTTTGGAACAAAGCATGAGTTACACACACACAGACACACACACACACCCATACTTCAAGGTTCAGTTCCCTGGAATATGTGTTCAAGGTTCAGTTCCCTGGAAAATGTGATTGAGTTTTATACTAAAGCTTTGAGAGCAGGACTTGAGTGGGTCCTAGTACAGACTTAGATAAAATTATAAGGTAGAAATTTGATTTTTATATTTGTTGTGACTAGATTAATTTTAGATGTTTATATTACATATAAATTTGGAAATGTATCTAACAATATGGTGTACTTTTGTGCTTTATATGGACTTTATTATATATAGGAACCTTGCGTAATTAGCGTATAGCTATTTAAGCTTCGTAGCTATATCTTCGATTTCATATGCTGTTTGTGTTATAATTAATTGGCAGTATAAGACCTCTGTAAAGAATAGAAGCACGCTGTTCCAAGGAGAAAAGGTAAATCCACTTTAGGATGCTCCCCTTTAGGAGGCCATTTCTACTGTACTTAGAAAGAAACACGCTTTGCATAGGATATATTGCTTAATATTTTCTTAGAGTTTAAAGGTAGCAAATCTTTGTTGAGTAACAGAGTCCAGCTAAAAGATTTAAACTGTGCAGGGCATTTGTTGTTTCCTGAACAGAAAGGCCAAGATATGGTGGTTTCAGGATGCGTTGGAGCTGATGGTTTTGTCATGGACCCAGGCTCTTTTCATTGCCCCTCTGCCAGCCCCACTACATGGCCTACCCCCTTGATTTGGTCAACAAGTGCACAGGAAGATTGCTGTTCCATCACAGGTGTTAAAAGCTTTAGACAAATTAAATTTAACGCAGTTTAGTTGAGCAAAGAATGATTCTAGAATCAGGCAGTCCCTAGAACCAGAATAGGTTCTGAGTGACTTGGGGCTGCCACGTGGTCAGATAACATTTATGGACAGCAAAAAGAAAGTGTTGCACAGAAAATGAAAGTGAGGTGCAGAAACAGCTGGATTGGTTACAGCTGGGCCGTGGCCTTTTTTGAGTCTGCTCTAAACAACTGGCCACATTTGGTTGGCTAAAGCTCAGCTACGAGAGTAGTTTACACATCAAAAAGTCTGTTTACGCATCAGAGTAGGTTACCATTCACTATGTATGGAGATGAGACACCTTTAGGCCAAACTTAAAATATGTACGAAGGCAGTTTTAGGCCAAGCTTAACTTAACAGAGGCATCACGTGACAATGTCCTAAGCAGAGGGTAAGAAAGATGATAGCAAAAAAAAAAAAAAAAAAAAAAGGGGACTTCTCCACTTCTCCATCCCTCCCTTTACAGGAGAAAGCCTCTCCCCAGCGGACTTTCCCTCACTGACCCCTGCTCTGTCCCATGCCCTCCTGTAAGCCAGTCATTGACAAAGTGAACAAGGAGCCATAATTGGCTTGGACTGTTCTTAGTCAATTCCTGGGATCCTTGCATGTTGCTGCCTAAGCCTAGTCAGGGTCCTGCTGGCGAGTAAGAAAGAGAGAGTAACTGGGGGGCAGAGAATCTGCCCCCAAGCCTAACCAGTAAGCGTACCTGGTATAGGGAACACCCACAACTCATAGAATATGATCAAAGTGCAACTGTCCAATTAAAACGCTTACATTTAGGGAAGTTTTGCCCCTGCTCCTGGGATAAATGCTCTGTTATGCCCCCTGACTTTTCTAGCCACTTGTAGCTAATAGAAGGCCCTACCATCACTTTCAATCTCAAAACACAGGCTTATTTTGACAATCAGAATTCCTAGTCCTGAATAATACTAGAAAATCCAAACTGGATTATAGAGTTAAATCTCTCCTCCCTTAGCCACGGCTAACTTCGGGAGGGTGCCTGCTGCCTGGCAAGGGATGAGATCAGCTTCTTCCCTCATATTTCACCCTTGTTCCCTAGCTCACTGCCCATAGGGTAGGGATGCAAAGAGTGGGGAGAGTTCTTCCTTGACTGAGACCATCCTAAGAAGGCTTCACACTTACTGGGCATGGTGGGCACGTTTGTGGGTTCTTAGAAGGTTGGTTGGTCCACTAGACCCCTCTGACTACAGTTCTTGCAACAGAAGAAATACATAAGTGGCGATATAACTTCTTCTAAACTGTCTGCTAAACCGGACAGTGAAAGTGGGAGTGAATGGGGCAGGGGTAGTCATGATTTCACCAGGCCAACAGTCATGAACCGAGACCATCTAACACCTGTATTGGGCAATCAGGGAGGAGGGCCACAGGGCCACCTTAGCAATGCACAGATTCTCCAGTGGCCACACTCCCATCAGCCCCTGCTTTTCCAACAAAGAACTCTCTTTTCAAGTCCCTTAACCTTCCAGATGGTCCTGATGGCCTGATTTTGAGAAATGCTCAGTTAGGTGGAAATGCTATTGCTTTCCAGACAGGGCCCTCTCATCTCACCCTGCGGGCTGACAGCCTTGGGATCTCACCCTAAGATGGCTCAGGTAGCTTCAACTTCGGTTAAGTGCCCTCCATTTCTGCAGGATTTAGGGGTTTGGGACTCACAGCTGAGTGGATCAAAAGAATCTCCTTATGAATCCTTTCCTAGTGTTCAACCACCTTCCCTGTTTTTTTTCACTGCCAGTGTGAGTGTGGGATCTAAGAGTTGTGAACCGGTTTTCCCTGGTTCCTTTGATACACTGCCTTTTGACGGTGTGCCTCACTGTGAAATTCCGTAGCTATTCCTACGGTGAAACATTCAGTCATAACATCCTGACCCAGAAGCATGAATGATATGTCTTGCTATAATACAGTGATGTCCCAATAGGCTATTGGCATTCTTCAGGGGTCCAAGTTCCCACAAGGGATAGCCCAAGGCTAATACCTTTTCTAGTCTAGTATTGTTTGCTATTCTCTTCCTGCTGTCAGCTATGAACTCTACCCACTTCCCTCTCCCCATAATTTGTCTCCAAGTTTGCTGATCAGGGCAACCCAGAAAGCAATGGAGCTTTTCAAGGTTGGCCAATTAAAGGATCCTAACTCAGGAATCTATACTATACTCGCCTACTAAGCCATAAGTACAATGGAAGTGTGGGTATGTGCTGGAAGGAATCAACATCATTAGTAAATACATATGGAAATGTGATCCATTTCGCTGTACCTGGCAGACCTGTATTTAATAGTTTTAGACTGAAGAACAGAGGACAACAGATGTAAAATCATTTTATAATGATCCCTGGATTATTTTGGACTAGCTATGCGTCACGGGTAATCCTGGTTTATCTCTCGTTGTTGTTTTGTTCATCGTTAGGGTATTTTCAGCAGCTGTCCCTGGCCTTTTGGAATATAATTATGTTTTTCTCTGGAGCTATAATTTGTCTGCTGCAACCAGAAGAAAAAGGTTTGTGTGGAACCAGAGCTGACAACTGGGAGGCTGTAGCTCCGGCATTCTTCTGTTGGCGACAGCTCTGTAACTCCTAGTGTATAAAAAGACATTCCAGAAAATGGTTACCAAAAAGAATTCTTGCACGGATATAGTTTTTCCATCAGAGGGATCAGCTCTTACTGGCAGGAGTGCTTTATTTAGGGCTATTTCTTTCATTCAGTGTTTAAGTCAGCAGACACTTATCATGACCCTATAATGCCAAATGCACAGTGCTACATGCCGTGGGGGGAGATTTTTTTTTGTTACACTTTGGCAAAAAGTGATGTGTACACAAAGAAATAGAATACAAAGTCATAGTTGCTTTATGTTCTATTGTGATAAGGTCCGGAAACCCAAAAAGGACCTTTGGGGTCAAGGAAAATCTTGTGAGTGAAATGGGATTTGAAAGATGTGTAGAACTGGGAAGGACTGGGCTGAAGGGAGTTGGCAAGAGCCAAGGTCACGGAGTAGGAAGTACCAGTGTATTTTCCTTGTCTTGACCATAAGTGATTATTTATATTACAGTGACTATTTAATGGATATAGATTTTTTAGAGTGAAATGAGACGTACAGGAATAAACCAGAAGTGTCGTGGACAAACCTAGATGTAGAGTTGCCTGATCTAGAAAGAACCTTACAGGGCCGGGTGCAGTGACTCACGCCTGTAATCCTGGCACTTTGGGAGGCCAAGGCGGGTGGATCACCTGAGGTCAGGAGTTCGAGACCAGCCTGGACAACATGGCGAAACCCCGTCTCTACTAAAAATACAAAAAAGTTAGTTGGGTGTGGTGGCACATGCCTGTAATCCCTGCTAGTCGGGAGGCTGAGGCAGGAGGATTGCTTGAACCCAGGAGACGGAGGTTGCAATGAGCCAAGATCATGCCACTGCACTCCAGCCTGGGTGACAGAGAAAGACTCCATCTAAACAAAAAAAAAAAGGAAGGAAGGGAGAGGGGGAGGAAGGGAGGAAGGGAGGAAGGGATGAAGGGAAGAAAGGAAGGAGGGAGGGAGAGAGGCAGGAAGGAAGGAAGGAATCTATCTTACAGTTCTCTGTTAACCACAACTGAAAGAGATAAACCGGTAGTGTGTCCTGGATGTGCACCAACCTCTGAGGATCTTCCCTCTTGGCCATCTTTTCTTCCTCTCCTAATTTGTACTCTTTTCCTTGGTAAAATGAAAAGTGCACTAAGATAGATTAGGTGGTGGGGGTTTTGAACCTCACCAGGAAAGCCTATGCAGTTTCACTTTCTTTTGTAAGTATCTGCATTCTTTGCCCCGCATCACCACACTAGTCAACTAGATGCTGCTAATGTGGTTCTGATTATAACTCGTCTGCATCCCAGAGAGCTAGGAGTGTCTGTAACCCACCATGTTCTCTGCCATGAGAAATGTAAAGGCCCCTTGTCAGTTTCATCAGGCTGCTATAGCAGATACCATGAACTGCATGCCTTAGAACAACAGACCTTTTTTTTTTTTCTTCTCAATTCTGGAGGTGGTAAGTCAGAAGTCAAGGTATTTTCTGGGCCATGCTCTCTCTGAAGGCTCTAGGGGAGGATCTTCTCTGGCCTCTTCCTAGTTTCCGGTGGTTGCCAGCAGTCCTTGACTACCTCATTCCAATCTCTGCCTCCATTGTCACATGGCATTTTCTGTGTGGGTCTCTGTGTACAAATTCCTCTTTCCTTATAAGGAATCCTGTCATTGGATTAGGGCCTATCTTAATCCAATATGACCTCATCTTAACTTTATTACATCTGCCAAGATCCTATTTCCAAATAAGGCCATAGTCGCAGGTACTGGGGTTGAATATATCTTTTGGAGAAGGTCACCACAGGTCTAAAGACATAGTTCTTTCCTTCAGAAACTTGTCATGTACAGTATTTGGAAAAGATATTAACAGGCCAGCACAGTGTCTCATGCCTGTAATCCTAGCAATTTGGAAGGCCAGGGCAGGCAGATAGCTTGAGGACAGGAGTTTGAGACCAGCCTGGGCAACATGGCAAAACCCCATCTCTACAAGAAATACAAAAAATTAGCCAGACATGGTGGCATGCACCTGTAGTTCCAGCTACTCAGGAGCTGAGTTAGGAGGATAGCTTAAGCCCGGAAAGTCAAGGCTTCAGTGAGCCAAGATTGCACCACTGCACTCCAGCCTGGGCAACAGAGCGAGACCCTGTCTCAAAAAAGAAACAAAAACAAGCAAACAAACAAAAAAACCAACCAGATCATAATGAGAGAATGAAAAATAGAAGCCAGTAAACATATCCATCTGTTCATCAATTATTTTTTAAGAGCCAAATGAGAGAAACCAAAAGTGAATGGTTTAGGAGAGGAGAGTGATTTCCAAAGCTTGGGCTCTGGACCAGAGACCAACAGCTTCTGCATCACCTGGGGGAACTGTTAGAAATGCAAATACTTGGGTCCCAGCTCAGACTTTCTGAGTCAGATACTGTGGGGGTCACATGTCACTTAATGACAGGGATTCATTCTGAGAAGTGTGTCATTAGGTGATTTTGTCATCATGCAAACACCATAGAGTGTACTTACACAAAGTAAGTGGTAGAGCCCACTACATACCTTGGCTGTATGGTGTGGCCTATTGCTCCTAGGCTACAAACCTGTGCAGCATGGTACTGTACTGAATTCTGGGGGCAACTATAACACAATGGTGAGTATTGTGTATCTAAATATATCTAGACACAGACAAGGTACAGTTAAAATTATAATATTATAATCTTATGGACCACCATGGTATATGTGGTCTGTCATTGACCAGTCATTATGCGGTACATGACTAAATTTTAATAAGCCCTCCAGGTAACTCTGATACAGGCTGTAGGTTAAGAACCACCAGTCTAGGAATTCAGAAAAAGCACTTTTCTTCAAGCTGGAGTGGATAAAACTGCCAGCAGCAGCCAAATAAATCATTAAGCTGAGAAAAAAAATTATGCACACTTCTCTAAATCCTATCAGAAGCGCCTCCTTTTTTTTTTTTTTTCTTTTTTCATGTTTTGGATCATGAGAAGGGGTGAAAGTTGGATTCTAGGAGATAATCGGCCCAGAATTTTAACTAAGGTGTGGAATGAAGCAGTCTTCTCTCACTAGATTTTGCTTGCCCTAAAGATGCAACATCTGCCCTGTAAACACAAATGCAGCATGCATGGCAAGCCCTGGAGTGACGCCTCAAGTTGGAGACCATAGAATACTAGAGAGGCACACCCAAACCTTTGAATTCCCTCCAGCCCTGGGGATCTCCTGAAAGGGCATATTCTGATTGGGGACTGGGCTGGGGTTCAAGATTCTGCATCTCTCAGCAGCTCCCAGGGATGCTGGGCTGCTGATCCAGAGACCACGCTTTGACCAGTAAGACTAGGGAGCATGTCAAGGACTCCAGTACCTATCCACATTTTTTAAAGTAGGTAAATTGGCTTTTATATACCTATGCTTATAGTTGAATATTTTGTTTGAATATTGACTATTATGCTTGAATATTGATTATTTGAATATTACGCTTGAATATTGATGGGAAAAAAGCTGCCAACTTATAGGTGCTCAACAAGCATTTGTTAAGGTACAGTTTTGACCTTGGAGTTTCATTTCAGTCCCCGTTGTCCCCAGCTTGGCTATGTGAAGGGCACCCTGACCCTGGACTAAAGAGAGACAGCCCTGCCTTCTGATTCTTAATGGCATTTGGTCTCATGCACTTCCAAGGATTGTGCCTGGTGACACCCCCCAAAAAAGTATTTGAATTCTCCAAAGACAGACTATAGACCACACCGTTTGTCCCCTAAGTTATTAACCAATCATGTGAATATAAACCAACAAATTTCTGATACTTCTGATTCTCTCTTAATTGGGATGATATTTGAATAAATAACTTCCAGTGTACATTCAGTGAAATAGGTTCCTAAGTATTGGGCTTACAATACACATTCACAGAATTCCCCGGGTCTTAAACTTTTATATTCCAATCAATCCTAACCTTTTTTTTTAAGCTACACTTTAATATCAGTTTATTGCTTCTTATTAAAATTAATAATAATAATAATAATAAAATTTACTCTTTGATCTTACTGTTACATAATATGCTCACTGAATAATAAGTAGAGGATACAGATAAGCAACAAAGATAATAAAGGTTTTTGAAATCCACCAGAGATACTATTTCCTGCCAATGTCTACATCTATGTAAATATATATTTGTTGTATCTTTAAATTTTAAATTTTTCAGTATTTTATTGCCATATTCTTACAAAAGTCATTTAAATATTACATCTTCATTGTACACAAATTAGACAATAAAGATTTAAGAAAACATTTGTTGAGCATCTGTACCTGACCTAGTAGAGATTTCCAAGGCCATATGCTGGTGCATATCTTCTCAGCATTTAAGATATCTAAAACCGGCTGGGCGCGGTGGCTCACGCCTGTAATCCCAGCACTTTGGGAGGCCGAGGCGGGCGGATCACGAGGTCAGGAGATCGAGACCATCCTGGCTAACACGGTGAAACCCCGTCTCTACTAAAAATACAAAAAATTAGCCGGGCGTGGTGGCGGGCGCCTGTAGTCCCAGCTACTCGGGAGGCTGAGGCAGGAGAATGGCATGAACCTGGGAGGCGGAGCTTGCAGTGAGCCGAGATCGCGCCACTGCACTCCAGCCTGGGCGACAGAGCGAGACTCCGTCTCAAAAAAAAAAAAAAAAGATATCTAAAACCATAATAGGCCAAAAACCTTAAGAATCCAAAAGCAGCTTCTTCCTGCTAAGAGGCTTAGCATAATTTCTCTCCTGGGTAGATAGCTCTTTGCTTAGGGAAAAAAAAAATACCTATATAGATTATTTCGAAAGAAAAAGCCTTCAGAGCATAGTCTGAAAAAGACAGGAATAAAATAAAAAGCTATTATATCATTTATATTTAAGTTAAATATACAAATATATATACATGGAGCCCAGAGGGGTCAGAGCAAGAGGCTAGAGCTTCATTGGGGTGTCAAGGTCAGTAAGAATGGCTGAAGAGCTTTAAGAACCCAGGTGTCTAACATATAATTTTGAGTGGATTTCTAGATGATACTTTAACGAAGCTGTCCCTCCTGGTCTTACCTCACCCTTATCTCTTAGTGTAGTAAAATCTGCAACACATGTAGATTTGAGAGTGGAACATATGGGGATAATGGTGATGTCTGTCATGGATACTGGTGGGCAGAAAAAGGACAGTCAATGAAGGGGTAAGACACAGAGCAGCGTGCAACTCTAGCCAAAGCAGGAAGCAGTTCCCAAGGGGGCATACCCCACACCAGCCTCCAACACCCAGAAGTAGCTAGAGAACCATTAAAATTTTTTACCTATTGAAATAAACACTATGCAGATTCAAGAGATTCATGCAGTTCTACTTAAATCTGGTTAAAGTAACACTAGAATCTTATTATTTGGCAACTCAAAGGCTGGTTTTTTTTCTTTCTTAGCAATTTGTTCTGAACATATTTCTAGATCACCAAATAACCTTTAACAAAATCATTTTTAATGGCTGCGTAGCAATTCATTGGATGGATGCACTGTAACTAATTTAACTACCTTCTATGGTTAGATGTTTAAGTTCATTCTTTTTTTTTTCCATGTTAGAAACAACTCTGCAATGAACATCCTTGTAGCTAAATCTTTGCAAATGTTCAACTATTTCCTTAGATTAAATTTCAGATATCTATTTTACACATTTGCACTCATATTAAGATGGATAGCCAGTGTAACTTTACCTACTTTGCACTGTTTGGGGAACCTCTTTCCTCTCCTCTTATGCCATGAGATCATGTGATTTTTGTCCTGTTTTATTTTGTTTTCAGGAAATATCCCTTCATATTTTGTATCTCCCTTTGGAACATTCTGTTTTAGATAGCCATTACTGGTTGATTAAACAACCTTTGTTGAGAGTAATATTAGAAACAGACAGTTGTACATTGTAGAAACAATTGTTTAGAACTATTCACAATATTATTTTGAATTCCTCTTCAAACATTGGAGAGGCACTGATACTGTTTTCCTATTATCTTAGTTTCACTGATTCACTGACTAGTCTATAACCAGAGATGCCTGTTTACCTCATATCTATCAGAGGGCTAATGAATGTGACATTTGCCTCATTAACCTATTATTCATCCTACAAAACCTACTGTTTCTTGAGAGTCTGCTGTATACCAGGCCTATTAAGGAGGTTTTGCCTGTATTGGTTTTCAGAGGACAAAAAGGAGACTTCCCTAGTTGTACAGAACTAAACAGTCTTGTGTCATGATATTGTCATCATGAATATTTACACATATGTGGGTGCCATTGGAATAGAAAACCAGAAGCCAAACTGGACATGTAGTGACAGGGACTTAATCTTTTTCAGCCTGGTATTCTGAGTACTTAGGATGGAACTTTGCCTGGTATATAACAACCATTCAGTAAAATTGTTGAACTGAATTTAACTGGCTTCTTCCTGTTCCTTGACTCTGCCATGTTCATTCTCACCTTAGAATGGCTTTGCATGTCTGGTGTTCTCTGCCTGGGGTCTTCTTCCCCACAAGATCTTTCCATTCTTGCGTTTTCTTGTCCTTCAGGTGTTGGCTCCAGTGTCGCCCCTCTAAGAAGGTCTTCTTCAGCTGACCATCCTCACTCAGGCCCTCTTCATCCACATCCCCCATATGACCCTCTGCTGTCTGACATCATCATCCTCAGTGATATGCTTGCTGGCTTATGTCCTGCTTCTGCTCAGTAGATGAGTGAGGTTCCTGTGTCTCTTATTCACAGCTTTGAGCCTATGGTCCAGAATGGTTCTTGGGACATAGTCAGAAATATTTCTTGATTGAATAAATGACCTAAGTATAATGTAAAACAACCACTGTGGATGTTGAATTAAAGCCACACTAACAGTAACTCACACTTGTCTAGCACTTTATAAAGTATTTCCATGCACATTATCTCATTAGGTTCTCACAACTCTGTGGAGTTATTATCTCCATTTTACAGACAGGCAAACCGAGTCTTGTGAAGGTTAATTAACTGGTTCAAGTTCCACCTAGTAAGAGAAGGAGCTGGGACTTGAACCAGGCTTGAAGTCTGACTGTAAACCACATACTGGTGACAAGAAATCATTTTGTCAGAACTATCTTTTAAAGAAAGCGAGACTCCTAGTACAGTATGTTTAGAAACAAAAATTTATGTACACATTGAACACAACTCCAAATTCTGAAAAACAACAAATTCTAGCAAGGTTCATCCCCCTCACTGATTATAGCATGGTAGTTTATCTGCATTAAATATGCTCTTTTGTGGCTAAAATGTAGTATATACCTAAGACAACCTCACAAACATAGCATTTATAGGATACAAAATGTTTGTGCAATTCAGTCTTTAGCCAATGGCAAAAGTAAAAGTAACAGTAATCAGTGAAAATAATATATATGTTAGAGGGCTTGAATGCACAATGGTTATCATCACTATACAACAATTAAAGAGTGCACAGAGGCTGGGCGTGGTAGCTCACAGCTGTAATCTTAGCACTTTGGGAGGCCGAGGCGGGTGGATCACCTGAGATCAGGGGTTCGAGACAAGCCTGACCAACATGGCGAAACCCCATCTCAACTAAAAATACAAAAATTAGCCAAGCGTGGTGGCACATGCCTGTAATCCCAGCTACTTGGGACGCAGGAGAATCTCTTGAACCCAGGAGGCAGAGGCTGCTGTGAGCTGAGATCATGCCACTACACTCCAGCCTGGGCAACACAATGAGACTCCGTCTCAAAAAAAAAAAAAAAAAAAAAAAAAAAAGAATGCACAGAGAGGAAAAGGAGTTTGAGAAAATGCAGTGCAAAGGACTGCTAATCTGCTTTCAAGGTGTGTGATATCCAAACCCGTCATCAAAATAAGAAGAAAGCCCATACATCTGTGGCCAATTGATTTTTTGGTAGAAGTTTTTATTTCATATTTCTCCATTTTTTGACTTGAAAGATACTAGAACTTATTTTTTGTTTTTTATTATTTATTGACAAATTATAGTTGTATATATTTATGAGGTACAAAGTGATGTTATGTTTTTTTAATACAATGTGAAATGATTAGATCAGGCTAATTAACATATCCATCACCTAATATTTGATATTTTCTATAATGAGAACATTTGAGATTTACTCTCTTAGCATGGGGAGGTGATAATCAAAGTACACAAAGCCTCAGTTAAAGAGAAGAAATAAATTTCATTTTTTTTTGTTGAGATCCATGTCCAATTGATTTTTGACAAGGATGCCAAGAGCATTCAATGGGAGAAAGAATGAATAATCTCTCAATTACATAGTGCTGGGACAACTGGAGATCCTCATACAAAATAATGGAGTTGGGCTACCTCACACCATCTACATGAACTAACTCAAAATGGATCAACAACCTAATATTGGAGTGAAGACTTAAAAGAAAACATTTCTTTGAAGAAAACAAATGGCAAGTCTTCATCACCTTGGATGTGGCAATGGATTCTTAAATATGATGCCAAAAGCAAGAGCAAGAAAGAAACATAGAAAATTGAATTTGATCAAAATTAAAACTTTTGTACATCAAAGGATATTGTCAGAAAGTGAACAGAGAACCTACAAAATGGAGTAAGATACTTGAAAATCATATATCTGATAAGGCTGTTATATTTCAACAACCAAAAGACAATCTAATGAAAAAATAGGCAAGAAACTTCAATCGATATTTTTCCAAAGAAAATACACAAATGGCCAATAAGCACATGAAAACATGTCCAACATTATTAGTCATTAGGGAAATGCAATCAAAACCGCATTGATATTACCTCACACACCCTAGGATGGCTATAATTTTTTTTTAAAAAAAGGAAAATAAGTATTGGTGAGGATGTGGAGAAATCAGAACCTTCATACATTGCTGGTGGAAGTGTAAATTGGTGCAGCCTCTGTGGAAAACAGTCTAGCAGTCCCTTACAAATTTAAAAGTAGAATACCATATAACTCATAAATTCCATATCTAGGTGTATAACCCACATAATTGAAGACAGGTACTGAAACAACACTTGTATACAAATGTTCATAACAGAACTACCCATGGTAGCCAAAAGATAGAAACCTGCCAAATGTCCATCAACACATGCTTGGATAAACAAACGGTGGTATATACGTACAGTTGAATATTATTTGGCTGTAAAAAGAATGAAATTCCGATACGTGCTACAACATGCATGAACTTTGAATTGTATACTTTAAAATGGTTCATTTGATGTTATGGGAATTTCATCTCAAATTTAAAAATCTGGAAAGAAAGGAAAGAAGTGGCTCAGAAGCCACAGGAAGGGTATTAGTTGTAACTCCCCATCAGGTCAGATTCTCATGACTCAAATGGGTGCATCTCAGGTTACAGTGGCCTAAAAGCTATAGTGGTGTATGTGGGAGGGAGGGTAGACACGTGCCAACCAAATAGGATTAGGCTGCTCTGTGCAGGGTTGATTGAGCTCAGCCTGATCTGCATGGACACCAGGGCTTTTATTTCGAAGGTGGATTGGCTCTATTTGTTGTTGCTATCTCTGCTTAGTGTTATTTGAAGGGCTCTTTCAGTTCCAGACTGTATAAATAACAACAGAATCGTCTGTTGATAACTGAACCATCCCACTCTGAGAGTTCAGGGTATTTACCTCTAATTCCCAATACCCACAGCCAGGTTTCAGTGTGCACACAGCCTGACCTGGTGGATTTCTGCCATTAAACTATTTCATTTTCCCACATGCAAGAGTGTCATATGCATATATTGTGTCTGTGTTCTCATGTCAATTTATACTGGGCATGTATCCACAACCATTCTCCTAACTACCGCTAAAGTAAACAATATTGTCACTGATACTGCATACATACGAGGTCGTTTTAAAACAGCCATTTATTTTTTCAGCGATTAATACCTGAATGCTGCCTAGGTTTTTCCTTATTTATTCCATTTCTATGATTTTCTCCACTTAATCCCCATCGCTTTCAATTTCATTGAATTTCTTTTTTTTTTTTTTTTTGAGACGGAGTCTCGCTCTGTCGCCCAGGCCAGACTGCAGACTGCAGTGGCGCAATCTCGGCTCACTGCAAACTCCGCTTCCCGGGTTCACGCCATTCTCCTGCCTCAGCCTCCCGAGTAGCTGGGACTACAGGCGCCCGCCACCGCGCCCGGCTAATTTTTTGTATTTTTAGTAGAGACGGGGTTTCACCTTGTTAGCCAGGATGGTCTCGATCTCCTGACCTCATGATCCACCCGCCTCGGCCTCCCAAAGTGCTGGGATTACAGGCGTGAGCCACTGTGCCCGGCCCAATTTCATTGAATTTCTAACTGAAATAGAACTGAATCAGAGCAGAGGTCGTCTTGCCCATTTGGATGTATAAGCTGAGAAGTACTGAAGTTGGTCAACAGCAGATCACATATATGACAGCATAGCCTAGGTACATAGTAGGCTCTGCCATCTAGGTTTGTGTAAGTACACTAGGTTTGTGTCAGTACATCTGATGATGTTCGCACAATGACAGAATCACCTAATGATGCATTTCTCAGAACGTATCTCTGTCATTAAGCAATACATGACTATGTGTGTGTGTGTATATATACACACAGGCACACATCTGTCATCATAGGTTCTACTCTTCTGTGTTTACAAACAACCTCAATGTCTCAGTGCCTTACATGGCAATAAAGATTTATTTCTCACATGCTTTTCATGGGTTGGCTGCATCTCTTTTTTGTGTTATCATCATTCCAGGACCTAGGCCAAAGGAGCAGCCCTTATCTGAGACGTGCTGGCCTCAGGAAAGAGGAGGGGGTGAGAGAGAGATGGCAGGGGGGTGAGAGAGATGGCAGAGGTGTGAGACAAAGGCTCTCCCTGCTCCCACTCAGTATTGACTAATGTTCCCTCCACTCACATTTTATTACCCAAAGCAGGTCATATGGTCAAGCCTAATAAGAACTAGACAAGAACTTGTTAGAACAAGAATTCAGGAAAAGGCAGGAAATACTTGAGGAAGTGTCTACCATTATATTATGGTTCCCACATAAGGCTTCTCTAAGTTTTGCTTTATCTAAGATACTCACCCATGGTTTTGCTTATAGAGCAACTTTCCAAGCTTCCAGTAGTTTAGAATTGTGAAAGAAATTACCATTATAAATTTTATTTATGCTGATGGAAAAAGTAATATAGTCTTTGAAACTTGAGTCCCTGTAACAAACAAATAAATGGATTAACAGTGTAAATATTGGAAGTCTATATATGCATACCTTTTTTATATTTCAGAATAAAAAATTCTATTTAACCCTTTGTAACTAACACCGGAAAATCCTATTTCCCACTCATTTCAGTTATCTATGGCTGCATAACAAATTACCCCAAAATGTAGTGACTTTAAACACCAAGAAGCATTTGCCGATGATTCTGCACGTTGGCCAGGGCTTTCAGAGATGGCTCATCTCTGTTCCACATGGTTTTGTCTGGGGCATTTCATCTGGGCCCAAGGAATATCAATGACCTCACTCACCTACTTGGCACCTGAGCTATTGTAGCTGAAATGGCTGGAGGCTGGCTGGGCCTGCCTCCCTTCAGAGTCTGTCATCCTCAGTGCCTCATTCTCTCTCTCCACGTGACTTCTGTTTCCAGCAGCAGTTCAACTTCTCTACAAAATGACTCAAGGCCTCTGCAGGCCTAAGCTCTGAAGTTTTATAACATCTTTTCTGCCATATCTTTTTGGCTAATGCCAATCACAGGACTGGTCCAGATTCAAAGACAAAGAAACTAGATTCCACCTCTCAATGGGAGGAGTGGCTTGCATATCCAGAGATGAGAGGAATTTTTAGTAGCCATCTATGCAGACAACTTACCACACTACTCTTGGACAGTTTGCCCACCCTCAACCTTGAACCAAATAGGATATATGGTACCAGATCTGCCTCATACATTTTGGGGGTTGTTAGTTTCTAGCAGGCATTCGATGGTTTGGATACCTTTGAAGACACTTTAGGAGGATTACAAGAAAGGGGAAGAATCTTGAATAGAAGAAAAGAGAGGTTTATTCTGGATCTGAAGCCTAGAGATCTGAGCAGAATGAAGAGATAGAGACAGAGGCTACGCAAAATTCTCTCCCATTTTAGTCTGTTGGTCCCAGCTGGTATGTTTGGTTAGTCATTCTCCTCCACGCTTTCTTCTGGAACAGAAAGTTAGTGTCAATTCTGGAGAAATCCCACCAGTACATGTAAGTAGACTAGTGTGGAGCCCAGACCCACAGAATAAGTAAGAGTCCCAGCTAGATTCTTATTGGGAACACTGAGAACCCTACCTCCTAGCCAGACTTAAGGGAACAAATACCCCAAACAGGCCTATCTCATCCCAAACTCATGTCTCCTGTTAATGGAGGGAGTCTCTGAACTCAGTTAATACATTTTCATTGCCAGACTCTGGGAAATCATGAAATGAATTCATCTGGCCACCAAAAATGTGTTGGTACATGTAGATTTTTTATTACCATGATTTGCATAAATTATGCAAAATCCAGCTCTGTATTATGTCCTTAAAGCATAATAGTACTCTTAATCAGCTGTAGCCAATTAAGCAGTAAATGATTAGCATAATAAATCCTGCACTGTTGTGAGAGCCGTCAGTAAAACTGGTCTGCAAAAGGACCGTTTTTTCTTTTTTAAGTTTAGATGTTTAACCCATTATTGTTTTTGTTGCCATTTGTAATCACTGCTATAATCAACTCAGGTTTGCTTTTTGTTGGGGGTTCTTGTTTTTTTTTCTTGTTAAATATTTACTGTTACCAAACAGTAAATATTTATTGAGTCCCAAGGAGCTAGAGTAAATTTGATGAAATTCTATAGCATTTTCTAACAAATTAAATAAATCGATCATCAAATGGGTGAGATCAGATTCAGTTTAGTCATCATGGTAGTACCAAAGGCAAAGAAATTTAGGTCTCCAATTACGGAATTCCAAGCTTGCAAGGGCCCCCGAGATTCTTGCCTTACTGTGGAGCCGGAAGTGGCTACTCGTGCAGCTCTCTTGAAAGGCGAACATCTAGCTCAATGGTTCTCAGCCTTGGAGGCACATGAGCATCATCTGGGAGCTTCTAAAAACCCTGATGCCAAGGCTATACCCCAGACCAATTACATCAGAAACTCTGGGTAGGGAACAGAAACAATAGTAGTTTTTACAGCTGTCCAGGTGATTTCAGTGTACACCCAAGTGTTGATAAAAGACTACACATTAGTGTACACTGCTCGGGTTACAGGTGCACCAAAATCTCAGAAGTCACCACTAAAGTATTTATCCATGTAACTAAACACCACCTGTTCTCCAGAAAACTATTGAAATTTAAAAAACAAACAAAAGAACAGCAAAAAAGAATCACCTTTTTAGACTAACTCCTGCCAAGATAGAGCAGTAGGGACCTAAGATTGCCCTGCCTTAGGTCCCTACTATATGCCTTAGATCCCTATGTGTATCTATATCTCAAAAGTGTTTCAGAAACTGGACATCAGACAACAAAACAGTGATCCCTGAGAGTCTGAAACAAATGAGGTTAGCTCTGCGATTGCCCCAGCTGACTGCCCTGAGAGAATGTCCAGGCAGATGCAGGGAGGGAGAACTCAGGCAGGGCCCAGGGGACTTTCTGAGTTGCTGTGGGTCCAGCAGCTAGAGTTCACACGACCCGGTAAGGAAGATGAGAGAGCTGCCCAAAGAGAGAAATGGAGATCTGGGTTACTGTTAGGGGTCTCCCTGGAGTATTCAGCAGATATCAGTGCAGCAAATTCAGCCGTATTAGTGCATGCATGTAACAAAACTAGCGAGGCTAGGAAAAGAACCACACAAAGGATTAGAGGAAACAGTGTTGACATTCATACTGGGTCAGAAATAGTGGTTTTCTCCACCAGCTGGAGTGGAAAGTCTTATCATTCATGGGGCCTTGGGAGAGTACTCAGGATGCCTCCATCTCAGGAGTGGGCCACACTTAGCCCTATCTGAGCCCAGCTCCAGATCCGCCCGGCAGATCACAAAAGCAAGACACAAAAGGGTCAAACTGTTTCCAAGTAACTTTAACTGCATCCAAAAGCGAAGTTGAAGAACATTTATGGGAATACAAACATACCCAGCGCCTGGCAAGGTAAAATTCAGAATGTCAGTCAACTAATGAAAAATTACAGATGGGGGAAGAGGCAGAAAAACATCATCTATGAGGGGACTAGTCAATCCAGAACTAACAGAGATGCTACAATGAGCAGACAAGGGTGCTTAAATGGGCGTTATAACTGTATTGCTTATGGTCAAAAAGTTATGTTGAGACATGGACCATATAAAAAAAGATCCAAATCAAACCTTTAGAAATGAAAATTCTAACGCCTAAGATGTAAAGTACACTGCATGTGACTCACAGCAGACTAGAAATTGCAGAAGAAAAGATTAGAGAGATTAAAGACAGAAATAGAAACTATCCAGGAATTTTTTTAAAAACAAAAACATCATCAGTGAGCTGTGGGACAACTTCAGACAGTCTGATATATGTCTAACTGGAGTCCCCACACAGATGAGAGAGAAAGGGAGGACACAAAAATATATGAAGAAATAATGGCCTCAAATTTTCTAAATTTGATGAAAGCTGTAAACCCAGAGATCCAAGAATCTTAGCAAGTCCCAGGCACTAAAATCTATACCCAGCACATCATAATCAGGTACCTCAAAACCAGTGGTAGGAGGGAGGGGTTTCAAAGGAGCACAAGGACAGTTTTTGGTGAGAGGGATATGTTAATTTTCTTGAATGTGGTGGTAGTTTTCCAGGTATATAGATAACATGATATGTGATATGAGTGACAAGTGAAAACATTTCAAGTTGTGCACTTAAAATATGTGCTGTTTATTGTATGTCAGTCATAACCCCAATAAAACTGATCTATTAACAAACAGTAACAACCCTGGGTGCATATTAGAATCACTGGGAGAACTTTGCAAAAAAATAGAAATTTCCGTCTTCAAAGGTTCTGGTTTAGATAGTCTGGGATGAGGCCCAAGCATCCGTATTTTTAAGAGCTTGGCAATTCTATTTGGCAAGTTTGTTTGAAAATCACTGGAAAAAGGAAACTGCAGAAACCTTCCCCATTTACATGAGCTGGTGGTTAATGACCTTTATTCTGACTAAGCAGTTTTATATTTCAGGGATATGGCCCTTTGAGGTACAGTGTTAATTTCCAAGTTCTGAGTTTTCTGTATCTAGTCTTTCCACTTATAGGTACGCAATACCTTATTTTATTAAAGAATGGGATTTTGATACCTCTTTCCTTATTTTTGAAACTTTCTGGGTTTTTTTTTTCTTTTAGAACATTAATAGCTTCTTGATATTCCCAGAACTTCACAACATCATGCTCAAAGTGGGTCCATTGATTTCTTAGTCGTTGGAAATGATCTTGACCTAGTCATCTGAAGACTTCTAAACTCCACTTGAAGAAACACACAGCAGCTTTCTCCTAATTCTTTCTTTAGTTTTTACTTTTAGTTTATACATCCCAGCATGTCACTTCCCTGCTTAAAGTCATTCTTCACCAGCTACCCCACCCCAAGCTTTTAGATGTGACCCAGTCTCCTAATACATCCTGTAAGATCCCGCCTCATAGATCACTACCCACTTCCCTTACTTTCTTCTTTCTAGCCATAATGAATTTTCATTTCTGTAATAGATCACCCTGTAACTCACCTCCAAGTCTTTGCAAATTCTATTCCCTTTGCCTGAAATATTCTCCTGGGCTTTTTCTCACTGTTTGGCTATCTCCTTCTCATCCTTAAGGTCTCAGAGGAGTCATCACTTGTTTTGGGGAGTTGGGGAAGGCTTTGTGCCCCAGAGCACACTATATCTCCCCCACCTTAGCAGTTATTGCTCTGTATTATAATTGTTTGTTAGCTTCTGTTATCCCCAACCAGACTGTAAACTCCTTGAGAACAGAAACCAGTCCTGGCATCCAGTACAGGGCATGGTCCATACTAAATGTGTGCGGAATTTAATTCACTGTAAAAAATGGTGCTACCTCGCCCTTCATCAAACCCAGCATTTCTGATTTACAAGTTACCAAGTCAGCTCATGGACATTACTGCTCAAATTCAGCCATAGGAGCTTCATACTGCAAGAGAGACTTGATAACTTTGCAGCATTAAGTTATTTGCCGGCAAGTTAAACTTAGCAGAATAAACCCAGAGTGAAGTGTTTCCTTATTATTTCACACAAGGGAAAAAGCAGAACAACTTAGGAATTGCAGGAAAAATGGGAGGCTCTAAATAATTAAGGTGTGTTGGAATTAAGGTGAGTGTCTGAAAAAAAATAATCTATGTGTCAGGAAACCTGGTTTGAAGCGGTAATAATGGAAAGCAAATCTGAAGTTGTCCTTAAATCAATAGAAATCATTCAGATTCTTATGGTGGGAGACTAATAAGTCAGAATCCGTCCTGCAGGCCCAGAACAGAGGTAAATAGGCATCATTTTGTAAATAAAGTATTATTGGAATACAGCCACATCCATTCATTGAAATATAAAATATGGGAAAGTTCGTACTACAATGACAGAGTTGAGTGGTCCAGACAGGACAGAGACTATATGGGCTACAAATCGTAAAGTATTTACTGTTGGTACTTTACAGTTGCTGATCCTTGAGCTAGGAAATGAATAAGATTATTTGCATTCATTCAGAATCATTTATGGAGTTCTGTAGTATGTTGAGCACAGTGCCTGGCTTATAGTTAACTCAAATAAATGTGGGCTGTGATTGACATTATAGTGGTTGGGCATTGATGAACAGACACTGGGCTCAGGTAAAGGCCCTGCTACAGAAGGCAGGGGTACAGATGTTCAAGGCATGTGAAGTAATTTAGGCCAAGGCCAAGCCCAAAGAGCAAAGACAAACTGAGCTGGGTGGTAACTTGGTGTTTACTCTGTTCTAAAGCAAACCACTCTTGGAGAATGTTTTTATCACTTTCTTTTCTCTATTTCCAGAGAAAACGATCACAGGCCAAGCTTAATTTGTGGTTAGTCAGTATTTCACTCTGAGTTCCGTGAAGTGGCTTCCAGGATCTTCCCTAGGGGATGTGGTACAGGTTTAAGAAATTCAGGGTGTGTATTTCACATCAATTGAAGAATCTCTTGAAGGCAAACAGAAAGGTTAGTTTCTTCTGTTTGCAGTGCACACTTTTGTTTGCATGTGAGCATGAATCATCAGTCTCCTCACTAAGCATAATCCAAGCAGACGAAGCTCAAATTAACACTAAAGGAAGGTAGCAAGAATGAGTTTGTTTTTAAGGATTTTGTGGTAGGCAGAATAATGGCCTCCAAAGATATCAGATCCTAATCCCTAGAGCCAATAACTGTGACCTTACCTTGGCAAAAAGGTTTATGCAGATGTGATTACATTAAGAATCTTGAGATGAAGAAGAATCTTGGATAATCTTTGTGGACCCTAAATACCAGCACCCGTCTCTTTTTAAGGGAGAGGCAGAAGGAGATTTCACAGACAGTCACAGAGGAGAAGTCCGGGGGAAGTGGAGCAGAGAAGGATTTGAAGATCCTGGGGTGGTGCAGCCACAAGGCCAGGCATGCAGGAAGCCCACAGAAGCTGGAGGAGGCCTGGAACAGATTCTCTCCTAGCTCCAGAGGGAGCACAGCCCTCGATTGCAGCCCCAAAAATTCTTTTCACACCTCTGGCCTCCAGAACTGTATGAGAATAAGTTTGCCTTGTTTTAAGCCACCAAACTTGTAGTAATTTGTTATAGCAGCCACAGAAAACTAATACAGATGTATTCATCAGATGAATGGTAGGTACATTACTTCATTACTTCTTTTTTTTTTTTGAGATGGAGTCTTGCCCTGTTGGCAGGCTGGTGTGCGGTGGTGTAATCTTGGCTCACTGCAACCTCCGCCTCCCAGGTTCAAGCAATTCTCTGCCTCAGCCTCCCGAGTAGCTGGGATTACAGGCCCCCACCATCACGCCCGGCTAATTTTTTTATTTTTAGTAGAGATAGGGTTTCACCATCTTGGCCAGGCTGATCTTGAACTCCTGACCTCGTGATCTACCCACCTCGGCCTCCCAAAGTGCTGGGATTATAGGCGTGAGCCATCACACCCGGCCTCATTACTTCTTATACCATAATAAATAAGAAAGAGAGAGAAACAACAACGCACCCCCACCACCACCACATTAACTTCTGCTTTAGCCACACAAGTAAGAACAGATGGTAAATAATACAAGTTACTGGACTGGGGTTGGAAGAGATTTTTGTCTATTATGATGCTGAGAACAGTGCCCAGAACATGTAACATGCTCAGAAAAGAGCAACTCAATACATAAATGATATCAAGGCAGGTAAAGTTCCGTGTGAATTGTCAGCTTGTAATGGCATTAGGACCCTGGATGGATACTGTGATTAAGCGTGGTGCACAGACAGCTGCCTGTTTGAGAGCCATTTGTTACCAGTCCATGGCGAAATGGGTACAGAAGTACAGAGGTCTTCAGAAACTACTTCTTACTGCTTTCTTTTAATCCACTGATTGAAAAAAATGACATAGTTGATAAAGAGCTGTTGTAAATTCAACAATGTTTTTAAAATAAATTTGTAATTAATTACAAATTTATTAATTAATCACAATATATTACGTTTTAAAATGGTCATATACGCGAAGAAGAGAGAAATAATTTTAGGAAGCTGTATTTATTCCAAATGTAGAGAATTCTCCAACCACATATAATAATCATGAGCCCCTGAGAGTCCATGACCTGGAGGTTCAAAGCTACAAGCCAATCCCACCAAGGAAACTAGGGTGTGAAGGCACTCTGTGATTAGCCCCCCGTCTTACAATTTAGTTAGCATCCGAGACAGGCCCAAACCCAGAGCTTGTGTCTTCTGAATCCCATTCCAGTGCTTTTTTAGTAGCCACTGATGTGACATCTCATGGACCTCCTAGAGGTGGTCTCCTAGGCAACCTGGTGCATGCCCATAGGCCTAAATCAGGCTAAAGAAGGAAGGTCATCATGACCGCCACACCACCCGTGGAGGACAGCAGGGTCCTTAGGGTCCTGGGCAGGTTGCACGTGTGTGTGGCCTTGCACTGAGACAGGCCACACTTGATTTAATGCCCTGCTGTTGCCTTCTTGAAGTTCTTAATAATTTTCAAAAGAGAACATGCAGTTTTATTTTGCATAGACCCCTACAAATTATATAGTTGGGACTGTGCAAGCAAGGCCGTTTGGATCCAACTTCATTTTATTTCTAGTTTGCTTCTGCTGTCATTCTGGAGACACAGCCTTCATTATTGCACCTCAGGATCTGACAGACCATCATCTCCTGGGTGAGGACACAATATCGCCAGGCTGGGCCTCGGGTGAAGGAAGGGAAGGGTCTAGAGCGCAAAAGTTAAGGAGGCCCTTACTCTTGGGGGTGTGTGAAGGCAGAGCCGGCACCTGAGAGGGAGTACCCCTTAAAAATTGCAGCTCACTTTCCTCACCCAAGTCTCATCCTGTAGTACACCTGCAGTATGCCTGTAATGTTCCTGCAGACACCTGCAGTACAGTATTCTCCTGCTTCCTTTGCCTCTGCGTGCCTCTGTGGTCACTGAATTTTCATCAGCCAGATCAGGTGGCACACAGAAACCTACCCCATTGACTTGTTCTTAGATTTTTCTAAAAGTGTTCTTTATTTGCTCAGTCTCTGTTAAGGAAGAATTACATTTCCCCATTCTCTGCAAGACTCGCCATGGTTGGCTGGTGCATGCTCTACTGTGTAAGTGTAATTTGATATAAAGCTGAATTGTCAATAGCATGAAACATTTTATAGGAAGAGTGAAAGAGTAGATGGTGGTCTCATTCATTCTGTCCCGGAGAGCAAGAGCAGTGTGGCATGGTAGCAAGTGAGGAGAAATCAGAGAAGCTCAGTTCTCATCCCGACTCCACTGCTTCTTCCCTGTGGGACCTCATGCAGTGCTTGTGCTTCCTCAGCCTGACTTTCCTTACCTATAAAAATAAAACTGTCTCTTTCACATGACTTTTGAGGGTCTAACAAATTTATATTTCTTAATGTGCTTTGCAGACTATAAAATGCTAGCTGGTTGTTGACACTGATTCTTCAGCTTTTTGGGGGGAATTGTTTTGCATGATGAGTTCATTCTAAGTTGCCACCTGCTATCTGCCAATGGATAAATTCCACAGCATCTCACAATATGAGTTAGACCTTGGAACAGGCTTTACTGAGGAAAAGAAACTGACGTCAGGGTCAGCCAGATAAGATAGAAGGGCCTGCTGAGGCCGCTGCACTCTGCTGGTTGGATTTGTGGTCCAGGGAGGAACATACCCTCCCCAGTCCCACTCCCACCCCCATAATCTCCTTTTTTGTAGGGCAAGTGGGAGAGCACTTTTGTTAGTGGGGAGATAATGAAACTACTTTGGCACCAGGCAGCCTGGATTTGAGTGTCAGCTGTTTACAGAAATTGTCTGGGAAGGCAAGTGCACAGCACCTGGGGACCTTGGGACTAAAGTTGTTACCCTGGAGGAGGACACCACTTGTCCCATGGGAAGAGGAGCCTCTCCAGCTCTGAGAGAGAGTTAGGACGCCCCCCCACGCCATAGCATTTCAACCTGATAATTCAGGGTGAACATCTGGGCTCATTTTCAGACAATCCTGCTTGTACCAAAGAAGCATCATTAAATTCTGGAAGCAGGGACCACTCATACTACCCCCAACATTGAAACCTAACTAGGTCATTCCAGGGTTTATTAGTGGGTGGTTTGGATTTGATAGAGAGATCAAGGCCTACCCAGGCTAAATCTAAATCCATCCACTAATGAGCTATAATAAGAGGATTCCATTTTAAAAGATTCACTCGGGTCCTTTGGACTAAAACGCTGTCACAGTTGATTCCTCTAGTCAGCTTTGTACCTGCTTTTCTGTGATTGATGTGGAAACCTTGTGCATCCTAAAATGCTGCCCTTACTCATCCTTTCATCCTGACTTGTAGTCTCCCACCTTCCGTCACGGCCCGAAATCTCCACCTCATATAAATGGCCCAGTGGGTGCCAACTCTAGTGGTGGGGACAGGGTAGGTGGACTCCACAGCAGTAGACAAATCATAATTGCATAATGTAAATTTTGCACAAAATGCTCTGAGAGCTTAATGGTGCCACAACCAATTTTATTAGGACACTTCAAAACAAAGATGACATTTGAACTGGATCATAAAGGATAAGTAGAATATTTTAGGGCAAAGAAAGGGGAGAAGGGCATGCTAGGTACAGGGGAGCAGAGATGTGGGACTTCAGCTGAGATAATATGTGTGAAGTGTTTAGAGCAGTGTGTGGCACATACTAGGTGCTCAATAAATGTTAGTAGTGCTAGTCATTATTGCTGTTACATATCAGGGAATTTCAAATACCCAGTATGGCTACAATACCAGGAGGGAAGGTCTGGAAATAAAACTGGAGATGGAGTTTGAGATTTTTTGTATGTGAAGGGCCCTGAATAGTATGTTAAAAGAGTTAGGTTTTGTATTTGCATCTCATTTTAGCCAACTAATCCACAATCATGAGTGTCCCAGTGAGGATGGGCCAGGTTAGGCTGCAGTAACAACCCCCAGATGTCAGTGGCAAAGCATCAAACATTTATTTCTTACCCATGTGACATGCCCAGTGCAGAATGACTGTGATCTTTGCCCAGTGCCCTCCTCTTTCTGTGACCCTGCTGCTTCTGCCCAAAAATGACACCTATCACTATTTCCATTTCATTGGCCAAAAAAAGCCACGTGGCCATCCTAACTTCAGATGGAACAAGGAAGTGCAGTCCTACCATGGCTACGTGACTACGTGCATTTGTCAAAACTCACAGAAACGCATGCTTAAAATGAGTGAATTTTACTGTATCTAAAGTATGTGTCAACAGTTCTGACTTTTTAAAAAACACCTTAGTGCATTTTTTAACTAGACTGCTTTTAAAAATTATTAAAATTATATTGTAAACAACCCCTTAAAATATGATTTGATTTCTAAAAATCAATTTTATGGATCCTTTTAGAGGCATCATAACCTGTGGCATGCTGCTAGTGCTGCTGACATTCAACAGCCAGGAATGTCTTCCCTTCAGGGCAGGGGTAGGCAGGTGAGCAATCCTGTTCTCCCACCATGGCTGATTCCAGGCTACGGATGTAATGTTACTGAGTTAGCTGAGAAGAAATGCACACATTTTGAGCCAATTCCAGCACACCACTAAAAATGTACTATGGGTTGACAATATAATAAGCAGCAAGGTAATGACTGTCCTCATGGTGTTCCAAGATTGCCTCGTACAATTCCCTAGTTTGCTGGTGATGCGGGATTAGTAATCATAATAAGAGTGTCAATCAGATGCTACAGCTTTGAAAAATAATCCAATAGAATGGTACATTTAAAGCTAGATGAGGCCTGAGAGATCAGCTAGTCGCGGCACAGTTGAGGACACCCTGAAAGGTAACAGATGTGCCCAGAGTCACCCAGCTGCCACCCAGGTGGCAGAACTGGAACCAGAACCCCGGTTTCCTGACTTCCTATTTAGTGTCTTTGTGTGGCTTTCCCCACCACTGCAGGAACTGTGGGATTCCAGTTTTTGAATGGGTACCATTGTTCCTAGCCCATTTTCAGATATCCATCTTACAAGTATTATTTTTAAAAGGTCAAAACATTCAGCTAAGCCATGCCTGTGGTGAACAAGTGGCAGGCACCAGAGGTTGGGGAGGGGTGTCATGGGCTATTTGATAGCTATTGGATTCAAACAATGCATTTCTCCCTGGAGAGAACAGAGGATAACCTGACACCTTGTCTGAGGACCGTGGTTTACCCCCAGCCCGCGTGGGAACCTGTTTTCATGGGCTCCTCTGGCCGTGTGGTGGCCCAGCCTTTCGCAGCCCCACTCCTCAGCTCACCCTGCATTAAGAACAACAACAGCAGCCATGTGCTCAGAGCAAGACCACTAAGCATTTTCCAATCTCAACTAAACTTTGGAGTAGCCAAGAAGAGTCCTTGGGGGAATGAGTTCATTCTGCAGGTCTGAGGGTGGAGTCAAAACCAATAATAATAATAACTCTATCATAATATTGACTGTTTGGGGGCCAAGCCAGACTTGTCCCTAAATATGTCTCAGACTTCTTTCTCAGTCTGACAAATGCTTGCCCTTCCTTCAAGGCTCATCTCAATGCCACTTCTTTGAAGATGTTTCTGACCTTGACCTTGGAGTACCTCCCATCTGCTCCTCTGAACGTATTGCTTCTTTCACCCTGCCCCTGGAACACTTTGAACCTGCCTTTACTACAGCCTGTTTCACAGAGGGTTTTGTGATTATTTGTTCAGATGTCTATCTCCTCAACTAGACCAAATGTTTGCTTCTTGAAGTGAGGTTTGCTCTGTGTGTTAGACGTCATTAGCTGCCTTCATGTGGCCTGGCCCAGCCCATGGTGAAGAAAGAGAGAGGGGGACAGAAGAAGAACCATTCTGGATCGAGAGCAAATTCTCTGGGAAAGTGAAGTTCCCCTGTGCCCATTCATGCTCCATAAATGACTGTATGAGCTCCAGGGTTTAAGTCTCAAGCTCACAATGCATGAATGTCCCCAAGGCATACTCGTTCAAAATGCAGATTCCTGCCCCTGCCACCACCCGCCCCCTCCCCCCCACCACCACCACCAACACCCCTCTTCTCGCCATTCTGATGTCTAGATCTGAGGTGGGGCCCAGAAGTCTGTGTTTTCACCGGCACTCCAGGTGATATTCTGATTCAGGTGATCTGAGGACACTTTTGAGAAGCACTGGTCTCCGACTAGGAGGGTTCTAGGAATGCAGGCATTTAGGGCACAGGGAGCGTGCAGACTCAGGCCCTGGTGGCTGCCTCCTGGGCTGGGGAGGGCACGCTGCAGCCTGCACTTTGTCTCCAGAAAGCACCAGGAGCTGGAAGATCCTGGGGATATTGCCCTTCATCTTCCCCATCTGCAGCCCAGAATCCTTCTCAACTCATTCAGGCCACAGTCACACAGAGGCACACTGGTATGCCTCTTTTTCCAGAATATTCTGGACAAATATTCAGCTTATTAAGGATGCACCTCCTGAATATTTTTAATGCTAGTCATTCTGAGCTGTGGAATAGACATGCAGGGAGCTAGCACGGGCGATGGCCTGCAGCTCGGGAACGTGAGGCCCCCAACAAAGTGACCACAACCAGTGCCACCATCAGAGCAGGTCCTGGATGACCTCAGGCTTCCTTCAGGCTGTACCTCCTCTGCTGGCCTCAGCAGTGACAGCACCATGTCCTTTAGTCAAGCCACACACATCCTTGAAGCTGCCACATTCTCTGCACAGAGAGTCACGTCTGTGCTCCCGCTGAGTGATAATAGGGTCGTGACCTCCTTGGAAAGGGAGACCATGTTCCTTGCATTGTCATCAGCCCCCAGGCCGTCTCAGAGCTCCCCGTGCCTCTGCAAGCCCCATTTGATGAATCTGAGAACGAGATTCTGGAAACGGTCTGAGTGCTGAGCAGTACCTGTCACACTCACTCACATAACAAAGTATGTTTGTTTCCCAGAAGACAGTCATTGTATATTCCTACTCATTAAGTTACTATAATTATACCCACATGGGGTATAATTGATTTTAATTTCACTCTGAGGTTGCTCCAGGTTTCAACAGCAAGTCTCTGGCCTTGGAGAACTCTCTCCCTTTATTTAGCATTTAAATGAGTATCAGGAGGGAAACGCAAGAAGTAATTATGAGGAGAAACCGAGTGTTGAAAGGGGCAGCTTTGAAGTGCTTAAACGTCCTGACATGGCAGTGCGCGCTTCCATTTCAGTGCGTGGGAAGTCAGCTGGATCACTGGGGAACAAGATGCCCTGACGTTGATGAATTGTGCAGCTGTACTGGGGACCAAATCTCTCACTCAGTGCTGGAGTGATTTTACTGCCATGCTTACCCATGACTCAGTGGCCTCTGTTTATGAATTAGCACATATTTTTAAGTTCTTACATGTTACTGTCTCTGAAATTT
Source organism: Homo sapiens (assembly GCF_000001405.40). Taxonomy (NCBI): domain Eukaryota; kingdom Metazoa; phylum Chordata; class Mammalia; order Primates; family Hominidae; genus Homo; species Homo sapiens. Next base: position 29,457,984 of record NC_000007.14, read on the forward strand.
ACAAATAAATCATAGTAATACTACAGTTTCAATTCCCCACTCTTTTTAAAAACAGCTTTCATGCATTATAGTCATAAATCCTTGTTAACTTTTTAACTCCATGCCCCTGTTATTGTATGTCACAAAAGACAGTGTTATAGTTTTTCATTCCTGCTTAATTTAAAACTTTCCCAATGGAATGCAGATACAGTGAGCTGTTTTCATAGGTGTGGTTAGGGAGATATGTTGTATAATTGAAGCCTAGGTCCCTATTTTCAGATGGGACAGATTCTAAAACTAGTGGGATATGCTGACTCCATTTGAATCTCTGAACTATGAGACAAGTTATACAACTAGATCATTGGTTTCCTAAGGGAATGAGACAGTAGCTGTTTGTATAAGGAGCATAGCTGTGCACACACACACACACACACACACACACACACACACACACACCCCATGCATTACAAATAGATGTAGAATTCTAATGTTAGCTGCCCTACCTCTGTTCTCCAATATTATATAATTATCTGTTTATGTGTCTCACCCCTGCCCCCAACTTTTTACTTCTCAAGGGCAAATGTATTCCCGGTGCCTGGAGTTAATGTGTGTGGAACATTTGAAGATGGAAAGTGGTCCTAGCTAAGTCCTCACTTTAGAAGTGAGGAAAGTGAGGGCCCAAATATATCAGATTACTTGGCCAAGGTTGCAGCAGTCAAGACACCAAGTGTGTATGTAATAAGCATATGACTGTTCGATCAAACTAAAGTATTATCCAAACGTCCTCTATCAAGCGTCTTAGTTTCCCACATTCTCTTGGCTATGTAAAAGCGTGCTTTAGTAGAGCAGACCCACCAAAGAAGATACCACATTTGGCTTTGGCCTTTCCCTTTACCTATCTCATCTGCAAAGTCCTTTCTGTAATGATCCCATGGTGTGATGGAATATCAGAATTCAGGAGCGGACAGATGCAATGCCCAGAAGATGAAATTCAACCAGTTAAGAACTCTGTTGCCTTGAATTTGACAGTGATCCTTTCACAAAGAAGTTTCCCTGGTTTTGAATTAAGTTACACTAAACTAGCAGGGACCAGTTCCTGGTTCCCTTTTATGTAGTTTCAGATTTTCTCGGGAATCCTTTGGTATTCTGTGCTATGCAGTACACCTCGCCAGGAACGCGGTGGGTCAGGGGTCAGATTCTCCCGCTCGGAAGGCTATGAAAGGCTCAAGTTCACACGGTTTAACTTTTTAAAGTTCTCATGTGTCTTTCCAAAGACTTGTAGGATTTTGGAAAAACTGTCATGTTTCTTCCCTCCTGTGTTTTCATCCTTACTTCTTTCTCCTTTGCCACTAATTCTCTTTCTCTCACTATTCCTCCCTGTCCTTTGTTTTCCCCATGTCATTTGGAATTTTCCTTTTACTGTTGAAAGGTGGATGCAGCCCTGGAGGAATCAGGGTAAGGTCATGCCGGCTGGGCCTTCTCCCTAGTTCGGATGAGACTTTCCGAGCTCGCCTCCCCTGCAGGTTGTTCATGAGATAAAACCTCCGTGGGTCAGGTGGAGAGCCCACAGTTGCCTCAAGATGCAATACAACATCTGTTTCATTGTCCAGGGTGGGGAAGGAACAGATAATTCTCTTTTGAGGTCAAGCAGCAATTCCAGGAGCTGACCCAGCCTCACAGAGCAGCCCATAGCAGCAGGTGGGGGCCTCTGTTACGACAGCCACCTTCACCGCAGGCCAGGTGTGACATCAGCCTGCACCCTAGCAGGGCTCCTTGTCTCCCCCTCTCCTCCCTGCATGGCAGGCTCAGGTATCTAAGAAAGCAAGAACATGACTCCAGCAAACCCACAAGTGGTAGAAGAAGCCCGAAAAGCTTGTCTATCGTTACCATTAGAAACCAGGCAACCACAAGAAGAGGCAGAGAAGAGGAAAGAGGAGCAGGACGGGGAGGAGGCATCGAGACAATAGAATACAATAGGCGTTCTCTGCCTCCCCCTCTGCCACTCAGGCAAGTCAGGCGTGGCTGCCCCTTTCCAAGGTGGCAGCCACAAACTCAGTTCTGATCCTTATGTTCTTCTAAAGCAAATTCCCCTTAGCATATGTACATTGAATCACCAGATTAAAATATTGCTACCTGGCTTTCACCCCCAGAGATTCTGATTTAATTGATCTGGGGTACCAAGTAGACTTCTGGATTTTTAAAGCCCCCTGAGCAATTCTAATGTGGAATAAAATTAGGGAACCACTGCATTATTGGCCAGATAATTCCTAGGTCCCATGCCCCACCCGCCCTCAAATAGAGCTTGCCACAGGCTCCACTTTAAGAGGGCAAGGGCAAACCCATCACCCTTTTGTAACAGTAGAAATTTGGGGGCAAATTCAGACCCATCCAACATTTATTGAGCACCTACTACTTGCCATGCCCTGGATTCGTGCCTCCCTATGTATTATCTGGCTTAGCCAGCAGGGAGCTTCTAAGAGGGTACCCTTCTAAAGGCAAAGCGCTGTCTTGAGGTGTAAATACAAACTGTCTGGTCTTTATGTTCTGTGGCTTTCTAATTCATAGATGTTCCTCGGACAAAGGATGTTTCACAGGTGCCAAGAGAGGATGGTTTTAAAAGGCCAGAGGTCATGAGGCAAGTGTTGGAAGAGGCAAAGATCTGAGGGGCTCTGATTTGGCTTCAGGACCTTTCATTAGAGCATCAGTAATTCTTAGAGTCCAGAATCTTTCCAGGTGTGGCTTCTTTGGACAGAGCCATCTCTTGGTATCGGAGGGAAGCAAATGGCTGCTAGTGGAGGGAACAGAGCCCTGTCCTTGGCTGCATAGGCACAGGGAAGCAGAACAGCGGATCGGGCTTCTGGAAGCCTTGTTCTGAGGCAACTCCTTTGCTACCAATTTGTTTGGGGACTTTAGACAAACCACCCGCTTCTCTGGGCCTCAGTTTCCTCATCTGTAAGATGAGAGGGTTGCTTAGATAGATGCTTAAAAGAAATAGTAATTGGTCTTGTCTCACGATGTTGTTCCACATCACAATAATGATTTTCTCTACTTTGTGCTGTGTAGCATAAATGGTTATCATCAATTCTATTCTCATGTAGGGTAACTGAAGCCATTCTCCTCCATCTGTATTCCTGGCCAAAGTAATAAATGGCAGGGAAACCACATGTTTTGAGCAACCAATCAAGTATGTATTTCTCAAGGACATGCCCTTAGTTTACTCATTTCTCTATTCATTTAGAAACATGTAATGTATGCTACACAGCCAGGCAGTGTGCTAAAGACAGGAATACAGTGATTAGCAAGACAGTCACCACCATGTAGAACTTAGGGTGAATAGAGCCAAAAGAAAGAGTGGGAGACCCAGGGGAGGATGGAGGGGTGACTAGGAGTTAACCAGATGAACAAAGAAGGATGATATCAGATGAGATGGACTGTATTCTAGGAAGGTCCAAGTTGTTAGAGTAATGGTCCCAACTTACTGGGATTTTATACACATACAAACTCAAAATTTAAGCTATATACTGAGCAGAAGACTTGTTTATTTTCAGGCAATAAATGTTTATATTCTCGGGATCTGGAGAATAGCCAAAGACTAAAAAATAGGCCTAGAGGAAGGGGCCTTCATGTTTCATGTGTGAAGCACAGTAATGATGAACAGCAAAGCTTTAGAGATGTCAGACTTCCTAGGCTGCCAACACTTCTTCTAGTCTATGAACTACCTTAAATGAGAACAGAGGTTAGGTATTATTTCACTCTGGATGCCCAGAGCCTAATACAGAACCTGACACATAGGAATTGTCCACTTAATGTTGCTTGATTGTCTGACTGGTTTGTTGGTTAACTGGTTGGTTCATTGGATGGATGGATGGATGGATGGATGGATGGATGGATGGATGGATGGATGGATGGAAGGAAGAGAGAGGATGCAAAGTGCCTACAGCAGTGTCTCATACATACATATAATAAATTGTAACTGTATATTTCTGTCATAAAAAATACCTTTTTTGTCATATACACTGAAACATTTGTGTCTATAAATTCCCATTCATTTAACCTATTTTAATATTGTACTTGGAACAGTGTTTTTCTCATAATAGAAAAAATATAGTCATTGTTTCACACGCATTTTGTTTGTGCAGGAAGCCAAAATACAAATGCATTCTGCGTAAAACTTAGTGTCATATATAACACTGCTGAGCATTAATTCTTTTTTAAAAACTTGATGAGTTTGCATAAACCTGAACAAACATATGTGCTTGGTCCTCAAGGACATTAGCTTTTTCACTTCAGGAGTGGAAAGGGCTGCTATAGACCATATCACCAAAACCTGCTTTGGACACTATTGCTGAATGACAAGCCGCCTCAAAGCTTAGTAGTATAAAATATCCATTGTCTTACGGTTGCATGTTCTGTTGGGTCAGAAATTAGAACAGAGTACAGCAGGGATGGCTTGCTTCTGCTTCATCCTGTCTGAGGCTTCATCTGAGAAGACTCAAAGTCTTGAGGGGAACTCAACATCTGGGGGCTGGAATCATTGGGCATCTCCTTCATTCACACATTTGGCACCTGAGCTGGGAAGACTCTCACACACTGATGTTAGCTAGATTGTCAATCAGAGTGCCTGCATGAGGCCTCTCCATGCAGCTTATGCTTCCCCCAAACATGGCAGCCTTGGGATAGTTGAACTTTTTGCATAACAGCTCATGGCTCCAATGCAAAGATGCCAGTGGACAAGGAAGAAGCTTCATTGCCTTTTATGACCCAGCCTCAGGCATCACATAGCATTTCCTCCATCATATTCTTTTTTTTTAAATTATTATACTTTAAGTTTTAGGGTATATGTGCACAACGTGCAGGTTTGTTACATATGTATACATGTGCCATGTTGGTGTGCTGCACCCAATAACTCGTCATTTAGCATTAGGTATATCTCCTAATGCCATCCCTCCCCCCTCCCCCCACCCCACATTAGTTGAAGTAAGTTACAAGTTTATCCGGGTTCCCAAGGAAGAGACCTACCTCCCCACTCCACCTTGAACAGAGGAATGTAAAAGAGTTTTACAGCCATTTAGAAAACCCCGCATCCCCAGTTTTTAGAAACTGAGCCCTAGAATTCCAACACAAGGAAATCTCACCTTATTTCATTGCCCTTTGAGCATCATTTTCATTAATACCTAGCATTTCTTTTTGTGAGGGAAGAACCAGGTCCCCAGCCTCCCAATACACCTAGAATGTGCTGGCAACATTGTGGCAAGAAGATGCTTCCTTCTTTTTCTGAATTTAATGCTTCTCTTGGATTATGCCAATTTTGAGAGGAACCCTTGGCTACCAGCTAAACCAGCGGCAGTGAACTTTCCTAATGGAGCAACAGAGCCCATGTAAGGAAACCAGGGCAAAGCAGTTGACCACAGAGTAACCACCTGCAACCACACAAGTATGCCCAAAGCAGTGATAGCCACCATGCTTCCACCCACCCCACAGACACTCTTTCTCCTTAGGGTCTCGGCTTTTGTGCTTTTACCAGAGCGCAACAGTTTTCTGGAAGTGCTCAGGGCTATGGGTAAAAGGGCAGTTTCCTGTGGACTCAGATTGTTTAAGATGTCATTTGGGGGTAAAGGACTGTTTAAAGAGATGGTTTCTTATCCATCAGATGGCTTTAGAAAATAAGGTGGGTGGATATTAACACTTTGGGTGAGGGCCTGGAAATCTTGGGACTTTAGACTCTCTGGCACCAGGGAGTTAAACAGGTCACAATGTGGAATGCTGGGATTCAGATGACACCCTGGGCTCTGACTAGCAAGACATCATAGCAGCTCTGAGGGGCCCACAAGAACTAGAGATGTGTCCAAGCTCTGCTGGTGTATAGATGTGGAACTGAGTGCCCAGCAGTGGTGCCTCCTGCCCTGCCTGCCTGCCTGGCACCGACATGGCTGAATTGTACCTTATGCCATCGGGTGTGGCCAGTAATCCTGTGCTTACTTTGACTGGCATTGCCCCCTCCACTGGCCCTGAATGACTCACCTCATAGAAGAAAAAGGATACATAACAACCTTTTCCACTCCCCACAGTGTCACCCAGGACTTGTTGACAGGACCAACACCAGTCTTCTTATGTGTGCATTGTTCAGGGTACAGCAGGATGGCTAGCTAAGCTTATTTAAAGCATAGTTACGATTAATCATAATCATAGCTGACCTTTATTGAGCCCTTATTTTGTTTTGGGCACTAGAAACTATGTGTATTGCCTGTTTCAATCAACACAACAATCCTGAGGTATCAAGTATTAGTTTCCCGGACATTAGTACTGGTAGGTATTCATTGGCCTTGCAAATAGTTTGGAAAATGCTGGTTGTTCTAAAACAGTGACATGCCTGTAATCCTCCAAGAAAGTGATATATGTTGACTTTTTGAATTGTATTTAATCACCGAGCAACTAATATTTTAAGGAACATGAATTTGAAACCTGACTGGATGATATAGAAGTGGGTCTGCGTAAAGGTTGATAGGTGCAGCAAACCACCATGGCACACGTTTACCTATGTCACAAACCTGCACATTCTGCACACGTATCCTGGAGCTTATTTTAAAAAAGTGGATTTTCATAAAATATGCTTAGTGTCCTATGAGTAGTCTAAGAACCATTGGAACTAGGTGTAGTCTAAAGCATCAGGGTTGGATTTGGTGTGACTGCCTTTGAAAATGGCTACTCATGATACACCCAGGTTGGCCAGGTGACTCCTGAATGTAGCTGATGGTTTGTGCTTAGAAATGTGTCCTCTGCTTCATAACTCTCAAAGAAGCCTGCTGCATCACAGGAACAGGGAGCTCCATCTGCTTCCAGCACCCAGTTACATGTGCAAGGTGAGGAAGCTGAATGTGAAGGTTTTGAGCCCATGGAGACGTTCACAGGCTGCCCTGCTGTTGTTTCCCACATTCTCCAGGAGTATGGGAGGCTCTTTCCTGAGTGCAATGCCAGATGGAGCCCAGGATCAAAGCCGCCAGCCGTGTTTTCATCCCCAGAACCAATCTAAGCTACAACCTAATCCTTCATTCTGTTTGTTTTTATAAATTCACATCCTAAAACACATCCCCTTCTTGCCTTTTTTCCTTCTGATATCATCAGAATATTTCAGGACACAGCCTGCATTTACACATCTTTCATGCAACTTCATGTTTATTCTGCCAAGTGCCTCTGAAGAACTGCCATTTGTGATTAAAATCCTTCCAGCTTCATCTTAGCTTTCTAGTGATTCTGATCAAATTAAAATGATTTTATGTTTAGGAATTGTGGCAGGTCAGAGAGGGATTTCTTATTGTATTAAATGAAGGAAATGTAGTCTTAGCTAAACTCAAATGTCAACACCTTCTTAAGATTATGCTTTACTTTGAAAACATCATCTGCATAATCATGAAAGTTTATTCATTAAATTACACATGCACACACCTATATAAAATGGTGCCAGCTGTAGATCTGAGCAATATCCAACTTACAACTTAAGTTGCACTTTTCATCCTCTGAGGAACCTGCTATTACAATACACATCTCACATTGAGGAAATGAGGCACAAAGAGGTTAAATAACTTGGCACAAGGTCACCCAGTTATGAAGGGTGGAAGCAGGAATGTTAACCTGGACAGCTTACTTAGCTCCAGAGTCTTCCTAACAAGAAATTCTTAGCAAACAAAAACTTGTCACCATTTTTAGAGTTAATTGCCATTTCTATGACCACAGGTTTGATAAGCACACTGCATTTCCAACTCAAATTGCACATGGCCAATTACAGTGCCGACTTCTTACACAACTCTTCAGGAGATGGCTGGAAACCTTCCATTATTGATAAAAAATTTTAAATGGAGCCATGTTATTATAAGACTGAAGTAAACAAAAATTAAACTAGAAAACTTTTGGGTTATGTAAAATGGAAGCTCCTCCATTCCAAACCATTATTGAAATATTACAGGCCGAGCGCAGTGGCTCACGCCTGTGATCCCAGCACTTTGGGAGGCTCAGGTGGGCAGATCACTTGAGGTCAAGAGTTCGAGACCAGCCTGGCCAACATGGTGAAACCCCGTCTCTATTAAAAATATGAAAATTAGCAAGGTGTTGGGGGTGCACCTGTATCCCAGCCACTCAGGAGGCTGAGGCACAAGAATCGCTTGAACCCCAGAGGCAGAGGTTGCAGTAAGCCAAGTTTGCGCCACTGCACTCCAGCCTGGGAGACAGAGTGAAATTGTCAAAATAAAGAGAGAAAGAGAGAGAGGAAGAGAGGAAGGAAGGAAGGAAGGAAAGAAAGATTGGTTACCAAAGCTAAAATTATCATAGCTATACTCTACATATTGAGACGTAATTTTCTGGGTGTAGATAAATTTATTTGGAGCGAATCTATGTTATATGAACATGATAATATTCATTATTCTTTTATCCCCTGGCCTTTCAAATAATAATATATATGATTAGAGCAGCATGATACAGTATTTTTACTTTAAAACTTTTAGTTCTCTTGGCTAAAGATGAAAATTTCTTCAGGGATTTAACCTAAATCATGTTTGTACATGTCATAGTGATCTCTCTTGCATTTTGGAATGATTTTCATTTCTATCAATAGAGGCCCTAAAATGGCTCAGTTTAAGTCCCACAGAAAGTGAATCCTTCCTTAATACCTGCTAGATTAAGAATTTTCATTTCCAATAAAGTTACTTAACCACTTGTTTTGCACATCTGAGAGTTTCTGCAAATGTATCCCAGCTGTGAGATCTAGATCACAAAAGACTCTGATACTTTAGATCTATTCAGTTTCTAGTTTTGTTTGAAACTTGCCTAATTTTTTCCCTAAGGGAAACATTTTCTCCTAGTTCAAATACAAAACAAAACTGGGAAAAAATATTTTGTTTTTCTGTGGCAAAGTTTTTCTTTTTTTCTCATACCATTTATAAATGTAATATAATTAAAGAAGTTTTAAAAGATAAAAAAAGGTAGACATTGGTCTGTTTCCTTACAATGATTTTCTATGCACTGGGATTTTTTAAATATACCTGTAAGCATAGTATAGTTATCATTTTGTATTCTACATTTTTTTATGAAGCATATTAAAGCCATATTATTGTACACTCTTCACAAGCATCATTTTTATTGTTGCATGAGTGTCATATGTACGTAGCTATTTCCTGATGTTAGAGCGTGCACAATATATTCCATTTTTCACATTAGAAATCATGTTGCTATAAACCATCTCCTTAGGATAGATTCTTAGAAATTGAGTTACTGAATCTTAAAGGATATTAATATTTTGAAACTCTTTATCCACATGGCCAAATTACTTCCTAAGATGATTTTAACAGAGTACACTGTCTGGCAATTTCCTGCCTGTGTTTGATATGCGTGTTTGTGTGTAGCGGGTGGGGTAGGGCATGTTGTTTAACTTGTGCAATGTGGGAGAGCATGGATATGGATCAGATCTGTTGTTGCATAGGGGAAAGAGCTTGGTTCAAGCTAGTTCAAGGACCTGACTTTTTGTCCTGACTCTACAACTAACTGGCTGTGAGAACCTGGGCAAATCAGCAGGAGGTTTGCAGACACACGCATTTATCCATAAACCTTTGCTAAGTGCTTTTTATGTTTCTTGGTACCAAAGAGATTAGAAAATGAAGTCCAGGGTTCTTAGGATATTACACTCTAGTGGGGGACAGATAAGTGGAGGCAGAATCACATGAAGTTTAAGAGAATGAACTCTGGAAGTAGCTTGCTCTGGGTTCAATTCCTAGTTATTAGCTGTGCAAGCTTGCATAGTGAGAAGTCTCTTAAGCTCAGCTTCCTCATATCTGAAATGAGGGTAATAATACCAGTGGCATAGGATGGTTGTGCAGATAAATGAGAAAATGGTTAACCTGCCTGGCACAACGTGAGCTCAATAATTGTTAGGTTTTTTCTTTTTTTCTGTTTTGTTGCTGATACGATTCTAATAAGATTTAGAAACTACCACTATGTTTTAAGTGGTAGGGAGCATGTGTGCTGCTTCTTCACAAAAGAATATCATGTCTTTGCAGCATGGGTCTTGGGTTCTGAGAATTGATAACATGTCGGGGAGTAGGAGCAGGTATAGGTCATTATAGGTCATATCTCAGGGGATTTTCAGCTCCAATGGGCCGCCATGACATCTTCACAGAAACCAAACGGACCCGCCCCCCCCCCCCCCCGCCCGACTACCCAAAATTTTGTTTGGTGTTGAGATTGATGATGCCATACTTCCACCAAAAGGATGTACAAAGTTTTATTGTTCACATGATGTGACTTTCTGGGGGAAGCAGGACTGACCCCCAGGCAGGTCCATAAAATGGCTTGAGAGAGCTGGGACTGGCTCAGCGTTCTGTGGTGGTTAGGAGGCGGAGCTGGGTAAGTGTTCTCATGCCAGCAGGGGTTGCATGGTTTGAACTTCCACCAACACCAAGGGAGGGAGTGCACTGGCCTTGTTCTTGACTTGCAATCAGTAAGCAGTCAAACAATAAAAATGGAGTCAGACTCTTTATTATGTGGGGTGTGGTTTTATGATGGACAAGGGAAATCTCAGTAGCTTTCTTTCTTTCTTAAAAGGAGAAACAAGCCAACTCTCTGGATCCCACCTGTTCCTACTCTTTTTACTGCAGTGCTTGGCTCCCCGGTACTCCCAGCACTGGCTGTACAGTAGTCTCTGATCCAAGTGCTCTTCTCCCATTCTTAAAACACGTGCAATCAGATTCCCCCGACTGCTGCTGGAAACTGCTCCTGTCAAGATGATCACTTACTTTCATATTGCTAACCCCTGTGGTCCTTTCTCACTCCCCATCATACCTATCCTGTGAGCGTTAGCTTTCCTTGTCTTTCTTTGTGACTAGTTCTCAATTTTCTGACCCCTTAATGATTGGAGTGTCCCAGAACCTAGTCCTGGGGTCTCTGCTCTTCTCTATCTGCACTAACTCTCTTCCTCTAAAATCCATCTACCCATAAGTAGATTTCTGGCATCTGTCTCTTCAGGAACCTCAGGCTTGTAAGTCCAACTGCCTCAATGTTCCTATACCCAAAATGGAGCAGCTGGCCTTCTCTTTCACTCTTGCTCCTCCTGGAGTCTTCTTCATCTCATTTAATGGAAACTTCATCTGTCTAGCTGCTCGTGCCCAAAACTGCACCATTACCTGGAATTCTTTCTTTCATGTGCACTTCACATCCAACCTGTCAGCTAATCCTGTAGACTTTACCTTGAAACAATATCCAGATTCTGGCCATTCCTTATCACCTCCACTGCTCCCACCCTCATCCAAGCCACTGTCTATCCTTTAGCTGAATTTCTGCCATAGCCTTTAGCTGATGTTCCTGCATGTACTTTAGCCCCCCTACAGTCATCAACACAGCAGGCAGAGCAATGCTTTTGTAAAGTCATTCAGATGATACCACAGCTCTGTTCAGTACTCTGCAGTGGCTGCTCACGTCACTCAGAGTGAAAGTGGGAGTCCCATTCCTTCCCAGAAGGCCCTAGGTCCCTTACCTCACCTTCTAGCACCTACCACTCTAGCTGTTCCTGATCTTTGCTATTTCTGGAGCCTACCATGCTTGCTCCTATTTCATGGCCTTGCATGTGCTGTACCCTCTGCCTGGAATGTTCTTCCTCCAGATGTCAGCATGGCTCACCTATCACCTCCGGCCCGTATTTGCCCAAATTTCCAAATGTCACCTTCTCATGAGACCTTTTCTGACCACCTTGATTTAAGTTGTAACCTCCCTCTCACTTCCTATCCTTGTTCTTGCTTTGTTTTTCTTCATGGTTCCCAACACTTTTTAAAAGAATATACAATGTACTTCTTAGTTTTGTTTGTTGTCTACTCTCTTAGAGTGGTTGTTCCCTGTTCTATCTCACTGGCCTAATACAGTGCCTGATAAATAATAGATGCTCAATAATTATTTGCTGAAATAAGGAAGGAAGAGAGAAAGGAAGGAAGCAAGGAAAGAAGGGAGGGAGGGTAAGAGGGAGAGAAGGAAGGAAGGAGCTATGTTTGCAACATATCCAAGAATAATTGTATTGCATTAAAACAGAGCATAGGCCAAATTGCATGTGGTCATTTCAGACTGAACTGTGTTCCCCTGGAATATTTACACTTGTTCATTAGCATGACAGTCTCTTTTCCAGAGCAGGGAGTGGCTTGAGAGGTGTCTGCATCAATCACACACACTCTGACATTCCATTTGGGAAGGGACAACACAGTCCTACGCTTGGTAGAGCTAGTCTTCCCAAACACAAATACAAGGACCAATTGTAGATTTTGGAAATCCCAGCCACCACTCACACAGGAGACCAGAAATAAACTTAGATTATCTTTGGAATGTGTCAACATCCATGTTTCAGGACTACTGCATTCTTAAATATCCCCAAGAACTATATTGAGCAGTATCAGCTGCACAGCTGTGAGTGGCGCCAAGGACTATTTTGTTTGGGTGATTGTTCACTGTAAAAAGCACAGTAGGGATTGGAGATATTTTTATTTGTGAAATTTTGAAAACCTGTTTCATAGGTATCTTGGTTGTTTTTAACATGGGGCAGTTCACATGGAGAAAACAACCGGTTAATTTGATTTTTTTTTCTGTAGATAAAGGTGCACCTTACTCCAACTTCTGACCACAGAACCTGGTAAAGGAGTAGCTGGAGGCTATGTTTGGTACATTCTGTAGTGCTGCTTTGCAAATTGCCATAATTTGGACAAGAAAGTAGTGGACAAGAAAATGCAATTTGACAAATGTCTGGCCTTTCGCAGGGATTTCCCAGGCTCCCCTGAGTGAGCGGAGCTTGAGAAAGACACCCAACATCAATATTGCAGTTTGATGCCATAAGCTAGAAATTGAGTGTCTTGACTTTTGTAGGAAAACCCACATGTCAGTCATTTGGGGCACTTACTTCTTTGGCCAGAAGTGGGGAGTTGCGTCATATATCAGCAAGGAAAATACAGAGAAAAGCAAATGAATATGGAATATGAGAAGAAAGTCATCTAGGGCAAGAAGGAAGATAGTAGCTGGGAACTTCGTAATAGCTGCTTCTCCCTTAGGTTTTACACTATTTACTTGGATCTTAGTTTTACAAAAGTTTTAAGGAGTTTGATTTAACAAATGTTCCATTCTCTCAAGAATAACCCTACCATACTTTCTAAAGTTTAGCATTTGAGAAATTGGACTAAGACTTTTAAAGTTCGTATTTAAGGAAATGGATTACTCTGATGGTAAAACATGTTGTTGTTAATATTGACTCTCTCAAAAACTGCATACAAAACAAAACAAAAAAGCAAATAATAACAATGACGTGTTGAAATGCGCGAGATCCTTAATGCAACACAAAGTCTTCCTCTATGAGGTGGAGTATCTTTTATTTCTATATCTAAAAAGTCTGTGAGAAACATCAGAAATTAGCCACAATTTTTGACATCAGTCTCAGCAGAACAGCTGGTGGTATCATGTGGGAAGGACAGCAACTGTAGCATTGCACGATCAGCCAACCCAGGAAGCATCAGGTTATTTATTTGCTGCTAAACAAGGTACTTTGGTCCATTTCAGCGCACATACAGGCCTTTCAGGTTGGGTGAACGGTGACTGTTTTGAATGAGGCAAAATTGTATTCTAGGAGGGGCAGTAAGACTGTTCCTTCGGCACTTCTGTGTGTCTCTCACATCGAGAGTCGCCATCTGTCCCTGGAGAATAATCGGCGTGGCAGCTGGGCATGGTGTGTCATCAGAGACAAGGAACCTTGTCTCAGATCAGAAGGCAGCAGGTTTGGAGGTCAGCAGCAGTTTTAGGACTGAGCCAGGTTAATCGTTGACACCTGATGCTTAAATGGCCTCAAATAAAACCAGGACTATACAGCTTGAACTAGCCCAATTGCAGGAAAGACGGCAGGTCCCACCCTGATCTTTCTCATTTCTTTGGCGCCATGGCAATGTGTTTGCGTTTAGTTATATGTCTTTGTTGTCTTCCTCCTCTTTCAGGACTGAAAACCATAAACAAAGAATATAACAAACAGGGCAATTCTTAGGAAAGGCAAGGATGATTCATTTGGCAGTATGCAAGAGGGTTCAAAGTACATAGGATCAAGCAGGCTGGGTTGATAAAAGATAACCACCCCTTTGATTATCATTCGGCAATTGGAGCTTATTTCACTTAGCATTTCTAGTTTTTTCTCTTCCCAAAAGGAATAGAGAACCAGCTCCACAATGCCATAGCAAAAAACCAGAGTGGACATCACCGCACCTCCTTATCCACCAGTCCCCTCAAAATCCCCATAGAAGCTTTTCAAAACAAAATACACACACACACACACACACACACACGCACACACACACATTAGACACAGAAATAGGTAGTAGGCATACCCTTAGTATACCACCAACCAACATTAAAAGTATTTTAGTGTGACCCACAGAGCGTGAAAACAAAGGAAAGTGTAGATTTCCCACACCATCCAGGGCTGTACGAATGGCTGCAGCATTTTGCTGCGTGTTCCTGGATCTGGGCAGGATTTAACATTTTGTGGCTTTGGGGAAATAACGGGACACCCAGGGTCATCACCCAACACCAGTACCCCAGACATATGTTCAGGGAATGAGCCAATGGGCCAAGGGAAAAAAAAAGAGCATGCTAACTCTTCATAAAAGTCGAAATCATTTCTGATGGAAGGAAAGGAAGACAGAGAGCTGCTGAAAAATGGGCATGTTTTTTTTTTCCTGCAACAGAACTGTCCTGAATGTCAAGCCAATGTTGGCATCATGGTAGTCACCAGAGAAGAGTTAATAGAACTCTTCTTTTATAGGTAGGTTAAAAATAATTTTTCTGCTTTAGATGTTTGTAAAATTCCTCTAGGAACAGAGAGGAGGAATGAGTCTTTGTGTCAGTGGGCTGTGGGCAGCCAGCACCCCCAGTCTGCCACACATGTGGTGCCAGGGATTTCCATGGAAAGAACCTCAGGAGACCTGATTCTGGGCCTGTTTCATAAGGCTAGCAGGCTAGTGAGGGCCCTAGGTCATAATTTTAAAATCATACTAATATACATCCAGGTGTGTGTATACATTCTCAGGGTAGCAGGAAGAAAGTGGTGGCAAGCGAGGCTGGAAAGGTGGCAGGGGCCAGACCCCACAAGCCCCTGCAGGGCATGGTATGGATTTTTGCCTTTGCCTTAAATCGTCTTTGGAGGTTTTAAGTGGCATGATGGGAGGTGGGTGTGGGGTGAGCATGAGCAGAAACATGATCATATTTTGTGTTTGAAACAACGTTAATTCCTTTGGAGGGGATTTAGTCAATAGCACTGACTACGTTCATACTTTCATCTTTTCTGGCAATCCCCTTGAACTGAAGCACTTGAGATTAGTGTGGTCAGTCTCAATTCTAAGAGCACATTACAATCCCCTGGAGGATTTTTACAGCCCAGCCCCCATCTCCAGAAATTTGGATTTAATTGGGCAGAGGTAGAGCTTGAGCATGGGGTGTTTGTGTGTGTGTGTTTGTGTTTTTTTTTTTTTGTGTGTGTGTGTGTGTGTGTGTGTTCTAATTATCAGGCAAGGCTGCGACCCACAGGTTCAGTGGAAAGATAAAATTGGAGTCCTCAAAGTGTGGCCCCGAGACGAGCAACATCACCATCACCTGTGTACCGATCAGAAATGCAGATTCTCTGGCCTGATCTCATACTGACTGAACCAGAAACTCTGGGGCTCCATATGTTTTAAGAAGCCCTCCGGGGGTTCTGATGCCTGCAGGTATAAGGCAGGAGAAGCTGGAGTCTGGATCTGCTTCCAGATTTAGTTGTAGAATAGCTCTTTGATAAGAGGTAATTGTGGAACCTCTCTGGCCCTTGGTCTCTTCCCCTGTAAAAGGTGGAGGAGGGATTAGACAATCTCAATGGTTAAGAATTTATCATCCATGCACACTAAATCTAATAAGAGTTTTATAATATACTTTAAAAATCATTTTTATATAATGGAATAAGAACATAGTCATTGTAGGAAACTCAAAAAAAAATGCAAAGAATATAGAAGAAAATAAATGTCAATTAAAATTTTTCCACCCAGAAGTAACTGTTGCTTATCTTCAGCAGTTTGAGTGAATGTATTTTGAATATATTTTGGTGTGTTTTCTTCTGATATTTTCTGTGCATACCTACTTACAAATCTGGGAATTATACTATACATGGCTCAGGAGCCTACTTCTCACCTAACATTATACCAGAGGCAAATCTTCTCATCATTAAATGTTCTTTTAATTGTCTTTGTTAATGTCTACATAATACCCTATTACATTTTATGCCATAATTTATTTAACTTTTCCCCTATATTGACTGTTTAGGCTTTTTCACATTTCTTGATATTGTTTTGATGAATATCTGTATCTCTATATCTATCCATCTATCTAGATCTTAGTCTGAAGACCTTTTCAAGAGAATCCTAGAAATAGAATAATTGGATCAATGCACATGAACTTTTCCCGGCTTTTGATCCATCTCCAACTTTTTTTTTCCAGACACAGGCCAGTTCACACAAACACCAGTGGGATATTAAAGAACTCTCCTCACCACACCCTCATCATCATTCGTAATATTGATTTTCATTTCATGCACTGCCATGAAGCAGAGAAGGCTGCAACAGCAGGACAGTGTTTGGAATAGGAGTATAGCTCGGGCAGTCAACACCTAAGGAAGATTCAGACTCAATAAACAGAACTGTAGAGCTATCAGCAGCACAGACACTGTGGTTGGAATACAGGGAGACATACAGGACCAATGATGACATTTTCAAAGAGCCCTCCTTAAAATGTAGCACTGGAATTTACTTGAAGTTTGTGGAAAGGTTGTGGATTGGTGGCAAATCACCTTCTCTAGAAATTGGTACTGATAAAGCACAATGTTGTGCTCCCTAGAAGCTGAGAGGTGGTCCTGACTGAAGCCAGGTGGAGGAGGAGCCATTGCTTAGATGAACCTCTAAGGTCCCTTCTGGGCTTATGATGCTAGGTTATTAGAGCCAGTGTAGTGAGAGGGGTATTTGTCTTTCTTCTACCATTCCTTTCCTGGGCACTTTGTATGTCCACAGACACCCAAAAGGGCTCCATTTTCCCAGGTCTTCCTGCCCATTGACCCACCCTTTCCTCCTTGTCTATATCTGACAACCTCTCATTGCCTTCTCGTTACTTGATTCCTTCTTGGATCCAGGATCCTAATTGTAGAGAGAAAGAAGAACAGTGAGAGGGCTTAGAAAATAGAATCCCAACCTTTATTCATCAAAAAAAGAAGAAAAAAAAGAAGTGGTGAGCTTATGTCACCATTTATTTATAGCCCCACCTACTTCCAGAAGTATCTTAAGTGGTACCTGCTTTCACAGTGGGCTCAGGGAGAACTAAAGTCTCCTATTTAAAAACCAGTTCAGGGAACACCAGACCTGCTAGTCGTTGACAGACTATAATGGGGAAGAGAGTAATTCAAGCATTCAACCACTGCATATTTTTTAATGTAAGTATTATGGGGATGAGAGACTGTTTAAACAATATTTAAAAGCATAGATTTAGTGTATACCCAAAAGAATTGAAAACAAGCGTTCAAACAAAACTTGTATGAGGATATTCTTAGTAGCATGGTTCACAATTAGCCAAAAGGTGAAAACAGTCTAAATGTCCATCAACTGATAAATGGAAATGAAGTGTGGTATATCCATACAATGGATTGTTATTCAGCAACAAAAAGGAATGAAGTACTGATACATGCCACAGCATAAATGCACCTTGAAACATGCTAAGTGAAATATCTAAAGAAAAAAGAAGCAGCCAGATATCAAAACCCATATATTGTACGATTCCCTTTATACAAAATATCCAGAATAGGCAAATTCATAGAGACAGAAAGCAGATTGGTGTTTGCCAGAGGTTGGGAGGAGAAGAGAATGAGCAGTGGTACTGATGGGTACAGGGTTTCATTTTGGGGTGATGAAATATTCTGGAACTAGGTAGTGGTGATTGTTGCAGAACATTGTAAATGCATTAAATGCCATTGGATTTTACATTTTTAAATGGTTAAAATGGTAAATTTTATGTTAAGTGTAGTAGAAGGAAAGACACTTGTTCTTCAGGGCTTTGAGGAAAGATAGGCTCAGTTAGTTGTGCCTATATTCTACCACTTACCAGCTATGTGGCCATGGGCAAGTCACTTAAACTCTCAGCTTCCATTTCCTTATCTGTAAAATAAGGGTAATTATAACAGTACCTACCTCGTAGGGTTTTAAATCTTAAATGAGTCAAAATATGCAAAGTGGGCCGGGTGCCATGGCTCACACTTGTAATCCTAGCACTTTGGGAGAACAAGGTGGGTGGATCACCTGAGGTCAGGAGTTTGAAACCAGCCTGGCCAACATGGTGAAACCCCATCTCTACTAAAAATACAAAAATTTGCCAGGCACAGTGGCACGTGCCTATAGTCCCAGGTACTTGGGAGTCTGACGCAAGAGAATCACTTGAACCCGGGAGGCAGAGGTTGCAGTGAGCCGAGATCGCGCCATTGCACTCCAGCCTGGATGACAGAGCGAGAGTCCGTCTCAAAAAAAAAACCACCAATAAAAATTAAAAAAAAAAAATACACATATATATGCAAAGCGCTGAGTATAACACTTGGCACATAGTAAGCATGATATAAATATTAATATTTGTGTTATTAATTTAGCCCAGTATTCTCAACTGGAGACAGCGTTGCTTCCCAGGGAATATTTGGCCATGTCTGGAGACATTTTTTATTACATACTTAGGGGGAGGGGCTCTACTGGCATCTAGTGAATACAGGCAAAGAATGCCACTGAACATCCTGCAACGTACAGGACAGCCTCCCACAACAAAAGATTATCTGGCCCAAAAGACCATTCGTTCCAGTGAGAATCCCTGGTTCAAACAGAGCATGTAGGGAAATGTGCTTCATCTCATGAATGTATATATTAAAATAGGTCAGGTAGAAATTTTCATTAGAAGAAGACGGTCAGCAAATGTATTAAATGTCCCTTGTGTATAGAGAACACTATATTAGACATTACGGAGCATATAAAATAAGGCAAGGAGCTGTCCTTGAGGAGCTGAGATAAAAAAGAGCTCTGTGTGATGGGGTTATTTCAGAGAGAAGTTTTCGCCAAGAGATTACTGTAATCAGTTTTCCCTTAATAAGAGGGTGATCTGAGGTCACCCACACTGCTCCCAGTAATGCTCGCTCAAAGGCTAACACTTCTAGTCCCCTGTAAAGAAGCATCCTAAGGGAATAGTGTTGGTTCCTTCACTTGTCTGAATGTGTCTTGTGTTTGGGTAAATTCTATTGAATCAATAGCTGAAAAAGAAATCACTGTCACAAATGGAAATAAAAATTACTTGTTATACATACAAGCACAGACATGAAAAAATATTAAATCTCATTGTATTCAACCATCCATAGACCAAAAGGAGGAGATTCTTTTGGCCACTTTCCATGTAAATAGTTATTTGATCAGATTCTAAAAATGGTATATTCATGTCATTAGTCCAGTCCACATCACAGAATTTGCCCTTACACAAATGGCTCACCATCAAAAGGTCTCTCTCGCTTTGCTAGCAGTGAAGGTTGGGAAAGGACCCTTTTTGCTTCTCTCCATCTTTTTACCTGTAGACTAAGGATGGGAAGCCCTGCAAAGGTATGCCAAGCCTTCACTTAACGCCTGCCATAACAGTTGTCCTTCAGAATGGGACAGTGGGAAGAAGGGCCAAGGGGCCTGGTGAAGCCCATTAAGAGAGTAGACCCCTGGAGGGAACCTTGTCTTTGGAAGCTGAGGCAGTGGATGGGTGGTCACAGGAGGGACTGGAGACCCCGCACCATGCAGTCCTCTTTGCACACCTTCTTCCACAACCCTGGCTTCCTATATGTACATGTGCTTTCTAGCAACTTATATTTATTCAGTGTCTACTGTGGCAAGGACTCTTATTAGACACTTTTGTAGGGGGAAACAAAAGCAAATTAAGCATAGAGCATGTCACAGTGAGTTCTCAGTGTGGCAGGGATAAGAGCTGTTATAGTCACTATAATACAAGACAGAAAGTGACAAGTGCAATCAGAAAAATGTGGATAAAACACTATGGGATTTCAGAGGACACAGTTGGCCTTCAGTGGGGAGTCTGGGGAAGTCCTTTTGGAAAGGGTAGCATTAGAATCAGAATGTAAATGTTGGTGAAAATGTAGATATGTTGAAAGGATGCTAGAATATTCTAAAGAACAGAGCAAGCTACCAAGGTTAGCAGTTAAGTATGTCACAGAAGAGATGTTGTAGGATTTGTGGAGGGGAGTGTAGGGAAATAGGATGAGCTGGGTACATTAGGATCAGCTCATGAAAAACCAGCAATGCCAGGACACAGTTAAGCTATGGAGAAGCATGGGTGGATTAGGAAGATTGTTGTAGAGCGATGTGTAAGGTGGACTGGAGAGATAACAAGGGTCTGAGTTATGTGGGGAAAGAAAGGTAGGGAGAGGCCAGACTCAACCAGTATCTGAGATAAAGCATTTGTCAGGACTGATGGCAGGATGAGGCAGCACATGGGTGTACCGAGGCAGCAGGACACAGTGTTGAGGAGCATGGGCGCTGGACACAGATGCTTTGTGTTCTAGCCCTGGTTCTGCCACTTAAACTAGGCTGCATGTCCTTGGGCAAATTGCTTTACCTCTCAGTGCCTTGCTCTCTTCATCCAAAAGAATCGGGAATAAAAATCTTGCTCCTCACACCCATATGCTGCAGATTAAATGAGTTAAGTGCCTTTGACACATTCTAACGTCCTCTGACACAGCGTAAATTATTGTGCTCAATAGCTTAACGTAAAAATTGGGTGTTATTATTGAAGGTCATGAGAGGATGAAATGGGAGGATGAACTTTTGAACCAAGTTAAAATCATGGTGTTTACCAGGAATAAAGAATTACACATGGGAAGGAGTGATCTTTGGTTACTCTTCACAAGGCTGCTTGGAGGGACTGCAGCATGGGGCCCTTGTTTGAGTAGAGGACAGGACTGCCCATCTACATAAAGGCCCAGTTATCTAGATCTTGTTTTCTAGTTCCTAAAGCATTAATTTTACTGTCTGGCATTAGCTGCATTAATCTTCACCAATGAGTCAGGAGTACTCCCAAGACATCAGGATTTCCCTGCTTCTTTTCATGGGGAGACCTAGGATCAAAGAATTAGGGTCATGGGAGACCATCAAACAGATGATGCTTTTAAGAGGAAGGAGGCCATTTTCATAGGCTTGGGCACTAACAGAATGAACACTGAAGATGTTTTATTTAAAAGAAAAGCAATTATGATGTTTTGATTTTAGGTAAGGAATATTGTCTTGTCTGTGTGGGTTTGAGCAGAGTTTGTTCGTGCAGGAAGGACAGGAGAGACCGGGGAGTGTCCTGAGGCAAGACATCCTGCCTCTTATTCTGCAACTTTGCAGAACTCAGAGTGGAAAAGCTTTGCTCTCCTCTGATATCCCATTTGGTGCTCAGACTGTTCCAATGTAATGCATGCATAAGAATAAAAATTAAGCTTTCAAGTGCTAAGGCAGATTTTTAATAAAGAGACATAGGCTTTACCCCTATAAGATTAAACAGTCATCAGGGTTTAAAGGTT
This sequence comes from Homo sapiens, assembly GCF_000001405.40. Lineage (NCBI taxonomy): Eukaryota > Metazoa > Chordata > Mammalia > Primates > Hominidae > Homo > Homo sapiens. The sequence goes on from NC_000007.14 coordinate 29,479,609, forward strand.
TAATCTGTTGGAGCTCAGCCCAGGATGGGGTTCAGAGCCCCAGATTAATTGGATGCAGCCTCAGACTTTGAACGTCAGAGCTGGCTGGGGGGTGTGTGCGCTGGTGTGTTTGAGTGTGAAATGTGCTAATAAGGAGGAGAGACCTCTCCTTTGCAATGTGCTGCGGCAGGAGAAAGCAGGCTGCCGGCCCCTGCCTCCCTGAATCCTCAGTGGCTGACTGGATACCGCTTCTGGGGGTTGCTGTGCACATGAATGTTTGCTATTGTTCCAGGCGCACGTCGGCCTTAAGAAATAGCACAAAACAGGCCCATCCTTATTCAGAAGCCGGGCCCCCTCCATCACTCAAACTGGGCCTTTCAGGTCACATGCCGGAGGCTGCTGCAGACAGGACCCAGCTGCCTCAAATCTGCCGCCTAACATAAGCTGCGGTTCGAAAATCCTGACAGCACAGGGCTTCCTGGGCTCTGCAGAGCAAACTGGAAAGAGCTGGGATCCAGGCACTATGTTCTCTGAAGAACTGTGGCTGGAAAATGAGAAAAAGTGTGCTGTGGTTCGGAAGTCTAAGCAGGGCAGGAAACGCCAAGAACTGCTGGCCGTAGCCTTCGGGGTGAAGGTGGGTGTCAAAGGCGGCTTTCTTTGGCCCCCTCTCAAACTCTTTGCCTGTTCACAGATCTCCTCCCTGGTTCGAAGGGCTGCCCTCACACACAACGACAACCACTTCAATTATGAGAAGACACACAACTTTAAGGTAAGCAAGCCTCTGCATTCCTTCTTCTGTTACAAAAGGGCAGGTGGAAAGGTACAGTGTATAGTTTCCGTCTGGTTTCTGACTGTAAAGTCAAGAGACAATGAATTCCTTTGCTTTCCACATTTAGCTATAAGCTTAACACCTGCGCTTTCTGTCAGTTCAAACTGGAGACCTCAGAAAGCAGTCTGCTCAGTGCTTATGCCTGGAAACACCTTATCTGGATGTTGACTTAGTTTTGGAGAATTGGGCCCATTGCCACTTCACGTTCCCATGTCCAGTGAAATAAACACAGAGCATGCCCAGTCTCTCTCAGTCAGAGATGTTCTGCTGAGAGCTGAGCAGTACTTTTCCACTCAGTAAAGAATATTGCTGTCTCCGAGCAAGGGAAAACAGTTGCCTGTTTCTCGTTTTGTGTTTTGTCTTTTGTTTTCAGTGATGCTAACTCCTTTCCTTTATGCGTAGACACCTGTGAAATCAAATAATGACAGGAGATGCCATCCAGAAGCTTTTATTTGTGCTCCGGGTACGGCTAGCAGGGGGGGCACCCTTGGTCACAGCCTTTATCCTGCTCACCAGACCAAACAAAAAGATCTGGAAACCTGGTGAGGGGTTAAGTGGAATTTCCCAAGTGAATTTATAAACTGGAAAGACCGCTATGTTCGTTTCAGACTGGTACTTGTAGAAGGGGCCTGCCATCAGAAAATTATGGCCTGTTTCCTTTGCCCAAGTGTTTTCCAAGAAGGGCTGGAAAGGGATGCTGCTGCCAAATTGTCTAGCTTGAATTGCAGTTGAGAGGAGGAGAGACAGGTTAGAGTTAGAGGCTTCACCCCAAAAAGTGAGCTGGCAGTTTGAAAGTTGGGGAGAGTGGAGATGGAGGATCCAGGAAGAAAACAATAGGCAGGAGAAGCAAAATGTGAATTGCTTTCTTTTAAAAAAATTCTTGTTTCCTTTAGGGTCAGTAACCCAAGTGACTCTTGGAATTAGATAACCCTTTTGTCAGAGGTGACGAGGGAAACTGATTTTATTCTGTTGCTTTCCGATCCTTTCTGAGGACAAATATTCATCTATTAAATATACATTGGTGTTAGTTTGGTCTGTTTCCCTGCATCTGTTTTTAGAAAGCCAGCAGCTCAGGCATTTGCATGCTATAATTGAACTGAGGAATGGAATTATACAGCCCTACATACTTAGCATTAGGGTGAAGAATTGCATTGCATAGGTCCTCTTCTATGCCAAAGCTTTTCATATTTCTCCCGTCACTGAATATTGACAGGTCTAATTTGGAGCATTAAATGCCTCCCGTTTTTTTTTTTTTTTTTACTCTGTTTTCCATTTTTATCCTCATTAATTTTTTTTGGCCTTAAGAAAGTGTTTTTTTGATTTTTAGCAGAAATCCTTGATTTTTTTGCATCCTGTGGATACACTACTAGTGATGAGAGGATGGATCTTCATGGACTTGTAAATTCTTTTTCTTCCTCTTGAAAATTCCAATTCATTTGGCGTTAAGAAATTGGAATTATGCCATACTATAATATGTTTGCATGGAGTAGCTTGTCCATGTATATTCTGTGTCTGAGCTTGTGTTAAAAACACACAAATATACATAGTTGATATTTTCAAAACTAATTTCAGTCCTTTTAATGTTAGATCCCTGAATGGAAAATTAATCTTAAGACATTTTAAAACTAAAAGATAATTAAATCTTATTTTTTAAGTAGTACTGTTGCTAACACAATATATTACTTATCACTGGAAAACACCAGCAGCTCTTCTAATATTTGTTTAAAAACTCAAAAGCTATTCACCGTTAACAGCTCTTGAAAGAAGAAAAGGCACAAAATAGAGAAGCTGTTCAAGAGGAGTACACAAGCCAGACAGGAGCGTTTCTCTTCCATGTTTTAAACAGACATCTTTGAAACTTAGCAGACCTCAAGTAGCTGTGACAGTTGATTGTGGCATTCGATGGTACTGTTGGTGCCACTGTCCTTAAGAATGAGTGGCAGGGGCCAGATGAGGCATCCCCTTTGTCCTTCCTTGCCCTTTCCACCCTCAATCTCCCCACTCCTCACCCGCAACTAACTCTAGGTGGAAACTTTACATGGTTTTTGGAAGAACATTCAAAAAGCAGGCTCAGGCTATAAATACAGTGGCAGGTTTTTAGGGACAAGCCACTGAACTGAACTAAAGGAAGAAAATTCTTATCCTAGGTCCCTGCCATCTGCTTGGAATTTGTGTTTCAGACCTTAATTTTACATTAGCTTTTTATTTACATTAACTTCTAATGGGCTTTATTCAGAAGCCTTCTTGATTTGTAATTCGGGTTAATATTTGAGGCTACTATGTGCATAGCATATAGTAAGCAGTCAATAAAAAGAACAAATAATCACATTTTCATGCTCATCAGATAATAGGCTTTGCTAGGTGCTGTCTGCACTTTTTTCTTTTTTTTTTTTTTTTTTTTTTTTTTTTTTTTTTTTTTTTTTGAGACGGAGTCTCGCTGTGTCTCCCAGGTTGGAGTGCAGTGGCGCGATCTCGGCTCACTGCAAGCTCCGCCTCCCGGGTTCATGCCATTCTCCTGCCTCAGCCTCCCAAGTAGCTGGGACTACAGGCGCCCGCCAACACACCCGGCTAATTTTTTGTATTTTTAGTAGAAACGGGGTTTCACCGTGTTAGCCAAGATGGTCTCGATCTCCTGACCTCGTGATCCGCCCGTCTCGGCCTCCCAAAGTGCTAGGATTACAGGCGTGAGCCACCGCGCCCGGCCTGCACTTTTTTCTAGAGGCCTCCTACCTGACATTCAAATTTGCCAGTAGAGTTTCTCTTCTTACCCCATAACAAGATTGTTTGCCCCAGTCAGAACTATTACCCCAGGTAAAAAGCCCTTTCCTTTGCTCTGCCCAGGAACTTTGTCAAGAGGAATGAATAGAAACCCCCAACATTCCCTAAGTTGGGACCTTGCGCTCTATTCTCTCAGAAAGCTCACAGTCACTGCCTTTGCTTCTCAAACAAAGCTTGTCTAAGCAAAGTAAAATTCGGCTCTGAGAACAAAAGCTTTGGGAACCAAAGGACAGTTGGCACCTCATCGCATGCAATAATTGTATACTTTTCAACACTGTGTGCTGATGCAATCTTTGCTTATTTAAAGCCTGGATTTCCTAGGGTTACTTGTACCTACTAGGCACTGAGACGTATTTGTTGGAGGAATGGTGAAATTAACAGACTCCTCTCTAAAATGAAAACTGTTTGTCAAGAGAAAAACCACTCGGTTATTTAGCTCATTTTATAACTGCATCTCTGTTTATCTAGTTGATTTAAGGAGGCACTCTGCTGTAACTGGAACAGCTCTCTTTTGAATGGTCCACCCTAATAATACCTTATGGCTGAGCTCTGAAAATCTTCAGGCCAGCCAACCCCAGAGGCCCGGCAGTCGGCTTGCTCGGCTTCCTGCCCACACTTAGCACAGTGCTGAGGTAGCTTTAGCCCGCATAGTACTCCTGGCCACACCATGTTCTTCCAAAGAGCTCAGCTCTCTCTGCCTCAGTTCCCTCATCTATAAAATGGGAGTGTTGGGAGGTTTAAAGAATACATGCGAGTCACTTATCGTGGTCTCTGGCACCCAGTAAGTATTCATTTGATGTTAGCATCTATTATTATCTTTTTGTGCCTCTCACTTGTATTTTTGTATCTAGCTTTTTCAGTCTTTTATTTTCTACCCTCTCTTCTTCATGGCTTTTTTTCTTTTGTCTCTTTTCTACCATCTCTTTCTTCTTCTCTCATTAATTATATGTAAGAGAAAATGAAATAAAGCCTGATGGTTATTTCCTTGAATGTATTCCATCCTGTAGCCAATACTGGTTTATACCCCTCGTTTGTTTAAAAAGTAAATGGATGACTTAGATGATTTAGATTTAGATTTCACACATTTTTCTCCTAGCTTTTAAAAAGTACTTTCTATTAAAGCTGTCATAACAAATGACCACAAACTTGGTGGCTTAAAACAACACAGATTTATTTGCTGGTGGTTTTGAAGGCTGGGAAGTCTGAAATCAAGGTATGGGCAGGGTTGGGTCCTTCTGGAGGCTCTGAAAGAGAAACTGCCCTGCAGCTCTCTCCTAGCTTCTTGTGGTTGCGGCAGTCCTTGGCGTTCTTTGTCTTGTAGACACACCACTCCAATCTCTGCCTCCATCTTCATATAGCCTTCTCTGTATGTCTCTGTATATCTGTCATCTTCTTATAAGGTTGCCAGCCATGGGATTTAGGGCCCATACTAATCCAGTATGATGTCGTCTTAATTATATCTTCAAAGACCCTATTTCCAAATAAGGTCATATGCACAGTGACCCAGGGTTAGGAGTGAAGCACACCTTTCGGGGGATATACGATGCAACCCGTTATAGGAACTGTAATTGACATTTTCAGGAACCCTCAATAGGAAGGATCTCTAGCCTCACCCTAAAGGATGCATTGTCAGTAATGTTAAAGTTTACAGTTTCATTAAAGATTTTTATGTCCATGAAAAAAGGTCTTTAGATGTAATCTAATTGCTCCTAAGTGTCAACCCCTTGGTCCAGGCATAACTGCTGATTTCCATGGCTATTGATTTTAACATCTGTAAAGAAAAGTTTTCATGGATTTTTCTTATCAGTGCTTCATTGCTCTGATAGAAAGTGGTGAAACTTAGTTATTCTTTGTCTCTTATCTTTACCAAGCATTTCTTCATTAAAAGAGGCACCAAAAAAACTTTAAAATAGCTGGTGAGCTTCCATTTTTAGTAGCAAGTTGAAAGTGTCTATTTGCTGTAGCTGGTTCATATTCAGAGTATGTGTTATACTTTATAATCAAATTTATGATGTAGCTATTAGTTCACACTAATATGTGTGATTGATTATGCAGGACTGGGCAGGTAATGTGTGAGACCTAGTATAAAATGAAAATATGAGGTTCTTGTTAAAAAAAAAAATTGAGACTTTCAAAACTATGACAGCAGCACATTAAACCATGCTAAGGACAGGGCTCTGTGCAACAGCGCAGGTCACATGCGCCCTGAAGCTGACCCTGTGGTGATGTATAAAAAAACAGGAGTAAAAGACAAGCTTCTGTGAGCATTCAAAGAGGAGGGGGCTCCCTAGTGCTGGAGATCCTGTGTAAGAGACAGTGTGGTTGTTCTCTCAGCCTTAACCAAGAATCCTCGTGGGTAGGTGGAAAGTTGGCTGAAGCCCAAGTAGATAAATAGATCAAGGATGGTTATACAGGGGAAAGAAAGAGCACCCGGGCTATGCAAACAACAGGAGTGAGAACTTGGAGTCAGAAATGTGCCAGGAGCGAATAAGGTGCAGGGGAGAGACCTCGGGGACAGAAAGGAGTCCATCACATTTAAATCATCAGTTGGGGTGGGCCAGATGGTGGAAAGATGATGATTCCTGGGCCCTGGAGCCATCAGAGTCTCCTGAGCAGGCCCTTCCCCCACTCAGCCTGCTGCTTCTGTTCCCAGCCTCTCCAGTCTGCATGGGGATCTGCATCACTCTTTCCTGCCAAATTCTCTCCCACCCCCATGCACTTCCAGGATACCCTTCCTTCTTCCCGATATGGAATATGGATGGAGAGCAGAGGCCCAGAAAGTTCTAACCCCCCTCACTGTGTGTTCCCCACTCCCTTTCCACCCCCCTTCCACCTCCTGCCCAGCCTGTACCAGCTTCCCTTTTCTCCCTAGCGCTGATCACCAGCTGACATCGTACATATTTATGTGTGTGTTTGCCTGCCTTCCCCTTACCAGAGGGAAACTCCCGATGGGAGGGGGTGGGGAGAGAGGGTTCGTGGAGTGGGGATTTTTGTCTGTTTTATTGACTGCAGAAACCCCAGTGTCTAGAACAAGTCCTGGCCCACAAGCTGTTCATTCACGTTGGCAGAAAGCAGGGGACCGTATCTCCCTACAGTTGAGCTTTCGGAGCCCTCTCCTCACTCCCTGCCCTGCAGTTTGCCCTCTTGTGCGGCTTGTGTGTTGTATGCACCTGTGTTCATTGTACTAGAGTCCTTCCACGGAGTGGGCCCTTGCCAGGGTCATCAGATGGCGCAGGAGAGATGGAGGCCCTATCAGGATGTGTCGGGCCAGCTCTCAATCCCCATTTGCCAGGGATGGTGACTGTGCAGTGCTACCCCGTGTCTGATCCATGGGAGCGGGCGGGTAAGGGGGAGGAGGGATCTGTCCCAGTTCACTACAGCTGTCCTGTGTGGCGCCTTTCAAAAGCATCCCATCAGGACGTAGGGGAAATGGTTGCCCTACTTACTCTTATATGTCCCCCACTCTGCTGACAGACTGAGGATGCACCAGGAGCACCCCGTTCCCATGGCACACCCCATCGCGTGTGCTCTTGTAGCATGCTCCTTCTCAACATGCAACCCCCACCCCGTGCTATCCTGGAGGCCAGGACTAGAAGTTCAAGAAGCTAAGAATATGTCCCCACGCTCCCACTAAAACACCTGTCCAGGACGTGGCAGCACCACCACCTCCCAGTTTGGATTTGAGGCTCCTTGATGATTTCTAGGCCTTTCATTCATTTTTGCATTCTTCTCAGTCTAGTGGTCATTTGCTTTGGAAGAAGACTTTTTGCTTCCCGCATGCAAGCCCCTCTCTCTTCCTCTTCCCCCTTGACCTCATAAAAGTGTGTCAGCCCTTCGTGTCATTCCCAGCATTTTGTCTGCCTTGCCTTCTTATCAAGCTCCCAGGTGTCTATCACCCTTTTCTGTCCATCTGATGCTACTTCTGTGCCTGGAGAACAGGGATGGCTGGATATTGCACCTGCAAATTGACACAGGCAGAAATTGGCTTCAGAATGGTTGGGGGCTTGTTTTGTTTTTTTTTTGTTTGTTTGTTTTGTTTTGTTTTTTAAGTTAATAATCAGAAAAGGCTGTTTTGCCAGAAACAAGTCTGGAAAGAAAATTCAAAACAAAGGCAAAACTCATCACCTTAAATATAAAATGAGGGACTCAAAGTGAGACTGGAATAAACAGGTTTGGAAATATATGGCTTTATTAAAAAAATGTTGTTTCTGCTCCCAGAGTGCTATGAAGAGGAGTTGTTTTTGTCTACCTCCTAATTCAGCCTGCTCCACATTATAATGATTACAAAGTCCTTGTTTTCAAGTAATATAACCCCTGGAAACTATCTTAAGCTAAATAGACTATTATACAGGATGGTCTCATAAAGCCTCCAGGGAATACTCAGAACTCAGGGACGGGTGGAAACAGGAACTGGGAGTATACCTGGAGCCAGTTTCTCCCTCTCTTCCTCCTTCCCTCCCTCCTTTCTTCTTTTTCTCCTTCTAACTCCCTCCCTCTTTCTCTCCCCCTCCCTCCTTCCTTTCCCTCCCTACTTTCATTATCTCTTCCTTCCTCTGTCTCTCCTTCTCCCTCTCCTTCCTCCAGAGGCATCCAGTAGAGGCCAGGTGTGCTACTAAACGTCCAGGACAGGCCACCACAACAAAGAGTTGTGCAGCCCTAAATGCCAGTAGTGCTGAGACTGAGAAACCTCACTACTGGCAATGGGGAGCCACTCGAGGTTTTTGAGCAGGGAAGTGTCAAAAGGATGTGGGTGTCGATGTGCTCATAAACCTGATCAAAGTTAAGTAGCATGAGGACATCTTACTTTATGCAGTGGGGAGACTCCCAGAAAGCTTTGAGACAATCAATATTTTAGAAATGCAATCCTATCTTAAACTAGGGCAGCTGCTAATGAGAAGTCCAGGGATCTGTGGTGCCCGGTTTGAGAAACTCAGCTCTCCTGCCCCATCTCCTTGGCCAGCCTTTCAGAGGGAACTCAGAGTGTCTGTCATAGATTGATTCACCTCTGCTGTGTTTTCGTACATCTGAAAAGGGTCACTTCAAGGTTAGGACTTCATCTGGTCTTGCAAAAGGGGAGAGTTCAAAGTTTAACCTAATTTTTCATATGAGATGAATGTCACATGGTTGTGGGAAATACAGTAAATTATAGGAAAAGTCCTTGGCAGAGATCTGGAAGCCTTGACTGTGCTGCTGACCTGGGTGACGCAGGATAGGCTGCCTGCCCTCCAGCCTCTCAGTTAACCCTGGGCAAACACTAGACTAGACCTCCAGAACCCAGCCACATGTAGCTGGAAGGGACTTTAGCTCTCTCTTCTGTGAACATAAAGTAGCTAAACAAACAAACAAACAAACAAACTGCCTCTGACCCGAAGATTCCTTTTCAAAGCAAAAGAATAAAATTCTGATTTTTAATATGAATAATAAAATGACAAATTGAGGCAATAAGGTTTCCATCTATACCACTGCTTCTCAATAAAGGAAACTTCACCCCCCCACCTCCCCCTGACCCCTGGGGGACATTTGTCAATGCCTACAGATATTTGTGATTTGTCCCAGCTGGGAGTGCTACTGGCATTTAGTGGGTGGAGGCCAGCGATGCTGCCAAACATCCCACAATGTACGAGGCAGACCCCCACAACAAAGAATTTTCCAGCCCAAAATGTTAATCAGTAGTGCCGAGGCTAAGAAATCATGATGTATACTGGTAAGAAAAAGCAAAAATTCTCAACTGCAGCATGTCATAAACGGTACTTTTCCTTCTTACAGTTTCGATCCCAGGCTGAGCTGATATTAATACATCTGGGTGGTGTCTACATTGACCCATCAAAACATATCTGGTATAAAACCACCAGAGAATACTGCCTTCCAGATTCAGCAGCTATGAGACAAATAACATCCTGTTCATTTAGAAAGAGCTGTGTTGAGAGATACTTGCTAAATGCCTGAGATCTTTCTGGATGACTCTTCTTGCTCTTGTTTTTGCAAAGTAGCCATTCCTGGGCCATTTGTCAAACATACCTTATCTCGTGTAATATCATCTTTTTTGTTTGGTGTGGTTTTTGAATTCCAGGCAGACCGTGCCTAGTGTAATAGTCTTGGACAGACATTCTTCCTGTCTGGAGTATTTTCTTCCTGTCTAGAATATTTTAGTTACTGCCCTCAAGTTTTCAAACTGTTCTTTCTCTAAAAAGATATTCTTGCAAATCAGTGAACTTCAGAAAATGGAAAAAGCCGACCAGTGAATTTTAAGATACGGTATATTTCAATGAAAGAGTAGACATAATAAGTAGAAGCCAAATAAAATGGGCTCAGAGCATGCCCTCAGCATTTACACGTAGCCTTCTGTCTAGAGATTGTCCTTGTGGATCCAAAAGAAAATTGAACAATATATCGGTCGTGAAAATAAACAATGGCCCATCACCAAAAAGGAAAGTAGGCAATGGGCCTAAAATAATGTTTCACTTTACATCCTTGCTCTATTCTCATTTTGTTTTATTTTTTGGGGACTGTGTGGGGACACTGGGTGCTACTTGCTCTTCGAGACGTCTATGCATTTATTTGGCTGGACAGAACAGATCAAAGGCAGTAGGGATACTTGTTGGGAAAGGATGTTGGTAAATATGGACAGTGATAATAAGCATTAAAATGCAATCCTGATGTGCTCAATTATTTTTAAAAATATTGGCAAAAAAAGTGAAATTTTAGAAAATCTGTGATTAGCCTATCCTGTTTTTCCTGAAACAATAGGCCAGTTTATATTTTGTCAATATGCATTCTGTCCACGTGTAGTAAACATGTAGCCACTCACTTAATTTCTAAATATTGCATTTTCATTTTTACCCCAAGATATAGGGATATTTAAGATGAGGTTATTTCATCCACTCAAGATGTTTCAGAGACCAACGTGATGTCATTCCTTTTTTTTTTTTTTTTGAAACACCATTTGCCAGAAAAGAATGCCTTTCAAAACCTAAGCCCACCTTCATTGGCCTTTGGTTATGCTGTTTTCTCTTCTGTAAATGTCTTCCTCAAGTCATCTGCTCTCCAGTCAACACCATCACTTCCCCACCTGCTCAATCTTTCCCAGGCTGGTGAATTCCTATCCATCCTTCAAAGCCCAGTTCAATATCCCCTTCCGCAGACTTCTAGGAAGAATTTATTATTCTCTCCATTATACTACCATAGGATCTCCTACGTGTTCTGCTGTATCACCTGACACATAATTGCCTGTTTATTCTTGTAGATAATGAGATCCTTGAGTGCAGGCAGTTCTTATTCCTCTGATCTATTTCAACTTTGTATATCCAAGGACTAGTACAGGGCCAAGTTCAAAGCAGGCAATCAGCATGTAAATATCAAACAAACGAGTGAATAATGAGTTGCTGGAAAGGTGGAAATAAGATGAAAATAGGATATAATTCATCTGTCTGACATCCTTCCCCCATTAATTTGTAATGCCACTTCTGAGATATACCAAGTATCCATATATGTGTGATTTGGTTTCTTGTCTTTCCAGTGTATACTACTGGTACCAAATGTACTGTACCAAACATACTGGGCTTTGGCTCTCTATTTGAAATGTTATTATATTATATTCAGAATATGGTATGTATGGTATCAGTTTTTTGTATATGTTGAAGCTTAATTTGTGGTCAATTGATACGAATATTCCAAGTGGTTTTGAAAAGTGTGTGTGTTCTTTGAATGGCTGGATATGAGATCCCTTTCGTATTCATAGATCAACTTTAGCTATTTGATCTACTAGTTTCTGTGAAAGATGTCAAAATCATTATGATTGTGGATTTGTCAATTTATCTTTGTAAGTCTTTCAATTTCGCTTTATATTTTTGAGACCATATTGTCATATAAAAGCTCAAAATTATATACTTCTGGTAAAAATAAATCTCTATTATCTCTATCACTAATAATGCAAATATATATATTTGCTCTATTTTGGGTTTCTATTGGCTAGTTTGCTGGGTATGGCTTTCTTTCTTACATTTCTCTCATGTTATGTTTTAGTTGTGTTTCTTGAAAGGATTTTTAAAATGTTATCTAAAAATCTTTTTTTGTGATGAATTAGAGCCACTTATTCTGATTAGAGTTGTATAAGGATTTTTTCTACAATCACTGTACTTTTCTATTGCATCTTTTTTCTCCTTCCCTGCTTTTTATTGGTTTAATTAAACCTATATTTCTTTTTCCCTTATGTATTTGTGTGTGTGTGAGAGAGAGAGACAATCTCAGTCTGTTGTCCAGGTTGGAGCACAGTGGCGCCATCATAGCTCATTTTAGCCCTGGACACCTGGGCTCAAGCCATCCTCCCATGTCAGTCTCCTGAGTAGCTAGGACTACAGGCATGTGCTACTATGCCCAGCTAAATTTCAAACTCTTTTTAGAGATGGAGTCTCACTATGTTGCCCAGGCTGGTCTCTACCTGGCCTCAAGTGATCCTCCTACCTTGACCTCCCAAAGCACTGGGATTACAGGCATGAGCTACCACACCCAGCCATATATTCTTTTTGATTAATGGATTTCATCCCACCCTTTTTTAAATTATCAAAAATTTAATACATGCATAATTGACTTCAAATATTCTTCAGTTAATTAGTAGCTCTTCTTACATTTCCCAAATTAAGAGAACTTTAGACTTCTTCATCCCCTTCAAACTTCCATGTCATTTTTTTACCCCATGTTTAAGTCCCCTACAGTTAGTCATCTTGTTATTGTTGTATGCAAATAGGGCATGATTAGATTGACCCACACTTACCAGTTTTCTTGCTCACCACTGCTTCTGGAAATCCTTCCTCCTAGATTCAATTTGCTTCTCACTGAAGTATATCCTTTAGTATTTCTTCAAGTGATCATCTGTGATTGGAAACTCTTGACATTTGTCTGAAAATATCTTTATTTCACCCTTACTCTTAGATGATAATTAGCTGGGTGTAAAAGTTAGGTTGGCAGTATTTTTGTCAGAGCACTTTGATGAAATTATTCAATAATCTATTCATGTCTTCCTGCTGAAGAAAACTCTATTTTTACCTATTTCTCCCCTTTCAAAGATAACCTGTTTTGGTTTTTGTTGTTGTTGTTGTTTTAGGATTTTGCTTTGTCTTTTGGTATTCTGCAATTTCAGTATAATGGCATAGATACAGATTATTTTTATTTATCTGATTTGAGTTTCATTTAGCTTTTTTTTAATCTGAATATTTTGTGTCTCACTACGAATTCTGGAAAGATCTCAACTGTTCTTCTCCTTAAATATATATTGCTTCCACAGATACCCTAAACTCCATCATTTCTCAACTTCTGAGGATCATCACTCCTTTGCTTATCTTTTCTCTCTTCTGCATTTCCAGTCTCTTACCTATTGTATCAAGTTCATCAACAAGTCAACTTGCCTTGGTGTTTCCCATCTTTTAAAAAAGTCCTTCCTTGACTCCACATCTCCCTTGAGCTATCCTCTGTCTCTGTTGAACATCATAGCCAGCCTTCCTGATAGAGGAGGTACCCACATATTTCTCTACTTCCTTACCTTCTTCAGTTCAGTTGAGTCTTACTTCTACCCTCAGCCATCCAAAGAGATTGCTGTTGCTAAGGTTGCTAATGACTTCCATGTATCTGAGTCAATATTTAGTACTTATTTCATTGAACCTCTTATCAGCATTCAACATAATTGACCATTCATTCCCTAAAACATTCTTCACCTCTTGGCTTCTGGAACACTTTGTTGGTTTTCTCTAAATGTTTGAACACTGAGTGCTCAGGGATGAGCTCTCTTTTGTTTTCTGCTCCCTACCTTTAATATAATCATGTGCTATATAACAATATTTAGGTCAAGAATGAACCACATATATCATGGTGAACCCATAAGATTATAATGGAGCTTCCCTATGTAAGTGTACCATTTTTTATCCTTTATACTGTATTTTTACTGTACCTTTTCTATGTTTAGATATGTTCAGGTACATAAATACTTACTGTTATGTTACAGTTGCCTACAGTATTTAGTAAAGTGACATGCTGTAGAGGTCTGTAGCCTAGGAGCAATAGGCTATACCATATACCCTAGATGTGTAGTAGGCCCTACCATCTAGGTTTGTGCAAGTACGCTCTATGATGATCCCCCTCAATGATGAAATCACCCAAGGATGCTTTTCTCAGAATGTAGCTCCATCATTAAGTGATGCATGACCATACTTTTTGTTCATTCACACAATTTTAAATATCATCTATTCATCATAGATGGTGAAATTTATACCTCTGGTCTTTGCTCCTCCTCTGACCTCTCAAACTATGAGTTCCTGCTTGACACTAACACTTGGATATCATAGCAGCATTTAACCCTAACCCATCTAAAATGGAATTCTTCACTTTCTCCCCAGAAGAGTGTCTTTCCCATCTCAGCAAATGGTATCATCATTTACCTAGTTCCTAAGCTAGAATCTCAGAGTCATTCTTGACTCCTGTCTCCCTCAAAGGCCCACACTTCTACTGTCAGGTCCTATAAATTCTGTCTTCAAAATATACCTCAAATTCTTCCACTTTCCATCTCCACTGCCAGCATCCAGGTGTTAGGCTCTGTCATTGTTCAACTAGACTACAACATAGTTTTCATATCTATTCCACTATTAACACCCTCTCATTCATTTTCAACACAGTTGTCAGAATAATCTTTTAAAAAAATCTATGTGAAGTCCTCCAAGAACTTCCTACTGTACTTAGATTGAAACAAAATCCACACTCATGAATAAAGCCTTTAAGGCCCTGTGTAACTTTTCCTATCCTACCTTCAGCTTCACTCCAATTCCTCTCCCCGCAACTTTTGGTGTTCTGGCCACCCTGGCCATCTAGTTCCTTCACCACACCAAGTTCTTTTGCTCCCGCAAGGCCTCCATATATTCCTTCTGCTGGGAATGATCTCTGTCCCTTTCTCTTTCCCTGTGGAAGAGAACTGGCTCTTCTTTTACATCTGGTCACCTTCCAAAAGAGGCTTTCCTGACCATTCTGGTTAAGGTTGGGCCCCACTTGGTCTCTCTAGTAGCAGCCTCATCTTTTTTTCTTCTGTAGCCCTTTTTATACTTTTTTTTTTCTGGAGTTGCATTTTACATATTATTTTATTATATTTAATTGATCTTCACAGCAGATTAACAATTGACTTTGCTGCCATAATTAAGAGCATTTCTAGTAAAATATTAAGAAATGTATGATTGCTGAATTTAGAAAATGTCCAACTTTAGATAGGATACTTTACTGAGGAACTCTTTTAGTACTGCATTCAATCTTGGTAGGCCTCTAAGTGAATTATGACATTTGGCCCTGTAAGTCCTTCTGGGATGAATTCTCTGCATTCCTGTTAAAAAATGCTTTGTCATTTCTTAGGGTCATTCCCTAGAAAAATGTTGAGAAATTTTTGGCATCATTTTCAAAGCAGGAACTATATAATAGGCAGTTTGCATATGATAAACTGAAATACCAGAAAGACTACTATAACTTCGCTTTATTACAGAGTTATAAGTTGCTCTTTTTTATTTATTAACTAGCTTATCATCTTTCTCTGCTTTTACTCATTGGTTTCCTTAGAAGAGATCCAGATCCATTTTGTTTGCCTCTTTATGTACACCCAATTACTAACATGTATGAATAAAGAACTCAAACTGAGGCTCTTTTTTTCTTAAGCAGAACTCGGATGAACACCTTTCCAAATTGTGACCACACTCATCATCCTGCTTTTTTGTTAAATAAAAGCAGTTTGTAAAAAAAAAAAAAAAAAAAAAAAAAAAAAAATTGTCTACATTTCTTTTGTTAATAGAGGTTTATGACTTTGAAAGGCCTTCTATAATGCTTTATAACATTTTAACTTTGTAAAAATTCGGGACATTTTTGTGCACATTTGTATGGCCCCGATAGACTGCCTATGGTCATTTTAGATTGACCATGGCCACATTTCCTTCTTAAAGCTCTTTGATGCCAGTATTTTTGCTTTGTTTTGTTTTCATTTTAAATCATAATTTAATACAGGAGGACCTATGCCTCAAAATAATCAGAGATAAGACCATCCTTACTTTGTGATATTCAGAATATTTAACAACTGGCTGGGAGCATCAATCAATGAGACCAGCACTTTGGTCAACCAGGAAAGATTTTCAGCTTACTTACCTGAAGGCCACACCAAGTCCTACTGAATATGGAAACTATCTCTGGGGAAAGCAATTCCACAGGCCTTATTGGTTGCCTCCATGTTTAGCCAACTCCTTTACTTTTTAAAATGCCTTTTTTGGAAGTAGCTCAAAGACTTGGAACCTTTTAATTATCCCATAATCATGTCTTATTTATACCTGCCTGGATAGTGTAGAGATGGGAAAACTTCAGTCAAAAGGACACAGTAATTGAGTTCTGCCTTCCAGAACTTGCTGAGCTAAATGCAGGTTATAGCGACCAGCTTGGGCTATCTTGGGTTTGTCCACACAGTGCCTTGTTGTGGGTGGTCACAGTCTTACTCCTTAGCTGATGGCATGGCCTATAATCTGTTTCTCCACGTTCCTTTCTGACTCTGTCCTGGGGCATGGTGGATCGATGAAGGATTTTCAAAGATCAAAGCACATCTCTGTTTTCTCAGGATCTGTTTGCAACTGCTTTACTGGAAGGAAAAGCCCAGTGGGGGATCGCTCCTGCTGATCTTCATTGACATGTCTGAGGCTACCTGCCTTTAAATGACTCTGAGCTTTCTGACATTTTTCTTCTTTTTGGATCACAGGTCCACACGTTCCGAGGCCCACACTGGTGTGAATATTGTGCCAATTTCATGTGGGGGCTCATCGCCCAAGGGGTCCGGTGCTCAGGTAGACACAGAACTTTCTTCTTTTCCAATTATATGAAATGCCACTGTGCTGAGCTGGAGGATGTCTCTCCAGAGCTGGGAAATGTGCTCAGATTAGCTCAAAAGTCTAGCCTTCTGCAGGGTTCAAGGCCTGTCTGTGCTTAATGGGGAAACTATTTCAAGTGTTTGCAGGAATGAAAAAGAATATATCATGTTTATGCAAGAAAAGAAAAAAAAAAACAAAAAGTACATTTCCTTAAACACCTACCTGCCTCTTACAATAGGCAGTAGTCCGTAAAAGAAAAAAAAAATCAATTCCAATGGAACTGCATAGCTAGAAAAGCCATACTTTGTCCTACCCCATCTTGCTACAAAAGGTAAGACATAAAAATAGTAATAGTGCTGGTGAATATTTACCACATACCAGGCACCAGTTAATCTCTATTTATCATGTCATTAGCCTCACCAACAGACCTTGGGGGAGATGCAATTATCCTCCATTAAAAAAAAAAAAAGACACAGAGGCTTGTTATTTGCCCTTGGCTACGCAGTAAGGAATAGAATATTGATTCAATGGGAGCCAGATTCCAGAGTTCATGCTCAGTATCTCATTGTCATCAGATTAGCAGTGAAACCATGCACCTTGATTTGATATCACATATTTTCAAAGTAGTTTGAAAGCCTGGGTGATTTTCCATCTGGAATTGGAGGTATACACCTATTGCTAACAGCATACATCTTATTAAGGTACATCTAACACAATGATAAATGATACAAATTAATGTGTAACTGGGTTTCCTAATTCATGTTGCCATGGTTTTTCTGGCAAACACTTGTGGCTGGGAGCAAGACCAGCCTCCTCTGATATTGATCAGGTTTCTACCAACACCCTGACTGACTTCTTCCTTGCTAGGATATGATTTTTAAAAATCTCAGGAGCATTTAGAATACAATAAGGTAATGACACTAATTAAGGTGATCTTTCCCATTTTGGCTCACAGCATCCCGTAAACCCTAAGTCCTCCTCTCTGCCTGGAAGAGGCTTCTAGCTTCCATTGTGTAAATACACCAATCACCGGTGTTGATACCTGGATGGTTCAAGTAGTTCCACCTCCCCCATTGCAGGTCTATGTTTAAGGGGTGGTCAACATAGCTCAGAAGCAGCTTCTCCATAAATATTCAGAAACTCTGTTTAACACTAAAGACTGACTTGCCAGGAGCCACAACGTATCTCCCAGCTCAGCCACTGAGCAAAGGGGTAGAATATCTGAATTACTCAGTGGTCATTAATTTGGCCTGTCCCTATTGTACCTATCAAAAATATCCCTAATTGCTGGTATTAACCAGTTTCAGCAAGAAATTGGTCCAAAGTCAATATTATGAGAACAAAACTCTGGGCTTCATATTAGCTGTGAACAGCAACTTTTCAAGTTTCTCTGGGATAAAAGCGTTTTTGTGGGGTTTTTTTCTGGTTTTGTTTTTTTTTTTAAATAAGACATTTTCTGAGGCCATATTGTTAGTATTTTCCAATGGCTACTTTTTGGCCTTATATTTCCTCTTAGCAGCAGGGAGGCTAAAAACTGATCATGAAAGGTTAGGAAGAACCATCATTGCCTCTCAGCTTTCCATATATTACATCTTTTAAGTATTTTTAGAATGCACTGGACTTTATTTGTAGAATATGGATTTCTACTGCTTTGTAAAAAATGGAGCATTTTTACATTTGTTATAGAACATCTTAATTTTAATAAAATATCAGTATTAAACTCTACATAAACACATTGTTGCTTTAGGTCTTAAATGAACATGGATGATTCCTATTATATGTGGTACCTAGGGCAGCAATTCCAAGAGGTAGAAAGTTGAATGGTAGTTACAGGGGATGGGTAGATGGGGAGTTATATTGTTTAATGGGTATAGTTTCAGCTTTGGAAGATGAAAAAAGTTCTGGAGATGGCCGGTGGTAGTGGTTGCATAACAGTGTGAATGTACTTAATGCCACCAAACCATACACTTAAAAATGGTTAAAATGATAAATTTATCAGAATTTAACAAAAAAATTTAAATGAAGTTTGTAAGACATACTAAGAATTCCTAATGAAATCACTTCAGAATTGCTGGGCAGATATACTTACATTTTTTTATCACCATATTTGCTATTTATTTTATTTGACCTAACATGTATACAATACTTAACTATATTTCAGACACTATGCTAAACACTTTATTAACTTTTATTTGAGCCTCATGGCTAATGCCAGGAGGTAGGTGCTATTATGATCTTCTATAGAAGAGGATTCAACAGGAAACCCAGCCAACTCTATTTAGCGCAGTTAGCCAAAATTTACATTCACTAGATAGATGTATCAAAATATTATTGAAGTCACTTGAGCTTTGTTGAATTTCTCATGTTGATAAAGATTAATTAGAACTGTTTTTGTTTTTTTTATTTTGAAAGGAGGTAGACAGAGAACTCAGCCAATAAAAATTACATGAAAATCACTTAGAAATTACCACTGATTTTACAAAAGTTTAGATCCTCTCAAGTTCTTGGTGTGCTTAAGTGCTATTTTATAAAGCAGATGACTACAATATTCCTTATCATGTGTGCACGTGTGTGTTATTCTTTGTGCCTAGGAAAACAGTATTAGAAGATACTTTGAGTAGAGAGCACATCAACTTTGAACAACTTCAGCATTGAATTTTTCCCTTTCAGAATGTAGCAGAATGTAGACTATGCTGCCTTTTTTTTTTTTTTTTTTTTTGGAGACAGAGTCTCCCTCTGTCACCAGGCTGGAGTGCGGTGGCGCAATCTCAGCTTACTGCAACCTCTGCCTCCTGGGTTCAAGTGATTCTCCTGCCTCAGCCTCCTGAGTAGCTGGGATTACAGGGGTCCACCACCATGCCCAGCTAATTTTGTATTTTTAGTAGAGACAGGGTTTCACCATGTTGACTGGTCTCAAACTCCTGGCCTCAGGCAATCCGCCCACCTGCCTCGGCCTCCCAAAGTGCTGGGATTACAGGCGTGAGCCACCACGCCCGGCCAACTGTGCCTTTTTATCATCAGAGAAATTCCGTCAGTGGATATTGACTGCTAACAGGCTCTTCGTGTTTTCATTGAACTTTAAAAGCACCCTTTTCAGCTTTGGATTTTCATATGAACTTTATAAATAATCATCACATTACATTACATGGTATTGTTATAAACTCTCAAGTACTCCTACTGGTGTATATAGTTAGGCATTATTTCCACTCACAGGTGTCAAAATAAGGCATGTAGAAAGGAAAGCGGCCTACCCAAACTGCCCAAGGAGGAAGGGATTGGAAACTATGGGGCAACCTTCCAGGAAAGGGGAAGAGGATACCAATGGTCGTGGGCTTCTCAAAGCAAAGATTAGAGAGTCCTGCAGAAAGAGTAACTCTGCCTCCCACACAAGGAGCATCAAGAGCTTAAAGGAAAGAGTCTGGAACAAACCCTAGGTGCCCTTTATAAGCCAGGACTGTCTGGGAATCCAAACCCGAAAACCTACTTGTGGACCCAAAGGGTTCCAGCCTGAAACAGGAAAACATATACAAAAAAACCTGATCAATTACCTAAGCTGTCTCAGATGTTCTGTTCTTAAGGTCCAGCGACAGAGAAGGCTTAACGAGAAAAATGGAATCATATAAGGGTTTAGTGATTAGAGATGATACTTGTATTTATCCTGTAGAGAGTCCTAGAAACGGGATAGATGTTCCAGAGAAATATGTCAAACCCTTGGGTGGTGATATTTTTATTTTTGGCAACATATAATTTGTGTTGTGCTTTGACAAAAGGGCTGGGCTAGGCTAATGTGGCTTCTTTGTTTACAGACTGTGGATTGAACGTACACAAACAGTGTTCCAAGCACGTTCCCAATGACTGCCAACCTGATCTCAAGAGGATCAAGAAAGTGTACTGTTGTGACCTCACAACACTTGTGAAGGCTCACAACACTCAGAGACCCATGGTGGTAGACATATGCATTCGGGAAATTGAAGCAAGAGGTTTGGAAAATACTTCCTATTATAGTAGTATAGTGATTTTATTTTTATTGTTTGTTTTTACTGTTGTCAAGGAAACAGAGTTGCTCTACTACTCTTGTTGGGAAAATGACCTACGCATGTGTGCGCACACACACACTCTCTCTCTCTCACAGGTAGACTCAATCCAACCAGCTATATCAATTTCCATTGTATATATAAACCATGCATATATGCATTCAAAAAATGTTTACTGAACATTTATTATATGGTAGGCATTGAGGTAATAAAGGTCACCATTCTCACCTTCAAGAAATTCATACTTCAGCTGGGTGCAGTGGCTAACGCCTGTAATCCCAACACTTTTTGGAAGCTGAGGCCAGACAATCACCTGAGCCCAGGAGTTCAAGACCAGCATGGGCAACATAGTGAGACCCCATCCTACAAAATTCTTTTAAAAAATTAGCCAGGTGTGGTGGTGCACACCTGTAGTTCCAGCTACTCGAGAGGCTGAGGCATGGAAGAAATTCATACTTTAGAGTGGGCAATCAGGGGAGCAAATAAATAAACATTGTGGATGGCCGTGTTCAGGGTACCATGGAGTCACAAAGCAAAATGTTTTAATCCTATTTAAGGACGGTGAGAAGGGTTATGGCAGAGGTGAGGCTTGAATTGGAGCTTTGAAAAAAAAGGTGCTTCTGTTAAATAAGAAATTGTTGAGTAACACATACATCTCCTACCACATAAAAATGTGCTCCTAATATTCATCGTTTATTTCGAAGAGGAGAGTTCAAAGATTTAAAAGATCTATGCAATGAAAAATAAAGGAAACAAGGAAGATAGAAACATTCCAAAAAATGTTCTTTATGTTGTACATGAGTCACTTTTCCTTTATTTGTGCTTTCTTTGGCCACTGTTCAGTATCAAAATGTTCACTGAAGTTGCCGGATATAATTTGGGTGATTTGGCCATGTATAGAGCCTTTCTATAAGGCTTAAACCACTTTTGCCATGTATCATATTCTGTTATACTGGCTATCCATTATTGTGTCCTAATTGGCTTAATATATTTTATACATATATATTCATTGGTCAACTACCCCATTTTTCCAAAGCACAACTAAAGAGGATGTCATAGCTTATTATCCCAACCCTTTTAGAGAGAGGAAATTATTCCCTTTTCTATGGAGGGGGAAAACCATAGCTATCCTGTTCCCTGAGAACTTGCTAATTTAATCCCAGAGTGTAAGAAATGCCTTCTATCTTTTCACCACTGTGGCTGACAGAGCTTAATGAGTGCTTTGGGATCTGGTGAACATATTAATCCAGTGGCTAAACTGGGTAAGAGGAAAGGAGGGATTCCCTGCCTCTGGATGAGTGGTTGGGACAAGTGACCCTGGGCCCTGCAGTTTGGGGTCAGATTATCAGCCTCTCCAGAGCCTGCAGTCAGGGCTTTTCTGAAGAAGCTGGGGTCCTCCCATTGTGATCCTTACCAAAGACAACTGATAATTCAGGCATGATAACTACTGACATGTCTAACATTTAAGAATAGGGGGCACTGCACTAAGTTTGCCTAGTACAAGAGCGAGATAGAGTAGCACAAATTAGGAATTGATGCCAAAAGAGTCACAGCACAGGGATTAGAGCCCCAGACAGGTATTAGGGGCCTAAGCATGCAAGCAGAACCAGAGAATGCACCGGGAGAAATTTGTATGACACCCGCATTCCCAGCTGTGGGGCCACCACTACCAACACTTTTCCCTGTCTTCCATCCATAAAAAATCCTTATTGTTCTCCAAATGTTCTTTTATGTTCATTTGTCTCTGCGTGATGTGGCAGAGTGAAAAGATCAAGGATTTGAAGTTAAATTATCAGCCCTGTCTCTTACTGGCTGTAGTATGACCTTGGGCAAGTTGCTTACTACATTTGCATATCTGTTTCTTCATCTATAATATGAATGGAATCAACTGTACCTCATAAGGTGGTTGGTGAGGATTAAAGTGACTTGATACATAAATGGACCGAGTACAATGTCCAATCTACTGAACTCAATCTATGTTAATTTTGCCTTTTCTTGGAATGACCCACACCCATACCTCCACCTCCAAATCTGTCTAACTATATTATGTAGCCTGTACATCTCAGTGCTGTCACAGAGACCCTGAGTAACAGTGCCTTTGACAAGATAGAAATCTATTTCTTTGCCCAGTAATAGTCCAGGTACCCAGGAGCAGTCCAGGAATAGTCTGTTCCACCGTGGCAGGAACCCAGGCACTGCAGCTTGTTGCTCTGTCCTGCTTGAGTGCTATCCTGCGTGCACAATCACAGTTGGCCACCACCATCTCATCTGCATTTCACTTAACAGGAAGTGGAAAAGAGCATGCTCCATTCCTTCAAGGCCACAGAAGCTGTAAATGTCACTTCTGCTCTCACATGGGCCAGAGTTTAATGGCCACTGCAATGGATATTGTTCTAAAAATCAAAGGTTCCATTACAACAGAAGAATGGGAGAACAAATATTGGAAGGATAGCTGGCAACTTCTGCTACTCTGGCAAACTCTAACCATCCTTTATCATTTCCTTCAAAGATTAGCTTCTTAAAAAAGCATCTCGATGTAATACAGGGTGACGCTTTGCTCAGTGAAGCATGGGCTAAAGTCAGGAAAATTACCCCCATTTAATTATAATCCAAACCATACAACTTGGCATATTATATAAGGCATAGATTTTTTTTTTTAAAAGTGACGGGATACATGTGCAGAATGTGGAGGTTTGTTAAATAGGTATACATGTGCCATGGTGATTTGCTGCACCTATCAACCTGTCATCTAAGTCTTAGGCCCTGTATGCATTAGGTATTTGTCCTAATGCTCTCCTTCCCCTTGACCCCCACCCTCCAACAGGCCCCGGTGTGTGGTGGTCCCCTCCCTGTGTCCATGTGTTCTCACTGTTCAACTCCCACTTATGAGTGAGAACAAAAGCATGGATTTTTCTACGTTCCTTGAAAACCTGGATTTCTTTGAAAGTGACTCAGTGAATCTTATGGCTGAATGTTTGTGTCCCCTGCCCCACCAAATTTACATATTGAAGCCCTAATCTCCAGTGTGATTGTCTTTGGAGACGGAGGTCTCCAAAGAAATAATTAAGGCTAAATGAGGTCCTGAGGGAGGGACCCTAAACATTATGACTAATATCCTTATGAGAAGAGACACCAAAGAGCAAGCTCGCTCTCTCACTCTCCATGCACATATACCAAGGAAAGGACGTGTGAGAGAAGGTGGCCATCTATGAGCCAGAAAGAGAGCCTCACCAGAGGCCAGAACTTTGATTCATCCATCAACAGGCAGGGTTCATTGTTCACTGCTAGGGGCTCCCATAATCCACTGGGTCTGTGCCTCTGTGGCAGTGCATGTTCCAACTGGAATGAGATGTGCTCATATGCACCAACATCTTAGAACAGGATGACCCACAGGTTTCGTCTTGTGTGGCAACTCCAGTTGATCAGTAGTGGTCACCTGAACAATTGGAACTGAGATGAATTCTGAGGCTAAATAGGGCTCAGTGGGAAAAAGGGCTGAGATCAACTAAGAGTATCTGTCATGGTCACAGGAGGGATGAGGGGAAGTATTCGTGATTTACGCCACGTATTTGTTGTCTCTGATGCATACCTAATGAAGACCCTTATATATGGCAGATAATACATACTCCATAAATGTTTTCCAAATGAAAAAACAGGAGAATATGTGAGTTATCAAGAGTTTGGCAGAATATATGGCGGCAGCAGCAGAGGCTATTTGTTTGCTCATTTTTACTGTAGCTATAGTTTTGATAGCAGCTAGTTTGTGACATACAAAGTCTGAAACCCAGTCCTTTATCCCTGCTCATACTTTTGGGAACTGACTCGTTTTTAGGACATATCTTAACAAATCAATAAGCTCCAGGGACAGAAACCATGTCTTTTTTTCTTAGCCTAAATTTGCAGTGATCCAATTTCCAGAAGCAATAACCAAAACTTTATTTTCCTGCATCTGTTTGTATAATCAGTTGTCTAAAAGTATAACAAGTAACCGTTTTTAATTAAACAGTTAACATAGTCTTATTTACAAGTAAACATGAAAGGCTGTAATAGTCTAATTTTTTCCAATACAATCAGAGTAATACAGATTAGATACCCACATACATACATGTGTGTATCTAGTACAGTGCTACATACAATATAGCACATGGATTAAGATGATGCTAGGTACCCCATTTGCGCTGCTGTGATTATTACACATCTTATGCCTGTATCAAAATATCTCATATACCCCATAAATATATACACCTACTGTGTACCCACAAAAATTAATAAAGATGATGCTAGGAAGAAAGCCAGGTTGCTTCCTACGATGACGAAATTCATGTCCATCAAGCTCATGAACACAGGAAAGGAAGTAAGGGAACGGTCCATGGGAATCTTAAATATCAGTTCTCTTTGCAAAGCAGGGAAGGATGAAGACTGGATTTCCATTGAGATCTCCACTGCTACATGGGCAAATGAGAACAGACTTGCCTGGGAAATTGAGACAGACAAGTCCAAGTTCTGATGCAACAGTGTGTGATAAATAAAATCACTGTCTATGTTTGCTCATTTTCTGATAGCATGTAGTATAGACGTGAAATTAGTCTTTTTTTTTTTTTTAGATGTTTCAAGAAGCTAAAGTCAGTCTCTCTCTCTCTCTCTAACAGGATTAAAATCGGAAGGCCTTTACAGAGTCTCTGGGTTCACTGAACACATTGAAGATGTCAAAATGGCATTTGACAGAGGTAAGCTTGTACTTTCTTGAATGCCATCTGACATCCTAACACCCTTCTCGATTGGAAGTAGGTTTTAATCATAGTAGAAATGGGGTTTCAGAACTACTAAGAGTTGTTCTTCAAGAAACGGAGGAATAATGGCTTACAAATCTCATGTTTCTGCCTCACTGGGTGAAGTGTTACCTTCACAGCCATTGATAAGTGATCACTGTCAATGGGCAGACAATCCACATGGCATTGGAGTACCCATCTGCATCCCCTGTCTCAGAATCCCATTCTTCTCATTCTCTCAAAGCTCCAAAGAAGGGATCATAGGGATGGGAGGGCACCCCCAGCACTAATGTAGGGGAAGGCAGTGGACATGTAGGAGGGAACTGCTTTTGTTCTTTATAACTGTGGTGTATATTCTCTAGAACATACTATCTCTTAAGTCAGATATCATGGCCATCCTGGGGATCCTGTTAAAAATATGGGTCACTGGGACCCAACTTGAAGACTCATTCAGAAAGCTGGATAAGCCCAAGAATCTGTATTTTTAATAAGCAATCCAAATAATTCTGGTACAGCCAGTCAAGACATGGAAGCCCTACTGGATAGAGCCTACTGGATAGAGCCTCTACTTTGTAGTGTGGTATGTGAAATCAGTGAGGTAGCCCTCCCTCTCTCTTCAGACTTCTCTCCAGTTCCTCCTCCCTACTGTACTGCACACTCCAGCAATCCTGAAATACACCCTATTTGTTGCCATGAAGAAGTGCCTTGGCTCACATTGTCCTGTCTATCTGAAATGTATTCACCTCTCTGCCTGGCAAACACCTGTAATCAGGGGTCAGCTCAAGCCTTTCCTCCTTGAGGAAGCCTCGCTGACTACCCCAAGCTAACCTCAGAGCTCCACTTCCTTTTTCCACATCCCCCCACATTCTCCACACTTCTTCAGCATAGCAATCTTCCTATTTCCTTGTCATTGTTGAGTTGCATGTCTGTCAGTCAGTCTAACTAGAACTGTTGGTTGGCAGAGAGTATCTCTTTTCCATGGTTCATCAGGGCTTAATGGTGCTTGGCACATGACAGATTCCCAATAACTGTTTGCTAAATATGTAAATAATGAAATCAACATGGCATATCTTCTATGCTTTTACTGTTTTCTATACATCGGCAGCTTTTTTCATCTTCAGAACCAAATTTGCTGAGGCATTTATTCTTTTAATTCTTTATGCAAAAGATATTAAGAATTCCTATATGATTAAAACATTTTTATCTAAAAAATGTCATAGTCTGTGACAAATTGGAGTGGTATTTCCTAACGGTAAAACTAAAAGTCAAAAAATGTCTTGAGAACTATTGTTAGAAATGGTAAGAAATATAGGCCAGGCACGGTGGCTAGGCCTAGAATCCCAGCACTTTGGGGGTTGGAAACGGAGCAGGTCAAAACTTCTGTGCTGATCCTTTGTACTGCCTACAAAGAAATAATTCTGGACCAACAATAAATACCAGATACATTAGTATAATATATTTAAAGTGCTGAAGTGAAATAACTGTCAAAATAGGCCAGGCGTGGTGGCTCACACCTGTAATCCGAGCATTTTGGGAGGCTGAGACAGGTGGATCACTTGAGGTAGGAGTTCGAGACCAGCCTGGCCAACATAGTGAAACCCCCTCTCTACTAAAAATACAAAAATTAGCCAGGCATGGTGGCACGTCCCTGGAATCCCAGCTACTCAGGAGGCTGAGGCACGAGAATTGCTTGAACCCAGGAGGTGGAGGTTGCAGTGAACCAAGATTGCACCACTGCACTCCAGCCTGGGCTACAGAGTGAGATTCTGTCTCACACACACAAAAAAGAATGATAAGAAATATAACATCACATATCCAAGAGGAAAGGGTAAAGTTTCCCAGATTAAAGTCCTAGGGGATCAGGGAGGAAGGATCAAGTTAAAAACAAACAAACAAACCCTTCAGTGAGCCTGAAAGAAACAATAAGAACTGAAACTATTCAACAATCATTTTGTGAACGTGACTTCCAAATCCAAGTCTAAAAAACACTGGTGGAGATGTATTAGAGCTTCTTGATGTTCTCTTGTTTCAGATTAGATTGTCATTTTATTATGAACCTTAGTGTCCATAATACAAATTATTGTGCTAAATTTCTATTTAGCAAATTACCAGGGGCTGGGACCCAAATCACTGTTTGAAGTTTGTTTTATCACCCGTTTGCCTGCACAAACCCTCAGACCCTACCTCCCTCTCACCAAACTCCTTTCTGTTGCCTCCTACACTTCAGTGTTACTAGAAGCCAAAAGAGTTAGCTGAGACTTGTCAGGGAGCATTCATCGCTGGATTTTTTTTTTTTTTCCTTTCTGTACATGCCTTGGTGAAATAAGGTCCTAATTAGGACTTGGATCACTGATTGTTTTTCAGATGGTGAAAAGGCCGATATATCTGCCAATGTCTATCCAGACATAAACATCATCACTGGAGCCCTTAAACTGTATTTCAGAGACTTACCCATCCCTGTCATCACATATGATACCTATTCCAAATTTATAGATGCAGCAAGTAAGTACTTCAAATTAATTTTTTATTTCTACCAAATTTTTAAGTACAGTGCTTTTGACCTTCAGATAATTAAAACTCAGAACTGTTTAAATTATTGCATTTGTGCCTGTCTTGTCAAGTGAGGGCACAACAATAAATAGCTGACCAGGCATAGTTCAACAGCTGAGCTGAACCAGTTCTAAGAACTCTGTGGGCTGATGTATGTGTCAGGCAGTTCTGTCCACATTGTTCCTTGTATGCTGGGAACCAACACAGTCAGGCCTATTATATGTTGAAAGCATGAATATTTCTGTAGCAGAAAAAAAAGTCTTCAATGAGGACTGACTAGATCATGGGTATCCAATCTTTTGTCTTCCCTGGACCACATTGGAAGAAGAATGATTGTCTTGGGCCACACATAAAATATACTAACATTAATGATAGCTTTAATGATAATTTTAAATAATTTTTAAAATAAATTATTTTAAAATCTTATAATGTTTTAAGGTTTACAAATTTGTGCTGGGCCATGTTCAAAGCTGTCCTGGGCATGTGCGGCCCATAGGCTGCGGGTTAGACAAGCTTGGTCTAGATTAACTACTTTTATCTGTTAGGCAGAATTTCATTCCTAGTCAGTTAAAGTCACAAGCAAGTTTTGTCTATTGATGCTGTTCAAAATGAATAGAGGGCCAGAATACACTGTGTCAAGCAGTATACTAGAACGTCTCACCAGTTTAATTCTCTCATGTACCCCATGTGGCAAATATTATAATCCCATTTTACAAAGAAGAAAAGCAAGGCTTGGAGAGCTGAGCTCATGCGTCCAGGAATGGGACATCAGGATTTGCTTTCCATCAGCCCGGGGTTGCTCATTCAGTGTTTGGCACTTGGGCCCACTGCTGAGGGAGAGAGGAATAGAGTGAAAAGGGGGCAGGTCTGGGGGAAGGGGCTACACTTTGCCCAGGAAGAGTCAAAAGTGACCAAAGGTAGATTCAGATGCTGAGACACATGACACGGAAGTCAAGCTCACTTTGAGGAAGTTTTTGCTTGTTGTTGTTGTTGTTGTTTTTATTTAAAAAAAAAAAAAAAACCTTTAAAGGTTGAAAAGTTTAGGCATGCTGTTAAATGTAGTAATGAGATGCCTGATGGGGAGACACAAAGGCAGGCTGGGATCAGTGTGAGATGCACTTTTCGGATGAGCTGAGGCCCTGACCCCGGTAAGACTATTCCCTCCTTCCGGGGCCCTAGTGGTCCTGGCAAAGAAGGTTCTAGCATCTAGATATCCTCTACTCCAGGAGGAATAGCAGGAGGGTTTTCTTTGAGTAGCTGCCAGTACCTATCAGAGACCCAAAAGCCAGAAGCATGTACTCTTCCTCCCATTGTTAATGTGTCCAGTCTCCACTTCCTAACCTGGGCTGTGCACCGGGGTTAAGTATGCCAACGCCACGGTGAGAAGTGCCATGAGTGCAGGCTGAGTTGGGTGGCTCATTGCCAATGTCCTTGCCTTGTAAAATGTATTAGGTTGTAGAAGTCCGCCAGGGAAAGACTCATTAGACAACTGCAAGGCAATACTACCGTATGTGGTGCAGTTTAAATTAAAACTTGTGAGAGGGATATTTCTAGCAAATCTAGTGTTCAGAAGAAGGCAAAGCATAGTCTGCACATATGCTCCCTGACTGTAAGCATTCTGCTGGTTTACAGATTCATGGAGGGCAAGGACAGTGTCCAGCCTCTGGCCACCCAGAGGACATTCAATAAGCATGTGGTGCTCAGCCTCAAACTCTTTCCTGAATGACACAGGACACCAACAAATTGATTAAGTGAAACAGTGCTTGGATTGCATGAATTTATTAGAATCCTTCCCCACTTCTGGCTAAAACAAAAACTTCTTGTTACTTCTCTGAAAACTTGAATGCCACACTCTGAACTAATACCCATCATGCGTGAACTTCACAGAAATCTCCAATGCAGATGAGAGGCTGGAAGCCGTCCATGAAGTGCTGATGCTGCTGCCTCCTGCCCACTATGAAACCCTCCGGTACCTAATGATCCACCTCAAAAAGTAAGCTCATGTCTCGTGCACAAAGCCTGCTCTGCTCCTAGAGCGGTTAATGCATGAGGAAAAGTGGACGGCATTCCTCCCCAGCCATAACTGCTGGAGTTTCACTGTGCCAGGAACCACTCCAGGCACTTTCAGTGTATCATCCCTATGAAAGGGGCGCCACTGTGATGGCTCACGCCTGTAATCCCAGCACTTTGGGAGGCCGAGGTGGGCGGATCATGAGGTCAGGAGATTGAGACCATCCTGGCTAACACGGTGAAACCCTGTCTCTACTAAAAATACAAAAAAATTAGCCGGGCGTGGTGGCAGCCGCCTGTAGTCCCAGCCACTTGGGAGGCTGAGGCAGGAGAATGGTGTGAACCCAGGAGGCAGAGCTGGCAGTGAGCCGAGATCGTGCCACTGCACTCCAGCCTGGGCAACAGAGCGAGACTCCATCTCAAAAAAAAAAAAAAAAGAAAAAGAAAGGGGTGCCATTAGGGGCCTTGTGTCACTTGTGAGATTGCTGATGCCTGGGGAGGTTACACAGCTGATTTGAAGAGGTGAAGGCAGGATCCCAGGCAGGCTGATGTACAGCCTTTAACTACTCTGCCTCCGTGTCTGCATCTTCATCTGACACAAGCCCTGTACTCTGTGTCCTGTTCATCCCCCTGTTGCTTGCCCCTTTCCAGGCTCCTGAGACTGCCTGCCTCCTGGGAGAGCACATTCCCAGCCTGGTCTCTTATTTTTCTGGATGTGTGAGTTCTCTCTCATTGAGTAACAAATTGCTCCCGAAACTTAGTGGCTTAAAACTGTAAACATTTATTATCTCATAGTTTCTAAGGGTCAGGAATCCAGGTGTGACTCAGCTGGCTGCCTCCAGTTCAAGGTCTGTAATGAGGCTGCAGTCTTATCTGAAGGCTTGATGGGTCTGTAATCCCAGCTACTTGGGAGGCTGAGACAGGAGAATTGCTTGAACCCGGGAGACGAAGGCTGCAGTGAGCGAAGATGGCACCACTGTACTCCATCCTGGGCAACAGAATGAGACGCTGTCTCAAGAACAAAAAAATTCACTCCTGAAGGCTTGATGGTGGTAGCATCCATCTCCAAGCCCACTCACATGGTTGTTGGCAGGATTCAGTTCCTTAAAGGCTGTTGGACTGAAGGCCTCACTCCCTCACCAGCAGTTTGCTGGAGGCAACCCTCAGTTCCTTGCCATGTGCATTTCTCCATAGGCAGCTCACAAAAAGCCAACAGGCTTCTCTCAGAACAAAAAAGCAAGAGCACCCAATATGAGAGACAGTCTTTTTGTAAGCTAATCTCAGAAGTGACATCCTATTGCTTTTACCGTGTTTTATCTGTTAGAAGCAAATCAAGTCCATCCCATACTTTAGGGGAAGGGATGCAGGGTATGAATTCCAGGAGGCATGGATCGCTGAGGTCCATCTCAGAGAGTACCTGCCACACACACAGCTGTCTGCGTGAGTGTGTGGGAGACAGAGATGGAGACGTCTGGATGTTTATGGGACACTAGAACCTCTGGTGACACTATTCTCCCTAAACCTTGTGTCTCTCTCTTTCACTGCACATGTGTAATGAGGTCGATGAATTGGTGTTATAACATTGGAGGGATCAGGGCACATCTGTGTGCCTCTGTGTTTTTGAAAGATACTTGGCAGCAGCCCATTCTTTGATAAAAATAAAATGAACCGAAAATTGTCTACATTGACCAGTTTACAGATCTACTTAGTATGTGAAAAGAAGCAAACGGAGGACTGTATAAACAGTAGGTATTGAGATTTTTATTTTTCTACCTTATAAGACATACAAGAAGACATACAATATTGTTGCTCAGATTCAGGGTGATGGTAACATTTAGCTCAGAATATTCCCATTCTGATTAATTTACTGAATTTAGGAGTGCAAGTAATTTTTAGATAATAAACTATGGGTATCACATCTGGCTTTCAATTAGCTGTAAAATACTTATTGTGATCAATATCCAGTTGTTACAGTTTGGAAGGCAAAGTACCACTACCAGAAAAATGCTGACACCTTTCAGCTGAACCTTAAATGCCAATAATACTGTATCTTTATCATAGTGGGTTTGCCAGCCATCTTGTTTAGTCAGGCATAGTGCCTGACTTAAGAGGAAACTGTGGGCACTTTGATGGTGAGAAACGTCCTCTTTCCAACCTTCTTCTTAGGCTTTGTGGCATGTACATGACACAAACTGGGTTGACCTTAAAATAATACTCAATGGCTAATCCTAATGAGTTATAAGGAAATAGAAAGGGATGGCTTTTTATGCACAACCTAAACACATTTTAATTATATTTTCCTAAACACATTTTAATTATATTTTGCTCATTTTTGGAGAACCCATTCCCTTTTACATCTATTATGAACATTCTAAAACTTAAAGTTGTGAAAACAAAACTCTGGGAGATAGATAGATTGTAATTTTATTCCATGAGGAAGGTGTTAAACCAGCTTTGCAGTTTGAATTTTATTCTTAAAGGCTCTGCAGTTCTTACCTGGATGTCGAAATGATTTTTAATTTCAACTGCTGTAGACCTCATCCTGTGGGAACTAGAAATAATGTCCAACTGCCGTCCAGTCTGGCGACATTCCAGCCGTTCCCCCACCCCACGATAACGGCCTGACTCTTCCTCAATTCATGACAGCCCATTCTACACATAACCTTTCTCCTCTGGCACCGGTCCTCCCAGCAGAGAGGGATCCTGCCCTTCCCTTCCCACTCTCCAGCATACAGACCAGCAGGAAGCCACAAGAGGGAAAAAAAAAACGCCTTCTGTATAAGGCCTATGAAAGGACCATGGGCCAGCCTCAGAATCTGCTGCCCCTACAAACCAGTATTCCTCAAATGATAGTTCCACATTTACTTAATAAGGAGGACTAATTTTCTAATTTTAAAAATTGTGTTCCTGCCAGATTCACATAAGTAATTCATTTCCACCGGCGAAGGCAATGTCAACAATTTAAAACGAAAAATCAGTAAATTACCCTTCCAAAAATACCTTTCTGCTGTTCTGATTCCCAATCTTTTTCTTGCAATTTCCTGAACCAGAGATGTTATCGGGACTTACATACATAATCAATACATAAAATCAATCCTCAAGTCTCCATAATGTCTCTGTTCTATATGTTTGTTTTGCAGGGTTACTATGAATGAAAAAGACAATTTCATGAATGCAGAAAATCTGGGGATCGTGTTTGGGCCCACTCTGATGAGGCCCCCTGAGGACAGCACCCTGACCACCCTGCATGATATGCGGTACCAAAAGCTGATTGTGCAGATTTTAATAGAAAACGAAGACGTTTTATTCTAATCCATCAGGGAAATGAGCTGAATGGCCCCAGCACCATCCAAGTTGACACAGCTAAAGGAATAAAAACATTTCTTACCACTTGATTTGTTTTCCAAGCAAGTGCTAGAATTTCCTGGACTGCAGAGGATCGCTGAGTGGGGTACTGTGTCTCATAGACATGCGCCACCTCCACGTGAGAACAAGGGTGAAGGTGAGGGAAGCCCCTCACCTTGGGTCTTTTGCTGTGCCTCCTATGTATGTCTGGTTTGCTGGAAGAGTGATTAATACATCTTTAATTTATTAAAAAACAATGTAGACCTTTAAACTTCAGTCTTATTGGTAATAAAAGGGAACTTAATTCATACAGGTACTTGATACAGTTATACATTTTCCACTTACAAAAAGAAGACAATTCTGTTAAATGAAACGTGTATCGTAAAATGTATTTTTATTTTACCCACGAGAATGTTGTTATTTTTAGCAAATAGAACTCAATGCAGTGCATTGGTTATTACCCTGTGTACCTTGTCCCTCATTTTGCTGTGACACCCTGAAAAAGCTGACCACAAATGCAGTATTATCTTGACATACCTCTGTCCTCCTCAGTGCTTTTTAATGAAATTTCACCTGCCCCTTGTGTTCCTGCTTTGGATAGTTTTTGCTCTTAAGCATTGGCATTCTTCTATTGTATGGTATGTATTTATAGCAATTGTAGGATGGTCTGAAATGTCCACACACTTTCTATGCATACAAATTTTGTGAATTCCCAAAGTATGCTTTGGAATTGGTCATAGTCTTTTCGTATCATGAGTGTGTATCCCAGAAGATACAGAATGCGGTCATTTTACCTGAAATTATTTGAGAACACTGGATGTATCTGGTCTGTGTAAAAAGTTAGCACTTACCCTCTTTTCTTCCTGGCCAAGCCCTCTGAATTCATCTGTTAATATCAAATTGTATTTTTGCCACATTTCTGTATTGGTGAAAAGCGAATCTGCAGAATAACTGTCAACGTTTTTCATTCTTGTTTTACAAACCTATTTTTTAAAGTGAGAATAAGGTTGGTTTTTACCAAATATTTGTTCCTCCTTGACAAAAGTAGCTCTGTGTGGATAATATGATTTTATTACTACAGTTCCAGTCACTTGGTTATATTTATCTTAGCATGAGCCTTTCACACCAAGATTTCTATATTTTGTAACATAGGTGAAATATTTAAAACATCAAAAACTGTAAATCTAGATTTTTAAAAAATCCAACTGCAATGTCTTTTCCTTTGATTGAGATGATTTGTGTAAACTCACCAGTCTTGCTTTGGAGTGAGCAGAAGAGAATGACTATTTTACGTGGAGCATCATTGTGTGACTGTTGACCTGGACAGTCCCAAGGGCTATGCAGATGGACTCCATTGGCACAGGGAGGTTTGACCTCTTCCCTGCTATTATCCCTCCTCCCAACTGTACAGATTTGTTTGTTGTAGTTTATGTACTTCTTGATACTGTCAAAAAATTATCTGGAAATGGTTTTATTTTGTGAAGTGAACAATACTTTGTAATTTATGATAGTGTAAATGGAAGGCAAAGCATCACATGTATTAAATTCTTCTGTCTATTATTCTGGAGTATGTGCAAGAAAGTGGTTTGGAGGGATGGGGTGGTGGATCATCAAAACATTGTTTCCAGATAGACGCTGGCAACAAATTTTCAGTCATCACTGAAACACAATGAGAAAACAGCATCTCATCGAGTCCCCACTCCTTCTGCAAGCTCCCTTCTAGAGAGCCTGCTTCAAGATTAAGGCCCTGAGGCTCCACATTCACTTTCCATAAGCCCCACTGCATGGATGCATCATCATACAGAGGTGAACCGTTTAGGGCAAATCACCCTAGGCCACTTGGAGGGTAGCAGAACAAGACTTTTAAAGTCAGAAAGCCCTGAGTTTGATCCCAGATCCATCCATTTAGTACTACCTGCATATAACCATGGGAAGTTTGCGGCTCTGAAAAACTGAAGATGATAATCTGATTGTGACACCTTAAATGAAATTTATGTTCTAGGGTAATTAGTAATAGTTATTTCTCATTATTACCATTTTAGAAGGGGAAAGGATATAACATGGAAGCAGGGATGGAAGAAGCATAAGAAAAGGATTTGTCACAGGTTCAATCCAAGTCCAAATAGCACTAAAGGATATAACAGGCCTCTATAATGGGTAATGAAGTTCACTTGACTCCTTTTCTCAAATGTGATTCCAACACTTGATCTCCTCTTCCTTTAGTCTGAAGCCAGCTCACCCACACCTGTCTTCCCCACCATCTGGCAGCCTGACATAGCTCCCCTTACCTGGCTTGAAATTCCTGCTGTTAGAATAACTCTGGTAGTTAGTTAGACCATCAAGGAGGCAGCACTGTTTCCAGAAACCCACTGTTAAATTGTCAACAACTGAGTTGTGGGAAGTGGGACAGGAGCAGGGTTGGTGGGAGAATGCAGTGGTGAGGATGGGAGGAGACCCCTTTTTCTTTCTTCCATTGACATAAATGGGCATTCCAGATGACCTGGTCTCCACAGCTTGGAAGGGCTGCTGCAGATGTCAAGGATAACAGCCTAGAAGGGAAGAGAGAGGAAGAGAGAAGGTTAAGGGAAGGACAGTGAAGAGAGCATCAGAAAGAAACATACCATATAGATGAAGGATTGCCTGGGCTGTCCTGGCTCCTGTGAAAACCCAACTCAGTTTATAAATTCCCAAGTTTATCAATATCCAGTGTATAATCAGTCTTTTATTTTAAAAATATAACATTAACTTTTAACCAGTATGTATCAAGCATTTATTAATGAGGTAGACACTGAATATTTGGAGGCAAGGAAAAGGCTTATCGCACTGGAAGAATTAAACAATAAAGTTAGTCTGGCTAGAGAGAGGAAACTGATCATGTTAAGGGTTTTGGACTCTTAAGGGGAATGGGTACTACATATTTGTCTCCAGACACAGAATGTAGGAGGTACCAGCCATCAGGGCCATTTCCAAGGTCGGTGCTGTCTTTCTGCTCCACCATCCTAGGATTATTGTTATTTCCCCTTGGGTTTTGGCTCACATAGTTACAAGGAGGCTACAAAGACCACCAAGTCAATGCCTTTCTCTTCTTGTGTGTCCCATTTAACAGTGAGGAAAACTTTCCTAGGAGTCCCCTGTATAGTAGACAGTGATACCTGACAGCAATTACTTAAGCATACCCTGAGAATGATGCTGTGTGGCAGACACGCCTGAATGTGTATTTGGACTTTCGAGGAACTGGGAGTGGCAAACCTGGAGATTACTTTCTCATCTATGAGGAACATCTGAGCCCCTGCCCTGTCCTATGGATCAAGACCCTTTGAGTTCAATGAAGGTTAACAGCTGGAGGTTGTTAGGGGAAGGGTGCTAAGTGAAAATGCTCTATAAACTGCATGCTTTTTACAAGCGGCAGCGGTTCTCCCGCCCAGCCTGCCACCGCTAGAACATGTAGTCCTCCTGTCCAGCCTGCTGTCACTGGACCATATGCTTCTCCTGTCCAGCCTGCCACCACTAGACCATGTGGTCCTCCTGTCTAGCCTGCTGCCACTGCACTGCTCTGTATGTAAGTTTCCCACTAATAACACTCTGTCTTATTTACTGGCTCTGGTTCTTCTTTGGCCTCTTGAACCTGGTGCCATCCCTACTGAAGTTAATAGGGGTCCTGAATGACATTCCCCAACATACAATCCCTTACATTGGCCAGAACTGCATTGCACACATGTGGCTAAACCAGTCACTAGCAAGGGGAATGAGATCACCAGGATTAGTTTAGATCAGTGGTTCACAACATGAGATCCCTTGATCAGCAACAGCATGAACTGGGACTTGTTAAAAAGGCAAATTCTCTTGCCTGACTCACTGAATCCAGGGGAAGCATTTTGCGATCTTTTTCTTTTTCTTTCTTTTTTTTTTTTTTTTTTAACAAGTCTTTCAGGTAATTCCATTGATTGAGCAATCAGGACTTACACCTGACCTGGGGTTGGAGCCAACTTACTCAAGGTGTTTGGATACCTGAAATGAACTAGGACTCATTAGCAAAGAAAGGGGCTTTGCGGCACTGTGAAGGTTGTTGAGATTCTCAGAAGTGGTAGAGAACTTTCCCCACCCATACACTCCTCCCTTCATGACCAAGATCTCCATGGGTCCCACCCCTATAACCGTATTACCAACTCTGTCTCTAATGTAACACTGTCTAAACTATAAGCTTCATGAGGACTGGAATCCGATCTGCTTTGCTCACCATCCTACCCATCCCTTACCCAGCACTGTGCTAGCACACAGTAGCCAACCCCAAACTTTTATAAATTAATGGCTTGTTCCTTCTACAAATACTGCACTCAAATGTCCCATTTTGGTGTGGTAGTGGAGGGGAATAATTCGAGAAGCAGATTCTGAAAATGCACAGTAACTCCTGTCTTTTGGAGCTGTGGCTAACATCTGAACTCTTTGGTTATTGAAGCTTTCTCCTTGACGTTCTCCTTAACTCGCTCTTCAGCATGTTCTTTCTCCTTTTCCCCAGAAGGAATGATTAAGCTTCAAAATAA
Source organism: Homo sapiens (assembly GCF_000001405.40). NCBI lineage: Eukaryota > Metazoa > Chordata > Mammalia > Primates > Hominidae > Homo > Homo sapiens. The sequence continues at coordinate 29,517,310 of NC_000007.14, forward strand.
GTCAGTTTGAAGAATCTGAAGATCTAAGTCTCTAGTTCAATTGCAGGTTACACAGATAATGGTAGATTTGGCTAGAATCTAGTGCAATGTAGACACGAGGAGGTCAGGTGCTGGGTCCAGACAGCCTCCGGTTAAATCATAGCTCCATCTCTTTCTAATAGTGTGACTTACGGAAAGTTAATTTGCTTTTTAGGTCTCAGTTTTCTTGTCATTAAAATGAACTAATACCAGTTCCTATTCCATGGAGGCTTAAGGTACTCTGTGGACAGCACTCAGCATATTTGGAGAACAAAGTAGGTAAGCAAATGCTTTTCTAAAATACGCAACAACTTGGGGAAATGTTTGAGAATGCTTAACCATTAGTATCCCTTCTTCACAGTGATAAGGCACCATCACTTACGGCTGTCTAGCAAATGAGAGAGTTTCATGAATGGTAACTATTACTACCCAATGAACTTTGGAAGTGAAGCCATTTGGAAGTCCAGCTCCAAATGATGGACAACAGTGAGTGTGCAGAAAGAACATGCTGAAGGGTGAGTTAAGGAGGCCTAGTTCCAAATGTTAATAGCCTTGATCTGTGACTGAGCCAGGTCTTGTGGCTCTAAAGCCCGTGTTCCTGTGGATGCATATCAAGTGTTCCTGTGGAGCACTGGCTTTAGAGCCACAAGACCTGGCTCAGTCACAGATCAAGGCCCCACTCACCAACCTCACAGGTCTATCACTGAGGCCAGATGACATGCAGCAGGTGTGGAGGCTCCTTCACAAACCCTCACACCCCTCGGTACATCCTGTCCCGCATCCTCTGCTCAGGCTCCTCTGCCCAAACATGCAAGTCCCTGATGCATCCTCCAAGGCTGCTTCTCACCCTACTTTCTCCCTAGCCAATCACATTCACTCTGGCTTTGAATGCTATCTGTCAACAAATCCAAATTATCCTCAAGATTCAGTTTGCTACCTAATGCACTGTGACAAATCCCTTCTGCTTAAACCAGCTAGCATGTGATCTGTTGCTCATGGCCAAGGTCCCTGATGAACATGCCAATCCCTCTGCCACTCAGCTCTTTAAAATCTTCACATCTGTCATACTTGCATGGCATTAAAACAATTTTAAAAATCAGAATAAAGGACTTGATCCCATTTATTCTTCCTCATTCCTTGGCACTTTTTATATTCTTACTGTGTATATTCAATCTATGCCATGTTTTATAGAAATGGTATCATACTCTATATTAACATTCTACAAATTATTTTTAATTCTCCTTATGTTTTTGAAATGTATCCATGTTGATACTCATAGACCTACTTCATTCATTTTAGCTGTCCTAAAATATTTTACTAAGTAATTTATCCCTCTGCTACTATTAGGTATTCAGTTTCCTTCTTTTCTATTGAAAACAGCATTTCCATGAATGTTTTTGTTGAAGTCTGCATGTGCTAGATTGGAATTGCTAGACTGTGAGGAATGCATATCAAAAGCTTTGCTAGATGCTCCCCAAAGTGACTGTGCCAATTTATACTCTCATCAGCAGTGTTTGAGAGTTCCTGTCTCTTTGTATCCTTATGAACACTTGGCATCACCCGACTTAAATATTTTGCTACTCTGTTGGCATAAAATGACATCTTTTTGTTTTAATTTGCATTTCTTTGATTACCACTAAAGTTCAGCATCTTTTCTGGTTTAATGGCCACTTAACTGTCTCTTCTATGAACTGGCTATTCATAACTTTTACCATTTCTCTACTGAGTTTTTTCTCTACATCTACTGATTTGTTGGAGTTCTTTATAAATTCCAAACTGTTTCTTAATCAATCATGTGCATTGTATATATCTTCTCCCAATATAAAGGATCAATTTTTTTATAGTTTATGCTTTATGTTTCTTATCCTGACCCTTAAATCATAAAGGTTTTTTTTATATGTTTTGTAAAAATATTCAAGTTATGCTTTTCACATTGATGTCTGAAATTTTGGTGCAAAAGGTAGGAATCTATTTTTTTCCATGTGAATACCAAACTATCTTAGTGCAGCTCTATTCAATAAATTATCTTAGTGCAATTTATTGAACAGAGCTGTGCTATCCAATACTGTAACTACTAGTCACATGTAAGCTTTTGAGCACTTGAAATGTGACTTGTCCAAATCCAGATGTACTGTGTGTATAATACATGCTGGATTTTCTTTTTTTTTTTTTTTTTTGAGACAGAGTTGTGGCCCATGCCTGTAATCCCAACACTTTGGAAGGCCAAGGCAGGTGCATCACCTGAGGTCAGGAGTTCGAGACCAGCCTGACCAACATGGAGAAACCCCGTCTCTACTAAAAATACAAAATTAGCCAGGTGTGGTGGCACATGCCTGTAATCCCAGCTACTCAGGAGGCTGAGGCAGGAGAATCACTTGAACCCAGGAGGCAGAGGTTGTGGTGAGCCGAGATCGTGCCATTGCACTCCAGCCTGGGCAACAAGAGGAATACATGCTGAGACTTGGTACAGAATATGTCAATAATTTAATACTGATTACATGTTTAAATAATATTCTGGATATTTGGTGTTAAAATATATTATTAAAATTTATTTCACCTGTTTCTTTTTACTTTTTGAAATGTGGCTACTGGAAAATTTTAAGTTACAAATAGGTAGAAATACAAATACATTGTATTTCTATTGCACAGCTCTAGAATAGACCATCCTTTCTCCCAAAGGGAGAGGGGTCTCCTAATTTGTCATAATGGAATTTCTTTAATTGCATAGGTCTGTTTCTGGACTCTCTTTTCTGATCTGTTAGTCATTTTATCTAGCTCTGTACCAATGCTACACTGTCTTTTAATTTTTATTACTTTATAATAAGTATTAAGATCTTATTCCCATTCTTGTTCCTCTTCTTCAAAATTGTCTTCGTTCTTATGTTTCACTCTCACATATGAATTCTAGGACCACCTAGTCTAGTCTTTCCTATCATGACATCCTAAGAAAACCTACTAGGATTTTGATAAGAATGGCATTTGATTTCTATTTTTAGAAAGAATAGACATCTCCCTTCACAAATATAATACAGCTCTCCTTTAATTTGGGTGTTTATGCCCTTCAATAAGATTTTATAATTTTCTACACAAAGTGTATGCCCATATTTTATAATATTTATTCCTAGATACTTTATAGTTTGTGTTGCTATTGTGAATAGATTGTTTCTCATATGCTTTATAATGGGTTATTACAAATATTAGGAACACTGCTTATTTATATAAATCTTATCTCTAACAACCTTGCTGAACTCTATTAGTTCTAAATAATCTTCTTGGGCTTTTTGTATAATCATATTGCCTGCAAATATGGACAACTTTGTCCCTTTCCAATTCTCATACTTGTTAAATATTTTATCTTTTTAACTGACCCATACTAATTGTACATATTTATGGGGTACACAGTGATGTTTCAATATGTACAAAATATAGTGATCAACAGACCCACAGCTAGTATCACACTGAATGGGGAAAAACTAAAAGCCTTTCCTCTAAGATCTGGAACACAATAGGGATGCCCACTGTCACCATTGTTATTCAACATAGTACTAGAAGTCCCAGCTAGAGCAATCAAACAAGAGAAGGAAATAAAGGGCATCCAAATTGAAAAGTAAGAAGTCAAATTATCTTTATTTGTTGATGATATGATCTTATATTTGGAAAAACCTAAAGACTCCACAAGAAATCTATTAGAACTGATATATTCAGTAAAGTTGACAATAGCTAATATTTGGAAGCAACCTAATTGCCCATCAACGATGAATTGATAAAGAAAATGTGGTACATACACACAGTGGAATATTATTCAGTCATAAAAAAGAATGAGATCCAGTCATTTGAAACAACATGGATGGAACTGAAGATCATCGTACTAAGTAAAATAAGCCAGGCACAGAAAGACAAACCACATGGTCTCACTTTTTTGTGGGATCTAAAAATCAAATCAATTGAACTCATGGACACAGAGAGTAGAAGGATGGTTACCAGAAGCTGGGAAGGGTACTGGGGGACTGGAGAGGTAGGGATAGTTAATGGGTACCAAAAAAAGAAAGAATGAATAAGACCTACTATTGGATAGCACAATAGCATGATTATAGTCAATAACTTACTTGTATATTTTTAAATAACTTAAAGAATGTAATTGGATTGTCTGTAACTCAAAGGATAAATACCTGAGGGGATGGATACCCCATTCTCTATGATGTGCTTATTTCACATTGCATGCCTGTATCAAAATATCTCTTTGCTGTTGAGATGTTAGGGTTCCTTATATATTCTGGATATTAATCCCCTGTTGGATGAACAGTTTACAAATATTTTCTCCCATTCTGTAGGTTGTCATACACTCGTTGACTGTTTCCTTTGCTGTACAGAAGCTTTTTAATGGACATAATCCCATTTGTTTTTGTTTTTGTTGCCTGTGCTTTTGATGTCTTACTCATAAAATATTTCCCAGAACAATATCCTGAAGAATTTCCCCATGTTTTCTTCTAGTAGTTTTATAGTTTTGGATCTTACATTTAGGTCTTTAATCTAGTTCGAGTTAATTTTGTATATGGCAAGAGGTGGGGGTCTAGTTTCATTCATCTGTATATGGATATCCAGTTTTACCAGCACCATTTGTTGGAGACACTATTCTTCCCCCAAGGAATGTTCTTAGCACCTTTGTCAAAAATCAGTTTGCTATAGATATGTCCATTAATCTCTGGGTTCTCTGTTCTGTTCTGTTGGTCTATGTGTCTTTTATGCCAGTACCATGCTATTTTGATTACTATAGCTTTGTAGTATATTTTTAAGTCTGGTAGTGTGATACCACCAGCTTTGTTCTTTTTACTCAGAATTACTTTAACTATTCCCCAAATAAAAGATCTAGAGTAACTGAATGGATTAAAAAACATGACCTAAATATATGCTGCCTATAAGAAATACACCTGTAAAGACACACATAGACTGAAAGTGAAGGGATGGGAAAACATATTATACACAAACAGAAACCAAAAGTGAGCAGGAGTAGCTATACTTAGATAAAATAGACTTTAAGCCAAAAGCTATTAAAAAAGCAAAAAAGGATATTATATAATAATAAAGGGATCAATTCGGCAAGAAATATAACAATTGAAAGTATATATACACCCAATACTGGAGCACCCAGGCATATAAAGCAAATATTATTAGATCTAAAAGGAGAGAAAGACCCCAGTATAATAATAGCTGGGGACTTCAACACCCCACTCTCAGCACTGCACAGATAAGCTAGGCAGAAAATTGGCAAAGAAACATCGGAATTAAACTGCACCACAGAACAAATGGACCTAAGAACATTTCATCCAACAACTGCAGAATACACATTCCTTTTATCAGCACATGAAACATTCTGTAAGACTGACCATATGTTAGGACACAAAAGAAGTCTCAATAAATTTTTAAAAGTTGAAATAATATCAAATATCTGATGACAACAGAATAAAATTAGAACTCAATAACAAGGAAACATTTGAAACTATACAAATAAGTGAAAATTAAACATGCTCCTGAGCAACCAATGGGTTAAGAAATTGGGAAGGAAATTTAAAAATTTCTTGAAACAAATAGAAATACAATATACCAAAACCTATGGGACACAGCAAAAGCAGTATTAAGAGGCAAGTTTATAGCAATAAATAACTACATCAAAAAAAAGTAGAAAGACTTCAAACAAATAAATTACACATCTCAAGGAACTAGCAAACAAGAACAAAGTGAACCCAAAATTAGAAGGAAAGAACTAATAATGATCAGAGGATAAATAAATGGCATTGAGACTAAAAAAATACAAAAGATCAATGAAACAAAAAGTTGGTTTCTTGAAAAATGAAATCAACAAACTATTAGCTAGACTAACAAAGAAAAAAAGAGAGAAGACACAAATAAATAAAATCAGAAATGAAAAAGGAGATGTCACAATGGATACCACAGAAATACAAGGATCATTAGAGATGATTATGAACAACTATATACTAATAAATTTGAAAAGCTAGAAGAAGTAGGAAAAATCCTAGACAATACAACCTACGAAGAGTGAACCAAGAAGAAATAGAAAACCTGAATAGACCAATAACAAGTAATGAGATTGAATCAGTAATAAAAATTGTCCCAACAAATAAAAGCCCAGGACCACATGACTTCACTGCTGAATTCTACCAAGATTTTTAAAAAGAATAAAAAATCTTCTCAAACTGTTCCAAAAAAGTTGAAGAGGAGGGAATTCTCCCTAACTCATTCTATAAGACCAGCATAACCGTGATAACAAAACCGGACAGGGACACAACAAAAAATTTATAGGCCAATATCCCTGATGAGCATAGATGCAAAAATCTTCAACGAAATACTAGCAAACAGAATCCAACAACACATAAAAAAGATAATACATCATGATCAAGTGGGATTTATCCTAGGGATGCAAGGATGGTTCAACAAACACAAATTAATAAATATGGTACATCACATCAACAGAAAGGACAAAAACCATACGATCATCTCAATAAATGCAGAAAAAGCATCTGATAAAATTCAACATTCCTTCATGATGAAAACTCTCAATAAAAAGGAAGTACTTCAACACAATAATGGTCAGAGATGACAGATTTACAGCTAACAACATACTCAATGGGGGAAAGTGGAAAGCTTTTTCTCTAAGACCTGGAACAAGACAAGATGCCCACTCTCACCACTCTTATTTAATACAGTACTGGCAGTCCTATCCAGAGCCATGGGCAAGAGAAAGAAAAGGCATACGAACTGGAGTGGAGGAAGTCAAAATGTCTCTGTGGATGACATGATCTTGTGCACTGTAAAACCTAAACACTCTACCAAAAATCTCTTAGAACTGATAAGTAAATTCAGTAATGTTGCAGGATACAAATTAACTTATAAAAATCAGTAGCCTTTCTATACACAAAAGACAAACTAGCTAAAAAAAAAATCAAGAAGAAAATTCTATTTATGATAGCTACAAAAAAGTAAAATACATAGAAATAAATTTAACCAAGGAGGGAGAAGATCTCTACAAGGAAAGATACAAAACACTGATGAAATAAATCCAAGAGGATACAAACAAATGGCAATACATCTCATGGTCATGAATTAGAATAATTAATATTGTTAAAATGACCATACTGCCCAAAGCAATCTACAGATTATATGCAATCCCTATCAGAATACCAGTGACATTCTTCACAGAAATTTTTAAAAATCCTAAAATTCATATGGAACCAATTCTCATACTTTTTATTTCTTCTCTTCTTAATATAGTGGCTAGGACCGCTAGAGATGAAAGCAGCCATCCTCACCTTGTTTCTGACTTTAATGAGAATATAGCTAAAGTTTCGCCATTAAACGTGATGTTTGTTGTAATTTCTACACTAATGATTCTCAAACATGGTGTATGTCAGAATCACTTCAAGAACTAAAAGGAACACAGATGCCAGGTTTGTTGAAAAAAGAAAGGGCCTGGACCTTTGTATTTTTACCAAGCTTCTCAGGTGATTCTGTTACCCACCAAAGAAAGTTCCCTTCTAGTTCTAAAGAAATAATCTTTTTAAAAAAGCACACATGGGTGGTGTTTTATTAAATGGTTTTTTTCCTGAAATCTCTTAAGATGATCTTTAGGTCCTATTTTCTCTTTTACCCTGTTAAGCTGGTATGTTACATAAATAGATTTCTTAATGTTAAGCCACCATTGTGCTCCTAGGAAATTTTTAACCTGGTCACATGTAGTATTTTTTTAATACGCTGCTTTAATTTCTAGTGTGTTCTTCCTTTCTTTCCCTTCCTTTCTTTTTATCTTCCTTTCTTTCATTTTTTAGAATTTACATCAAGCTACACATGGGAAAATGGCCTATAACTGTCTCTGAATAGCATCTATTCCATTTTTTCTCTCATAAGAGGAGTTGTACAGCTTTCTCTATTGTTCTTTTCTCTGAAACAGCTTTAATAAAATTGGTAAATTAGAATTAAGTTCAGCTGGAAATGGCAGAAAACCCAAATTGCAATAGATAAAACAAAATGGAAGTTGACGTCTCGCTCATATCAAATCCAGGTGGGTGGTGTTGGTCTGATACGGCAGCTGCATACTCATCAGGGACCCAGGCTCCTTCTGTCTGCTTGTTTGTTGCCCTGGAGATCTCCCACCTGTGGTTGCCTCACACAGCACTGCCTTCTCCTACAGGCTTCATGAAACCATCTTCACAACCCTGGCTTCCAAAAAACATGACCCTTGCCTACCACAACCAACATCTTTCTCTGCTAGAATTGCTGGACCTAGATTGGGTCCCTTTCACATCTAAGCAATCACCAGGTTCCACTTGGCCCACAGTAATGCATACACCTCTACCACACCATTGGTAGAGGGCAGCTCACTCCACCGCAGCCCTCTCTACTCACCCTACTAGTGTTGGGTAGCCCTTTACCTTTAACTCTTCTGGGCATGAGTCAGGTATCTCTGACTCCTTCCCTTCTCTTGCACACTATATGCAAAGCATCAGCAAAGCTTCTTGGCTTTACTTCAGAATATCTTCACAATCTTACCACCTGCCCCATCTCCACTGCCACTACTCTGGTCCAAGTCACCACTGTCTCTCACTGGACACCTGTAACAGCCTCCTAACTCAGCTCCTTGCTTCTGCTCTTGCCTCTCTCCAACCCCACATCCCACCCCTAAGAGTCTATCCCAGCACAGCGAGTAGAGGGATCCTGTTAAAAGCTATCGTAAATGTCACTGCTATGCCTAAAACTCTCCACTGGTTTCCCATCTTACTCAGAATAAGTCAATGTCTTTACAGTGGATGCCCCAGGCCTATGTACATGACTTCTCTAGATCTCCATAAATTCCCCCCACCTCCTCTCATACTACTATGGCCTCGGCTCACTGTATTCCAGACCTGCTCAGGCCCTTTTGCTGTTCCTTCAACATGCAAGGCACACTCGAGTCCTGGGGGAGTTGGCCATTGCTGTTCCTTTTGCCTGGAATGCTCTTTCACCATTTATCTGAGTGGCTACTTCTCTTTCCCTCTTCAGGTCTGTGGAACTAAAGCTTGGACACACAGCAACATGCATCACCCAGTGCAGGCTAGAATTCATAGTGAAAGGGATCAGCAAAAACAGGGTCTCCTTCTCTGCATACCCAGTAGAGACGCATCCTAGGCAGAGGCCCAGATGGATACACCACTGGAGTTGGCTGCAGGACATGGACCTTCCCTGGGTTGCTCTCCTTTTTATAAGGCAAAGGTGAGAGTGGCTTTGCAGGAGAGAAATAAAAATTTTAGACCCAGGTGCCAAGTATTCTAAGCTTGGTTGCCACATGCTCAAGGAAAGTTCTACAAAATGCCAGCTTGCCCAGCACTTATAATTCTTAGAGGCTCCTGATCCAGTGAGAAGCTGAGTCCAAGCACAGTCCCTCCCAATATGAGAAAGAGAGGGAGCCCTGGAGTCATCACTAGACAATTCTGTTTATTCCACTGGGGGTTGTTTGGAGTTTTTTTAACTTCATCGTTTGAAATAATTCAAACTTGGAAAAATGGTACAGAGTCCAGAGTAACCTTCACCCTGCTTCCCCAGTGGTGACATTTTGCATAATTATAGTACATTATCAACACCAGGAAATTGACCAGTTCACAAGACTATAGACCTTACTCAGTTTTCACAAGGCCTTAAACCTATACCCACGTGTGTGTGTGTGTGTGTGTGTGTGTGTGTGTGTGTGTGTGTAGTTTTATGCAATTTCATCAAATGTATAGATTTATTCATCTACTACCACAATCAAGATATAATCTGTCCAGGCATTCTGGCTCACACCTCCAATCTCAGTGCTTTAGGAGGAGGCCAAGGCAGGAGGATCGCTTGAGCCCAGGAGTTAGAGACCAGCCTGGGCAACAGCAAGACCCCATCTCTACCAAAAAAAAAAAAAAAAAAAAAAAAAAAAGAAGTCAGGCATGGTAGTGCACACCTGTAGTCCCAGCTACTCAGGGGGCTGAGGTGGGAGGATCACTTGAGTCCAGGAGTTTGATGATGCAGTGAGCTATGATTATGCCACTGCACTCTAGCCTCAATGTGGCACTGATTATCACAGGTGAGTTGATCGCTGGGGTCATGAGCCATGATCCAAGAAGCATGGCGTCGCCAAAGGTCAGCCTTAGGGTCATGAGTGCTTCCTCATGGAGCCAACCTGAATCCCGACCAGAGATGGGTTCTCTAGGAGGGATGCTCCTAGGAAATCTGGATCCTATGCATATAAAATCTATCACAACAACAGCACTCCTTCCTGCTCCCTCTTTGTATTCATATCCACCCACTGCTGTGCTCCCCATCCCTGTCCCCTAGCAACCACTAACATCTGTTCTCCAGACCTACAACTTTGTCATTTTGAGAATATTATATAAACAGATTCAAACACTATGAAACCTCTCGAGACTGGCTGTTTTTCACTCAGCATAATTTTCTGGATATTCAGTCAAGCTGTGGCTTGCATCTAGAGTCTGTTCCTTTTTTATTGCTGAGACGTACTTCCCAGGATGGCAATATGACAGTTTGTTTCATCATCCCTTCACTGAAGGACATCAGGATTGTTTCCAGTTTGGGGATATAATGAATAAAGGGACTATGAACATTCATGTACAGGTTTGTGTGTGCATCTCTGTATTAATCTGTTCTCACACTGCTATAAAGAAATACCTGAGATTGGGTAATTTATAAAGAAAAGAGGTTTAATTGGCTTACGGTTCCACAGGCTGTACAGAAAGCATGGCTTGGAAGGCCTCAGGAAACTTACAATCATGGCAGAAGGCAAAGGGGAAACAAGCATGTCTTACTCAGCCAGGTCAGGAGGTGGAGAAAGGAGGAGAGGTGCTATACACTTTTAAAAAGCCAGATCTTTTCCTCCTCCATTCCAAGATGGCCGAATAGAAACAGCTCCAGACTGCAGCTCCCAGTGTGATCAACGCAGAAGACACTGATTTCTGCATTTTCAATGGAGGTACCTGGTTCTCGTTGGGACTGGTTGGACAGTGGGTTCAGCCCACGGAGGGCAAGCCAAAGCAGGGCAGGGCATCACCTCACCCGGGAAACACAACGGGTTGCAGGATTTCCCTTTCCTAGCCAAGGGAAGCCGTGACAGACTGTACCTGGAAAATGGGGACATTCCCACCCAAATACTGCGCTTTTCCAATGGTCTTAGCAAATGGCACACCAGGAGATAATATCCTGTGCCTGGCTTGGCGGGTCCCACACCCATGAAGCCTTGCTCACTGCTAGTGCAGCAGTCTGAGATCAACCTGCGAGGCAGCACCCAGGCAGGGGGAGGGGCGTCCACCATTGCTGAGGCTTGAGTAGGTAAACAAAGCAGCCAGGGAAGCTTCACCTGGGCGGAGCTCACCGCAGCTCTGCAAGGCCTGCTGCCTCTGTAGACCCAACCTCTGGGGGCAGGGCATAGCTGAACAAAAGGCAGCAGAAACTTCTACCGACTTAAACGTCCCTGTCTGACAGCTCTGAAGAAAGTGGTTCTCCCAGCATGGCATTTGAGCAGACCTGCAGCTGAGGGACCTGACTCTTAGAAGGAAAACTAACAAACAGACACGAATAGCATGAACATCAACAAAAAGGACATCTACACCAAAATCCCATCTGTAGGTCACCAGCATCAAAGACCAAAGGTAGATAAAACCATGAAGATGGGGAGAAACCAGAGCAGAAAAGCTGAAAATTCTAAAAACCAGAGTGCCTCTTCTCCTCCAAAAGATCTCAGCTCCTCGCCAGCAACAGAACAAAGCTGGATGGGGAGTGACTTTGATGAGCTGACAGAAGTAGGTTTCAGAAGATCGATAATAACAAACTTCTCTGAGCTAAAGAAGGATGTTAGAACCCATTGCAAGGAAGCTAAAAACCTTGAAAAAAGATTAGACAAATGGCTAACTAGAATAAACAGTGTAGAAAAGACCTTAAATGACCTGATGGAGCTGAAAACCATGGCACGAGAACTACATGACATATGCACAAGCTTCAATAGCCGATTCAATCAAATGGAAGAAAGGGTATCAGTGATTGAAGATCAAATTAATCAAATAAAGCTAGAGGAGAAGTTTAGAGAAAACAGAGTAAAAAGAAATGAACAAAGCCTCCAAGAAATATGGGACTATGTGAAAAGACCAAATCTAGGTTTGATTGGTGTACCTGAAGGTGATGGGGAGAATGGAGCTAAGTTGGAAAACACTCTTCAGGATATTATCCAGGCGAACTTCCCCAACCTAGCGAGGCAGGCCAACATTTAAACTCAGGAAAGACAGAGACCACCACAAAGATACTCCTCGAGAAGAGCAACCCCAAGACACATAACTGTCAGATTTGCCAAGGTTGAAATGAAGGAAAACGTGTTAAGGACAGCCAGAGAGAAAGGTCGGGTTACCCACAAAGAGAAGCCCATCAGACTAACAGCGGATCTCTCAGTAGAAACTCTACAAGCCAGAAGAGAGTGGGGGCCAATATTCAACATTCTTTTTTTTTCTATATTTTTCTTTTTTTTAATTATTATTATACTTTAAGTTTTAGGGTACATGTGCACAATGTGCAGGTTAGTTACATATGTATACATGTGCCATGCTGGGATGCTGCACCCATTAACTCGTCATTTAGCATTAGGTATATCTCCTAATGCTATCCCTCCCCCATCCCCCTACCCAACAACAGTCCCCAGAGTGTGATGTTCCCCTTCCTGTGTCCATGTGTTCTCATTGTTCAATTCCCATCTATGAGTGCAATAGCAAAGACCCAAATGTCCAACAATGATAGACTGGATTAAGAAAATGTGGCACATATACACCATGGAATATTATGCAGCCATAAAAAATGATGAGTTCATGTCCTTTGTAGGGACATGGATGAAATTGGAAATCATCATTCTCAGTAAACATTCTTAAAGAAAAGAATTTTCAACCCAGAATTTCATATCCAGCCAAACTAAGCTTCATAAGTGAAGGAGAAATAAAATCCCTTACAGACAAGCAAATGCTGAGAGATTTTGTCACCACCAGGCCTGCCTTACAAGAGCTCCTGAAGGAAGCATTAAGCATGGAAAGGAACAACCAGTATCAGCCACTGCAAAAACATGCCAAACTGTAAAGACTGTCAATGCTAGGAAGAAACTGCATCAACTAATGGGCAAAATAACCAGCTAACATCATAATGACAGGATCAAATTCACACATAACAATATTAACCTTAAATGTAAATGGGCTAAATGCCCAATTAAAAGACACAGACTGGCAAATTGGATAAAGAGTCAAGATCCATTAGTGCGCTGTATTCAGGAGACACATCTCACGTGCAGAGACACACATAGGCTCAAAATAAAGGGATGGAGGAAGATCTACCAAGCAAATGGAAAGCAAAAAAGAAGCAGGGGTTGCAACCCTAGTCTCTGATAAAACAGATTTTAAACCAACAAAGATCAAAACAGACAAAGAAGGTCATTACATAATGGTAAAGGGATCAATTCAACAAGAGCTAACTATCCTAAATATATATGCACCTAATACAGCAGCACCCAGATTCATAAAGCAAGTCCTTAGAGACCTACAAAGAAACTTAGACTCCCACGTAATAACAAAGGCAGACTTTAACACCCCACTGTCAATATTAGACAGATCAATGAGACAGAAGGTTAATGAGGATATCCAGGACCTGAACTCAGCTCTGCAACCAAGCAGACCTAATAGACATCTACAGAGCTCACCACCCCAAATCAACAGAATATACATTCTTCTCAGCACCACATCTCACTTATTCCAAAATTGACCACATAGTTGGAAGTAAAGCAATCCTTAGAAAATATAAAAGAACAGAAATCGCAACAAACTGTCTCTCAGACCACAGTGCAATCAAATTAGAACTCAGGATTAAGAAACTGACTCAAAACCACACAACTACATGGAAACTGAACAACCTGCTCCTGAATGACTACTGGGTACATAATGAAATGAAGGCAGAAATAAAGATCTTCTTTGAAACCAATGAGAAAAAACATACAACATACCAGAATCTCTGGGACACATTCAAAGCAGTGTGAATAGAGGGAAATTTATAGCACTAAATGCCCACAAGAGAAAGCAGGAAAGGTCCAAAATTGACACCCTAACATCACAATTAAAAGAACTAGAGAAGCAAGGGCAAACAAATTCAAAAGCTAGCAGAAGGCCAGAAATAACTAAGATCAGAGCAGAACTGAAGGAGATACAGACACAAAAAACTCTAAAAAAATCAATAAATCCAGGAGCTGGTTTTTTGAAAAGATCAACAAAATTGATAGACAACTAACAAGACTAATAAAGAAGAAAAAAGAGAAGAATCAAATAGACGCAATAAAAAATGATAAAGGGGATATCACCACCGATCCCACAAAAATACAAACTACCATCAGAGAATACTATAAACACCTCTATGCAAATAAACTAGAAAATCTAGAAGAAATGGATAAAGTCCTGGACACATACACTCTCCCAAGACTAAACCAGGAAGAAGTTGAATCCCTGAATAGACCAATAACAGGCTCTGAAGTTGAGGCAATAATTAATAGCCTACCAATCAAAAAAAGTCCAGGACCAGACAGATTCACAGCCTAATTCTACCAGAGGTACAAAGAGGAGCTGGTACCATTCCGTCTGAAACTATCCCAATCAATAGAAAAAGAGGGAATCCTCCCTAACTCATTTTATAAGGCCAGCATCATCCTGATACCAAAGCCGGGCAGAGACACAACAAAAAAAGAGAATTTTAGACCAATATCTCTGATGAACATCGAAGCGAAAATCCTCAATAAAATACGGGCAAGCCGAATCCAGCAGCACATCAAAAAGCTTATCCACTATGATCAAGTCGGCTTCATCCCTGGGATGCAAGGCTGGTTCAACATACGCAAATCAATAAACGTAATCCATCACATAAACAGAACCAATGACAAAAACCACATGATTATCTCAATAGATGCAGAAAAGGCCTTCAACAAAATTAAGCAGCCATTCATGCTAAAAACTCTTAATAAACTAGGTATTGATGGAACGTATCTCAAAATAATAAGAGCTATTTATGACAAACCCACAGCCAATATCATACTGAATGGGCAAAAACTGGAAGCATTCCCTTTGAAAACTGGCACAAGACAGGGATGCCCTCTCTCACCACTCCTATTCAACATAGTGTTGGAAGTTCTGGCCAGGGCAATCAGGCAAGAGAAAGAAATAAAGGGTATTCAATTAGGAAAAGAGGAAGCCAAATTGTCCCTGTTTGCAGATGACATGATTGTATATTTAGAAAACCCCATTGTCTCAGCCCAAAATCTCCTTAAGCTGATAAGCAACTTCAGCAAAGTCTCAGGATACAAAATCAATGTGCAAAAATCACAAGCATTCCTATACACCAATAACAGACAAACAGAGAGCAAAATCATGAGGAACTCCTATTCACAATTGCTACAAAGAGAATAAAATACCTAGGAATCCAACTAACAAGGGATATGAAGGACCTCTTCAAGGAGAACTACAAACCACTGCTCAACAAAATAAAAGAGGACACAAACAAATGGAAGAACATTCCATGCTCATGGGTAGGAAGAATCAGTCTCATGAAAATGGCCATACTGCCCAAGGTAATTTATAGATTCAATGCCAACCCCATCAAGCTACCAATGACTTTCTTCACAGAACTAGAAAAAACTAAAGTGCACATGGAACCAAAAAAGAGCCTGCATTGCCAAGACAATCCTAAGCCAAAAGAACAAAGCTGGAGGCATCACACTACCTGACTTCAAGCTATACTGCAAGGCTACAGTAACCAAAACAGCATGGTACTGGTACCAAAACAGAGAGATAGACCAACGGAACAGAACAGAGCCCTTAGAAATAACACCATACATCTACAACCATCTGATCTTTGACAAACCTGACAAAAACAAGAAATGGGGAAAGGATTCCCTATTTAATAAACGGTGCTGGGAAAACTGGCTAGTCATATGTAGAAATCTGAAACTGGATCCCTTCCTTACACCTCATACAAAAATTAATTCAAGATGGATTAAGACTTAAATGTTAGACCTAAAACCATAAAAACCCTAGAAAAAAACCTAGGCAATACCATTCAGGAGATAGGCATGCGCAAGGACTTCATAACTAAAACACCAAAAGCAATGGCAACAAAAGCCAAAATAGACAAATGGGATCTAATTAAACTAAAGAGCTTCTGCACAGCAAAAGAAACTACCATCAGAGTGAACAGGCAACCTACAGAATAGGAGAAAACTTTTGCAATCTACCCATCTGACAAAGGGCTAATTCCAGAATCTACAAAGAACTCAAACAAATTTACAAGAAAAAAACAACCCCATCAAAAAGTGGGCAAAGGATGTGAACAGACACTTCTCAAAAGAAGACATTTATGCAGCCAACAGACACATGAAAAAATGGCCATCATCACTGGTCATCAGAGAAATGCAAATCAAAACCACAATGAGATACCACCTCACTCTGGTTAGAATAGTGATCATTAAAAAGTCAGGAAACAACAGATGCTGGAGAGGATGTGGAGAAATAGGAACACTTTTACACTGCTGGTGGGAGTGTAAACTAGTTCAACTATTGTGGAAGACAGTGTGGCGATTCCTCAAGGATCTAGAACTAGAAATACCATTTGACCCAGCGATCCCATTACTGGGTATATACCCAAAGGATTATAAATCATGCTACTGTAAAGACACATGCACACGTATGTTTATTGCAGCACTATTCACAATAGCAAAAACTTGGAACCAACCCAAATGTTCATCAGTGATAGGCT
This sequence comes from Homo sapiens, assembly GCF_000001405.40. Taxonomy (NCBI): domain Eukaryota; kingdom Metazoa; phylum Chordata; class Mammalia; order Primates; family Hominidae; genus Homo; species Homo sapiens. The sequence continues at coordinate 29,534,176 of NC_000007.14, forward strand.
GGATTAAGAAAATGTGGCACATATACACCATGGAATACTATGCAGCCATAAAAAAGGATGAGTTCATGTCCTTTGTAGGGACATGGATGAAGCTGGAAACCATCATTCTCAGCAAACTATCACAAGGACAGAATACCAAACACCACATGTTCTCACTCATAGGTAGGAACCGAACAATGACAACATTTGGACACAGGGCAGGAACATCACACATGGGGACCTGTCATGGGGTGGGGGGCAGGGGGAGAGAGAGCATTAGGAGAAATACCTAACGTAAATGATGAGTTAATGGGTGCAGCAAACCAACATGGCACATGTATACCTAAGTAACAAACCTGCACGTTGTGCACATGTACCCTAGAACTTAAAGTATATAATATATATATATATATATATATAAAAGCCAGATCTTGCGATAACTCACTATCACAAGAACAGCACCAAAGGGGAAGTCCCTTTGGTGGACTCTCAGAATCCAATCGCCTCCCACCAGACCCCACCTCCAACACTGGGGATTACAATTTAACGTGAGATTTGAGATTTGCACGGGGACACGGACACAAACCATATCAATCTCTTTAGGATCAATGTCTGCAAGCGCAGTTGCTGGGTTATATTTGCAAGTTCAGTTTAAGAAATGGACAAATTTTCCTGAGCCACTGTGCCATTCTACCCTCCCACCAGCAATATGTGAATGATCAAGCCTCTGCTCACCCTCAGCAGCATTCCGTGTTGACACTATTTTTTTATTGTAGCCGTTCTGATCAGAGAACATTGCTATCTCACTGTAGTTCTAATTTTCAGTTCACTGCTGATACAAGAACATCTTTTCATGTGCTTGCCATCTGGCTTTTTACTTTAGTAAAATGTCTGTTCATATCTTTTGCACATTTTATACTTGGATTATTTATTTTTTCACTGCTGAGCTTTGAGAATTCTTTGTATATTCCAGATAGAAGGCATTTGTCAAACATGAGGTTTGCAAATATTTTCTCCTGGTCAGTAGCCTGTCTTTCCATCTTCTTAGAGTCTTTTTCAGACTAAAAGTTTTTTTCTTAATTTTGATGAAGTCCAACTTAGAATTTTTTTTCTTTTATGGGTCGCACTTAGTCATGTCTAAGAACTCTGCCTAGCTCTAGGTCCAGAAGAGCTTCCTATTTTATTCTCAAAGTTTTTCTGTTATACATTTTATACTTATGTCTATTATCTATTATAAATGCATAAATTGATGTTATATTGTATAATGTTTAGGTCAAGGCTCATTTTCTGCCTATATGTGTCCAATTGTCTCAAGACCACCTGTTGAATCAACTGTCCTTCCTTCAATGAAGTACTTTTGCATCTTTGCCAAAAATTAATTGGTCATATTTGTTTTGGTCTATTTCTGGGTTCTCTTTTTCTCTTCCATAGACTTAAGTGTCCATTCTTTACTGTCTTAATTACTCTACTTATATAGTAAGTCTTACCATCAGCTAGAGTGATTCCTCCCACTTGATTCTTCTTTTTCAAAATTGTCATAGCTATTGCAGAATTTTTTTTTGCCTAACCACATAAATTTTAGAATAACCTTGTCTATATCTACAAAAAAATTGTTGGAATTGTTTTTGATTTTAAAAATCTGTTAAAAGTGTATTTTAATATAGGTTTAACAGTTTAGGAAGAACTAACCACCTTACTATACCGAGTCTTTCAATCCATGAACACAGTATGTCTCTCCATTTATTTAGATCTTCATTATTTCTTTCAGCAGTGTTTTATAATTTTCAGCATAGAGGTTCTTTGCATGTTTTGCTAGATTTATACCTAGCATTTCTCTTTTTTCAGTCAGGGAGTAGAGGGAGTGATTGTATATGGTGTTGTTTTAACTTCTGTTTCTACATAATTGTGGATCCACATGATTGTTGCTAGTATAAAGAAATTTGTATAATTTTTGTGTGCTGATCTTGGATCCTGCAACTTTGCTGGACTCACATTTTTATGAGCATTTTTGTGAATTCTTTGGTGTTTTTAATGTAGACAGTCATGTCATCTGCAAACAGGGGGAGTTTTATTTATTCTTTTCCAATCTGTGTGCCTTTTATTTCCTTTTCTAGCCTTATTGTACTGGCTTGAACTTTCAGCATTATGTTGAATAAGAATGGTAAGACTGAACATTCTTGCCTTGTTCTCATTCTTAGGGGAATGTGTTTAGTATTTCATAATTAAGAATGTTAGCTGTAGGTTTTTCATAGATGCTGTTCTCCTTTATTCCTCATTAGCTGAGGATTTTTATTACAAATGGGTGTTAAATTTGTCAAATGCTTTTTCTGCATCAATTGAAATCATGTGATTTTTCTTCTTTAGCTCATTATTTTGGCAAATTACATTTATTTTCAAATATTGAGTCAACTTTGCTTTCCTGGAATAAAACCCACATAGTGTTTGTGTATAATTCCTTTTATATATTGCTGGAGTTGACTTGCTAATAGTTTATTGAGACAGTTCCATATCTAAAAAAATTGGTCTCTAGTTTTTCTTTCTTTTCCTTTTTTTTTTTTTTTTGGCATGTCCTTGTCTGGTTTTGGTATTAGGGTAATGCTGACTGATAAATGAATTGAGAATCATTTCTTCTTCTATTTGTTGAAAGAGGTCGTATAGAATTAGTGTTAATTTTTCTTTAAATGTGCAGTAGAATTCAACAGTAAAACTGAGTCTGATTTCTTTTTGGAAGTTAATTATGGATTTCATTTCTCTAATAGCTATAGGACTATTCAGAGTATATCTTTCATATATGGTGAGTTTCAGAGTTTGTGCTTTCCAAGGAATTGATCCATCTCATCTAAGTTACAGAATTTATGTAGGTTGAATTGTACATAGTATTCCCTTTTTTTATTATCCTTTTAAGAGCCTCAGTATCTGTATACAGCCCTTGTTTTATTCCTGATGTTGGTAATTCCTATCTTTTTTATCTTTGCTAGTCCTATAGGTTTACAATTTTATTTATTTTTTTACAATACTGAGCTTTTCGTTTAATTGCTTCTACTTTGTTTTCCATTTCATTAATTTCTACTGTAATCTTTGTATTTTCTTTTCAAATCTGTTAAAAGTTGTTAAACTGTAATACCCCTTACATATATATGTAATGCCTCCCATATACACTCTAATCCCCTGCTTATTTTTCTGTACAGCACTTACTATCTAATAAGTATTTTATTTATTTTTATTTATTATCGGTAACTGCCATAATTCCCTACAGGAATGTGAACACCTTGAGGGCAAAGTTTTTGTCTTTTTCATTCATTGATACATCTCAGTGACTGATGCCTACAGGTGCTCAAAAAATAGTTGTTAAATGAATGAAGAAAGTAAAAACAGTGAAACATAAAAATTCTCCTATTACCAATATCTAAAAATGTTGAACAAAATATAATTTAAAAACTAACTGCACAGTTAATTCCATAAGAAAGAAAGTGAATCCCAGTATCCCAGACAGAAATGAAATCCAGTATGGGAGGTGATTAAGCCGACTCTGCAGGAGCACCCATGGTGGGGCATGGGGCAGTTTTGACCCAATTCACAACTAAGAGCTTAGTTTTTAACAGGAGATGAAATTTAGGTCTGTACCAAGTATGAACATGGAACTGAAACCACTGCATAAAGCCAGGATCTTCTAAAAGAACTGCCACCTAGGTAAATAAAGACCAGGAAAATGTAGCCCTTTGACGAAAAGAGTACTGGTGGATTTTTTAAAAAAATTATTTCTCCATGTAAAATCAAACCAAGAACTTACGCATCTTTGAAGTCCTAATTTATACTGCCCATTTTGTAGGAGAAAGCCCAAGTAGAGAAGCTAACACAAGAATTAGTCCTGGACTGATATTCTGGGTGCTGGCAGAGGAAGGATACGCACTAATACAGACCACGCAACTCTCTCATGGGAAAAACTTAGCCCCTCTGAAGATAAGCTCACAGTGAAAAAATCACAACTGATTAAAAGATCTAAAATGAGCAAGAGGAAGCAGACCAAGATGGCACAATAGAAGCCTCCACCAATTGCACCCTCACCACCATGAAACGACACCAATTTAACAACTGTCTACACACACACACGCTATAAGAACAAAAATCAGGCGAGCACTCACAGTACCTGGCTTTAACTCTGTATGGCTGAAAGAGGCACTGAACAGGTAGGAAAAAGTCTTGAATCCCTCCCTGGCAGCAGCGGTGTGGTGCGGAGAGCATTTCTGTGTGCTAGAAGAGGGAGAATGCAGCAATTGTGAGACATTGAACTCACTGCTGCCCCTTTATAGCAGAAAGGAAAACCTCAGCTGATGCCTGCCCACAGAGGGAGCACTTAAACCAGCTCTAGCCAGAGGGGAATCGCCAATCTTAGCAGTTGGAAGTTGAGTTCCCACAGATCTCATCACGACAGGCTAGCAGTGCTCTGGGGCTCTAAATACATGTGAAAGGCAGTCTAGGCCACAAGGACTGCAACTTTTAGGCGAGTCCTAGTGCTGATCTGGGCCCAGAGCCAGTAGACTGGGTATGGGGTATGAGACCTGCTGAGACAGCAGCTGGAGCAACTAAGGGAGTGCGGGCATCACCCCTCCCCTAACCCCAGGCTGCAGAGCACACGGCTCCCTTACTTCCATTTGAGGAGAGGAGAGTGAGGAGTGGGGAAGACTTTGTCTTAAATCTCGGATACCAGCTCAGCCACAGCAGAATAGGGCACTGGTCAGAGTCATGAGGCCTCCATTCCAGGCTCTAGCTTATGGATGACTTTTCTAGACACAACCTGGGCCAGAAGGGAACATGCTGCCTTGAAAGGCAGGACACAGTACTGGCAGCATTCATCACCTTCTAACTGAAGAGCTCCTAGGCCCTGAGTAACAAGCAGCAATACCCAGGAACTATCTCAAGGGCCTTGGGTGACACTCTGAGACTTACTGGCTTCAGGTGAGACTCAGCACATTCCCAGATGTGGTGGTTATGGGGTGAGACTCCTGCTTGGGGTGGCTATGGGGTGAGACTCCTTCTGCTTGTCTCAAAAGCAAAGGGGACCTTGTCTTGCAACTTAGGTCCCAGCTTGGTCACAGGCATACTCTCCAGGCTCCTGGGGTCCCCAATTCCAGAATTTGGCTCTTGGATGGCATTTCTGGACCTGCTCTGGGCCAGAGGGGAGCCCACTGCCCTGAAGGGTGAGTCCCAGGCCAGGCAGCATTCACCACAAGCTGAATGAAGAGCCCTTGGACCTTAAAGGAACATCAGTGGTAGTCTGGCTCTACTCCCCATGGGCCTGTGGTGGCAGTGGCCATGGGCTAAGTCTCCTCTGTCTTTGGAAAGGGGAGGAAGGAGTGAGCAGGACTGCATCTTGTGGTTTGGGTGCCAGCTCAGCCACACTACAATAAAACACCAGGTAGACTTCTATGGTTTTTGACTCTAGTCTCTGATTCCCAGATTGCACCTCAGGACCTGCCCAGGGGCCTAGGGGAACTCGCCACGCTAAAGGGAAGGGCACAGGCCTGGCTTTGCCAACTGCTGACTGTAGAGCCCCAGGGCCTTGAGCAAACTTAGGCAATAGTCAGAAAGTAGTTACAGCAGGCCTTGGGTGAGACCCAGTGCTGTGCTGGCTTCAAGTCTGACCTGGCACAGTCATAGTGGTGGTGGCCACAGGGATGCTTGTGTCACTCCACCCCCAGCTTCAGGTGGCTCAGAACAGAGAGACTCCATTTGTTTGGGAGAAAGTAAGGGAAGAGAACAAGAGTCTCTGCCTAGTAATCCAGATAATTCTTGCAGATCTTATCCAAGATCATCAAGGCAGTACCTGTACAAGTCTGCAAGAACCACAGCATTACCAGGCTTGGGGTGCCCCCTAAAGAAGATGCAGTTAGATCACCACACCCAAGACCTTTAGAATATCTAGAAAGCTTTCACAAGAAGGATAGGTACAAACAAACTCACAAGGCAAAGACTGTAACAGATACCTAAATCTTCAATGCGTAGACACAGATGAACATCTATAAGCATCAAGACAGCCCAGGAAAACATGACCTCACCAAATGAACTAAATAAGGCATCAGGGACCAATCATGGAGAAACAGAGATATGTGACCTTTCAGAGAGAGAGTATTCAAAATAGCTGTGTTGAGGAAACTCAAAGAAATTTAAGATAACACAGAGAAAGAATTCAGAATTCTATTAGATGAATTTAACAAAGACAAATAAAAGAATCAAGCAGAAATTCTGCAGCTGAAAATGCAATTGGCATGTTGAAGAATGCATCAGATTCTTTTAATAGCAGGAATGATCAAACGAAAGAATTAATGAGCTTGAAGACAGGCTATTTGAAAATACACATCAGAGGAGACAAAAGAAGATAAGAAAACAATAAAGCATGCCTACAGGATCTAGAAAATAGCCTCACAAGGGTAAATCTAAGAGTTATTGGCCTCAAAGAGGATGCAGAGAAAAAGATAGGGCTGGAATGTTTTCTCAAAGGAATTATAACAGGTAACTTTCCAAACCTAGAGAAAAATACCAATATCAAAGTACGAGAAGGTTATAGAACACCAAGCAGATTTAACCCAAAGAAGAAAACCTCAAAGCACTTAATAGTCAAATGCCTAAAGATCAAATATATAGAAAGGATCCAAAAAGAGGCAAGAGAAAAGAAACAAGTGACACACAATCAAGTCCAATATGTCCAGACTTTTCAGTGGAAACCTTACAGGCCAGGACAGAGTGGCATGACATATTTAAAATGATGAAGGCAAAAAAAGTTTTACCCTAGAATTGTATATCTGGTAAAAAAAAATTATATATATATAACTATATATATATAATATATATATAGTTATATATAATATATATAACATATATATGTTATATATATAATATATATAACTATATATAACATATATAGTTATATATAATATATATATAACATATATATAACATATATAGTTATATATAATATATATATAACATATATATAACATATATAGTTATATATAATGTATATAACATATATATAACATATATAACTATATATATATATATAAAATCTATATATATCCTTAAAACATGAAGGAGAAATAAAGACTTCCCTAACAAACAAAAGCTGAAGGATTTCATCAACACCAGATCTGTCCTACAAGAAATGCTAAAGGGAGTACTTCAATCATAAAGAAAAGGACATTAATGAGCAATAACTAATTACCTGAAGGTACAAAATCCACCGGTAATAGCAAGTACACAGAAAAACACAGAACATTGTAACACTAACTGCAGTGAGTAAACTACTCTAAGCTAAGAGAGACTAAATGATGAACCAATCAAAAATAATAACTACAACAGCTTTTCAAGACATAGACAGTACAATAAGGTATAAATAGAAACAATAAAAAGGTAAAAGTGGGGCACCAAAGTTAAGGTATAAAGTTTTTATTGGTTTTCTTATTGCTTATTTGTTTATACAAACAAATAATGAGTGTGTTTGTATAAACAAATTATTTGTTAAAATAATGAGCTATAAGATAGTATTTGCAAGCCTCATGGTAACTTCAAACTAAAATACATATAACAGATACACAAAAAACAAAAAACAATAAACTAAGCCATATCACCAGAGAAGATCACCTTCACTAAAGGAAGACAAGAAGATCACAAAACAACCAGAAAACAAATCACAAAATGGCAGAAATAAGTCCTCATTTATCAATAATAACATTGAATGTAAAAGGATTACATTCTCCAATCAAAAGACATAGAGTGGCTGAATGGATTTAAAAAAGACAAGACCCATTTATCTGTTGCCCACAAGAAACACATTTCACCTATACAGACACATATAGACTGAAAATAAAGGGATGAAAAGAGATATTCCATGCCAATGGAAAGCAAAAAAGAACAGGAGTAGCGACACTTATATTAGACAAAATGGATTTCAAGACAAAAACTATAAGAGACAAAGAAGGTCACTATATAATGATAAAGGGGTCAACTTATCAAAAGGATATAACAATTTTAAATGTATATGCATTCAACACTGGAGCACCCAGATATATAAAGCAAATATTACTACAGCTAAAGAGAAAGAGAGAGAGACTCTAATACAGTAATAACTGGAGACTTCTATACACCATTTTGAGCACTGGACAGATCTTCCAGACAGAATATCAACAGGGAAATATTTAACTCAGTCTGCACCATAGACCAAATGGATCTAATAGATATCTACAGAACATTTCATCCAATGGCTGAATACACTTTCTTTTCCTCAGTACATGGATCAATCTCAAAGATAAATCATATGTTAGGTCACAAAATAAGTCTTAAAACATTCAAAAAAATTGAAATAATATCAAGTATTGTCTCTGACCACAGTGGAATAAAACTAGAAATCAGTAACAAGAGAAATTTTGGAAACTATACAAATACATGGAAATTAAACAATATGTTCGTGAATGACCAGTGGGTCATTAAAGAAATTAAAAAGGAAATTGAAAAATTTCTTGAAATAAATAATGAAAACACAACATATCAGAACCTGTGGGATACAGTAAAAGCTGTACTAAGGGGAAAATTTATAGCTATAAGTGCCTACATCAAAAAAGAAAAACTTCAAATAAACAAGCCAACAATGCATCTTGAAGAACTAGAAAAGCATCTCGCAGGCTGTGACGCTTTATTAAGAAATAAAGTCTCCTCTCCTTTTCAAATTAAAAAAGATTTAGAAAAGCAAGAGCAAACAAAACCCAAAATAAGTAGAAGAAAAGAAATAATAAAGATTGGAGAAGAAATAAATGAAATTGAAATGAAGAAACAACATAGAAGATCAAGGAAACAAAAAATTGGTTTCTTGAAAAATAAAACAAGATTGACAAACCTTTAGCCAGACTAATTAAGGAAAAAAGAGAGAAGATCCAAAAAAATAAAATCAGAGACAAAAAATGAGACAACTGATACTACAGAAAATCAAAGGATCATTAGTGGCTACTATGAACAATAAATTGGAACAACAAATGTATTGGCTAATTTGCCAATAAATTGGAAAATCCAGAAGAAATGGACAAATTCCCAGACATGTACAACCTGCCAAGATTGAACCAGGAAGAAATCCAAAACCTGAACAGACCAATAACAAGTAATGAGATCGAAGCTGTAGTAAAAAGTCTCCCAGTAAAGAAAAGCCCGGGACCCAATGGCTTCACTGTTGAATTCTACCAAACATTTAAAGAACTAATACCAATCTTACTCAAACTATTCCAAAAAACGAAGGGGGAAGGAATACTTCCAAATACATTCAATGAGGTCAGTATTACCCTGATAGCAAAACCAGACACATAAAAAAAAAAACAACTACAAGCCAATATCTCTTATGAATATTGATGCAAAAATCCTCAACAAAATACTAGCAAATTGAATTCAACAATACATAAAAATATTATTCATCAGGATCAAGTGGGATTTATCCCTGGGATGCAAGGATAGTTCAACATATGCAAATCAATCGATGCAATACATCATATCAACAGAATGAAGGACAAAAACCATATGATCATTTCAATTGATTCTGGTAAAGCATTTGATAAAATTCAACATCCCTTCATGATTAAAAAAAAAAGAAGCCCTCATAAAACTTGTGTATAGAAAGAACATGCCTCAACATAATATAAACCATATATGACAGACCTACAGATAGTATCATACTGAATGGGGAAAAACTGAAAGTCTTTACGATTTGAAACACAACAAGGATGCCCACTTTCACTATTGTTATTCAACATAGTACTGGAAGTCCTAGATAGAGCAATCAGACAAAAGAAATTAATAAAGAGCATGGAATTGGAAAGGAAGAAGTCAAATTATCCTTGCTTTCAGATGATATGGTCTTATATTTGGAAAAACCTAAAGACTCCATAAAAAACTATTAGAACTGATAAATTCAGTAAAGTTGAAGGATACAAAATCAACATACAAAAATCATTAGCATTTCTATATGCCACCAGTGAACAATCTGAAAAAGAAATTAAAAAAAGTAATCCAATTTACAATAGCCACAAATAAAATGAAATACTTAGGAATTAACCAAAGAAGTGAAAAATCTTTATAATGAACACTATAAAACACTGATGAAAAAAAGTAAAGAGAACACCAAAACATGGAAAGATATTCCATGTTCTAGGAATCAATGTTGTTTAAATGTTCATACTACCCAAAGCAATCTACAGATTCAATGCAATCCCTATCAAAATAACAATGACATTCTTCACAGAAATTGAAAAGTCTTAAAATTTATATGGAACCACAAAAGACCCAGAATACCCAAAGCTACCCTAAGCAAAAACAAAAAACAAAACTGGAGGAATCACATTACCTGACTTCAAATTATACTACAGAGCTATGGTCACCAAAACAGCATGGTACTGGCATAAAAACAGACACATAGACCAATTGAACAAAATAGAGAACCCAGAAACAAATGCATACACCTACAGTGAACTTACACCTACAGTACATACACCTACAGTGAACTTACACCTACAGTGAACAGTAAAGTGACAAGAAAATACACTGTGGAAAAGATAGTATCTTCAATAAATGGTGCTAGGAAAACTGGATAACTATATGCAGAAGCATGAAACTAGATCCCTATCTCTAGCCATATACAAAAATCAAATCAAAATGGATTAAAGACTTGAATGTAAGACCTCAAACTATGCAACTACTACGAGAAAACATTGGGAAAAATCTCCAGGACATTGGTCTGGGCAAAAATTTCTTGAGTATTACCCCACAAGCACAGGCAACCAAGGCAAAAATGGACAAATGGGATCACATCAAGTTTTTTAAAATGTCTGCACAGCAAAGGAAACTATAAACAAAGTGAAGAGACAACCCACAGAATGGGAGAATATATTTGCAAACTACCCATCTGACAAGGAATTAATAACCAGAGCTCAAACAACTCTAAAAAAAAGAGCTGAAACAATTCTATAAAAAATCTAATAATCTAATCAAAAATGGGCAAAAGATTTGAATAGATGTTTTTCAAAAGAAGACATACAAGTGGCAAACAGGTATATGAAAAGGTGCTCAATGTCATTGATCATCAGAGAAATGCAAATGAAAACTACAATGAGATATCATTTCACCCCAGTTAAAATGATTTTTATCCCAAAGACAGGCAATAACAAATTCTGGCAAGGATGTGGAGAAAAGGGAACTCTTGTACACTGTTGGTGAAAATGTAAATTAGCATAATCACTATGGAGAACAGTTTGGAAGCTCCTCAAAGAACTAAAAGTTGAGCTACCATATGATCCAGCAATCCCACTGCTCGTTATATAACCAAAAGAAAGGAAATCAGTATATTGGAGAGATATTCTGCACTCCCATGTTTATTGCAGCACTGTTCACAACAGCCAAGATTTGGAAGCAACCTAAGCACCCATGATGAATGGATAAAGAAAATGTGGTACTTATACACAATGGAGTGCTATTGGGCCATAAAAAAGAATGAGATCCAGTCGTTTGCAACAACATGGATGGAAATGGAAGGCATTATGTTAAATAAAACAAGCCAGGCACAGAAAGACAAACATCACATGTTCTCATTTATTTGTGGGATCTAAAAATCAAATTAATTGAACTCATAGAGAGAGGAAGATTGCCAGAGGATGGGAGGGGTAGGGTAGGTGGGGGGTGAGGGGGAGGTGAGGATGGTTAATGGGCACAAAAAAATAGAAAGAGTAAGACCTGCTATTTGACAACACAACAAGGTGACTATAGTCAATAACTTGATTGTATATTTAAAAATAAGTAAAAGAATATAATTGGATTATTTGTAACACATAAAATAAATGCTTGAGGGGATCACCCCATTCTCCATGATGTGATTATTACATATTGCATGCCTGTATCAAAACATCTCATGTACCCCATAAATATATATACCTACTATGTACCCACAAAAGTTAAAAATAAAAAAATGTAAATCAACTGTAAAAAATAAATTTAAAAATGAGCAAGAAAAAGCAGGTAACAGTAAATATAGTAAGTAGATACAGCAGAATTAGCCATCAACTAAGTGAAGGTATATGAGCAATAATCTAAAATATTGTAAGATAAATACATTCGAAATGGTTAAAGAGACAAACCAAAGAATAGAAACTGTAACAGAAGAATAAAAACATAAAACAGAAGTTGAAAATGAGTATAATTTTTTCAAAAGCCAGTGAAATGAAATACCGAATGAACCAATTAAACAGAAGATGGATCTTTACTGAAGAGGTAAATCTGAGAGAATGAACCAGAAACCAAGACAGAGAGTATAACAGAGGGAGTAAGCCAGGAAGGCATGAGATGTGAGAAACAAAGAAAGAAACTCAGGATCAGGGAGGAAACAAAGGGACTCTTGAAAATGAGGGTAAAAGGAGATCCCAGGAGGGTAGCTGTGTATTAAGCATGGAGGGCAAACAGTCCAGACCAGTCACTGTGTGACTAGAGACAGACACTGAGGATGCCCCCACCGTGTCTTCTGCTGCTGCATCATCTGATGACATGCTCCACCAGAACGAGCAAGCCCACCAAGCAACGCTCAAAATCCAGGAAATAAAGAACCCAACTCAAGGAATTCCCAGGAGGAGGCTGTGCAGCAGGCCAGAGAGAGGTGTTCGGGGGTGATGCTTCTAAGAAAACCAAAATGCAGCATGTATATTATTGATGTGATTGAACTTGTAGAAAAAAAAAAAAGAAAAGAAAAAGAGCATGAAGAAGCCATTGTAAAGTGTGAAAGGGGTAGAAATAGGGACAAAGACCAGCAAACTGAAAGGAAAAAAAAAGACATCATTAACTTCAGAAAAAGACAAAAAGAATGTAAATATACATCTACACACTACAGTGCTTAGCCTAAGCAATATTTGCATGGGCACAATATTATAAACATGGAATAGTCAATTACGCAAACGTTGTGATATATTCTCTAGTGGGAATATGGGAGAAGGGAGGCAGAAGTCGTGGTGGTATGAGAAAACTAAACTCTTAAATATCATTATAGAATGTTTACAGAATGGCTCATATTGATAAATCAAAAGAAAGCATGACACACGTGTAATTTAGAAATACGGAGATGCGTAAATGCCAGAAATAAAAAGCTGAGATTGTTGGAAGTAATGGCAGAAGAGGACTGAGGGAAAGGATGAGGAGAAACCCCCATAATTTGCTCCAAGCCCTTCAATAACATTTGACTTTTAAACTTATGTACATAAGTTACTTTAATTTAAAAAAATTTTTGAAAATAAATCAGTGCTATGTTGTCTGAAAAAGCAGAGACATGATGCTCCTGTTGCTTTCCTCCTTCTGCTATGATTCACTGAGGCAGGTTACGTTTTAAGATTTCAGGAACTAATGGAGCAGCACATATTAAACATATTCCCTGGCTTGTGCCCCAGCTACAGTCTGGTGGTGACCTTACTTCTAAGGACTTTGTCGTGCAATTTGCTAATCCTTTTCTCGTACCACTGCTTTCAAGCTCAACTGAGCACACTTCCTCCTTTAGCTACAGGTAATGCAATTTTAGTGCTGAAAGGATAAAGAGCATTCTGGAATCACATACAGAAAACTTCTGCTTGATTTAATTGTTGTGTTGCTGAAAACAGATTCATAGCAAGTTGTTGTATATTAAATATTCTACAGTAAATTTTAACGTTATGTTATTGGGAGTCGGGGAGGAACTGGCCCCAAACTACAATAATGACAGTGTTCTGTAAGACTTTCTACCATTACTTCCAAAAAGCACTTAGAATGGATTGATGTATAGAGTTTGTTCACATACTTTTCCCACACAGCCAATGAAAGACATTAGTCAAAGAGAAATGGACATTTACTGGTGCTTATTATGTGTCAGGTACTGTGCTAGGGACTTTAATAAATGCATTGTGTACTTTAATTCTGGCAACCACTCAGAAAAGTAGATGGTATCGTACCCACTTTACAGATAAGGAAACCAGAGCCTAAAGATATTAAGTAATTTTCCCAAAGCCACACAGCTAGTAATTCAAACCAACCATCGAGTCTTTCCACAAAAAAAAGTATGTAATTACAATTCCTAGAGTTAATTTGAGCTTTGTTTTGAGTGCCCTATGATTCCATAGGGCTTAATACTTAAGCAGCCACATATGACTTAACATTATTTTCAGTAAGAAACTTAGAAGACAATGATCTACTAGAATTTTAAAAATACTACTATTTCTTTTGATGTAATAGCCTTCATACTAACAAATGTTTATTAATGTGGTGATTAACTAAACGCCAGCATGAGATTTGAATATCCATATTAGAAGAACACCATATCAGGGGCAGAGTAACACAAACCTAACCAACATAACTCCACCTCTTCTGGTCCTTTAACCGTAAACAAATGGCTTCAACTTTCACAGATAAAACTGTAGGACTGGTAGTTCCTATCTCTTATGGTAGCTCTGGCCATTAGAAGTGGGAAACCCATCGTAAAAATTCAAAATGTACTATTATAATAAAAGGTCTATCAGTGCAGCTAAAGCAGCTCCTCTCTCTAGGTAAGCACAGTTACACCAAATGCATGAGCCTGATGCTAAGTGAGAGTGCACAGTATGAGATTCACCTGTGGTAGCACTGAGCAAAGATGAGCTCCCAAAACTTTGCTTGAGCCTCCCGACAGCCTGTGACTTAGGAAAGCAGCCATGTTTTAAGTCCTGCCAACTATGTCCATCTGACATTGGCCTTGATACAGGTTAGGAAACCAAAAGATTCACTTCCTGCATCATGTTACCCTTCCATCAGATATCTACCTTCTACCTGTGCACCTGTGACGTAATGTGCTGACACATCGACAAACCACAAGAGAGAAAATAAGACCTGGCAAATGGAGCATAACCAAATCAGTGCTTTGAAAAGGGATATTAACAACAGCAGGTAGCAGGTCACCTTCTAAAGGAGCTAGGCTACCCCAGCTTTGACCTGGAACCAGGTGATCAGCTAGAGAACATTGCCTTGGAGGGTAACACGTGACTTCTACTCACATCAATGATTTTCTAACAAATAACTAAGTTGAATTATCTTTGTTTTCTAAGAGAGTATGGACACGTTGTGAAGCCTTATTTGAGGATTTCATGCCCTCCAAGTCGTTCATTTATTCCCTAAGTACAATATTTAAGAAAATCTCAGCAGCCATTCTCTGATAGGTCATTATTCTGCCCCATCTGTATCCTATCACCCAACTTTATCTCCTTCAAAGGCATTACAATATGCCCCATCTGTATCCTATCACCCAACTTTATCTCCTTCAAAGGCATTACAATATAATATTCTTCCAATGTGGTAACAACAAAACAAAAATGTATCAGATACTTTGGTTTACATGTTGTACTCACATTTCAGAATTAAAGAAAATCAAGCTATTATTACAAGTAATGACAAATTGGATTGTATTCTTTGCCATTTTTATTACATTTGCTTTTACAAGTCAGTAGTGTTATAATCAATGAAGCATTGATTTGTATGCATTCTATGGTATCTCATTCAACAATACTGAAAACCATTATTGCTGGGTGCCACACCAGGTGCTAAAGATTCATCAATGAGATGTCTTAGCACTCATGGAGAAACACACAGCACAGTGATTAGTTAGGTCCCGGGACTTGGAAGCCAGTCTTTCTGGGGTCAGACGCTGGTCCTTTAAGCTTCCCAGCTGTGTGGCCTTAGGAACATAAAGTAAGTTCTTGATGTCTCAGTTTCCTCACCTGTTATAATAATAGTGTCTGTTTCAGAGGGCTTTTAGGAACATTAAATGAGATAATGTTTACATTATGTTTTATGTTTACAGTTTATCATGGAGCTGTACCTGATACATAGGAAACATCATGTAAATGATCATTAAAAATGAAACTCACTTTCTAGTGAGGGAGTCTCATAATAAACAAATAAATAAGAAAATTATAGTCAATGGGACAAACACCAAGCAAACCATTTACAATAGAATTAAAACACACTCATTTCTATCAGTGGCAGGCTAGGTTATTTGGATGAATTCTCCTGCTGAGAACTGGGCACAGAAACAACTCCAGTTTTGACAGTCCCTGGAGCAAAAGCGACCAATTAAACCCAAGGTTAACCAAAAATAGATTAATAGGAGATTCTCCTAAATCAGGGTATAGGCAAACCAGAAGTAAACCATACCCATATCCACCCACAAGACTGCACAGACAGTTAAGTTACTTTGGCACAAAAAGGAGGTTGTAGGGGAGGGAAAAATGAATGGACTGATCCCTGGGAGGGTGACTATGGGCTAGCAGTGCTCCTATGGATCAGTTGTTTTGTCCAAGAAACCTCAAGCCACGAACTCAGTGTTCATGTCTGGTAACTCCCCTAACCTCTTGAAAATCCTTTCTAGAGTAAGTCACCTTTGTCTTAGGCCTTAAATTTTCCAAAAATAATTTTTAAAGTAGAATGAGGAACACAAAATAGTATCTAAGAATATCAAGAAACAAGACCCTATGAGTGGAAACTGGCAGGAAAAAAAAAAAAAAGACCAAAGAAACACCTTCAAAGACTTCAGATTTTTTAATGTATCAGCCAAAGATTATAAAATAACTGTTTAGTATGTTTAAAGTTTAAAAATACAAGTTTAAAAATATCTTCAAGGAATAGAAAAGTATAGCGTCCTATTTGAAATAAGACTAGATAGAACATTTAGAAAAGAAAAAGTTAAAATGTATAAATTAATGAAGGAATTTAACAGATGTTTAGATGCAGCAGAAGACAGAATTAATGAACTGTCACATAGATCAGAAAGAATTCTCTAGAATGCATCAAAGAAGGCAAAAAATAAAAAAGAGTAGGTTAAGAAGCATGGTAGGGGAGACTGAGAAGGTGTAACAAATGTCTAATTGGGATTCCAGAAAAAGAAAAGAAAGAGGGCCAGGCTGGGTGTCTCACACCTGTAATCCCAGCACTCTGGGAGACCAAGGCTAGCAGATTGCTTGGTCCAAGGGGATCAAGAACAGCCTGGGCAACATGGCAAAACCCTGTCTCTACAGAAAGTACAACAAATTAGCCAGGTTTGGCGCCTTGTGCCTGTAGTCCCAGCTACTCAGGAGGCTGAGGTGGGAAGATCGACTGAGCCCAGGAGGTCGAGGCTGCAGTAAGCCGTGATCGCGCCACTACACTCCAGCCTGGGTGGAAGAGTGAGACTCTGTCTCAAAAAAAATAAAAAATAAAAAATAAAAATAAAGAATAGAATGGGGAAGAGAGTATGTTTGAAGAGATAATAGTTGAAAATTTTCTAAAACTGAAATAAGAAGCCTATAATCCAGAGCTGTGGGACCATGGCAGTAGCAGAGGAACAGAATCCAGAGGATGGAGAAGAGGATGAAGGAGGAGGGAGAACAGTTAGTTCTCATGGAATTATCAGGAATTATTGATTCAGACTTTCTCTCGAAATGTGAAAATAAATGCAAAATTTTGAGAATTGACACCAAGAGGCCCTTTCTGCAAGTGGACAGCTATGTCTTGGCTGGGGAGTCTGAAGACACTCTTGGGACGTGTGTCACATTTGAAGAAAATGTTGAACATGTGGATAGAGAGGGCAAGGAGTACACAGTGCTAAAATACAAGTGCCATACATGGAAGATGTCAGCATGACAAGAACTCTTCTGACAGAGAAGGAAGGAGGAGAAAACAGGTGAGGTGGAATGGCTGTAAATCAAGGATAAGGATTTCTCCTCTAGACCCAACATGATTTGTAGCTTTCTACATAAAAATGAAGATGAAGAAGTGATAGCTTTGGCCTCAGATAAACCTTTGGAATTGGAAGGAAGATTCAAATGAAAGACAGTTCAAACCTGAGTTGTGAACAGGAGAAGCCACTGCAAGTGGACATAGAGGATTCTGGTCCTCCTCATGACATCCCTTCTGAGACAGAAGCTTCTGTGTTTATAGAAACTTAAGATGCTGCCTTAGAAGTCACTCCTAATGAAATGTTTCTCATAATAATGCATTATGAGCTTTCTGGTGTTCTTATATAAAGATATCCAGCTGTATAGCTTTCAGCTGTTCACTATTTTATTGTGTTTTGTTGGCTATACACACATATCCAGTCACATCACAGCTTATTTTACCAGAATCATTCAGGACCAGACATGAATTGAATTTTTTAAAATTCAGCTTAAATGACTTTAGGGACAGTTCTCTGATGAGTCCTTTAAATTCAAGGTTTTACTAAGGTAAGTACATAAGTTTTCTATTGTAGCTGTTACAAATGACCACAAACTCCGTGGCTGAAAACAACAAAATGTATCATCATAGTTTTGTAGGTCGGAAATCTGACACTGGTCTTAACTGAGCTAAATTCAAGATGCTGGCAGGACTGCATTCCTTTATGGAGGCTGGGGGCAGGTTAGGGGGCCATAAATCCATTTCCTTGCTTATTCAGTTGTTGGCAGAATTCAGTTCTTTACAGTTGAAGAATCAAAGTCTCATTTCCTTGCTGTCTGCCAGCGGAGGGCCATTTCTAGCTTCCAGAGGCTGCCCGCATTTCTTGGCTCATGGTCTCCTTTTCTTCAGAGCTAGCAATGGTGGGTCATGTCCCCTTTCCTGTTACTTCCTCATCATACCTCTCTCTGACCTACCCTTTTGTCTTCTATTCCACTTTTAAAGGTCCATTTGATTATGATTACATTGGGCCCACTTGAATAATTTCTCTATTTTAAGGTCTATAACCTTAATTCCATCTGCAAAGTCTCTTTTGCTGCATAATTTATAACATATACAGGCATAAAACTAGGGACTGGGGCATGGAAATCTTTTGGGAGACCATTTTTCAGTCTACTATAATATGTATTTTATCTAGAAACAGAAAAAGAATTTTGAAGTGCTTAAAGATAAAGGTACAATTCCTAATATTCCAGCTGTCAATCCACTCTTTTTTCACTAGAGCAAGATTGCTGGAATTCAACTGTAATCTTGATTTTATTAGGGCAGTAACCTAAATCTGTGATAATTTGTATTTTTAAGTAAATTATTCACAAATATAGATACAGTATTATAGGTTGAGCTGTATTAAATTGTCAATATTTGTATCTGACTACAAAAAAACAGCAATTTCACCTAGTTTAGCCTAGGTGAAATTAATAGTTAAAACACACCTCACATTAATCACATCTCACAATTGATGGAGATGTAACTATTTTAACGGGTTAGAGAACTAATGTTCTGGAGGAGGAATTTGTTTCTTCAAAAAAATCTTGTATTTAATTGGAAAACAACTTACCTTGATAAAAAGCATTTTCAAATCATAAGCACATATATCTTCCCAAGTTTTATACGACTTTTTTAGTCTCAGCTTTTGTATTAGTCCATTCTCACACTACGAATAAAGACATACCTGAGACTGGGTAATTTATAAAGAAAAAGAGGTATAATGGACTCACAGCTCCACATGACTGGGGAGGCCTCACAATCATGATGGAAGGTGAAGGAGGAACAAAGGCATATCTTCCATGGCAGCAGGCAAGAGACCATGTGCAGATGAACTGCCCTTTATAAAACCATCAGATCTCATGAGGCTTATTCACAATCATAATAACAGCACAGGAAAAACCCACTCTATAATTCAATTACCTCCCACCAGGTCCCTCCCACCACATGTGGGGATTATAGGAGCTAAAATTCAAGATGAGATTTGGGTGGGGACACAGCCAAACCATACCAGCATTTTTTTTTTTTTTTTGAGACATGGTCTCACTGTGTCACCTAGGCTGGAGTGCAGCGGTGCCATCATAGCTCACTGAAGCCTGAACTCTTGGATTCAAGCAATCTTCCTGCTTTGGCCTCTCGAGTAGCTGGGAAGTACAAGTGCATGCCATCATGCCAGCTAATTTTTTCTTTCTTTTTTTTTTTTTTTATTTATTTTTTTTGTAGAGACAGGGTCTTACTATGTTGCCCAAGCTAGTATTGAACTCCTGGCCTCAAGCAATCCTCCCACCTTAACCTCCCAAAGCTCTGGGATTACAAGCTTGAGCCACTTTGCCTAGCCTAATGTCAGCATTTAATAAGAAGCTATTGTTCCCACCATATATATGTATAGGAGAGACTGCTAACTGCCTGACTCAATTATCTGTTCTCCCTGGTTTTTTTTGTAACAGAATCCCAGAACTTATTCAGACTAGCAATGTGCCCACTTTCCCCATAGATTCATGTGGCCATATGACTAAGTTCTGGCCATTGACATGGAATTAGAAGTGTTGGGCCAGGCCCGGTGGCTCACACCTGTAATCTCAACAGTTTGGGAGGTCAAGATGAGCAGAACACTTGAGCTCAGAAGTTCAAGACCAGCCTAGGGAACATGGCGAAACCCTGTCTCTACAAAAAATACAAAAATTAGCCAGGCATAGTGGGGCACGCCTGTAGTTCCAGCTATTCTGGAGGCTAAAGTAGGAGGATTGTTTGAGCGTGGGAGGTTGAGGCTGCAGTGAGCTGTGATTGCACCACTGCACTCCAGCCTGGGCAACAGAGTGAGACCCTGTCTCAAGAAAAAAATAAGAGGTGTTGAGTGATGCTTCCAGAAAGTTTCCTTAAACTTAAAGGCATAAGAGGAAGTAGGTAGGCTCATTTTCTCTTTCTTTCTGCTAGAACATGGATGTGGTGGCTAGAACTCCAGCAGGATTCTTGGACTTTAAAGCAACCTTGGAAATAAACCCTTGAGTGGCAGAGCAGCAGGAGAGAAGATTGGGTCCAGATTATGTGAGACTGCCCTGGACTGCTCTGAGTAAAGGGTTAACAAAACCCTTTCTCTTCCCTGGTAAAATGACTTTGCCTTTCATCATCATTTCTCTGGAAGCCTACTAGGCAAGGTAATAATGGAATGTCAACTGTGATACTAGGCAATACTGGATCATCTTCATGATTAAAGATGATCCCTTATTGGTAAACTGTATCTGGACCAAGAAGACTATGACACGTACTATAAGTGCCCATTGAAAAACATGAGTTTTGAGATTCCTTAAGCGTAGTGTTCCTCATTGCAAAGATTCCTGGAAATTACAGTCATGGGCTATCTCAACAGGTATTAGTTCTCATGGAGCATGAAGCTTCCAAGCCAGGTGGCTTCTGCACCCACCGGATGATCTTGTTTCCTTATACCTGAGCTGACACTTGGCAGGCTGGAGTAAAGCCTTCTGCTGAAATAAGCCTCATGCTGCCATGTTGTTGTGCTGTTTCTTGTTCTGTATCTTGCAAAGTTAAATGAACAGGGTGTCAAATTGGATGCCACAAGGCTTATTGGGTCCTGTGAGTGTCAATGTCATTCTAAACCTGTGACTACTGCTGCTGCTGAGGCAGAAAAGAAATTGCCACTGCTTACCTCTGGCCTTCTTTTACATGAGAGAGAAATGACCTACTCTCTTAAGTCACTCTTTAATAGCCAAACTTAATCTTAATTGCAACATATGTATTTTTAAAAACATGAAAAATATTAAAAAGCAGACCAGGTACAGTAGTTCATTCCTGTAATCCCAACACTTTGAGAGGCCAAGGTGGGAAGATTGCTTGAGGACAGGAGTTCAAGACCAGCTGGGCAACACAGCAAGACACCTGTCTCTTTTTTTTTTAAAGAAAGTATAAAGAAGTGGAAGATTCTTGAAATGAGTAATTATGCAAAAGAAACTGATCTACACTATAATGTACTTCTACTTTAAATTGAAGAGGAAAATAAAGTCTTAAATTCTGAAGGGAAAAAAAGCAGCATATAATCCCAAACGGTATAAAAATAAAAAGAAATCCATACTTAGACACATTACAGTGATACTAAAGAAAACCTAAGGCAAGGAGAAAAAATATCTTAATAGCAGCAGAGGGAAAAAAGAAAGTACCGGTCACCTTCAAAAGAGGGACAAATTGACAGCTGACCTCTCAGCAGAAATAATGTAAGCCTAAAGACAGTGAAATAATGTATATTCAATGTACTAAAAGAAAATAACTGCCAACCTAAAATTCTATACACAACAAAAATATCATATCAGTATTAGGACAAAATATCAGACAGCAGCTAAAAAGAGCTCACCACCAGCCAATCCTCACTTAAAGAAAATCTAAAGGATGTATTTCAGAGAGAAGTATTCTCAGATAGAAACTACGAGATACAAGAAGGAATAAACAGCAAAAATAGAATAAGTGTAAACCACTGAATAAAGAACAGCAATCTTCATTAAATAATTATGCTATGGAAGTACCATATGGTTTCGTTGGGGGTAAGGGGATTGTCAAGGAATGTTTCACTGAGGGTGACAGAGGTCACTGTGGCTGGAGGGGAAGAGAGGATTGAGGTGGGGCTGAAGAATTAGGTTATATAGGTCATATATAATTATATAGGACTTTATGAGTGATGTCACTTCTTATCCCACATGCAAGGGGGCATTGTTGTGGGGTTATAAGCAGGGAGATAAGGTTAAATTGTTACTCTGGGTACCATAAGATACAGGATGAAGCAGGGCAAAAGTGGACAGAGGGTTTCAAGTTAGGTTGTTTTTGTGGTTGCAATTGAGAGATGATAGTTTAGATTACAGAGAAGCAACGGAAATGGAGGGTGGTAGTTGGATGCAAGAGGCATTCAAGAAAGAGAGTTGACAGGCTTTAGGACACACTGGATGTGAGACTCCGCAGAGGGAGAAACCAAGAAGGACACTGCTATAGACTGAACGGTTATGTCCACCCAAAGTTCCTACGTTGAAACTTAATCCCCAATGCAATGGTATTTAGAGGCGAGGCCTTTGGGAGGGGATTAGATCATGAAAGCTGAGCCTTCATGAATGGGATTAGTATCCTCATAAAGGAGAACCTAAAGAGCTCCCTCACCCTTTTCACTTTGTGAAGACAAAGCAAGAAGACAGCCGTCTATGAATCAGAACATGGGTCTTCACCCGACACCAAATCTGGCGGTACCTTAATTCCCAGCCTCCAGAACTGTGAGAAAAAAATTTCTATTGTTGGTAAACCAGCCAGTGTTTGGTATTTTGCTATAACAGCCCAAATGGACAAGACAGACACCTTAGTTTCTGGTTTGCATTACTGGCTAGATGTGGTACCAGTCACTTAGACCTGCAATAAGGGCAGGTAGCAGAAGAGGAGACAATGTTGGGACACCCTATTTTACACTTATTTAGCTTTATGTGCCTTTAAGACAGTCAAGCAGAAATGTCAAAGAACTAGTTAAATACTTAGACCTGGAATTCAGAGAAGCCCAAGCTAAAGATATAAATTCAAAAGTCATCTTCACAGAAATAAAACCTGAAGCCATGGGCATAGCAACGATGACCAGAAAAGGACTTAGGACTGAACCTCAAGAACTCTAACATCCTGAAGTGTTAAGAAGCTTGAGCTCTGGAGTCAGGTTGCCTGATTTTGGATCCTGGCTCTACTAACCACAGGCTGTTTTGCCCTCTCTGAGTACCACTGACATCCTCTGTAAAATAGCGGATGGATGCTAAGAGGATTATATAATACATGGAGAGCACCTACCATGGTATCTGTCTCATGGTAACAGCTCCAAAGCTTAGCTTTATTCATAATATGACAGGAAAGGAGAGGATAGACTGGGAAAGGAGACAAAGCAGCAGCCAGAGAGAAAAAGAAGAAAAGACAGAACGGTGAATGTTTTCAGGAAGAGCCAGCAGTGTTGATGTTGCAGATAGGTCAAAAAGATGAGGACTGATAAATGTCCTATAAGCCCGGGGACCCTAGAGAAACCATGTTAGAAGGAGAGGGGTACAGATGCCAGATTGGAGTTTGGGTGAGAAAATGGAGACAGCAAGTGTAGAAGACACATCTGAGAGTTGGACTAACAAAGGGCGAATAAAAATATCAATAGGTTCCTATGGAGAAGGGGGAGGAGGGGCAAGGAGGGCTGTTACTCTAAGAAAGAGGCACCAACAGATATCTCCCAGTCCTTGCCTGTGGGACAGCTGACTCAGCAGATAGTGAGTTCCTCATTCCCAGCACTGATCACACAGACACTGGATGACCATTTGTTAAGACGGGTGAACAGGGAGGCTGATGACTTGCAGACCTATGATTCAGGGAAAGGGCTCGTGAGACACAGGGACTAGGAGTGGGGTCAGGAAGAGTCAGCTGGTGTTGATGAATTGCAGAGAAAGGTGGCATTGGGCAAAGAAATCAGCCTTGCTTAGGTCAAGTAGTACTCAGGGAAAATGTGTAGAACTGAAATAATTAGTAATGTTTTGTGACTATAATTTTTGAACTTCTAGATGTGCATGTGTGTTAACCTGACAAGGTACAGGATGAGATGCTGTAAAAAGTGGATTCCAATTTCATGCATGGGTAAAATCCCCACTCTCTAAATCCACAACACTGATGCATATACACAGAAAGAAGAAAAGAAATCGTAAAGTACTCATACATTGATGACTATAAAGAAAAAGGACAGGAGAGATACATGCGTAATTTCCAAAAGCTGGAGGAGTCCATAGAAGAAAGGAATGAAGAAAGGGAGGGAAAGGAAAAAATGAAAAGAGTAAACATGAAAACAAGTGGCAAAAAGCTCAAAAGGACTAACACCAAAACATTAACCAGGCTCATCCCTGAATGAAAAGAACATAGGTGATTCTTATTTTCTTCATTTTGATTAGCTAGATTTCTATATTTCTTTAAATTTCTCATCTTGTTTTTCTCTTTGCCTAGTTCCCAATACAGATGCTTCAAAGGAAGATAATACATTTCTCAACCTACCATTCAATGCCAGATTTGCTAAGAGAGCAGATGCCATGTTAACCTGTAAAAATCTGATTTTAATTGCTAGTGCAATGCTTGTCCTCTAATAATTCCTTCTCTATTGTCTTTGAGTATAAATATTTATTGCACTTAAAGGTTCAATTTAATTTTTTAAAAGAAGCAATTTTTTTTTTGAGATGGAGTTTTTCTCTTGTTGCCCAGGCTGGCATGCAATGGCGTGATCTTGGCTCACCACAACCTCCGCCTCCCAGGTTCAAGTGATTCTCCTGCCTCAGCCTCCCAAGTAGCTGGGATTACAGGCATGCACCACCACACCCGGCTAATTTTGTATTTTTAGTAGAGACAGGGTTTCTCCATGTTGGTCAGGCTGGTCCTGAACTTCCGACCTCAGGTGATCTGCCTGCCTCGGCCTCCCAAAGTGCTGGGATTACAGGCATGAGCCACCAGGCCTGGTGCTAATTTTTTAAAAGAAAAAGAAAAAATGTGTCCTCACCCAAATCATCAATGCATTTTTGAAAAATAATGACAAGATAAATTAAGAAATGTAAGCATTGTCCAGTTAAAGCATATGTCAATATTGTAACATTAAAAGTCATCTACTATTAACTAAATAGATGAATCAACTTTTAAATGCATCTATCATGTAAGATGTCTAGCTTAACAATACAGAGCTGTAGGGCCAGACCATGTCCTCCTTGTAGAACCAAACAATATGATTCCCAGATCAATAGTTACAGAACACAACTATACTTGTAATACTAACCATTTGTGTGTGTGTGTGTGTCTTGGTGGGGAGAGATTAAAACAGTTCTAGATGCAAAAATGGAGAAAAATAAGTCTTAATTGTTTAACACTGTCTTTAAAAGTCAAATTACACTGATATCTCAGATAATCTGATGAACCTCACCTTTTGGTCTTACCCCCAGTTTACTTATCCATGCACTATACATATGTTTTATCTACCCATTCCCTTAACTCAAAATTTTACAGATGCATTCTCTGCCTCTAAAAACTTGCCCATCACTTTAACATTTCACTAAATCCTCCTTCTGGGAAGAACTTTTCATATTAGTCCAAAAAAATGTGGCAATATTAGCTTTTTTCCCTTTTGGACAATATCGTCTCTTCCTCTAACTAAAATAGTCCTTACCAAGTAGGAATGGGTTTGGCTACAAGTAACAGAAAACTGTGTTTAAATCTGTGGTTAAACCACAGGGATATGTACGATCTCACTGAACTAAAAGTCCACAGGTAGGTGGTTCCAGGGTTCCTTCAGGGAATGGATGGTGTAATCGAGGACCTAGACACTTCCACACTCCCATGCCATCATCCTTAGCATGACGTGTCCTATTCCCATCCCTGCTGCCTCACTGGCTGCTGTCACACCAGACGTCACATCCTCATGCTGTGCTTAAATGCAAGCATCAAGGGTGTGGCAAAAGATGTTCTCTCAGGAGGTTCTGTCCTTTATCTGGAAAAGAAGCATTTCCAGAAGTCTTCCTTATAGCCCCATAGGCCAAAACTGAATCACTATGGCCACTCCTAGTCACAGGGAAGGCTGTGAAAGTATTTCCCTTCTCAGCTTCTAGTCAAACTCAATCTCCTTATTTGTAGGAATTAAATGAAATAGTGCCCTGTTGATTCTATCTCCAACATTCCTGTTGCATCCACCTAATTATCTTCATCCCCCACCAAATCAACTCCCACCACTGTACTACAGGCTTCAGAATATCCCACCTAAAGTCTCCCAACAGTTCCTAACTGGTATCCTGATTGCCCCATTTTGTCCCCTCTACCATCCACTTTTTTTTTTTTTTTAAGTCTTTCTCTGTTGCCCAGGCTGGAGTGCAGTGGTGCAATCATAGCTCACTGCAGCCTGGAACTCCTGGGCCCAAGTGATCCTTCCACCTCACCACCTAAGCACCTGGGACTACGGGCTCACACCACAACACCTAGCTAATTTCTTCTGTTTTTTTTGTAGAGATGGGGGTTTCCCCATGTTGCCCAGGCGGGTCTCAAATACCTGGGCTCAAGCAATCCTCCCACTTCAGCCTCCCAAAGTGCTGGGATTACAGATGTGAGCTGCTGCGCCTGGCCCATTCTTTTTTGAGATGGAGCCTCACTCTGTCACCAGGCTTGGAGTGCAGTGGCGCGATCTCGGCTCACTGCAACCTCCACCTCCCGGGTTCAAGCGATTCTCCTGCCTCAGCCTCCTGAGTAGCTGGGACTACAGAAGGACGCCACCACACCCAGCTAATTTTTGTATTTTTAGTAGAGACAGAGTTTCACCATGTTGGCTAGGATGGTCTGAATCTCTTGACCTCGTGATTCACCTGCCTCGGCCTCCCAAAGTGCTGAGATTACAGGCATGAGCCATCGCGCCCAGCCCCATTCATTCTTTATACACCACTGCACAACATTTAACTGCGAATCTTACCATGTTCTTCCTCTTTAGTGGGTTGTGGTCCTGAATGTTCTGGTCACACCCACCTCTCCAGCTTCAGCTCCCTCTCCTCACTCAGATCACATGCGCCTGCTCTTTGCCTCTCAAGAAACCTCAATTTCTTCACACCTCCAAGTTGTTCACACGCTACTTCCTCCATCTGAAATGCTCACCCACTCTGCATCTCAGCTAATCTCTCCTCAGTTTTCATGTCTCTCCTTCAATGTCCTCCCCGTACACAAGGGTTATTTGTAAGATGTTGTTATTAAGTTCAAAGTTGCTGAATATAAATGAGAAAGGGCATGCAAAATAATCTTTTTTTTTTG
Organism: Homo sapiens; assembly: GCF_000001405.40. Lineage (NCBI taxonomy): Eukaryota > Metazoa > Chordata > Mammalia > Primates > Hominidae > Homo > Homo sapiens. The sequence continues at coordinate 29,561,707 of NC_000007.14, forward strand.
TTAATTTCAGCAGTTAGTAGAGGTTTGCTTATTAGTAAAATGTTGACCATTTTGTTAAAATCACACTTGAGGAGCCAGTTGGCAGAACTTATTTTCTTTTCCTGAATTTTTTATTTTCACCCATATGCTCAACCAACAACGTAAAAACCCACCTCCATAGCTCCCTAGTGGTGATGACTCCTCAGATAAAGGCATTCTTCCATGATTCAATTTCATCTGTAAAGTAATGGCACTATGATGAATTATCCCATTCTCCCCTCAAAGTTGGTGGCCTGCCTTTGTTCAATCCTGCTTCTGTGATTGAAAGTTTATGCTCTAAAAGTAATCCCGAGAAATATATAAAAATGCATGACTTCCAAATACCCTGTGCTGTGCATATCATAGAAATTCAAAGAATCCCAAACTAAAAAGTAAATCATATATTCATATTTTTATCTTTCACAAATTGAAATACTCTCTAAAAATTTTTTCTACTAATTCTATATTGCAAATTATTTGAGTTAGGCAGTATGTCTTTCACTACTTTTTTTTTTTTTTTTTTTTTTTACAGACAGAGTCTCACTCTGTCACCCAGGCTGGAGTGCAGTGGCCGGATCTCAGCTCACTGCCACCTCCACCTCCCAGGTTCAAATGATTCTTGTGCCTCAGCCTCCCCAATAGCTGGGAATACAGGCGTGCACCACTACACCCACCTTGTTTTTTATTATTATTTTTAAGTAGAGACAAGGTTTTGTCATGTTGGCCAGGCTGGTCTCAAACTCCTGGTCTCATGTGATCCACCCGCCTCGGCCTCCAAAGCGCTAGGGTTACAGGCTTGAGCCATCTTGCCCGGCTGTCTTTCACTGCTTTTATACTGCAAACAGTTTTCACAACAGAGATGCTCAGTTGCTCCACACCCAGTCCTTCAGGGGAGTTATGCTTGCATATGAGCTCAAGGAACATCAAAATCGTTTTTTGAAACAAGAGCATCCTGGAAGATGAAGCAAGCTGCACCTCTGCCTTCATTAGTGAAAATGCCCTGTGCCAATATCTTTATGTCAAATGAATAAAAAGTACTCTTGGCCGGGCGCTGTGGCTCACGCCTGTAATCCCAGCACTTTGGGAGGGAGGCCGAGACGGGCGTATCACGAGGTCAGGAGATCGAGACTATCCTGGCTAACACGGGGAACCCCGTCTCTACTGAAAATACAAAAAATTAGCCGGGCGCAGTGGCGGGCGCCTGTAGTCCCAGCTACTCGGGAGGCTGAGGCAGGAGAATGGCGTGAACCCGGGAGGCGGAGCTTGCCGTGAGCCGAGATCGCGCCACTGCAGTCCAGCCTCGGCGACTGAGCGAGACTCCGTCTCAAAAAAAAAAAAAAAAAAAAAGTACTCTTATGTGACCAGGAGTGCAATCCCCGGTTCACTTCCTGCAGTGGCTCAGGGCTGGATTTACACTGCCCTCGTTGGGTGGCTGTCCATGGACTTCCAGGCCTGAAAGAAGGAAATTCACATCCTCACTGAGTCGTGTTAAGAGTCTCAGACTGGCAGGTTGTGGTGGTTAAGACCGTAGAAGCTAGAGTCAGGCCCCCTGGGTTCCAACCCTGCTCTGCCACGTACCAGACAGGCAAACCTGAGCAACCATTTTCCCGTGCTAGGGTTTCCTCGCCTGTCGAGTGAGAATAATAATAATAACAATACCTACCTCCTAGGGTTGCTGTGAGAAATAAATGACAATCCACAGAAAGCGCCTGCAACGGCGCCTGGCTGGCAAACAGCGGACTTGTTAATTACAGCCTTTCAACTAAGGGCGCCTGAAACTCGCAAACATTTTGCTCGGGTGTGGATTCGCTCCCGTTAGTTACAAACTTGGGATCCCGGGACCCGGAAAGCAAGGGGGAAAAATAAATCGCGATGGGGCCAAGGGACAGCTGCTGCGGCAACTTTTACCCAGCGGAGCCCACCTACAGCCTCAGCCTCCGGGTCTCAGGTCTCCGCCGTTTCTTCTCAAGGAGTCGGTCGGGGGAGCGGCACTGCACAGCTTTTCTCCAATCAGACACCTCAAGGCTGGCGCCTGATCCAATCTCCTCCCCTGGAGGGTGGGAACGCGAAGTTCCTACCTGCACCTGTGGCAGCGGTGACCGCCTCCTGGGTTATTTTCTTTTCTCCCCCAGCTGCCCCAGGGTTCTGGTTTCCCGAATCACTTGGCAAATAACCAGCAGGTGGGCAGATGTCTTTTTTGCGTTCCTACGGACGCGTAGGCAAGTTCGATGCGCCGGAGTGAACAGCCAGGGTCCCATCTCTCAGCCGGCTCCCGGGCGGTGCTAGCAGGGAAGAGGGACGCGCCGGCGAATGAAACACTACTAGCCCGGAAAGCCGCCCTGGACCTTCCACCCGGGCAGCGAGTCTGGCGGCCCCTCGCCGCCGCCCCCTCCGACCAGAACAGACTGCGCTGCGAGCCCCGGGCTTCCGCCGCAGCGCGCAGCAATTGGAGGTGCCAGAGGAGACCAGCAGCAGCACTTGATTTAGCTGGGCTGCGGGAATTCCGACCTGTACACTTTCCAGAAGCCTGATCTCTCCAAGTCCGCGCCCAGGGACTCGAGCCCCGGCTTCCAGGTTGACCCGAGCGCGCCCCCTTCGTGCTCTCGGCCGCGTTCACCGCGCGAGGCCTCCGGGTCCTGTTAAGCCCGAGCAGGTGAGCGACTGGGGGTGGTTCGGCGTCCGCCGAGACAGAGCCTGGCCCCGGGGGTCACCCTGGGGTGCTGCCTGGTACCTCCCAGGTACCCGCCTCCCGGAGCCCTAAGAGAGGCTGAAAACCACGGACGCTCCAGGACTCCGTTTTCTGTACTTTTGAGTAATTTGCCATCTTTTCCTTGCGCAATTCGTACAAAGCCCTTCCGTGCTCACAAAGTTGATGATTGTGAAGAAGAAAATGTAGGTTAGAGGAGAGGAAGCAGCATCAGGACACCTTACCACCACTGTTAGTAAATGACTTGGGGGTACGGGTTGCTTTTCCGATCTGCAAAGTAGGAGGGAATGGGATGTTTGCAGACGCAGTTGCTAATTGTGCCTGAGGGCGTGGGTGCCTTTTGTACCGAAAGAACTTTTGGCCGTTTTTTCTTGTATTGTTTTCAAGTCGCTGCCCGAGTGTGTCCTCAGGGCATCCTGGGGAGGAGCCGGTGTTGCGGTTTCGGGGCGCAGCCGAGGCCGCCCCGCCGCCTCCCGTAGGCGATCAGACTTCCTCTCCCTGGCGGTTCCGGGAGGAGAACCTCCTACAACAAACACCGCCGAAGTTTCCCTCTCCAGCGCGATCGCCAATCCCAGGAGCGCCCGGCGCGTGGGCTGGGAAGGAGCCGAGCGGAAACCTGGAAGTGAGCCGCGGCGCAGGCGAATCCTGCCGTTGCTGGTGGCAGCGCCCAAGAGACCCCGCACAGAAAGTGGGCTGGGAGTCTCGCTTGCTGTACCCGCACCTAAGTGCTCAGAAGCGGCCTTTCGCTCTGCAGAGGGGGGGTCTTAGAAGCTTGGGGAAGAAGCACATTGTTTCGGAGTTCCTTGTTGCGTTCTTTCTCCTTGGGAGGAGGGAATTGCACAAGGAAAAGAAGAGAAGCCTTTACTTTGTAACTGAAATTCTCCAGAGTTGAGTTGCGTCGTACAGACTCGGTGCATATTTTAATACAAAACTAAGGGAAGAGGCCATTTGATACTTGGCTTCATCTCAACCGTCAGCCGGGGGTGACTTCAAACAGACGCAAGATTGGGCTCTGGGGAGTAAAAGGAAGAATTAGGATGGCGGTTTTCAAGGGAAGTTAAGTCTAGACATGCTTCTTTGAAAGTCACAAGGCAGAAGTGGTCAAAAGTAGAATTTAAAAGAACCAAAACAAATATCATAAGCTTGTCCTTCTCTCCTACTGGGATATAAATTCTCCTAAGTATCTCATCGAAAAGGCTCCTGGGACGAAAGTCGATGGGGGCAAATCTTGGAGGGAAATTTCGTGACTGTTTGACCATGGACTAATTAATACCGTTCACCTGTAGAGAGGATGCACTTGGTTCCCAGCGCCCTCCTCCCAGGTGCTTATCCAAAGGGAGGCCGCCCTGGGTCGGATGGGTCACCTTTTGGCGTCCATCTACAGTCAAGCAGTGTGGACAGGGCGGTCATTTTCCCTCTAGAGACGGGTTGATTCAGAGGGGTGGGAACGTCCCTTGGGTCCCCCGGGCACGCTGACCACTGCACTGCACTTCCCCTGAAGGAAAGGCAAAGGTTGAAGCCAAAGAGTTCAAGGCTCAGCCTAGAGACCAGGTGATGGTGCCCTGGAAGACACTTCCGCCAGCACCCTATGGGGCGCAGTGGCGTCTAATGCTAATGTGGGCTACGTAGCTACGGGATTGGGTCGCTCCGACCCTGGCCGATCCGGTGCCAGACAGCATAAGGGAGGAAAGGGGACTGGGGGGGGCACGTGACTTCAACCAACCCAGTAACCAAGTTTTGTTTTCTTCCCCAGCACAGGCCGCTGCCTCAGCATCCACCCCGCAGCCCACGTGTGGCAAGCCGGGGAAGGGGTGGAGTGAACGGCCGGAGACCACGTGGAGAAAGGGGCCGCTTTGGCCCTTCCATCTGGGTGCCGGGAGCCCCTAGGCCCTCCGGCCATGGCCGACAGCGGCGATGCTGGCAGCTCCGGCCCCTGGTGGAAATCGCTCACCAACAGCAGAAAGAAAAGCAAGGAAGCCGCAGTGGGGGTGCCGCCTCCCGCCCAGCCCGCTCCCGGGGAGCCCACGCCACCTGCGCCGCCCAGCCCGGACTGGACCAGCAGCTCCCGGGAGAACCAGCACCCCAATCTCCTCGGGGGCGCCGGCGAGCCCCCCAAACCAGACAAGTTATACGGGGACAAATCCGGCAGCAGCCGCCGCAATTTGAAGATCTCGCGCTCCGGCCGCTTTAAGGAGAAGAGGAAAGTGCGCGCCACGCTGCTCCCGGAGGCGGGCAGGTCCCCGGAGGAGGCAGGCTTTCCTGGTGACCCCCACGAGGACAAGCAGTAGCCCCAATAGCCTGCGCGCTCCAGGACTGCCTACCCAGCACTACCCCAAACCCCCAGTTCCAAACCCGAGACTTCAGGCCCGCCCCCTTACGCGTTGTCTCATTCCACCAAATTCAGAATATTTACACAATGCCTTCATGATTTTATTTTTCTGGAAATTGAAGTGTCAATTGGGTTCTCAATATTTCATGACTCCAAGGATGCATTAAATATTTATTTGTGGTAAGAGAAGATACCTGCCGCGGAGGAGGGTGGCATAATTATTTTTTTTTCAAAAAGCTATTCTGGGGCCCTGGCCCCCTGGCTCCTGTCACAGCTCAGCTTGAACTCTGTAGCCTCTCAAATGAAGAAGGTGGCTGTTATTTAGGACTCTGTGGAAAGCAAATCACAGTGCTGTTTTTAATGCCTGAGAAATGCACTTTAGGGGTAGACTTATACCTTAAGTGAAGGAGTGGGGGAGGAAGAAGCATTCTTAAGTAGAAGCATTTTAAAATAAGGCAGGATTGCTTTTAATGTTAAACTACAAAACTGTACAGCCTATTTTAGTGTGGACTATTAAAACCCTTGCACTGTAAGGCTTAAGGTGACTTTTGTATTTTTTCCATTCCAAGACTGAATCCCATCATACTTAAAAGCAGGCAGGCAAAGTCCGAGGTGAGAGTTAATCATTTGCCACACAACATAACAGTGACTAGTGGAAAGCTGCAGGGAAGAGAATATTTCTGGAAACCAGCAACACCTGGACTGGAACTTGTTAGCCAGATATCCCTATTTATCAGCCAAATTCGAGGAAGGGAGAGAGGTACCAATTCATTATTCCTAAATTCACCTTTTACTTCAGTGCATTTTCATAGACTATAGTAAGTTACAATGCTAGTAATACATCCTTTTCAGTATCCATTGTTAAACTTACTAACGATTGTCTAAAATCAAAAAACAAGGCCAGGTACGGTGGCTGATGTCTGTAATGCCAGCACTTTGGGAGGCCTAGGAAGGTGGATCACCTGAGGTCAGGAGTTCAAGACCAGCCTGACCAAAAAGGTGAAACCCTGTCGCTACTAAAAATACAAAAATTAGCCGGGCGTGGTGGCAGGCACCTGTAGTCCCAGCTACTCGGGAGGCTGAGACAGGAGAATTGCTTGAACCTGGGAGACAGAAGTTGCAGTGAGCAGAGATCGTGCCACTGCACTCCAGCCTGGGCATCTGAAGGAGACTCCATCTCAAAAAAAAAAAAGACTGAACTCTGCGCAGCTAAAGAGGTGGGGGTATTTTCCCCACCCCTTTGCTTTAAAAGCTTATTTCCTTAAAGTATGCATTTATCTAGTTTCAGACCCTTTAGATCTAACAACCTGAAGATTCTTAACAAAAAGCTGTTCGCTTTTATTATGAACTTCAAGAAAAAGAGTAAACGAATACCATTTGCTTTGAGAAAATTACAAGAGAGTTATTGTAGTCGTTAAGAGGCACTGGGATCTTTTCCCACCACAATTCAGTTCATTTATAAACACCCAGAAATGCATGGCAGGAAAATTATATTGATCAAAGTGTATATCTTTGTAGATAATGACAAGCAGGAACTTAATTATAGCTTCTCGATTTGTATATGTAGACAAGCTATTTTTTTGTTTCTCCCAAATTAGTAATTTATAAAGTAGCAAAACAGTTCGATTGTTAAAAGAAATTTAACAAAGAAATTTGATGAAGATGGCTGAAATGAATTTAAATTAATGAATCAAGCTTTGGTGCCAGCAGAATAATACAGCTAATTTTGATACATGAGTTTCCACATACCAAAGGCCTTACACTAAAGGAAAGTGTATATCTAGAGGTTATGAACACCTTAAATTAAAAGAAAGTATGTGAGAGGACTTTTTTAAGCATGAAAAGACATTTTCATTGTATACGTAAAACTGGAAAGTGTGTGACCAAAATCTCATCCAGGTGGGCTTCCTGGATGAGGCAGACTACATTCAGTTTAAATGGGCCTACCATCTCTAGATTCAGAAAAAGAAGAGGGAATTGAGACTTGGCATGAAAAAAGAATTCATGATAAGGGACAGGATTGGGGGTTGGCAGAGCAACGGGAGTGAATATAGCAAATGTTGTCAAATAAGGCTTTGGAAAACCTTCAAAAAGTATTTCAATTTCACTCCGTAGAAAGTAATCAAAATTAGAGTAGGTAACTACCCAAAATGTTCTCTCCCTCCTTCAGGAAGACCGATAGATCAGGACTGTACCTATTTATAAAATTAAGTCTGCAATTACATAAGTTTAAAATCCTATACTAACCCTTTCATCCAGTTTTATTGTTTTAAAGAACTTTTTTCTTTAAAATTACTGTAGATGAACAAAACATTGGCAAGTTTCAAGGTTCTGTGTCTAATTTTGGATCCCATCCAAATCTACAATTGCTGCAGATAATCAATAGCAGACATATAGTAGAGCAATGGAACTTATTACCATATTAACATGACATCTTTACCCCACTGTTCTGAAAGAATTTAAAACCATACTAATGCAGTTATGACAGTGAATGCAATTCACAATCTGCCATTGAGGTTTGTAATTACATCGTTTTAAAGCAGTCCTAAATTATGCAGTGGGAGGAATACACTGATTTAATCCCAACTCAGTGAAATCAGAAACCAAGCAAAATTGGTGGGACAGAAAGAGCATAAGGAAGATGAGAGAATTTGACGACGTGTCTTGCTGGGATTTATGTGCTTTACAGATGTTTAATTACATTCCAATAGTATATACAGATTTAATTTTTTTTAACCTTGAGATAATTTATAGTAAAAAAAAATGCTGAATTAAATTTGCAGTCAGAAACTTTTCTTTAAATTATCTTACAAATGAAATTTCACTCACAAATTTGGAAGCCATATCAGAAATTTTAACACTATACTTCCAAAGATATGGGAAAAAAAGGAACAAAACTCTAGCAGTGTATTTGCTACACACTTTTGTAACCACGATAATTATATACAAAGGGTAGTTTTTGCCCCAGTGACTCTCCTTGCAAAATCGGTGGCTGGGCAGTGACTCATATTACAGGTCACCTGAACGTCCCTTTGTGTCTGTACTTCTATTGTTCAGCACATTCTGACTTGCATTTCAAAAGCACAAACCCGACTTTACATATGCAATTAGGATGTTCTCCTTTAGTATAACACCTGGAAATATTTTTTCTGCTTCGAAACATTATGTGAACTCAGCAATTCTAGTCCTGCCAAGTCCTTAGAAGGGAAATAGAAACCTAATGAGCATTGGCTAAAAGCTTTGTCAAAAATAGTGCTTTTCCTGAGATGCGCAGAAGAATATTTGGGTGCCTTGAAAGAAGCAAATACTAAAAATGAGCAGACAGAATTTCAAATGAAAGGTAAACTTGAAAGAAATAAGTGAAAGGACACATATTCAGTGACCCCAAGAGACGTTTTATGAAAAAAGAGAGAAAGAATATTCTTTTTCCCCAGCTGAGAAGTGTCAATCGACTAGAAACAAGCACACAAAAAGCTAGCATGATATAGTAAGGAAAATGGATTTTTCCAAGTCTATTTTATTTTTAGAGGGTTTCATTATAACATAAATGTGGAAGATTGTTTGTTGAGATAGATTCATGTTTACCTCCATGACAAGTAAAAAGTGGGACCAGAGATATTTTATACATTTGGATGTCAACATGTAAATACCATAGACTAAGGCTAGGTGTGATGGCTCACACCTGTAATCTTAGCACTTTGGGAGACTAAGGTGGGAGAATTGCTTAAGCCCCAGAGGTCGAGGCTGCAGTGAGCCGAGATTGTGCCACTGCATTCCAGCCTGGGCGACAGAGCAAGACCCTGTCTCAAAAATAAAAAACAAAACAAAACAAGAAACAAATATCGTAGACTAGAAACAAGTGTGGAACCCGCAGCAAAGTTTGTCACTGATGGGCTGGCTGTCCCATTGCAGTATGTTTCTTCTCACCTGTTCTCTGTACTCCCTGACCCCATTCTTACCCTGCCTCCAAGGCACTGCACATGCATTCCCATGAGGCTCAGGGATACAGAAAAGGGGCTGCCATGAGACTTCCCGGACTCCTGCAGGCACAGTGTGTTGCCAATCACTTTGTTAGAAGACCATGCAGATTTGGAACATGGGATGAATAGTGTTCATGGTGAGAGAATATGACCACTAAGCGGATAGGATGTAAGGAAACTAAATAGACCTTGCCTTAGAAGAAGACAGTTGACCATTTATTTAGAAATGGCAATAGCCGTCAACCATGATAAATAAGATGGACAGTGGAATAAAAGCAGTCCTTCTGGGAATTCAAAGCAAGGAAATCAGCTGTGCTTTCAAACAAAATTGTACTACAGATGATGAAATGATAGACTCATAATTATGTCAAAGTTGTTGGCATAATCTTCTACAATAATGAGATCCATGAATGGAGTGTCTTTATTTCTGAGGTGTGGAACAAGACTGTTTACACAGGAAATAAAAATTTTTGGCCCTAAAATCAGGAAGATTCAGTTTAAAGAAACTGAAGATCCCTAACCCTAAGAAGAACCAGACACTGATTCACCTGCTGGTTAAGTAGGGATTATGGGACCAATGCTGGACCTCCCTGTGACATTTAAGAAGGTATTTTCCTGTGGCCGGGCACAGTGGCTGATGCCTGTAATCCCAGCACTTTGGGAGGCCAAGGCGGGTGGATCACCTGAGGTCAGGAGTTCGAGACCAGCCTGGCTAACATGGTAAAACCCCGTCTCTACTAATAATATAAAAATTAGTTGGGCATGGTAGTGCACACCTGTAATCCCAGCTACTCAGGAGGCTGAGGCAGGAGAATCGCTTGAACCCAGGAGGCGGAGGTTGCAGTGAGCCAAGATCGTGCCATTGCACCCCAGCCTGGGCGACAAGAGCAACACTCTCTCTCAAAAAAAAAAAAAAAAAAGGAATAAGGAATTTTCCTTGAGTTATAAGTATCCTGAATTAGGCATTTCTTTCTAGTAGCCAGTCATTAAGCATGCCCCTTGATTGATACCCTGCAAGGATAGCAGCAGAAAACTGCAGTTTTCAAGACACCTGAATATAGTCTTCTCTCTGACTTGCTCTTACATAAATCTTAGTTGATAGGGGTGTTACTCTACTCTTCTGTAAAATTGGGGAATTAGTTTATATTCCTGTTCTAAAACTCTGATTTAGTATTCTCCTATTCTGAGCAACTCGTTGTGAAAGTAAACTCATAAAATATTCATTGTTCACTTTGAAAACAAAAGGCACCAGCTGTCCAGTACTGATTGTTAAGTGGGGCGATGGGAGGGAAGTCTGAGAAGTATAAACTATGTTATGGATGCCACCACCACTGTACTGCCATTTGGCCTAACGATTGGGGGTAATCCTGCTATCTAGGAACATGAAGCCTCATTATTCATTTTCAGAATCAAATTGTGGAAGAAATATCTTATCATAGTCGATTAGCATCAAAAAGTGTGCTTTTGTGTATATTACTTCATTTGTTCCTCATAACTAGCTCTTAAGGGTCCAAAATTCTGTCAACCCACCTGATTGTCTACTCTGTTTAAACTCAATTTTTCCATTCCCAATGATGTTTTCCTAGGTCAAGAATTCATTCCCTCCAGGCACAGAGGCCCGAAGACAATTGTTTCTTCACCCTTCTCCATACTCTGTTTGAAATCCTGCAGGATAAGGTCAAACCCCTTCACCATGTCCAGCTATTCCACATGACAGACAACCCCTGATGCATGGTTGTGCTTTGCCATGTCTGCAAATATCTGTCAATCCTGTTGCCTCTGTTGGGCATATTCTTTCCCCACCACCTGCCTGGCAAATCCTCAATAGCCTTCAAGACTCAAGAATCTCTTTCTATTTAACTGCTACGGGCCTCCTTCTCCCAAGCAGATCTGATCACCCTGTTGAGACACATCCATAAACCTGTGTTATCCCCCAGCAGGAACTATAGTATATAAATATGATCTCATGTCTCTCTGCCATTTTAGTCATGGAGCTCAGGAAAATTCAGGGGGCAATGTTCATTCCTTATGAACTTTCATGAACTCCTGGTTAATCTACAAGGAAGTGGACCCTTCAGATAGAACAAGCAGCTAGCATGTAGCTCTTAGCAGGGCCACAATCTTTTCTCCTCTGGGGAAACAGGTTATGTCTGGCAGGTAGAGAAATGTCTGGGGGTTGTCAATCAGTCAGAGTCCAATCGGGACAGAGAAGCCACATAGTAATTTGAACAGAGTATATTTAATATAAAGAACTATTACACATAGCAAAGATTGATTGCTAAGAAGTAAAGGGAACCCTAAAGAATATATTGCTCATGCCAATGAGCAGCCACTACCCCTAGAACTGAGACAGAGTGCTCAAAGAATAACCCCTTTTCTCTCCAACCCCTCAAACCTTATTGGAAGTGACTCGGCCATGACCCACTGATTGGTTGACAAGTTGCCATGATGCCCCACCAGCAAAAGTTGCTGGTTACTGTATACCAGTAGGTCCTAAAGCACTAATCATTAAATGCTTTGAGCTTCATGAATGAAAATATCATAGGAAATACCACTAGGTTAATACAGTATGGGGAGGACCAGGCTGCATCAGTTTTTATGACATCTCCTTCTATTTAACACACTCTGATGAGACAATCCCTTCAAAATAAAATTCAAGATCATTTAAAGTTCTTGAAGGGCCCTACTTGGTCCAGCCTCTGCCTGTTTCTCTCCAGCTCTCTCTCTCTCTCGCTGTCTTTCTCTCTCCCTGCCATCTCTCCAAACACTCTCCATTCAAGTGAAAGTAGGCTCATTTCAGTCCATTGATCACCATCTCTCTTCTACCTCCAGGTCTTACAACACGTTCCTTCCACCACTTAGAAACCCTCCGGGGGTTTAGGTTTTCCAAGAGCTCAGGAGCTTGATGAACCTCTTGAGATATGCTCTTTCTTCACAGACTTCCTGTGATTTTCAGGACACTTCAGCTGCTTGAGCAACCATATATAAACAGAACTTGAGTGGAGTTAACTAGCCTCTCTGATTCTGTTTCCCTTGTTAGTAAATGCATGTGATAACACCACTTCATGGTGTTTGCATGACCTAAGTGCACATAAAAGCATATCTCTCAAAGACGAATGACACAGTCTAAAAGTCCTCAATAATACAGCTGTTTAAATTCTTACTCTTGAATGGGTTGAAGTTGGTCTGAAGGAGCTATTTCAATGTTTTCCTTTAAAAACTATCTAGAATTTGGAGGATCCACTTCCTAGGAATCTCAAGAAGTCTGCTTTTTAGAAAACTGTGATTATGTCTTTGTTCCAAAAAGTCAAGGACAGTTGACACAGGAGAAGGTCTAGGAGATGGAGGAAAAGAGGGGACTATACATTCAGTCCCTGAGATGACAAAAAAGGATAGTGGGACTCTATGTTGTCATCTTTATGTCCAAGAATGAATCCTGAGCCTGAGATTGTTTAGTGAATGAATTTAAAGTGTTCCCAGATTTCCAAGGAGGTGGTGAAATAGAGAAATGAAGAGGCAATTGGCTTTATGGGGAAATGCAATGGTGAGTTTCAGCAATATTTAGGCATCGCTTAGGGTACTTACAAGAACACCACTTTCTCAACAATAAAATCTCTAAAGACCTGAGAATCACCATTCTCCCTGCATTTCTTATCCTAGAAACAGAAGAAAGACAAGGAAGCAGTTTCATTCTCACAATCCACACGGTTTACTCAAGCTCTTCACTTCTGTACAGTGGGTGGGAACTTTTTGTTGGGATGGCTTCACAGAGGCAATGATGGTGAGAAATGAAGACAGGCCTCAGGTGGCTCCTTGGCAGGTCCCTGGGGGGCATTTTAAAGCCTAGAGCCTTGGCCTACCATCTGTTGCAGAAAGTCTCTCTCAAGCCGAGTTTGCTGAAGAGTGTGTTTTGATTGAAGGAAGCTACTCACATCTTCACCCTGGGATGTATTCTAAGTTTCTTTTATAATAAGGACAGTTCTCAGGAATTACAGGGAGAGGTTGAGGCAGGGGAGCCTAGGCAACCACAGAGCAGGAGATGTAGCCTAACGAGGGTTCCAAAAGGCATGAGAGTTCTGAAAGGAAGTGCTATGGCATCCCACACACTCCCTTGTTGGATATAATCAGAAAAGGGAAGCTGTGGCCACTGCCGACTCTAGTATAGCCAAGACTACAGGAACCAGAGACTATTTCGAGGAAAGAAGTCAGTTCTTTTCAGTATACAGGGACACAGAGCTAGGGCTTCTTAGGAGTTAAGGGTAGAATTTTACCCATTGCCTTCTTTAATTGTGGGAACACTTCATTTTTGTGTTGTAATATTTAATTTCCAGGCTTTATAATTTCAGTGCAATTCAACAATTACTTATTAAGTACATAGTACACACAGGCCTTTGTATGAGGGCCTTGGAGCCAAAAATGAAGACAGAGATGTTGTTACTGCTTCACATACTTCATAAGCTTAAGCCCTGGCTATGCCATTCATATAAATGAATGGCATATAAAGAAATACTCATTTATTTATGTATTCATCAAATACGTATTGAGTTTATTAATTCTTTCAATTATTCAATGTGCCTATTAGGTCCTACGCAATGAATTATACTGTAGGTGCAGAAAGAAAATAGGATCTTAAGTTTGCCCTGCAATATAGTGTAGTAAGAACAATAATAGTTTAGAGACTGGTGTTGGATCATTCAGGAGCCTTTCAAGATATTTTGGTTAATTAATTACATCTCAGATAGTGTTATTTACCTGGAGGCATTAAAGATGTTTCACATCCTGAGCAACTCACCCTCTTTGCTTCTGGGCCAACACGTATCTGAGCCAACAGGTAGGAGACCATCAGAGCGTGATGCTCTGCCTCTTAACTCATCAAGTTTTTAGAGTTCAAAAGCAGTCACAGAGTCTGAAGCAGCACTAAATGGGGTGGGACATTCTCCCTGGAGATCCTAGAGGCATGTCAAACTAGGATTTTTCTCTTCTGCAAGCCCTATTCCTTACCCTCTCATCTTCTCAACCTCTTTGAGTTCTCAAGGCATACAGATTCACTTCCTGGGGACAAGCTTCTTCCATCCCAAAGCCAGAGGCCATGTCTAGCCTCCGCAGTGGGAGAATTCTGAAATGTGCTGTGCTGTGCAAGTTAACTTGTTCTCAGTTGGGATGGAGGCACTAATTGGCCAGTCTATCTGTTCCTACAGCATTACCTCTCTTTATAATGATTATCAATGAGAGTTCTGCTTGTAAGGAGATAATCAGGGAATGACAATGTTCTCTTCCTCTGGCTATCAGTCTATTGCAGAGGAAGGCTTGTGAACCTAGGCACAGATTTAGGACCCATGGGAAGCTCTTTCAATGGGAAAAAGTCCAAGGCTGTAGCCACAGATCACCCCTTAGTCAGCAGCCTGCTTTTCCCCTCAGTCTCTCAGGGAAGTGGTAAGTGTGGATGACAAGTTCACTAAATCCAATCTGATTTGCATCCTTCCTTTCTTCTATTCATCGGACTTCCATCAGACTTCTATTCCATCAGACTTCCTGTTCTCAAACTCACTGAGTGAGATACTCGTTGAAATATTTATTTTTAGGATTTTCTAGCTATAAAAATGCTGGCTTGCTGTCTGATATGGTTAGGCTTTTTGTCCCCACCCAAATCTCATCTTGAATTAAATCCCCATAATCCCCATAATACCCACATGTCAAGGGAGAGACCAGGTGGAGGTAATTGGATCATGGGGACAGTTTCCCCCATGCTGTTCTTGTGATAATGAGTGAGTTCTCATGAGATCTGATGGTTTTATAAGTGTTTGGTAGTTCCTCCTGCATTCATTCTCCTTCCTGCCATCTTGTAAAGAAGGTGCCTTGCTTCCTTTTTGCCTTTTGCCATGATTATGTTTCCTGAGGCATCCCCAGCCATGCTGAACTGTGAGTCAATTAAACCTCTTTCCTTTATAAATTACCCAGTTCTGGGCAGTTCTTTATAGCAGTGTGAAAATGGACTAATACAGTAAATTGGTACCAGTAGAGTGGGGTACTGGTATAAAGATACCTGAAAATGTGGAAGTGACTTTGGAACTGGGTAACAGGCAGGCAGAGGTTGGAACAGTTTGAAGGGCTCAGAAGAAGACAGGAAGATGTGGGAAAGTTTGGAACTTCCTAGAGATTTGTTGAATGGCTTTGACCAAATGCTGATAGTGATATGAAAAATGAAGTCCAAGCTAAGGTGGTCTCAGATGGAGATGAGGAACTTCTTAGGAACTGGAATAAAGGTGACTCTTGCTGGGCTTTCACAAAGAGAATGGTGACATTTTGCCCCTGCCCTAGAGATCTGTGGAACTTTGAGCTTGAGACAGATAACTTAGGGTATCTGGCAGATGAAATTTCTAAGCAGCAAAGCATTCAAATGGTGACTTGGGTGCTCTTAAAAGCATTCAGTTTTATGCATTCACAAAGAGATGGTTTGGAAATGGAACTTATGTTTAAAAGGGAAGCGGAGCATAAAAGTTTGGAAATTTTGCAGGCTGCTGATGTGATAGAAAAGAAAAACCCATTTTCTGAGGAGAAATTCATGCTGGCTGCAGAAATTTGCATAAGTAACAAGGAGCCAAATGTTAATTGCCAAGGCAATGGGAAAAATGTCTCCAGGGCATGTCAGAGGCTTCATGGCAGCCCCTCCCATCACAGGCCCAGAGGCCTCGGAGGGGAAAATGATTTTGTGAGCTGGGCCCAAGGCCTTGCTGCTTTGTGCAGTCTCAGGACTTGGTGCCCTGTGTCCCAGGCATGGCTAAAAGGGGCCAAAATACAGCTCAGGCCATTGCTTCAGAGGGTGCAGGCGCCAATCCTTGGCAGCTTACACGTGGTGGTGGGCCTGCAGGCTCACAGAAGTCAAGAATTGAGGTTTGGTGATTTCAGAGGATGTATGGAAATGCCTGGATGCCCAGGCAGAAGTTTGCTGCAGGGGTGGAGCCCTCATGGAGAACCTCTGCTAGGGCATTGTGAAAGGAAAATATGGGGTCAGAGCCCCCACACAGAGTCCCCACTGTGGCACTGCCTAGTGGAGCTGTGAGAAGAGGGCCACTGCCCTCCAGGCCCCAGAATGGTAGATCCACTGACAGTTTGCACTGTACACCTAGAAAAGCTGCAGACACTCAATTCCAGCCCATGAAAGCAGCTAGGAGGGGGACTGTACCCTGTAAAGACACAGGGGCAGAGCTGCCCAAGGCCATGGCAACCCACCTCTTGCATCAGTATGACCTGGATGTGAGACATGGAGTCAAAGGAGATTATTTCAGAGCTTTAAGATTTGACTACCCTGCTGGATTTCAGACTTGCATGGGGCCTGTATCCCCTTCATTTTGGGCAATTTCTCCCATTTGAAATGGGTGTATTTACCCAATGCCTGTACCCCAATTTTATCTTGGAAGTAACTAACTTACTTTTGATTTTACAGCCTCCTAGGCAGAAGGGACTTGCCTCATCTCAGATGAGACTTTGGACTTGGACTTTTGGGTTAATGTTGGAATGAATTAAGACTTTGGTGGACTGTTGAGAAAGCATGATTGGTTTTGAAATGTGAAAGGAACATGAGATTTGGGAGGGGCCATGGAATGATATGGTTAGCCTTTGTGTCCCCACCCAAATCTCATCTTGAATTATAATCCCCATAATCCACATATGTCAAGGGAGAGAACAGGTGGAGGTAATTGGGTCATGGGGGCGAAGTGTTTGGTATTTCCTTCTGCATTCATTGGCCTTCCTACCACCTTGTGAAGAAGGTGCCTTGCTTCCCCTTTGCCTTCTGCCATGATTATAAGTTTCCTGAGGCATCCCCAGCCATGCTGAACTGTGAGTCAATTAAACCTCTATCCTTTATAAATTATCCAGTTTTGGGCAGTTCTTTATAGCAGTGTGAAAACAGACTAATACATTGTCCTAATCATAACTACCTCTCTGGTTAATAACAAGAATTAGAGGACTTCATTCATTAGGCAACAACTTACAAAAACTCCCTGAGGAAAATGTGCCATGCAGAAGCATCTACAATCCACTCCACCTGGCCTAGTAGCTGAGAAGTAGTCACAACTGCTGCCAAGGAGGCCAGAATGCTGATCATAGCTGACAATCTATAGGGCTTTACAATTTAGAAAGCACTCTCATACCCATGATTTATGTGATCCATACAAGAAGTTTGTGGCAGGCGTGTTTGATGATTATTCCTAAATCCACACCCCTTTGCTACATCACTTTGCAGTTCCTTCCATCAAGAGGTGGAGTCTATTTCTTAAGCTTTTGTCTGTGGGGCTAGTCTCATGACTTGCTGTGGCTAATAGATGTTGTAGAAGTGATATTATGCCAACTCCAAGTCTATTAGTCTGCTCGAGCTGCCAAAACAAAATATCACAGACTGGGTGGCTTAAACAACAGACATTTATTTTCTCACAGTTCTAGAGGCTAGAAGTCCAAATTCAAGGTGCCATTATTGCTGATTTCTAGTAAGACCTCTCTTCCTGGTTTGAAGATGGCTGCCTTCTCACTGTGTCCTCGTGTGGTCTTTCCTCTCTGTGTGTGCTGAGAGAGAGATCCCTGATGACTTTTCCTCTTATAAGGCCACTAGTTCTATCGGATCAAGGCCCCATTTTTATGGCTTCATTTTACCTTTACTATCTTCTTATAGGCCCTATATCCAAATACAGCCACTTTGGGGGTTAAGGCTTCAATATAGGAATTTTGGGATGACACAATGCTGTTTATAACACCAAATCCAGGCTTCAAAGGGTCTTGTCAGCCTCCACTCTCTCTTCGGACCCTACCTCCAACTTTAGATGGGTCTGGGCTAGCCCACTGGAAGAGAGAGACCACATGAAGCCAAGACCAGCTGTCCCTCTGAGGCCACCTGAGACTAGTTGGCCACCAACCAACCTGGGCACTCATTGAAGATGCTTGAGACAGCCTACATGAGACCAGAACCATCCAGGTGAGCCCTCTCCAAATCGGTGATTTGCAGAATTGTGCAAAAAAATTAATTGGTGGCATTTTAAGCCACTAAGTTTGGGGGGTGGTTTGTCAAAAAGCAGAATCTAACTTATTTGGCAGATACTACTTTTCTCTGCATGTTTTTGATGAAATATGGAATCTCCAAGAAATTAAGTGATTACTCAAGGTTTCATGGCTAGTAAGTCCTAAAAAGTTGAGTCTTGATCTTGGGAGGAGCCAAGATGGCCGAATAGGAACAGCTCCGGTCTACAGCTCCCAGCGTGAGCGACGCAGAAGATGGGTGATTTCTGCATTTCCATCTGAGGTACCGGGTTCATCTCACTAGGGAGCGCCAGACAGTGGGCGCAGGTCAGTGGGTGCGCGCACCATGCACCAGCCGAAGCAGGGTGAGGCATTGCCTCACTTGGGAAGCGCAAGGGGTCAGGGAGTTCCCTTTCCGAGTCAAAGAAACGGGCGACGGATGCACCTGAAAAATCAGGTCACTCCACCCGAATATTGCGCTTTTCGGACCGGCTTAAAAAACGGCACATCACGAGATTATATCCCGCACCTGGCTCGGAGGGTCCTATGCCCACGGGGTCTCACTGATTGCTAGCACAGCAGTCTGAGATCAAACTGCAAGGCGGCAGCGAGGCTGGGGGAGGGGTGCCCGCCATTGCCCAGGCTTGCTTAGGTAAACAAAGCAGCCGGGAAGCTCGAACTGGGTGGAGCCCACCACAGCTCAAGGAGGCCTGCCTGCCTCTGTAGGCTCCACCTCCGGGGGCAGGGCACAGACAAACAAAAAGACAGCAGTAACCTCTGCAGACTTAAATGTCCCTGTCTGACAGCTTTGAAGAGAGCAGTGGTTCTCCCAGCACGCAGCTGGAGATCTGAGAACGGGCAGACTGCCTCCTCAAGTGGGTCCCTGACCCCTGACCCCCGAGCAGCCTAACTGGGAGGCACCCCCCAGCAGGGGCACACTGACACCTCACACGGCAGGGTATTCCAACAGACCTGCAGCTGAGGGTCCTGTCTGTTAGAAGGAAAACTAACAAACAGAAAGGACATCCACACCAAAAACCCATCTGTACATCACCATCATCAAAGACCAAAAGTAGATAAAACCACAAAGATGGGGAAAAAACAGAACAGAAAAACTGGAAACTCTAAAACGCAGAGCGCCTCTCCTCCTCCAAAGGAACGCAGTTCCTCACCAGCAACAGAACAAAGCTGGATGGAGAATGACTTTGACGAGCTGAGAGAAGAAGTCTTCAGACGATCAAATTACTCTGAGCTACGGGAGGACATTCAAACCAAAGGCAAAGAAGTTGAAAACTTTGAAAAAAATTTAGAAGAATGTATAACTAGAATAACCAATACAGAGAAGTGCTTACGAGCTGATGGAGCTGAAAACCAAGGCTCGAGAACTACGTGAAGAATGCAGAAGCCTCAGGAGCCGATGCGATCAACTGGAAGAAAGGGTATCAGTGATGGAAGATGAAATGAATGAAATGAAGCGAGAAGGGAAGTTTAGAGAAAAAGGAATAAAAAGAAATGAGCAAAGCCTCCAAGAAATATGGGACTATGTGAAAAGACCAAATCTACGTCTGATTGGTGTACCTGAAAGTGATAGGGAGAATGGAACCAAGTTGGAAAACACTCTGCAGGATATTATCCAGGAGAACTTCCCCAATCTAGCAAGGCAGGCCAACGTTCAGATTCAGGAAATACAGAGAACGCCACAAAGATACTCCTCGAGAAGAGCAACTCCAAGACACATAATTGTCAGATTCACCAAAGTTGAAATGAAGGAAAAAATGTTAAGGGCAGCCAGAGAGAAAGGTCGGGTTACCCTCAAAGGGAAGCCCATCAGACTAACAGCGGATCTCTCGGCAGAAACCCTACAAGCCAGAAGAGAGTGGGGGCCAATATTCAACATTCTTAAAGAAAAGAATTTTCAACCCAGAATTTCATATCCAGCCAAACTAAGCTTCATAAGTGAAGGAGAAATAAAATACTTTACAGACAAGCAAATGCTGAGACATTTTGTCACCACCAGGCCTGCCCTAAAAGAGCTCCTGAAGGAAGCGCTAAACATGGAAAGGAACAACCAGTACCAGCCGCTGCAAAATCATGCCAAAATGTAAAGACCATCGAGACTAGGAAGAAACTGCATCAACTAACGAGCAAAATCACCAGCTAACATCATAATGACAGGATCAAATTCAAACATAACAATATTAACTTTAAATGTAAATGGACTAAATGCTCCAATTAAAAGACACAGACTGGCAAATTGGATAAAGAGTCAAGACCCATCAGTGTGCTGTATTCAGGAAACCCATCTCACATGCAGAGACACACATAGGCTCAAAATAAAAGGATGGAGGAAGATCTACCAAGCAAAGGGAAAACAAAAAAAGGCAGGGGTTGCAATCCTAGTCTCTGATAAAACAGACTTTAAACCAACAAAGATCAAAAGAGACAAAGAAGGCCATTACATAATGGTAAAGGGATCAATTCAACAAGAAGAGCTAACTATCCTAAATATATATGCACCCAATACAGGAGCACCCAGATTCATAAAGCAAGTCCTGAGTGACCTACAAAGAGACTTAGACTCCCACACATTAATAATGGGAGAATTGATCACCCCACTGTCAACATTAGACAGATCAACAAGACAGAAAGTCAACAAGGATACCCAGGAATTGAACTCAGCTCTGCACCAAGGGGACCTAATAGACATCTACAGAACTCTCCACCCCAAATCAACAGAATATACATTTTTTTCAGCACCACACCACACCTATTCCAAAATTGACCACATACTTGGAAGTAAAGCTCTCCTCAGCAAATGTAAAAGAACAGAGATTATAACAAACTATCTCTCAGACCACAGTGCAATCAAACTAGAACTCAGGATTAAGAATCTCACTCAAAACCGCTCAACTACATGGAAACTGAACAACCTGCTCCTGAATGACTACTGGATACATAACGAAATGAAGGCAGAAATAAAGATGTTCTTTGAAACCAATGAGAACAAAGACACAACATACCAGAATCTCTGGGACGCATTCAAAGCAGTGTGTAGAGGGAAATTTATAGCACTAAATGCCCACAAGAGAAAGCAGGAAAGATCCAAAATTGACACCCTAACATCACAATTAAAAGAACTAGAAAAGCAAGAGCAAACACATTCAAAAGCTAGCAGAAGGCAAGAAATAACTAAAATCAGAGCAGAACTGAAGGAAATAGAGACACAAAAAACCCTTCAAAAAATTAATGAATCCAGGAGCTGGTTTTTTGAAAGGATCAACAAAATTGATAGACCGCTAGCAAGACTAATAAAGAAAAAAAGAGAGAAGAATCAAATAGACACAATAAAAAATGATAAAGGGGATATCGCCACCAATCCCACAGAAATACAAACTACCATCAGAGAATACTACAAACACCTCTACGCAAATAAACTAGAAAATCTAGAAGAAATGGATAAATTCCTCGACACATACACTCTCCCAAGACTAAACCAGGAAGAAGTTGAATCTCTGAATAGACCAATAACAGGAGCTGAAATTGTGGCAATAATCAATAGTTTGCCAACCAAAAAGAGTCCAGGACCAGATGGATTCACAGCCGAATCCTACCAGAGGTACAAGGAGGAACTGGTACCATTCCTTCTGAAACTATTCCAATCAATAGAAAAAGAGGGAATCCTCCCTAACTCATTTTATGAGGCCAGCATCATTCTGATACCAAAGCCGGGCAGAGACACAACCAAAAAAGAGAATTTTAGACTAATATCCTTGATGAACATTGATGCAAAAATCCTCAATAAAATACTGGCAAACCGAATCCAGCAGCACATCAAAAAGCTTATCCACCATGATCAAGTGGGCTTCATCCCTGGGATGCAAGGCTGGTTCAATATACGCAAATCAATAAATGTAATCCAGCATATAAACAGAGCCAAAGACAAAAACCACATGATTATCTCAATAGATGCAGAAAAAGCCTTTGACAAAATTCAACAACCCTTCATGCTAAAAACTCTCAATAAATTAGGTATTGATGGGACATATTTCAAAATAATAAGAGCTATCTATGACAAACCCACAGCCAATATCATACTGAATGGGCAAAAACTGGAAGCATTCCCTTTGAAAACTGGCACAAGACAGGGATGCCCTCTCTCACCACTCCTATTCAACATAGTGTTGGAAGTTCTGGCCAGGGCAATTAGGCAGGAGAAGGAAATAAAGGGTATTCAATCAGGAAAAGAGGAAGTCAAATTGTCCCTGTTTGCAGACGACATGATTGTATATCTAGAAAACCCCATTGTCTCAGACCAAAATCTCCTTAAGCTGATAAGCAACTTCAGCAAAGTCTCAGGATACAAAATCAATGTACAAAAATCACAAGCATTCTTATACACCAATAACAGACAAACAGAGAGCCAAATCATGAGTGAACTCCCATTCACAATTGCTTCAAAGAGAATAAAATACCTAGGAATCCAACTTACAAGGGATGTGAAGGACCTCTTCAAGGAGAACTACAAACCACTGCTCAAGGAAATAAAAGAGGATACAAACAAATGGAAGAACATTCCATGCTCATGGGTAGGAAGAATCAGTATCGTGAAAATGGCCATACTGCCCAAGGTAATTTACAGATTCAGTGCCATCCCCATAAAGCTACCAATGACTTTCTTCACAGAATTGGAAAAAACTACTTTAAAGTTCATATGGAACCAAAAAAGAGCCCGCATCGCCAAGGCGATCCTAAGCCAAAAGAACAAAGCTGGAGGCATCACACTACCTGACTTCAAACTATACTACAAGGCTACAGTAACCAAAACAGCACGGTACTGGTACCAAAACAGAGATATAGATCAATGGAACAGAACAGAGCCCTCAGAAATAACGCCACATATCTACAACTATCTGATCTTTGACAAACCTGAGAAAAACAAGCAATGGGGAAAGGATTCCCTATTTAATAAATGGTGCTGGGAAAACTGGCTAGCCATATGTAGAAAGCTGAAACTGGATCCCTTCCTTACACCTTATACAAAAATTAATTCAAGATGGATTAAAGACTTAAACATTAGACCCAAAACCATAAAAACCCTAGAAGAAAACCTAGGCAGTACCATTCAGGACATAGGCATGGGCAAGGACTTCATGTCCAAAACACCAAAAGCAATGGCAACAAAAGACAAAATTGACATATGGGATCTAATTAAACTAAAGAGCTTCTGCACAGCAAAAGAAACTACCATCAGAGTGAACGGGCAACCTACAAAATGGGAGAAAATTTTCGCAACCTACTCATCTGACAAAGGGCTAATATCCAGAATCTGCAATGAACTCAAACAAATTTACAAGAAAAAAACAAACAACCCCATCAAAAAGTGGGCGAAGGATATGAACAGACACTTCTCAAAAGAAGACATTTATGCAGCCAAAAAACACATGAAAAAATGCTCATCATCACTGGCCATCAGACAAATGCAAATCAAAACCACAATGAGATACCATCTCACACCAGGTAGAATGGCAATCATTAAAAAGTCAGGAAACAACAGGTGCTGGAGAGGATGTGGAGAAATAGGAACACTTTTACACTGTTGGTGGGACTGTAAACTAGTTCAACCATTGTGGAAGTCAGTGTGGCGATTCCTCAGGGATCTAGAACTAGAAATACCATTTGACCCAGCCATCCCATTACTGGGTATATACCCAAAGGACCATAAATCATGCTGCTATAAACACACATGCACACGTATGTTTACTGTGGCATTATTCACAATAGCAAAGACTTGGATCCAACCCAAATGTCCAACAATGATAGACTGGATTAAGAAAATGTGGCACATATACACCATGGAATACTATGCAGCCATAAAAAATGATGAGTTCATGTCCTTTGTAGGGACATGGATGAAATTGGAAATCATCATTCTCAGTAAACTATCGCAAGAACAAAAAACCAAACACCGCATATTCTCACTCATAGGTGGGAATTGAACAATGAGATCACATGGACACAGGAAGGGGAATATCACACTCTGGGGACTGTGGTGGGGTGGGGGGAGGGGGGAGGGATAGCACTGGGAGATATACGTAATGCTAGATGACGAGTTAGTGGGTGCAGTGCACCAGCATGGCAAATGTATACATATGTAACTAACCTGCACAATGTGCACATGTACCCTAAAACTTAAAGTATAATAAAAAAAAAAAAAAGTTGAGTCTTCTGAATTCAAATCCTTTGTGGATTTCTGGAGGGTTTTTTTGTTGTTGTTGTTGTTTGGGTTTTCTTGAGATAAGGTCTCCCTCTGTCATCTGGCTGGAGTGCAGTGGCACAACCTCAGCTCACTGCAACCTCTGCCTCCCGGGGTTCAAACGATTCTCATGCCTCAGACTCTTGAGTAACTAGGACCACAGGTGACCACCACCACGCCTGGTTAATTTTTGTATTTTTAGTAGAGCTGGGGTTTCGCCATGTTGGTCAGGCTGGTCTTGAACTCCTGGCCTCAAAGTGATCTGCGCACCTTGGCCTCCCAAAGTGCTGGGATCACAGGCATGACCCACTGCTCCTGGATGGTTTTGTTCTGTTTTGTTTTCATTAGCCTCTAATTCTGCTCCAAAAATGATCAACTCAGAGTCTGGAAACACAAAGACATTGAAATGGGGCAATTTATGATGAGGCCTTTTCTGACAAATTGATTCCTAATGGACTTTAGAGTGAGTGTGTTGTGAATGTGTGTATTTGAATGTGTGAGTGTGTGTGTGTGTGCAAGCACTTACCTATATTTCCTCTTAAGGATACAGACTCAGGGTTTATCAGGCTCTTTGATGCCAAATGCCAGAAGGTCACCACTGAGACTTACCAAGTAACTGCATGTTTCTTTATGCAGAACCTTGTGAGCAGTGAATAGCTTTATTGGCTGTGATGGATTTGGGGCTTGCAAGTTTATATCAGCCTGATGGGGATAGCCTCCGGGAAAGAGTGGGCATGTGTTTCAATATGTTCCTTAGCAATAGACCTCAGAGAGAGTTTCTCAATCTCTCCATGATATGCTGAAGGCTGTTGTAGAAGCTGAGGTCAGGAATAGATCAAGGGTGTAGAGACACACAACAGGGTTGGAAGATGATTGCTGTTTGAGAAGAGTGACAGACAAGGACAATGAAGGGGAAGCTTGAGCCCTGGGACTCATCATTCCCGTAAGACTTCCCTTGTACTCCAGCCCATGGAGCTCTCTGCCTTCACTAACAGGCATAACCCCAGCCTCCTATTGTAAAATCTTTGGCTTATTTCCAATATTCTGCTCTTTAAGGCAATGCTAGATAGAATAATTTGAACATAGATTTTGCAACTGATAAGTTTATCTGTAAAATTAAATTCTAGAAGAAGGTATCCTAGGTCAAAGAGTACAGATTTCACAGTTTTGTTTTGTTTTGTTTTGTTTTTGAGACAGAGTCTTGCTCTGTCACCCAGGCTGGAGTGCAGTGGCATGATCATGGCTCACTGCAGTCTCAACCTCTCAGGCTCAATCGATCCTCCCAAATCAGCCTCCCAAGTAGCTGGGACTACAGGTGCATACCAGCATTTCTGGCTACTTTTTGTCCTTTTTGGAAGGCAGCTATGCTAACCACTACACCACCAACACCTCTGCACCTCTACTATTTTTAGTAGAAATGGGGTTTCACTATCTCTACTTCACAACCCAGACTGTTCTCAAACTCCTGGGCTCAAGTGACCTGGCTGCCTCGGCCTCCCAAAGTGCTGGGATTATAGGCGTTAGCCACTGTGCCTGGCCCACAGATTTTTATAGATAAATTTTATTGATATTGTCACATTGTATCTATAAGGGTTGTACTCATTTACAGCACTCACAAGCAATGTACAAAAGAGCTGTTTCCTCATACCCTTGCCAAATAGAGTCTTATCAAACTTTTGGATTTTAACTACTTAATAGGTAAAAAATGGTATATATCTTGAGTAGTTATAATTTGCATTTCTATTATAGGTGAGCTTCAGCATCTCTTGGAACATTTCTATATCTTTTTATGTGAACTCTGTTGATATTCTTTGTGTGTTTTTGACCATGTTATTGGTTTAATTGGTCTCTAATTATGAGACATATGCTAGTCTTATTTATCCGACTAGATTGCTTTTTAATCACATTTATGTTATGACATTATTGCGTTATTATATTCTTCAACTCTCATGATATGGTTTTGGGGGTTTTGTGTGTGTGTGTGTGTGTGTGTGTGTGTGTGTTAAAGGATTTATTATGGATATCCAACCAGATTTTAGTTCCCTAAGTACAGGACCAGTGAATTATGTTTATTTCTTTGGCTTACTGAATGAGGGAGAACAGAAGAACTGAATGTTACCTGGAGACTGGGATCTCACCTGTAGTGGATGGAATGGACCTAAAAAAGATATGTCCTAACCTCCAGAACCTGTGAATAAGGCCTTATTTGGGAAAAAGGTTTTTGCAGTTATAATTAAGTTAAGGATCTTGAGATTATCCTGGATTACCTAGGTGGGTCCTGGATAATCATTCACATACACTCAGTCAACTAATTGCCACTGCTGAGGAAACACAGAAACAGCAAAGGGGCAAAGACCAGGTGAAGAGGAAGGGCAGAGACTGGAGTTAGGAGTCAGAGCCCCAAGGGCACCTGGAGTCCCCAGTGCCTGAAAGAGGCCAGGAAGGCTGTTCCCTTGTATCCTCCAGAGGCAGCATGGCCCTGCCAACACCTTGATTTTAGACTTTTGGCCTCCGGAACTGTGCGAATAAACTGTGTTTTTTTAAGCCACCAGTTAGTGATCATTTGTTTTGGCAGCCACAGGAAACAAATACATCATCTTTAGCTCCTGTGGTCCCTCCCTATCACATCAAGTGAATACACGTTACTCTGCTGACTGTTGTGAGAGGAGGAGAGGAAGGAAGGATGTACAGAAAGCATAAGAGAAGAGGGAAAAGATGGGACTGGAGTGGGGTAGAGAATGTCAAAGAGAGGAGAAGAAAGAAGAGAGGAAGAAAAAAATGAAACAAAAACGAGCAATGAGGTAAAAATGGGTTGTTGTCTGCTCAGACCCTTTGAGCTTCTCTTTGTCCTCATCGGTCCACACACAGCCTCTCTTCCTTCTTTCCCTCAGCCTCCCCCAGCCCCCCATGCACCTGCCACACTAAGCAAGTTCATTTTTGTGCTGTTCTGACTTCCTGTCCCATCCCACGTTCTGCTTTCCAATCTGCAGGCGCCAGTGAGAGGGGAAGAAGCCTGAGCAGAGGGTCTTGCTCACCCAGAAAGTTCCGCTCCACATCCCATCAATCACCCTAAAGAGAAGCCAGGGGACCCGGGCCACTCGCCAATGCAGGGTCTCCTGGGCTCAGGCAGATACCCGAAACTTGCCACCTCAAGCACCCACTTGGAATGCTTCTGCTGTCACATCACTCTGCTCTATCTGCCACCCACAACCCAAGTAAGTTAAACAGAGGAAGTGGCCCAGAACTGCCAAGTGTGCCCTCAGAAAAATCTCCAAAGGCAGAGGTCAGGAGGCTGTAATCATTTTGGGGATTATCTTCCGGGCTTAAGTTGGGGCTTTAAGCTTCTCTGTGCTGCCTCTAGTGGTCACTGGAAGGAATGCTCCTCTGAAGGACGCAAGGGCTGCTGGAGCAAGGGCAGTTGACTGTTTTGTTTGTTTTTGTTTCTTGTTTTTTTTTTTGTTTTTGTTTTGTTTTGGTTTGGTTTTGCTGTGAACAACATGTATGGAACCTAAGTGCCATCCTCTGCCCATTGACTTCATCATTGTTCACAAATTTCTCACACACTTTTTGAAAAATTCCCTGGGTTTTCATCTAGGCATTTTTGATCATTTTTTCAGAGAGGATTTTTAAGCCTTCTTAAAGAATCTCCCATTTTGTGATCTTCCATTATTTTTGTAAATATTTTAAATTTTAATATGATAAAAATCCCTTGTAGTGTACAGTTCTATGAGTTTGGACAAATTCATAGACTGGTATAACAATCACCCCAATCAGGAGACCAGATGATCCCCTCTCTCCAAAAATTTCTTCCAAGTGGTCCCTTTTAATCAAATCCTCCCCCACCTGTAAGTCTTAGTAACCACTGATCCACTGATATTACTTTTATCCCTATAGGGTTCTTTCCTGCAGAATGCCATATAAATGAAATCCTACAATCTGTAGCATTTTGAGCCTTGTTTCTTTCACTTATGATAATGCATTGATTAGCATAATCCATCAGTTTTGTCAAGAGTATCACTAGTTTCTTCCTTTTTGTTGTTGAGTAATATTTCATTTAATGGATGTACCACTGCTTGTTTATCCATCTGCCCAGTGAGCAATATTTGGGTTGTTTCCAGGTGTTTGCAATTATGAATGGTGCTGCTACAATTTCTTGAATACCCGTTTTTGGTGAACCTAAATTTTCATTTCTCTATGGTAAATATGTAGGACAAGGGTATGTTTAAATTTATTTAAAAATGCCAAACTATTTTCCAGAGTGGCATTACTATATTGTGTTTCCACCACTAATGTATGAGAGGTCTTTGCCAGTACTCGATATTGTCAGTTTTGTTTTTGTATTAACCATTTTAAGAGATACATAAAAGTATCTCAGTGTGACTTTAATTCACATTTCCATAGTGATTAATAATGTTGAGCATCTTTTTGTGTGCTTACTTACTATCCATATGTCTTCCTTGGTAAAGTGTCTAAGTCTTTTGTCCATTGTTTTAGAGTTTGTTTTCTTGCTGAATTTTCAAAGTTCCTTATATAGTCTAGGTATTCTTTTGTCAGAAGAACGATTTGCAGATATTTTCTCCCAGTCTTTAGCTTGCGTTTTGTTTTCTTCACAGTGTCTTTTATGGAGCAAAGGTTTTTAATTTTGTGAATTCCAATTTAGCATTTTTTAAATGTATTAGACTTTAGATGTCATGTCTAAAAACTCTTTGCAAAACTCAGGATTTTGAAGATGTTCTCTTACATTTTCTTCCAACAGTTTTTAAATGTTATATTGTATCCTTAGATCTACGCACTATTTTAAGTTAATTTTTGTATATAGTAAAAAGTATAGATTAATTTTTTATATGTATATTCAGTTGTTTTATCACCATTTGTTGAAAAACCTGTGCTTCCTCCATTGAATTATCTTCGCACCTTTGTCAAAAAATAAATTGGACACATTTGTATAGGTCTACTTCTAGACTCAATTCTGTGTCTATCATTTTGCAAATGCCACACTATCTTGATCACTGTGACTTTATCATAAGTCTTAAGTTAGGCAGTATGAATCTCCCAGCTTCATTTTTCTTTTTCAAATTATTTTGTCTATTCTAGTTTCTTTGACTTTCCATAAAAATTTTAGAATCATTTTGTCAATAAATAAAGAGAATTCTGCTGGGATTTTTATTGGGATTGTAATAAAGTTATCAATTTGGGGAGAATTAACATTTTAACAATGTTTGGTCTTCTATTGCATGAGTACAATATATTTCTCATGTAGTTCTTCGAGTTTATTCAACGGTATTCCAACATGCAGATTCTGTAAGTATTCTGTGATATTTATACCTAAGTATTTTATTTTTGGAGTTATTATAAATGGTACTTTTTATTTCAACCTCCAATTTTTCATTAATAGTATATAGAAATGTGATTTATTTTTTAATATTGATCTTGTAGCCTGTGACTTTGTTGAATTCACTTATTAGCTCTAGGAGATTTTTTTTCTTTGGTGCGTTACTTGAACTTTCCATGTAGAAAACCATATTGTCTGCAAATAGTGACAGTTATATTACTTCCTTTCTTATCTGTATATCTTCTATTTCTTTTCCTTGCCTTATTGAACTGACTAGGACTTCTTGTATTCTCTTAAATAGGAGTGATGAAAATCTTATTCTAATCTTGAAACTTGTTCCAATCTTAAAGCAAAAATGTTCAATCTTCACCATTGTATATGATTTAGCTGTAAGTTTAATAGGTGCCTTTTATCACATTAAGAAAGTTCCCTTCTGTTCCTAGTTTTTCAAAAGTTTTCAACATAAGTGCATATTGAATTTGTCAAATGATTTTTCTGCATCTATTGATATGATCATGTGGTTTTTTTCAGTGTAGCCCACATTGACTAATTTTTGAATGCTGAACAAACCTTGCATTCTTGGAATAAACCCCATTTGCTCATGCTCACCTCTTTCTAATCTCCTTCCAGTCATACTCCCAAAGCCCCTTTGAGAAATACTGACCTATTCCAACTCCTTTCTTTTACAGACAGTGACCTGAAAGGGTAATGATTTGCCCAGGGTCAAGTAGTTAGTAGCACAGCTGTATTAGAATCCAGAATCCTGACATTGTCCTACAAGATCAGATAAGAAGAGGTATTGAGAGAAAACAGATCTTTGAGATCTTGTCTTTGGAGAGAAGTCTGCTCAGAAATTTAAGGAGCAGTATAGTGTAGTCTATAAGAGCAGGAAATCTAGAGCCAGATTACCTGGTCTCAAATCCTGGCTGTGAGACTTTGATCAAGTTATTAAGTCCCTTAAGTTTTGGTTTCCTCACGAATAAACTCTGGGTATACTTAATCATCCAATGGCCACCTAACACTCAGCACATCAAAACTAAATGCTCTATTTTTCCTCACCCTCAAACCTGTTCCTCTTCCTCTGCTCCAAATTTCATTAAATGCCAATTTCTTCTCCCCAGGAACCCAAGCCAAATATCTTTTTCCCTCCATCTTCCTCACCCCACATTTGATTAATATCAAGTCCTAGCAAGTCTACATCCTAAAAGTCACTTGAATCAAATCATTTGTTATCCATTTCCATGGTGTCTCCTCTAGTGTAAGATTATCCTTTTGTTTTTGTTTTCTGCCAAATGACTCTAAGTTTACTAACTTACTTTTTTGCCACCAATCTTGCCCCCTCCCAGCCTTTATGTGCATGGTAGCAGTGTGTAATCTTTCTAAGCTCTATATCTGACCATGACACTATGATCTCTGATCCCAAGTTTCAGCTCCTCACATGTGACTTTCATGAGCAGCCCCAACTTTCCTCCCAAGCTTGTGTCTCATTATTCTCATGTTTGCACTCTCTGTTCCTACCACATTGAAAAGTTTTCAGTCCTTTAAAAATGCCACACTATTTCTACCTTCTAGATGTTTCTTCATGCTCACTCCTCTTCTGAGAATACTCTTGCCCTTTGTATGGCCAACTCATCCTTTTAGCTCTATTTTGATATCCATTCATCCAGGAAGCCTTTTGTAATACACACCTTGTCCTTCTGCCCCAGTAAGAGCTGGACATCATCCCAACATGCTTTTACAGCACCCTATACTTCTCTCATCACTGCCTCATTACATTACATAACTGTCGATTTGTCTACACTTCACCACTAGTCTGAAGCTCCACAAGGTCGGGGACCATGTCCCACCTCCTCACTGTTGTATCTCAGGTGCCCAGCACATCTGAGCACATAATGGTTGCCTAACAAATGTTAGTTATTATCATCATGATTATCATCACCATCATTGTAATTGAATACATTCATGGTTTACATAAAATGCTAAGCATGATATCTAGTTGACAGCAATAAATAGTTTTTATTATTTAATATTCTTCCTCATTTTCTTCATCAAAATTTATATTTCTGAGCATGTAATCAAACTCAAAGTGAAATGCAGCTACTTCTCTTTGATAACTTATCATCATAACATAACAAGTAAAAAAAGCAAAAATATAATATATTTACCATCCACATGTATACATGAACTTCTGAATGATATTTTCTTCCCAGATTATCTGATGCTTACCTTGAGGAGAAAAAAAAAAGTGAAGGGAAGTTACTCTTGTACTCAGTTGACTCAGTATAGTAAAGGTCAAAGATTACCATATGTATTTAAAAATTTCTTTCTGTGAGCAAATCATTTAACTTCAACCACACCTTAACAATCTCAAGAACAGATACATTCTTAGTTGATGAATAGCTTGCAATAGGGATCCTTATCTTTTCTAATTCTCTAACTTACATTTGAACACAGCATTAAATGGCAAAGGTCTCATTTTAAGACTAGCTCTCTCTTCTTTAGAAAAGCAAGTTAATTATAATTGAGTTTTAAGATAATGCAAGATCACACTAAGTGACTTTTGATTTAAAATCTTAACTTTCTGAGACAGAAAAAATCAGCCAAATTGTTTAGCAAAATCTTACTTTCTTTAGACTAGTTCTAGAAATATACTTTAGACAAATAATTTTCTTTCTTTGGGGGATTAAAACCTGGAAGGAGATATTAATTTTCCTTCTGTTTAGGTAGATCTAAGGAGGGATTGTAGATTTTGGGTTCACAGTGAACTCCATAGGTCAGCAAACTAAATGACAAAAATAAGTTATAAGGAGCACTATTTCTATACAAAATGTATTTATTTTATTTTGTAAGAAAAGAATAACGTGTTGAATATTAAGGAAATTTTTATTTTACTTGATTCCAAGAAGCAAGATTATGCAGATGTGGGGTCTTGTTCTTCCACACCTGGCATCCTAAATGGTTAAAATATTTTTATTGTAAAATCATAACTTCTATATTTCAAGACTCCCAGGAAACATTACTTATTAAATCCATAATATTTATAGGAATGCCCCTAAATTAACAAACTGTAAGAAAAATCTGAATGTACAAAACAGATCACTTAGGGACAGAAATTATTTTTTATTACCAAAACACTCTTTAACTCAAAAAAGATTCACCAAAAATAGTCTTAGATTTGGAATTATCATAGCGTTTACAGGTGCAGAGGATAAATGATGGAAAAGGCTCCAAAATGAGGATAATGAGGCCCCAAATTGTAGATCAATGTATAAGTAAACAAAAATGCTTTACCATTATAATGTAAGCTAATGGGAAAATATGATTTGCTTTGTCAAACATTGATTTATATAGGAAATGGTATAAAATCTAATGAAAGGAATTACATAATTCTTTATATAGCAGATTATGTGTCTAGAAGATTTTGCCCTCTCCAAAAAACAAAATTTAGTCAGGACAGAATATAACAGATATGAAATGACTTTAGCTAAGTTGGAACACAGAAATATCACAAAGTTAATTAAGCTAATAGCTTATTTTCATCTTTTATCATTAAAGTGTTGGCCTGTCGTTGGTGGCTCACGCCTGTGATCCCAGCACTCTGGGAGGCTGGGGCAGATGGATCACCTGAGGTCAGGAGTTCGAGACCAGCCTGACCAACATGGTGAAACCCCGTCTATGCTAAAAACGCAAAAACTAGATGGGCGTGGTGGCGGGCGCCTTTAATCCCAGCTACTCCGGAGGCTGAGGCAGGAGAATCGCCTGAACTCAGGAGGCGGAGGTTGCAATGAGCTGAGATCCGCCATCATACTCCAGCCTGGGCCACAAGAGCAAAACTCCGTCTCGGGGGAGGGAGAAAAAAAAAAAGGTGTTGAATGGCTTATACAAATTGCAAAAAGAATAAAATCAATATTTAGGCACCAAGGGCAAAAATTATCATAGTAAGCTATTTAATAAATACTTTCTGATATCTTTTGCTTGAATATTACTGAAAGGGAAAATAAAAGGCTATAACCACCAGGACAGGCAAACAGGGAGAGGCCAGGGGTAGCTGCTTGACAGGGAGGGAGTTTTCAATGATCTCTAAAACCAATTCTAGGATAAATCCAAAAAATACGATGTCAATTAACTCAGACTGTCACACACAATTCCTCATATAGCTGATAAAATAAAACTTAGCTCTATATCTTTGAGTTACATAAAAAAATTTCTCTTTGGTGCTGATCTTTCTCTTTTTTAAAAAATGTCGAGCATATTAAAGACTATAATTTCACAGGATATCAAACTATTCATCTACTTTGAGTACCAAATTATTATCGAACTCAGCGCACCCACATATCTTGGTGTTGCTTAAGGATAGGGACCTTGTCTTTTTTGTGAAGTGCCTAAACCATAATAGGGGCTCAATGATATTCACTGAATGCATGAATTAACAGATTATCAATACCTAAGATGTCTAAGGATGACGTGGAGAAAAACTAACATATTCTTCAGCCAAACAGTACTGGATGAGACTATTGCCAAATCCAATAAGATGTGTATTATATTGTTTTAGAAATTTTGCATGGTCTACAGCATATTAGAAGTCTTCTGAATGTCAAGAGGACCTGGGAAAATCCCAAGATTATCCCAAGTAGTCCAGGTAGAAGCATAGAATCTAGAATTTTTTCACCTGAAATGGACTCTAAAGAATAATTTGGCATAAAGAAAATGTAGCATGTGTGTATATACGTGTGTGTGTGTGTGTGTGTGTGTGTGTGTGTACACCATGGAATACTACTCAGCCATGAGAAAGAAAAAATAATGTCTTTTGCAACAACTTGGATGGAACTGGAGGCCATAATCCTAAGTGAAATAACTAAGGACTGGAAAACCAAATACCTCATGTTCTCACTTATAAGTGGGAGCTAAGCTATGGGTATGCAAAGGCAGACAGAGTGATAGATACACTGAAGACTCAGAAGTGGGGAGGATGAGAGGGAGTTAGGGATTTAAAAAAAATCACCTGTTGGGTATACTACATACTGTTTGGGTGATGAGTACACTAAAAGCCCAAACTTCACCACTATACAACTTATCCATCTAATAAAAAACCACTTGTACCCCTAAAGCTATTGAAATAAAAATATTTTTTTAAAATTATACTCTATCCAACCTCAACCTTTACAGATAAGAATATCCAGGCCTACTTGAGTCATTTGCCTAGTAACAGTTAATTAACATCATAGATGAAAATGATACCGTTTCCCAGTCAAGGGTTCTTTAGACAACACATGCTGCTTTTTATAAAATAATGGAATTATGAAGATGATCAAATAAGAAATGACAACTTTGTATTATTTTTTATTGCTTCTTCATAGTTGATTTCTATCCCAGATTCAAGACATGTTGATACTGTGGAGTTGGGCAAACATGGAGAATAGGAAGATGCCAGAAAGCTGCTGGAACTGCTACAACAAGATTACATGAAACTAACAAGTGTCTTGTTCCACCCTCACATGGTAGCAGGGAAGGGAGTAGGTTTGGGAGGATTCATGTTTGGCCTCCCTAGCAAAGGTAGCATTAGTCTTTCAGAGGGTCTGACTCAGTCAGTTTGAGTTGGTGTTTAATGGTATTGCTAAGTTGCTTAAAGGTACGTGACCGAGGAGATTTGGACAGGACATGATGTTCAAAAGTCCATTTATTAACTAGATAACAAACTCTTAGACAGATTTCTGGAGTGAAAATGTTGCTTGGAATGTAGTCGTATTCCAAGTAAATATTTTGCAGTAACATTCACAAACTATTCTAGCCTACATACTCCCACTCTTCCAAGAATTAGTTAAGTAACATTTTTCATGTTGATGCAATCAAATTATTACTGTTCAAAAATATTGCTAGTGAAGAAAAGATCAATTATAGGAACTTTAAGCTCTAATGAAGAAAAATGCACTTGATATTGAATGATAATAGCTTTCTCCAGGTATCATTTATCACTGAATAATATAGAATTAAGTTTTCAGGGCCTCAGTGAATTAGATAAGGCATTGCACAAATACACACACATATATGTATACACACTCATACTATACATATAAACATACAGTTGGTTCTTGTTAGTCACAGTAGTTATGTTTTTTAAAGTCACCACTTTACTGAATTACTAATTCACTGATTCACTTAATAGTAAATACTGAACCATTGCTCCCAGGGGAAATAGAGGTTAGGTTCCTGTGTGCCTCTTTTTTTTTTTTTTTTTTTTTAAGATGGAGTCCCATTCTGTTACCCAGGCTGGAGTGCAATGGCGCAATCTTGGCTCACTGCAACCTCCGCTTCCTGGGTTCAAGCAATTCTCCCTGCCTCGGCCTCCCCAGTAGCTGGGATTATAGGTGCCCGCCACCATGCTCATCTAATTTTTGTATTTTTTAGTAGAGGGGGTTTCGCCATGTTGGCCAGGCTGGTCTTGAACTCCTGACCTCAGGTGATCCACCTGCCTTGGCCTCTCAAAGTGCTGGGATTACAGGCATAAGCCACAGCACCCAGCCCCGATGTGCCTCTTGTCACAACGTTTGTCAACTGAACAGTACATAACTTTGTTTTATGTGTGTTTCTGTTTAAAGTCACCATACTTAATATGTATTATTGATTCATTAACATTGAACTCATGGCCAACAGCACTAACTATAACACATGCTTGAATGAAGCTTATCTAACATGGATTTTCTCTGTAGGGTATATCATAACCTTCTTGTTCTTAGGAATGCTAGCTGGCACTTCAGCACTATGCTTGGGGGCCATTTGAAACAGCAAAATACTACAAAAAGCACAAAATGGGAGTAACATGGCACTAAATAGCAGAAAAGGACACTTGTTTATAGTATGAGAGCTGAAACAAGAAGGCATAACCTTGCCTGGGAACCTATGTGCCCGTGAGGTGATTTGAATTTTTCACTACTCTGCATATGGCTGTGACTACCAAAGTATCCTAAGTATGGAATTGGAATAAATTTTAATAAGTCAGTAAATTTGCAAATATGGACTCCATGAATAAGGAGGATTGACTGAACACAAGTACTATATGTATACATATATGCATATATGCATTCATGTGGCATTTCTCTGATGACCAAATAAGTTTGGGCCAGTGTTGTTGGCAGTTGTGACTGTTTGCAGCCACAGTGTCATTTCTAAAACGTAACAAGAGCACGTTATCCCTACCTAACAGGTTGAACATTTAGATACCCCTGCATGCTTTGGGTGGTTAGACAGCTGTAAAGTGTCCATTCTTCTTACTTGCAGATTCTTAGAACTGCACCTTTTCTTGAGCCCCTCAAAGCCCCTATTTCTTTTCGATATGGTTGAAATGAGAAAATGCTAAGCTTCATTTTCTAAAGTAGAAGGAAATAAAAAACTCCAAACCTCCTCTACCTTTCTGGCGTCGGGAAGAATGTGAGCCTACAGTCCTGCCCTTCTCAGCAGCTGGCGGTGGCTTTCCGTGTCACTTGGCGTGAATCCATGGGAAGAGGGAGGGGCATGTAGACTTTAGATTGACTTATTGCCTAGCTCTGCTGATTTTCTGCGTGATCTTCATCTGTAAAATGAGAATAATAATGCTTACCTCACAGTGTTGTGCAAAGTAAAAAGGTTTATTAAGCGCTTTGTATTTCATTCTGATTATCATTAATAAGGACAATAATAATCATACACATCCTCATATCAAATTCATCCCCAAAAGGGATT
This sequence comes from Homo sapiens, assembly GCF_000001405.40. NCBI lineage: Eukaryota > Metazoa > Chordata > Mammalia > Primates > Hominidae > Homo > Homo sapiens. The sequence continues at coordinate 29,599,051 of NC_000007.14, forward strand.
CAAGGGCAATCTAAAAAAAATAAACACCTCCCACAGTTACACTAGATGCTGGTATGTTGATTTGAAAATACAGCCTGGCTGCCTTCTCTGTAGACCCTTTTTGATGTGCTTGGTCCATTAGCAGGACAAATAGCACTCTCTTCAAGCATGGTTGTGTGCTAATCACTCCAGGCTGTCAAAGCCATCAGCAGTTTCAGGAGCACTGATTGCCCACCCTCTGCAGAGCTCTGGTGTTCAAGGTCCACATAAATTGCTCTATAGAAAAGCTGATCTTAGCTTAAGGTCAAGGGAAGGAGGGCTCGGTGCTTGTCTAGGCCCCTTCTCTCTGTCTTCACTTTTTTTTGCATTCATATCACTGCCTCCTCGCTATTGATTCCTTATCAGCCATTGCTAAAGCACAAAGAATAGAACATTTTGAGGCTGAGAAGTTGTGATAGGAAGAGGAGGTTGCCTGAAAAAAGGCAGAAATCAGAACAATATATATAATAGACACATGCTAGCTTATATTAAATATTCCAACATGTGGAGATACATTGAGACAGAGAGCCAGTCATTTGCTATAAATACTTATCAGAAAATAAAAGAAGATTAAAAGTACTCGAAGTCATACAGTCCTATAGAGAAATAAGAAGGATCCACAAACAAAATCAGCAGCAGCGTTGCATGATGATGAACTTGCTATCACTTGAGATGATCAGGAAATGCCAGGTGACAACTTGTCATGTATGCAGCAGTGAGGGTTGGTTCATTCCCTCATTGAATCACTCATCAGTCACAGAGCATCTGTGGGGGTAGCAGTCCCCATAGAAGCACTGTGGTCTTTGCTCTTGAGAAGCTCACCTTTGGAAGGATTATTTAGATGACTTCTGGTATCTTCCATGTCAGGGATTCTATAATTCTGTAGCTCTACATTCAGGACTGACACTTAGTGGGTATGCACTGGTATGATTTTATTGGCTGCTAAAATGCTAAGATATTTCCATACTGGTTGGTAAACAGCCAGTGTGAACCCCGCCACATCCCCTTATTCCCCAGGATCCAGCAACTAGAGAGACAGTATCTGCCCCAAAAGGGGTCTCGAGGACCTGCCTTTATCTTAACATTCAGAGCCCTTCCAGTTAATTGGCTCCTATGTTTACCAACTGCTAAATAGTTTTAATATCACTGTCTCCACATCCATATCTCTCACACTTGTTAGACTTTGTGAAAGATCCCCACCAATTTAACCCATCTACTTCTGCGCTGTTTTGGAAAGGAATTCAATGAAAACAATGGAGTGTTTTGTATAAACAAATAGGAATGGGAACAATTGTGCATATATCCAAGTACTCTAACAATAGAGGATTAGATGATTCTTACATGAAACACTACACATATGTCTCAAAAATCTACATATAGGCATATGATAGACCCCAAATGTCACTGACAAAAATTTTACTACCTCCCATTATTGAGTGAACTACAGCATCTACAACAAACTAAACATTAACATATCAATCAAAAGCAAAAGTTTCAATCAGAAACTACAGTCACCTCAAGATAGAATGATGCTCACAAAGAATGCTCGCCCAATTTGCTGGAATCCCAAGGATCAGTGAGGAGTGAAGATGGGAATAGAAACTGGACTGCAGGGAGCCAACAGTTTGCAAAAAGGCCGGCCAGCCGCCAGGGAGAGGCAGTGTCCATGACAGTCTCATGCTTTCCTTTTCTGCACTTGAAGCCCCATGCAAGCTCCAATCTTCAGTCATGTTTACTACATCAGCAGCCATGCTTAGCGATCCCTGGGGACTTAGGAAGGGGCTGGGGAGAGAGATGTTCAGCTGCAAGACCACCGAAGGTAACCAACTGGAAGCTGGAGCAGCTGAGCAAAGTAAGAGCAGCTGGGAAATAACTGGAAGTGCTTATGAAGATGGTATGAGGTGAGGGCTGGAGCACTTGAGTTGGACTTGAAAGGCTGGAAAATGTGGGGAAATCTGGGTTGCCCTAAAAATAAGTCCAATTTTATTTATAAACACCAAATTGTAATAAACCTTAATTTATTTAGGAGGTTACCTGTTGCACATAACTGAAGTCTTACATAACAAAGAAAATCCTTGCAACTACACATTTTCCACAAGTACAAAAACTCAAATCAAGATAAACAAAACCATAATTTATCAGATCGCCTATTAATCAACATTTGGGTTGTTTCTAATTTTCTACATTACGAAGATCACTGCAATTGCCATAGTAATATACACTTCTATCTAGTTTTTGAGACTGTTTTGCCATGTCCTCACCAACAGAAGGAATCATAAGATGTTTTAAAGCTTTTATAACTTACAAATGAAAATAATGATTTTTCTTATTTAATTTGCAGTTCTTCAATATTAATACATTTGGACTTGTAGGACATTTTTTGGTTCAAATTCTATGAGTTCCTGATTCATGTTATTTGCCCATGTTTCTTGTGGGTATATTTATATTACTAAAAACTTGGAAATAACCTATATGTTTAATCAACTTCATACAACTCAAAACTTGATTTTGTTTTTCTTGGTCAGTGGCCATCAGAGGACCCTCATGGTCCAGCGGTGCAGTGTGGACCATATTTGGGCTTTATGTGGATGACTAGTTGCCTCCTTCTACTCGCCCCATTATTTTACATGGTTCCACCCATACTTAAGGGGCCACTGGGATGAGAAACCTTTGGTCCTGAGCACCAGAGCTCTTGCAGAACAGAACAGTACAAGTTCGAGGTCAGCCATAACTATAAAACTAGAGCATTTTGTGCTTTCTGATAATATAAGTAAATAGGCTTTGTAGTAGTTTTGGAAAAATATTAAAATTAATGAATAAAGTTTTGAAATTACCTATAATTTCATCACCCAAATTTAATCTCCCATTAATATATTTGTGCATTTTCTTCCAGGCATTTTTTCTATGCCTTTTTAAAAAACAAAACCAGCATGATATATGACATGTAATTTTATATTCTGTTTTTCTTTCTTTTTTTATTATACTTTAAGTTCCGTAGTACATGTACAGAACATGCAAGTTTGTTACATAGGTATACACGTGCCATGGTGGTTTGCTGCACCCATCAACCCATCATCTACATTAGGTATTTCTCCTAATGCTATCCCTCCCCTAGCCCCCAACCCCAACAGGCTCTTTCAGTTATCATATAGTGAATCTTTCCATCATTAAAGATTCTTTGAAAATATAATTTATAATGACTACATAATATTTTATTGTATGAAATTGATTAAACATATAGGTTATTTCCAAGTTCTTAGTGGTATAAATATACCCACAAGAAACATGGGCAGATAACATGAATGAGGAGCTCATAGAATTTGAATCATAAATGTCCTACAAGAGCAACTGTATTAATATTGAAGAACTGCAAATTAAACAAGAAAATCATTATTTTCACTTGTAAGTTACAAAATCTTTAAAACATTTGATGATTCCTCATGTTGGTGAGGACATGGAAAAACAGTCTCAAAAACTAGATAGAAGTGTATATTAATATGGCAATTGCAGTATTGTTTCTAATATAGAAAATTAGAAACAACCCAAATGTCCATTAATAGGGAACCTGATAAACTATGGTAAACTAATACAAAGGAATATTATGGAGTCTTTAGAAACAATTAGATAGAATATCCACATTCTAACATGGAAAGATGTCCAGAATATACTGATATATTATAAAGTTAAAAATTAAAAGGATAATACAGATACTTTGTACTGTACACATATACTCCATTTAATATGGGGGACTGATTAGTTCCTGGAAATGTGGCTCTGGCTGAGTAAGCTGCTTATACAAGTTGTTATAGCCCTGCCTTGAAGGAGCTGCAGTTTTTACATTCTACATGAGCAGTTGCTTTTTCCTGCTCCTTAAATTCCATGAAATCATGGCATGATTTCAGCTACAGCTTATATAATTATAGGTCCATCCTTCTAGGCTAACGTGTTGTTTATGATGCTCTTCATAATGTCAAAGAATTTCCACAATCACTAATTGTCTGTTAATCTCTATCTTCTGTTTCCCCTACCATTTACATTAAAGTACCTTGAATGTTCATAACATTTCCAACATCAGGCACGATTCTCATCTATTTCTTTGGGCCAGGTGCAGCACAATCACCCATAAACCCTTTGCTAGTCAATAGAAAGGTACACTTTCTGCCAGAATTTAAAAGTAATTAAAGAAAGAGAAGTCACAGGAATGTAAATTACATATCTTATGGAACAATTCTGATAGACCTATGGAGATTTCACTGGCTGAAAGCAGTTGCAGTAGGGAGCACAAACCCTCATTGGCCAAGAGTGAACAATTGAACCTGCTCTGTTGATCTCCTTGGCTGAGAGTGTAGAGCAGTACAGAGTTTGGGGGAAATATATCATGGTATACTGAAATGGATTTATATGTATTTAGGAATATATTTGAGAGGCAAATAGTGTCATTTTGAATCATTAAGGAAGATTAAATATGTTTCTAAAATCCCATTTTTGGAAAAAACTACTATAAAAATTCTTATAATAATGTCAATATATGCAAGGAAAACTATTTGGAGAAAATTATACCAATCAATTAATAATAGCTATATCTTGAATATGATAATATAATTTTGCTTTTTACATTTTATATTGATGCACTATTTGAATGCTTTTTGTTTGTTTGTTTTTGAGACAGGGTGTCTCTTTGTTGCCCAGGCTGGAGTACAGTGGCATAATCATAGCTCACTGCAGCCTGGAACTCCTGGGCTCAAGTGATCCTCCTGCTTCAGCCTCCCAAGTAGCTAGAACTACAGGTGTGTGCCGCCATGTTTCACTAAGTTAAAAAAAAAATTTGTAGAGACAGGATCTTGCTACATTACTCAAGCTGGTCTTGGACTCCTGGACCCAAGCAATCTTCCCACCTTGGCCTCCCAAAGCACTGGGATTACAGGCGTGAACCACCATGCAGGGCCCTATTTGAATGTTTTATAGTGAGCATGATTACTTCTGAAAGCATACAAAAAAAGAAATAATGATTTTTAAAACATTTTCATAAACAACTATACACAAATCATTGTGCCTGTTTCTGATGATTTCGCCGTGACAGACTCCTAAGAGTATGATTTTGTATGCAGAAATATGCAATCTTTAAGTCTCCTGATATATTGTGCTGTGTAGTTTTTCAGGATGTTGGCCAATTTATGCTTCCATAAGCAGTTATTCACTCATTTCTTTATTCATGAACCCAACAAATATTAGTTTGTTGTCTGATGTGCCTGCTACTCTGCCTAGAGCTGGAGTTACCATGGTAAGCAATCCAGACATGGTATCTGCCCTCATAGGGTATATACGTATTAATCAAATGGATGTGTAATTTTTAAAAACTGTGATAAATGCTATGAAGGAAAGTAAGAGGTGCTATGAGAGCCCACTGATGGAGTAGATGGAGAACAGGAGTGGAAAGCATCCCAAGGGCACTCCCGGGGTTGGAACACAAGGCACACACACACAGTGGCTTGGGGTGAGAGGCCGATCATATAAACACAGAAAACATGAAGGAGAAGGTATAGTGAAGTAGAAAGGTACAAAATGGTGTGTCTCAATAGAGACGGTGTCAAAAACATCATTTCAAATGGAATTAATGATTCAAAAAACTATGGATTAAATAATATTGCTAAAACTACTATAATTTTTAAATGTTAATTTTTATATTAAAAACAAAATATAGTTTATATAGAAAAACAACCATAAAGAATAAAGAAGTCTAAATAACAGAAAGCATAAAAAAGAAATAAAACTAATCATACTAATTGCAAGAATAAGTATAAATGGATTAAAGTCTGAGAGTTAAATAACAAAGACTTTTAAAATGCAATCACAGTTACTGCTTATAAGAGGCTTGAAACAAAATGAAACAGAAGAAAGCAAAGCAAAATTTTTTAGAGAACAAAGTTAACTACATGGAGGAGGTTATATTAATTCTAAACAAGATCTAATTCAAGTAAAAAAAATATGAAGTAGGGTCATATTAACATTATTAAATTATATTATATTATAGAAAAATATGCCCCTGTATCCAAGAATCTTTATCTATATATACTTTATCTGTATCTTTATACAGTACCAACATGTATAAAGCCAAATAGTTCATATGCATGAGAAATCAGAGGATGACTATTATGGAGGTTATTTCACTATATCACTTTCCATATCTGACAGTTTACTAGACAAATAAAAAAAGGTTATTGAGTATTTCAATAATCTAGTAGATGTATAGAATTTTCTATCCTATCAAAGTCCCTACCCTACAAAGAGAGAATATACTATTCATTCAACTATTTATGAGACATTACAAAAATTGTGGTAACAGTGAGACTTCTATGAGTCCATAAGAAAAATTCTTAAAATTTTCATAAAGCAGAAAGCATACAGTCTACATTCTCTAATACTAGAAAATTATAAATAAAGAAATAAATTTTAAATTTGAAAAGCTATTCTTGGAAATTGACAAAAATCTCTTACATAACAAGTGTCAAAAAGAAAGCAAAAATCACAATTAAGGATGGCAAAGAGAACTCTATATTCTGTTATTCCTACTTTTTGGTGGGGGTAGGGCTGTTTGAGTCATTGATTTCCCAACCAAAATGCTTGTAGGAATTTTTAAAAATTTATCCTTGTATTAGGGATTTCCAGAGAAACAGAATCAATAGCATGTATGTGTGTGTATAAATATGCAGGGATAAAGAGATTTATTTTAAAGAATTGGTTTACATGAGCATGGCAGCTGTTAAGTCCAAATTCTGCAGCGCGAACTGGCAGGCAGAAGGCCCAGAGAAGAGCTGTAGCTTAAATCCAAAAGCAGTCTGCTGACAAAATTCTCTCCTTTTAGCAGGAGGTCAATCTTTTTTCTTAAGGCCTTCAACTGACTGGATAAGGTACAGCCACATTATGGATGGTAATCTGCTTTACTCAGAGTCCCATCCAAAAAATACCTGCGTAGAAACACCTGTGATGTTTGACCAAAGATCCAGGTACTATGGCCCACCCAAGTTGACACATGAAATTAACCATATCAATTCTTATAATTCAAAACACTTGCCTGTATGTTCCTAGCTTTGGACTTCTTTTCAAAATAAGCCCTTCTTATCTGCATATGTGGAGAATTTTTCACATCAGAAGAGTGTTTTTATAATTATGTTGAATGCATTATTTAAAAAGAGATATTTGCAGAAGAAAAAGAAATTTGCTATAAAGCTCTGAAAAGAAGTCCACGCCTATAGCACACAGGGTGAGTCAGAGGGTGTGGTGAGAGAACAGAAACAGAAAACTGATAATCACTCAACAAGCCAAACAAAGCAAATGCCCTGGAATCTCCATTCTTCTTGCCCAGGGACAAAGGCTAATAAGGGATCTGGTGTTTCAAGGCTAGTATTTCATCCCCTGCACAGAAGAGGTCATGAGCCGAACTACGTGCACAGTGTGAGAACACAGCATTTGCACCAAGGCTGGCCTCTCCCTCCATCCACTGCCCTCTCTCTGGGTCAGGCCTGGGCTATGTCTGGCCTTCATCACTGCAGGAGCCTCGGAAATGTACTCTCTGACAAGTCATTGAGTGTAGCCAGGGAAGTGTCAGATTAATGCTGATATGTCAGGTCAAGTCAGGCAGCAATATTTCTCTGTGTCTTACAGGAAAAGTCCAAGCTCTTTAGCTGCACCCTAGATCTGCAGTAATCCAGACCTCGGCCTGGCCAGCTGGTTGACCATTTTCCTGTCCATGAGTCCTCATTCTATTCACTGGTCTGTCTATTCAGTGTACCCCAAGTGTGTGTTATACATTCATGCCTGAAACTCCCATCCCTTTTTTCTCCTCTTCTGCAGGTCTCTATGCCCTTCCCAAACCTTCAGACCTTCAGACCTAGCTTGGTGCTTTTCCTTGAGCATCCTAGCTCACATCCTAGTGAGACCGCTCCTGGGGCTGCCGCTGCTGGCACAGATGGGTGGGGCTCATAGCACATCCCTAAACCAGGCGCTGTGCTAGGTGTTTCCTTGTGGATTCTTTCATTTCTTATTACATCTACACAACAATCCTGTGTGGCAGGTGTTGATATCGTAGTGGCAAGTGGTAGAAACCCCAACTCAAACTGGATTCACACATGAAAAGGTGATTATTTCATTTAAATGAAAAGTCTAGGGAAAGACATGGCTCTAGTGATGCACTGGGAACTTTCTCCGTCTCTCAGCTCAGCTTCCACAGAGCAGCTCTTTTCTAGGTTTAGAGAGAGGCTGCAGAAGCTTCTAGCTCTCAACTCTATCACCTGGACAGCAGAAGGCAGCCTGACTCTTTCCCAGGCTTCTCAGCAAAGTCTCATTCTGTCTCCGTGGTTACAAACAGGTCATTTGGCCATCTCTGAGTCAATCATTGTGACCAGAGGAATAGGATTGGTGATTGGCTTTGCCCAGTTTCATGGGTCCTGCTCCCTCAAAGGACCCATGCTAACACAGGGGAAAGAAGTGGTTCTGACAAGAGAACTAGAATTGCTGGAAAACTACAAACCACACGTCATGTTGGTGTCCATGAAACATTTTGACAGTGAAAGAATTTCTGCGCACTAAAAATAAAATGGGTTCTGCTGTCTCGACAGCGTGGGGAATATCTTCAATAAGTTTGAAAGAGCGAGAACCAACTGGAGGTTGGCCACCAGCAAGTATTTTCTGGAGTTGTCTTCGGTTGGACCAGAAGATGAAACATGAACTCCGTTTCCAAATCAACTTATAAAGCATCATCTAAAGCCTTCTAAAATGAGATTATATTTTAATGTGGGAACTAGTGCAAAAATGGACTTAAAGTTTGGTCATTTTCTTCAAAGAATTACCTGACTGGTAATCTGTGTGAGATCTTTTCAATTCGTCCCAGGCTACTGTGATATGGTGGTATCAGAGTTCCTGCTGAGTAACTTTTCTTCGAGAGGTTGGCTACTTAGCATAGGGCAATTGTAAAGCAAACTTGCATGCCTCGGGCTTTGCTGGTGACTGTGACTATGAGCTGGCAGTTGTTTCTTTTCTTGTGTGTGCTTCAGCTTCCAACTCACTCAGCACTTTTTGTAGGTCTTGAGTCAGTCTTTATCACACTAAACAATTTCTCATCTTGGCTTTGCAAATTGCTCTTCAAAACTAATAGTAAATTAACCTCTGCAAGAAAGCACATGAACTAATTCACATGTCCGTGGGCCAGGCTCCACCTGAATTATTGCAGAAATGCAAAAGAAGTTTTTTATATCATAATTGTATCACTAATAGCATGGTGTCAGGCCCTGGACTAAGCTCTTTATGTGATCTCACCTCTTTTATACAGGTGCTCTCTGAGGTACGTACCTAACTTGGCTCCACCTAACAGATGAAGGAACTGAAGTTAGGAGAGATTGTCAGTTACCCAAGGCCACAAGGTTAATATTCAGACCCAGACTGTCTAGCTTCTGGCTCCTTAACAAACATTCTAAAACAATGAGTTATCAGGCTTTTGAGACAATGAATACACACGAAAACAACAACATCAATAGAAAGGGGAGAATAATGGGGAACGAAAGGAGCACTTTGATTATTCACGCACTGGTACAGTGAGGCGTATTTTCCCCCAATCTCAGGAGAATACAGTACTTCATGCTTTTAGACTGAGTTAATGGCAGATATTTAGTTAGGTGGTTGCAAGGGTATCATATTCTCAAAGTGGCGAGTTCTCGGAAGGTTGACTTCTTTTCAGTTTTTGCCCTCTGTGGCCCATGCAGTGAATGCCTAACCTCTCCTCTCCACCCCAGTACTGAGGAGGTGAAATCTGCAGGTGTTGGCTTAAAAGGCAGGAATGTTTATTTCGTACCTTAAGTGGCCACAGCCTCTTCTTCCTGTACCTACCTGCAGCCCCGAGTTCAGACCACCAAGTGGATGGGGTGTGGGTAAAGACAGCCAGGAAGCTTGTCACAGCTGGGTCTGTTTTTTATATTTATAGGAAACAAGGTGGCTTCAGAAAGGACCCTGACGGTCTGGGAGACCCTCTTGCTCGGTTCAGGGCAGGCTTCCTCCCCTAGAATCCTAACAGGCAGTCCTATCCTTGGTCTGTATCTTCCCAGAGACAGACAGCTCACTATCTTGAAGAATTAACCTTGAGCCTAAAAAGTTCTCATGTCCCATGAATCGCTTCTGCCTCAGCATTTTCAGAGTGAAGAACAATAAGGACGGGTACCTTCCCTCATACTCCAGACCTTTTAGTGACCCTAGGCTGTGTTCTCAGTCATCCGACCTCCGCAACGCAGGGAGGAGACGGTATCTTGGATAGTTGAAAGGCAACTGGGTGTGGTTTGTTTATCTCTGGCATTCACAAGCTGGGCAGCTGGTGCCTTCACCTGCTCTGTGGACACAGCCCTCAAAGCCTCTTGGTTTGCAAAGGAAAGGCAGTCTCTCTTTCAGTGTTTTTGTTTGTTTGCTCCTTAGCATGAGAAATTAAAATAAAGCCCTCCTTTTTTAGTTGAATATTAACCCACTTCCCCTTTCCTTTTCCCCATCATGCTTTTATTCTGTCCTTCTCTGACCATCACTCAGTCTCTCTCTTCGGAGGGATCCTTCCTTTTTTGCTTGTCTTTCACTCTCCTTGTCTCTTTCCTCTTCTTTGTACCTGTCTCTTTCCACGGACTACATTCCGTATTACTTATCCTGCAGGTCTAGATGGAATGTGTGCCTTGTTCCTAGAGTAATGGCAGTGCCAATTATTCATCCCAAAATGACTGGGCTTAAGCCAATTGGAGTGGAATCCACAGATTGAGTCACCAACACTTAGGCAAGCGTTGAGGAGACGGAATGGTGGTAAATTCCAGGATGCTTTTAGGCGGCAAAGGAAGGAGTCCCCAAATTAGTGCCACCTAGCGGTTTGCTAGAGTAAGGTCTGCAGCCCAGGTCATCGAACGCACAGAGGAAGGTAATGTTTGGTTTTGTAAATATATTCTTCTTCCATGGCATGGCAGTCCCTGTGCCCTGCAAAGTGTTTTGTCATGATCTTGTTGAATCCTCACATATTGTAATCTCCCTGGAGTGAGGCACCGAGGGATGAAATAATGAGTGGGACTGGGATTCTAACCCTTGCTCCAAAGCTATTAATAGTACTCTTTCCACAACACACACGAAGGAAACTAGAAAGCTACAGAGATGCAGTTTGTACAATTTGGACACCAGAATTTAGCAGGAGTAATACTTTCTCATGATTTTGAGTAGATGCCAAGATGTTCAGAAATGATGTAAGAGAAAGGTTTCATAAATTTAAAGTTGGACAGTAGTGCATGTTTTAGATAGATGGACTTCTATTTCCACAGTTAAAATTGACAGAATGTATAAGATCCACATCTGTTTATAATAAATACAGTATCTCCCTAATACTTCATTTTTTAAGTGGAAAGAGTGTTGACATTTCTGGTCCCAGAATTGTGTTCAGCTCTTTTTTTTTTTTTTTTGGAGAGGCGGAGTCTCACTCTATTGCCCAGGCTGGAGTGCGGTGGCATGATGTTGGCTCACTGCAACCTCTGCCTCCCAGATTCAAGCAATTCTCCTGCCTCAGCCTCCTGAGTAGCTGGGATTACAGATGCCCGCCACCATGCCCAGCTAATTTTTTGTATTTTTAGTAGAGACAGGGTTCTGCCATCTTGGTCAGGCTGGTCTTGAACTCCTGACCTCAGGTGATCCACCTGCCTTGGCCTTCCAAAGGGCTGGGATTACAGGTATGAGCCACCGCACCCAGCTGTGTTCAGCTCTTTTTTCCATCAACAGTGAAAAGAAAATACCACCTCCACCATTGTGGTTTTTGAGATTATTGAAGTCAATTAAATGTCAACATTTACCAAAAAATAACCAAAAAAAGATAGGCTGCTTTAGATGAAATAGCATTGAAGTTTATTAAACTTAGACAACAGAAGACTCTTGTGTAAATCCACATAAACAAAACCAGAAGTTCCCTCAGAAGACCCTCACCCGGATGTACAGGTGGAGTCTAGTGGTCTTTGAACTAAATGTGAGAATCACTGGGCCAGAGGCCTGGCCTGAGTGTAAGAAAGAGGTTAAGAATGGATTCTGTGAACTTCCAGGTTGCCATGAAGGTCTCTCAAAGGCTTTTGCCTCAGGGCCCGTCTCTCTGTGGCCCTGAGGAGAAGTAGCCTTCTGCGCAGCTGCCAACCAGGCCCTGGGAGGCACAGAAAGGGTTCTTTCTCACATCTAGCCTCACAGGGGCCCTGCTAGACCCCACAGGACATATTTATGGCTGTCCTCTTTCCTGCTATGAGGGGAAGAGAAGTCTTCCTCATTGTGCTTGTGTTGATAGCCTAGCACCCTGGACCCAGCACTTGGCTTTACTTGGAAAGAAAATTTATCTGTTGGTCGTGTGAAAAATTCCTCTAGATGGACTTCACTGGGGCTCTGGTTTTCTGGGACTCCCTACCTGAGTGAAGAGAGAGGTCACTTCTCTTCTACCAAAGTAGAAAACACTTTGATATGTAATGAAATGGAGGTTACTGGGTAACTTCCTCTTTCTAAATCTCAGTGAAATTCAGTCCTGGTTTATTAATAATCCCATAATGCTTCACTTCAGATTAACTGACACTTGAAATGATGCTCTCTAATTTCTCACTAGGGTATGAGAGACAGAGAAGTTGAGAGAAAAAGATTAATAGAGAGAGACAAACAGACAATGACAGAGAGAAAACCCAAAGACAGTAATTCAACTGACTCATGAGTTCAGCTGAGTTATTATTTTTAATGTTTTTTGCAGGAACAAACATCAAGAAAATGTTTTGCAACTCCTTCAATCTTCCAGGCAACGATTGCTAAGTGTCCATGTTGAAAATTCATTGAGATGGGTTCATCCACCTGGTCACCTGGTGCATCAGCAGCTGATTAATAAATCCTTGAGCAACTCTTTGGTAAACCCTCCATGTAAGGAAAAGGTAAGAGAGAGAAAGAAAGAGAAAGGGAAGAGGGAATAGAGAAAGGAGAGATGGGGAAAATGTGGAGGGAGAGAAGTGAGAGAGTCGTAGGTTGGAGGAAGAAAGAGAAGGGGAAATGCAGAGAAAAAGGAAGATAAGAGAAAGTGAGGAAGGGAAAAAAGACAGAAAGAGATGCTGAGAGAGAAGACAAAATGAAAAGAAACAAAGAGAACAAAGAAGCCCATGGTATCCATCTTTCCAGCTGTCTCCCTAAGCAAACTTGCTTGCAGCAGCCCCTGGCAAGGCCCCGGTGCCCTAGTTGCATGATAATGAAGTCAGAGTGGCCGGGAGTCTCTGTGCTCTGGAGGGCTGGGCTGTCTCTGATTTCACAGCCTGGCTGGCCAAGCCCAGCCACTGGGGGCCACTGGGAGCAGACATGTTGCCTGGCATCTGCTGCATGGCCTTCTCTTATTCTCTCTGGGTCTGACACGCCCTCATGGGCTGCAGGATGGACAGTTCATGGGAAGGCAGTGAGAAATCCCACAGGAAAGTAGGAGTGGGTCTTGGGTTTCCAGCTAAACTGTCAATGTCATGAGAACCTCGGTAGGAGTGTTGGATGTCTAGCCCTTGGGAGGACAGCAAAGAGGGGGGAATACAATTGAGAGGCTGACCAAAGAGAAGCTTCTGGGCTTTGCTGTCTCTGTTTTCTCCCAGTGAATAAGAACTCTTTTCCCCTTTAATTTGCTTTGCCAAAATTGAGGACAGATGCTGCTCCATGGTGATTCATGTGGAAACAAGAACTTTTCTCTTCTTTCTTCCCACGCTGCCCCCTGGCCACCACAATTTACAAGAAAGATTGGCTCAAGCCTTTTAAAAGTTTAATAGAAATCCAAAGTTGACTGTGAATCAGAGAAAACAAAAGACATTAAAAAGGAGAGAGGTTAAAGAAGAGAGAGAGAGAGATTTTTTTAAAGGGTCAGGAGACACAGAATATTTACATTTCAGGTACCAGCTTTAGCCACACAGCCAATAATGTGAAAACAGAGAAGAGCCAATTGTTTTTCACCTCTTTCTCTTTTGTGCACTAAATCTCAAGCAACTATCTCATCAGAATCCTAACATTTCCAAGCTGAAAAGATCCTCAGAGATCATGTATTCATTTTAAGCTTCTCATTTTCAGGATACAAAACATGAGGCCAGGGAGTTAAATCCCTTGTCCCAGGCTGAGCAGCTTTTCCATAATATTGGCAGCTGAGCGGGACACACCTTGAGTTGCACAGACCCAGGCAGCTGAATGGGTCAGTGGAGCAATGACAATGGGGTTGAATTCCCGCAGAGACCACTTTCTGCATTTGGATACAAAGGGAAGAAGGGAGGGTATAGCCTATTCTCATGAGCTTTTCTCTTAGTAGCAGAACATTGTGGGAATCTGCCTGTACTTTTTTAGTTCCGCCATATTATTTTACCCAGCACTGTTATCAGGTGCTAATGGAGGTACAGAAAGAAAGAGAGGTATTTGGTGGTCTATAGATCCCTCTGTGGCCATGGAGACACTAGCACCACTTTCTCCACCATTGATCTCGAGGAAGTTGTCTATTATTTCTGGCCTCAGTTTCCTCATCTGTAAATTGAACTCTGGAATTCCTATTTGGGCAGTATTTCTGTAAGTTGACATTAATCCAGGGCATAGCATTATAATTGTCACATAAATATTAAGCATTTAATCTTGGTGCCAGTTACTTTTCTTAGACAATGTTGTAAGACCTGTTTTTGTTTCCTGGGCAATAAATGCCTGTTGAATGAAGAAATGAATGAATTTTTAAATTCCTAATGCTGAGTCATTCCAAATTGTTCTCCAGTGTTCGCTTTTAGTGACCTTGAATATAACTAGCATTCTTTCTGCTTTTAGTGTTTTCTCACAAATAAGTTTGGCAGATGACAAAAATTCTTTTTTTTTTTTTTTCTGCAGCTTCTCACTGTTGATCTGGCTGGAGTGCAGTGGCGCGATCTTGGCTCACTGCAAACTCTGCCTCCCGGGTTCAAGTGATTCTCCTGCCTCAGTCTCCTAAGTAGCTGGGATTACAGGCACCGTGCCTGACTCATTTTTTTTTTTTTTTTTTTGTAGAGATGGGGTTCACCATGTTGGCCAGGCTCATCTCGAACTCCTGACCTCAAGTGATCCACCCAACTCAGCCTCTCAAAGTGCTGGGACTACAGGCGTGAGCCACCATGCCCGGCCAACAAAAATTCTTATAAAATGAGAATTGGGTAAAGGTCAGTCAGCCTTCACTGGCTCCTATCTCCCTGGGAGTAAAAGCCAAAGTCATGACAATGCCTACAAGGCCACACAGGATCCACATGGCTATCACTCTGACCCCACTGCCTGCTGCTCTTCCCCTCCACTATCCCTAATCAAGTCACTCTCCTACTTGCTCTACCTTGGACAGCCCAGGCAGGCCTCCACCCCAGGGCCTTTGCACTTGCTGTTCCCCCAGCCGGGACTTCTAGTCCTCCATGTGATCTTCTCCCTCACTTTTGCATCTCAGCAGTTCCTCTCAGGAACATCAGATTTAAAATGGTTCCTCCTTACCCACTGCCCCAGCACTCTGTTTGCAGCTGCAGTTCTCAGCTCCACCTGCTATACCATGTAATTGACTTATTATCTTGTTGATTGTCTGTCTTCCTTCTCCTAGAATGTAAGTTCCATGGAGGCAGATAATTTTGTCCATTTTGTCATGGCCATTTCCCCAGTACCCAGCACAGTACTTAGCAGACAGTAGATGCTCAATGTGTTTGTTAAATTAGCAAATCTTGTAATTATGCACTGCTTTATTTCTCACTCAAAACCTTAAAAAATGAAATAAAGAAAGAGAAAAGGAAAGAAGCAGGGCTGGTTCCCATTGATTAAATGGTTCCTATGTGCTCGTTGTAAGTACTTTACATGTATTTATTCATTTACTGCTCAACAGCTGTATGAATGAAAGCCTGTGAGTTCCATCTCCTTGGCTGTTTCCTCTGAACACTGGCAGACTCCTGGGCCTCTTCTCTTTGGTAATTATACTCACTTTCTAGGGGATCTCATCTGGTCTTGTGGCCTCAAATGTCATCTACGATTATCAAATGGATCTCAAACTTAACATGTCTAAAATTAAGCCCTTGAACTACACCCCCTCATCACTAAATTGTCTCCCTCTCTAACAAGGGAAACCCCATTCTTCCGTTTATTCAGGCTGAAAACATGGGAGTCATTCTTGATTCCTGTCTTCTCTGTCCCCACACCTAGGGTTGTCAGATTTATCAAATAAAAGTAAAAAACAGGTGCTTTATTTTATCTGGCATCCCTGCCCACATCCAATCAATCAGAAAGTTCTCTGTATCTCCAAAATACAACCTGAATGCAACCACTTTCACCACCACCACCTCCACCCTAACATTACTGCAAGAGGCTCCCAACTATCTCTTTGCTCCTGCCTTTGTCCTTGATGTCTATCTTCTGATATCAGCTGGAGCGATCCTTTTAAAAGGAAAGTTAAATCATATTTCTCCTCTGCTCAGAATCTTCTGGTAGACTTTCATGTGGCTGAGTTAAAATTCAAAGTCCTTCTTTCCACAGCCTATGCAACCATCACCATTGCCCTACCTCTGTCTTCCTCTCTGGTTTCATCACCTGCATCCTTCTTCACTTGGTGCGTCAGCGACCCAGGCCTTCTTACCGCTTCTTGAATACAACTACTCCCTGCCACAGGGGCTTTGCATACACTTTGCCCTTCCCTCTGTCTGAAACTCTCTTGTCCCAGACATCTTCATGGTTCTTGCCCTCATTTCACTGAAGTCTCTACTCAAATGTCACCTTCCCTGACTACCTTCTTTAAAATAACACTCTCCCAACCTGGCACAGTAGCTCACACCTGTAATCTCAGCACTTTGGGAGGCTGAGGCAGGCAGATAACTTGAGGTCAGGAGTTAGAGACCAGCCTGGCCAACATGATGAAATCGCATTTCTATTAAAAATACAAAAATTGGCTAGGCATGGTGGCACATGCCTGTAATCCCAGCTACTTGGGAGGCTGAGGCAGGAGAATCTCTTGATCCTAGGAGGTAGAGGTTACAGTGAGCCAGGATTGTGCCACTGCACTCTAGCCTCATCAACAGGGCAAGACTCTGTCTCAAAAACAAAAACCAAACCAAACAAACAAACACACACTCTCCCATTGACTGTCCTTCTTCCTAGTTTATTTTTTTAATTCTTATTCTTAGCACTTATCATCCCAATATATACTTATTTGTCTCCAGTCCCAGAATATAACTGTTGGAAGAACAGGGATTTTGTGTTTTATTCACTGCTGTATTCTAGTGCAAAATGAATGCTGGCACATAGAAGATGCTCAATAAATATCTGTTGAATGAATGAAACGTCATTGATGGGTTGGAAAACTGAGGCAAAAAGAGGCAAATTATCTCACTCCAGGCTCTCTCCCCTGTCAGAGTGCTTTTAATGTGGGATCTCATTTGTTCTTCTCGGCAACTCTGTGAGTTAAGGATGGGCAGGCCTAACCCCATATAACAGATGAGGAAACTGAGGTCCAGACTTCTAAGGTTATCATCCTCAAAGGAAACCCTAGGCTGTGCCAGAAGCCTACATTCCTCTTATGTACTTTTTTCACTTTCTTCAACCCTCAAACATGTGTTTTAGGTCTCATATTTAAAAAATTATATTCTCAAACCACTCCCTTTCATGTCAAAGATGAAGTTGCCTGGGTCTAATACATTTGTGCCACCAGAGGAACAAGGGAAATGCATGTCCTTTTTGCTCCAAATAACCTGAAATCCCTTCTCCCTATTCTGGGATTCCTCAGGCCTCAGATAATGAATCGATATGACTGGTGGAGAATCTTTGGTAATGTTAACATTTACCTAGTGAAAGCAGAAAGTGCTATCCAAAATGACATGCTAAGATTCTTTCTAGTTTAGCAAGTTCATGATCTATTTGCTGTTTATTTGTTCATTTTATTAAACATTTATTGTGTCTACCAGGTAGGGTGAGCAACCATTACTGTGCCCAGGACTGAGGGATGCAAGACTTCCAATGCTAAAAACTCAAAAGTTTCAGCCAAACCAGAATGAGACGATTATCCTAATAGTCTGTGCTTTTTTGGTTTTTACTTTTTTTTTTAATGCTGTTGTGTTAGACTGAACAATGGCCCTCTAAAATGCCCACGTTGTAACCTCTGAAACCTGTGAACACATTATCTTCTGTGGTAAAAGGGACTATGCAGATAAGTTAAGGATCCTGAGATGAGATTATCCTGCATTATCTTGATGGGCTCAGTGTGACCACAGGGAACCTTAGAGTCGAAGACAGAAGGCAATGGGATGATGGAGGCAGGTAGAGGGAAGGCAATGGCTATGGAACAGAGGTTGGAGTGATGATGCGTTTTGATGATGGAGGAAGAGGCCACAGCCCAAGGAATGTGGGCACCTGTAGAAGCTGGTAAAAGCAAGAAAACAGGTTCTCCTCTGCAGCCTGAAGAAGGAATGGAGCCTTGCCAACACCTTGATTTTAGGATTCTGACTTCCAGAAATGTAAGAAAATTAACTCATGATATAACCTAGCAACATCTCATTGTATCCCTCGGACTTCTGTGCTTTTAAGGAAGGACCCATGTGATTAAATGGGGCCCACCAAATAATCCAGGGTAATCTCCCTAGTTTAAGGTCAGCTAATTAGCTACCTTAATTCCATCCTCAAACTCAATTCCCCTTTGCCATGTAAGGTAACATCTTCACGGGTCTTGGCAATTAGAAAATTAAAATGTAGACATCTTGGGGGGCCATTATGACTCTCATACCCAGCAATCCTAAGCAAGTGCTATTTGTCCAAAAAAGAGGAAATTTATGTTCAAATGAAAACACACCTGTGAATATTTATAGCATCATTATGTGTTATTGCCAAAAACTGGAAACAACCCAAATGTGCATCCATTGGAGAATAGATTTTTTTTTTAAAAAAAAACTGTATCTATACATGGAATACTACTTTGCTAAATATGAATGAACTATTGATATATGCAGCAACTTGGATGACTCTCATGCATTATGCTGAATGAAAGAAGCCAGACTCAAAGGCTATGTAACATATGATTCCATTTAGATGATATTCTGAAAAAGTAAGACTATATAGACAGCAAATAGATAAGGTTGCTACAAAGGGACTTGAAGGAACATTTAGGGACAATGGAAATATTCTACATCTTGACTGTGGTGATGGGTTCATGACTATATGAGTTTGTCAAAACCTATAGAACTGTGTAGTAAAAATACAGAAGGAATTCCAATTAATGAATGTAGAAGAAATGGGGGAAATAAAGAAATCATCTTTAGAACACCAGTATAATAATTAACATATTAAATATTAAAATTTGTGGGCAAAACTTTAAAGAAAAACAAGAGAGTTGCATAGCCTCAAAGTATCTCGTTCATGATATTTTCAGCTACTGTGGTAGTTTTAACACATGTCACAGTTATTTCTGTAGATAGATACTTCTTCCTCCAAAACGTGAGACTTCATTCCCTTGCCGTTGAGTGTGGGCTGAACTTAGTGATTTGTTGACTAATACGTATGGAAAGGGAAAAACCTAACTTTGCACTAGAGAAACCTGGAAGAAACCACCTTGACCAAGTGATCAAGGTTAATATGACCAGTGAAAACTCCTGGTGATATCACGTGCCCCCGATAGGATGCAGGGAGAAGGGCACATACCTCTGTGGTATTCTTCCTCCAAATCCATGACCTCAGCTTGATCATAAGAAAATATCAGACATACCTGAGGGACATTCTACAAAATACCGGAATAATGCTCTTTCAAAGTGCCAAGATCTTGAAAAACAAGGAAAAAAACAGAATTTTTCGCAGATTGAAGAAGTCTAAGGAGACATGTCAAGTAAATACAAATATGATTTCCTAGTTTGGATCTTTGAACAAAGGACATTGGTGGAAAAACTGGCAGAATCCAAAGGAAGTCTATAGTTTAGTTAGTAAAATGCCAATGCCGATTTCTTCGTTTTGATAAATGTACCACAGTTAAGTTTAAATGTTAACATTAGGGGAAGCTAAAGAAGAATAGACAGGAACTCTATGTGCTATCTTTACAACTCTTTTGTAAATCTAAAACAATTTCAAAATTTAAAAAATTTTGAAATATAAACAAGTAAACATTTAAAAAATGTCACCAGGTGATTCTGATGAGCCAGTAGCATTAAGAAGCCCTAGGGAAAAGCAGAAATCTGAGCTGAGTCACATAGTGATAAAATACCATTAGCCATTTGAGGGAAACGATGACAAGTTAGTTACCGTAACTGTTTTCCACAGCGAACATAATAAGGGATGGTGGAAAACGAGGAAAGAGAGGTACCTGGGTCAGATTATGAAGTCTTTTATACCACACAGGATAAGAGCTTAGTCCCTTACACTGTTGGCCTTGAGACGCCATTACAATTTTTAAAGCAGGGTGTAGCTGTGTTACTGGAAAGGGGTCTCAATCCAGACCCCAAGAGAGGATTCTTGGATCTCACGCAAGAAAGAAGTCAGGGCAAGTCCACAGAGTAAAGTGAAAGCCAGTTTATTAGGAAAGTAAAACAATAAAAGAATGGCTACTCCATAGACAGAGCAGCCCCAAGGGCTGCTGGTTGCCCATTTTTATGGTTATTTCTTGATGATATGCTAAACAAGGGGTGGATTATTCATGCCTCCCCTTTTCAGACCATATAGGGCAACTTTCTGATGTTGCCATGGCATTTGTAAACTGTCATGGCACTGGTGGGAGTGTAGCAGTGAGGACGACCAGAGATCACTCTTGTCGCCATCTTGGTTTGGGTGGGTTTTAGCTGGCTTCTTTACTGCACCCTGTTTCATCAGCAAGCTCTTTATGACCTGTATGTTGTGCTGAACTCCTGTATCATCCTGTGACTTAGAATGTCTTAACCATCCGGTAATGCAGCCCAGTAGGTCTCAGCATCATTTTTACCCAGCCCTTATTCAAGATGGAGTTGCTGTGGTTCAAACACCTCTGAAAATGGGATCTCATACTTGGTGTTAACAATACCAATCGCTTAAAAACACGTTACAAATTTATTTTTTGAAGGATGTGAACTTAAGTGTGGATGCCATAAGAAAAACATTTTGGAAAATATTCATGTGCTTTGCTTTGTGTGTTTCTGCATTATGCCACGTTTTCCCTAGTTAGGTAGGAATTGTGGGCAGGGACTGGGAAGAATTAGGATTGTCATAGCAGAAGTGCAACAGGGAAGAGTTAAGGATAAGCTTCGAATATGCAAAGTAGGATTTTGCAGGAAGTAATTTGCAAGGAAGGCTGAGCCAAGCCCATGGAATAGACCAATGAGTTTATTGTAAAGTAACACCAGATTGAAAAGGAAGAAACAAGACAAGCTCCCCCTCTAGCCCCAGGAGTGCCTTTCAGTAGCTAACATTTTAAATTTTTCCAAAAGCAGGTTTTTATTAGAGGTGTGATCTTCCTCTGAGTGAGTCTTCAGGACAATGTTCTTGGGGAGAGGGATGGGCAGGATTATTCAGTCAATGACTATGTGCTCAGGTTGCCTGGAATGGGTGGACTGGAACCAGAAAAACTCAGCTTCCCAAAGGATCAAGACTCCCCTCACCCTTGCAGCTTGAATCCTGTTTCTTAAAGGGTTGCCAGGAGCTTACAGTTGATGGGGTCAGACAATGTCTTGCACAGGTGGTATGGAACATGTTTGCGTGCCTGGTCCTTGTGTGCTTAGAGCTTATTAGCTACAAACAAGATTGTCGTTGTATTTGCAGCTTTAGAAAAGAGATTAGCAGGGGAACAGAGACTCTCTCTTAAAACTGAGCTCTCTGTCCAGCTGCATTGCCCTGGTCCTGTTTACTTACTAAATATATCCATCAGTGGAAAGCTAGTTAACTGAATTTTAGAACAAATATACAATAGAATACTGTGCAGTCATTACAAATGATGATGAGGATGTATAATTTTCACATTAAAAGATATAAATAAATATCTTGAAGGAAAGGAAATTAGTTAAATTCAGGATAAGTATGCTCTAGTTCATAAAAATAATACTTTGTAAATTTGTACATGAGATTGTGTGTCTACATATATGCACAGAAAACTATACAAAAGGCTATTCAATAATTTAACATCTTTTATCACTTAGAGATGATGTTTTGGTTAATTTTTACTTTTTCCTTTGAGCTTTCTGTATTACTTTTTAAATTTTACTTTTACATTCTAATTTTATTATCAAAAACATAAGGAACTCTTTTCATTGTGAAATAAAGTATTTATGATGCTCCACAAAGTGCACTGAACATTGCTCACATCATTTAATTATCATTTCAAATAACTATTAACATTTAAAAACAGAAATTTAAAATTAAATAATTAAATTAAAAATAAATAGTTAAAAACTGTATTTTATATGTGTCTGTGCTGTAGTTTATATACGATTTCTCTTATGTTGGGGGTTTGGGTCAATTCAAACTTTTGATAAATTAATGGATGAATATTTTATATATAAATTCTTGAATGTTTGACTAGTTCATTAGGATATAGATAAAAATTTACTAAAGTAAAATAAATTTAAAGAAATATGGCCAAATTTCCCTACCTAATAACTACAGGGTCTTTATCTAGTTATATTTGTGTATTATTGTTCTAAAAATATCATTGCTCTTTGATAATTAAAAAGAAACAATCTTGTTTTCATTTAGATTTTTTTAGTTCCTAGAGAGGCTGGACATCTTAATGTTATTTGCTATTTTCATAAAATATTAAATTTATGAATTATGTTTTCCTAGGCTTTGTTAATTTAAATTTAAACTGAGGGAAGGGAATCTTTCTATAATAAGGCCATGAACTCACTTCTACAAATATTTATAAATATTTACTCATTTTTATATTCTTTATTTTTATTCTATTGGTTGTGGTTTTAAAATATATATATACGGATGTAATAAATGTTTTATGCAGCCAAATCTATTACAAATTTTTCTTTTGTAATATTGTATTGATTTGTATGCCTGGAAAGTCCTTTCCCCATCCCAAACCCAGTCAGCTACTTATTCTTCCTTATTTTATAGCTTAATCATTTACATCTAATTCTTTAGTTTGTTTGGAATTTATGCTGATGTATGATATGGGATGAAGATCTAAATTATTTTCTCCCAAATGGTTAACCACCTATTAAGATACTAAATTATTATATCTACTAAGGCCTGGTACCTAATTGTTGGGCCAGTTAGAGGGTTTTTCAAGAATAATTTGAAGCAGTTTATAGTTAATTGCCTGTTAGAAAAAGCATCTAGAAAAACTAAAACCTCCGGCGACAACTAGTCCCCACACCTTTCCTGGTTTTGCACCTGTATTACCTTCCTGTTCCTGGCTGCAGTGAGCTCCTGATCAACCCCGTCCTCCTCCAAGTGCATTGCAGTGCATTGCAGTCCATTGCAGCCCTGTAGCAGAAGCAGAGAGGCAGGTATTAATTTGGGGTGAAACAACCAGGGCTACCTCCTAGAGCTGTCCCTGTGCAGTGGAGAGATAACCGACAGTTGCTCAACAACGAAGGCTCCAAATCTCTGGGGTCTCGGGATACATGGAAACCTCTTCTTCAACCTGGGACAGGAGCCCCTTAGACACAGGCTAATAACACTTCTCCTGGTGTGTGACAGATAGTTGACTAATGTGTTTCCTGCCTGGGAGTTGCAATTGGCAGCCGATTCTATGAAAGGCTTTCATGAATCATTTTGGAAAGCATGCATGTTGAGGAGCAGGGAGGTGAGTCAGGCATCTCTCTGCCTAGCAGCCCAGCCCCTGTAACGCAGATGTCCACTAATTACTTTCATACTTAAATGATTTACTACATTTAAATCAGTCCTTTAGAGAGGACCTCATACTTGCTGATGCAATGAGTATACAATAAATTGTAATGTATATAAACTATATAAAGCATCTGACAATGCTTTGCTTCCCTATTCATAAACTTGGATATTTTTAACTGGTATTTTATGCCTTAAAGATAAGTCCTTTTTTTTTTTTTTTTTTTTTTTGAGACAGTGTCTCCCTCTGTTGCCCAGGCTGTAGTGCAATGGCACGACCTCGGCTGACTCCAACCTCTGCTTCCCGGGTTCAAGCGATTCTCCTGCCTCAGCCCTTTCCGAGTAGCTGGGACTACAGGTATCTGCCACCATACCTGGCTAATTTTTGTACTTTTAGTAGAGGCGGGGTTTCACCATGTTGGTCAGGCTGGTCTCAAACTCCTGACCTCAACTGATCCACCGGCCTCGGCCTCCCAAAAAAGATAAGTACATTTTAATTATTGTAGCCACTGTAAATGCACTTAAAGCTAATTATACCGAAGGGGAAAAGAGAAGAGTTTCAAAATTCTAAATGATAATACTTTACTTTTTGTAGCCCTGTCTTATCCAAAATAACTCTTCAACATAAACTTTCCCAAAACTTATTTTTCGTGAAAAAATGTGTGTCCTGTTCTAATGCAGGTCTTCATGTGTCTGCAATAACTGTATCCCATTCCAGAATATGTTGCTGAAAAAAACCCACTAGCAAGGTGGCAGTGTTATTTCAACAGGATCTCCCACACCTTATGGCTACTTTTATTCAGAGTATAGTGCAATTTCTCCTTAGTGAATTAATCTTTTTTTTTTTTTTTTTTTTTGGAGACAGAGTCTCGCTATGTCGCACAGACTGGAGTGCAATGGTGCGATCTCGGCTCACTGCAACCTCTGCCTCCTGGGATCAACCGATTCTCCTGCCTCCGCCTCCCGAGTAGCTGGGATTACAGGCACCTGCTGGCTAATTTTTGTATTTTTAGTAGAGATGGGGTTTCACCATGTTGGCCAGGCTGGTCTCAAACTCCTGACCTCAGGTGATCCACCCACCTCGGCCTCCCCAAGTCTAGCATTACAGGTGTGAGCCAACACGCCCAGCAGAATTAATCTTTCAATAGAACTTCTTCTGTACCATTCAGCAAAATAACCCCACTCAGATCCAACCTACCATCTATAAGTGATTAGAGATAAGTGTGTTTTGTGCATTTCTGAATATTCTATTCTAATGTGCTCTCTAGTCACAAATAAGCAGCTGAGTCAGCCTGCCCTCGGGGCTGTTGCATCCAGATTTTAATCTACACACATAATTGTGTGGCACTTTATTCATCTGGCTGGGCAGTGACTCAAGTGTGTCTCTAAAGGGGCAGAAAATTGAAAAGCTAACAGGCTATCCTGACATCTCAGATCAATGGTTTTTCTTCCTTCCTATCACCAAATTTTGAGAAACTTACCTGAGTTAGAAAAGTTGCTGCAGCTGTTCCCTCCGGCAGTATGTTCCATTCTCCATGGCTCCTAATTAGTGTTCAACTTGGTCTTTTTTTCCTACTCTAGCTTAAGATGCATCTCCTTGACTCCATCCACCCCATCCAATACATGTGTCACTGCCTCTGCTCCTGAGCCTGGCTGTGTGTCTACCCATTATAGGCTGGCTCAACCAAGCTCAATCCAGGCACTGCTAAAGAGGCCAGAAACGATGCCAATGGACATGCTATCAATGGCACAAGGTATGTCAGAGCTAGATTTGTATTCATTTTTTAAAAACAGATATTACATTTCTTTTCTATTATTTAAGAAAGAAAACTCAAAGTGCTTTTCAAACAGATGTATACCCCAGTGTTTATTGAAGTAGAATCCATAAAAAAACTACAAAGCTAAACTTGTATTATATTTATTTTCTTGAGCTGGGGGGAGTATTGCATTAGAACATGTTGTTCTGGTCAGCAATAACCAGAATGCCTAGTTCTTTATTCCATGATATTTAGGACCGTGGACATATTCCTATGAATGGGTTGGAGTAGTCCTGCATGAAGTATGGTCTACAGATTGGTGCTAGTCTACCAAGAAATTAGTACAGAAATTGGGAGAACATACCCAGTGTTGGCAAGGCTGTGAAGCAACTGGAACCCTCATACATTGCAGGTGGGAATGCAAATTGGTACAGCCACTTTGGAAACAGCATGGCAGATTCTTAGACAACTATGAAACTTTATGCACTTACCATACAACCCAACAATCCAACTTCAAGGTAGTTACTCAAGAGAAACAACACACATGCCCATACAAAGACTTGTATGTAGCAGCATTATTTACAATAGCCAAAAACTGCTAACAAGCCAAATTTCTATCAACTGGTGAGTGAATAAACAAATTGTGGTGTATCCATATTACAGAATATCATATAGCAAGAAAAAAGAATGGAATCATTTATACAATATGGATGAATATCAAAGACATTAATTTTAAGTGAAAGAAGTGAAACACGAAGATTACATACTGTGTGATTCCATTTACATGAAATTCTACTAAAGGTAAAACCATAGTGACAGAAATCAGATATGTGGTTATCTGGGACTAGGGATGAGGGTGAAGGGTATCAATTGCAAAGGGACAAGAGGGTTCTTTTTAGGATGATGAAACCATTCTGTTTCTCAATGTTGGTGGAGGTTAAATACTGCATACAATCATCAAAATTCACCAAACAGTACTCTTAAAGTGAGTGGATTTTATTGTATATACATTATACTTCAATAAAGCTAAGGAACAAAAGAAAGAAAGAAGAGAGAGAGGAAGGAAGGAAAAGGAAGGAAGGAAGAAGGGTGGGAGGCAGGGAAGGAGAGAGGAAGAAGGAAAGAAGGAAGGAAGGAAGGGAGGGAGGGAGGGAAGGGGAGGGAAAGGGGAAGGAGAAGGGGAAGGGGAAGGGAGAGAGGGAAACAGAAAAGGCCAAGATTCCATTTACTCTCGTGCCTCACTCCACTTCCTCTATGCCTGACAAACCTGACGTGGCTGAGATCAAGAAATTCAGTAAGTTGAAATTGAAGAATACAGAAACGCAAGAGAAAAATCTGCTGCCTTCCAAAGAAATGACAGAATAGAAACAAGCAGGCAAATTGCAATGAGGCAAGCACGCCAACGTGCAGTATGCATTCCACAGGTATTGCCTTCGTATTTTACTTTGCTTAGCTGTTTAACTTTGTACAATGCAAAGAGGCTAGATCAAGCTTAATGCCTGTGCTGTCCTGTTCACATCAAGGAATTGAGAACCACTGATGATGAGGGCCGCACCTGCCTCTCCCTTCTGCCTATCTGGCTGTCATGGCAGGAAAAGAGCTTGCATGTTGGTGAAGGAAGAAGTGGGGTGGGATGACAATGAAATCTAGAGTAAAACCAACCTGGCCCAAGGTGTCCTGCTGGCTACTAAATGCCATTTAGTCAGAGTGCCATTATTTTTTTGTGTTTAAAATGATTTTAATTATAGGAATGCACAATGTTTGTTTAAAAAACAAACAGTTTTAAACACTCTCCCTCAAAGAAAAAAGAAAGGGCCAAAATTAGGAAATTTTCTTTCTGAAAGTAAATGAGATATTCAGTTTGGAGGGAAAAAATGAAATTTCATTAAGCCCCAAAAGGGGACAATTTTGAGCCACAATCAATAAGCCTAAAGCGGAGGTATTTTTATTTTATGTTCATCATGATGAGTTCTGGGATTTCCTTGTAACACAAGTGCAGGGGGACCGGACTAATACCACATTTCAGTCTTCCTGCGTCACATCAGACACTGTGAGTCAGGGAGCATCATTACACCTGGGGTAGATCTGAATCCTGGTAAGAATGTGCTACATATACCTTCAGAGCAAGCCTTTAGAGTGTGGTCCACCTTCTCTGAAAACAAAATGTCATTCTTACTATAACATTTATTTTGTGTTTTTTTCTTTTTGCCAGCACCTCAGGAATAAGCATCCACAGCTTAATGTTTACATCAATGAATCAAGGCTGTTTCCATAGCAACACCTCTACTTCTCTGGAACTGCAATTTTATGTCAATTTACTATTAATGGAAGATGGAACAAAAGCAAGCAGACAGAACAGGAGAAACCTTAACGCCTCAAGACGGACTGGCAAAGCAAGGAGGAAGAGGAGCAGACCTGTCATTTGCCAGGGTTTTAGGGTTTAGTGAACCATGACATTATTTAACATTTAACCATTTTGTGCTTAGGTTTGTAATAATGATTTCATAGGACCATAGAATCTTTGAGCTAAAATCGACCTTAAAAGTCATCTGAAATCCCTTATTTTATTTTAGTTTATTTTTTAGAGACAGAGTCTTGCTCTGTTTCCCAGGCTGGAGTGCAGTGGCGAGATCATAGCTCACTGTAGCTTCGAACTCCTGACCTCAAGCGATCCACCTGTTTCAGCCTTTCAAAACACTGAGATTGCAGGTGTGATCTACTGTGCCCAGCCTGGAACCCCTTATTTTAAAGTCAAGGAGACTCAGTCCCAGACATAGTAAGGGATTTAATGAAGGTCATTTTGCTGGTAAGGGACACAGTCACAAACAGAACATGGGATACAGAATTTAAGCCTGGAGTTCTGTTTACTCACAACACAATATTGTCTCTTTCATCTGTTAGTTCCGGTACCTGAGGC
The DNA here is from genome assembly GCF_000001405.40 of Homo sapiens. Classification (NCBI taxonomy): domain Eukaryota; kingdom Metazoa; phylum Chordata; class Mammalia; order Primates; family Hominidae; genus Homo; species Homo sapiens. Next base: position 29,627,539 of record NC_000007.14, read on the forward strand.
TCAGCTAAATACTTTTTTGTGGAAATCCATTCTGCTGAATACCAAGACTTTCTCTTCCTGGTCTACCAACAAGGGAGCCGAGGCCATCAATTATGGCTAAGCAGGGCCATAGCCTATAATTGAGAAGTAAAATTAGAAGCCATATAGCAAGCCTGTATCAGTTAGGGTTCAATTGCAGGAAGCATATACAACCCTAGGGATTTTATGCAGAATGGGATTTAATACAGGGAATTGGATGTTTATAAACTTGGCAGAACTAGGCTGTAGGCTAGGTTTCCAGGAATTATGCCCAGAACACTGCAGAACTGTTTCACCAGAGAAGCTATTACAACTGTCCCAACCAGGGAGCTTGAATATCAAGAGATTGCCCCTGGAATGACTGAGTCCGAGATCATCGGCCAAGGTAATGCTAGTGCAAATAAGATCCAAGATCAAGTAGCTGGTATCTGGGAATCACTGGCACCACAGCAAATGCCCCTTACCACCCACAAATCTGGAGAGACTGGACACCAGACCACTTCAGGGATTTGTGAGGAACTCCATCCTCTGGCTATATCTGACATCAGAAAACAGTCAAGAGAGCAAGAGAAAAATGCTGCAACCTCATTTCTACCTTCCAGTTTCCAATGAAGCATCTCATTGTCAGGACCTAATTTGCATCCAGAACCTTACCTGCAGGAAAGTATCAAAATATAGTTTGTTTATGTGTTGTAAAGCTTTCCAATTTCTGCCATACTGGAAGGTGCACTAAAATGAAGAGGCAATGACTACTGAGTATCAGCTGATAATATCAAGGTGAAGAAATTCATCAGTAGGCACTCTAGCGAGTTAGTTGATATGAGTTCACTACAATTTGGAACATTACATTGAGAAGTAGAAGAACACCTTGAGTTGTGAGACTAGAGGAAAAGAACACCCTAACAGTTTACCAGTGGGAGAGAATATAAGGTGAGGTACCCATGTTAGAGAGCATTTGGCAGAATTCTAAAATGTGAAAACAGGGCCAGGCATAGTGGCTCACACCTGCAATCGCAGCACTTCGGGAGGTCAAGGTGGGAGGATTGCTTGAGGCCAGGACAGTGAGACCCTGTCTCTACAAACAATAAAATAAAATAAAAACTAGTTGGGTGTAGTGGTGTGCATCTGTAGTCCCAGCTACTTGGTAGGCTGAGGTGAGAGAATCGCTCGAGCCCAGGGTTTTGAGGCTACAGTGGGCTGTGATCCCACCAGTGCACTCCAGCCTGGGCAACAGAGTGAGACCTCACCTCAAAAAAAAAAAAAAAAAAAAAAAAGAATAAGAGAAAATGATATGTACTATCATTGAAGCATTGAAGGATCTTTAGGACATACTGTAGGATTTAAAAGTTAGTTTTAGTATATATGATATGATGTTATTTACAACCCAAAAAAGGAGAACAACCCACAAAACAATTAACTGAGTTCTAGGGACACGTAATTTAGTTACTAGAGTGATTATGAGGCAACCCCGTGTGAATAATTTACAAAGGAACTGCTCAGCACCGATTCCTAGGCTCTCGCACACCTCAGATAGACCTGGGATATGAAAAGATCAGAGTGGGCCTGGTGCAGTGGCTCACGCTTGTAATCCCAGCACCTTGGGAGGCAGAGACAGGCAGATCACCTGAGGTTAGGAGTTCAAGGCCAGCATGGGCAACATAGTGAAACCCCATCTCTACTAAAATTAAAAAAATTAGCTGGGCATGGTGGCAGGCGCCTGTAATCCCAGCTACTCAGGAGGCCGAGACAGGAGAATTGCTTGAACCCGGGAGGCGGAGGTTGCAGTGAGCCGAGATCACATCATTGCACTCCAGCCTGGGCAACAAGATCAAAAGTCCATCTCAAAACAAAAACAAACAAACAAAAAAACAAAAAACAAACAAACAAAAGAAAAGAAAAGAAAAGGTCAGAGAGATGAGAGGGGAGACTTCCAGGGGAAGGGAAATTTCTGTTATTCACACTCAAGTGTAAAGAGAGTGAAAACCAGGTATATAAAAGGGGGGTTTTCCTGGCTCATGCCCAGGAAATCTAAACAGAGGAAAGGGGCCAACTAAGTGCTTTCTGTGGGAGTCAGAAAGTGCTACTGCACTGAGCAAAGCCACCTCTTTCTGCATGGGCGAAGTCAGGGATGGGTGAGGGTTTCCCTTGGGCTGGGATAGGCATGTGGGAGAGAGAGGCGCTCAAGTCCTGCCCAAGTGGACCCAGAGGCAAAGGTGAGGGACCCCAGTTGCAGGAGTGTGTGTTGCTTGGGCTCCTGGGAGCTGCAGTTGGAGCTGGCATTCCTGGGGACCAAATAACACAGTGTGCAGCAGAAGAGACATCCCCAGAGCTGGGAAGGTCTGGATCGAGTGTATTCGTTTCTTAGGGCTACTGTAAGAAAGTACCACAAACTGGGTGGTTTAAAACAACAGAAACTTGTCTCACAGTTCTACAGACTCAAAGTTCAAAATCAAGGTGTCAGCAGAGCCATGCTCTCTAGGGAATTTAAAGTCTCTAGGGAATAATCTTTCCTTGCTTCTAACTCCTTTGGTTGCCAACCTTGGCATTCCTTGGCTTATGCAAGCCCTGCCTCTGTCTTCACATGGCCTTATTTCACCTGTGTCTCCTCTGTGTTCTCAAATTTCTCTGCTTGTAAGGATACTAGTCATCGGATTTAGGGCCCATTGTAATCCAGTATGACCTCATTTGAGTGCAGTGGCACCATCTCGGCTCACCGCAACCTCCGCCTCTCAGGTTCAAGCGATTCTCCTGCCTCAGCCTCCCAAGTAGCTGGGATTACAGGCTCACACCATCACAATGGGGTAATTTTTGAATTTTTAGTAGAGATGGGGTTTCACCATGTTTGTCTGACTGGTTTCAAACTCCTTACCTCAAATGATCTGCCCGCCTCAGCCTCCCAAAGTGATGGGATTACAGGTGTGAGCCACCACACTCAGTCTGAACTCATCTTAATTTGATTACACCTGCAAAGACCTCTTCTTTAAATAAAGGCACATTCACAGGTACTGGGGCTAGGAGCTCAACATGTCTTTTGGGGCTGCATGCAGTGGCTGGCGCCTATAATCCCAGCATTTTGAGAGGCCAAGGCAGGTGGATCACCTGACATCAGGAGTTCGAGACCAGCCTGGCCAACATGGTGAACCCCGTCTCTACCAAAAATACAAAAAATTATCCAGGCATGGTGGTGGGTGCCTGTAATTCCAACTACTCAGGAGGCTGAGGCAGAAGAATCGCTTGAACCTGGGAGGCAGAGGTCGCAGTGAGCTGAGATCATGCTACTGCACTCCAGCCTGGGCAACAGAGTGAGACTCTGTCAAAAAAAAAGGCTTTTGGGAGAACAGAATTGATCCATAACACAAGCAAAGTGACCAAACCCAGGAAAAGCCAGCTGTAAAATCAGCCAGGGTGGGAGCCCAAGGCTACCCAGTAGATGAGAGCTGTCTAATGGTCTAATACCCTCATGTCTCCTCCGCCCTCTGGCCTTGGTCTTGGGAAGCAACGCTCAGCAAGGGAGAGGCGGTGGGGATGGGCAAGGAGCAGAACAGATGGTCACACCTTTCTCCCCAAAAGCAGACAGCCAAGGACTGTACTCTGTAGTGGGAAAAAGATGTTCTATCTTTAAATAAGCACTAAATTGTTAATTAATATCTTGGACTGAGCATTCTAAAAAAACTTCTTATTTTGGAAATGTTTAAGCATACAAAAATAGAGGAAATAGAATACCGAGTTCCCTATGTACCCATTGCCCAGCTTCAACAATTATCAACTCATGGCCAATCATTTTTTTTAATCTACACCCTCACCCACTCCTCCCTCTCATAGGCTTCTTTTCATGTAAATCTCAGATATATAATCTGGACATATTTCATTCAGTTATTTCAACATGCCTCTGAAAGAGAAAAACTGTTTTAAAAATAAACAACAACAGACACTGAGGCCTACCCGAGGTCTCAGGTAGGGAGGAGGGAGAGGAGCAGAAAAAAATAACTATTGGGTACTAGGCTTAGTACCTGGGTGATAAAACAGTCTGTACAACAAACCCCCATAACAGGAGTTTACCTGTATAACAAACCTGCACATGTACCCATGAGCCTAAAAGTTAAAAAAAAAAAAATTAAAAAAACCCCACAACATTATCGTAGCCTCAAAATTAAAAACAATCCCTTAATATCAAATATCTACTGAATGTTCAAATATTCCTGTTTGATGTGTAAAACTTTTCATATGTTTTCTTTGTTCACCTGAAGATCCAAAAATCTCTCTTTACACATTGCAATTAGTAATTTCTTGTAAGTTGCTTTTAACCCGTAGGTTCCTCTCTCCTCCTCATCTTTTTTTCTTACAACTTTTTCTAAAGAAATTGAGTGTTGCCGGGCGCGGTGGCTCACGCCTGTAATCCCAGCACTTTGGGAGGCCGAGGCAGGCAGATCACGAGGTCAGGAGATCGATACCATCCTGGCTAACACGGTGAAACCCCGTCTCTACTAAAAATGCAAAAAATTAGCCTGGCGTGGGCGCCTGTAGTCCCAGCTACTCAGGAAGCTGAGGCAGGAGAATGGAGTGAATCCGGGAGGCGGAGATTGCAGTGAGCCCAGATCGCGCCACTGCACTCCAGCCATAGCTACAGAGCGAGACTCCGTCTCAAAAAAAAAAAAAAAAAGAAACTGAGTGTTTGTCCTAGAGGGTTTCCCAGTGTGGCTATTGCTTATTGCACTCCATGCTGTTCTTCTATGCTTTCCCCTGTATTTTCTACAAATTGGGTGTTAAATCCAGAGCAGTGATTCTCAAAGGTAGCCCACTATAATTATCCGGGGAGCTCTTAAAAACCCTGAAGCCGGCCGGGCACGGTGGCTCACACCTGTAATCCCAGCACTTCAGGAGGCCGAGGCGGGCGGATCACCTGATGTCAGGAGTACGAGACCAGCCTGGCCAACATGGTGGAACCCCAACTCTACTAAAAACACAAAAATTAGCCAGGTGTGTTGCTGGGTGCCTGTAGTCCCAGCTACTCAGGAGGCTGAGGCAGGAGAATCACTTGAACCCGGGAGGCAGAGGTTGCAGTGAGCTGGGATCACGCCTCTGTACTCCAGCCTGGGCAACAGAGTGAGACTGGGTCTCAAAAAAATAAAATTAAATAAATAAATAAATAAATAAATAAATAAATAAATATCCCTGAAGCCCAGGCAAATCCAAGAGCAATTATACCAGAGACTCTGGGGGGAACTGAGACACAGGAATTTTTTAAACTACCTCAGATGATCCCAGTATGCAACCAACGTTGAAAACCACTGATCTACAGTTTTGATCATATTTAGGCTCAGTTTTTTCCCCTTTGCCATAGGACGGTTTCTTGTATACCTTACATTGGATATTCAGAATTTCCAAATGGACCCTTTGTCTCACAAGGAAGAAAATGTGGAAGTGTCCATCACCTATGACTTACCAGAGAGCCTCTAGAATGGCCCTATTCTTCATCTAGTGGCAAGAGATGATTACCCCCCACTAGACAAGTTCTGAAGAGACGATGGGAAGAAAAATAAAGCGTGTTTAATCATGTCACAAATTGTCCTTGATCAATGAGCCAGTAACACATAAGTGGATAGAAAAATATCTAGAAGGGTCGGCACAAAATTAATATCATGACTACTTCTGGGAAGTGACTGCGTTTGGTGTGGCAGCAGTCGTGTTTGTGTGTGTGTCCATGAGGGGTTTTAGCCTTACCTCTGGCTTGTAAGCTTTAGATTGAGAATAAAATCATGTATTAATTGTATTAGTCAGTGAAAAGAAAGAACAAATGATGGCTTTTTAACAACAAAATTTCGTATTTTTTATTTAAAAAGTATTTAAAAAGTACTCATTAGAGAAAATTTGAAAAATAGGAGAAGAAAAAAAAGTCATCACCTATAAATTCCCCCCTCAAAGATAACCATTGTTGTGGAATTGGAGTTTATTATGGTAAGTGAAATAAGCCAAGCACAGAAAGAAAAACTTTGCATGTTCTCATTTTTGTGTGGGAGCTAAAAATTAAAACAATTGAACTCACAGAGGCAGAGAGTAGAATGGTGGTTACCACAGGCTGGGAAGAGTAGTTGGGTATTGGGGGGAAGTGGACATGGTTAATGGGTACAAAAAGTAGTGCCAGGTGTGGTGGCTCACACCTGTAATCCCAGCACTTTGGGAGGCTGAGGCAGGTGGATCACTACAAGCCAGGAGTTCAAGACCAGCCTGGCCAACGTGGTGAAACCCCTGTCTCTACTAAAAATACAAAAATCAGCCGGGCATGCTGGCATGTGCCTGTCATCCCAGCTACTTGGGATACTAAGGCAGGAGAAATGCTTGAGCCTGGGAGGCGGAGGTTGCAGTGAGTCGAGATCACGCCACTGCACTCCAGCCTGGGTGACAGGGTGAGGCTGTCTCAAAAAAAAAAAAAAAAGTTAGAAATAATGATAAGACCTAACATTTGGTAGCACAACAAGGTGACTATAGTTAAAAATAATTTAATTTTACATTTTAAAATAAAACGGTATAATTGAATTGTTTGTAAGACAAAGGATAAATACTTTAGGTGATGGATGTCCTATTTACCTTGATATGATTATTACATGTCACGTGCCTGTATGAAAATATCTCATGTAACCCATAAATATATTCATCCGTTATGTATCCACAAAAAATAAAAAGAAAAACTTAAAGCTGAAAATAAAACAAAAAAGTCAAAGATAACCATTGTTAGTATTTGGTCTATTTATCTCCAGTCTTAATGTTTTGTATTTTTAAACTTAGGGACAAAACTCCTACCCTTGACTTTTTAACCTTCCTCTCTCTGGCCTGGTCACAGCCACTAGATACCCATATATTAATATTTGTCCTCTGTCCAGGGCTGGGCGCAGTGGCTCACGCCTGTAATCCCAGCACTTTGGGAGGCCGAGGTGGGCAGATCACCTGAGGTCAGGAGTTCAAGACCAGCCTGGCCAACATGGTGAAACCCCATCTCTACTAAAAATACAAAAAATCAGCTGTGTGTGGTGGTGGGTGCCTGTAATCCCAGCTACTTGGGAGGCTGAGGCAGGAGAATGACTTGAACCGAGGAGGCAAAGGTTGCAGGGAGCTGAGATCACGCCATTGCACTATAGCCTGAGCAACAAGAGCGAAACTCTGTCTCAAAAAGAAAAGAAAGAAAGAAAGAAAGAAAGAAAGAAAGAAAGAAAGAAAGAAAGAAAGAAAGAACTTCAATAATATTCCATAATACTTATTTTATTACTATATTATAATAATCGACATTTATCCTTTATTAGTTGTAATTCTCACAAAAGCTTGATGATGTGAGTTCTTTTATTATTCTCATTTTACAGATGAGGAAACAGGTTTGGAGAAGATAAATACCTTGCCCAAAAATGTAGCATGTCCAATCCTCTTTCCCCAGATAGAGGCTGGGATGAAGCTGGCCAAGGGAGTGTCTTCTCCCTGAAGTTGCAAGTATTTCAGAATCAGGAGCCCTGCAGAGTCCTGAGTTAAAGAGTTAGCCAACAGTGATGTTTCAGAGAAGGGCAAGGGCTCAGAAGCTGATCCTGGAATCCACACAACAGACCCAGAAAATCTGTCAACTACAGAGATGAAAGCAAGGATGATGCATGGAAGGGAGGGAAGTTTCCAGGCTAACACCTGGGGTAGCAGTGTCACTCCTGTCTGTGTTTAGTATGCCCAGAGGGGCCAGGTGTGGGTGGGCAGTCCAGAGCTGAAACCAACCCATTTCCATGCACTGCTTAGTACAGAATGCCAAGTAAAGGCTTCCGTTATTTCTTTGAAACGGTGCTGCCAAGTAATTGTCATAGAACATTTATGGGTCTGTCCTTCCGCCCCTCCCTGCTTTCCCCTGGAATAGCAAGCAGAGCTGGTTGTAAAGTTCAGCACCTTTTCCTGGGTGCTCTGGAGTAAATAAAGCCATTTCCTCCTGCCCACAATGATGAGCTATTCCTGGTTGGGTAATATTGACCTCTCACCTATGGATTTGTGCACCTAGAAAAGGATTTACTTTATTTAGTTAAGAGTTTGGAAGAAATGCTTTCTGTGTACTGCATAAGTATCCAATGTCTGTTTCTTAGTTATGTTTGCTTTACAGTTACCATGGAAAGAATAAAACCAAATGGAAAAACGTAGCAACATGGCTGTCTACAAAACAGAAAAGAAATCTTAAAGATATTTTAAGAGGCAAAGATGCTACTTATTTTTTGTTATAGACAGCAGCCAGAAGGCAAAGAACCTTTTAGGATGTTTTCCTTGGTATGGCCAGACAGAGGAGCTATTGTGAATAAGTGGCAGCAGAGGGCACTCTTCCTACGGGTTAGTTTCTATCCTCACTTCTCCAAGGAAAACACTTGTTAAAATGCCTGTGTATATATATGTTAACAAGTTTATGGCCCTTTAAAAAATAGATGACAGATTAGATAGATAATAGATAGATAGAAGATAGATGATATATAGATATGATGAGAGATGATAGATGATAGTTGACATAGATAATTGATAGATGATAATTAGGTAGATTATTGATATATGGGTAGATACATAGATGATAGTTGATATAGATAATCGATGATAGATGGTTGATAGATGGATATAGAGATGATAGTTGATATAGATAATTGATAGATGATAGGTAATTAGATGATTGATAGAGGGATATATAGATGACAGTTGATATAGATAATTGATAGATAATAGATGATTGATAGATGGATAGATATATTGATGATAGTTGATACAGATAGGTAATTGATAGATGATAGATAGATGATTGGTAGATATATAGATGATATGTTGTAACCGAGGGAGTTATAGAGAAACGCCACATTCTGAGGCTAATTCAGGAGTCCTTTTATTGCCGGCGACCGAGAGATGGCTAGAGCTCAAAATTCTCTTGGCCTCGAAGAACGGGATAGATTTCTTTTTAAACCATGGTCTAAATAGGGGAGGGGGAGCCTACTTGAAGCAATTTTTACAGAAGCAGAACAGGCAAAAAGTTAAAAAAATTAATGGTTACAGAGATAGTTACAGAAAAATACAGTTCCAGGTGCAGGGGCTTAAACTATCACAAAGAGATAAATGCAGGGGCTTGGGTACCATCCGCCGAGCACGTCCCCAGGAGCTGCTGGTACAGCTTGCCTCAATATCTTATCAGTAAGTGCATTCCTGGATGTGCTTGGAGTCAGCTTGCACTAGTTATTCCCTTAAGGGAGGGGGATAAGGGGACTGCAAGTGAAGAAGCTAAAATGGAGAGTGTCCAGCTATCTCAGCTAAGAGAGAGTCACTCTGAGCAGAAGGGTCAGAAGTCACCCTTCTGACCCACTGTACACGTAAACTTGGGGCAGGTTAAAACAGGGTAGGTATCACATTCCCCACTCATGTTTTGGGTAATCAAATCATTGATTCTTCAGTCACAACAAGGGAGTTATATTGGGTTTTAAGATACGTAAGTTTGACAGAAGCTATGAACTGCTTTATAAATTTAAGAAACCAATTTAATATACAAGGCCCGAAGACTAAACCTAACAAGAGGAGGAGAAGGGGTCCCGCCAATCCAGTGATTAGAGTAGTTAGCCATAGATTCCAGTTAAACATGTTTTGGTACCAGGGGTGTTATTTTCCAATTCCTGTTAGCGTCTATCTAGATTTTCTCGAACTTTTTGGAGAGTATCCTTTATGACCCCAGACTGATTGGCATAGAAACAACAACTCTCTCCTAGAGCTGCGCATAACCCTCCTTGGGAGAGAAATAGCAGATCTAGGCCTCGGGGGTTTTGAAGTACTACTTCAGCTAGAGACTCTACCTGGGTATGTAGCATATTTATGGCTGACTGGAGATTGCTTAAATCAGCATCTACTTGCTGAGACAGAGACATTAGTCCAGTTTCTCCCTGAACCAGGGCAGCCGTGCCAATGGCTGCTGATCCAGCTATGCTAAGGCTGGCCAGAAGGGGTACGAAGAGTGGGGCGGCTCTGCGAAACCTGGAATGTAACTCAGGGGGAGCGATGAGAAGTCACCCTTCTGACCCGCTGTACACGTAAACTTGGGGCAGTATATGAACTAACACGCACAGGAGAGGTCCAGGTTCAGTCCCATTGATGCAATGAGTGAGCCTGAAGTGTAGGCCAGCCAGGTATTGTTGGGTGCCTGGTAGGAGACTGAGGTGTTTAAGGAAGTAAGTAGAGACTGATTACAGGTAGCCTGAAAGGGAGAAGCAGATAAGTTATACCTGGTGCTAATTCGACAGGAGGCGTTCCCTGACACGTCTCCTAGTGTAAGGGCATGGGGGCATGTACGACAAGAAAGAGAGTCAATTTTAATCATGGCTTCTACTCCTAATCCAACATAACGTGGGGGTTTGGCCTTTAGGCACAACCAACAATCCTGGGCTAATTTAGTCTGGGTGAGATTAAGGAGGTGATGCACCCCATCCAGAATGGACATCAGGCTGGGTTGGAGATGTCGTTGTAACTGAGATCTGGGAACAAGGAGGGGCAGCGGGATAGTTAAATCGACCCTGTCTGGGTGTCTTTGGAACATAGGGTCACCTAAATCAGTTAAAGGTCCGATTGGCTTAGGAGGGCTCCATGGGACCAGGACCTTTTTCTGAATGGTGAACATAGTTCCAACATCAAATCCTGAGATACAAAGTCTTAATCCCCATGACATGCCATAATACCATTGAGCTGAACCAGGGTTACGGACAGTTATAGTAAGAGGGTTACAATTTCCCATAGTTCACGGTCTAGGACGGGAAGTGCGAGTTATGGAGAGGGTTGAGGACCGGGTTGATCCTCCAGGGAAAATGGCTAGGGTTACACACGACCAGTGAGGGCAGAAAAACTGGTAAGAATCTCGACAGCTAGAGGAGTCAGGGCGATTTCCAGGACAGAGGTAAAAGTCAACGCTCTGGAGTCCTTTTTCTGCACCTCTAGAGATCCCACATCCAGTCCAGCTTCCTGTGTGTCCACATCCTGCAGCAAGGTCGACATTTCCCACTCCCATGACCGGCAGGTTGCATTGTTCTTCGTGGGTACAGACAGGCTCTGGGAACAAAGCACATAAATCGACTGCAAGAGAGACTTCCTTTGAGGTTCCTGCCTTCCAAGTAGTTTTTGCAAACACATGTCCTGTCGTGAAAGAAGTGAGGAGAAAAGAGTAGGATGGAGCAGAAGGTATAATAGGCAGAAACAAACAAAAGAGGTAAATAAAAAGAATTAATTTGATGGCTTCACTCAACTTAGGCACAGTTTTAAAGGGCCTGGCCTAGGCTTGGGGACCCAAGTTTCCTGCTGGGCTCTGTTGGCCTTTTTGATGTGAGAGTGATGAATCCAAGCAGGAATGCCATCCACCTTTAGAGTCATTGGCATGGTGAGGATGACAGTATGAGGTCCTTTCAAGGCAGGAGTGAGTCCTTCTTTCTGGAACTTTTTAACATACACCAGGTCACCCGGCTGGAAAAAGTGGCAGGGCTCACTCTGGTCAGGAGCTGGATTAGAGTGTGCTCCCCAGACAAGTGGCTGGATGATGACTCGTACCTGTTGGAGAGACTGCAAGTACTGTAACAAATTAGCTTGTGAGATTTCTGCTAAATGGGTATCCCTTAGCTTAGGCAAGATAGGCGGAGCCCTTCCATACATGATTTCAAAAGGTGAAAACCCAGCCCAATATGGGGTGCATCTTACTCTAAGAAGGGCTAAAGGAAGGAGCTTTACCTAATTCTCACCGGTCTCTAGGATTAACTTAGTAAGAGTACTTTTTAGGGTGCAGCTCATGTGTTCTACCTGTCCAGAGCTCTGGGGTCGATAGGCACAATGGAGTTTCCATTGAATGTTTAATGTCTTGCTAACCAACTGAGCTATGGACGAGGTGAAGGCTGGTCCATTATCAGACCCTATGGCAACAGGCAGCCCAGGTCGAGGGATGATTTCATTGAGTAAAAGCCTAACTGCCGTGGTGGCAGTTTCGTTTTTGGTGGCAAATGCCTCAGTCCATCCTGAAAAGGTGTCTACTAGCACTAGGAGGTATTTATACTCTGCCTGCTGTGGTTTCATTTCTGTAAAGTCAACTTCCCACCTTTCTCCTGGCAAGCCTTCCTGGAGGCGGTGGCCTGGGCTGGGCTTGGGACCTTGTTTGGCATTTACCTGACCACAAGCCATACACTGGAGAGCTAGCTGCTTGGTTAGTTAAGTCCTGAAGGTGGGGGATCTTGAAATGGCTCCTTAGAACCTGGGCCAGTTTTACTCCTCCCAAATGGGTGGTAGAATGCAGACGACTATTAAAGTTTTCCTGAGGGTTTGGGGCATGAAGATTCTGGAATCAGGAAGAATCTGCCAACCTTCCTGATTTTTACTGGCCTGAAGATGCAAAGCTCGTTTTTCTTCCTCTGGGGAGTATTCTGGGTGGTCTGGTAAGTGAGGTTGAGGAAAGGACACAGCAGGCAGCAGGGTCAAAGGCATGACCGGGAGCCGAGCTGACTCTCCCGCTGCAGAGTCTGTTCTTTGGTTACCACAGACAACGGCTGAGTCTTCTCTTTGATGTCCCTTGCAATGAATTACAGCCACCTGCTGAAGAAGTCAAACAGCTTCAAGCAGAGCCAAAATTTCTTCTTTGTTTTTAACAGTCTTTCCTGCTGAGGTGAGTAGCCCTCGCTCTTGATAGATGGCTCCGTGTACATGTACAGTAGCAAAAGAATACCTGCTGTCAGTGTAGATGTCAATACGTTTGTCCTTACCCCATCGGAGAGCCTGAGTGAGGGTGACCAATTCAGCCTTCTGTGCCAAGTTACCTGCCGGCAGTGCCTGGGCCTGCGGTATATCTGTCTCCATAGTAACGGCTGCACCAGCCTTTCATACTCCCTGTTCAAGGAAACTGCTACTGTCTGTAAACACAGTGGCATCTGCCTCCTTTAGAGGCACATCTTGGAGATCAGGTCAGCCAGTTTCTGTAGTCTCTAACAGTTCTTGGCAGTCATGGACAGGTGTGGTAAGGTCTGGATCAGGGAGCAAGGTAGCTGGATTTAAACACCTTGTGGGAGAGAAAGTTAAACAAGACTGATCTAACAGTAAACTCTGATATTGTAGGATGCGAGCACGCAACATCCATTTGCCAGAAGCACTTCGTAGCAAATTCTCTATGGCATGAGGAGCTGTAAGTGTTAAATTCAGGCCCAGAGTAAGTTTATCAGCCTCCTGGACCAGGCTTGCTGTTGCCCCTAGGGCTCATAGACAACTTGGCCACCCAGAGGCCACAGGGTCCAGTCTTTCAGACATATATAGGCCACTGGGCATCACCATGGTCCCAAAGTCTGAGTAAGTACCCCTTTAGCAAATCCCTGGCTCTCATGAACAAAAAGGTGAAATGGTTTTGAGATATTTGGGAGGGCAAGAGCAGGGGCCTCAGTTAATGCCATCTTTAAATTTTGAAAAGCCTGCTCTTCTTTGTCAGTCCAAACTAGTGGGCCATTTCCTCCAGTAGCAGAATACAGGGGCTTGGCAATTTCTGCGAACCCCAATATCCATAAATGACAGTATCCCACGGCCCCCAGGAATTCACATACCTGTCTCTTGGTGGTGGGAGTGGGGATCCACAGGATGGCTTCCTTTTGAGCACTAGTGAGTGCCCTTTTTCCTTTGTTTATCTCGTACCCTAAGTAGGAAACTCTGGGAAGACAAAGCTAGGCCTTCTTGGCTGAGACCCAATACCCAAGTTCCTGAAGGAGGTAAAGTAGGTCCCTAGTGTGTTGCAGGCAGCTGTCAGTAGTTTCAGTAGCCAAAAACAGGTCGTCCATGTACTGGAGGAGAGTGCAGTTAGGGTGACTGGCTCGGAATGGTATAAGATCTTGTTGGAGGGTTTCCCCAAAAAGGGTGGGGGAATTTTTAAAACCCTGGGGTAACTGAGTCCAGGTTAATTGGGTGGTGTCTCCTGAGCCAGGATCTGTCCATTCAAAAGCAAAGATAGGTTGGCTTTTGGGGGCCAGAGGAATAGCAAAGAAAGCATCCTTTAAGTCAAGGACACTGTATGCTGTATGTTCTGGTGGAAGCAGGCTGAGTAAAGTATAAGGGTTAGGGACAGTTGGATGGATGGTGACTGTCTGCTTGTTAACTTCCCGCAAGTCCTGTACTGGCTGGTAATCATTTGTTCCAGGTTTCTGGACTGGCAAAAATAGAGTATTCCAGGTGGACTGACATGGTGTGAGTATACCAGCTTGTAATAGTCAATGAATATGGGGACTGATTCCCTCTCTAGCCTGCTGACTCATAGGATATTGTTTTACTTGGACTGGCAGGGCAGTGGCCAGGAGTTCTACAACTACTGGCAGATGGTGCTTTGCCAGTCCCGTGCAGTTTGACTCGGCCCAGACGCGAGGAAAGAGGGTCTGTAAATCCAGTAGGAGAGGATTGGTTTTATTCTCCAGTGGTTGTGAGGGTGAAACTAAGAGATACTCCTCCAACAGAGGGGTGGTTAGCAGGAGCTGGGCGGTAGGGGGTGTTGGGTCCCCTAACGTGAGGTGAGCTTGTTGGGCGGAGAAGGAGATGGATGCCTTCAGCTTATGAAGCAGGTCTTGTCCGAGGAGGGGGAAGGGGCACTCTGGGACCACAAGAAACGAGTGGGTTACTCTTTTCTGTCCCAAACTCACCTCTCGTGAGTGGGTGACAGGATATTCCTGAATAGCTCCAGTAGCCCCTTGCACAGCCACCTTATTATTAGAGACACTGCCCAAGGGTGTTTGCAGTACTGACTGTTCCACCCCAGTGTCAATTAGGAAGTGTACAGGCTGGCCCCCAACTGTGACGGTCACCATGGGCTCCTGGGGGCCAAGGGAGAGGGAGCCCCAGCCCCGTCAATCATCAGATTCCTCCACAGTGGGGAGGATGAGGATCTTTTTCTTTTCTGTTTTTTCTTCTGGTTTTAATGGGCATTTCTTTTTCCAGTGTCCAATCTGTTTGCAATACATGCACTGGTTTCTTTGTAGGGGAGCCCACTCACCTTTTTGGCCTTTCTGGTGGGGACCCGGGGTCCCCTGGCCAGTGTTTTGTGATGGGGGCCCTTTCTTCTTGCCCCCCTGGATGGTGGCTACTAAGATTTTTGCCTGTCTTTTTGATGCTTTGTCAGCAGTTCTTTCAGCTACCTGGGCTGCCTGTTCTTGCTTTTCAAACTCTCGATTGTCATAAACTTTCTGGGCTATTTCTAAGAAGTTGGCTGGTGTTCATTCCAGCAAATCCTTCCAGCTTTTGTAATTTTCTTTTAATATCAGGGGCTGCCTGAGTCATAAATGCCAAATCAATAGCACAGCTATTCTCGGGAGCCGCGGGGTCAAAAGGGGTGTAAGTCCGATGGGCCTCTGGGAGGCATTCTAGAAACGCTCCTGGTGACTCATCAGGCCCCTGGACAACTTCAGTTGTCTTGGACAGATTCATGGGTTTTCCAGTGGCTCCCTTGATACCCGCAAGGAGATACTGGTGAAAATCATCCAAAGCTGTCTTCCCACCTGAGGAATTTGGATCCCAATCAGGCCGGGTAGAGGGAAAAGCCTCCTCAAGGAGGTCCTGGGCTTCCTCCTCTGGTCTACCGGCTGATGTGAGAAAATACTTTCTGGCCTCTCTTCGGATACGGTCCCTCTCTTCAGAGGTGAAAAGCGTTAAAAGGAGTTGCTGACAGTCATTCCTGGTGGGCCAGTGAGTCCAGAGCACGGACTCCATCAGTGAAGTCAAGACCTGGGGCTTTTCAGAGAAGGGGGGATTATGAGCCTTCCAATTATACAGGTCAGAAGTAGAGAAGGGGACATAAACTAAAAATGGAGCAGTGCGCTCACTCTCCAGAGGGATTTGGGCATCTCTCAACAGGAGGAGGGGGGCCACTGCCTCCGGCCGAGGCTGCAATCGGGTGGCTATAGGCGGAGAGGCCACAGGGGATGTAGTCGAGGAGACAAGGGAAGATTCTGGGGAAGCAGGAGGGTTGTAGGACAGTGGACCTACAGCTGTCCTCTTCTTCAGAAGGAGGCATTACAGGAGGAGCCGAGGGAGCTGAGGGTTTGGGCAGAAGTGCGGTCTGGCTCAAAGGACCTTGGAGGTGGGATCATGAATGGCACATGAGCGGAGCCATGGAGGAGGGCTCCGGACCAACTCTAGCCATTGATCAATGTAGGGAAACTGATTAGGGTGTCAGGAGTTTCAGCAACGACCCGCCACAGAGCCTGGACAGTTGTGGGGTTCAGTGACCCTTCTGGGGGCCACCCGGTTCCAAATTGTGGCCAATCTACTTCACAGAGTGTCTGGAGTTTGCCTTTTTTAAGGTGGACTCCGTAATCCTCTGAGAAGCCCAGAGAGAAGTACATTGTAACATACATTGGAAAGGGCTCCAATCTCTACGGGGCCGGGAAGAAGAGTTTCCCATTCTGGAGGCAATTAACAAGGTTTCAGCAGAAATATTAAACCCAGCACGGACAGAGATATTCACAGCCTGGGAGGCTGTAGTATCGGAAGAACAGAAGTATTATAGCTAGAAGAAGTAGGAAAACAGCTATAGCTAATGCTTCTTGCCACATAAGATCTGCCTCCTCAAGTACCCCCCCTCTCTTCTTGACTTACAGCCCAAATATCTGTGGTGTCTCCACGACTGAAAGGCAGAAAGTTCAAACTCAGCCCTTTCTTTTAAGGGTTTTAGGAGGGAGAGCAGAGCCAAGTCTTGGAGGCGCTGGACTTGCTGTGACACAGGAAAAGGAGATGTACGGGGTAAGGGATGGGGATGAGGAGGAAAGGGGCCACTCGGGTCTTTCCTAAGGTAAGAGAGTAGCCACGGAGGGATAGAATAAGAGTCCAGATGGAGTAAAGCAGTATGGGCGTAGGTTTCTCTGCACAGTGCCTTATTTAAGGGCACGGGAAAAGTTATGGTATGACAGAAAAGGTGAGCAAGGAGGTCTGCAGGGTGGCTATTTTGAATCCACCACTGGTCTAAGGAGGAGATGGTCCAGTCATTGGGGTGTGGAGTATGGCAATCTAAATGCCAGCAATCTTTATTGTGCCAGAAATCCCAAACGGGTGAATGTCTTCCACACCCCTCCCCATAACAACACCTGATTTGTGTCTGACAGAAAAGGCAGGACTGGGATGGCCAGCGCAAACGACTGATGAGAGATTTGACCTCCTGAGATATCAAATCTGTACTGAGGACCTTGAAGAAGTCCTTGCCCAGTTGTCATAGGCAGTATCGGCGACCGGACATACAAAATTTAGACAGACACCAAACAGGACAATAGACACTAGGATATATAAACAAGTATGACAATTTTTATAGACAGACAAGGGGAGGGGGTCCCGTGATGGGATCAGTCAGAGGCCCGCCTCGCTGCTCCCCTTGCGGGGACTTAGGCTCTTCTTGGCATTGGCAGGCCGGTATAAACCCCTGGCTTGGATCGAGCTATGCCCCATGCTGCCTTAAGCCTTATGAGGTCCCCATGGAACCGCAGGTGAGGGCCCACTCGAACTCCGTAGCTTACAACATGGAGCTACAAACTGGAAATTCAAGCGCAAGCCCTTGAACTCCACATTCACTCATTCACTCACACAGAGTTTACTACAATTTTTACATATATATATATATACACATATATATATATATACACATATATATATATACACATATATATATATATACACATATATATATATATATATATGTATATACTCGTTCTAAAATGGAGGTCTCCTAGAGACCTGAACAAGAGAAGGAGAATATATATATATATACATATATATATATACACACACATATACATATACACACACATATATATGTATATATATATGCTTCTCTGTTAAGTCTCTATATATATACATATATATAGAGAGACGTCTCTCTATATATAAACATATATATGTATGTATATATACACATATATGTGTATATATACACACACATATATATGTGTGTGTTTATATATATATATAGAGAGAGAGAGAAGCTTAACAGAGAAACATGACAGAAACCAGGACTCTGTCCTCCAGCATCCTGGAATATGGACAGAGTCTGAGGGAGGACCCTCGTCATGGCCATTTCCCTCCCAGAAAGACAGAGTCAGATCTGACTTACCTTCCTGAGACCAGAGATTGAGGACTCAGGAGTTGAATTTGGCCGGGCACAACGGCAGTCAATCCGTTCCCCTCCAGAAGACGGTGGCCTACAGGGCCCTGGAACGTCTTCAGGGGGTGCCTCCCCTATAAGCCCGCCGTCTGTCCAGGGGAGCCCAGAGCGAGTCCGGTCTTCACCCACTAGCAGATCTCACTGGGGCCTCCAAATGTTGTAACCAAGCAAGTTATAGAGAAACGCCACACTCTGAGACTAATTCAGGAGTTCTTTTATTGCCAGTGACCGAGAGATGGCTAGAGCTCAAAATTCTCTCAGCCCCGAAGAAGGGGATAGATTTCTTTTTATACCGTGGTCTAAATAGGGCAGGGGGAGCCTAGCTGAAGCAATTTTTACAGAAGCAGAACACGCAAAAAGTTAAAAAAAATTAATGGTTACAGAGATAGTTACAGAAAAATACACAGTTCCAGGTGCAGGGGCTTAAACTATCACAAAGAGATAAATGCAGGGGCTTGGGTACCATCCACTGAGCACGTCCCCAGGAGCTGCTGGTACAGCTTGCCTCAATATCTTATCAGTAAGTGCATTCCTGGATGTGCTTGGAGTCAGCTTGCACTAGTTATTCCCTTAAGGGAGGGGGATAAGGGGACTGCAAGTGAAGAGGCTAAAATGGAGTCTGTCCAGCTCTCTCAGCTGAGAGAGAGTCACTCAGATTAAAACAGGATAGGGTATCCCAGATAGACAGTTCATTAGATATGTAACTGATGATAGATAGACTACTTTTATGGCTCCTCCCATGTCCATTAAAACTAAAACCGTGTGTGATTATGTTTCCTTGAATCATTACCACTTTTTTCTTCCTAAGCACATTAACTTCCTATTTCACCATAGAAACTTTCAATATTTTTTCAGAAACTCAGGGCTTTTGGGTATGCCCTCCCACTGTCTAGTTTTTGTGCTTTCTTTTGGAGTCCTCTCTGGAGGCCACAACCATTTTTGGAGCATGCCCAGCAGAGGAAGTGGTGGATCTAGTTCCTCCTGGAATGGCTTTGGTGATGCTCTTTGCTGTGGATCAACTACAATCTGCTCCAACACCCCTTCCTCCTTTCTTTTTTCTTTGCCTCACCTCCTCTCCCACATCTCTATTCCTCCCAGCCTTTCTTCACTCCTCTGTACGCCCATCATTCTCCTCCACCTCCAAGGTCACAGGCATCACCATGTAAGCCTCCCATCCCAGAAAACCAGCCTCCAAGATAACCCCATGATCCCCACCTTCTTGTATGTACATCCTTGTGTAGGACCCTCCTGCACTGAGCAGGGCTGAGCTGTGTTAGCACTGGGATATATGGGAATGACAAGGTGGCATGTGACTTCCAAAGTTAATGTCACTTTGCTGTCTTGGATTACTAAGCCAGCTGTCATGTTGTGAGGAGGCTCAAGTTGTCCTATGGGGGGTCCTGTAGCAAGGAACTGAGCTCTCCTGCTGACAGCCAGCAGTACCTTCCCAACCATTAGAGTGAGTCACCCTAGAAGCAAATTCTCCAGCTCCAGTGCATCCTTTAGATAACTGCCACTCTGGTCACTATCTTATCTACAACCTCATGAGAAACCTCAGCCAGAACCACCCAGCTAAGTTGCCTCTGAATTCCTGAGCCACAGAAACTGGGAGATAATGTTTACTGTTTAAGACTTTAAATTTGGAGTAATTTGCTATTCAGCCATAGAAAGTGACACTCATTTCTTCGTGCCCGACACTGCTGTCTCTGTGGTTTCACATCCCTGTGGTTAAAGCTCTCCAAGGGCTCATCACTAATTTCAGGATAAAATCTAAATCCCTTAACATAGCATAGGTTTTTTACAAACTGCCTCCTGTGTGCCTCTCAGCCCCATCCGGCCCACTCTGCCTTTCCTCCCTGCATCACTCCAGCTACTCTGAAACATACTGCACCTTCCTAAATGCGGACAGATAAAATTGACAGACTTTTCATAGGATGCCCAGTGAAATTTGAATTTCAGATAAACAATGAATAATGTGTGTGGTTATACAATATTTGGGACATACTTATACTAAAAATATTGCATGACACATATTCTTCAAAGTTATTATTTTATCTGAAATTCACATTTAATAGGGCATCTTGTACTTTCCGTTGCTAAATCTGGCAACCCTACAGATGTGAGCTGTTCACTTTCAGCTCCTGCTCAGCCCCAGCTGGATCACTACAGCTCCCCTTGACTAATTCCCTGCCCTACAAGACTCGGCCCAGACATCAGTGCCCCTAGAAAGCCTAGGCTAACTTTTCTGCACAACACACACCTAGGATGGGTCAGATGTGCCTGCTGCAGGCTCCCGCCCACCTGTCACACCTCTCTCACACCACACACTTTGCAAGTATTTGTTCACCTGTCTCCAGTACTAGACTCTGAGCTTCTTGAGGTCAGGCACTGTCTTACCACGACGTGGCTTCAGTGCCAAAAACATAGTATATTCACAGTTTACAATTACTGAAGATTTACTCTAAGCTAGTTGCTGTTCTAAGATGTTCTGCATATATCAACTCATTGAATTTTCATATCAAGCCAAAGGAGGTACTATTAATATCCCACTTTTACTGGGGAGGAATCTGAGACAGAAATAGGTTTTGTGACTTCTCCAGTGTCATTTGAAAATGGCAGGGAAGTTGGGGTTCAAAGCCAGAAGTCTGACTCCAGAGCCCACCCTCTAACAAGCTAGACAT
Source organism: Homo sapiens (assembly GCF_000001405.40). Classification (NCBI taxonomy): domain Eukaryota; kingdom Metazoa; phylum Chordata; class Mammalia; order Primates; family Hominidae; genus Homo; species Homo sapiens. Next base: position 29,648,404 of record NC_000007.14, read on the forward strand.
ATTGCCTCTTTACAGTGTATGATAAGTGCTTGCCAAATGCATGTAAGAACTGACTATCCAGCTAAGTTTCTCCAAACTAGATAACTGTCTTTAAGCAGGGACCTTGCTGCCTGTGCCCCTCCCAGCTCTCTCTCCAGTCACCACTACAGAGCACAATGCATGGTGCCTTCTTCACAAGCAAATACCTTCTCCCTTCTTCAAATCCTGACTACAGATCCAGGGTAGCACCATATACCACACCTCCCTAAAAAAAGAATGGTTATAGGCAGGGCGTGGCGGCTTACACCTGTAATCCCAGCACTTTGGGAGGCCGAGATGGGCGGATCACCTGAGGTCAGGTGTTTGAGACCAGCCTGGGCAACATGGCGAAACCCCGTCTCTACTAAAAATACAAAAAATTATACGGGCATGGTGGCATGTGCCTGTAATCCTAGCTACTCAGGAGCCTGAGGCAGGAGAATCCCTTGAATCTGGGAGGCGAAGGTTGCAGTGTGCCGAGATCGCGCCACTGCACCCCAGCTTGGATGTCAGAGTGAGACCCCATCTCAAAAAAAAAAAAAAAAAAGTGGTTACAGCATGTGCCTTAGAAATATAAGCCAAGAGAGCACTGTGGTTAATACTGCGAGTTCTAGAGTAAAATTCCCTGGGCTTAGATCCCAACTCTACTGTTTATTAGCTGTATAGTTTTGCATGAGGCCCTGAGACTTAAGATTCTTCATTGGAGAATGGAAACGCAGCATCTGGAACATAGCATGTACTCAGTAAATGTCAGCTGTCACCACTGTCATTGCCAATCCACTCAGGCCATAGGCAGGTATGTGTGGGCCTGGCAAAAGAAGTTAAGACGAGGCTGCAGGCCCTGGGGAGCACGTGGAGAGGCTGCATTGAGCTGCGCGCTGTGGGGGCTGCACGCCCAGTGAAGCGCGTGAAGAGCGAGTAGTGATGGGTTCTGCGCCACTGGGGCTGTGAACGTATGAGGGGCTGTACATGGAGCTGTGTGCAAGGTGGGGGCTGCACGTGCGGGCTTGGGGACTGCGTGCACCAGGGGCTGCAGGCGCTGGGGAGGGTGTGGGGGGCTGTGCGTGGGGCTGCCCTCACCAAAGGCTGCACGCTCAGGGAAGCGTGGAGGCGGGGGTGCCGCGTGCACTGGGGAGCACGTGAGGGGACATGCAGGGACTGCCCGTGTGAACGGCTTCAACCGCATGCCCCCCACCCCACAGTCGCCAAGAAGACTGGGAGGTCCGCATCGGCGGTGGGTACAAGTCATTCAGGCTGCGAGGCGAGTCAGGCCTTTCCAGACCTCGCCGGACTGGGCTGGGCTGCGCCGGAAATTGACCGGAACAGGGACTATGAGAAAATAGTTGAGCAATCGAGGAGTCAGCTGAAAAGCGGAGGCTCAAGAGCCATTTCAAGCTGGGCTGCACCAGAAATTGATTGGAATAGGGACTATGAGAAAATAGTCGGGCAAAGGAGGAGTAAGCTCAAAAGTGGAGTCTCAAAGCCATTTCAACCTTCCCGCCCCAGCCAGTCGAAGCAGTGGCGCGGGGCCTCCCAAGCCCAGGAGCCGGAGATGGAGGAGGTGGTGGAAGAGTTGGGGCTGCCTTTGCAGCTTTCCACCCTAGGCGGAGGGAACCTGCCAGGGGGCGTGCGGAGGTCCGCAATCTGAGACCGCGAAATGGCTTACAGCTGGACGTGATTGCCAAGACCCTTCTGGGCTGCTTCCAGAAGCGCGGAGGCTGGGGTGCTGTGCGCACTGGGGAGCACATGAGGGGACATGCAGGGACTACCGGCGCGAATGGCTTCAACCCTACGCCCCCCACCCCACATTTCACAGTTGCCATGAAGACCGGGAGGTCTGCAAAAGCAGCGGGTACAAGTCATTGAGGCCAAGAGGCGAGTCAGGCCTTTCTAGACCTCGCCCAACTCAGCTGGGCTGCGCTGGAAATTGACCGGAACAGGAACTATGAGAAAATAGTCGGGCAAATGAGAAGTAAGCTCAAAAGCGTAGGCTCAAGAGCCATTTCAAGCCGGGCTGCGCCGGAAATTGACCAGAACAGGGACTATGAGAAAAGAGTCAGGCAAAGGAGGAGTAAGCTCAAAAGGGGAGGCTCAAGAGCTGTTTCAAGCTGGGCTGTGCCGGAAACTGACCGGAACAGGGATTATGAGAAAATAGTCGGGCAAACCAGGAGTAAGCTCAAAATCGGAGGCTCAAGAGCAGTTTCAAGCTGGGCTGTGCCAGAAATTGACTGGAATAGGGACTATGAGAAAATAGTCGGGCAAACGAGCAGTAAGCGCAAAAGCAGAGTCTCAAGAGCCGTTTCAATCTTCCCACCCCAGCCAGTTGAAGCGGTGGCGCGGGGCCTCCCAAGCCTGGGAGCCAGAGATGGAGGAAGAAGTGGAAGAGTTGGGGCTGCCTCTGAAGCTTTCGACCCTAGGCGGAGGGAACCTGCCAGGGGGTGCACGGAGGTCCGCAGTCTGAGATGGCTGAATAGCTGGATGTGATCGCCAAGACCCTTCTTCTTGGCTGCTTCCAGTTGATCCATAATTTCCTGGTGCAGCTCCGGGAAAAGGTGCACGAACTGCAGGCGTGTGCGTTCTCCAGCAGGACCACTCTCGGCATTGGTGAGGAAAGGTCAGGAGAGCCCTAGGAGGGAGCCGCATGGCGCTTTTCTTGAGTCTTGAAGGCGATCAGTTTAACAAGCAAGGGTTTGTGGGTGTCTAGTAGCAAATAATAGCAAGGTCCGAGCTCTGGAAAAGCGTGGCAAGAATCGCCAAGCCCCATTAGTTCTTGTTTTAAAACATTTTCAGGGTTTTCTGACAATAGTCACCCCTATGTCACAATAAGGATATGTTATCTGAATCAGGGCAGCCAATTATCGTACTTAGTAAAAATGATTAGCTGGCTCTTGGGGAACAGACATTATGTTTCTCAGCACCTGAAAGCAGAATAAAATGGAGTAAAAAAAAATTAGTTGAGAACATTTATAATGGAAATAGGGCCAAAGTAGATATATATTGCCCGATTGACTTCCATCTTGCTGTGGAGCTTCAGTGCCTACAATTAGGAGATTTCCTTATTTATGCACTTGAAGGGTTTTTCTTCCCCCCATTCCCTTTCCCTCATTCGCTTCATTTTCTGTACCATAAGAGGGAGCTTAAATGTTGTTGCTGTTGGTATAGAATCAGTTTTGAGCCTGGCCCTAAGTCAGACTGGCTGCTGATATAAACTGTCATAGATAAATGTCTCTTAATGTCAATTATTGTAATTTTCTCACTGTAAGTTGACTGTTGATGTCAAAGTAGAATGTGTCCCCACACTTGAAGTGTTAACAGTACTTGAGGAATGATGGAGGTTCAGACTTGGATTTTATCAGATATCTAATTATGCCAGTGAACACATCCCCCATCCAGAATCAGCGTGGTCCTGGAAACCAAGCTGTACTGCCATCCCCAACACAAGCTCCAGTGCACCAACATCTCGTGCATTGAAGGAACCCTAGAGTTTGGTGAATAATGCGTGACTATTGTGACTGTTATGGGAGTTCAGAAGTGTGAACAAATGCTTTAGGATGGGAAATGGGAAATGAGATCAGGGAAGACTTTTAGGAAAAGGTGAGATTCGAATTGTGACAAAAGGCTTATATTTGGATATGTGGAGCTGAGATCAATAAGTGTCAGAGGCTGATAGAACAGCATGATCAAAGTCATAGGAGGCAGAAAACATGAAAGCCAAGTAGGCTGAAATGAAGGGCATGAGAAAGAAGTAGCAGGAAATAAGTTGAGAAGGTTGATTGAGACCAGCCTTGGAGAGTCTAATTCAAGGTTAGGTGTAAGGCATTTGAACTCCATCTGTAGGAAGGCGTTAATTCTTTTCTTTAAAAAAAATTTTTTTAATGAGATGAAATCACATAACATAAAATTAATCATTTTAAAGTGAACAGTTTAGTGGCATATAGTACATTCCCAATACTGACACCAAACAATTTTTAAATAGAGTGACATGATCAGAAGTGAGCTTCAGAGATTAACTTGGCAGCAGTGTGTAAGAGAGACTGAGAAAGGAAGCAGAAAGAATAATTGGAAAACTAGCACTAGAATCCAGGCAATAATAGTCTTCACGAGGGTAGCCACAGAAGACATGGAGAGGAGAGGATAGGTGAGAGCTGATGGAGACATTTGACAGGACTGGATGGGTGGCCTGGTAGAAGAGGAGCCTGGGAAGGGAGAAAGTTCAGGAATGAAGGTTCAGGAATGAAGGATATGGGAGTTATCTCTGTAGACGTGAGCACCGAAACTTTAAGAATGAGTGAAACTGCCAAGAGAGAAAAGTCAGCAAAGGACAGATACTTGGGGAAAACTTTTGGTTTTAAGAGATGAGAGGAAAAGGAAAAACCAGATAAAATCAGAGTAGTCACAGAAATAGAACTGGGAAAGTTGGTGTGATGAAAGATGAGAGGGGAAGAGAGCCAAGAATCTAACCAAATGCTACAGAAAGACACAAAAGAATTGTGATAACTAAAAGGTTGTTGGTCATTTAAAAAAAAAAACTTACGGGAACTTAGTAGAAAGAAGTTGGCCAAAGATCTTGTCATTGAACCAGGGGAGAGAGAGACATGGGGAGTATATTGGTTTGAAGGGTTGTCAGATCGCAGAGAGTGTTTTAAGGTCTAGGAGTTTTAAAGGTTGAGGGGAAGGATCAAGGGAAGAGGATGATATTAAGATTCCAAGAGAGGAAATAATTAGTGGAGCAAGTCTTGGAATATTTGGGAGGGGTAGAATTAAAGGCACAAATTTGAGAAGCTAACTGTGGAAAAGAGGAGAGGGAATTCCTTTTCTGAGATGGCAGGGAGTAGAAAAGTGAGGATTACTATATGGAGAAATGTTAAAGTGGAGATAAAAGAAGTCGGGAGTGCTGGCGTCTAATGGTCTTTGTTGCAGTGAAGTATGAGGCTGTGGTCACCTTCAGAGGTGAGACTGATAGGATGCCGGGGTCCAGGGGACACGCTTCTTCACAGCTTGGAAAGGGCATGTGATAAGCCCTTCAAGCATTTAGAATACTGGCATCGTTACACCATATCATTTTTTTTCAGATGTGGTATGTGGGTTAAGGGAGGGAGTGAGAGACACAGAAAGATTCTGAGCATCTTTGGAAAGCTGGATGAATTTGGAAGTATATTTGACCTTTTCCTTATATATCATCTGAAGAGTTTTTGCCAGTGTATATGGTTGTTAGGAGAATTAGAAATAGGATACAAATATAGTTGAATAGTTGTATATTTTAAAATTAATGAAGCCTAATAAACAGTTAATGAGCATCTTTAGAACCTTTTAAATTCTTCAACCTTTTAAAAATTATAGCAACCATGCTTGCGGACAGTCCAAAAACACACCATGGGCCATACTTTGCCTATCCTGGTATAAAACAAGTAAATCTTCTGAGCAGTATTTAAGATAAGCCCAGGACAGTTAGTAACATAGGAAAAGATCTGGATAAGCCTGGTTGAGAATTTCAACATTGCAATTTTTTAATTTTTAAAAATTTAATTTCTTCAATAATTATTGAATTAATTTGCATTTATTTTGTTAGCCAAGTGGAGTGATTTTTGAATTTTTAAGAGGCTATTATTGGTGGTTTATAAGATGACTTGCCAAGTATATTTGGGATAACCATAAGAAATACCATTATAAGATCTCAGAAGGGAGGTGGGACTTCTGGAATAGCCAAGGAAATGCACTCCTCCATGACGACAATGAAAATACTTGGAAAATTATCAAAATCATTTTCTTCAAAACTTTGGAAATTAACCAAAGGTTTACAACAATCTAAAGGGCATTAATTCAAGAAAAGCTGCTGAAACTCTATAAGAACAGCAAAGTTTGTGGTGCTTTAACTTGTTCTATTCCCCACTCTTCTCTCCCCAGCTCCATGGTATCCTTGAAAACAAGCAATTCCCCAACCATACAGGGGCACAGGCTGTGTTTGCAGCTCCTGTAAAAGCTCCATACCCAGAGCAGTGTCTCCCAGCTCCCTGGTGAAGTCTTACGTATACATGGGGTGCTGGCACAGGTGACTCCAGATTAGTTTCCTAGGCCATCTAGTAGCTCCTAGGTCTGGGCGCTTGCAAAGAGCTTGCAATTCATCAAGGGTTGAGTTGCACAATGGGGCTTTTAGATGTGCCGCTGAGGAAGTGATTGCCTGCATTTGTCTCCCGATGAATGCTAGAGAAACTGATCTAGAGTGGCTCCTCTTGGTTAGAATTAGCTGAAGCATACTGTATATATTTACTTCTTTTAAAAATTTCATATAAAGGAATAGAAAATAATACTAAAAAAAAAAAAAGGTCACAATCTTCTATAATTCCATCACTCTTATCAATTACCTGAAGTAAAAAAACTCTCTCAAGTCTCTCCCTTTGCTTGTCAAGCCCCGCTGCAGACAGGTAAGCTCTGTTCAAAATTTGCTTTGTGTCCTGGATTTTTTCCTATGCTCATAGAGACAGGATTAGCTGGCTGTCTTGCTTTGTGTGCTATCTTTTCTAGACATGTAAAATAATACATTTGAAATACTTGTTTTAATGGTATTTTATAATAAAGCAGCTTTTAATAACTTTTCTTTTTTTCTTTATTCCAGCCGTCTTTGTGGCAATTTTACATTGGTAAGATTTAGTTTCAGTTTGAAATATTTAAAAACATTTGAATTAAAAATTGCCATCACTCTTTGCATACAGTAAAACAGCTTCTGGCTATATTTGTAGAACATCTTTATGTGCACCAATTTATACGTATACTTTGCTTTTTTACAAACCTCATATGTGAAGCAGCATTTACAAAACAGATGCATTAGGGGAATAGTAACTTGTGAATTAAAATCGTTTTGCTACCAAATAATTCACTACACGTTTCTTTAAATATCTAGCTTTTCTAGTGTATTTTGCATGTGTAGTTCATTTAAAACCCTCCTTTATTTTATGGTAATTATATGTTGTTAGTGAAATAACTTTTTTTTTCTTTTTTTTTGAGACAGAGTCTTGCTCTGTCTCTCAAGCTGGAGTGCAGTGGCACAACCTTGACTCACTGCCTCCCAGGCTGAAGTGATTCTCATGCCTCAGCATTCTGAATAGCTGGAATTACAGGTGTGCACCATCACACCCAGCCAATTTGTTGTATTTTTAGTGGAGACGAGGTTTCACCATGTTGGCCAGGCTGGTGTCAAACTCCTGGCCTCAAATGATCCACGTGCCTCAGCCTCCCAAAGTGTTGGGATTACAGGTATGAGCCACCACACCCAGCCAGTGAAATAACTTTGGTGATGGCTAGGCGCGGTGACTCACGCCTGTAATCCCAGCACTTTGGGAGGTCAAGGCGGGCGGATCACAAGGTTAGGAGATCGAGACCATCCTGGCTAACACGGTGAAACCCTGTCCCTACTAAAAATACAAAAAATTAGCTGGGTGTGGTGGCGGGCATCTGTAGTCCCAGCTACTCAGGGGCTGAAGCAGGAGAATGGCGTGAACCTGGGAGGCGGAGCCTGCAGTGAGCCCAGATCGCGCCACTGCACTCCAGCCTGGGTAACAGAGCAAGACTCCGTCCCAAAAAAAAAAAAAAAAAAAAATACTTTGGTCATAAAATTTTAGTAACACCTGCCAATTGGAAATCAGGTAAAAAAGAAGACAAAGATTCTGCAGTGGTTATACAGAATTAAATGGCTTTGAGCCTTTCAGTGTGCAAGCCTGTGTACATTATTTTACAAAAGTGTTTATAAAAATTTGTAAAATAATATTTCCCTCTGGAATATTTTATTTTTACCTGTGCTCAGCGATTTCTACCCTTGGGAGGTATGAGATGTGCCCCTATGTTCTGTTGACACAGTGCTGCTCTAGACATTTAGTCTGCAGGGAGATTTCGATATTAGAACTGAGGCTGCAATGGTAGGGAATATTCCTGCAGTTTTTGGTACCCTGGCATATGGCCTACATGTAAAGAACGGTTAGTGGAAAACAGGGTTAATGTATGGAACTTTGCTTTATTTTCAACTTCACTGGAAAGTACTGACTACATAAGTTAGCTATAGCATAATTGTTGACCACAGCTAATTTTGTTTATCACATATGCTCCTTTCTTCACTGCCGACAGCTGCTGAGTTTCACTACTAAAAGGTCTTCAAGTACACACCTGTATTCTTTGGCACTTGAAAGTTGATCCCTTATGTGATATTATACTTATTGTAAGTCTGCTTTGATCTAAAGTAATTTTATTTAAAATTATATTCGGAACCCTTTTCAACAGTTATGGAGGTATTTCCCAAGGCCGGTACACTAGAATCACTTGAAACTTAAAAAACAAACAATAACCTGCCTCTGTTCTGATTTTGAGGCCTGGGACGGAAGGGAGCGTGAAAAAAGCCACAAGAATTTTAGATATATAATTAGGGGTTTTTTTTTCTTTTTTTTTTTTTTTTGAGACAGAGTCTCACTCTGTCGCCCAGGCTGGAGTGCAGTGGCATGATCTCTGCTCACTTCAACCTCTGCCCCCTGGGTTCAAGCAATTCTCCTGCCTCAACCTCCCTAGCAGCCAGGATTACAGACATGCACTACCATGGCTGGCTAATTTTTGTATTTTTAGTAGAGACGGGGGTTTCACCATGTTGGCCAGGCTGGTCTCGAACTCCTCACCTCAAGTGATCTGCCCGCCTCGGGCTCCCAAAGTGCTGGGATTACAGGCATGAGCCAACGCACCCGGCAACAATTAAGTTTAAAAACCACTGAGTTAAGGAATTTCAGGTGTGTGCCATACTGCATTATAAATGCCTAAAAACATACAAGTTGGTAAGCAAATTATAAAAACAATATTATAACAATTTATTATTTTCTTTTTCATGGCTTTCTTACTTTGCTTATCGCTTATTTTAGTGTTGGTTTTGAAACTTGTTCTCACTGTAATATGATACTTCATTTTTTTTCTAGGTTACATTTAGTAACACTTTTTGAAAATGATCGTCATTTCTCTCACCTCTCATCTTTGGAACGGGAGATGACTTAGATGACTTCTCCCACTGAAATGGTTAGATTTCTTCTTCTAACGAATTAATCTGTGGTTTAAGAATAGTGAGACTATGAGGTAGAAATGTATTAGGAATTGAAACCAGCTTTTGGTGAACTGCACTGTTTCGTAAGCTATAACCCAGGTTTATTATTTAAATAGTAAAGTGTTTGAGATTATTTTTCTGTTACTTATTTCATTGTCTCTCACCCTTTCCTAATGCAGACTTCTTTTTAAGATAATAAAGATGAATTATAATAGCTGAGGAAGGAGGACAAAGAAAGCACTGAAGAAGTGATAAAGGGGAATGAAATAAGATGTTATCAGAAATTGCTTTTTCTTTGGCTACAGTTGGGAGATCCCATGTTTTACTGGGTCTTTTACTGATGATGATTATTATTTGGCTCTCTTTTGATTTCAAGATAATCTCTTTTAAGAGATAACTTTTGATATAATTTTTAAATAATTTTCTGTTTTTCGATACTTAATCTTTAAAATGGAGTTCTCTGCCGTACACATCTCACATAATTATTGTGGGGAGTAAGTGGGATAGCAAATGCCAAAATTGCAGTTTTACATTTAGAAGACACCACAACCGTCCATCTTCCAGATCTGCTCGCAGCTGGTCGGGGGCCTAGTGAAGCACTGAAACTGACTCTCCTCACTCTAACCATTGCTTTTTGTTTAAATTATGGTAAAATTTAGATTTAAATTTCTAATAAAAAATTTCAATACGTTTATCATTTAAGCATACAATTTAGTGACATTAAGTACATTCGTGTTGTCTTGCAACTATTACCACTGTCCACATCCAGAACTTTTTTTGCTATCCCAAACGGAAACTCCACCCACTAAACACTAATCACACCCAGCTCTATTTTCTGTCTCTATGATTTTGCCTATGCCAGGCCCCTCAGTCACTGCTTTTTAATTTTCATCCCTATATTGCCCCTATAAAGTTTCAAAGCATTGGATACATTAACATATGTATGACATCTGAACATTTTAAAGGTATTTCCAAAGACAGAATATAAAATAGTATTAAATAAAGAGTGTAACTGTGGCAGAGTCTGGACTTTGGTGACAGACTGCTGGATTCTAATAGCAGTTCTGTGCTTTATTGTATCATGGCTAGTCAGGTCACCTCTCAGATTCTCAGTAATCTCATCTGCTCAATAGAAATAATGCCAACCTTAGAGAGGTTTAGGGAAAATGAAGGGAGATAATGAATGGCAACACATAGCAGGATACTTAACACAAAACAATAGCTGTTATTAGTAACTTATTTATATATTTAATATTTCCTTACATATAGACTTTTGCATATTAGATATCCTTTAATTATTGTATTGCTTTGTTATCCTCCTAAGCAGAAAGGAAAATTCTTTATGAACTCATATTTTGCCAATCAACTATGAGGTAATGGCCTTTCCGACACCAGCTAAAACAAACCTTTAATTTAGTAGTTACTCGTGTTGGATGAGGCAGATATGATTATAGCATATAGCATTTTTTAGGGAGAGTGCATTTTAAACAATGTGGCCCTTTTTTGCTTTTAGATTTTAGGAGTGAAAACAAGAAATTGATGGGAAAATAAGACACAACATGCTGTTGTTAATCCACGAATTTTTTTTTTAATTATACTTTTAAGTTCTAGGGTGCATATGCACAACACGCAGGTTTGTTACATATGTATACATGTGCCATGTTGGTGTGCTGCATCCATTAACTCATCATTTACATTAGGTATATCTCCTAATGCTATCCCTCCCCCCTCCCCCCACCCCATGACAGGCCCCGGTGTGTGATGTTCCCCTTCCTGTGTCCAAGTGTTCTCATTGTTCAATTCCCACATATGAGTGAGAACATGCGGTGTTTGGTTTTCTGTCCTTGCGATAGTTTACTGAGAATGATGGTTTCCAGCTTCCTCCATGTCCTTACAAAGGACATGAACTCATCCTTTTTTATGGCTGCATAGTATTCCATGGTGTATATGTGCCACATTTTCTCAATCCAGTCTATCATTGATGGACATATGGGTTGGTTCCAAGTCTTTGCTACTGTGACTAGTGACGCAATAAACATACGTGTACATGTGTCTTTATAGCAGCATGATTTATAATCCTTTGGGTATATACCCAGTAATGGGATGGCTGGGTCAAATGGTATTTCTAGTTCTAGATCCTTGAGATTAATCCATGAATTTTAACTCAACAGCATTTCTACTATCCTAATGAAGACTTTATTTTATATGCTGAAGTGTAAGACACTAAAATAATCTGCTTTTTAGTACATAGCATTTGTAAGCAACAATAGTCAATCGACATTGAGCTTTCACTTTGTACAGAGGATTAGATGGAGCTATGAAGTAAGCTAGAAGCATTGGATTCCTTGCCCATGATGCTTATGGTCATTATATTTTATTTCCTAAGAGCATGGGAAAAAAAGTAATTTTCTATATGCAAAGTTGTACAGAGGCATGAAGGCATCCCTGTTTATGACAGAATTAATCAGAGGTCAACCTTCAAGCATCTCAAATGTGGGGGATAAAACCCAGATTTGATAAAATTAAACATGTACTGTCTACACACTTTAAGACAATATTAGATAAACTCTTTAAATTGTTGGACCATACCTCCAACTCTTTAGTTTGAAAACCTATAGACAATTTGAAAGAATAGTACGGTGATCACCTGAAAATACGTGCTTTTTAAAGTCCAAGAATGCAAAATAGCAAGGAGTAATTAGGAAGTCTTATTATTGACCTTTTTTTTTTCAGAAAAAAAATGTACTAAAGAATTGATAAAAATAAATATTTTAAAGTTTTAATTACATTGACAATATGTGCCTTTAAAAAAAAAAGGGACTTTATTATTCCTACTTCAAGAACAATATTGAAGCATCTTCATTTTTGGAAGGACTGTGGATGATTATGAATGACAGGCTTACTGAATATCCTCTTGTAATTAATACAGTAAAACGCTTCCATCTTTATCCAGAGGTGAGTCATAATTTGAGACAAATAATATTTGTAGAGTGATCCTTTTTATCAGATATAAATAGTAAGCACAATCTTGTTAAAAAGAAAGGGAGGGGACCTTTCAGGTTTATTAATTGTGTGTATCCTTATAGGTGAGCAGAATATCATAAGTTCTTCTCTTAAAATTTAAAGACCCCAGAAACTGTTCTCGCATGAACTCAAAGAATGAACCTTAGTGTGTAAATAATGGCCAGGGTAATAGACAAGCCAAATGGAAAAGAGAGTCATGGGAGCCAAAACGGTTCTAAATAGGGATGGGCTTTTGGCTTTCGAGAACTTGTAGGTGGGCACGATGACCACGTGAAGGGACGGTGAGAATGATGGGCTTGAATAGTGATCTTGGAGTTACGTTAGTAAAGTAAGACTTCTTTTTCAGCCAGAAATCTATTACTATCTTCCAACACTTAGCCTAAAAGAGTATGGTTGTTATAGTAGTCTGTAAACGCTAGAAATTTGAAAAACAGAGACAAAATTAGTGAACTCAAGTTTGTGAACTCAAGATAAATGCTAAATTTGACACCATGGTAAATACTACTGTTGAGTTTAAAGTTGTCCCAGAATCCAGCATATTAATTAAAAGTTACTGATTTCTAGTCCTTTATTCATATTTTTATAGCTTTTAAAAATTATTCTTTAGATTTTGAAATGCTTAAAACTACAGACTTAGAAAATAATATTCAAATATGTGTGATCAACCATCTAGAATAAATAAATGCTAATCTTTGTCATTTTTGCATCAGCTATTTTAAAATAATTAAAATATTAGAAATACAGTTAAAATCACCTTTGTTCTGCTTCTAGTCCAACTTATACCTTTATTAAAATTTGGTGTGTGTATCCATCCAATCTCTGTTTTCAGATTGTTTTATTATGTGCTTTAAGTCCACATAAATGATCTCATACTGTATGTATCACTGTAGAATTTTTTCTTCAAAATTGTATTTTTGAACTTTCTGTATATATATATTTCTTTAATTTTAACCATTTTATGAATTCTAAAGTTTATATATTTCCCCACCTTAATACATTATTTCCAATTTTTCAATTACAAGCAATGTAATCTAAAATGTACACTTTCGTATGGTTTTCTTCTGTATATGTGCAATATTTTGTCTAGGATATATACCTAAAAGTGGAATTGCTATTATAGAGTGTGTGCTTTTTCAGCTTTACCACATATTGCTAAATTGCTGTCTGAAGCAAATGTGGCAGTTCACACTGCTGTCTAGAATTTTCTCATATCCTTATTAGATTTTGAATTGTCAGACCCTGTGATTTTTACTCTTATGATGGCTGTGATATGCTTTTTTGTTTTAATTTGTTCTTCCCTTATTATTTATGGGAATAAATATATTACCATGTTTAAACAGCATTTGGATTTTTTTCTTCTATCAACAACATATATAAATCTTTGTCACCAAATCAGCTTTTTTGAGGTATGACTTACACGTAATAAAATGTGCCAATTTTGAGTGTACCATTCTCTGAATTTTGACAAATGTATGAAGCTATGTATCCATCACCACAATTGAGTTACAAAACATTTTCAGAATGCCAAAAAAATGCTCCATTGTGGTAACTGTCTTTTCCCCCATTGAATTAATTTTCTCGGTACATTCGTTGAAAATTGATTGACCACACTATGTGTGAATCTGTTTCTGGACTCTATTATTCTCTTGATCTATAATTATGCCAGTACCACAGTCTTGATTACTGTAGCTTTACAATAAATCTTGACTGTAGATAGTTCTCCAACTTTGTTTTTCCTTTTTAAAATTGCATTTCTATCTAAATGTTAGGGTCAGCTTATTAATTTCTCAAAAAAAAACCTGCTGGGATTTTGGTTGGGATTATGTTGGACTTGTACATGCATTTGGGAAGAATTGACATCTCTATGATACTGAATTTTCTAATCCATGATCATGGTATAGATCTCCATTTTGTTGATTATTTTTAATTAGTCTCAGCAATGTTTTGTATTTTTCAATGTATGGTCTTCCCCAGTATTCTTTTATTATAAATGGTATTATTTTAAAATTTTTTTATTTTTCCATTTTTTGTTGCTCTTGTATAGAAATATAGTTGATTTTGAATATTAACTTTGTACCTGCATCTTGATGCAGTCAGTGGTTCTAGTAGCTTGTTTGTAGAATCCTTTGGATTTTTCTATGCACGTGATGATAGAGTCTATAATTAAAAAGTTTTACTTTCCAGTAGATATACCCTAAATGTTTTTAAACAGCTTTATTGAGGTATAATTGACATATGATAGCTGGTCATATAGATGAAGTGTAAAGTTTGATTAGTTTTGGCCCACCTGTAAAACCATCACCAGTCAAGATAATGAGCATATCCCTCATCCCGAAGTTTCCCTGTCCTCCTTGGTAATCCCTCCTTCCTTCGTCTCTCTTTGCCCACATCCCATCCCTAGGAAACCACTAATATTCTCTGTCATTATGGTTTAGTTTGCATTTTCTAGAATTTTATAGAAATAGAAACAGAGTTGTTCTGTGCCTAGGTCTTAATTTATGCGGTTGACTGAGTGATGACACAGATCAGTGCCACTGAAAGAAGAATTTATGACTAATACTTCCTTGGAGAAGAGGACAAGTCACATCACACAGAGCCACAGGAGAGATACAGTTTGGTCAGGCAGAAGCAGGACTGAGGGTAAAGCCTAGGCCATCGCTTTTATTGGGGTTTCTATGGGAAAGGGAAAACCAGGCAGAGTTTAAAAAAGAAAATAAATAAACAAAATCGAAAGACAGTTGATACACTGGGAGAAGATATTTGTTTGGTTTCTTTTTGTTTGTTTATTTTGAGACAGAGTCTCACTTCATTGCCCAGGCTGAAGTGCAGTGGCGTGATCTCGGCTCCCTGCAGCCTCCGCCTCCCAGGTTCAAGCGATTCTCCAGCCTCAGCCTCCGAATACCTGGGATTACAGATGTGTACCACCATGCCTGGCTAATTTTTGTATTTTTAGTAGAAACGGGGTTTCACCATGTTAGCCAGGCTGGTCTCAAACTCCTGGCCTCCGGTGATCCCCCTGCCTCCGCCTCCCAAAGTGCTGGGATTATAGGCGTGAGCCACCATGCCCGGTCAGGAGAAAATATTTGTAATATACCTCACAGATAAAGGGCTAATACACCTAATATATAAAGAACTCTTAATTCTTTATATATTTAGCTTCTGGAGGCTTCAGGTGTCAGTTTGGTGATGAAGAGAGCTGGAATGATGACACTCTCATTCCTACAACAAGGAAAATAGCTGGACAAACTGCAAGATAACACCTTTTTTGAACCCTTCAGAAAACTGAGGTCAGAGGACAACCAACGCAAAATTTCAAGGACAGGTGCCTGCAGAAAGCAACAGGAACTGAGCATTCTGGAATAGGAACTGCTTGACTGAGATAGATGCTTTTGAATGCCGTATAAGCTGGTACAAAGATTAAACCAGAAATTTTTAATGAATTGCTACAGGCTTAGTGTGAGCTGGCATGAAATGTGAAGGCGAGCAGGCTCTGTCAGGGAAGATTGGGGAAGCATTTAGAGAAAGCTTTCCCTATGGTGCTGGCTAGGGGACAGGAAAAGCAGTCATTGCTCAGACTCTGCTCACACCCAAGTTGTGAAATCTCACCTAAGGAAAAGAAAGCCATGATCTGCAGGGAGAACGGTATCAAACCCATTGTCTGAGGACACTGGTGGGTATCCAGTGAAGCTGGTGAAAGAGAACAGGCAGGAAAAAAGAAAAAAAAACCTAAATGTTAAAAGACAATCATATTCCTTGAGAAGGGAACACTTATGAAGGGTACAGCCCCCAAGTCCCAAATTCACAGTACCTGTCTAAGATTGAGGCTTAATTGGAACATCAGAAAACCTGCCACTCTTCACCCATTACATTAACAAGCCTTTGGTAAAAATCACAGTGGAATGTGACTGAGTGAGTTTTGCAAGGCATTTTCTTTCTAGTGAGCAGCACAAAGGACAACCCAAAACCAAATTCAAAACAGGGTACCACTAGAGGAATTTGAAATCGCTAGTGTCCATAGCGGCAACAAACTCCAGCTTTGGTAACTACAGCAATTACAAACTTCAAATCCAGCCCACCCTAACTAGATTAACACAAATACCTACAATAAAGACCTAACAGTAAGAAAGATGTTCTTATTTTCAAGCATAAAAATACTGACCTCTATGTCTACTGTCTTCTACAACATGTCTAACTTTCAGCAAAAATTATGAGGCATACCTAAAGGTAAGAAAAAGCACAGTCCGAAGAGACAGAGCAATCATCATCCAGACCCAAAGAAGATACAGATACTGGAACAACTGGACAGGAGATTTAAGTAACTATGATTAATATTTTAAACACCCAAATGGAAAAGACAGATGATACGCAAGATCATATAGGTAATTTTAGCAGAGAGTTGGACACTATAAGAATCGAAGGGAAATGCTGAAAATAAAAACAAGAAGTAAAAAATGCCTTAGATGGGCTCATCAGCAGACACAGCACAGCAGAAGAAATAATCAGTGAGTATGAAGATAGGTCAATAGGAATGCAAAGAGAAAAATAATGGAGGAAGGAAATGATAAGAGCATCTAAGAGCTGTGACACCATATCAAATATTCTAATATATGCATAATTAGAATCCCAGTGGGAGAGGAAAGGATGAGGAAGAATAAACATTTGAAAAATAAATGACTGAGAATTTTCCAAAATTAGTGACAGATACCAAGCCACAGATCCAAGAAACTCAGAGAACAGCAAAAAGGATAAATACCAAACAAATGCATGAATGAATAGATAAACAAACCAAACATGCATATACAAACCTGGGGGTAAATGTAAACACATTAAAGAGTATGAGACAGAGACTATCTCACAAAGCCTAAAATACTTATCGTCTGGCTCTCTATAGGAAAAGCTTACTGACCTCTTGTCTAGGAGAATGAATAGACTAGGGATATAATGTGAGTTTCTTGGGCAGCACCAAGGGCTTCATTTGAGGTTGATGGTCTTGAACTGAGAACAAAACCAGCCAACAGAATTGTGTTTCTCCAGCTATAATCAGATTCCCAAGTATAAACACGGAGAAAATGGAGAGTTGGATTTAATCATGTTGGGTCAGCTTTCCCTTGGATGTAGAAAGCCAAAAAGAACATTGCTCATGGCCTTCCAGCAATGTCAGCAGCAACAACAACAAAAGCCAGACAGTCTTCAAATTGACAACTTTTCCTGAAGTGGTCAGGGAGCTGAGGTCACAGGACAATCAAATAACCCAAAATAAATTAAAAAGAAAAACCATGTGCAAGGAGAACAGAAACAAGCATTTAATTATACGGGTCATGCCACTAGACACAATGGTAAAGAACTCAGCTCAAATTGTTCACCAGTCAGTCGGTAAATGCCTAGTGTGGGTTAGCAAGGGAATTTGCAATTGCTTACAGACATTTTTACACAGAGCTCATAAGGTGCTGACAAAAGATTAGCAAGAGTGCTCAGAAAGCATCCTCCATGGTAAAGCCTGGGAGAACAGCAGCCACTTAGAGAAAGGCATGAAACCCACCCACCCCGCTCTTCCTTATCTCCCCTATAAGTCTTAAACTCTCTTAGCTTAAACTGCTGGGGAAAAGTTGGGGGAAAACACTGTCCTTTTCACATTACTGGTACAAAAATAGGCCACAGATCCTGATTTAGTTCTTGAGCCTTACTTTTGCTAACCCCTTGACTCCTGTTTCATATCTTCTCTCTCCAGTTATCCCAAACCTCCTCTCCCGCTTTCACTCTCAGCGAATGACCTTGTTTTCTACTGTTTTCCCGTGCCCATTATGTATTTCCTAGCTGTATCCCAGGTGCCTACTTCCTGGAATATGGAGCTGATTCAATATCATATTTGTTGAATGAATGAAACTATGCAAATTTCCTTGTGCTACATACTCAGTAGTCAATGGATACAACCTAAGCACAACCAAAATTAGGTTTATCTGTATCCTCACCTGCATTTGGTATGGTCACTATTTTTTATGTTACTCATTCTTACACATATGTAGTGATATATCATTATGGTTTTAATTTACATTTCCCTGTTGGCTAATGATGATGTACATCTTTTTGTGCTTATTTGCCGTCCGTATGTGAAACGTGTCTTTATGTATTTTGCTCCATTTCTATTTGAATTGTTTGTTTTATGAATTTTGGATCTTAGGGTGTTCTTTATATATTATAGATGCTAATTACTTTTCATATATATGGCTTGCAAATATATTTTCCCACTCTGTAGCTTGCCTTTTCATTCTCTTAAACAGGGTCTTTTGCATAGAAAAATTTTAAAATTTTTATGAAGTCCAGTATGTCCATTTTTCTCCTATTGATTGTGCTTTTGGTGTCAAGTCTAAGGATTCTTTGCCTAGCCCTAGAGATAAAGATTTTCTCCTGTATTTTTTGTAAAGGTTAAGAGTTTTGCATTTTATATCTAACTGATCCATTTTGAATGAAATTTAGGTCAAGATTCTGTTTGTTTGTTTGTTTGTTTGCATATGGATGTTCATTACTCCAGCACCATTTGTTGAAAGTGGATCTTTCCTTTCTTTCCTTCACTGAATTGCTTTTGTGCCTCTGCCAAATATGTCAATTGGACATATTTTGTATGGGTCTATTTCTGGGTTCTCTGTTCTCTTCCACTGATTTATGCATCTACCCCTCTGCCAATACCATATAGGTTTTTGTTGTTGTTGTTGTTGTTTAGACTGAGTCTCACTCTGTTGCCCAGGTTGGAGTGCAGTGGCATGATCGCAGCACACTGCAGCCTCTGTCTGCTGGGTTCAAACAATTCTCATGCCTCAGCCACCTGAGTAGCTGGGATTACAGGCACATGCCACCACGCCCAGCTACTTTTTTATTTTTAGTAGAAATTGGGTTTCACCATGTTGGCCAATGTGGTCTTGAACACCTGCCCTCAAGTGATCCGCCCACATCAGCCTCCCAAAGCGCTGGGATTACAGGTGTGAGCCACTGTGTCTGGCCAGTAGTCTTAATTAACGCATCTATGCAGTAAGTCTTAGAAGCAAGTAGCCTGATTCCTCCTACTTTATTCTTTTCCAAAATTGGTTTGGCTAGGTTCTTTTTTTCTTTTTTGCCTTTTCATATATATTTTACAACATGCTATATCTACAAAAATCTTGTTGGGACTTTGATAAGAATTGCATTAAATTTGTAAATCAATTTTGGAAGAACTGACATCTTTATTGAATCTTCCAGTTTATGAACATGGTATATCTCTTCATTTATTTAGATCACCTTTGATTCCTTTCCTCAGCATTGTATAGTTTTGATCATCTAAGTCTTATACGTATTTTGCTAGATATACATTTAAGTTTTTCATGTCATAGAATTATAATTTTAATTTTGGTGTCCATCATTAGCACATAAAATACATTTTTTTATGTTTATCTTTTATCACGCAACTTTGCTGAACTCACTTGTTCTAGGAGTTTTGTTGTGGTTATCTTTTTGTTGTTGTTTTAGATTTGCTGGGATTTTTTACATAGTTCTGGCATGGGCAAATAGGGACAGTTTTATTTCTTACTTTTTAATCTGTATGCTTTTTATTTCCATTATTTGCCTTTTGCACTAAAACTTTTAGCACTGTGTTTAATAAGTGGTGAATGTGAACATACATGCCTTGTTGTCAGCCTTAGGAGAAAGCATCAGTATTTAATCATTAAGCATAATGTTAGCCACAAGTTCTTTGCACGTGATTTTTACACAGTTGAGAAAATCTCCCTTTTATTTCTTTTTTTTTCTGAGAGTTCTTACCATGAATGGGTATTGAATTCTTTCAAATTTTTTTTTCTGTACCAATTTATATGATTATGTGATTTTTCTTATTTTGCCTCTTAACATGTAATATGATGTATTTGAATATTGAAACAGCCTTGCATCCCTGGAAGAAAACCTCATTTGGTCATGGTATATAATTAATATATTATTGAAATCTATTTTTGCAATTTTGTTTGGGAATTTTGTGTTTATATTCGCAAGGGATATCAGTCTGAAGTTTACTTTGTTTTGATACTGTTGGTACTTTGTTGGTTTTAGTATCAAGGTAATACTAGTTTGAGGTAAAGAATTGGGAAGTGTTTCCTCTTCTCTTTTCCAGAAGAGATTGTATAGAATTGATGTTAATGATTTCTTAAACCTCTAGCAGAAGTCTCTAGTGAAAATACCTGGGTCTAGAGATTTCTTTTTGAAGAATTTCTACATTTGAATTCAAGTTCTCAATAGTTATAGAAATATTTAAATGATCTATTTTATATTGATTTTATTTATGGCAATAGTTTGAGTTTTTCAAGGAATTGGTATATTCCATCTAAATTGACAAATTTAAGTGTGTACAGTTGTTTACAGTATTCCCTTATTATCTTTTTGATGTATGCAGAGTCTGCAGTGATAGCCCCTGTTTCATTGACATGGATATGGATAATTTGTGTCTTCTCTTTCTTTGTCAGTCTTGCTAGAGGTTTGTCAACTTTATTGACCTTTTTGAAGAACCAGCTCCTTTTTTCCCTTGGCTTTTCATATAGTTAGATATTTGTTCCCTCCAAATCTCATGTTGAAAAGTGATCTCTAGTGTTGCAGCTGGGATCTAGTGGGAGGTGTTTGGGTCATGGGGGTGGAACCCTCATGAATGACGTGGTTCCCGCCCCACAGTAATAAGGGAGTTCTCCCTCTGTAAGTTTATGTGAGATCTGATTGTTAAGAGAATCTGGGACCTCACTCGTCTCTCTGTTGCTCCCTCTCTCTTGACCTGCCCCCTCCCCACTGGAACCTTTCTCTCTCTTGTTTGCTCCCCCTTCGCCTTCCACCGTGATTATAAGCTTCTTAAGGTCTTCACCAGAAGCAGATGCTGGTACCATGCATGCTTCTTGTACGGTTTGCAGAACCATGAGCAAAAATAAACCTCTTTTCTTTCTAAACTACCCAGTCCTCGGGTATTTCTTTATAGCAATGTAAAAAAGACTAATACAGCTTTCTCTATTATTTTTCTATTTTCAATTTCATTGATTTCTACTCTTTATTATTTCCTTGATTCTACTGGCTTTCAGTTTATTTTGCTCTTTTTTTCCTAGGTTCCTAACTGGATGCTTAGATTATTGATTTTTTTCCTCTTTTCTAACATATTCATTTTAGTGCCATACATTTCCCTCACAGCACTGCCTTCTCTCTTGCCTATACGATATATAAATATTTAAGTAATACAAATGTTTGCTATTGGGAAGACGGAGTGGATGTACTTTTCCTGATTACTCCCTTGAAGTACAACTGAAAACCCTTTGAGTTATACACAAATCAAACATAAGAAGACTCTGAAAAGTAGAGAGAAGACAGACTTGAGACCCAAAGAATAACATGGTTATGAGTTCCATGGGCTCTCTTTGTGCCTCATTTTCTCAGACTTGGAGTTAAAGAGGCTGGCAATCCAGAAATGCCAATGGGCACTGCTATGATTTGAATGTGTCCCCTCCAAAATTCAGGTGTTGAAACTTAATGGCCAATGTGATAGTATTAAGAGATGGGACCTGCAAGAGGTGAGTAGGCCATGAGGACTCCCCCCTCATGAGTGAGACTAAAGCTCTCTTATTCTCCTACTATCTCCCATGTGAGGACACAGTGTTCCTCTCCTTCAGAAGATGCAACATCAAGGCACCATCTTGGAAGTGGAGAGCAGTCTTCACCAGACGCTAAATCTGCTAGCGCCTTGATCTTGGACTTTCTTGGACTCCAGAATTCTTAGACTCCAGAATTGTAAGATATAAATTTCTATTTTTTTCAGTTTTGCCAATTTTATTGAACCAATAAAATTCCTACTAATAATGATGAAATAATTTCTGCAAGTATAAATGTGATACAGTTTAACAAAACCCATTGTTCTGTAACTATACATAGATTTTCAAAATGTCATAAAAAGTGCAGTTATGAATTGTTAACATGTTAATACACAGTTCCTTTATTCCAGCACTTTGGGAGGCCGAGGCAGGCAGATCACCTGAGGTCAGGAGTTCGAGACCAGCCTGGCCAACATGGTAAAACCCCGTCTCTACTAAAAATACAAAAATTAGCCAAGCACGGTGGTACACACCTGTAAGCTCAGCCACTTGGGGGGCTGAGACAGGAGAATTGCTTGAACCCAGGAGACAGGTTGCAGTAAGCCGAGATGGTGCCACTGCACTCTAGCCTGGGCAACAGAGTGAGACTCCGTCTCAAAAAAAAAAAAAAAAAAGAAAAAAAAAGCTTGAAAACCATTAGATTCCTTAGAGGACTGGTTGAACATGTTCATACCAGAGGACTGAAAGTGACTTTCACTTTTTTTGCATCATCTGAATTTTTTTTTTTTTTTTTGAGACATAGTTTCGCTCTTGTTGCCCAGGCTGGAGTGCCATGGTGTGATTTCAGCTCACTGCAACCTATGCCTCCTGGGTTCAAGCAATTCTCCTGCCTCAGCCTCCCGAGTCGCTGGAAATTACAGGCATGCATCACTACGCCCGGCTAATTTTTGTAGAGACAGGGTTTCACCATGTTAGTCCGGCTGGTCTCAAACTCCCGAGCTGAGGTGATCCACCCGCCTCAGCCTTCCAAAGTGCTGGGATTACAGGCGTGAGCCACCACGCCCAGCTGCATCATCTAAATTTTTATAGGAGTGAATTCTTATTTCTTCTGCAATTAAAAAAAGAAAACTTCCAAGTAAAGATAACTAGTTGTACACATTCATTAGTTTCCGCTCCGTCCAAACATCCTACTAAAATGATAAAAATGTAATTTTTAAAGGGAATACGCCTATAAAAAAATCAAGAAGATGAAATAAAAAGCAGTACCTTTAGACTCTGGAAAGAAAATTAATGAGTAATAATTTTCACTGCAGAACTAGGAAAGCAGAGAAGCAAACTGATTTACAGCAGGCACAAGAATTGGCAAGCACAAGATATCCCTGGAAGCAGGGGTGAAGGCAGGCCTAAAAGAGAAAGATTCATCGCCAGTCTGCGTAAGAAGCTGTGAGATCTCCTAGTTGTCCTCCCTGACTTGCAGCAGCTAAGCAACCCCAACCCTGGCACTCTACTACAAGTTTGTTATTAGGAGAGGGAAAAGTTTCTAGACTTGCAGACAACAGGAATAGCTGAAGGCAGAGGTCCTGTATTGATACTAAATACGGAGATTAAATGAAAGTATCACTTTGAGTATTAAGACTCTCAATCTTCTTCTCACTCTGCTCCTAGATCACTAGCATAAACGACTGTGTATTCCAGGCAAGAAAAGCCATTTCTGGAAAATATGACCAGCCCAAGAGAAAAGACAGTAATATTCCTAAGAAAATGGCCCAGACAGAGGACACTACATGCACAGAGAGCTTCCAATTTGCTTTTTAGCGCCCCCCACTTTAAAAGTATCAGGAGTTAGCCAAAGATCACCAAACATTTAAAGAAAATATCTAACAAAAGAATGAAGCCAAACAAACAGAAAAAGCAAGTGGGAAGAAACCGAGTCATCAGGAAAGGGAACAAAGCATACACATACATATATATACATACACATACATATATACACTTATACACAAACAGATGCACATGTAAATACGTATCAGTAATATTCTTAGAAAAAGATATTGTACCCACAAAACAAAAATGGAATATATGAAAAAAACATTATTTTTTAAAGACCTCAGAAATTTTAAAAAACATTAAAAATTAAGTTAAAAATTAAAATTACAGAAACAAATAAAAACTGACAAAAGAGTTATAAGATCACATTTTTAAAAGTCCCTATCTGGGCATGGTGGCATACACCTGTAATCCCAACTACTCAAGAGGCTGAGACAGGAGGATCACTTGAGCCCAGGAGTTCAAGGCTGCAGTAAGCTAGGATCACACGACTACACTCCAACCTAGGTGACAGAGCCTCGAGACCTTGTCTTTAAATAAATAAATAAATCCCTCAAAAGAAAAAAAGAACAAAAACCAAAGACATAAAAAAATTGAAGAGAAAAAAGAAAAAGCAAAGGATTACTCTAGGTGTACAACATCTAAATCATCAAAGAAAAAAATGGCAGAAAAAAAATCACAGAAAGCAGCTGACTCAAAGAGCCTACCAAATATGGTGCACAATGAATGAAAACAGTTCCCTCCCAAGGCATGTAATAATGAAATTTTCATACAAAGGATCAAAAACCATAATGACATCTATGTGCTCAACAGCAACACTAGAAGCCAGAAGGCAACAAGGCAACACATTTTAAATTCTCAGGGAAAATAACTTCAACCTAGAATTCTATATCAAGTCAAAGTACTAATCAAAAATGAGGGCAGAAATAAAATATTTTCAGGAATGGAAGCCTCAAAAAAATTTTACCTTACACATATTCTTTCTCAGTAGGAACTACGAGATTATATCAACTAAAAACAATGGAGAACATCAAGAAAGAAGACACATAAATTCAAGGAACCAGGAAACTGAACATAAGAGAGAGGCAGGCAAATACAATTTCCAAGATGATGATGAACAAAGAGGGATCTCATAGGATAATCATTTCAGAACAGGGTAGGTCAGAGGGTCTCCAAAGAGACTTTAACAAGAAAATGAAATTCAGGCAATACTCATTATATGAATAATCTGAGAGGAGATTTATACAAATGAGGGAGGGTTGTAAAACTAAACAGTTTTTTTAAACTAACAAATTTTTAAAAGACAAAAGAGAAAACACAAAATTGTACAGGAAAAGAAAAGCAGCCAAATGTGAAAAGAACTCTGAATTATTAAAAGCTAATTAGATTCTGTACACTTCACAACTACAATACAGAATAACTCACACTTAAAATACTACAAGTGGTTGATCTAACTTCTGAGTCTCATCTCCAGATAATAGCTAAAGCAATTGTCTACTTTACCACCGACTTCTTATGACATAGACTCAAAAGAGATAGTGCTTATGAAGTAACTTTCCTAACACATAAATTACTATATGAAAGTAACTGTATTAGTTCAATATTTATAAAGACACTTAAAGTGGCCAATAATATTAAATATTCTTAATTTTAGTTATTCTGTTTTAAAGAAACTAATGGCAATCCTCCAAAGAACTCTGTGTATGGTAAGGTGGAGGAAGAGTGGACAAAAGGAGTTATTAAGGAACTGACATTTCAAGGTGACCAGATATGCTGTTTTTGAAGAAGTGCTATGATAGACAGGAAATATGGAGAATTACAAATCAAGACTTCAGGGCTGTCAGACTGAAGGGTGCTGAAGCACCAGCAAAGCAGTGAATTGCTTTAGTAAATGCCAAGTCATCCAGGTTGCCTGAGATGTAGTAAATCATGTAGCTGAAAAAAACTAAGTTTTTCAGCCTCTGCCCTGAAGCAGCAGCACACACTTAATGAAAACACTGACCTACCTTATCAACCATCCTTCCAACCATCTCCAACCGCCCACAAAACACACTCACACTGATAACACTTTGTAACACATTCAAATGGTTATAAAAGAGCTATAAGCACAGTATAATTTTACTTCTAAGGCAATTTTATAACTGTCTCCATTTGTATAATCTACATTATGCCTATTTGGTTCAAAAATTAATTTACCTATATTTACATTATACAAATAAAAACATAGCCTACCACTTCCTTCTAGAGCAATACATTTTTATACATAATTTAAACACAGCAATAATTCTGATAATAATCATCTTAAAACATAATAATGTAGTTATCAAATACATTTTGGGAAATATTCAATATTTACAAAGTTTTTACCATGTGTTTGGCATAGTAAATGTGCTGAAAAACTCAATTCAAATGTTCAGGGGAGAATTTTGTAAATATAAGAAAGATACATTCTAAAAATAATGAAAACTGGATTGTTTTTGCAAAGTCTGATCAGTTGGGAAGAGAAAGGAATACGGTATCAGAGTAAAGCACATGGTCATTCTGAGGAGGGTGAGACTGGAAGTGGGGCATAAATCTTGGATGTTTTAATTTTTTCATTCATTGAAGAGGCTCCTTCAATAGTTAAAAGCATAAAGGTATGAAGTATGTGGACTACTTTAACCCTCATAATACTACAAAAGCAGGTTTTTGTTTTGTTTTGAGACAGAGTCTCATTCCGTCGCCCAGGCTGGAGTGCAGTGGTGCAATCCTGGCTAACCGCAACCTCAGCCTCCTGGGTTCAAGTGATCCTCCTGCTTCAGCCTCTGGAGTAGCTGGGACTACAGGCATGCACCACCACACCTGGCTAATTTTCGTATTTTTGCTAGAACCTGGGTTTCACCATGTTGCCCAGGCTGACCTCAAATTCCTGAGCTCAAGCAATCGCCCCCCCTGGGCCTCCCAGAGTGCTGGGGTTACAGGTGCAAGCCAATGCACCTGGCCTGATTCTAGAGACGAGAAAATGGGGGTACAGAGGAACTAAGAAACTTGCTTAAGGTCAGCCCAAGAAACATGACTTGAAGACTTAAACTCTTCCCCACAATAACAGAATACAGCCTGGACATAAAGTGCATCCCATCTCTGCTTTCGTTAATTTATGGACAGACGCAGAACTCAAACTGAGCTAATCTGAGTCCTTTCTGCTGGAGGCAGAGAAAGGTACTCCTTTCAGGCCTGTAATTATACATAATTTAAACACAGCAATAATTCTGATAATAATCATCTTTAAAAGCATGCAGTTGGAAGTACAGAGAGTCTCAAGGCCCCAGCTTAAAGAAGGCCCATACTGGGGCCTGGGGGCAGTGGCTGACACCTGTAATCCCAGACACACACAGACACAAAGACACACACACACTCTCTCTCACTCTTTCTCTCTCTCTCTCTCTCTCTCCCTCTCTCCCTCTCTCCCTGTATAAATTTCAGCTCCAGGGGCCTTGGTTCCTGCATTTGTTCCTTCAATTCTCTAAGTTACCCTAGGATCCTTTTCAATAATTTGAAACAATATATAGTGTTTCCACCTAATGCTATTTTGAGTTATGCTTCTATCCTTTACAACTGAAAGACTTTAGATTCTCTGACCATGGTGCAATACTTTTATATTTTTTGAGACGGGGTCTTGCTCTGTCACCCAGGCTGGAGTACAGTGGTGCGATCTCGGCTCACTGCAACCTCCGCCTCCCGGGTTCAAGCAATTCTCCCGTCTCAGTACCCCCTAATAAGCTGGGATTACAGGCACCTGCCACCATGCCTGGCTGATTTTTGTATTTTTAGTAGAGATGGGGTTTCACCATGTTGGCCAGGCTGGCCTCGAACTCCTGACCTCAGATGATCCACCCACCTCGGCCTCGCAAAGTGCTGGGATTACGGGCGTGAGCCACAGTGCCGAGCCACGGTGCAATATTTCTAAATTAACACTAGAAGTAACGATAGGGTAGTAGTAAGGATAACCACAATAAAGCCACACTTTAAAATAACTTTCAAGTAAAAGAAAATATCAAAATGCAGTTAACATGATTACTCCTCGATAGAACTGACTTTTAAAAGATAAAAAATGTGTACTCAATGACAATGAAAATGGTAAGTATCCAAAGCTATGGGAAGTGACTACATGTAACGAGAAGTAAACACAGCCTTAAACGCTTTTATCATTAAAAAATGATAAATAAAAAATAAAAGAACTAAAAGCTAGGAGAAAGAACAAAATTAACTTTACAAAATGAGAAAGAACAGAATAGAGGCAACAGTAGAAAAAAATTAAAAACCAACAAAAATAGAAAAATTTATTGTTCAACTGAGCACTGGCTCTCTGAAACATATTACACATAATAAATAACCCATTATGTATATATGGCTTCTTTGTTCTTTTTTTTTCCTCAGCTCATATATAAATAGGTAAATTAAAGAACTATTACACACTAATCACAATTCAAGCAAAAATTAGGATATTCCACATGGTCAGAACTTATGAAATTCAAATGACTGAATATACCTATAATTTTCTGACACACTAAATCTTTTTGTTGCTAAAAAAAAGAGCCCTGAATGAAATAATGACTCTGACAGGTGATATTACTCGAAATATATCTACCAATCTGCACTTATAAATATCAAAAACCTCACAAGCTTTTATTGGTTAAAAAATTTTACATAGTCCTAAAGATTATACCTTGCTAGAAGCTGTTTCCATTTCTAATGAGCAATTTGGCAATAAAGATCAAATGCCTTGAAGAAAAGCACATCTTTGTTTCTGGCAATCCCATGTTGCTGATAAATTTCTAAAAACTGGCCGGGCACTCACGCCTGTAATCCCAGCACTTTGGGAGGCTGAGGTGGGCGAATCACTTGAGGCCAAGAGTTTGAGACTAGCCTGGCCAACATGGCGAAACCCAGTCTCTACTAAAAATACAAAAATTAGCCAGGCATGGTGGTGCACACCTGTAATCACAGCTACTTGGGAGGCTGAGGCACAAGAATCGCTTGAACCTGGGAGGCAGAGGTTGCAGTGAGTCAAGATTGCACTACTGCACTGTAGCCTGGGCGACAGAGCGAGACTCCATGCAAAAAAAAAAAAAAAAAAAAAAACTGTAAAAATTTGCTTACCAAGGTGTTCACGGCAACAGTATTTTATTATAACTGTACCAAACTAAATGTTCAGCTATAAGGAACAACCAAATAAATCCTTGACTCTTCATTTTCTCTCATACCTCCACATCTAATCCAGGTGGCTCTATCTTCAAAACACTGGATATGCAGAATCTGGCCACTGCTTAGCACCTCCAGCACTGCCACCCAGTCCAAGCCACTGTTATCTTTCATCTGGATTTTTGACTCCTTGCTGACTCTTGCCACCTCACACAATAGCCAGAGTAATCCTTTAAAACCCAAGTCAGATTATGTCTATCCTCTGCACAAAAATACTCCAGTGTCTCTCCATCCCTCTTTAAAACAAAAGCCGCAAACCACAGGTCAGTGGTTATGAGGCAGTTTATGATTCTGTCCCAACCTCATGCCACCCCACTACGCTCTCATCTTCTACAGCCCTCTGCACTCCAGCTGTAGTAAACCTACATATCAGGTACACTCATGCCTCAGGGCTTTTACAGTTACTGCTCCCTGTGCCTGAATATGTTTTTCCCCCAGAGATCCTCATGACTTGCTCCTTCACTTTCTGCTTGAATTGTCACCTTGTCATTGAGGTCATCCTTAAAACCCGATTTAAAATAGCAACTATAGATAGGCCTCCACCCCATAATCTCTATCAGCCTTTGCACTCCATTTTTTTCCATTACACTCAATGCCCTAACACACTATGTATTTTACTTGTTTACTATCTCTCCCAAATAGAATAATAAGGCCCCTAAAAGCAGGGATTTTTATCTTATTTCTTCACTGCTGTATCCCCAGAATAGTGTTCGGAAGAGCAGGTCCTCATTAAATATTTGAGTGATTTTTGGAATACTGGGTAATAATTAAAAATCATGTTATAAAAAATTTTAATGTGATGTTAGAAACTGGTGGAAATGGAAAGAGCACGTTATCAAAGAATATGTAACCCATGGATCAAGAAGAAATCATACGGGAAATTAAAATACATTTTTCACTGAATGTTAACAAGAACCCTTCAAAATCAGTGGGATTCAGGTAAAGCAATTCTTGGAGGAAAATGTGTAGCTTTAAAACTTCGTATTAGAACATCAGAAAGGTTAAAATCAAAACAATATAAAAATGAATGTTCCAAATTTTGTGTCTAAAACAAATACATATATAAAAGACATTAACACTTTTTTCTGGTTATTTCTAGTGGTAAGATTATAAGCGATTTGCGATTTTTTTTTTTTGAGATGGAGTCTCACTCTGTGGGTCAGGCTGGAGTGCAGTAGCGCGATCTCCGCTTACTGCAAGCTCCGCCTCCCAGGTTCATGCCATTCTCCTGCCTCAGCCTCTGGAGTAGCTGGGACTACAGGCGCCCATCACCACGCCTGGCCACTTTTTTGTATTTTTAGTAGAGATGGGGTTTCACCGTGTTAGCCAGGATGGTCTAGATCTCCTGACCTCATGATCCACCCGCCTTGGCCTCCCAAAGTGCTGGGATTACAGGCGTGAGCCACTGCTTTTCTGTATGTTAGTTTTTCTCTAGTGAACAGGTATTATTTTTATAATTAAAAAAAAAGGTTTTAAAAAACTTCCTTTCCCTCTGGTTGAATTCTAACTGCTGGCCTCTTCCTCTCCCTGTCTCTTAAAATACTTGCTCCTCTGGATTCCATCCTTGTCCTTCATCAATCTATATTCATCCCTTAGTAATCTTATCCACTTTCTGGAATCATTTATATCCTGCAAATTGATTTCTCAGTTTTTTGTAATATCCCGAATTAGAGACTCATGTTTCCAGCCACTTAAAGGATACTTCTATGCAGATGGAAATCCGATAGCCACTCAAATTTAACAGGCCTAAAAGGAACTCATTATCATTTCCTAAAACTTGTTCTTTTCATCTTTAATACTGGTAAAGACATCACTATGTACCCAGGTTCTCAATTCTATCAGTTCTACCTTAGAAATCTCAATCAAATCTAACTTTTCTTCTCCCTCACCAATGCCATCTTTTCAACGTAGGCATCTTCTATCAGTTATATTCTAAAAGAATCCTAACTTATCCTCCTGCTATCACACTCTCCTCCTTAAGAACTGAATCCTGATCAGGGTTGCTGCATACAGCCTGAAGTCTGCACCACTAGAGAAGGTTGCCATCCATGTAAACTACGAATGTTAATTGTGCCCAATGGCCTAATCATGATACTCCCCCTGCTTTCAAACTTCATTGGATAAAACAAACCTACAGCACTATAAAATCCTTCAACTGGCTCCACTTTCTATTTTTCTAGCTTCGGGTTCTCATCATTCCTCTATGCACCCTACAATCCAGACATATTTAACTTTTCAGTATGCCCTATCAAAACCCAAGCTTTTGTGGATTTTTCTTTAGTCTACAGTGCCCTCTCTCCATAAAACTTCTAAATCCTTCAAACTACAATTCAAATGTATCCTCCTCTGTGAAGCATTTTTTGACTAGCCTAGACAAAGATACTTCACGAAGCATTTTGTTAATAGTTCTATTACAGAATTTGTTGCACTGTATAATGATCACACATATCCATCTCTCAAATTCAATGGAGAGTTGAGCAGTGCATAAAGAAGCCCCACATTTGAACCCTGAATATCTACAATGCCCAGCCCCTAAAAGGGGCTCAATTCATGTTTATTAATACTATATTTACCATATGCATTAGTACAACTTTTTAAAAGTAAATAAAAACTGAGTTTAAAAAAAAAGTTGCATGTTCAGCTGTCAATCTAAGTCTATAATCCATGTGGCAGACAGAACTGATGGGACTATTCTTGATTCCTACACTTCCTGGTGTTTAAACCTTTGTATAATTCCCTCCCCTTGCACGTGAACTGGACCTATGACTTGCTTCTAATCAATGAAATACAGCAAAGGCAATGGGTTGTATGTGATTACATGTACACGATTATGTAAGAACATAGCACCAGTTCACCTTTGATAGACTCTCTTCCTTTGCTGACTTTGAAGAAGCAAGCTGCTCTGAACCTAACAGACACAAGGAAATAAATTCAGCCAATAACCCAAGGAAGTCTGGGGGCAGACCTTTCCCCAGTTGAGTCTCTAGATAACAACCCAGCCCTGGCCAACACTTTGACTGCAGTCTTACAGAGGACACAGCTAAGTTGTGCCCAGCCTCTTGATCCATAGAAGTTGTGAGGTAATAAACGTGTTGCTTAGAACAGCTAAATTTGTAGTTATTTGTGAACAAGCAGCTTAGAACATGAATAAAATAAAATAAAAAAAAAGAAAATGAATAAAATCAGAACCTAAGGTATTTCTGAACTCTTTGTTCACAAAAAGGCCTATGTTTTGTCCAATTTCTAAACAAATAAATGTCATGTATATGCAAAATTAAAACACAGACTAACATTTCAAATAAACAATAGTTCTTAAGAATATTTACATAAGGTAAAACTTAGGAAGTAATCTGCTACATAAAGCAGTTCCTACACTCTCTTTTAACACATTTGCCAGTATACCCAATTGTACATAATACTTAGTACATGTAATAAGTTTAATATTAGGGCAATTCTCCTTACAAACCCAAATAATAATAAATAGTTTAAAAGTTGATATCTAATTAATGTATCTGGTAATCAAAAGAACTTACTTACTGGTCACCAGGCAAAGCAATCAAATTGGAGGAGAGCAAGAGACTTGTTGGAGATGTGCCTGAGGGAGTAAGACACTATCTTACAACAACAGGACTCTTACTCCCTCAGGCACTGCACCAGCCAGCAAAGCATCAAAATACCAGGTTCTTAGGTCACGCTGCTCTCAGATCAGTGATGCCCTGTGCAACTCACCAATCCTCCCCACCTTGCAGTCAAGAATAGTTCCAAAAAATCCCCAAAGCAGAAACTTCCATGACACAGGCCACACTTACACACAGCAAAACATATAACACGAAGGTATGAAATCACAAGTGAGGAACAATAACCACCAAAATTCTTATTACTTCAGGAGTGGCAGGGGTTGTGGTTAGAAGGCTCATTTTTTTTAGAAAGAGGCAAACATTCCTCTTTGGTCACTCCCCATAAAAGCCTTCAATGGCACAAAATAACATTCAGGAATAGGAAGTAGATTAATTACAGTATCCCAAATTCAAACATTTTGGCACTTGATATTGGTAAGGAGTGATAACTGAGACCAATTCCATAATGGTTAATTGATGAAGACAACCTAACAGCATAAAACTTCACATCTGCTTAAAAATTAAGAGAAATCGTCCTAGAAATACAGGTCTTATTCAACATATTCAGTTTTAAGAGATAACCCACACTCCTTCAATATAAGAAAACATGTTGCACAAGTAACAAGGCACCTGAATTACAATCAGACTACTGAAATACTCATGAGCAAGCCACACCCAAAAAAGCTCAAGAAAATCAGGAGGCCAAAAGCAACCCAGCACCACTGGTTGTCTTAGATTAAGTCATTTTACATTTTCACTTCTGGACTCAAGGATACATTATAGAAGTCCACACGATTTCTCTGGAAATAATCTCCATGTATTGGTATATTTCTATAGCCCAATTCATCTACCCCATCCTTGCTGCATCATTAAAGGCTATTTTACCACTCATGTTATGCTCTATGAACAATAGCTACTTGACAGTGGAAAAAAAAACGTAGACGTAAATTAAAGCCAAACAAACCCTAAAATACCATCAACATTTTTAAATATTAGGAAATACCCTTAAGACCTTTTTTAAAACAAAGGTGATGGACCACACTAGCAGTAGTCAAGAAAGCGTCTGTTCGCTTTAACACTCCCCACTCTGGAAAGAATAACAAGCACAAGATTTACTTCACCTAAAAACTCCTAAATATAATCACATTCTGATGTCCGGCAACTCAATTCTAGGAAATTTCTACACACTGAAATATCTGGATTAGGCATTTTTCTTCCAGTTCTCTAGAGAGAATAAGAGTGTATATAGCCAAAATAGATGTGCAAAAGACAGCAAAACATAAAACCAACACAGAAAACTTCCTCGTTCAATGTGGCAATTCATTTTGAGGGAACTACTAACAATTCCACTTGCTAGACTCTTAAGTGTTAAAAATAAAAGGGGGGGACTGTTTTTCATTTTCTATAAATTACATGAGACCTCACAAGAGAATAATTTTGAATCTTATAAGTACCACATTTTCTTATTAGGAGACGTTAATAATATAAACAACAATTAAAACAAGTTTTACAAAAAACAATATGAACTTTCCATTAATTCTGAAATAATCCTTTTATCAATTTTCAGATGGAGTTATTTGTATATAACCATTTATACAATTTGTAACTGAATAAACACAATAATGCTATAATAGATACTAAAAAATTAAGTAAATGTGAAGTACAGTCAAGTCTAACTTTTTAAGATTCTTCATCTAGCTCCCTAAATCTCAAGATGATGAGAAACATGCTTCTATTGTTTTCCTAATAACCCGTCCACTAAAATATAGGTAAAAATCTCAGTAAGGCAATGCCACTAAGATGGGTTTTTAAATAAGTGTATTCCATCTCCCTGCCTCAACAGAGATTTCAGGATGTGGCACTTTCATCTGATCCTGTCATATAATAAGAACAGGTAATTTCTCTGATCCCTTTCCAGCAATTCTCAACTGAGGTTCCTCATCTGAATCACCAAACATAGGAAATTATTTCAGTGACTTTTCTCAATTGTTCCAAGAATGATACATAACTAAAACCGTCCTAAATGCACTGGTGCTGAAAGTTAAAATTCATTGCACACTACGGCACAATTCTCTCCAGAAAGCCGGGTGAGAAAGGCTGCTATAAGTTCCTCAGAAAGTGTCACTGTACTACTAGGCCCCAGTCACCCAACCCCAACAGCACTAAAAGAACTATAGTGAGTGCACAAATCTAGAACTTAGATAAGAAAAAAGATAAATGCTTTATCTCCAACTTTAAGCAACTAGGTATTTTTACTTACTAGGAATAGCATGGGGTTGAACTGTCTCTTGCTCTGAATAGAATGCATTTACTTAACAAAATAAACCCACAGAACTATAATGTTTCTCAAAGGGAATTATCAGCTCTTAGAAAATGAATTTTTAAAAATCAGCATATTAAATAAATATTAACTTGACAAGGCTTTTCCTATTGACCCTTCTTTAGCAAACAAATATTCATCTTTTGATAACTGCTAAATGCAAATTTTCACTTTAAAAAGATAAAGATAAATATTAAAAACCAGTTTGCCCTTCATTTTCGCACTAATCACCAATTCTCAGAAACTGCCTTTTATATTCTTCAGTGTGGACTACAGCAACTTCAACTGCTGGGTTAGTTGTGATCAAATCACTTTAAAGACACCAGTGGAGTTCTTTTACTCAAAAGCAAATGACTTTTAAAAATGGCCCAATTTTAAGAGGGATGAATATTTTTAAGAAGCAAAAATTACTTTAAAACAAGGTTGCTAATTAAAAGTCAAGCGTCGTTCCATATTGAATGTACAAAGCGTTACTAAAAAGATGGGAAAAACTAAACATGACATTCCTATTTTTAATTTATGCTGGCGTGTGTGCTGATAGCACAGAACATCACAACAGATAAATTACTACGTATTCCACTTTACTAAGTCTCCACTCAAAGTTCCTACGTTTACAAATATGTAAGTAAAAGAGGCACAAAAATGTAGGGGATGGTGTTTTCGTTGCTCATCTGTGCTCAGTTGCGAATTCTTCTAATATCAGATACATAATGCGATGAAATGGGAATGCTTATCTTCTATACTTCTATTTATTTTCATAAAGCGGGAAGGGGAGGTGGTCTTGATTCATTTAATATTAGCGTTTTGCAATAAAGTAGAGCAGCATAAAATATAACTGAAGAAGAATTCATTTTCCCCAGGAAAATGCACCCTTCCTCCTGTTTCTACAGTAAAGCACATCATTTTGCTATTAAAAATGTCCATTTTTCACAACTGACTTTTCCTTAACTCTAGTCAACACTGCTCTTCAAAAGAACCTAGCCAATTACTGTACCTTGTAGGCAGAGTTGCAAAATTTTTGCTTCCCTAAGAAACTTTTCCATTTTTTAAATGCTTTCCAAATTAAGCAGGACTCACATTAACTGTGATCTTAAGTAGCAGTTTAGTGAGGTTTGAAAACAAACTTTTCATTAACGCATTCATCCAATTAAAGTGACATAGTAGGTGGGACTACTGACACAGATTTAAGGATTACAGCTTTATATTAAAAGTCAGTCCAAAGATGGTAACTCAGAGTTCATTTGAGACCCTTTGACTTTTGGCTTTTAAAAATTGTGCCCCACTCGAGTACCAGATAGAACTACATTTAGCAACCGTCTCCTCCTGACTTCCTGGTACTAAAAGCCACAACCACAAGGGCTATTTCGTGGGTTTGCTGTAAAACAACATTTGCTCCAGTCAACTCACTGGAAAATAGACTATCTCTACTGAGTACCCGCTGAGGTGTGGGTGCTCACGATGTTTAAAAACAAAACCACGTGTCTACGCGGCAGCGACACCGCAGGTGTTACGTGCCGGGTTTCTTCCCAGGATGGAGACCGGCGCGGGCTGGGCCGGGAAGCAGCCCCCGGCGCCCCGGCCGAAGGAGAAAAGGAGAAGGGTAAAAATAGCCGGCGGCCACGGCCCACGTGCAGCCGCGGGAGGACCGAGCGCGGGCGCGTGGAGAGGGGTCCGTACCTCCAAACATGCGCGGTGAGAGGTGAGCTGGTAAGGAGCCGATCACCAGGAGCGGCCCGCCGGGGCTCCAGCCCACCGGCCGGTGCCGGCCGCCGCCGCCATCCTCAGGGCTGCTGTGCACCGAGTCCTGCGAGTCCTACGGGCCGCTGCTGCTGTTCGGGATGCTGAAAGAGGACTGCGCCGCGAAGGCCCCCGACGCCACGCCCCCCCGAGGAAACAGCTGCGGGGCCGCCGCGGCGCCGCCGGGCTGGTGAGCGCTGGGCACCTGGGCCGGGAACCTCCCCGCGGCGGCGGCCTCCGGCCCCCGGCTCTGGTCCCGGTCCCATTGGCCACTCCGCTGCTACTGGAAGGTAGATCCGAGCCGAGTACGCGCGCGTGCGCCGTGAGCGGCGGCCAGGCCGCTCTGCTTGGCGCTCATGTCCGCCCTGCTCCGGACCGGGCCGCGCGCTGTGCCCCGAGAGCCAAGAAGGCAGGAGCGAACGCGGGAGCTAGAGGGCAGGGCCGAGGCGCTGCGGCCGGCCCAGAGAGGCCCCCGCACGTCCAGGGCCGCCGCCCGGCGCCCCGAGGGGCAGTCGGCGCCCGGCGCGCTCTTCTCGGGGCGGTGGGCAAGGCTGGCGGCCTGACGCGGGCGCGGGAGACGAGGAGACGCGGAGAAGAAGGTGTCCCGGCTGCAGGCACCCCTCGCTGTCTCCAGCAGGAAGGGGCGACTCAGGTG
This sequence comes from Homo sapiens, assembly GCF_000001405.40. Lineage (NCBI taxonomy): Eukaryota > Metazoa > Chordata > Mammalia > Primates > Hominidae > Homo > Homo sapiens. The sequence goes on from NC_000007.14 coordinate 29,685,488, forward strand.
GCGGTGCGACTGCCGCTGGTTTCGGTTCTGGTGCGCCATGACGGGCCGCTGCCGCTTTCTGCCGCCGCGCTTGGCGCCCCGGGCCTCCGCACCGCCTAGTCTCCGGCGGCCGCTGCTACCGCCGCCATCCTCCGGCTCCCACGGCGGCTGGCGGCTGAGTGGGAGGCGCCCGCCCAGACTCCGCCGGAGCCACCTTCCCTCCTCCCCCAGCCACCCAGCCGTTATTAACGGAGAAAGAGGAAAAACGGGTGGCGCGCGAGGGGAGGACGAAGAATGGGAGGGAGGGAGGGGTGGCCCGCGCTTCCCGGCAACCGTCGCTTCCCTCCCCCTGCGAGATTAATTTCACAGGGGATTAATTTCTCATTTACAAATAAAAATGTAAGTTTAGAACAGAATGTTTTAACAAGGTAAAAGCATTCACTGCATACTATATGCCAGCACTATACTTAGGACATATAGGACATATACGACTGTATATGTGAGCGCTTATCTCACTTCTCTTGTAGAATGGTTATTATTAAACTTATTTGAGAGGTGAAGTGATTGACAGCCGTTGAAGGATTACTTGAGACCATGGAAACTATAACTTGCAGAGTCAGAATTTGAGTTCAATTCTGACATCAAAGCTATGCTTTTCCTACTGTGTCAACCTGCATAATAAAACTACACTTCTGAGACGAGGCAAGATGTTTTTGATGTTTAGTGATGTATATTACATTAACATTGATAATATGATCTCATTAGGTAGTATTGAGTAACTCTAATTTCATGCTTTAAATGCCTAGGGGGAGGACTGGAAAGATAATCACCAACTTTTTTTTTTTTTTTTTTGAGATGGAGTTTTGCTCTTGTCGCCCAGGCCAGAGTGCAGTCCTGTGATCTTGGCTCACTGCAGCCTCTGCCTTCCGATTTCCAGCCTCTGCCTTCCGATTTCAAGTGATTCTCCTGCCTCAACCTCCTGAGTAGCTGGCATCACAGGCGCCTGCCACCACGCCCAGCTAACTTTTGTATTTTTAGTAGAGATGGGGTTTCACTATGTTGGCCAGGCTGGTCTCGAACTCCTGACCTCATGATCCGCCCGCCTTGGCCTCCCAAAGTGCTGGGATTACAGGTGTGAGCCACCGCACCAATTACCAAAATATTAAAAATGGTTAGCTCTAAGAGGTGCTTGCTTTCTCTTTTCAACTCTTTATTTTTTGACATTTTCCCCCCAGTGATTTCACATTAGTTTCCCAGAATGTATAGTGTTATTTTTAAAAAACCTCTGAGACATGAACATTCTGTTGGAAATTTTTTTCTGTTGTTATTTTTTCTTTGTCTTTGAACTTTTAAAAATAGCTTGCAGTTTGGAAACAATTGGTCAATTAAATCTTCTGCTTGGTTAAAATTGTAATGGGTACAGGTGCTATTATTCCATTCTGTTCCAGTTTTTATAATATATTTTATATATTTTATGAAGGAATAAATTCAAGGATCTAAATGAAGTGAATTATGAAATGTTTCTATAAATCTTTGTATTTTTCTATTATCACCATATTTTAATTATATACTTTTATATTGACTTACTATTATTTATATTACAGAATTGGGTATCACATATATAATATTTTTCTATATAGAGGCATAATGTATAATTTTGAAGTGACTGATTCCTAAGTGAAATGATCTAAATAAATTTGTCAGAATTTATAATGTCTAAGGCAACCATCACAAAATGGTATTTTGGAAAGATTATTATTATGAAGAGAATATATTTTCCTCCATTATCTCTTTGTTTTTATCTTTTTAAAGGTAATCATAGCCTCCTGGTATCGCACATCCATGGGAATACTGAATTTATTTGGACTAGAAACTAACACCTGCTGGAATGTCACCAGAATAGAACCTCTTAATGAAGTTCAAAGCTGTGAAGGCATGTTTCTTCCAAAAATGCTGTCATTTGTAAACATTCATAAACATTTAATAATATTATGATTCACTTTAAAGAATTATTGTAAAATACTGTTGTTGATTTAAAAAAAAATTAGAACTGGCTCACCTCAATGAGTATTTTACATTTTAAAGTAGTTTTCTGAGAAGGCTGTGTACTTACAAATTTGAGTATAAATTTTGGAATTTGAGTATTAACATATCCCATTGTAAGGCAACCTTGACTATAAGTTAGTCTTCTATTTCAGAATGCGAAGATACAGACAGATGTTTTTTGGGGTAGCTTCAATATATAAATTTTGAGGATAGATTAAAGAGTCAAATATCTATTTGTAATAGCTAATGTATAAATTTAATTATGCATACATATTTAAAAATCGGATATGCAATAATAGATTGATTTAGAAACATTACTTTTTTATATATGCTCATAGTCCGTGAGTAGTATTAATAAAACTCTTCCTATTTATCTTCTACATTGGTTTCTTTGTCAAAGAACCACTTTTGGAGTCATCCAACAGCGTTCCAGGATACATAGTGGTCACTTCCATTTAAGATGTTTGCATTTCAGCACTTTTATAATTCAAATATGGTGCTGTCCCTTGAGACTCTTGTTGAGAGCCACATGTATCTCTTTTTATAACACTAACACTGTTGTTTTTTCTGCATTTCTTCAAATTCTTAACAACATGACTTATTATATTTTATGAATAAATTTTTAGACTTGTCTGTAACAACATTCAACTCTTGGAATATAAACTAAATCTATTTTCCTTACATTTTTTACTGATTCCCTCAGTAAAAATAGAATTGATGAGGATGTTTGAGGGGCAATTATACTTTTTTGTGTACAATGTAAAGGATTGGAGAAAATGCCTCATAAAATGAGATACTTTGCAATGATTCAATCAGCTAGAAGGTGTGACCCTGTCTGAGTGGTGAAAATGATCACCTAAATATGGTATTAATTACATTCCCAATAAGTGATAAGTTAGTGTTTGGCACTTGGGACACAGAGATGAACCAGCTAGACATGGGGCCTTACCTTCATAGAGTTTATGCTGTAAGAGGTCTTTTAGCAGTTACAACTGTGAGGGATACTACAAATAAGAAAATAAGATTACTGACATTAGGAGTAAGAGGATAAGTATTTTAAGAATAGGGAATAACATATTCAAATATCCTGAAGCAAGAGAGAACTGAAAGAAGGCTAGAATTCCTGGAAGTGATGGAGAAGAAAAATGATGTGAAATGGTGCTGGGAATATAAGCAAGGATCAGATCATGAAAGGCGTGCACTGGTGAAGGATTTTATACTTTATCCATTGAAGAATTTTAACAGAGTTTCATTTTAAAACATTATTTAATCAATGGTATGGAAAGAATATTAGTAAAGGGACAAAAGTAGGTTCAGGGAGGCCAGGTAGGAGACTATTATATTCTCAGCAAGTGATTGCAGGAAAGATAATGTGGATATGCAGGAAAGATAATGTGGATAATGTGGGTTTGAGAGAGATTTTGGAAGTAGAATGGACAAGACTTGGTAATTGTTTGGTAAGAGAGGGGAAGGTGAGTGAAGAATCATGTGAAACACAGTTTGGTTTCTAGCTTAAGTAACTGAGCTCCTTTGAATGGTAGGAAACATTTGAACAGCAGCAGGTTTGTATTGTTATGTTTCATTGTGTATGCTTGAATTTGAGGTACTCGAGAGACCTCAGAGTGGGGGCATCAAGTGGCTATCTGGGTATAAGAATAAGGAGAAAGTTCTGGATTAAATGTAGAGTTGGAGTCATCTGTATATAGATCATTGGAGCCATGGATGTGGAAGAATTTCTTTATGGAGAATGTGCAGATGGAGAAATGAAGGGAGCATATGACAGAGCCTAAGGTGGTCCAGTATTAAAGAGTGGTACATAAAACAAGAGAAATTACTGGAACTGATTGAAAGGAGTGACCAGAGAGGCAGGGGGAATCAGAAGGCCAGCCTTCAGACCTTGGCTCCAGCCAGTTAAAGTGAAATAACCTTTGACAAGTTGAATATTCTATGTTCTGTTTTCTTAATCATAAGAAAAGTATTTTTATATCAGCTAATATCATAAACTTGTTCTGAGAAAAATGTGGGATGGTTGTAAAGTACATATTGCCACACACACGCACGATCTTCTATATGGAATATACTAAGATTCTAGCTATACATAATAATGGATCAAATGACTGGATCATTTCATATAGACTAAAGCTGTACCCTGAAGTCAAAACCATATCTTAACTCTTCCTAGAGCCTAGCAAAAGATAAAAATAATGCAATGGATTTTCTTTTGTATTCATTAAGTGGTTCTACAGACAGTTCCAGACACTGAACACTAGCAGCATCACCTAAATAAATGTGAATCCCCAACAAATCATTACAGTATAATAGTAATTCATTAGATGAAAGTACAAATGCAATTATAAAAAGTATAAAGTGTAACTATATAATACCTCATTAAGGGTGAGCTTACATATGTGTATGTGTATATATACACACATATATACACACATACATATATGTGTTTGCATACACACACACACACAAACTCTTATAAGGGTAAAGAATTAAACACAGCGGCAATCTGGAAAGCAAATGCTTTGAGCAAATTCATAAGCTCTTGATTGCAAAGCACTGAGATAATTATGCCCAATTGCTTTCGAGTCATATATTCATTAAACACTGATTATCTGTATCTTTTCAAAGGATTGGGAGATCCTGCTTGCTTTTATGTTGGTGTAGTCTTTATTTTAAATGGACTAATGATGGGATTGTTCTTCGTGTATGGAGCATACCTGAGGAAAGACTACTACTGAATTAAGACACCTTTCAGTGGGCTTATACAGACCGGCTGATATTTTTTGATTGAATGAAAAGGAAAATTAACGAGATTAGATTCATATCAGGAAAGTTTGTGGATTTATTTGATTTTTTCAGAAGCTTAACCAATATCATGTAACCAGAAACTGGAGATGTCACTAAAATTCTATCTCAAAGGCATCCCTTTTATCCCTTAAGGATTTTTTTTTGACTAATTAAGATTTCCTAACAAAGGCTTTAATGGAATATCTCCTAGTTCATGTGTAAAATTAATAAAACATTGGAGGAGATCTTTGGTTAGCAGTAACAGCAGCTTATTTCTAATTGTATTCTCTAAGGATGAAATTAAGAAAGCAGTAGGAAAAACTGTATCACATGTGGCAGGCACTTACATCTACTAGCCTATCTTGATAAGAGTACCACGATGAAGAAGCAGTGAGACCGGTCTCAGGTGATAAGTTGAAATTAATTTCAACGGTCATGTGTTTTGCTCCCACACTTAATTGCTCCCTGAGATAGCCAAATCAGCGAGTTTTTGTCAATGAAAACTAAGGTGAAGTCAGTTTTGGTTACATCTAGGAAAGTATCTGCCTTTCTCACAAAGGACAGACTTAGCTGCCCCTTCTCTGTTTCTTCCTGCTTTTATTACACTAGGATGTCATGCCCAGAGCTGTAGCGGTCATCTTGTGACCATAAGGGAAAGGCCATAAAAATAGCAGATATATCTGGCCTACCATCCTTCTGCTGCTGAACCAATGCCAACAGGTACTTATCTTTCATTTTCTTGTTGAATGATATAGTAAACAACATCCATATTGTGTAAGCTACTTTTGTTAGGTTTTCTGTTTCTTTCAGTGGAACATATTCCTAGCTGAATCATCAGATTTCTTTACAATGTTATTCTTGTCGTGTAAAACATTTAAAATTAAAATTAAAATTAATTAATAGTTTTGCTCTTTCAACAAATATTTGTTGAGTTTTCATAGGGCTTATGTCAATATAGAGATTAGTAAATATACACACTCTTTGTTTTAGGAAGTTTTCAGCATAAAAAAGACTAGCATAGAATCAATGAAAACTAGTGACATAGTCAGTGTTGTACCAGGGATACTATCCAGCATGGTACGTAAAAAGAAAATTAGTAATAAGTATAAGGATTAGAAAACTTGAAAAAAAAGAAATAAGTGTTCTTAAAAGTAGATTACATCATATATCTAGAAAAATTTTACAAGTTTATGGATACAGTATTTGCAATAAGAAAATATACAATGTTACTAGATGTAAACATTAATATTAAAATTCAAAATTATAAATTTTATACTTTAGGATCAAATAGAAAATGAAATTTTGAAAGGATGCTATTTAGAATAGCATTAAAAGCATGACGTTCCTCAGAATAAATCCAACAAAAAATATATATGATAGCTATGGGAAAATGATTAAAACATTCCTGAGATATGTCTAGGAAAATCTAAGTGGAGAGATATTCCACATTGATTGATTGAAGACTTGATATTAAAAAGATTTGTAGATTCAATGCTCTACCAGTCAAAATTCCAACATATTTTTTGTTGACTTTGATGAACTGATTTAAAAGTTACTCAGAAATGCAAAGGGCCAAATACAGTCAAGGTATTCTTGAAAAAGGAGGATTTGCACTATCAACTGTTGCTATATTATAAAGCTAATGTAAAAAGACGCTGTGATATTGGCACAGGAATAGACAAATAGATAACCGAAATAGAGTACAGCCCAGAAGCAGAAATGTACATTTAAAAGCATTTGATATATGGAAGAGCGGGTATTGCAGATTGGTGGGTAAGGACAGGCATTTTAAAAAATAGTCGTGGAATGATTGGGAGATCATATGGAACAAAGAAAACTTGGAACTATATAAATAATACTCCAAGCTGGATTAAACACTCAAATATGAAAGACAGATTTATAAAAGTGTTCAGCATATAATATAGAAAAATCACTTGGAATAAGAAATGATAAGCAAGATACAAAAATCCAGCCATGAAGAGAAACTGATAAATTTGATGAGTTTATCAATTTTACCTCAGAAGAACTGTAGGATAAAAAAAACCTGAAAGTGAGTGAAGATATTTACAAAGTGTACGCCCCACCTACTATCCAGAAATTCCATTCATTAATTTGATAAATATTTATTGAAAGCCTGTTGTGACCAGGAGCACTGTTCTAGGTGCTTGGAATACAGAAGAGAAATCTCTGTCCTTGTGAAGTTTATATTAGAGTGGGAAGATAAAGACAAAGAAGAAAGACAACTTGATAGAAAAATGGACAAAATGTTTATGAACTGATATTTCCCAGAAGAACACCAAATGGTCAATAAACATATGTAAAGTTGACCACCATCATTTGTCATAAACAAAATGTAAATTCAAACCACAGTGAAATACCAACTCACATCTAATAGATTGATAAAGGAGCTTTCATCCACCACAGGTGGACATATAAATTGGTACAACTATTTTGGTAAACAGTGTATATTATCTGGTAAAGTTGAAGGTATAGATACCTTATAACTCAGCAGTTCTAATTTAACATATATATTCCCAAAAAAGTATTGCACATGTGTACTAGGAAGTACATACAATAATATGGTAGCATTATTTGCAATAGCTTCAAACTGGAAAGAACCCAAATATCCATTAACAGAGAAATGAATACATTTTGGTTTATTAACATGGTGGAACAGTATACAATAATGAGAATGAATGAACTATGCAGCTACACACAACATGGTTGAATCTTACAAATATAATTTTGAATGAGTGAATCCAGGTACAAAATTAAAAAAAATACTGCATTCTTCCATTTGTATGTTGTTTAAAAACAGATTAAAGTAAATCATAGTTTGATATGTGTATAGAAAGAGTTATGTTGATAATCTCAAAAATCAGGTCAGTAGCTGATTCTTATCTTGGAGGCTTGCAAGTGAAGACTGAGTATAATCATTTCTCTATTTCAATTAATTATATGGTGACTACATGGACGTTCCCTTTACAGTAGTTCTATAATCTAGAAATTTTATGCACTTTTCTATATGCCGTGTAGAAAAATATAAGCTCATTAAAGTACTTTGAGGGAAAAGGATTGCTTTGAGATTGTTTGGGCAGGTTTAAAAATGTTCTATTTTTTTTAAAAAAGTTCTGTTTTTGGGCAAGGCGCAGTGGCTCATGCCTGTAATCCAAGCACTTTGGGAGGCCGAGGCGGGCGGATCATGAGGTCAGGAGATCGAGACCATCCTGGCTAACATGGTGAAACCCCGTCTCTACCAAAAAAACAAAAAAAAAAATTAGCCGGGCATGGTGGCAGGCGCCTGTAATCCCAGCTACTCGGGAGGCTGAGGCAGAAGAATCGGCTTCAACTGGAGAGGCAGAGGTTGCAGTGAGCCGAGATCGCGCCACTGAACTCCAGCCTGCGTGACAGAGCGAGACTCCTTCTCAAACAAACAAAAAAACAAAAAGACAACAACAAAAGAAATGGTTTTTATCTTTCATCTGATTTTTGTATTCTGCATTATTGCTTCTCTGGGACTCAAGTAAAGAATATTTGCAGTAGTTTAGACAGTTCTAAGTTAATGCTACATGAAACTGTTTGAATCTTGTCTTTATCTCTCAATCCCTTAAATCCAATTTCAAAAATAAAAAGTTGCCTTTATTCAGGTTATTCAAAGGATGTGATCTAGACTCTAAAGTGCTAGCCTGTTTCTTAAAAATTACTTTATGCAGTGGGGCGCGGTGGCTCACGCCTGTAATCCCAGAACTTTGGGAGGCCGAGGCGAGTGGATCACGAGGCCAGGAGTTTGAGACCAGCTTGGCCAACATGGTGAATCCCCATCTCTACTAAAAGTAAAAAAATTAGCCGGGCATAGTGGCACACGCCTGTAATCCCAGATCCTTGGGAACCTGAGGCAGGAGAATCTTTGGAACCCAGGAGGCGGAGGTTGCAGTGAGTTGAGATTTCGCCACTGCACTCCAGCCTGGGCGACAGAGCAAGACCCCATCTCAAAAAAAATTTATGTTCACACCTTATGTATTTCATTTAGAAAGTATTTTAGCTATGATAAATTATAAAATTGAGATTACTTTATATGTACACCTTTTAGGATTGTACATTCAGGATTTAAACATCAACCACATGGGTATGGTTTAGTACTATTATGTTTTAAATATGATTTAAACTATGGTTTAAAATTCTGAGGTAATTTTGTGAAAAACTCACTATATTTTACATGAATTTTGATTGTATACTCTTATTATTATTATTTTTTACAGTGGGACTCAACTAGGAGGTCTTATTACAGTACTGTGCTGCTTTTTCAACCATGGAGAGGTTTGTTTTCTAGAAAGCAATTTTTAAGAAATAGAAGGGGTTTAGAGGAACAAAGAAATATACTCATTGAAACAATATATAATTGTATACTACTTATGACTTCACAGTATTTCAGAGACCCTCGTGTTATAAGTTGATATTTTAATCATGCTGATTGAAATGTTTAAATAGCTAGAATTTCAAACATGAAATCTCTTGCCTTATTTTTAGTAAATATATACATATACATATATTCTGTAGAGAAAAGGAAATACTGTACTTGTTGAGTTGAATCATGTCATGCACATTATCTGATTTATTCCCACTAAACTTTTTTTGTGGGTGGTGGTAGCCTCACCATACAAGTTATGAAATTTAAATTTAGAGAAAATTAAGTTACTTATCCACATTCTACATTTACTACATGATGAAGCTGGATTTCCCATTCTATGTCTGCCTCTAAAACCTCACATATATATTAATTTATATTTTATTAATTATAAAATTATAGTTATATTTTATAAAAACTTTTATATATTTTATATGTATAACATATATATTCAGCTTTTTTATTGTGGTAAGAATAAGTAACATGAGATCTGCCCTCTTAACAGATTTGTAAGTGTACAATACAGTGTTAACACAATGTTGTATAGCAGATCTCTAGAACTTATTTATCTTGACTAACTGAAACTTTGTATGCATTGCACTCCCCTTAACAATAATGAAAGAGGCCTCAGGCCTGACAGCAGGGACACGGTTAAGACACTGCCACCTGCTCCCTCACTTCTTTGTGTTACATCATGCTGTCTGTTCAGTAATGCAAAATGCTGAATTCAAAATAGACATTAACTTACTAATTCAGCCCAGTGAAACATAGTCCACCTAAAAAAGAGCCCATAGAAGCTTATTTCAAATATGATGGATACATTCAACAAAATATTGGTATATACCATGTCCATACTCTGTTAGATGCTGAGGATATGGCAATGAAAAAGAGAGAGATTCTGACTCCTAGCTCTTGGGAGCAAAATATTTAATATGTTATGACACAGGTTTCATAGGGTAGAAGTATTTTTTTTTTTCAAGATGGAGTCTTGCTCTGCCACCCAGGCTGGAGTGCCGTGGCATGATCTTGGCTCACTGCAACCTCTGCCTCCCGGGTTCAAGCAGTTCTCCTGCCTCAGCCTCCTGAGTAGCTGGGATTACAGGCATGTGCCACCATGCTCAGCTAAATTTTTGTGTTTTTAGTAGAGATGGGGTTTCACCATGTTGGCCAGGCTGGTCTCGAACTCCTGACCTCGTGATCCACCCGCCTTGGCCTCCCAAAGTACTGGGTATTACAGGCGTGAGCCACCATGCCCGGCCGGGGTAGAAGTACTTTTATCCATTGCTGTTGGGTTAATTTTTAAAAATCAGTTAGATAAAGGAATCATAAAAATTATACATAAAAGCCATATATATTATTTTAAAGCAAACAAATGCATTGACATTCAGCAATGTGCTGATTTAAAGACAAAGCTTTTTCTCTGAGTGTGCCAGACAACTGTTGGTATAAGTTGACTTTCTTTTATGTATCACAATTCCTCTTCTAACATTTACAATTTTGGTATCTTGGAAGAGGAGCAATAACTTTTAAGACTCTTGCAAAGTAATAAGAATTCACATTCTTTCTAGAATTTCAGAATTTTTGATGGAAAATTTTTCTAATACTCTGACCCATATGTCTTAGAAGTAATTTTAAAGTTTGTGTGAAAATTTAATACTTTTGTTACATGCATCACATTTGTAGTTCCCAAATACTTCTAGTTGTTTTTAAAATATATACTTAACCTTTTTTAAGGTACATTTTACAAAATCTGAGGCAATCTTAGCTATTTAAAGTGTGTATTTATATTCGTTCATACTTGTTACATAGAAACTCTCATGGTGCTTGCGAATGACCTAGGTGACATTTGTTTAGGTGTTTGTCTTGGCATGCATATATCCCAAAGCCTGGGATGCCAGGATCATGTGCCAGGATCATACTGCAGGGCTGGACTATGTATCTAGTTGGTCAGTCTCAGAATTCTCACAACTCTTATACGTACAATCTTGTTTGTCCCTTGGGTTTCATTTTGCTCGGTCTGATATATCTGTTGCTGGTTTCTGGACATGGTAGTTAATTGCTCTCTACTTAATGGCCTCATGCGTTAAGAGAGCTTCAAAAACTGAGAAGCTATGCCAGACACTCAGAAATGGGATCTAGTGAGCCTAGTATTGAAATTACGAAAAAAAACTCACCCCTGGTTTTTAAATATGTTTGTTGTAGTAAACATGATGTAAAGTGGGCATTTTGTTGATTTCAGGTCACTCGTGTGATGTGGACACCACCTCTCCGTGAAAGTTTTTCCTATCCATTTCTTGTACTTCAGATGTATATTTTAACTTTGATTCTCAGGTAACTTCGATTTATAAAACAAAGGCAAATAAATTATAATTTTAGTGTCTTAAAATATGCTTCAGTTCAGCACTTTGGGAGGCTGAGGTGGGCAGATCACTTGAGGTCAGGAGTTTGAGACCAGCCTGGCCAACATGGTGAAACCTTGTCTCTACTAAAATACAAAAGTTAGCCAGGCATGGTGGTGTGCATCTGTAATCCCAGCTACTTGGGAGGCTGAGGCAGGAGAATTGCTTGAACCCGGGAGGCAGAGGTTGCAGTGAGCCAAGATTGTGCCACTACACTCCAGCGTGGGCAACAGAGCGAGACTCCCTCTAAAAAAAATATGTAAATATATATATTATATATATATACTTCAACCTATGAAGTTGTAATTACCAAATTGACCATTTTTTAGTTATTTTAAAAGTAAATTGAGTATAGAGTTAAGAAAATAATTCAAAATTGCTACGTAAAAATTGCTCTCCATTTCAGAGTGTAGGCTACAGGTTTTAGATAACTACATTATATTTTAATAAACCAAAAGTTATGTGTTTGTATATAGTTTGCCAAGATTCAGAAGTTTTTGAGAAACAATTACATTTTCTCTTCAAAGTTTAGGTACCCTGACGTTGTTTTCTAACCTGTGGTTTTGATGAATGTGCCATGAAAAAAGTGTTCTGTGTGCAAACGAATTTGGGAAATGCGGAGTTAGATGGATAAAGAGTACATATATTCACATATTTATGAAGCATTTCTGAACAACCAATGTTTCTAACAGGACAACCAGTTTCATTTCAAACTTTTTTTTTGGATACACTTTTTTTGTAGGGATTACATTTATAAGCATTTTAGATATATAAGAGGTCTGAGAAATGAACAAAAAAAACTATATGTGGTAGAATAGTATAAATAGCCTTATCAGAGAAATAGATTTGATAGAATACTAATGAGAACTCTCACTGAATGAAATAATGATCACTATCTCCTCCAAACTCCCAGAGGACCCCATTCTTCACCTACTAGTCCCTGGCAGATTCTGCCTTATATAAAAATCATTTGTTTTTCTTCCTTGTTTTTTAAAACCGTAAATTTATGAATCATCCACACATACACAAATTTTTATTTATTTATTTCTTTAGAGATGAAGTCTTGCTCTGTCACCCAGGATGGAGTGCAGTGACATGATCGGCTCACTGCAACCTCTGCTTCCCGGGTTCAAGCGATTCTCCTGCCTCAGCCTCCCAAGTAGCTGGGATTACAGGTGCACACCACCACCCCCAGCTAGTTTTTGTATTTTTGGTAGAGACAGGGTTTTGCCATGTTGTCCAGGCTGGTCTTGAACTCCTGACCTCAAGTGATCCGCCCGCTTCGGCCTCCCAAAGTGCTGGGATTACAGGCGTGAGCCACTGTGCCCAGCCAATTATATGTATTTAAAAATACCACTGGAAACAGGGACCATGCCATATTTATCTCTTTAACCACAGAATACTGCACACGTCCATGCAAATATTTGTGGCACTCAGATAAAGCTAATTGAAGAGTGGTAAATAGTAGTGTACTGGAGTGGCACAAACCTTGAGGATGGAGCAGGCTAACTTCTGATTTCTTACCAACCTGACAAGTATATTCTGGGGTTGAATTTGGATTTAGGAACCTCCTCCTCATTCAGATTTCTATATCTTTGCTCTACACTTTGCCTTCTCTCAAAGATTAGGTGATGGAAGCTGACCATTCTTCATCACCCCTTGCTATTCATTCCCAGTTTAATTCCTAGGAAGGTGGGTTATTTTTATTTTTTTGAGGTGGTATCAGTCTGGTCAGTCAGGGCTTTCATGGAATAAAATGTCTTAATGAGAACATTTAGGGTTGTATCATTGAGTGCATGTGCTATACTCTGTATCTTAGTCAGAACTAATTTTTGTTTGAAAAATATAAGATTACAAAGTACATAATGAGTATTTTATGATAACATTAATAAACAATATGAACATTTAGAATTTTGTTTTTGAAAATTTATATACGATTGTACAAAGATTCATCAAAATCCAATACAGCATTTATAAAAGGAGCAGTTACAGTTTTATTATTTAGGTAATATGTTTGTGTTTCTTCTTTCTTATCTAAAAGTTACTATAATTCTCTGTGGTAAAAGGTATTCGTTCCCAATACATCTCAGTAATGCAGAATGGACAATTTAAACTTCCACATGCTTCAGCTGAATTCTAGAATGATTTTTTAATTTTTTAAGATTCTTTTTCCTTAAATTTTTCCCATAGTTGTTAACTTATTACTTTGTCAGCACTTACATTTCTCTTCAATGTTTTTTGAAACAGAAAAGTGGTGGTATATAAAAGTTGTTGCTACACATACACGAGAAGCATGTTGAGGTGTGCAGGGGCAGCGCCGTGTCCTATTTTCTGACCTCCTTGCTGGAGTATTAAATTTCTAATGTCATGCAGATGTAGAGGAAAACGAGCTTTTGTATTTAGAATATTTAATGGTAAATTACAATGTTATTTTTTTTTTCATGTAACAGTAACATTTTTATTTTATTTTTTTATTATTATTATACTTTTAAGTTTTAGGGTACATGTGCACAATGTGCAGGTTAGTTACATATGTATACATGTGCCATGCTGGTATGCTGCACCCATTAACTCGTCATGTAGCATTAGGTATATCTCCTAATGCTATCCCTCCCCACTCCCCCCACCCCACAACAGTCCCCAGAGTGTGATGTTCCCCTTCCTGTGTCCATGTGTTCTCATTGTTCAATTCCTATCTATGAGTGAGAACATGTGGTGTTTGGTTTTTTGTCCTTTCGATAGTTTACTGAGGATGATTATTTCCATTTTCATCCATGTCCCTACAAAGGACATGAACTCATCATTTTTTATGGCTGCATAGTATTCCATGGTGTATATGTGCCACATTTTCTTAATCCAGTCTATCATTGTTGGACATTTGGGTTGGTTCCAAGTCTTTGCTATTGTGAATAGTGCCGCAATAAACTTTATAGCAGCATGATTTATAGTCCTTTGGTTATATACCCAGTAATGGGATAGCTGGGTCAAATGGTATTTCTAGTTCTAGATCCCTGAGGAATCGCCACACTGACTTCCACAATGGTTGAACTAGTTTATGGTCCCACCAACAGTGTAAAAGTGTTCCTATTTCTCCACATCCTCTCCAGCACCTGTTGTTTCCTGACTTTTTAATGATTGCCATTCTACCTGGTGTGAGATGGTATCTCATTGTGGTTTTGATTTGCATTTCTCTGATGGCCAGTGATGATGAGCATTTTTTCATGTGTCTTTTGGCTGCATAAATGTCTTCTTTTGAGAAGTGTCTGTTAATATCCTTTGCCCACTTTTTGATGGGGTTGTTTGTTTTTTTCTTGTAAATTTGTTTGAGTTCATTGTAGATTCTGGATATTAGCCCTTTGTCAGATGAGTAGGTTGGGAAAATTTTCTCCCATTTTGTAGGTTGCCTGTTCACTCTGATGGTAGTTTCTTTTGCTTGTGCAGAAGCTCTTTAGTTTAATTAGATCCCATTTGTCAATTTTGGCTTTTGTTGCCATTGCTTTTGGTGTTTTAGACATGAAGTCCTTGCCCATGCCTATGTCCTGAATGGTAATGCCTAGGTTTTCTTCTAGGGTTTTTATGGTTTTGGGTCTAATGTTTAAGTCTTTAATCCATCTTGAATTAATTTTTGTATAAGGTGTAAGGAAGGGATCCAGTTTCAGCTTTCTACATATGGCTAGCCAGTTTTCCCAGCACCATTTATTAAATAGGGAATCCTTTCCCCATTGCTTATTTTTCTCAGGTTTGTCAAAGATCAGATAGTTGTAGATATGAGGCGTTATTTCTGAGGGCTCTGTTCTGTTCCATTGATCTATATCTCTGTTTTGGTACCAGTACCATGCTGTTTTGGTTACTGTAGCCTTGTAGTATAGTTTGAAGTCAGGTAGCGTGATGCCTCCAGCTTTGTTCTTTTGGCTTAGGATTGACTTAGCAATGGGGGCTCTTTTTTGGTACAATGTTATTTTTAAAACTCTAATTTTGATTGCTTCATGCAAGCCATGAAATATTGCAATTTCTTTTTAGTATACTTTAAAAAGTTAACTATATTTTGTTGTATTATAGTAAAGGTAATGGAATAATTTAGATTTTATCATTTTGCAAGTAGTCTTTCTTTTCAGTGACAGACTACTTTTAGGGTGAAACTTATTGGTATCACTTCTCTCTATTAAGGACCTCGAGCAATGATAGAAGGCCCTTCATTGCACTCTGTCTTTCCAATGTTGCTTTTATGCTTCCCTGGCAATTTGCTCAGTTTATACTTTTTACACAGGTAAGATGATTTTTTAAATTAATTTTTATTTTTATTTTAAGTTATGGGGTACATGTGCAGGATGTACAGCTTTGTTATGTAGGTAAATGTATGCCATGGTGGTTTTTGCATCTATCAACCCATCACTTAGGTATTAAGCCCAGCATGCATTAGCTATTTTTCCTAATGTTCTCCCCACCCCATCCCCCGACAGGCCCCAGTGTGTGTTGTTCCCCTCCCTGTGTCCATGTATTCTCATTGTTCAGCAACCACTTATAAGTGAGAACATGTGGTGTTTGGTTTTCTGTTCCTGTTGCTGAGGATAATGGCCTCCAGCTCCATCCATGTCCCTGCAAAGGACCTGATCTCATTCCTTTTTATGGCTGTGTAATATTCCATGGTGTATATGTACCACATTTTCTTTATCCAGTCTATCACTGATAGGCATTTGGGTTAATTCCATGTCTTTGCTATTATGAATAGTGCTGCAGTGAACACATGGGTGCATGTATCTTTGTAATAGAATGATTTATATTCCTTTGCATGTATTAATTAAATTGAATGCAAGATGTACTTGGTTGTTTCCATAGAAATTTTTAAATATGGTTACATTTATGCCCTAAAAGATTTTCAAAATAGGGAATAAAGTTTACTTAAAGGTATGATTTTTATGAAATAATGTAATTCCACATTCTTTTACTGTATTGATTAGTTGACAGATTTTAAGGCTCAACATGTGAAAGAGTTTTTCTATTATTTTTATTCACAAATGTTATTTTTGGTGTTTGAGATAATATCTGTATATATCTACCTATAGATTTTCCTTTTGTCCTGGGAATCATTCTGGGTGCCAAGCTACACAGCATGCTAAGGGCCAATCCTACTCTTCACAGCAGGAAGTTCTGCTGCTAATCCAGCTAAATGTTGGCTGTTTTGTCTGTGGAGCAGAATTTTTCCTGGCACCATTTCTGTGAGCTTTAATCATAAAGCTCATCATTCCTTAAGTGAGCTGAGCCTACATCCTGTTTCCAAAGCAACTATGTAACTAGTACCAAGAAACTGAATTGGGGAAGCAGAGAGTAAATGGAGAATTTTGATGAAATTTCATGATACTAAGATTTTTCCATCAGAGCTCCTGCCTGCATAACAAATACTGATGATAATAACAATATTCTATATTGGAAGTGAGAAATTCTGCCAAGAAGTCTCATGCTGCCAGTAGCCTACAAAGAACGAAATTATAACCCCAGCTCAATTGGTGCTGCATGTTTAAAGTATTCCCTCTGTTTTACTTCATGATAGTTGGCCCCTTTCAGGTTATAACACGGACATTTTTCTATGGTTTTCATTATTTGCACATGCCAACAGAGTAGAATAGATTTTTAACGAGCATCACTTCATTGCAAGCAAATTTATTAATCCAGTGGTACTGATGAAACTAAGGAGCTCTTTGGGGTCAGGCTCGATGGCTCACGCCTGTAATTCTTGCACTTTGGGAGGCTGAGGCGGGTGGATCACAAGGTCAGGAGTTCAAGACCAGCCTGGCCAAGATGGTGAAACCCTGTCTTTACTAAAAATACAAAAAAATTAGCCGGGCATGGTGGCGGGTGCCTGTAATCTCAGCTACTCGGGAGGCTGAGGCAGAGAATTGCTTGAACCGAGGGGGAGGCGGAGGTTGCAGTAAACCAAGATCGCACCACTGCACTCCAGCCTAGGTGATAGAGCGAGACTCAGTTAAAAAAAAAAAAAAGAAGAAGAAGAAGCAGCTATTGGGTAAGTTTGATATTGCTGTGATGATTTTCTAGCCATTCTCTGCATATATACTAGGCTTTTATTTTTCTTTACTAATGTATATAGTTTTGTTTGTATGTGTGCATTTCATGCTTACAGAGGAATAATTCAATGTTATTTGTTATTTTCTGGGAGTACTTTAAGATTTTATTCTTAATTGTGTTTTTCATAGATTAAGGTTAAAATTAGTTCATTGTGCCACCACACCTGGCTAATTTTTTAATTTTTTGTAAAGATGAGGTATCACCGTCTTGCCCAGGCTGCTCTTGAACTCCTGGGTTCAAGCAGTCCTCCTATCTTGGCCTCCCAAAATGCTGGGATTATAGGCGTGAGCCACCATGCCTGGCCCAATTTTTTTTTATGACTTCTGTGCTCTCCTGGAATTTTCAATCCTATCAGTTACTTCCTTGAACATTGGAAGCAAAACTAAAGACATATCTGATTATGCCAGACAAGTGTTTGAGTGATCTCCAAGCTAAGAATAGTTTTTATATATTTAAAGGGTTATAGAACAAAAATAGAAAAAGAATATACAAGAGACTGTGTGTGACCAACAAAGCATAACATATTTATTATCTGGCCTTTTATATAACAAATGTGCTAATCACTGATCTAAATCTTTTGTGGATCTATTTCTATTGTGTTAGTGATAGTGTCTTATCTCCATCTATGCTGGGTTATTTTTGATTTGGTGCTGGACATTATACATGAAAAATTGGAGAGGCGAGTAAAAAGCACTAATAAATCTTGAACCACCTTCATGCAATCAGATTGAGATGATCCGCAGATGGGTTTCAGTCTTTCTCAGGGCTGCTTGATTTCTGGTTCACTATTATAGTATGGCCTTTCGAAACTCCAAACTAAAGCACCCTTCTTGGTGCACTCTGACTGCTGAATCTGCTGAAATGCCTGCTCAGCTTGTTGGTCTCCCAACTGCCTCTCAGCTGGCAGGTATCTGCCTCTGTTGAAATTGGCAGATACCTCTGGGAGAAAAGTGGCCCAAAATGTCATGCTCATCGGTATAGATTGCCATCTATCTTTTAAATTCCTCATTTGTTTTGTTAATAATCTGTGGCTTTTATACATATTTTTAAAATATTTTTATTTATATATTTATATTTTTCCTAGCCATTCTAGTTCTTAGTGGGAAGGTTGGTTCAAATTCCTTTGCTTACCATTATTAGAACTGTAGCCCTCCTCTTATATTTATTTTGCCTGTGAATAGTAAAGTGTTAGTTTTCTATATTTTTTTACTTTTGCTTTTTTATATTATTTCAGATAGCATCATTATTTCCCATGTATGTTGTGGGATACATTAAACCAAGCAAATTTCAGAAGATCAGTTATCTGAACATGGTAACATTTTTAATTTATGTAAGTCAAATATTAAGATAGGTTCTCAGAGTTTATAAAATCGAAGCGATTCTGTTTTATAGGGTACCTCCTCTTTGGTAATATTTAATACATATGGTATTGGTGATATATAGAAGGAAAACTGGAAATGTATATTATACATGTCATATTATAACAGATTATACTTTCAACTAGACTGTATATGTGTTTTACTGTCTAAAACTTTTGTTTTTATGTTTTACTTATTACTACTTTTAAAACTGCCTTTTCTTTCTCAGACATGAGATTTTTAGCATTTTGCCTGAATATGACACTCTAACTGAAATTTTATATTCTTGCAATTTTGTTTTTGGCTTAGGTCCCAAACATAGCTTCCTTAAAAACATAAAAAGTTAGTAAAGCTTCGTTCTATTTCATTAATAAGATATAAGGCTATTTGTGTTATCCATTTCCTCTTGAGTGAACTTTGGTTGTATCTTTCAAGGAATTTTTAAATTTTATTTATGATGTCAAAGGCATAATATTTTCTTTCTTTATGTATCTATAGTATCTGTAGTGATAGTTCCTCTTCCATTCCTGGTATTAGATGTTTGTGTTCTATTTTTTTTTTCTGATCAGTCTGGTTAGAGGTATATCAATTTTATTAATTTTCTCAAGGAACCAACTTTTGGTTTCATTGATTTGCTCTATTGTTTTTGTTTTCTGTTTCATTGAGTTCTACTCGATCTTTATTACCTCATTTCTTCTGCTTACTTTGGGTTTTGATCTTTTTTTCTAGGTTTTTTTTAAAAAAGGTATAAAGCAAAGTCATTGACTTGAGACCTTTCTTGTTTCTTTTTTTTTTTTTTAAACACAGGTGTTTAGTGCTATAAACTTTTCTCAAAGTACTGCTTTATCAGCATCCCACATATTTTGATAAAGTGCATTTTTAAATTTATTTCATGTTATTGTCATACATTTTACTTAAACATATGAAATAGAAATCTCAATAAATTTGTTTTTATTTAAACAGTAAATTACCTTTTAAAAATAATTAAAACTTTTAAAATGTTGTATATTTACCCCATAGTTACAATTCTCAGTGCCCTTTACTTGTGTACAGCCAGATTGACCTACTGTATTCCTGCTGTCTGAAAGACCTCCTTTAACATTTCTTTTAGTGCAAATCACCTGGTCATGAAGTCTTTATTTTGCCTTCATTTTTGAAAGGTATGTTTCCTGGGTGTAGAATTGCAGGTTAACAGCAATTTTCTTTATGAGATACCATCTCACACCAGTTAGAATGGCAATCATTAAAAAGTCAGGAAACAACAGGTGCTGGAGAGGATGTGGAGAAATAGGAACACTTTTACACTGTTGGTGGGACTGTAAACTAGTTCAACCATTGTAGAAGTCAGTGTGACGATTCCTCAGGGATCTAGAACTAGAAATACCATTTGACCCAGCCATCCCATTACTGGGTATATACCCAAAGGACTATAAATCATGCTGCTATAAAGACACATGCACACGTATGTTTATTGTGGCACTATTCACAATAGCAAAGACTTGGAACCAACCCAAATGTCCAACAATGATAGACTGGATTAAGAAAATGTGGCACATATACACCATGAAATACTATGCAGCCATAAAAAATGATGAGTTCATATCCTTTGTAGGGACATGGATGAAATTGGAAATCATCATTCTCAGTAAACTATTGCAAGGACAAAAAACCAAACACCACATGTTCTCACTCATAGGTGGGAATTGAACAATGAGAACACATGGACACAGGAAGGGGAACATCACACTCTGGGGACTGTTGTGGGGTGGGGGGAGTGGGGAGGGATAGCATTAGGAGATATACCTAATGCTACATGACGAGTTAATGGGTGCAGCACACCAGCATGGCACATGTATACATATGTAACTAACCTGCACATTGTGCACATTTACCCTAAAACTTGAAGTATAATAATAATAAAATAAAATAAAATAAAAAGAATTTAAAAGATGCTGCTTGACTTGTCTTGTTTGCATTTTTTTCTTATGAAATCTGTTGACATCCCTATGCTTTTGTCTGTAAATAATATGTTACTTCTCTAGCTGTTCCCAGCTAGAGATAAGATTTTCTGTTTACCACTGATTTTGAGCAGTTTGTTTATATAATGTGCCTTACTATAGCTTTCTTCATGTTTCTTGTATTTAGGATTCATTGAAATGAATCCTAGATCATTAGATCTTTAGGTTTACAATTTTTATCAAATTTGGAAAAATTTTGGCTATTATTTCTTCAAATTTTTTCTGCCTCCCCCCTCACTTTCATTTAGGGACTCTCATTAAATGCATATTGGGCTGTTTGAAAATGTTCAGTGGTTCATGGAGCCTATGTTTATTTTTGTTCTTTATTTAATTTTGGATAGTTACTATTGCTGTGTCTTCAGGAGTTCACTGGTTGTTTTTCTGCAGTATCTAACCTGTTGTTAATCACATCCAGTGTATTTCTCATTTAAGTCATTGTAGTTTTCATATCTAAAAGTTCATTTTGTATCTTTGAAGTATTTTTTGTCTCTAGTTAACTTGTTCTCTCTCTGTTACCACTTCTTCACCATGTGTAATACAGTTACAGTAACTGCCCCAGTGCCTCCCCCTGCTAATTCTGTCATCTGTGTCAGTTTCAATTAATTGTTTCTTCTCCTCATATAGAGGTTGTGTTTTCTTGAGTGTTTGCACGCTTGGCAATGTTTACTTGGATGCCAGGCTTTGTGAATTTTACCTTCTTAGCTGCTGGATATTTTCTTATTCCTATAGATACTCTTGAGCTTTTTTCTGTGATGCAGTTAAGTTGCTTGAACATAGGCTGATCTTTTCGGGTCTTGCTTTTAAGATCTGTTAGCTGGAATTAAAGTAGTGGTTAGTTTGTGGCTAATATTGCTGCACTCTGAAACAAACTCTTCTGTGTAGACTACCTGGTGTGCCCTTTGGCTGCACTATTTTATATTCCCACCAACAGTACATAAGCATTCCAATTTTTCTACATTTTTGCCAAGACTTGTTACTTCTGGTTTAGTTTTGGTTTGGTTTGTTTTATAATGGCCATCCTAACAGGTTTGAGGTGGTATCTCATTGTGGTTTTGATTTACATTTCCCTGATGATAAGTGATGTTGAACATCATTTTAAATACCTGTTGGACATTTGTATTTATTCTTTGGGGAAATGTTTATTCAAGTCCTTTGCTCATTTTTAATAGAAATATTTGTTTTGTTTTGCTATATTCATCAGAGATACTGGCCTGTAGTTTTCTTGTAGTATCTTTTTCTGGATTTGGTATCAGAGTAATGCTGGCCTCATAAAATGTGTATAGAAGTGTTCTCTTCAGTTTTTTGGAAGAGCTTGAGAAGGATTGGTGTGAATTCTTATTTAAATGTTTCATAGAATTCTCCAGTGAAGCCATCTGGTTTGAGGTTTTCTTTTGTTGAGAAAATTTTTATTACTGATTTATTAGTTATAGGTCTGTTGAGTTTTTTTGTGTTTTCATAATTTACTCTTGGTTGGTTGTACGTTTCTAGAAATTTATTTCTTATAAATTATCTAATTTGTTGGCATATAATTCTTCATAGCTGTCTCTATAATCTATTTGGCTTGGTATTTTAGGTTTTTAGGGTGAGAAAGTAAATGTGGTTTCTGTTATACAAACTTGGACAGAAGCTGAAGTTTCATTCTGATTGATTTTAGTTACTTTGGGTGAAACATTACCATGTTTCAATGAGGAAGAAATATATATATATATATATATATATATATATATATATATATATATATATATATATATATATATATAAATTATACTCAGAAAATATTCCCAAGAAATATATATATATATAAAATTATACTCAGAAAATATTCCCCACTATTCCTTCCAGCCCATTCTCTCCACCTTTCTTTTCACCCTGTTACTGCCTATTCCCTGTAGGTAAGAAATCTTACTAGTTTTCTGGTTGACCTCATTTAGTTGGGCTTTTTTGAGTACTAATAACTGTTACATGTATATTTTTTAAATCTCCTCTTCTTGTATTAAAGATAGTCTTTTGCACTTTTTTTTTCATTTAACAACCTATTCTGGATATCAGTTCGTAGAGATTTTCCTCATTCTTTCTGGTAGTTTCCTAGTGTTCTGCTTTGGATTTACTGTAATTTAGTCACTCTCCTATATCTGGGCATTTAGGTTGTTTCCTAAATTTTGCATTTACAAACAATGTTGCAATGAATAATCTGATACATTTATATTTTCCTATTGGAAGTTTAGTAATCCTGGCTCACTTTGGGAATTTCTACACCAACTAAATGATACAAAATTCGAATCCAAGTCTAAATAATATACAAGTCCAAGAATTCAGTTTCTCATGTGAGCACTATTTTCACCCCAAACTTGGGAATAAAAAAATAACCTATCAACTTGTAGAGATGGTAGGTGAAGTATTCTTAGTCACTGTGTGTCTTAAGTCAGTTTGGGCTGTTATAACAAAAGTACCACAGACAGGATGGCTTAAACAACAGGAATTTATTTCTCACAGTTCTGGAGGCTGAGCTGTTCAAAATCAAGGTCCCAGCTGATTTGGTTCTTGGTGAAAGCCCTTTTTGTGGTTTGCAGACAGAAGCCTTTTTACTGTGTCCTCACATGGTAGAGAGAGACCTCAACTCTCTAGTCTCTTGTAATATGGACACACTAATCCCATTCATGAGGGTTTCACCCTCATGACTCAATTACTTCCCAGAGGCCCACCCTCCAAACACCATCAGACTGGGGATTAAAGATTCAGTCTATGAATTTGAGGTGGACACAAATACTCAAGTCCATAGCACTGCAGGTATAGTTTTTGAGGACCCTAGCTTTATGTATTAGTCTCAATTCCAACTTCTTACCTTGCATAGACCCAAGGCCTCTTCTGCTGCCCTCCCTTTACAATACAAGCCTATAGTTGTGACCTTATTCTACAGGCACTTATAAAGACTGCCAGGGGTGGTGGCTCTCTGCTAATGAATATTGTATTTTTAAAAATTCATCTTTTTTCTAGCATCAGAAGTTCCTTCTCTTTCACATGAGTATACATTTTTTAAACATGTTTAAATATTTTATTTGGCAGTTTGGAGAGGAAGGATTTACATGTTAGTTTAGTTCACTAATGTTGCTGGATAACTCACATACAGACTTGCATGGATGCTCTCATCTGCTCACATACCATTTACCTTTGTAGAGGAATTATCCTGCAGAAAATGGCCAGGTTGTCTAAGTGAGGAAATAACTTGATTCAAGAGGCAGCTTTTTGACACATAAACCATTTAACTCTTACCTCAAGGAAATTTGCCATGTCCAGAATTTGAAAAATAAACAGTTAAGGAGGAAAATGGCTGGTGATAGCTGAGATGGAACAGGGTGACTATGTAATTTTTGGAATGTACCATTTATATAAAATATAAATGTTAATTGAATTGAATTGTTTCATTTTCCCTTATGTGCATTTTAGGCAATAATTCTAAAGGAAATAAAATTTAAAAACTGGGAGTATCTGAACTCAACTTTTGGGTAAGATTCAGTGTTTTTAATGCAGTTTATTTAAATTCTACTTTTTATTTCTACAAACTAAACACAGTTAATATGCTTTAAAATGCTAATGACATATTTAATAAATAGCTACTGTCTTAAAAATAGCTACTATCTAAGGTAGATAGATATGTAAGGAAATAGTCCTTAGCAAAGACTAGAAATCATTTTCAAGAAGTTAGCTCACGTATTTCACAACTAACTTTCAGACCACTTTTCCTCTATGTTTCATTCTGCTATATCCATACAGTCTTGCTTTTTAAAATTTGTATGTCTTGAGTTTCTCTCTTTAGCTTCAGTTAAACTTTCCTTCAACATAACTCAGGTTTGTAGTTTCTTTCCACTTTTCTCCTTTTCTTTCCTCTGCATCTATCCATCGTCTATCTCTCTTTCCTTCTGCTTCCAACTTTAGACTCTATTACTTTTGTCCTTTTAACATTTTCCTTGCAGTCTCCCAGCCCCTTCTAATTTGAACTCAGCCACTACCTAATCTTTGTTTGGCTTCTTCCCAAATATGCAGATGGATGGCCCGTATTACCTCCATGGTTTCCTAGTAATATAAGTTATTAGGCAGGTAGTGCAACTCTTAAATTCTCTTAATATGAGACAGATGATATTCTTTTTCTCTGGTCTGTGATGTACTTCTATTAAAAAATAAACCCTGGGCCACACACAGTGGTTCACGCCTGTAATCACAGCACTTTGGGAGGCCAACATGGACAGAGGGCTTCAGCCCAGGAGTTTGAGACCAGCCTGGGCAACATGGCAAAACCCTGTCTCTACAAAAAATAGAAAAACTAGTTGGGCATGGTGGCATGAGCCTGTGATCCCAACTACTCAGGAGGCTGAGGTGGGAGGATCGCTTGAGCCCAGGAAGGTTACAGTGAGCCATGATCACCCCGCTGCACTCCACCCTAGGTGACAGAAGAAATGAACTGTATGTTTTCATGTTATATATTGAGAGGATAAGTCTGGAAATGTTACAAGTTGAGGAGGTAGGTTCCTACCCACAATACAAGAGAACAAAATGGAAGGAGTTGCTATTTTCTCCTTGTTGGAGGCATTCTCCCATCCTTTAGGTGGTGAAAATATAGAAAGATATGTCCACTAAGTTGTTGAATGAATGACATGATGCTTTTTTTGTCTTTTTGTTATTCTTTATTGGTTCTACCAATTTGACTCTTTACCCAGGCCACCTGTCCTTAGGCATGCAGACTTTGTAGAAATTCACATGTCGACATTACACTTGTAATATATAATTCTTTCACTTCAGAAAAATTGAGCAATTTAATAATTCAACTCAAAAGAAGTTCAGAATTTCATTTGCAAACTATTGAAAAATGACAGTAAACAGAAGGTGTCCATAAACATCAAAAAAATTCTGCCAAGGCTGCACTCAAAGGAAAATTTACTGTCTTCATTTTCAACAATATTTTCAGTAGTAGACTGGAAAGAACATGAATTGAGTAAGTTTTAAATTCAAGAATATCAAAGAAACAAAAAATCTAAGGAGAGAAAAGTTGAGATTTAACCAAATGTTCAGCTTACATGTTTTTTAAGCCCCCTAGGTATTATTTTCTGTTTTTAGCTCTGTATATCTTTGGCAAAGGTAAGTATTTATTACACACAACCTGAACAAGGTATTTTTAGAGCTAAGTGATTCATTTTAGAGTTTAACATCAATAGAAGCAAATTCACTGTTTAATGGGAGACTCCAGTTTTTGGTGGCAAGATAATTATCGAATTGAGCGCGTATGAAATTTACAAAGGGGAACTTTGTGTGTGCCATGAGGCATAAGAATCATTACAAGAAGGGAGATGGAACCTCCAAGATAATCTAAAGCTCAGTACTAAGGCCAGATAAGGATAGTTTGAGAAAGGATATTCTTACTTGTGAGCATAGATTCAAAATTTCACCTAGATTAAAAACATTCCTTACACACAAAATATAAAAGATTAGTAACTCAAGAACAGCCATATATGTGATACAGATAATCCACTTGTGATACATCTGGCTTATTCTAGGAATCCAAAGACATTTCTGGAAAATCAAAAAATGTAAGTTATCACACTAACAGATTAAAAGAGAAAAAATCTTATGATCATCCCATTAGATGCAGAAAATAAAATTGATAAAATTGAACACCCATTTGTAATGAAAACATGTAACACAGTAGAAATAACAGTTTTCTCAACCCTGTAAAATTATTCAGCAGTCATTAGTCTTACCTATAATAAAGTATTTAGAGTGTTCTGTTTAAAATCAAGATAAAGATAAATGTGCTTTTTCACGTTTTATTAAAGTCCAAACTAGCCTAGTAATTCAAGAAAAGTAAATAATAGGAAAAGGAAAGAAACAGAAGGAAAATTTATTATAGTATCAGTATTTACCTAGAAAGAATAAAATAATTGACAAATTATTAGGAATTAGAAGAATTCAATACCATGGCTAGATATAAGTTTAATATTCAAAAATCAATTGCATTTCTATTCTTTGGCAACAAACAGAAAACATTTTTTAAAAATATGCCTTATGTATTAGGAAGAAAAATGCATAGAATCTGAATGAATCTAACAAAATACATATAGTATTTGTATGAAAATTTATTTTAATAATTCTAAGACAAATAGAAAAATAAAACACATTTATGTGTATGAAGTTTCATGTAATGCAGTTCTCCCCAGCTGATGTTCAGATTCAAAGCAATTTCAGCAAGATTGTCTTGCAGGTCACTTTTCACTAAATGATGCTGGAATAGTCTATCTATATGAGAAAAACCATATGTTATACACAAATATCAGTTCCAGGCCTAGCCGTTTTGAATGTTCCTAAGCTGGATGTCTCTTTGACATGTCTTTATAAATTTATAATGCTCCAGGCTTTTCTTGATTTTCCTCGTGCTAGCCTTGGAATCAGCCATTTTTTCCAAGGAGCCCTGGTTCCTTTTAGAGGAGAATGGTATTTGGAAACCAAGACCTGAGTGGTATGTGCACTCATTACTACCAGTGTGTCCTTGTTTCTAGGCCCTTTCACTGCACGTATGTGCACACGTGTGTGTGTGTATGAAATCATGATTTCATAACTGTAGCTCCAATCCCAGCCCAATGCTATAGAAAGGCAGACTAGTTAGGTACCTCAGAACTCACAGAAAACCACAGGCTGCCATCTCCTGAAACTCCATCCAGTGGCAGAAGACACTCAGAAAGAGGGTCCGGGGAAATACTCTCCATGCTGTGGGTCTGGTATCTACTATTTCCTCCAGGGAGGCTGCCCATGCAGGTAGCAGCAGCGGGGATCTAACAGGTGCCCTGCCAGGACTAGGCAGCCCAGGAAAGAGCCCTCTGCTCTCTGCCGACCTCCTACCCCACAATCCTGGTGTCTCTCACCCTCCACCTCATGGCAACAGGACATGGGAAGTACATTCTTCCTGCATCGGCAGCATGATTTGGGGCAGAGATGGACCACAAGGGCACCAGATGAATCAAGCTGACCAGAATAGCACTAGCACTGCAAAGACTCTGAAAACTAAACTGTCATTGTAACTATAGCACACAGAAGTAGGCCAGGACTTGCATGATAAACCTAAAAACAAAGTGACTGTCTGCTGAAATAGAAATTTAAAATAGGATCCACAGTCTCTAACATAATATAAAAAATGTACTGGACACAATAGAAAAACCACTCATCATAGCAAGAATGGAGAAAATAACAACTTGAATGAGAAAAGACAATCAACAGATGTCAACACTGAGATGAATAGGATGTGGGGATTATTTGACAAGGGTTTTAAAGCAGTCATCATAAAAACACTTCAATGAGCAGTTTTAAATACTCTGGAAGCAAATGAAAAGGCTATAAAATGTCACCAAAGAATTGTCTTTTTTTTTTTAAAGAACAACTTGGTGATTACAGAACTGAAAAATACAATAACTGAAATTAAAATTCAGTAAATGGACTTGGTAGTGGAGTGAATATTACCGAGGAAGCAGTCAGTGCTCTTGAAGATAGAACAATAGAAATTTCCCAATCTAAATTGAGAGAAAATCATAGGAAAAAGGACAGAGCCTCCGGGACCTATGGTGTAGTATCAAAAGATCTAATATTTGTATCATCAAAATTTCAGAAGGAGTGGAAAAAGAGAGTGGGGCTGAATAGTATTTTAAGAAGTAATTGCTAAAAACATCCTAAATTTGGTGAAAGACACACCTGCAGAGTGAAGACCCTGAGCCATTCCCAAGTAAGACAAACCCAGAGAAATCCATGCCAAGATACATTATGAGTTAACTTTTAAAACTAAAAGAAAAAATCTTGAAAGCAGGTATGGAGAAATGACACATCACCTACAGGGCAAAACTGACTTAAATTGTAGCAGACTTCTCATGTGAAAGTAAGGAAGCCAGAAGGTTGTGGCAGAACATTTGTCAAGATGAATTACATATCCAGTGGATGTTTCCTTTAGGAATGAAGGGGAAATAGACATTCTCCAATCAAGGAAAATTAAGATAGTTTGTGGCTAGCAGAGAACCTTAAAGAATGGTTAACTGAAGTTCTTTTGTCAGGTTTGTTGAAGACCAGATGGTTGTAGATATGTGGTTTTATTTCTGAATTCTCTATTCTGTTCCATTGGTCTATGTGCCTGTTTTTGTACCAGGAGCATGCTGTTTTGGTTATTGTAGCCTTGTAATATGGTTTGAAGTCAGGTAGCCTGAGGCCTCCAGCTTTGTTCTTTTTGCTCAGGATTGTCTTGGCTATATGAGCTCTTTTTTGATAGTGTGGAATCAACCCAAATGCCCATGAATGATAGACTGGATAAAGAAAATGTGGTACATATACACCATGGAATATTATGCAGTCATAAAAGAAATGAGATCATGTCCTTGGCAGGGACATGGATGGAGCTGGAAGCCATTATCCTCAGCAAACTAATGCAGGAACAGAAAACCAAACACTACATGCTCTCACTTATAAGTGGGAGCTGAACAGTGAGAACAGATGGACACAGGGAGGGGAACAACACACAATGGGGCTTGTCAGGGGAGGGTGTGGGGAGGGAGAGCATCAGGAAAAATAGCTAATGCATGCTGGGCTTAATACCTAGGTAATGGGTTGATAGGTGCAGGAAACCACCATGACACACGTTTACCTATGTAACAAACATGCACATCCTGCACATGTACGCCTGAACTTAAAATTTAAAAACTTCTGAAAACAAAAAGGAAATGAAAGAAAGAATCCTAGAATATAGGGAAGAAATATAAAACAGCAAAACAGATACACAGAGGGGTTAATATAGTAGACTATTCTTCTCATGAGTATTTCCCTTTGTGTACTTTTTTCACTTTATTTCGTTATTCTTTATTTAGATTTTTAAGTCAAGGATTTAATTCATTTATTTTCACTCTTTCATTTTTATTGATAAAGCTTTTGAGGCCATGAATTTGCTTCTTATGCTTGCTTTAAATGTCTTCCTTAGTTTCCATATGGAAATGGTATTTGCCTGCCATGCTTGCTGCCATCATTCTATTTTTCACCTTTCTGAATCTGTTTTTATTTGTCTTCCCTGTGTAGCATAAGTTGAGTCTGTCTTTGCTTTGTGAGATAATGTGAAAACCTTTGTTGTAAGTTTTATGTGTATTTGACTATATTTGCTTTGTTCCTGTATATGATTCTCTTTAAAACTTTTTGTATTTAAGAAGGTTACTATTATTTCCTCAATTATTGCATATTTGAAACCTTTTTTATAACATCTATACTTGAATGACAGATTGGCTAGATATAAAATCCTTGGTTCTCACTTTTTAAAGTTTCTTAAAAATGCGTCTACACCACTGCTTTGGTTTGTATGTTTCTTTTAACAAGTCTGATGCTAGCCAAATTCTTCTGTCCCTTATAAATTATGTGACTTTTGTGCCTGGAGGCTCTGAGAAATTTTTCTTCATTTTTCATAGTTCTACTGAAAGATGTCTTGAGTTAGTTTACCATACCAGATTAATTTTTTTCCAGTACCCCCTGGATCCTTTCCAAATCCCTATTCAGGTCTTCTTTTATTTCTGGAAAGTTTTCTTGGATTATAATTTAAACACTAGTTTTGATTCATTGCTGTGGTGTTTTTTTTTTTCAGGCACTCCAGTTATAATTATGTGCCTTTCTTCCATTTCTACCACTTTCTCTGATACTTCTCACTTCTTTCTCTGGTAACATTTTCATTCTTCATCATTGTTTTAGTGCCTTTACTTCAATTCCTTCATTAACTTATTTGAATTTCTTTTCTTTTAATCATCTTGTGATTTCGTTTTTATTTTTGATAATATTCTCCTTTTCTTTCATTCCCTTTCTGTGTCTAATAAACTCTTTATTTCTTTCTGATTTTTTCCCCATTTCTGTTCTTGGTTTTTGAATTTCTTGTTTAAATTGCTTTTTTAATATTTCTGAATGCTCGTTTGAGGATATTTAATTCAACTTTTAATTCTGCATAATTTTCTTTTGCTTTGTGAGATTTTATCGTTCAGTGGTGTGGATTTCATTAGCTGAAATATTTGACTTTCATGTTTGTTATCTTCTTAAAGAAGCTTTGGATATTTATATAGGCATTTTTTCATCTATTAATTATTTTGTGTTTTCTAGTCCAAGTGCAAACCTCTTCTGAAAATGTAGCATAGTGTGATTTTTTTTCAATGAATAACTTTTTTCTTTTTTTGTGCTTGATGGCAGTAGTGATGGATAGTCTTTTGGTTTGGGTTCTCATTTTTCCTGCTGGATACTTTTTCCTTCTTGCACTCCCCTTTTTATCCTCCTTTCTTTCCAGAAATGATGCCTTTCTAACATCAGTGTTTTTGTCTCTACTCACTGTTAGGCCCTGCTCTGTACTCCCATTTACCAATCTCCCAGGGCTCTTTTTACACATATGATAGACTTGTCTCTTTCTTGGGTTATTTTAGTTCCAATTTTGACCCCTGTCTTTCCTTTTCTTCTTTATCCTTTTATGGGTCTCCCCTCATTCTATGCAAAGGCATAGGTCAGGGACTTGAGGTATAACTCTATAGATTCGTTGCTTCCTTTTCGATTCATAGGTAATTTGAAGTTTGTGCTGTTACCTTTTATCCATATATGTGATTGTATTGTTCTACTTGTTGGTTGATATATGCAGAGATTTGAATTTAGGTTGCTTAACTTTCCCCAGGCTAACCAGAAGTACACAATTGTTCCCTTTTTAATCAAGGCTAGTCAAAAAATAAACAACAACAACAACAACAAAACAGAAGCCTCATTGCCAGTTCTAGTTCATATTCCTCTTTCTTAAAGGAAACCTTAAATTTTCACATTTCAAACTGTTATTTCTTGAAGATGGGCGCCTATATTTCCACAGGAGTGGTAGAAGAACTTTTAAGGTAGTGTTTTGAAAAATGGATTTTCAGCTGAGAAATAATATTTGGAAACAAACACATAAACACTCCCTTTTCTTAACAGAAATCAAAAGGAAGTAACCTTTTAAAACTTCCTTCAGATTAGGATATGTATGAGCAGCCACTTTTCTGACGCACACAGGGTTTTCTCTTTGTTCAAATCCCCCCTCCCTCTGTCTCTGTACGGGGAGCTGTTTTCTTCTTCCTTCTTTCTTTCTTGCCTATTAACCTTTTCACTCCTTAAGACAAAAAAAAAAAAGATTTAGGATATGTAGAATTCTAGTGTTGCCATATATTTTATACCAGTGTCATCAGTTTTAATTCTTTGCTTTTAAACAAGATTTTCTAAAGGAACTTTTTTAAAAAACCTCACCATTTATACCTCACATAATTAAAATTTTTCTATGTCATTTATAGATATAATTGAATACTTTAACTGGGTGATTTGTAGTTTTAAATACTGGACTTCTATTTTATTTTCTAACTAATTCAAGGTAGTGCCTGGTGGTGTGGAACAATCATTTTGAAATTTCTGACATCTAAAATCTTAGGCGTTTCAGACCACGTAAGTACTTTTAGTTAAAACATAAAAGTTCTTATAAACATGTAGCTGAATGAAAACTTTGAAACCATCTATTCTTCTCTCATTTCACAGAGGTTAAGTGCCTTCTTTAAGGTCTCTAGACGAGTTATTGGCAGAGTCAATAATAAAGTCTTGCAGTTCAGTGATCATTGCAACCCACTAAAAAGAATATTCGTGAAGGCTGACTTGGACTTTTAGGAAAAAAAAAAACTTTGTTTTTTATTTTAACTAACTTTTAAAAAGTTTGTTAAGTAGTTGTTTATATTTCAGTTAAAATACAAATAATTAGTTGTTTACATCATAAATTATCCATTTATTGCAGATGTTAACATATGGGAGGCTGTCCTCAGCTTTGAAAATACAGAGCTCTTAAAATCTCAGTATTGTTTTATTTATTTATAACTATGGACTAAAATCAATGTATGATTTGATGTTTTAAGGCCTTTCTCGTTATATAAAAAGAGAAGGTTAAAAAATTTTGATCTTTTCATTTTCTAGGAAATACATGCAGAGCATTTATCTCTCATGTGGTATTTCTGTTTGTTAATGTCTTAAAGAGTAGCCCTCTTCAAGGCCTAAGTCCCTGCTTAACTAACTGGTTTAGGGAATAGAAAAGAATGCATGAATCTACTTTTTATTTCTAGCACTTTCTGTTTAGAAATAAGCCTACATGAGTATATCATACAATAATCAATGTTGAAATTTACCTCATTTAATGCTATCCAATTAGGGCCCTGTTTGATGCTGAAATTATGTACTTTGACAAGGGGTTATAGTATTACTTCTCTAAAAGGTCAAATGCTATCTCTATGCAATATAACATACAACGTGTTTATATTAAATAAAATTTCTAAATGTAAGCGTTTGCCGTTTATTGCTAGCTTTGCATGGTGGTTTATTAGTTTATTTGTTGCTGCTGTTCTCTGGTATGTCTGACACATTTCCCCATTCTCCTTTCCTTTTTATTGTTTTTAACTTTATTATATATGTCTTATGATAAACTTTATTTAGAGCTTCTAAGTTATTTATGTATCTGTTAAGTTTGTTCATGATTATGTTTCTTGCCTTACTTCACACTTACTTCACATTGACCCCCAGCTCTTTACAAATTATTATTTTTTTTTAAACACAGTCTCACTCTCTCACCCAGGCTGGAGTGCAGTGGCCAATCTCGGGTCACAGCAACCTCCACCTCCTGGGTTCAATCAATTCTCATGCCTCAGCTTCCTGAGTAGCTGAGATTATAGGCACGTGCCACCACGCCTGGCTAATTTTTGTATTATTAGTAGAGATGGGATTCCAGCATGTTGGCCAGCCTGGTCTCAAACTCCTGACCTCAAGTGATCCGCCTGCCTTGGCCTCCCAAAGTGCGGGGATTACAGGTGTGAACCACCATGTCTGCCCTACAAATCTTAAAAAAAAAAAAATACAAACACACTTCATTGGTAGTCCTGAGTGACTTCCTTTATGTGACAGTTATGAGGAAGACCTGAAATTATAGTGGTTTGGTTAAATTACTGTTAGTCACCAGGCCTACTCTAAATTAGAAAAATAAATTGCAACTCTAAATTATCCTTGAGTACTGGTAGATTAGGAAAAATAATTGAATGAAAACCACTTATAATCATCAAACTTGTTATAAGATAATTTCTGTCCCTATAAAATAATTTGAATTAAGAGTTTACTTGCCAAATATTTTCCTTTTTCTGGCCTTCTGAGGATGCTGTGGAAAAATAATTGTCTCACCAAGAGCAGGTTGTAAATAATCAGTAGAAAAATAGAAGTTCTGCATTGGATTTGGTTGTTGGTATCTATTTTTAGCCTTGGAGATCAAATAGCTAAGTCAAAGATCAAAGTGGTATGTATAATTGTTGTAATTCTTATGAGGATCAGATCTCATATTCAGTGGTTTGAATATATGTCTGTAAAACATCAAGAAATACCCAAATATTGTAATCAGTCTGTGAGGCTTTGTGAAATTGACAATGCACAGAAAGCTTATGACCTACAATGTATGTTGAAAGAGGTTAAGTAAAATAGTTTTTCATGATAAATTGTCTTATTATAAAATGTAATTAACTACATGGTGGTTTCTTCTCAGCAGATATTGATTTTAGCTCACTCTTTATCATCTTCTCTTTATTTTTTTCTGACTTCTTTCTACTTTTCATTTTTCATGATATTTCTCTTAATTTTCAGTTATCTTGAGAAGTCAGCACGTCGTATATTTGGTTCACTGTAGTTTTTTGTTTTCTTAGAGGGATGTCTAAATACATTGGATTTATTTGCTCTATAAACTTTGTTATTCTTACATCAATAAAGTATTACTGGCTATAGGCTATAATCATTTGTGTAATTTTAATTCATTTTACTTTATTTTCTCCCAAATTTGCCTGAGTGATCTTATAGCAGCCAGAATCTTAAGGTATACAGAATTTGATACTTTAATATACACCTGTGCTCCCAAATTTGACTTCATGGAAAAAGCGGTATGAATGTTTCTTTTTTCCTTCTCTACTACTATGAGTTTTTGCTCTAGTTTTTTTTTAATCTGAAACTCAAAATTTTTACTCAGAAATGGTCAACTTATTTTTTTTACTGTAACTTGCTAATCCACCTTCCTCGTTTTTTTGTCTGTAAAATAAAAAAAAGATAGTCTCATATCTTACAGAGTTATTGATGATGGTTAAATGAGATAATCTGAGAAGAGTGTTTAACATACTATATGACCCGTAATAATTATTATTACCAGTCAACTACTTTTAATAATCTAGGCCACTTGGAAGTATGGGACCATTCAGGAAAAAGTCTAAATGCTTGTTTCTGTTTTTAAGAAATTCAGTTTTATTACAGTTAACACCCCAAATATTATAACATTTTTAACAAGGTGTTACCAAGAAAGGTATGCTACTGATGAGTTTTAATGAACATATAAAAATTCATTTTTAATTATACAAATGCAAGGTATTATTCTTTTTAAAAAGTTCATGCTATAAAGCTTTAAAACATAGGCTGGGCGTGGTGGTTCATCCCTGTAATCCCAGCACTTTTGGAGGCCGAGGCGGGTGGATCACGTGAGGTCAGGAGTTTGAGACCAGCCTGGCCAACATGGTGGTAACCCCATCTCTACTAAAAATACAAAAATTAGCCAGGCATGTTGGTGCATGCCTGTAGTCCCAGCCTGAGTAGGAGGCTGAGACAGGAGAATTGCTTGAACCCTGGAGGCGGAGATGCAGTGAGCTGAGATCGCACCAATGCACTCCAGCCTGGGCGACAGAGTGAGACTCTGTATCAAAAAAAAAAAGAAAAAAAAATTGGCCTCTTTGTAGAATCATGGAACACAAGATCAGGAAGGGCTCTTAGAGACCATGCCATATAGTTCTTTCATTTGCAGATAAAGAAAAACTTAAGAGATTTGCCTAAAGCACACACAAGCCAAGATCAGGACATGGATTCTAATGGATTCTAGAACTCTCAATCCAGGGCTTTCCTCTATTTGTAGCTTAATTTTTTTCATGGAACATAACAAAGTTGCTACTGGATTGATTATTCCTTGTGTAATTATTATGAATTCTGAATTAGTGGTAAGTAATAGAATTTTACATTCTTCTCTTATCCATCCAACCAATCATCCATTCATTCAAAAACTATTATTGACTATAGTTATCCATGAGGCAGTTTGCTATAGCACGGCAAAGAGGAAAATGAACTGGTTTCTTGCTTTTAAGAAATGTATAATTTAGTTACATGGTAAATTACTCCTTATCATCACAATAACAGGTCATCAGAATTAGTTAGCCAATGTTATTTCTGTACTTATTCATAGTTTTAGTAATTAACTTTGGTTAGCTTTCTTTTTAGCTCTAGTTTCACTAATGAAAATAATGGAGCTGTGTAGTATAGAAAATTACAATGTAGGACCCAGGGATCGGTAAACACGCATTTTAAAACTTAGTATTATGTAAATAAAAAAAAGAAAAGAAAAACATAATAGATATAGCAATTCTAGTTTTATTAAAATAATAAATTTTTCATTAAATTTTTGGAATACTTTTTATAACTATTTTTATAATTTTAATTATTTCATTAAGGCATGGAAGACAATAAATATATATTCTGCTGATGACAAATTTTACCTTTTACTTTTAAGGAATGTTATCATGGCACTTAGTTTGACATAGATGTTTACTAATTTAATGTAAAAATCGTAAGTAACTATTTTGAATAATTTGGTGTATTTCAGACTCCGCTGAGATACACAAAGACATTATTGCTTCCAGTTGTTATGGTGATTACATGTTTTATCTTTAAAAAGGTATTTTTAAACAAATTATTATTTGTTTTTGGCATCAATATAAGGACTATAATCATGCAAATTGCTCAGAATTTCATGTTATTTTTAGGAGAAACTCTTTCTTTCTCTAAAAGTTTGTTTTTTATTTAGATCTTTCATTATCGATCTTTTTATAAAAAGCCATGATAAAAGGTATTCTTATTTTTTCTTTCAAAAGATATATACCAGTCACCAACTGTGTATCAAGGACTACATTAACATTGTAGGTACACCCAGACAAATAAAACGTAGCCACTCCTGTCTTGGAACTTACAGTCCTGGATTATTGGGGGTGGGGGTGCAAACATGAAGCAGATAATCGCACAAATGTCTAAAGAATTAAAATTTTTATAGGTGCTATGAAAGAAAAGTCCAGTGACAACTACATTAGTATCTTTCAAATATAAAGCACAGTGAAGTCTTGATCTATTTTGAGTGGGCTTGCGTAGAAGAATTCTGTATAGCTAATTAAAAAATATTTTTCTACATGTTCACTGTTTTCATGACAGAAGAAAATAATATCTCAATAAAAGAAACAATCCTTAAAATACCACTGGCAGGTTTTGTTGGTCTGGGAGAGTTATTCTAAAAGCATGGTTAAAGACAGTGGGTTTATTTTTTTTTTTTTAGCAGTCTTGAGCTATCTTTATTTATATTATTTACAAGCTATCAAGTCTTAAGCCAGTATGTATTTATTGTATACTTTTAAGCAGATAACAATAACGCGATTTCCCTACCACCATACCAGTTGTGTTCTTGTTGAAAGTTTTCTGTATTTACAGTCAAATTGCATATCTTCTCTATGTAGTTTTAGTTGCCACACTTCTCACTCCTTTGTTTACACAGAGATGTGAGTAATTTAGGAGTGAGAAAGGCATCTCCCTCGACATCTCTGTGGTTTCACCCTTGATCCAGTTCCCTGCGGACCACGTGGAAAGGGTCAGGATAAAGGAAACCAGGAGGAATGAGTAAAATGTGAGCAGGTTTACCGCCCTGCATTCTTTCGGCCCATGCTGGCCTAGAATGAAGATTTTCTCTACTGGCCTGTTTCTTTTCCATCAAGGCAAAATGTCGAGTTATCCTTATAAGGCTCCACTTAGAGGGGCCAATGCATGAATTAACTATTCAGTGGAGAGTCAGCAATGTGAGAGAAACTGATAGCTAGATCCGCAACTCCTATATTTTAAAAAATTAAGATCCA
The DNA here is from genome assembly GCF_000001405.40 of Homo sapiens. Classification (NCBI taxonomy): domain Eukaryota; kingdom Metazoa; phylum Chordata; class Mammalia; order Primates; family Hominidae; genus Homo; species Homo sapiens. The sequence continues at coordinate 29,723,612 of NC_000007.14, forward strand.
AGACTTATAAATACATTCCTAGTCTCCAAACACACCACAACCTGAACTATGCATGTGCACTAGCAGGGGCATGTACGTACACACACACACACACACACACACATACACACACACACATCCCTGCAGCGAACCAAGTTTCATACACACACGCACACGCACACACACATACAAACATCCTTGCAGCTAGCCAAGTTTCATACACACATACACAAATGTGCACACACACACTCATCCCTGCAGCCAGCCAAGTTTCATACACACACACACACACACACACATCCCTCTAGTCGGCCAAGTTTCATACACACACACACACAACTCTCTCTCTGTCTCTCTCCCTCTCTCATCCCTGCAGCCAGCCAAGTTTCACTCCTTCCTTGCTGCTTTCTTATAAACCCCTCAGTCTTTATTTGTCCTATTGTGGCTTATTTTTCACCCCAAGGATACTTCTGATGGTCATTTAGTTTTCAATGATGTGAAGTCACTTCTCGGAAGGAGAAAAGGAAGGCATATATAGTATGATCGTCCTGTTACTGAGAACTCCCTTAAACATTAAAAAATACTTCTTTCTTTGGTGGAGTGTTTACATTAATGAATCAGAGCATTTTAAATATTGCAGTATTCCTTAGAAAAGTTTCATTGATTTGATTCTATTCACAGACTGTTCGTGATATTTCGTGTGTTTTAGCTACAAACACTTATCTAAGGTAATTATATCATCATTTTTAAAACATACTGTATTCAATTATTAAATAACTTACTGTAACATTAATTTTTCAAATGAATATGCATTAAACTTTAGCATTATGATTAAGACAGGAGATATGAACCAAACAGATGTTTTCTTAAAAATATTATTCTTACAGATTTCTTATATGTATTTGGACTTGTTTTGGAGATATTTATATTTGTGAAATAACTCAAAGTTTAAATTGATAAATTATAATTTATCATTAGAATTTAAAGTCAGTAAGCTAAAGATTTATTTTTGGAATTCCCCCCCTCCCTCCCTTCCTTCCTGCCTTCCTTCCTTCTCTCTCTCTGTCTTGCCATGCCTTGCCTTTCTTTTCTCTTTTCTTTTCTTTTTTTCTTTCTTTTGACAGAGTCTTGCTCTGTCACCCAGGCTTGAGTGCAGTGGCATGATCTCTGCTCACTGCTGCCTGGACATCCTGGGCTCAAGCGATCATCTCATCTCAGCTCTGCCAAGCAGCTGGGACTACAGGTGTGCATCACCATGCCCAGCTAATTTTTGTATTTTTTTTGTAGAGAGGGGGTTTCACCATGTTGGTCAGGCTTTTCTTTTTCTCTCTTTTTTATCTTTCAGAGGGAGTATAATTATTTGTGTTTCTGAATATTTATGAATTTTTTTCTAAACTTATTGTTAAAACTATTTATTGTATAACATTTTTGGATGGCTTTAGTAATGTCACTAGCATAAGCAGATGCCAGCAAAATGTATCATATCAGTCACACATAAGTAAATTGCTATAGGACCCAAGAAGTAAATTGTGATGAAAATTTCCTTCTGAGGGAAATATGATCTCAAATGACATGTTTTTTAGTGTTCAACTTTTATTTTAGATGCAGGGGGCACATGTACAAGCTTGTTACATGGGTATATTGTACCCAGGTAGTGAGCATAGTACCTAATAGTAGTTTTCAAGTTACATTTTATATTTGTAAGTAGAATATTTGATTTTATTTTGTGACTTCTACTTTATAGAATAGTTTTAGATTTATAGAAAAATTGTGAAGACAGTAGAGAGAATTTCCATGAACCCCATACTCCATGCTGATTGTTTCCTTTGCTGTGCAGAAGCTTTTATACTTGATGTCATCCCTTTTGTTCATTTTTGCTTTGGTTACCCGTGCTTCCCAGGTATTTACTCGAGAAATCTTTGCCCAATCCAAAGTCCTGGAGGGTTTCCCCAAAGTTTTCTTGTAGTAATTTCAGAGTTTGAGGTCTTAGATTTAAGTCTTTAATCCATTTGGATTTGAGTTTTGTATATGGCAAGAGATAGGGGTGTAGATTCATTCTTCCACATAGGGATATCCAGTTTTCCCAGCACCATTTATTGAAGAGATTGCCCTTTCCCCAATGTATGTTTTTGAGACTGCTGTGAAAAATGAGTTTACTGTAGATGTATGGATTTCTTTCTGGGTTCTCCATTCTGTTCCACTGGTCTGTGTGTCTGTTTTTATGGCAATACGGTGATGTTTTGGTTACTATACTTTTGTAGTATAATTGAAGTCAGGTATTGTGATTCCTTCAGTTTTGTTCTTCTTGCTCAGGGTAGCTTTGGCTATTCTAGGTCTTTTGTTTTTTCATATAATTAAAGATCGTTTTTTCTATTTCTGTGAGGATTATCATTAGTAGTTTGATGGGAATTGCATTGAATCTGTAGATTGCTTTGAATAATATGGACATTTTAGCAATATTGATTCTTCCAATGCTTGAACGTAGAATAGCTTTCCATTTTTTTGTGTCTTCTTCAATTTCTTTCTCCAGTTTTGTATAGCTTTCATTCTAGAGATCTTTCATTTCTTTGGTTAATTTTTAGATATTTAATTTTATGTGTGGCTACTGTAAATGGAATTACTTTTTAAATTTTCTTTTTCAGATTGTTCTCTGTTGGCATATAGAAATGTTAATGATTTTTGTATGATTTTGTGTCCTACACCATTACTGAATTTATCAGTTCTGATAGTTTTTTTTGGTGGAGACTTTAGGTTTTTCTAAATATAAGATCGTATCATCTGCAAACAATGATAATTTGACGTCTTCCTTTCAAATTTGGATGCCCTTTATTTCTTTCTCGTCTGATTGCTCTAGCTAGGATTTCCAGTACTATGTTGAATAATGTGGTAAAAAGTGAGCATCCTTGTCATGTCCCAGATCTTAGAAGAAAGGCTTTCAGTGTTTCCTCACTCAGTATGATACTAGCTGTGCGTTTGCTGTATATGGTTTCTATTATGTTCACTAATATTCCTTCTATACCCAGTTTTTTTAAGGTTTTTATCATGAAAGGATGTTGAATTTTATCAAATGATTTTTCTGCATCTATGGAGATGAGATGATCATATGATTTATTCCCCTTCATTGTGTTGATATGACGTATCATGTTGATTTGCTGTGTTGAACCATCTTTGTGTCCCTGAGATAAATCCTATTTGGTTATGATGAATAATCTTTTTAATATGTTATTGAATTCAGTTTGCTAGTATTTTGTTGAGGATTTTTGCATTAACATTAATCAGAGATTTTGGCCCGTAGTTTTCTTTTGATGGGTCTTTGTACGGTTTTGGTATTAAAGTGATATTGGTCTCATACAACGGGTTTGGAAGTATTCCCTCCTCCTCTATTTCATGGAATCGTTAGAGTGGGATTGATATTAGCTCTCTTTAAATGTTTGATAAAATTCAGCAGTGAAGCCATCAGGTCCTGGGCTTTTCTTTGCTGAGAGACTTTTCATTAGAGATTTGATCTCATTACCTGTGATTGGTCTGTTCAGGTTTTGGATTTCTATATAGTTCAATCTTGGTAGGTTTTGTGTATCTAGGGATTTATCCATTTCTAGGTTTTCCAATTTATTGGCATACAGTTGCTCATGGTAGTCTCTAATGATCCTTTAATTTCTGCGATATGGTTGTAATGTCTCCTTTTTTTATCTCTGATTTTATTTATTTGGGCCTTCTGTCTTTTTTTCTTAGTCTGGCTAAAGGTTTGTTAATTTTATCTTTTCAGAAAACCAGTTGATCTTTTATATTGTTTTCTTCATTGCAATTTCACTTATTTCTGCTCTGATCTTTATTATTTCATTTCTCCTACTAACTTTGGGTTTTGTTTGCCCTTTTCTAGTTTTTTAAGATGCATCATTGGGTTGTTAATTTGACGTTTTTCTTCTTTTTTGATGTAGGCACTTATAGCTATAGACTTCCCTCTTAATACTGCTTTCGCTGTATCCCATAGGTTTTGATATGTTGTGTTTTCATTATCATTTGTTTCCAGAACATTTTCAATTTCCTTCTTAATTTCTTTATTAACCCACTGGTCATTCAGGAGCATATTCTTTAATTTCTATGTTTGTAGAGTTTCCAAAATTCCTTTTGCTACGGATTTCTAGTTTTTTTTCCATTGTGGTCAGAGAAGATACATGATATTGTTTCAATTTTTAAAAAATTTTTTAAGACTTGTTTTGTGGCCTATCCTTGTTTTGTGGTCTATTCTTGAGGAATGATCCATGTGCTGAGGAGAAGGATGTGTATTCTGTAGCTGTTGGGTGAAATGTTCTGTAAGTATCTATTAGGTCCTTTTGATCTACAGTGCAGATTAAGTTCAGTGTTTCTTTGTTGATTTTCTGTCTAGATGATCTGTCCACTGCTGAAGGTGGGGTGTTGAAGTCTCAGGCTATTATTGTATTGGGATCTGTCTCTCTCTGTCTCTCTCTTTAGCTCTGATAATATTTGCTTTATGTATCTGTGTGCTCCAGTATTGGGTGTATACATATTTACAATTGTTATATACCCTTGCTGAATTAACCCTTTTATCATTATATAATGACCTTCTTTGTCTCTTTTTATCGTTTTTGTCTTGTAATCTATTGTGTCTGATATAAATATGGCTATTCCTGCTCTTTTATGGTTTCCCTCGGCATGGAATATAATTTTCCATCCCTTTGTTTTCTGTCTATATTTGCCTTTACAAGTAAAGTGTGTTTCTTGTAGGTAACAGATTCTTAGGGTTTTGTTTTCTTATTCAGCTACTCTTTGTCTTTTGATTGGAGAGTTTAGTCCATTTACATTCAGTGTTATTATTGATACAGACTTACCCCTGCCATTTCGTTATTTGTTTTCTCATTGTTTTGTGGTCTTCTCTTCCTTCCTCTTTTTCTTTCATTGAAGGTGATTTTCTCTGGTGGTGTGTTTTAGCTTATTGCTTTTTATTTTTTGTATATCCATTGTATGTTTTTATACTTGAGGTTACCATGAGGCTTGCAAATAATATCTTATAACCCATTATTTTAAACTGATGACAACACTGATTGCATAAACAAACAAATAAGCCAAAGGAAGAAAGCTAATAAAAATTCTAAACTTTAACTTCATCTTCCCACTTTTTACCTTTTTGTTGTTTCTATTTATATCTTATTGTACTCTCTGTCTCTTGAAAAGTTATTGTAGTTATTTTTTATTGGTTCATCTTTTTGTCTTTCTACTTGTCATATATAAGTAGTTCATATACCATAATGACACTGCTATAATATTCTGTTTCTCTGTGTACTTGCTATTACCAGTGAGTTTTGTACCTTCCGATTATTTCTTCCTCATTAATGTCCTTTTATTTCAGATTGAAGAAATTCCTTTAGCATTTCTTGTAGGATAGGTCTGGTGTTGATCAAATTTCACAGTTTTGTTTGTCTGAGAAAGTCTTCTCCTTTAGGTTTGAAGGACATTTTCTCTGGATACACTACTCTCAGGTAAAAGGTTTTTGCCTTCACTTTAAATATGTCATGGCATGCTCTCCTGGCCTGTAAGGTTTTCACTGAAAAGTCTGCTGCCAGATCTATTAGATCTCCATTGTATGTTATTTGTTTCTTTTCTCTTGCTGCTTTTAGGATCCTTTCTTTATCCTTGACCTTTGGGAGTTTGATATTAAATGACTTGAGTTAGCCTTTGGGTTAAATCTGCTTGGTGTTCTAGAACCTTCTTGTTCTTGAATATTGATATTTTCTCTAGCTTTGAGAAATTCTGTTATACTTTTGAATAAACTTCCTACTGCTATCTCTCTGTCTAACTCCTTGTCTTCAAGCTCACTAATTCTTTCTTCTGCTTGATCAATTCTGCTATTAAGAGACTGATACATTCTTCAGTATGGCAGTTGCATTTTTCAGCTCCAGAATTTCTGCTTGATTCTTTTTAATTATTTCAGTTTATTTGTTAACTTTATCTGATAGGATTACCAATTCCTTCTCTGTGTTATCTTGAATTTCTTTGAGTTTCCTCAGCACAGCTATTTTGAATTCTCTGTCTGAAAGGCCGCCTATCTCTGTCATTCCAGGATTGGCCCCCTAGTGCCTTATTTATTTTGTTTGGTGAGGTCATGTTTTCCTGAATGGTCTTGATGCTTGTGGATGTTTGTCAGTGTCTGGGCATTGAAGAGTTAGGTGTTTATTATAGTTTTTGCAGTCTGGGCTTGTTTGTACCCATCCTTGTTGGAAAGGCTTTCCAGGTATTCAAAGGGACTTTGGTGTTGTGATCTAAGTTTCTGGTTGCTGCAGCTGTATCTGCACTAGGAGACACCCCATGCCCAGTAACGCTGAAGCTATTACAGACTCTTAGAGTTACTACGTTGGTGGTCTTGGATAAAATCCAGAATTCTCAGGATTAGCAGGCAGAAACTCTTGTTCTCTTTCCTTACTCTCTCCCGTATGGAGTCTCTCTCTCTCTCTTTCTCTGTGCTAAGCTGCCTGGAGCTGGGGGTGGGGTGACATAAGCATCTCTGTGGCCACCACTAGTGGGAATGTGTTGGGTCAGACCTGAAGCTAGCACAGCACTGGGTCTTGCCCAAAGCTCATTGTAACTACTGCCTGGCCACCACCTATGTTTGCTCAAGGTGTAGGGCTCAACAGTCAGCAGGTGGCAAAGCAAACCAGGCTGGTGACCTTCCCTTCAGGGTGGCAAGATTCCCCAGGTCATAGTCAGGTCCAGAGATGCTGCTGTCCAGGAGCCAGGGCCCGGAGTGAGACACCTTAGAAATCTACCTGATGCTCTATTCTACTGCAGCTGAGCTGGTGCTGAAACCACCAAAGTCCTTCCCACCCTTCCTTCCCCTTTCCCCAGGCAGAGGGGTCTCTCTCCATTTCCACCACTACCACAGGCCCATGGGAGGTACTGCATGGCTACTGCCAACATTCACTTAAGGCCCAAGGGCTCTTCAGTCAGCTTGTGGTGAGTGCTGCCAGGCCTGGGACTCACCCTTCAGGGCAGTGGGCTCTCTTCCAGCCGAGGGCAGGTCCAGAAATGCCACCCAAGAGCCAAGGCCTGGAATCGGGGACCACAAGAGCCTGCTTGGTGCTGCTCCCCACTGTGGCCAAGCTGGTACCTAAGCTGATTTTTGGTTCTTATGAAGGTGCTTTTTGTGTAGATCATTATCAAATTTGGTGTTCCTGAGGGGAGGATGAACAGTGGAGGTTTCTACTTGGTCGTCATGCTCCACCTCCTCTCCAACATACAGTTTTTTACAGTAGAGCTGAATAATATGTCTTGTCTTTGTTACTGATTTTATTGTGCTGATTAAAAATAATAACCTTCACAATTATGTAATTGTTTTTTATACAAAAGTACCAGGAAGTAAGCATTTGGTCTTCTGGTGCTTCAAGAGATGAAATGGAAGCCAGATAGTAGATTTTGATGTATCTCTAGTTATGACCAAATTTATACATGTCATTACACCAAAAAGTACTAGCAGCAAGTAGTGAAATGATTTCATGGCATGTATAAATGGTGTCAAGTCAAATGGTAACTCTGAGAACTTAATTAAAGGTGATCTGAGGGAAGAAAACAATGTTTTCCTTTTTTTATGGCACATCCACAGGACCACAGTTCACCAGCCACAAAAGTCATTGGAAAAAATGTCCCATGAGACTTGCCCTTCATAGCAGTCTCTCAGGTCCTGGCATTTCACATTCTTGGAACAGATGTGACATTTTACATTCTTTTTGTTTCATGTGTGTCTGTAGTCCTGCTGTTAGCATGGTGCTCTAGCATAGCAGGAAGCTTCAGTGAAGCAGCTAAGAGGGCAGGCTCTGGAACTTCCTAGCTGTGCAGTCTTGGGCAAGTCACTTAACTTGGCTGTGTCTCTTCATCATCTACAACAGCAGTCCCCAACCTTTTTGGCACCAGGGACCTGTTTCTTGGAAGACCTTTTTTTTTCCACAGAACTGGGGGATGGGGGGTGGTTTCTGGATGAAATTGTTCCACCTCAGATCATCAGGCATTAGATTCTAATGAGTGCACAACCCAGACCCCTCACATGCTCGGTTTGTAGATTCTACAAAGAACAGAGGACCCACCTCTTAGAATCGTGAAAATTAAGTTATTTAATTCTTGTTAAAATATGGAGCACAATTTCTAGCACCAAGATAGCATTTAACAAAAGTCAGCTATTATTATAGTAGACAATGAATAACTATTGAGTCAATAAAAGAATGAGGTCCATGGTCTTGTAAATAGGCATCATCCTTCTTAATTCGGGTTTACATATTAGAGGTAAGTTTAACTTCTGATTTTCTTTAAAACATTTCATTGAAGAAGAGAGCCTTTTTTTTTTTTTTCAGATGCTGTCTTCGCAGTGCCATGCCTACAATGGCAAGCGTGAAGCTGTCTACACTTCATCCCATTGTGAATCATCCACATTACGAAGATGCAGACTTGAGGTTGGCGGCCGATGAGTATTTCATCAAGACTCACTTGGTGACTCCCAATTCTTAGGAATTGGGGAAATTTTTACACACACATACGCATAGACACACATACACACACACAAACTCGTCCTCATTTTCATGCTGGAAGTTAAAAAAAAATGACAATAACCATCCAGAAATGACAATACGTACCTGTTGCCTCTGGAGCAAGCAGACCTCTGAAAACTGAAAAATGCAAAAGCCAGTTTTTCCCAAAGTGACAATTGTGTCACATATTTATGATGTGTGTGTGTATTCCAGTAAAACTACTAGGTAATTGGAAGAGGAGGTAGGATGGATTTTACTCGCAGTCGTGTTTTGCCAACCCCTGCTGTACACCACAAGCCCCACTCTGATTTAAGAAATGATTTCTAGATCTTACTGGTGGCCAATGACTAGCTTTTTGTGACAGGTAGAAAAAGTACATGAAAGTTGCTATTATACACTACGTGCTTTCATGAAAATTTAGAGTATTTTTGCTAGCCGATTATGAGAACTCTAGTTTCCATTGATGGCTAAAAGTTTTGCTTTCCTTAAATGGCTGGTTTAAAAAATTATTTTGGATATTCTAGTAATTTTCAGGGTAATCTTTTTTTAAAGTGGATTTTTGGCCTATTGTTAGAGGCAAATCTTTAAATTATTTATAAGTTTTAGGTCTGCTGTCTAGGAGCCAGGGTTGGAGTCAGACACCTTAGAAATGTACCTGATGCTCTCTCTGTTCTACTGTGGTGAACTGGCATGGAAACCACTGTGGTGACTGAGCATCCCATATGCTTGAAATTCTAAGCAACATCCAATGCATAAGTGATAGTTTGTCAGGATTTTGTAAGAACTCCCACTACGGTCAAATCACCTATTGTACCATATTTTGGTGACCATCCCCATTTCTCAAGATTCTGTGAAGGTGCTTTTCCTACCTCTTCTGACACCCTGGATGCCCATTGTCTAAGTGTTCTACTTGATACACTCAATTTCAATTCATGTATTTGTCAGAGCTTCTTTAGATGAAATTAAGCATTGAAAGATATGTTTTCACTACATTCAGTCTCTGTCAGAATATATTCTCTGAAAACTTGGTGAATTATGAGAAGAAAATTTTATATCCTAAGCTGTTCTCTGCTCCCAGGACAGCTTTAGACTATTTTATATACTAATGAGCAGTATATGCAAAATTAAAATTGCTGTAAGTTTTATTACATTCAAAATATAAGTAGGAATGTGGAAACTGCCATCCCCAAAATAGTTGATGCTGTTTTGAGTCATGTATATCAGTGTTCCATCCCGTGAGTACTGAGATTTCAATTTGCTAGTACGATTTTTTTAGTCTATTCTATTATCATTCATTTTAAAATCTTTTAAACTATTGTTTAAATTTAAAGGGCCCAGACAAAAATAGTTTATTCTACATATAGTCGAAAATCTGCCAAAGAAGTAAGAGATAAATTGTTGGAGTTACATGTGAATTATTATGTTTTAGAAGAGGCATGGTGTGTTGTGAGAACTAAGTGAGTATTAACCCTATGCTATCTGATATGGTATATTTTTAAGCAACAAATGTTTCACTTTATTACAGTAGTCCTGATTCTTTAAGAAATTTTAATTTAAATTCATTAAAATATTATCCCGGTATCTTAGTTTAAATTATTTCATCTAGAGAAGTAAAATTATACTATCAATGAAGTAGAATTTAATTCCAAACATTATAGTATATTTTAATATCCTGATTTTTCAATTTAACATCTTCTACTTAGTTTTTTTCATAATTTTTGAAATATTTATGAAAATTTTTATTAGATATCTGAAATATGGATTTGAATTCACAACAAAGTGAGATATTGGCATTCTGTATTATATAGTTGAATTATATTGGATTTGTAAGACTTGAAAGTGACAAAAACCAAAATGACATAATAAGAAAAACTTCCTAATTAAAATTTTTTAATTTCTGAATTTTGAATCTCTAAAAATCATAAAATTCTAAGATGGGTAATGGATCTTTTGAGTCCTTTGTTTAGACTCCTAAGCAGAGATATTAGCTGCTGCACATGACAGGAAATTCAGGCACATTAATTGTCTCCTAGAATGATACATTGGCAATCAGAAGAACAAAACAGGTTCTACAGTCACTTCAGGATATCATTTACAATGTGCAAAAAGTTTCAGAGATGCAAACTAAAATGAGAAAGTATGACCAACACTCTGAAAAAAATAAGTTAATAGAAACCGATACAAGTAGGTCCAGATGTTGGATTTAGCAGCCAAAGACTGCAAAGCCACTATTACAAATACATTCAAAGGCTTAAGAAAAATATATTCAACGAATTAAAAGAAAACATGGTATCCATGAGTGAAGAGATATGGAATCTCAGCAGAAATAGAAACACTCCAGCCCCCATGGGAATTCTAGAGCTGAGAAGTATAGTAAATGAAGTGAAAATTATTTAAATATGCTCAACAATTTTGAGATGTAAACAGAACATTTGAACAGAAAATTCAGTGAATTTGAAGATAGATCAAGAGAGAATAGTTAATCAAAAGAACAGGAACCAAAAAGGTTGAAAAATAACCAAAGTCACAGACCTACGTAACATTAAGTAGTTCAACACATGCATAATTTTAGTATTAGATGTAATGAAAAAAAGAACATGACAGAAAAATGTTCTTTTCTGTCCATGTTCATGGACAACATTGAAGAAATGTTGTCCAAAAATTTCTCAAGTTTGATAAAAACTGCTAACTTAGAGATCTGCTAAGCTCAACAAATCCAACTGGGTGAAGCCCAAAGAAAACCAAAGCAAGGCACATTATAGTCAAAACGGTAAAATCAAAGATTAAGAGAAAATCTTGAAAATAAGAGAAAAAATGATATGCTATATAAACATCTGACTTCTCAACATAAATAGTGGAAATTAACAGACACTGGAATGATAATTCAAAGTGCTGAAGATGAAAAATCAAGAATTCTATATTTAATGAAATTATCTTTTTAAAATGGAGGCCAAAAATACATTTTTCAGATCAACAAAATCTAAGATAATTTGATTGTAACAAATTTATACTTCAGGATGGACAAGAAGTTCTGTCAGCTGATGAGAAATGATGCCAGATGGTAACTCAGATATACAAGAAATACTGAAATGTGCTGGAAATGGTAAATATGTGGCTATTAATCACTATACATTTTTCTTCTCTGAAAAGCTTTAAAAGACATTATTTAAGGCAAAGGTGATACCATTATATTTTTTACTTTATGACAGAAATTAAGTATACATGACAATAGCACAAAAATTGAGTAAATGGAAATGTATGATTTACTAGAAATAACCCAATTTAAATGGTAAGTAAATCATGATATGTTAAAGATGCTTGTTGTCATCCCTATCAAAACCACTCAAAAAATAAATAAAACAGTGGGGGAAAAAAAGAGCATAATGGCAAGCCTAGACATGGATGAGCCTGGATACATTAAGTGAAATAAGTCAGCCACAGAAGGATGAATAGTGCATGTTGTCACTTGTGGAAGCTCAAAGAAGTAGCTCATAGAAGTAGAGCAGAATTGTGGTAATTAGAGGCTGAGAGGGAAGGGTAGGGAGGAGAAGAAGATAAGGAGAGGTTGGTTAAGAGATACAAAACTACAGATAAATAGAAGGAATAAGTTCTAGTGTTCTCTGGCACTGTAGAGTGAATATTAGTTAAGAGTAACTTATGGTATATGTCAAGAAAGCCAGAACAGAGGATTCTGAATGTTCCCAGCACAAACAGGTGGTAAACATTTGAGGTGATGGATATCCTAATTACCCTGATTTGATCATTACACATTGTAATTATGCATTGAAATATCACTCTATACTCCCTAAATATGTACAAGTATTACTTGCCAACTAAAAATAAAAGGGGAAAACACCTAAACATATAACCAACTTAAGACCCAGCAATTGTATTGGGCATTTTTTCGCAGACAGGTGAAAAGTTGTGTTCACACAAAATTCTGTAGAAAAATGTCTATAGCAGCTTTATTTGTAATAGCCTAAACCTGAAACAACCCAGATGTTTTTCGCAAGGTGAATGGTTAAATAATAGTGATCTATTCATACCATGGAATACTGCTCAGCAATAGGATCAAACTATTGATACACTCAAGATCCTGCATGAATCTCCAGAGAATTGTTTGAATGAAGAAAAGACAATCCCCAAAGGTTACATACTGTATGATTCCATTTGTATAACTGTCTTCAAATGACAAAATTATAGATATGGATGATTTGTGGTTGCGAGGGGTTAGGGTGGGGTGGGAATGTGGGGGGAGTATAGTATGTGTGGCTGTACAAGGGATCTCTGTGGTGATGGAAATGCTCTCTATCACCATTCTATCAATGTGAATTATCTGGCTGTGATATTATACAAATGTTCAAGATGTTACCATGGCGGAGGACACTGTCTAAAGACTGTACAAGAGCTACTTGTATTATCTCTCACTTAATGTGGATCTCCAAATGTCTTGAAATAAAAATTTTTTTTTAAAAAGAGCACAATAGCAAGCCTATATCAAACCATATCAGTAATTTCAAAGTGAAAGAGGACTAAATTCTTCCTAACAAAAGGCGGAGATTGGCAAATTGAACACAAGAGCAAAACCTATCTATGGGCTGCCTGCAAGAGGTGCATTTTAAATACAAATATGTATATTGGCTGAAGGAAAAAGAATGGAAAAGATAGCATGTGAGTAAACATTAGAAAGCTGAAGTGAAAAATGTATAAATATCAGATAAGATAGATGTTAAGACAAAGAATATTACTACAAACGACTATGTTTTATAAGGCAAAATAGTTCAGTACAGGAGAAAGATACAATAATTTGAGTGCATATGAACTTAGAATATCAAAACATATGAAGCAAAAACTGACAGAACCCAAAAGGCAACAAACAAGATTAAAATGGAATTATAAAAATCACTCAATCCAAAATAAGGCAGAAGAAGTGGAAAAGGGAGACAAAGATCAGGTGGAACAGAGAGAAAACACCAAGATGACAGACTTAAATCTAACCATATCAATTATCACATTAAGTGTAAATGGACTTGTGGTAGGCTGAATAATGAGCCGCCCACGATGGCTGTGTCCTAATTCCCAGAAATTGTGAATTACGTTACTCACATGGAAAAAGGAAATCTGCAAATGTGATTAAGTTAATGCTCATGAGATGTGGAGATTATCCTTATTATCCAGGTAGGACAAATGTAATCACAAAGTCTTTATAAGGAGGAGGCAAAAGAGTAAGAGATCAAAAAGGCGATGTGATGGTAGAAGCAGAAGTTGGAGTGATATAAGGCCACAAGCCAAGGAAGGAGGCCAGCTTCTAGGGCTGGAAAAGGCGAGGAAGTGGATTTTCTTCTAGAGCCTCCTGAAGGATTGGAGCCCTGCCAATACCGTGATTTTAGACTTATGAGCTCCAAAATTTGAAAGGGAATAAATACATGTTGCTTTAAGCAACTGTTTATGGTAATCTGTTATAGCAGCAATAGGAAATGAATATAGCTCTAAACACCACAAATGAAAAGCAAGAATTGTCAGATTGCATAGCAAAGCAAGACCCTACTATAGGCTACTTTCAAGAAATGTATTTAAATATAAAGAAACAAAGAGGTTAAAAGTTAACAGATAGGAAAAGGACATGTGATGCTACTACTAGTCAGTGAAAGCTGGTGTGGCTGTAATAACATCAAAGTACATTTGAATGCTAAGAATATTATCAAGGTTAAACAAGGATTTTTAAATGAAGAAGGGATCTATATTTCAAGAGGATGTAGCAACTCTGAACATTTATGCACTTACATAACAGCTTCAAATATATGAAGCACAACTGATAGAACTTTACGAAAAAATAGACAAATCTACAGTATAGTTAGAAATTTTAATAGCCTTCTCTAAATAATTTGTAGAATAAAAAGAAATTTAGCAAGAATACAGAAGACTTGAATAACGCCATCAACCAATATGACCTAATTGACATTTATAGTACACACCACCCTAGAACAGCAAAATAGACATTCAAGCACACGCAGACTATCAAAAAAGACCATTTTCTAGGCCACAAAACAAGTACTGACACATTTAAAATACTTTAGATCATGTAAAGTACAATATCTGACTACAATGAAATTAAATTAGAAATCAGTAACAGAATTCTGTATGGAAATTCCCTCAAATGTTTAGAAACTAAGTAATACACTTCCAAATAATCCATGGTCAAGAAGAAACAAAAGGAGGGTTAGTTTCAACGTATTTTGACCTAAGGGAAAATGAGAACACCATCCCGCTATTTGGGATGCAGATACAGCAGTAGAGAGATTTGTTTTTATGTTGAATGCCTATAATAGAAAAAGAAGAAAGGCCTCATATCAGTCACTCGGCTTCACCTTAAGCAACTAGAAAAAAAGAACAAGTAAACTCCAAAGTAAGGAGAAGAAAAGAAAGCATAAAGATTAGAATCAAAATCAGTGTGAATTACCCCCAAAACAGGGAAAAGTCAATAAAACCAAACACCGATTCTTGAGAAGATTACTAAAATTGATTAACTTCTACCCAAACTAAAAGGATGAAGGCAGAAATTACTAATATCAGGAATAAGAAAGATTTTATCACTACAGGAATCTGAAGAAATGAAAAGGATAATGAGGGAGTTTTAGGAACAACTTTACTGCACTAAGTAGGACAAAATAGATAAAATGGACAAGTTCTTTGAAAGATCCAAAACCAAAGCTCACTTAAGAAACAGAAAATCTTATATCTATTACCTTATTATGAATGACCTTATATCTGTTAATAAAATTATACTTATAGTAAAAAGAATTGTCACAAAGAAAACTTTAAGACAGATATCTTCACTGGAAATAATTCCAGTTCTACAAACTATTCCAGAAAATTCAAAAGGAGGGATTACTTCCCAACTGGTTCTGTGAGGTCAGCATTATCCTGATACCAACATGAGAGAAACATTATAGTAAAAGGAAACAACCAATCAAAATTTATCATGAACACATATGTGAAATTTTTAAGTAAAATTGCAACAAATGAATCCAGCAATATATTAAAGAAAGACAATATATAATGTGCAAGTGGAGTTTATCCCAGGAATGCAAAGTTGTCTCACTATTTGAAAACCAATCAGGTGAATTCACCACAGTAACAAACTGAAAAAGAAAGACCGCATCATCGCGCATCATCCTCTCAGTACATTCAGGAAAAAGTATTTGACACAATTCAGTATCCATAACTGATTAAAAACCCTCAGCAAACTAGGAGTAGAAGGTAACTTGCTACTAAGAATCCAAGAATATAAAATTTCTAGAAGAAAATATGGAAGAAAATTATTGTAACCTTGGATTACGCTAAGATTTCTCAGATACAGTAACATAATCATGATCCACAGGAGAACATATTGATAAATAGGACTTCATAACTGTAAGCCTCTGCTTTTTTATAAACAGTGTTAGGAAGAATTAAGATAAACCACAGTCTGGGAGAAAATATTTTCAAAGCCTATGTCTGATAAAGGACTTTCTCTAGATGTATAAAGAACTCTCAAAACCCAATAATAATAAAACAACCCAATTAGAAATGGACAAAATAGGCTGGGTGCAGTGGGTGGCTCACACCTGTAATCCCAGGATTTTGGGAGGCTGAGGTGGGTGGATCACCTGAGGTCAGTAGTTCAAGATCAGCCTGGCCAACATGGCGAAACCCCATCTCTACTAAAAATACAAAAAGTTAGTCAGGCATGATGGTGGGCGCATATAATCGCAGCTACCCAGGAGGCTGAGGCAGGATAATCGCTTGAACCCAGGAGATGGAGGTTGCAGTGAGCCGAGATGGTGCCATTGCACTCCACTCGGTGACAGAGCAAGACCTTGTCTCAAAAAAGAAAAAAAAAAAAAAAAGACAAAAGGACAGATGGCAAATAATCACACAAAAAGATGCTTGATGTTACTAGTGATTTGTGAAATGCAAATGCCAATTACAGTGAGATATCGCTAAACAATAAAATAGCTATAATTGAAAAAAAAAACTGATCATGCCAAGTGTTGCTGACACTATGGAGGACTTAGAACTCTCATACACCAGTGGTGCAAAAGTAATATGGTACAACCACTCTGCAAGACAGTTTAGCAATTTTATAAAAAGTTAAACATACAACTACTATATTTATTAAGATAAAAGAAAGCATATATCCATCCCAGTAATTGTACACAAATGTTCATAGCACCTTATTTTCTGTAATAGCCCCAAACTGGAAACAACCCACTTATTTATCAACAGATGAATGTATAAACACACTACTAGAATATCCAAACAATGTAAATACTAGTCACTAATAAAAATGAACAAACTATTGAACAGCAATATGGATGGATCTCAAAATAATTCTACTGAGGACAAGAAGCCAGACAAAAAAGAAAGCATGCAATAATTAGGATTACAAGCAAGCAGAAGTAAACTTTTGGGAGAGATGGATATGTTCATGATTTTTATTGTGGCTGCTGTTTTACAGGTGTATACATATGTTAATATGTATCAAAGTGGATACTAAATATGTGCAGCTTATTGAGTAATTATTGAACAGTTATGCCTTAATACATCTGCTAAAAAAAATCTGGCAGACTTTTACCCAGAATATACAAAGAACTCTCACACCTCAATAAGAAACAACACAAAATTTGGCAAAATATTTGAATAGACATTCCACCAAAGAAGATATTTTGAATCATCCATAACCATACTATAATGATTAAAATTACAAAAACTGATACAACTTAAACTCTCATGCATTGTTGGTGGAAATGAAAAATGGTGCATCTACTCTGGAAAACAGTTTTGAACTTGCTTATAAAGATAAATCCACATTTAATCATACATAACCATGCAACCGAGCAATTCCACTCCTAGGTGTTTCCCTAAGAGAAATGATAACATATGTCCACAAAAAGCCTTGTCCATGAATGTTTATAGTGGCATTGTTCATGGTCACCAAAAACTCAAAACATCTCAAATGTTCATTAACTTGCAAATGGATAAACAAATTGCGTTCTCTATATACAATGAAATATTATTTAGCAACAAAAAGCAAGGAACTACTGAACCACAACAGAAGTTGTAGGAACTACAGCTCAGATATGAGTATCAAAAACATGCTATGGTAAAGAAGCCAAAAATGAAAAGACTACATAATATATTTATATGAAATCCTAGAAAAAGAAAACTATAGCGCAGAAAACACAGTAGTTGCCTGAGGCCATGTTTGGGGAAGGTGGTAGATTGCAAAAGGGCACAGGGAACTTGTGGGAGTGATGGAAATTTTCTGTATTACGATTGTGGTAGTGCTTACACATCTATACACATTTGCCCATACCTGGCAAACTTTACACATAAAATAGGTGAAATTTTATTGTGTATAACTTATACTTCAATATAAATGTTAAAAAATTAGAAATCAATTTTGTCTGACTCCTTCCCTTTAATGACTGCCATCCAGGATTACTCTCTAGGGAGGAGAGTGTCTCATTTAGCCCAGTCATAGAGCCACCCAAAATGGGAAAGAATTGAAGAAAACAAATTGCCATAAGAGTCTCCTGTCCCTGCCTTGGATGATTTCATGCTAATCCAAGGCAGTTTATGCTAAAAAAATATGAAATTCATCAGGAATTGAATTAGGTTTTAATTTATCTTATTTTACTGCAAATGGGCCTTATGTTTAGATGGTGATGGCACTTGGAAAGTATTTTTATGTTTGTTTCATCTTGAAAGTGAGCTTTTAAATACGTATTTATGAATGTATATTGAAGCTTTATTATTAGGATATGTCTTTCATTTGGTTAAATGAGATGTGAAAAGGCAACATACTTAATTTCATTCTATTTTTTAAATTTCTAAACATTGAAATTATGTTTTTTGAAATGACGCTTTAAAATATTTAACATTAAATAAATTTGTCTCTGAAAATCTAGATGTGTGTTATGTATCTATTTTCTCTAGACAGGAATACATTTCTAATATGGATATATATGTCTTTTTTTCAGGCCTGGTTGCAGTATGCTTGAAATCTGGGATGTGGAAGACCCTTCCAATGCAGCTAACCCTCCCTTACGTAGCATCCTGCTCGAAGATGCCAGGCTCGAAGATGCCAGTATTTCAGAATAGTGTGTACAGAGTATTGAAGGTTAACTGAGAAGGAAACTACCCATTACACTATGGCACAATGCCGTGTGTCAAAAACAATCACCCTTTGGCTTATTTACATTAATAAAAATCACAAGCTTTAATAACAGACACTTAAAAATAAGATAAAAATGGATTGAAAGTTTTTCTGATTACTAAAAGGTAAATTACTTTTCTGTTCATTGAATGTCAGCCTTATTAAGCTTGTCATATAAATTATTCAATCATGTCATACTGCATAAACAAATGTTCATTTCAGAGTTTTAAAGAGAAATGTATATAAAAGAACAATGAATTTTAATAAATCAAGGGTACGTAAGTCCCTTTTCATCCACCTAGGTGAATTGCTTCAGATTTTCTCTAGTACCAGAGTGTACCCGCTCAAACTCTTTGAACCACTTAGGGCAGAGGAATGCAAAGTCCTGCCCAAGTGGACCCAGCGGCAAAGGTGAGGGACCCCAATTGCAGGAGTATGTGTTGCTTGGGCTCCTGGGAGCTGCAGTTGGAGCTGGCATTCCTGGGGACCAAATAACACAGTGTGCAGCAGAAGAGACATCCCCAGAGCTGGGAAGGTCTGGATCGAGTGTATTCGTTTCTTAGGGCAACTGTAAGAAAGTACCACAAACTGGGTGGTTTAAAACAACAGAAACTTGTCTCACAGTTCTACAGACTCAAAGTTCAAAATCAAGGTGTCAGCAGAGCCATGCTCTCTAGGGAATTTAAAGTCTCTAGGGAATAATCTTTCCTTGCTTCTAACTCCTTTGGTTGCCAACCTTGGCATTCCTTGGCTTATGCAAGCCCTGCCTCTGTCTTCACATGGCCTTATTTCACCTGTGTCTCCTCTGTGTTCTCAAATTTCTCTGCTTGTAAGGACACCAGTCATAGGATTTAGGGCCCATCGTATTCCAGTATGACCTCATTCGAGTGCAGTGGCACCATCTCAGCTCACCACAACCTCCGCCTCTCAGGTTCAAGCGATTCTCCTGCCTCAGCCTCCCAAGTAGCCGGGATTACAGGCTCACACCATCACACTGGGGTAATTTTTGAATTTTTAGTAGAGATGGGGTTTCACCATGGTGGTCTGGCTGGTCTCAAACTCCTGACCTCAAATGATCTGCCCGCCTCGGCCTCCCAAAGTGATGGGATTACAGGTGTGAGCCACCACACCCAGTCTGACCTCATCTTGATTACATCTGCAAAGACCTCTTCTCTAAATAAAGGCACATTCACAGGTACTGGGGTTAGAAGCTCAACATGTCTTTTGGGGCTGCCCACAGTGGCTCATGCCCGTAATCCCAGCATTTTGAGAGGCCAAGGCGGGCGGATCACCTGAGGTCAGGAGTTCGAGACCAGCCTGGCCAACATGGTGAACCCCATCTCTACTAAAAATACAAAAAATTATCTAGGCATGGTGGCAGGCGCCTATAATTCCAGCTACTGAGGAGGCTGAGGCAGAAGAATTGCTTGAACCTGGGAGGCAGAGGCTGCAGTGAGCTGAGATCATGTTACTGCACTCCAGCCTGGGCAACAGAGCGAGACTCTGTTAAAAAAAAAAGTCTTTTGGGAGAAGAGAATTGATGCATAACACAAGCAAAGTGACCAAACCCAGGAAAAGCCAGCTGTAAAACCAGCCAGGGTGGGAGCCCAAGGCCATCCAGTAGATGAGAGCTGTCTAATGGTCTAATGCCCACGTCTCCTCCGCCCTCTGGCCTTGGCCTTGGGAAGCAACGCTCAGCAAGGGAGAGGCGGTGGGGATGGGCAAGGAGCAAGACAGATGGTCACACCTGTCTCCCCAAAAGCAGACAGCCAAGGACTGCACTCTGTAGCAGGAAAAAGATGTTCTGTCTTTAAGCACTACATTGTTAATTAATATCTTGGACTAAGCATTCCAGAAAAACTTCTTATTTTGGAAACGTTTAAGCATACAAAACTAGAGGAAACAGAATACCGAGTTCCCTATGTACCCATTGCCCAGCTTCAACAATTATCAACTCAAGGCCAATCATTTTTTTTTAATCTACACCCTCACCCACTCCTCCCTCTCATAGGCTTCTTTTCATGTAAATCCCAGATATATAATCTGGAGATATTTCATTCAGTTATTTCAACATGTCTCTGAAAGAGAAAAACTGTTTTAAAAATAAAACAACAACAGACACCGAGGCCTATGCGAGGTCTCAGGTAGGGAGGAGGGAGAGGAGCAGAAAAAAATAACCACTGGGTACTAGGCTTAGTACCTGGGTGATAAAACAGTCTGTACAACAAACCCCCATAACACGAGTTTACCTGTATAACAAACCTGCACATGTACCCATGAGCCTAAAATAAAAGTTTAAAAAACAAAAATTTAAAAAACCCCACATTATTGTAGCCTCAAAATTAAAAACAATCCCTTAACATCAAATATCTACTGAATGTTCAAATATTCCTGTTTGATGTGTAAAACTTCTCATATGTTTTCTTTGTTCACCTGAAGATCCAAAAAGATCTCTTCACACATTGCAATTAGTAATTTCTTGTAAGTCACTTTTAACCTGTAGGTTCCTCTCTCCTCCTCATCTTTTTTTCTTACAACTTTTTATAAAGAAACTGAGTGTTTCTCCTATAGCGTGTCCCAGTGTGGCTATTGCTTATTGCACTCCATGCTGTTCTTCTATGCTTTCCCATGTATTTTCTATAAATTGGATGTTAAATCCGGAGCAGTGATTCTCAAAGGTAGCCCACTATAATTATCTGAGGAGCTCTTGAAAACCCTGAAGCCGGCCGGGCACGGTGGCTCACACCTGTAATCCCAGCACTTCAGGAGGCCGAGGCGGGCGGATCACCTGATGTCAGGAGTACGAGACCAGCCTGGCCAACATGGTGGAACCCCAACTCTACTAAAAACACAAAAATTAGCCAGGTGTGTTGCTGGGTGCCTGTAGTCCCAGCTACTCAGGAGGCTGAGGCAGGAGAATCACTTGAACCCGGGAGGCAGAGGTTGCAGTGAGCTGGGATCACGCCTCTGTACTCCAGCCTGGGCAACAGAGTGAGACTGGGTCTCAAAAAAATAAAATTAAATAAATAAATAAATAAATAAATAAATAATTAAATAAATATCCCTGAAGCCCAGGCAAATCCAAGAGCAATTATACCAGAGACTCTGGGGGGAACTGAGACACAGGAATTTTTTAAACTACCTCAGATGATCCCAGTATGCAACCAACATTGAAAACCACTGATCTACAGTTTTGATCATATTTAGGCTCAGTTTTTTCCCCTCTGGCATAGGACGGTTTCTTGTATACCTTACATTGGATATTCAAAATTTCCAAATGGACGGAAGAAAATGTGGAAGTGTCCATCACCTATGACTGACCAGAGAGCCTCTAGAATGGCCCTATTCTTCATCTAGTGGCAAGAGATGATTACCCCCCACTAGACAAGTTCTGAAGAGACGAAGGGAAGAAAAATAAAGCATGTTTAATCATGTCACAAATTGCCCTTGATCAATGAGCCAGTAACACATAAGTGGATAGAAAAATATCTAGAAGGGTCGGCACAAAATTAATATCATGACTACCTCTGGGAAGTGACTGCGTTTGGTGTGGCAGCAGTCGTGTTTGTGTGTGTGTCCATAAGGGGTTTTAGCCTTACCTCTGGCTTGTAAGCTTTAGATTGAGAATAAAATCATGTATTAAGTCAGTGAAAAGAAAGAACAAATGATGGCTTTTTAACAACAAAATTTCGTATTTTCTATTTAAAAAGTACTCATTACAGAAAATTTGAAAAATAGGAGAAGAAAAAAAAGTCATCACCTATAAATTCCTCACTCAAAGATAAGCATCGTTGTGGAATTGGAGTTTATTATGGTAAGTGAAATAAGCCAAGCACAGAAAGAAAAACTGCATGTTCTCATTTTTTTGTGGGAGCTAAAAATTAAAACAATTGAAGTCACAGAGGCAGAGAGTAGAATGGTGGTTACCACAGGCTGGGAAGGGTAGTTGGGTATTGGGGGGAAGTGGACATGGTTAATGGGTATAAAAAATAGTGCCAGGTGTGGTGGCTCACACCTGTAATCCCAGCACTTTGGGAGGCCGAGGCAGGAGGATCACTTGAAGCCAGGAGTTTGAGACCAGCCTGGCCAACGTGGTGAAACCCCTGTCTCTACTAAAAATACAAAAATTAGCTGGGCATGCTGGCATGTGCCTGTCATCCCAGCTACTCAGGATACTAAGGGAGGAGAATCGCTTGAGCCCGGGAGGCAGAGGTTGCAGTGAGCCGGGATCACACCTTTTGCACTCCAGCCTGGGTGACAGAGTGAGGCTGTCTCAAAAAAAAAAAAAAAAGTAATAATGAATAAGACCTAATATTTGATAGCACAACAGGGTGACTATAGTCAAAAATAATGTAATTTTACATTTTAAAATAAAACAGTATAATTGAATTGTTTGTAAGACAAAGGATAAACACTTTAGGTGATGGATGTCCTATTTACCTTCATCTGATTATTACACATTGCATACCTGTATGAAAATATCTCATGTAACCCATAAATATATACACCCCTTATGTATCCACAAAAAATAAAAAAGCTGAAAATAAAACAAAAAAGCCAAAGATAAACATTGTTAGTATTTGGTCTATTTATCTCCAGACTTCATGTTATGTATTTTTAAACTTAACTTATGGACAAAACTCCTTCCCTTGATTTTTTAAACTTCCTCTCTCTGGCCTGGTCGCAGCCACTAGATACCCATATATTAATATTTGTCCTCTAACCAGGGCCGGGCACGGTGGCTCACGCCTGTAATCCCAGCACTTTGGGAGGCCGAGGTGGGCAGATCACCTGAGGTCAGGAGCTGAAGACCAGCCTGGCCAACATGGTGAAACCCCATCTCTACTAAAAAATACAAAAAATCAGTTGGGTGTGGTGGCAGCCGCCTGTAATCCCAGCTACTCAGGAGGCTGAGGCAGGAGAATGGCTTGAACCCAGGAGGCAGAAGTTGCAGGGAGCCGAGATCGTGCCATTGCACTACAGCCTGAGCAACAAGAGCAAAACTCTGTTTCAAAAAAAAAAAAAGAAAAAGAAAACTTTAATAATATTCCATAATACTTGTTTTATTACTATTTTATAATAATCGACATTTATTGCTATGTTATAATAATCGACATTTATCCTTTATCAGTTATAATTCTCACAAAAGCTTGATGATGTGAGTTATTTTATCATTTGCATTTTACAGATGAGGAAACAGGTTTGGAGAAGATAAATACCTTGCCCAAAAATGTAGCATGTCCAATCCTCTTTCCTCAGCTAGAGGCTGGGATGAAGCTGGCCAAGGGAGTGTCTTCTCCCTAAAGTTGCAAGTATTTCAGAATCAGGAGCCCTGCAGAGTCCTGAGTTAAAGAGTGAGCCAAAAGTGATGTTTCAGAGAAGGGCAAGGGCTAAGAAGCTGATCCCAAAGTCCACACAACAGACCCAGAGAATCTGTCAACTACGGAGATGAAAGCAGGGATGATGCATGGAAGGGAGGGAAGT
The DNA here is from genome assembly GCF_000001405.40 of Homo sapiens. Classification (NCBI taxonomy): domain Eukaryota; kingdom Metazoa; phylum Chordata; class Mammalia; order Primates; family Hominidae; genus Homo; species Homo sapiens. The sequence continues at coordinate 29,747,807 of NC_000007.14, forward strand.
TTCCAGGCTAACACCTGGGGTAGCGGTGTCACTCCTGTCTGTGTTTAGTATGCCCAGAGGGGCCAGGTGTGGGTGGGCAGTCCAGAGCTGAAACCAACCCATTTCCATGCACTGCTTAGTACAGAATGCCAAGTAAAGGCTTCCGTTATTTCTTTGAAACGGTGCTGCCAAGTAATTGTCATAGAACATTTATGGGTCTGTCCTTCCGCCCCTCCCTTCCTGCTTTCCCCTGGAATAGCAAGCAGAGCTGGTTGTAAAGGTCAGTACATTTTCCTGGGTGCTCTGGAGTAAATAAAGCCATTTCCTCCAGCCTACAGTGATGAGCTATTCCTGGTTGGGTAATCTTGACCTCTGACCTATGGATTTGTGCACCTAGGAAAGGATTTACTTTATTTAGTTAAGAGTTTGGAAGAAATGCTTTCTGTGTACTGCATAAGTATCCAATGTCTGTTTCTTATTATGTTTGCTTTACAGTTAACCATGGAAAGAATAAAATCAAATGGAAAAATGTAGCAACACGGCTGTCTACAAAACAGAAAAGAAATCTTAAAGGTATTTTAAGAGGTAAAGATGTTAGTTATTAATTTTTTGTTATATACAGCAGCCAGAAGGCAAAGAACCTTTTAGGATGTTTTCCTTGGTATGGCCAGACAGAGGAGCTATTTTGAATAAGTAGCAGCAGAGGGCACTCTTCCTACGGGTTAGTTTCTATCCTCACTTCTCCAGGGAAAACACTTGTTAAAATGCCTGTGTATATATATATGTTAACAAGTTTATGGCCCTTTAAAAAATAGATGACAGATTAGATAGATGATAAATAGATAGATAGGCAGATAGATAGAAGATAGATGATAGAGATAGAAGATAGATGATAGAGATAGATGATAGATATGATAGATGAGAGATGATAGATGACATAGATAATTGATAATAGATAATTAGATGATTGATATATAGATAGATATATAGATGACAGATAGTTGATATAGATAATTAATAGATGATAATTAGATGGTTTATAGATGGATAGATGTATAGATGATAGTTGATATAGACATAATTGATAGATGATAGATAATTAGATGGTTGATAGATGGATAGATATATAGATGATAGGTGATATAGATAGATAGATAATTGATAGGTAATAGATGATTGATAGATGATAGATATATTGATGATAGTTGATATAGATAGGTAACCGATAGATGATAGATGATTGATAGATGGGTAGATACATAGATGATAGTTGAGATAGATAGATAGATAGATAACTGATAGATGATAGATTACTTTTATGGCTCCTCCCATGTCCATTAAAACTGAAATCGTGTGTGATTATATTTCCTTGAATCATTACCACTTTTTTCTTCCTAAGCATATTAACTTCCTATTTCACCATAGAAACGTTCAATATTTTGCTCAGAAACTCAGGGCTTTTGGGTACTGCCCTCCCATTGTCTAGTTTTTGTGCTTTCTTTTGGGGTCCTCTCTGGAGGTCACAACCATCTTTGGAGCATGCCCAGGAGAGAAGGAGGTGGATCTAGTTCCTCCTGGAATGGCTTTGGTGATGCCCTTTGCTGCGGACAGACTACATTCCGCTCCAACACCCCTTCCTCCTGTTTTTTTTTCTTTGCCTCCCCTCCTCTCCCACATCTCTATTCCTCCCAGCCTTTCTTCACTCCTCTGTATGCCCATCATTCTCCTCCACCTCCAAGGTCACAGGCATCACCATGTAAGCCTCCCATCCCAGAAAACCAGCCTCCAAGATAACCCCATGATCCCCACCTCCTTGTGTGTACGTCCTTGTGTAGGACCCTCCTGCATTCAGCGGGGCTGAGCTGTGTTAGCACTGGGATATATGGCAATGACAAGGCGGCATGTGACTTCCAAAGTTAAGGTCACTTTGCTCTCTCGGATCACTAAGCCAGTTGTCATGTTGTGAGGAGGCTCAAGTTGTCCTGTGGTGGGTCCCTGTGACAAGGAACTGAGCTCTCCTGCTGACAGCCAGCAGTGCCTTCCCAACCATTAGAGTGAGTCACCCTAGAAGCAAATTCTCCAGCTCCAGTGCATCCTTTAGATAACTGCCACTCTGGTCACCATCTTGTCTACGATCTCATGAGAAACCTCAGCCAGAACCACCCAGCTAAGTTGCCTCTGAATTCCTGAGCCACAGAAACTAGGAGATAATAAATGTTTACTGTTTAAGACTCTAAATTTGGAGTAATTTGCTATTCGGCCATAGAAACTAACACTCATTTCATCGTACCTGACACTGCTATCTCCGTGGTTTCATGTCCTTGTGGTTAAAGCTCTCCAAGGGCTCATCGTTAATTTCAGGATAAAATCCAAATCCCTTAACATAGCATAGGTCTTTTACAAACTGCCTCCTGTGTGCCTATGAGCCCCATCCCGCCCACTCTGCCTTTCCTCCCTGCATCACTCCAGCTACTCTGAAACACACTGCACCTTCCTAAATGTGGAAAGGTAAAATTGCCAGACTTTTCATAGGATGCCCAGTGAAATTTGAATTTCAGATAAACAGTGAATAATGTGTGTGGTTATACAATATTTGGGACATACTTTTACTAAAAATATTGCATGACACATACTTATTCTTAAAAGTTGTTCATTATCTGAAATTCACATTTAATAGGGCATCCTGTACTTTCCGTTGCTAAATCTGGCAACCCTACAGATGTGAGCTGTTCACTTTCAGCTCCTGCTCAGCCCCCAGCTGGATCACTACAGCTCCCCCTGACTAGCTCCCTGGCCTGCAAGACTCAGCCCAGACATCAGTGCCCCTAGAAAGCCTAGGCTAACTTCTCTGCACCATACACACCTAGGATGGGTCAGATGTGCCTGCTGCAGGCTCCCGCCCACCTGTCACACCTCTCTCACACCACACACTTTGCAAGTATTTGTTTACCTCTCTCCAGTACTAGACTGAGCTTCTTGAGGTCAGGCACTGTCTTACTCACCACGACGTGGCTTCAGTGCCAAAAACATAGTATAATCACAGTTTACAATTACTGAAGATTTACTCTAAGCTAGTTGCTGTTCTAAGATGTTCTGCATATATCAACTCATTGAATTTTCATATCAAGACAAAGGAGGTACTATTAATATCCCACTTTTACTGGGGAGGAATCTGAGACAGAAATAGGTTTTGCGACTTCTCCAGTGTCATTTGAAAATGGCAGGGAAGTTGGGGTTCAAAGCCAGGAGTCTGACTCCACAGCCCACCCTCTAACAAGCTAGACATATTGCCTCTTTACAGTGTATGATAAGTGCTTGCCAAATGCATGTAAGAACTGACTATCCAGCTAAGTTTCTCCAAACTAGATAACTGTCTTTAAGCAGGGACCTTGCTGCCTGTGCCCCTCCTATCTCTCTCTCCAGTCACCACTACCAACCACAATGCATGGTGCCTTCTTCACAAGCAAACACTGAAGAATTATACTGGTCTGTTCTCCCCTCTTCAAATCCTGACTACAGATTCAGGGTAGCGCCATATACCACACCTCCCTAAAAAAGAATGGTTATAGGCAGGGCACGGTGGCTCACACCTGTAATCCCAGCACTTTAGGAGGCCAAGGCGGGCGGATCACCTGAGGTCAGGAGTTCCAGATCAGCCTGGGCAACATAGGGAAACCCCGTCTCTACTAAAAAATACAAAAAATTATCCAGGCATGGTGGCACGTGCCTGTAATCCCAGCTACTCAGGAGGCTGAGGCAGGAGAATCCCTTGAATCTGGGAGGCAGAGGTTGCAGTGAGCCAAGATCACGCCACTGCACTCCAGCTTGGGTGTCAGAGTGAGACCCCATCTCAAAAACAAAAAAAAAAAAGTGGTTACAGCATGTGCCTTAGAAATATAAGCCAAGGGAGCACTGTGGTTAATACTGTGAGTTCTAGAGTAAAATTCCCTGGGCTTAGATCCCAACTCTACTGCTTATTAGCTGTATGGTTTTGGATGAGGCCCTGAAACTTAGATTCTTCATCTGAGAAACGGAGACGCAGCATCTGGAACATAGCACGTACTCAGTAAATGTCAGCTGTCAGCATTGTCATTGCCAATCCACTCAGCCCCACAGGCAGGTATGTGTGGGCCTGGCACCCCCATGAATTTCTGTGACTTCCTCAGCTCCCTTCCCCTGTGCAAAATTTTCGACAGGGGTTAGAGAGGGTGACCTGCCTCAGTATCCTTTGGAGTTTCAAGGCTGAACCTTAGAGACTGAAATTAAGAAAGTGAAACCAAGGGAGGAAGGCTGCCCCACAGCCCAGGGAGCAGATAGAAAGAAGCATAAGTAGCCCCACTGGCCCTCGCTTTCTCAACTCTACAGAGCTGGGTGGCTGGAACTGTGCCAGACTCCCAGGTCAGAAGGTGCTCTGCTTTTGGGGCTGCTACCCCAGGAAAAGCCTTCGTACCTATCAGGAAACAATGCACACTGACACTCAGGGTCTGCAGCCATCTCAGTGGTACCTGGTTAAAGGAACACCCTTTACTTCATAAGTGGCCAGAAATACATGAGAACCTCTGTGTCTTGTCAGGGAGTGGGTGCCTAGCCTAACTTAATCCTAGGGGTACCTGTGATGACACTGAAGGCTAGCATTTTTTAACATGCTGGGTACTGCACTACGTGCTTTGCACATGTCATCTCACTTAATCCCTACAACAATACTGTACGTTTTTGGGTTTTTTGTTTGTTTTTTGGGACAGTGTCTCTGTAAGGTTTTTGGTTTTGTTTTTTTTTGTTTTGTTTTGTTTTGTTTTTTTGAGGCAGGGCCTTGCTCTGTCACTCAGGCTAAAATGGAGTAGCTCACTGCAGCCTGTACCTTCCAGGCTCAAGTGATCCTCCCACATTAGCCTCCCAAGTAGCTGGAACTACAGGCATGTGCCACCACACATGGCTAACTTTTTTATAGAGATGGGGTCTCACTATGTTTTCCAGGCTGCTCTCAAACTCATGGCCTCAAGCTGTCCTCCCACCTTGGCCTCCCAAAGTATTGGGATTATAGGCATGAGCCGCCATGCCCAGCCAATACTGTTAGTTTTGATAACATCATTATCCTTATTGTACAGAAAAGGAATCTAAGTAATTGACTCAAGTCATACATCTGGCAAGAGAGGAATTAGATTTTTAATTCTATCCTATGATATGGAAGTAACTCTTCAGCTGCCCCGACCCTATGGCTCCAGGCTTCTGCTATGGGCCTAGTTCAGAGCTTCCAGGAAATGTAGATGATGCAGTACACTTACAGCACTGGTTCTCAACTCCATCTGCATGTGAGATCATCACCTGGGGAGATGATCCACCGGGTCCTCCCCAGACCACATGGATTCAATTTTCTGGAGGATGGGACCAAAGCTTTGGATGTTTTGTAAGATTTCTTTGGATGACTCTACTGGGTGGCCAGAGTTGAGACCCACTCCCCTTAAAGCCATTCTCAATGAATATATGAAACTTTAAAAAGAAATTCCGAAGACCCTCATATCAAAGGTCTCTTTGGAATAATATCTGCTCCTTCCTCTCCAAGGGGCAATCTCTGAACAGGCAGTGGAGGTAAGGATACTTCATGGGGGATTTCCAAACCTTTTACTTGCTTATAATGCATACATTGTAGGATTGGCTCACTTTAATGCAGAGGTAAGTGCTTCTCTCAGGCCCTTAAGAAAAAACTGACCCTAAGTACCACTTCTGCTCTTGCAAGAATCCGAGAGTACACACCTCCTTCAGTTTTGCACCCTAGACACCACCCTGACTCACCCTAATCCTGACCCTGTTTTTCACATAGTACCACTCTGTAAAATGTAAGACAAATAGGAAAAAATTCAGTGGCTCACACCAATATATAATAATCATCATCATCTACATTTGTATAGATATAACTTTAACCTGTTAGAGATCTTTGGTTGCAAGCAACAGAAACAAACTGGCTAAGTTGAGGAAATAAAACTAATGAAAGCATATGGGTTGGATCACAGAATCCAATGAAATGCAGTAACCTCAGAAAAGATAAGAACCAAGGTGCCCATAAGAATCAAGGATGCAACAGCTTAAAGATGTTGCCTTTCCCCACTTTGAGATCCTGCTTCCAAGATTCAAACCCATGGTAAGAGGTTCTACTTGGCTCCTGTGACTGCCCCTCAGCACTATGATTGACCGTTCCAACAACACTATATTCAAAAGGACAGCTCCCCAAAGCAAAACTGGGAGGTTTTAACAGAAGGAAGAAGAAACAAATGCTGGCCTGGCAAAACCAGTAGATGTTTATTCTTCTCCTGTGCCATTTACATTTATGTGTTTTGCATACATAAATAACATCATGTGAAGGAGCGGGGGCAGGACATCTGCATTCCAGGTAAAGTTATGTCCTGATTGCCACTTTCCTAATGTTAGTGATAAGTACTTTGTAAATTTAAAAAGCACTACACATATAGAGTTTATTATTATAACCCTCTTCTTGAAAAATGTGGGCTTGCAAATCAGAGAGATTAGACCTATTTAACCTGCCTGCCACTAGACAGGCAGAAGCATAACTAGCTTACTGGTCCAGTTTTTTCTTCTTTGTTTTTTCCCATGAAGATTCCTCTAATTTTGCTCAAGCACGTATATACAGTTCTGTATTTTGTCCAAAGTTTCTGAGGTGTTTTGTGAAGATGATTTTCTTTTTAAGATGCTGGTTCACTATGTTGCTGGAAAATGGAGTCCCCAGACTACATTCCATATCTCACTTTTAGATATTTGCATTGCATAGCAGCACATTGGGGGGGTCCTGAAATCAATAAACCTGTAAAGTCATGTTTAAGTCAGTATTTCTTGAACTTCTTTTACCTTGAAAGCTTTTCTTTAAATAATATCTATCTTTTGTGTGTGTGTGTGTGTGTGTGTGTGTGTGTGTGTGTGTGTGTGTGTGTGACAGAGTCTTGCTCTATTGCCCAGGCTGGAGTGCAGCAGCGCAATCTCTGCTTACTGCAACCTCCGCCTCCCAGGTTCAAGTGATTCTCCTGCCTCAGCCTCCCGAGTAGCTGGGACTACAGGCACATGCCACCATGCTCAGCTACTTTTTGTAGTTTTAGTAGAGACACGGTTTTGCCATATTAGCCCGGCTGCTCTCCAACTCCTGGCCTCAAATGATCTGCCCGCCGTGACCTCCCAAAATGTTGGGATTACAGGTGTGAGCCACTGTGCCCAGCCAGTAACATCTATCTTTAAGAGCTAGTAATTCCTGGAATGTTCTTTAGGAAACACTGGTCTAATGATTTAAATGGTGATAATAAGTAACAGAGTCTGGCTACTAATAGAGGTCATTCTTGATAAATTTGGGGAAATGCCAAGGAAAACTTTGCAAACAAATTGTCTTTGCATTCCTGAGGGTTGTGGGGGATTTTCTTTGTTTTTGTTTTGGGGTTTTGTTGTTTATGGTGGTGGTGGTCCAATGTGGATTGCAGAAACACTGTATACATTTGCACACCTCTTGGCCAGCACACCGAGCTAATGTTATCTCTCTTCGCACAATGAAGGAAATGAAGTACTTTCCATTCTTGCCCTTGTTTTCCAACCCCAAAGTTTCCATGGTTTTATTCTGGTTGCTGAGACCTTCCAAACCCAGTGTCATGCAGTAAATTTGGTGGAACAGTTGTATAAAATCTGTTCTGCCATTTTTGAAGAAGGGAACTTATTATATTTATTTTTAGACCATAAAACATCTATTTTTCTGACAGCTCTGGAATAACCAACATTGAAATAGAACTTAGAACTACTCCTGATTGAGGAACAGAAGTTAAGCTAGCTCTCTAAAAGTTAAACAAGTTTAAATGAGCTGCCTAAACAGAACATAATCCTACATGATATTCAATTGAGTCACAGTGAATTAATATGGACATGTCATAATTCTTTCACTCTGGAGCACAGATACTCCATGTGCTTTTGGAACAAGATTTTTCTAAATTGTAGAGTTGAATAGTTAGGGATATTTATTATATGAATATTTCCAGAGACTGGGGAATAGGACATTGCTCTGGAACTTATAATAATGTGATGTTTGAGTCAAGATTTATGTACGAAACAAATAGGAAAAGCCAGATTTCACTAGGAAATTTTTTTATTGTTCAGCTAATTATAGTAAAAATTTATCTGAATACTGAAGGGTGAACTGAGAGGGGATCGCTCTCAGTCCTGAAGTCTGCCTTTATGTTTTCTTCACTGCACCTAGGCTACAGATTTACTAGAAAAGCTTCTAGAAAAACATAATCCATCACAAAAAAATGGCCAATAAATAGCCAATTAATTAATCACTCAATGTATATTACACACCTATTCTGTGCAAGAGATTCAACGAAGCAATGGTCCCCTCCCTTGAACAGTTTCCAGTGTAAGCTGGCAAATCAAACGTGCACATGAAGAGCTGGAAACAGGACATCTCCTTTTTCACAGCTGTCAGGATGGCAGTCCCTGAGAAAGTCTCTCTGAACTTCCAGTTAAAATGCCTATGAAGATGCAGAAAAAGGTGGAAACTTGTAACACAAGGAAAACCAAAAATTTCCAGAATATGATTCTCCAGTCACAGAAAATAACAGTGAAGCTATATTTAGAAAAGTACTTATTTGTCTTCTTATACTTTACAGCATAAAACAGCAAAGCCAGTCCACCTGAAAGATGTTTCTCCTCTGCTCAAAGAACCAGAGAAACAGGGTCAGGAACCCCATGGGATCTAGGCAGCTGTCTCTCCTGGGTGCCTTTGGTATTGATGAGAGTGCCATTCACATTTCCCCCACTGCAGCACTGTCTGTAAATGCACTTAAGATTGCAATTCCAAAAGAACAAACAAACAGCAGAAAAAGTAGGGAAGACCAACACTGGCATGACATTCAAGCTGTGAGATGATCAGGAGGAATCAGGATTCGAGGCAGGAGTATTACGTATTTCATGGACTCCAATAGAGAACCAGGCAGTGAAGGTAGGGGATCTCTCCTCAGGACAGAAAAAATATACATAAAAAAATACATGGGCTGGGGGCAGTGGCTTACACCTGTAATCCCAGCACTTTGGGAGACCGAGGAGGGAGGATCACTTGAAGTCAGGAGTTGACCAGCCTGGCCAACATGGTGAAACCCCATCTCTACATCAAATAAATAAATAAGCAAGCAAGCCAGGTGTGGTGACATGCACCTGTAGTCCCAGCTACTCAGGAGGCTGAGACATGAGAATCAATTGAACCCAGGAGGCAGAGGTTGCAGTGAGCTGAGACTGCACCACTGCACTCCAGCCTGGGCAACAGAGCAAGACCCTGTTTTAAAAAAAAAAAAAAAAAAAAAGCATCTCTGCTAAATTCTGGGACTTAAGCAGAGAATGTTTAAAGATGGGTAGAAGGGAAAAAAATCAGGCCTATAAAGGTACTGTGAAATAAAGGAAAGGATATTGTGGCAAGGTGGACGAAGCCAAATACCAAGTATCCTGTGGTGCGGGCAACGGAACAGGGGTTCTTGGGGGACACTTACATGGCCAGTTGGAAAGGGCATCAGTCTGCCCCTCCCCACACATTCCCTCATCATCCCATGCAGAGAGGCAATATTGCGGGCCACACGGCACACTTATGGCCCAAAGGAGGAACTCTGCCTCTCTGCTTCTTCATCTTCTTATAATGCAAATACGAGAACAACCTTGAAGGTAAAGAATAAACTATTGGGGCATAAGCACCAAGCAGTTTGAACGCACAGGCACCCCTGCAGGGAATTATCTGCAAACTCAGGCATTCAGTGCCTGGCAACCTTGTGAGAAGTTAGATTCAGGCTGGTAGAAGAAGGGCCACCCAGTTCCAAGGGCAACTGAGTTAGCATCCCAGTGTTCCCACTATCAGTCAGCCTGAGCTCTTGGGGTCATTCAACAAACAGCCCTGCTTGCCTCTCTCCAACAATCCACCCAGTGACCCTGGAGACCCATGAAACATAAGCCTGCCCATTCGGGGCAGAAACATGAAATTTTCAGTGGAGATTTCAGCATTTGTTGACATCACCAAATGAGACAGTTTCATAAACAGGTAAAACACCAGTAAAAGTTCTTTGTGAAGGCCTGTAGGGCCTCCCAGAGTGTTTGGTCATGGATCCCAGGTCAATCCAGGAGGGAAAAAATCCCAAGGATCAGCCTGAGGGGGTTTGCAACCATTTGACTGGCCCTGCAGTACTACAAATAAGGCCAGACTTTGGGCCAAATATATTAATCTAGAAGCAGTGGAAGGTGGTGACCACTACATATACACACACTGGCTAAGCAGCAAATAATTCAGAGCTAGTGTTTAAGTAATAAAACTAAACTCTGGGGTCAAAGCTAGTCTCTTAAAATTAAGAGGCTTAACTGTCTTATTGGCAATATCTCCCTTGGGTGACTGGAAGATGTTGTATCAGGCCTTTGGGAGGAAAACTTGGGTAAAATGGCTAAAACCGTGTCCTTGTCTTCCTCAGAGAATTGTTGCCATTGGCACCAGAGGCTAAGACGTTGCTGCTGCTATCAGGGCTTGGGTCCCTGTCAAGGGTCATGTATAACTCCCAGGGAACAGGCAGTATTAGGTCCAAGGAAAAAGCAAGGAAGGGCCTGCTTGCCTTGCAGAAAAATCAGTCCTGGGGTCACATGGTGCCAATCTGAGTCTGGTTTAAGGTGACCTTCTGTATCAAGTTGCCAGTGGCATCATCTGGGCAGAAGATAGGAATATGGTTGTGTGGAACCAAGGGAAGTAGTTGCACCACTGCTAGATGACAGCTACTCCTGTACCATTGTCTGAGAGAGCAGAATATTAATAAAATCCCCTGCCTCCAGTTCAAGTTAAGGGTGACACTAAGTTTACACAACAGGCCATTGCCTGAGTCCCCCAAAGAAGGCTGTTCTTTATTCCCTACTTATATCTGGAATGGAATGGAAGAAAGGTAATCCATACCTTCAGCTCCACCCACACCCAATACAACTCTGAGTTGATCCAAACCATCCCTCCTTTTCCCTCAGCAAAAGCTATGTGCAGACAGGAAGTCATCATTCTGCCACCAAAGGCCACCAGGCTACCTTCACAGATCAAGGAGGGTCTACTACAGAGAAGAGGGAACCTGCTACATAGGCCTAATGCCACAACCACATCCCCATCCTAGAAGAACATGTAAGAAGCATTGAAAAGTCAACACACACAAAAATGCCAGTCACCTACTTTGTGGCAATTACCATGAAATGACTTCACAGGGCAGAAATCATCCAAATTTATGTCCATGAAGTTCTTCCCAACCCAGGCTAACCTTGCCAGCCACCTACTGGAGTCAAGGTGGGGATGAAAAAAGAAGGAAAGTGGTTAGCTATAGAGACACAAGGGCCCTAACACACTCAATGGATTCTTCCTATAAGCCACCAGATGTGAACAGCCACTTGCTCATGAATTTTGCTCAGGACTTGAGGGCCAGATTTGACCTGCAATTGGATGTACCATTTCCATTTCATAGGAGTTTTCTTGGCATTTTCCCACCTCAAAGGTCTTTGGTTCAGAGAGAGTGAGGTGGGTTGTTAGGTTAGAGTGTCACATTTTTTCTTTAGTGAGACAATCTCTCCCTGTTAGAGCTCAGAAACAGGGTTGAAATATTCAGCAGTGGAAGGAAGTCTCAAAGTGCAAAAATTTAAAGATCAAAAAATACTAACAGAATCTCATTGCCAAAAATTTTCAATAATCTATGAGATCAGCACTATGGTTTAAATATGTTCTCCAAAAAGCATGTGTTGGAAACTTAACCCTTATGCAACATTTTTAGGAGTTGAAGCCTAATGAGGGCTTATTAGGCCATGAGGGCTCTGCCCTCATGGATGGATTAATGCTGTTATCATGGAAGTGGGTTTGTTATTGAAGGAGTAGGCTTGTTACAAAAGAAAGAGTTCAGTTCTCTTCTCTCTCTCGACCTCTTGACCTCTCGACCCCTCTTGCCCTCTCACCTTCCTCTATGTGATGAAGGCCCTCACTAGATGTCAGCCCCTCAATCTTGGAGTTTCCAACCTCCACAACTGTAAGCCAATACATTTCCTTTCTTTGTAAATTACCCAGTCTTAGGTATTCTGTTGCAGCAGGATGGAATGAACCAAGGCAATCAGTCATGAATACATGTAACTTCTCAGGGTCTGAAGGGGATACGGGGCCTAAGGCCAGAGATTGTGTTAATGTACCCTAGACAGCTTCCAAAGCTTCTTACTAGAGGGTGGGGGTGGGGGAGGTGTTTAAATCGGCCTGGTTGTCCAGTGAAGTATCACAAGTGCTTTGATAAAATGTATGTGTGTGATTCACTGTATCCAAAGAGGCAAACTAAGCGTTAGGGGTCTTTCTTTGTAGCTTATAGCTATAAGGTTAGCAATGTGTCTTTGGCAGTTGTAAAGTAGCTCTTTGGACTGCTGCCCAAGTACCCTTCAAGAAAGACATTTGGGAAGTGGGGCTGTTGACTCTCTTCTGATTCAAGGCCCAGCTGACTGTGAATAGCATTGTCTGGTCAGCATGAAGGACAGTAAAAGCCACTTTCTTAGTTGGAGCCATGATTAAGATGTCATAAATTTAATAAAATACTTGAATCTCAATGAGCTGTTCCCATTGTGCTAGGGATCAAGACCCTATTTCTAGTGAGTTCAAATATCCCTGCAACAGAATAATAAAGAGGTACTACATGTCATGTTAAGCAAAAGCAAAGTGCTCTTGAACTACTTCTTAAAGAATCAGGAAGAAGAGGCAATAGCAGACCTAGAGTAACATACCAAGTGTAGATAGTAGCCTCAATCAGTTCAATAACTATTATACAACCACCTCTTTATTTAGTCCTTGTTATCCACAGTCAGGCATCAAGCCCAGTCCCTACCTCCAGCTTTTTTGACCAGCCAAACTGTACTGTTGAATCGGTAGATAATGGGCATTTAATCTTTGCCTACATTTAACCTCTCCTGGTATGTAATTCTACTTCAACAGAAAAATCTTTTCTAGCACAGTAAAACCAGGTAACTCCTAGGAGTGTAACTTTATAGCTTTTGCAGTAGCAAAAAAAAAATGTGGGTGTTCATTTGGCATCTGTGCCCCTTCATTGGGCTGATATTTTACAATGTCCAGCCAGGCTCAGCGACACACACCTGTAATGTCAGCACTTTAGAAGGCTAAGGTGGGCAGATGGCTTGAGTTCAGGAGTTCAAGTCTAGCCTGGGCAACATGAAAAGACCCCATCTATACAAAAAAAAAAAAAAATACAAAAATTAGCCAGATGTTATTTTGTATACCTGTAGTCCCAGCTAATCTGGAGGCTGAGGTGGGCACATCACTTGAGCCCGGGAGGTTGAGGCTGTAGTGAGCCAAGACAGTGTTACTGCACTCCAGTCTGGGCAACAGAATGAGACCCTGTCTCAAAAAAAAAAAAAAAAAAAAAGTCCAATCCATGTAGTCTGACAAAGAAATCCACAGTGTAGTCCAATCAAATAGGCAAACATCCATACAAATTGTGACCCAGGGCTCTCAACTAAAAGTAATATTAGTCCTGAATCCTGACAGAGGGATTCATTTACCATGGAGTAAGCCTAAAAAGCTTTCTGAGGCAGTTGGGAAACAGGGTCTAGCCCTAGTCCTCCTTAAGTTTGAATAAGACAAAATCTGTCCAGAGGGATGCTTTGGAGCTTGAACTCAGCCCCAGAAGACAGCAACAAAGGCTGGTGCAGCATATCTCCAGGATGGTTAATTGTATGTGTTCATTTGACTGGGCTAGGGATGCCCAGATAGCTGGTAGAACATTTATGGGTGTATCTGTGAGGGTGTTTCCACAAGAGACTGGCATTTTAATCTTTAGACTGAGTAAAGAAGATAAGATCTCCCTCACCAACGCAAGTGGGCATCATCCCATCCATTGAGGGCCTGAGTATGACAAAAAGTAACTTCGCTCTCTGCTCGAGCTGGGATATCCATCTTCTCCTGCTCCCAGATGTTGGTGCTCATGGTTCTCAGGCCTTCAGACTTGAACCAGGATTTATACTATTTTCTCACCTGACCCTTATCCCTTCAGGTTTTGACTCAAACTACAAATGACACCACTGGCTTTCTTGGGCCTCCAGTTTGTAGATGGCAGATTATGGGACTTCACAGCTTCCATTATCTCAGGAGCCAATCTTTCATAATAATCTCTCTCTCTCTCTCTCTGAATAATGATATTTTGCATCTTCAAAACTTACATTAAATGATCATAGAGTCTTTAAATTGGGAAAATTTAGTAAATCATCCAGAGACAAATGTTACTTTTCTCTAGATCTTTCTTCATAACATCAGTATCTGTTAATACTATATATATACTATATATATTATATATACTATATATATATTATAAGGTAGATATATATATTATATATATATACCTTTCTTGCTAAACTAACTTTCATTAATTGTTGATTTGGTTAGACTATCTTCAAATAATTTTTTTTCCAAAAAATCTACAGTAGAGATTTCTCTTATGAGTAGTTGAGCATCTATTCATTCAAAATATTTATTGAAGTCACCATATGGTGACCTTATCTTTACTCCTTCGACCTGAGAATACTTAAAGGGTGCAATACTACTTTTATATATATATATATATATATGTATGTATATAATATGTATAGCATATATATTATATACTATATATAGTATACTATAGTGTATATATACTGTATATATAGTATATAGTGTATATGTGTATATATATATATATATAGAGAGAGAGAGAGAGATTCTGTTTCTCTGAAAAACCTTAACTAATACAATCCCTTTATGTCTCTGTTTTTGCTGTCATGGATTAAAAATAATATTAATAAAATAAAATAAAAAAATTGGGGCTGGGCACAGTGGCTCACGCCTATAATCCCAGCACTTTGGGAGGCCAATGTGGGCAGATTGCTTGAGCCCAGGAGTCTGAGATCAGTCTGGAAGCCATGGCGAAATCCCATATCTACAAAAAATACCAAAAAATTAGCCAGGCTTGGCACATGCCTGTAGTTCCAGCTACTCAAAAGGCTGAGGTGGGAGGAACACCCAAGCCTGGGAGTTTGAGGCTGTAGTGAGCCATGATTGTGCCACTGCACTCCAGCCTGGGTGACAGAGTGAGACCCTGTCTCAAAAACAAAAAATAATTGGGTTATTTTGAGGCCTCTTGCTTCCACATTCCATGTTAAGGTGGAGCATATATTGCCTAAAAGTAGTATTGCACCCTTTAAGTATTCTCAGGTCGAAGGAGTAAAGATAAAGTCACCATATGGTGACTTCAATAGATATTTTGAATGAATAGATGCTCAACTACTCATGAGAAACCTCTACTGTAGATTTTTTGGAAAAAAATTATTTGAAGATACTCTAACCAAATCAATGATTAATGAAAGTATAGCAAGAAAGGGAAAATTGTAGTTCAAAAGGATAAGGTCTCTTCTTATTCAGTTTGCACCCCAACTTCAGGAATCTCTTTGAATTATGTATTTCCAGATAGATCCTGAGGTCTTGGGACAAAGTTTGACCTTGTGTCATTTTAATTAACTAGTCATATTCCTTTCTCCCTTTCTTGGTATAAGGATACGTGTTTCTTGAACCAGTCTCCACCCAACAAATCAGATGGAATGTCTTGACTTGTTTGATGACTATTTAAAACAATAACTACTGTTGTTCTTCCAGGACTTGCTAACAATGGCTAAGTTTTCACTTGATTGGAACACTATGCCAGAAGAAATACTTAACAAAAAGTCTTTTTTTCCCTTTATAGAAGCAGAATTACACAGAACAACATAATGGACATTTTTATGGCTGAGCAATTTGAATAATGATATTTTGCATCTTCAAAACTTAATTTAAATGATCATAGAGTCTTTAATTTTGGAAAATTTAGTAAACCATCCAGGGACAAATATTACCTTTCACCAGATCTTTCTTCATAGCATCTGGATCTGTTAATACTTCCAGGTTAACTAGAATTTAAAATACATGCAGCATGATCTTGACAATATGACCTTGACCATGTAAAAATATATGAGAAAAAGACTACGAAGAAATATATCAAAATGTATGAAGTAATTATTTCTAGATATTGGAAATCTGGGAGATTTGAGGGTTTTTTCCCACTTTTCTGTGTTTTCAAATGACCATTTTTTATTAAAAATGAATGTTATTTCTACAAAAATCAGAACATACAATTTATATATGTCCATAATATTAACTAAGTGAAGAAGAAATGTATAAAGAGAAAAACAGCAGGAAGGAAGAATACTAGAATTTTAATGGTTCCTGAGTGATTTAATTTCTGCTTTCTGGCTTTTTGTATTTTCCAAATTTTCTGTGATTAGCAGAGCATATATTAATTTTTAATGTAAAAAGTCACTCTCTTTCAAAAAATAAATGGTAAACAAATAAGGCAGCAAATGCCAAAAACAAAAAACAAAAAACAAAAAAAACCCACCCAGTTCCAATAATAAGCAAGATTATTGCAAGGAAGTTCACTGTGGCCGTGCATTAGGAATGACTTTATGGGAGACAGAACTTTTGCTGGGCTTGAAGTATGAGCAGGTGTAACTGGGCAAAGAGGAAGGAATAGGGCACTCCCAGCGCAGGAAGGGGGCCTGCCCACAGGGTGGAGGTAGAACATTCTGACTGGAGCAGAAAGCTCATTCAGGGAAGTGAAGGAGGGTAAGCATAAAGTTTGGCTCCACTCAACTGGGGAGGAGTATGGGTCTCCAGTGAGATACCTTGAGTTTATTCTGCAAAAAAGCATTGTCTGTTTATGCCATAAATGCCTAAAGTATCCCAGGAGATTATTTGCAATTACGTTCAGGTAGTTGTTTCCATCCACTATTGACTTAGTTCCATAGTCAAGAAGACTTCCACTGGGACCATTCCGTTTCACTTTGTGACCTATATTCCTCCTTCTGCTGCCTTCCCTTTAACATTCTTCCCCTCTGCCTAAAGCCCTTTGACTTCTTGGCTCCATTCAGGACCCCCCCACTCTCCTCCTAACCCTGCAGTAAGTTCCTTACTCTACAAAATCATCCTGTTGTTCTTTCTGGCATCCACACCCATCCAACAATATTGCTCTTCCCTTAATGTTGTTGATGGCAGATAGGAAATTACTCAGTTATAGTAATTCATAATAAAGGGTAAGTTATTTCTAAGTTTAACATTTACTTTCAAGAGATATTCCCATTTTAAAAGAGGTGCTCGTTCCGCATGTTTTCACTCATAGGTGGGAACTGAACAATGAGAACACGTGGACACAGGAAGGGGAACATCACACACCAGGGACTGTTGTGGGGTGGGGTGAGTGGGGAGGGATAGCATTGGGAGATATACCTAATGCTAAATGACGAGTTGATGGGTGCAGCACACCAACATGGCACATGTATACATATGTAACAAGCCTGCACGTTGTGCACATGTACCCAAAAACTTAAAGTATAATAATAATTAAAAAATAAAAAATAAAAATAAATAAAAGAGGTGCGTGTTAACCCATTCTACTTAGTACAATGGAGGGAAGGAAGGAGGTAAATTTTTTGAGCTACATGCCTTATCCTCAAACTAATAAAGCCACCAGTTAAACGTCCCAGAGCCAACAACTTTGGAAAAGTTGTCAATCCCTTTAAATCCCCATAAATTCAAGAGTGAGAGCTGGAGGAGATAGGATACAGGCGAGCCTCCAGGGCAGGTCAGTGCCAGGGAGGGCTGATGCCGACCCGTGATATTCTCCTCTACTGACACAGCTGGTCACAGCAGGTGAGTGAAATGCCTGCAGTCTCAGGGACCCAGGCAGAGCCAAGACTTCCTTTGACCCCTGGAGTGGGGACACATACTTTCCTGCTTACCCTACCACCCACCTGTTCAGTGTGTGCTTGACCTGACCCCATGCCTGGAGCAGGGAAAAAGGAGGAGGAAGAGGAGATATGCGTGGGACAGCACTCTGTGAGCTGGAGGGGAGGCAGGGTGATATGAAGAACAGATGCAAGGGCCGGTTATTATTAGTGCCCTTGGTAAACAGGAGAGCTGCTTACACAGGGATGAAATCAGCTGTTTTTGTACTGAGGCAAGTTCCAACAATTACTGCCTCCACTCTCTTCCCAACTTAATCTGACTTTCTTTAACCCTATTTCTACTTTCCCCATCTTCAGTCTACTTTCTGCAACCAGGTATACAATAATAATAACTGTTGGAACTAACCACTCCAGGAACAATTCTAAGACATCATATATGTAAACTTTATTTTCCTTACAACCAGCCTCTGATGGAGGTGCTGTTGTTGTCACTGTTTCACAGATGAGGGCCCTAAAGCCTAAAGAGTTGAAATCACTTGCCTAAGATCACCCAGCTGATAAGTGGCAGGACTGGGATTTAAATCTGTATACTATTCCTACACACTTTGATGTACTACCTTAATGTTTTAGACTCATTAAACTTTGCTTTTATCATGTGTGTAAGGAATCCATAATTCACACTGAACAGAGTCCATACTCTTCAATCCAGAAGTAAAGTGCTTTCACACCCTGACCTCATTCTACTACCTATCTTACATACACAACTTGATCTCCGACCCCTTTGACACAGGAAATCACACCCTGGCCAAATGGATCTAGTCAATAACCTCTGAACTCTGAACTTACATATACACTCAATATCCCTGCACATTCAGCCTTTGTCACCTACCCCTTCTCCTCCTCACCTCCAGCTCATTGGAATACCCGACTTTCCCATACTATCTCTTGTGTCTGGGACAAAGCTCAACAAAATACTTGCAAACCGAATCCGGCAGCACATCAAAAAGCTGATACACCACAATCAAGTAGGCTTCATCCCTGGGATGCAAGGTTGGTCCAACATACTCAAATCAATAAATGTGATTCATCACGTAAACAGAACTAAAGACAAAAACCACATGATTATCTCAATAGATGCAGAAAAGGCTTTTGATAAAATTCAACATCCCTTCATGTTAAAAACCCTCAATAAACTAAGTATTGAAGGAATATACCTCAAAATAACATGAGCCATCTATGACAGACCCACAGCCAACATCATACTGAACAGGCAAAAGCTAGAAGCCTTCCCCTTAAAACTGGCACAAGACAAGGATGCCCTCTTTCACCACTCCTATCCAACATAGTATTGGAAGTCCTGGCCAGAGCAATCAGGCAAGAGAAAGAAATAAGGGCATCCAAATAGAGAGGAAGTCAAACTATCTCTGTTTGCAGATGACATGATCCTATACCCAGAAAACCTCATAATCTCAGCCCAAAAGCTCCTTCAGCTGATAAACTACTTCAGCAAAGTTTCAGGATACAAAATTAATGTACAAAATATTGCTAGCATTCCTATACACCAACAAAAGCCAAGCTGAGAGACAAATCAGGAATGGAATCTCATTCACAATTGCCACAAAAAGAATAAAATACCTAGGAATACAGCAAACCAGGGAGGTGAAATATCTCTACAATGAGAATTACAAAACACTCTTCAGAGAAATCAGAGATGACACAAACAAATGGAAAAGCATTTCATGTTCATGGATAGGATGAATCAATATCATTAAAATGGCCATGCTGCCCAAAGCAATTTACAGATTCATTGTGTTATCCCTATCAAACTACTAATAACATCCTTTGTAGAACTAGAAAATACTATTTTAAAATTCATGTGGAACCAAAGAAAAGCCCAAATGGCCAAGGCAATCCTCAGAACAAAAGCTGGAAGAACAAAAGAACAAAGCTGGAAGCATCACATTACCTGACTTCAAACTATACTACAGGGTTATAGTAACCAAAGCAGCATGATCCTGGTACAAAAATAGACACATAGACCAATGGAACAGAATAGAGAGCCCAGAAATAAGGCTGCACACCTACAACCATCTGATCTTAGACAAAGCTGACAAAAACAAGCAATGGGGAAAGGACTCCCTATTCAGTAAATGGTGCTGGGATAACTGGCTAGTCATATGCAGAAGATTGAAACTGGACCCCTTTCTTACACCATACACAAAAATCAACTCAAGATAGGTTAAAGTCCAGGTGCGGTGGCTCACACCTGTAATCCCAGCACTTTGGTAGGCCCAGGTGGGCAGATCACCTGAGGTCAGGAGTTTGAGACCAGCCTGGCCAACATGGCAAAACCCCATCTCTACTAAAAATATAAAAAATTAGCTGAGAGTTTTGGCAGGCACCTATAATCCCAGCTACTTGGGAGGCTGAGACAGAAGAATTGCTTGATCCTGGGGGGGGAGGTCACAGTGAGCCGAGATTGTGCCATTGCACTCCAGCCTGTGCAACAGGGCAAGACTCTGTCTCAAAAAAAAAAAAAAAAACTATATTAAAGACTTAAATGTAAAACCCAAATTTATAAAAATCCTGTAAGACAACCTATGTAATACTGTTCAAGACATAGGAACAGGCAAAAGTTTCACGGTGAAGACTCGGAAAGCAATTGCAACAAAAGTACAAATTAACAAATTAGATCTAATTAAACTTGAGAGCTTCTGCACAGCAAAAGAAACTATCATCAACACATTAAACAGACAACCTACAGAATGGGATCAAATATTTGCAAACTATGCTTCTGACAAAGTTCTAATATCCAAAAGCTATAAGGAACTTAAACAAATTTACAAGAGAGAAAAACAACTCCATTAAAAAGTGGGCAAAGGACATGA
The DNA here is from genome assembly GCF_000001405.40 of Homo sapiens. Classification (NCBI taxonomy): domain Eukaryota; kingdom Metazoa; phylum Chordata; class Mammalia; order Primates; family Hominidae; genus Homo; species Homo sapiens. The sequence goes on from NC_000007.14 coordinate 29,768,497, forward strand.
ACAGACAGTTTTCGAAAAAAGACATTCATGTGGCCAACAAACATATGAAGAAAAAGCTCAACATCACTGATTACCAGAGAAATGTAAATCAAAACCACGATGAGATACCATCTACCACCAGTTAGAATGACTATTATTAAAGAGTCAAAAAATAACAGATGCTGGCGAGGTTGCGGAGAAAAGGGAATGCTTATACACTGTTGGTGGGAATGTAAATTAGTTCAGTCACTGTGGAAAGCAGTGTGGCAATTTCTCAAGGAGCTAAAAATAGAACCACCATTCGACCCAACAATCCCATTACTGGTATTTACCCAAAGGAATATAAATAGTTCTACCATAAAGATAAATGCACGCATATGTTCACTGCAGCAGGATTCACAGTAGCAAAGATACGGACTCAACCTAAATGCCCATCAATGGTAGACTGGATAAACAAAACGCGGTACTGGCTGGGCGCAGTGGCTCACGCCTGTAATCCCAGAACTTTGGGAGGCCGAGGCAGGTGGATCACCTGAGGTCAGGAGTTCGAGACCAGCCTGGCCAACATGGTGAAACCTTGTCTCTACTAAAAATACAAAAAATTAGCCAGGCATGGTGGTGGGCGCCTGTAATCCCAGCTACTCGGGAGGCTGAAGCAGCAGAATCGCTTGAACCCATGAGTCGGAGATCCTGAGCTGAGCTGAGATCGTGCCACTGCACTCCAGACTGGGCAACAAGAGTGAAATTCTGTCTCAAAAAAAAAAAAAAGAAAATCCGGTGCATATACACCGTAGATATGTACGGCATGGCCCCAAACCATGATCCTGGTACAAAAACAGACACATGGACCAACATAACAGAACAGAAAGCTGAGAAATAAGGCTGCATGCCTACAACCATCTGATCTTCCACAAAGCTGACAAAAACAAGCAATGGAGAAAGAACTCCCTGTTCAATAAATGATGCTGGGATAACCGGCTAGCCATAGGCAGAAGATTGAAACTGGACTCCTTCTTCACACCATACATTAAATCAACTCAAGGTAGATTAAAGACTTAAATATAAAATCCTTTACAGAGGTAAAATCTTTAAGATATTCTGGAAAAATAGATTAATAAAACCTCCAGAGTTTGATGGAACCATTTCCACCCCCTACAGAAACCTTTATTTGCCTGTCAACAACATCTGTCCAATCATTTTGGTTTCTGGCTTCTTCCACTAATGTCTCACTGTAACCACCATTACCAGCCCCTCTGCGTGGGTGTCTGGGTGTCTCCTGGTTCAGTGAGTCTCAAACTTGAATATACATGTGGATCACTTGGAGATTATGATTTAGGACTTCTAAGTCAGGCCCGAGTGTCTGCATTTCAAACAAGCTGCCAGGTGATGCCAATGCTGTTAGTTCACGGACCAAACTTTGAGCAAACTTAACATCATGCCTAACTTGGCATAACAGATGCCAGCTCTTTTTCCTTCTTCCAGGTGATACACAATTATGAGGCTTCCCCCTAGATAGGTCCCCTCCTGGATCACCCAATACACCTATGGAAACCCTCTCACTTGCAAAAAATCTGCAATTCCAATTGCGCTTCATACCTTCTCCTTCTGCTTGCTCACATCTTCCCCTCATGTCGTCTCCCTCCCTCCTTCTTTTCCCTCTCCCTCTGACCCATACCAGCTTCAGTGGAGTAATCTTTACTACAGTTCTTGTCATGGTGCTCCCTGTTAAATAACTGTAGCATGCGTTTCTTGCTACCCAGAGATTCTGTAATTACAATAATAATGTCTGCACACAATTTCTAGCCAGTCTGAAGACTGCACACTGTTGTGGGATGCGTGTATCACAATAAGAGGAAATACGTGGGAAGAGAATCAGAAAAAAGCTTGGAAGAACATTCTGTACTTTATGTTTTATTTACAAAGGCCCTTAATTATTTATTATGAGCATCATTATTCTTCCCTATAATCACAAGAGAAAAGAAAGCGTATTATTGAAGTTGAGGGATGTTAGCAGAGCCCCAGGGAAGGCTCCGGGGCCCCCACACAGCAGGAACAGGAGGAGTGTCCCACTGATAAAGACTGAGAGCTCAAGGCTGCATCCAATGTTCCCACCACCTCCAGGTGGGCTGCCCACGCCTGGCAGCGAGCAAGGCCACCTCAGGGTTTCTCCTTCATCACCATCCAGCACTGTGACTCTGAAACTTTTCAATTTCATGGAACCTTTCGAAAATCTGAATCTGAGCAAAGGGAAGGCCTCTGTGCACACAATCACGCAAGAAAACACAGACTCCTTAAAAGTTCAGGGTTCACAGTTTTCCCAAGGCCATGAAAAACGGACCCTAGACTTAAAAGTATCCACACAATAGAAGCATAAAAGAGCCATGCTCAAGAAATTGTCTAGAAGTGAGAGGTGCAGAGGACATTTGATGTAAAGTTAGGTCTGGATTCACACCCCACATCTGCCATTGCTAGGACATGAATTTGGGCACCTTGCTTAACCTCTCTGAAGTAGTGATACCTACCTTGTGGGCTCGCACCAAGGATTAAATGCAGTAAAGTACATGAAGGTACCTGCCAGGAAGCAGACATGCAATCGATAGTAGAGGAATGTATCACTCTGATTTGGGATGCAGAGGGACTTCTAAAAGTGGCAATTCTTACTCAGAATAAGAGATGTCTATGTGTTTTAATCCAAATTAAGAGGAGCCTTGCCCTCTTTGCCCATTTATTCAATGGCTGCTGGCCACTTGACAGCAGGGTCACTGCCCCACTCAGCAAGGTCACTGCCTCACTCAACAGGGTCTGGGTGAGCTGAGGCAGAGCAGTACACCTTCCACAATATGCCAGAAAAAAACACACTTGTGGTTACACTGGCCTCTGGAGCCTCAAAAAGCTGAAGAAGCCCAGAGAGATTTGCTTAAAAGCACTATTTGAAGTCCTTGGTAAAAAATGCAACCTAAGGACAATTGTATTTCTACATTGAAAGGCTTTTAAAACTACTTTAAATTGGAAGGTCAGAGCTTCAAAGAGCATAATGACTGGCTGTTTATCTCCATTACCCTCTGCTTCTGGTGCTTCTGTGAACATGTTCTGACCTCAAACTGTGAGTGGAAATGCAGGAAGGATGCTGTCTGTGCATTAGTGAGAGCCTTGAAACTTGCCTAGAGCACTTCTGAAACTCTGCCAAGATGAAATAAATAGCATATAGCCTCCCTTCAAATCTCAACTTGAAAATGACACTGGCCAGGCGCAGTGGCTCACGCCTGTAATCCTAGCACTCTGGGAGGCCGAGGCAGGTGGATCTCGAGGTCAGGAGTTTGAGACCAGCCTGGTCAATATGGTGAAACCCTGTCTCTACTAGAAATACAAAAAGTAGCCAAGCATGGTGATGCATGCCTGTAGTCCCAGCTACTCAGGAGGCTGAGGCAGGAGAATCACTTGAACCCTGAAGGCAGAAGTTGCAGTGAGCCGAGATTGTGCCACTCCACTCCAGCCTGGTGACAGAGCGAGACTCCGTCTCAAAAAAAAAAAAAAAAAAAAAAGTGACACTGTACATCTTTGAATTAAAAGATTCAAAATATTTTAAAGCATTTGACAGGTTTTACTAGAAAGAGAAGTTGTGATGATTACATGAGAAAAAGTTATTTTCAGACATCATAGATCTAAGTGTGAAAACAAAACTAATCAGGCTTCTAAAAGAATATAGAAGAGAGATTTTTATCACTATCTTAGTCTGTTTGTGCTGCTATAACAAAATGCCATGGACTGGGTAATTTATAAGAACTGACATTTATTTCTCACAGTTTTAGAGGCTGAGAGTCCAAGTTAAATGCACCAGTAGCTTTGATTGTCAAGTAAGGGCCTAGTCTCTGCTCCCAAGTTGGGGCCCTGTTGCTGAATCGGATGGAGGAGATAAATGCTGTATCCTCACATGGCAGAGGGACAGAAAGGCAAGAGGTGCAAACTCCCTCTGTCAAGTCCTTTTATAAGGACACCTAATCCCATTCATGAAGGCAGAGTCCTCATGACTCAATTGCCTCCAAAAGGCCACACTTACTAATACTGTTGCATTGGGAATTAAGTTTCAACATGAATTTTGAAGGAACAGAAACCCTTCATTGCAATGGTCATTGCAAGGTCATAGCAATGACCTTGGGGTAAGCAAAAGTTTCTTAAACAGACCATGAAAAGAGCTAACCATAAAAGAAAAAAATTGATAAACTTTTTTTAGTATGAAGAACCTTCTGTCCATCAAAAGACACCATTAAGAGAGTTAAGACTGGGTGCGGTGGCTCACGCCTCTAATCCCCAGCACTCTGGGAGGCTGGGGTGGGTGGGTCACTTGAGGTCAGGAGTTTGAGACCAGCCTGGCCAACATGGTGAAACCCCATCTCTACTAAAAATACAAAAAATTAGACGGGCGTGGTGGCACGTGTCTGTAATCCCAGTTACTCAGGAGGCTAAGGCAGGAGAATTGCTTGAACCTGGGAGGCGAAGTTGGCAGTGAACCGAGATCATGCCACTGCACTCCGAACTGGGAGAAAAGATATTTGCAATACACATATCTAATAAATAAATAGTATGAAAGACTCCTTTAAATTGTTTTAACAGATAAAAATAAAATTTTAAATGTTCAAAAGACTGGAACAGGGGGCCGGGCACGGTGGTTTATGCCTGTAATCCCAGCACTTTGAGAGGCCAAGGCGGATGGATCACCTGAGGTCAGGAGTTCGAGTCCACCCTGGCCAACATGGTGAAACTCCGTCTCTACTAAATATACAAAAATTAGCTGGGCATGGTGACATATGTCTGCAATCCCAGCTACTCGGGAGGCTGAGGCAGGGAGAATTGCTTCAGGTGGAAGTGGAGGTTGCAGTGAGCTGAGAGCGTGCCACTGCACTCCAGCCTGGGCAACAGAATGAGACTCAGTCTCAAAAAAAAAAAAAAGACTTGAACAGACACTTCACAAAAGACAATATCCAAATGGTCAATGTGTGCATGAAGAGAGTTGCTCAAAACCATCAGTCATCAGGGAAATGAAAGTTAAATCACAGTGAGATACCACTACTCACCCACCAGAATGGCTACAATAAAGAAGATTGACAGTACCAACAGTGGGAGAGAATGCAGACAACTGGAGCCCCCACATGCTCCTGGTGGGAATGTAAATTTCTTTGAACATCTTTATGTGTGATCCCTGTGAAGATGGAGAGTGCTGAAAGAGAAGAAAGCACCTAATAGTAGGTGTTACGGACTGAATGTTTTGTCTTCCCCAAATTTATATGTTGAAACCTAATGCCCAATGTGATGGTATTAGGAAGTTAAGCCTTTGGGAGATGATTAGGTCAAGAGAGTGGAGCACCCATGAATGCAGTTAGTGCCCTTATAAGAAAAGACCCAAGAGAGATGATTTGTCTCTTGGTCCTGTGAGGATACAACCAGAAGACAGCTATCTGCAAACCTGGAAGAGGGCCCTCATCAGACACTGAATCAGCTGATCTGGGACTTCCCAGCCCCCAGAATTGTGAAAAAATAAATGTTTGTTGTTTAAGTCACCCAATCTATAGTATTCTGTTATGGCAGCCTGCAATGACCAGGATAGTAGGGAGTATTTTTTTTAAGTGAGCCATGGTTGAGGAGGTGAATATCAAGTCTCTCTTACACTTGAGCTCACTTGAAGCCATCCTTAGCTACTGGTTGGTGCACTTGGAGATGTCAGCTTGTCTTTGTTTAGTCCTTCTCTCCTTGTTGTATATTTTTTTTCTTCCTTTCTCTTGAGTTTAGATCTCTGGGTTTGGAGCCATTGATCTGCTTCAGCCACACTCCCCCACCAACTCCTCCAGTTTCCAACAATTTTTCTTTTTTTTTTTTCACTTTTGGGGGGATAAACAAATAAATGGACAAGCAGGTGAATGGATTTACTTCCCATTGCTGCAAAATGCATGCCTAAGCAGCTTCTTCCCATATTGATACGGGTTCTTTGTCAAAAGATACTCAGGATTACTGTAGACTGAAATGTAGTCTTTTAGTGTAATAATTTTTCTTTCTTAAACATGAATGCTCATGATTATCATCTTATTTAGTAAACTATCCTTGATCCTTCTTCACGCCCATCATTTGGTCATTTTATTGTGCTTCTAAGTGCCTGATTTCTCCTTCGGTTCCTGACACCCTCCTGCTGAGGTCTTTACAACCTACCAGTGCTCACAGTTCCGTGAATTCTTCATTCAGCCAATGGTACCATTTGCCAAGGACAATTTGAGAATATTGGATCACAGCCTCTTTTCACAGCCTATGAACATGTTCTGTGCTTGGAGTTAGAGACACAGTTTTTGAAAGCAAATTTTTTTGTTGTTGTTTGAGACAGAGTCTCGCTGTCACCCAGGCTGGAGTGCAGTGGCACGATCTCGGCTCACTGCAAGCTCCACCTCCCAGGTTCATGTCATTCTCCTGCCTCAGCCTTCCGAGAAGCTGGGACTACAGGTGCCCACCACCACGCCCAGCTAATTTTTTGTATTTTTAGTAGAGATGGGGTTTCACCATGTTAGCCAGGATGGTCTCGATCTCCTGACCTCGTGATCCACCTGCCTCGGCCTCCCAAAGTGCTAGAATTTACAGGCGTGAGCCACCGCACCCGGTCGAAAGTAAATTTTTAAATACAGGCTAATTGGCCGGGCGCAGTGGCTCACGACTGTAATCCCAGTACTTTGGGAAGCCAAAGTGGGTGGATCACCTGAGGTCAGGAGTTCGAGACCAGCCTGGCCAACATGGTGAAATCCCATCTCTACTAAAAATATGAAAATTAGCTGGGCATGTTGGCATGCACCTGCAATCCCAGCTACCTGGGAGGCTGAGGCAGAAGAATCACTTGAACCCAGGAGGTGGAGGTTGCAGTGAGCCAAGATCACACCACTGCACTCCAGCCTCGGTGACAGAGTGAGACTCTGTCTCAAAAAAATTAATTAATTAATCAATTTTAAAAAATAAATGAATACAAGCTAATCTCAATTTTTCCTAGATTTAGTACATAGTACATTAATGTTCATGTGGATTATTTTCCTGAGCAGATCCTGACATTGAGACTCCTAAATACTTCCATGTATCTAATTCAAGCAATTGCAGGAAGGACAGATTTGTATGCAAGACCATTTCTAGGAAATATATCAGTAATTTTTAAATCTCCTAAACTCTGCTCATCTCCATCAACATTTGGAACTTGCAGTGCCAAGCGGAAGTTTCCTGTTTTCCTTTGTTCTAACCAGAATTATATAGATGGGCTCTACCCTTGTGACAGACACCATTTATCATCTACTCAGTATTCATTTCCCCCTACCACCACCCTATTCCTCCTCTGAATGCACCACCCTTATTTTTCTCCAGGGAATACCAGGCAATGCATCTCTGCCTGGAACAGCAATCTCATTCCCCCGACCTGTGATGGGTCTAGGGATGGCATGTGCCCCAGTTCTGCCACTGAGATGTATGCAGAATCTGCCAGTTAGAGCCTCAGAGGAAATGGCTGCTTTCTTGATGGGAAGGAAAAAGCCTGCTTGTCCTGGCTCCTTGCCCTTTTACCTTTACTTTTCTCTTGTCCTCATTCTTCCTTCCTGGAACACAAATGTGATACTAGAGCTATAGGAATCACCATGTGACCAAAAGGGAACAATCAAGAGAAATGCAGAGACATCAGCCCTAATGTTGTTGAGCTGTTCAATCAGCAGGCAACATCCCATCTCTGGACTTGTTATGTGAGAAAAATTAACCTCTAATAGTTTAAGCCTGTCTATTTTGTTTTCTGTTACTTGCAGCCAAAAGCATTCCTAGCAGATGCCTCCATTATTATCATGAGGTAACTAATATGTATTAAGCAGCTTCCATGCATCAAGGATTGAGCTGTTTTGCATATGCTAGTTCCTTGGCTCCTCAGACAGCCCTATGAAGTAGCTCTTAGCATCTTTGTTTATAGATTAGGGCACTGAGTTCAAAGAGATTAAGGAAAAGGTAGACCAAGATGAAACCCAGGCCTATCTGACTCTACTACCCCAGTTCTTCCTATCCCACCATACTGCTGGGAAGGGCAGATGGCAGCTTGCCCTATTTTGGCTAAAATTTGAGCCTTTGGATAGTGAAGTAGGAGCATTTGGTGGTTTGGGTTTTTTTATTATTATTTCAGATAATGATAAGTACCATGAAAAAATTAAAAAGAATTACAGATAGTAACTAGAGAATGACCCTAGTGACTACAGATTGGAAGTCAGAAAAACTTCTTTGAGAAGGAAATAATTGAGCAGAGTCCTGAATAATAAGGATGAACCAACCACACAAAGATCTGACAGAGAGTGTTCCAGGCTGGGAACAGCACGTGCAAATGCCCTGAGATGCAAGCAAGCCTCAAGTACGGCAGTGAGTTGGGCATAATAAGCCAGGAAGTAAGACATGAAGTCAGAGAGGCAGCAATGTGTAGGGTCTTGTGAGCTGTGGAGGAAAGTTTGGAAGGCATTGGAGGGTTTTACTCAGGCAGGTGACTTGATCTGATTTACCTTTTAAAAAGACCACTCTGCAGCTGTGTAAAGAATGGACTGTACAGAGGTTAAAAGTGGAGGCAGAGAGACCAGTTGGGAGGCTATTGCAGTAATCCAGGCAAAAGAAGATGGTGGCTCAGACCAGGGTGGTAAACAGCAGAAAAAGTGGTGGGATAGGGGTAAGTTGTGAAGACAGAACTAACAGGGCTTGATTTTGATTCATTATAGGGGTTAAGAGAAAGAGGAGTCAAAATCATTCTGGTGGGCTGGCAGCTCCATTTGCTAGGATGGAGAGGACTAAGGTGGATCACTTCGGGGAGGGCCTGGTGGAAGGGGGTAGGACTTGGGAACTAAGAGTTCCCTTTAGATCATGCTGTGTTTGAGATGCTTATGAAACATCCCGTGGAGATGTTGAGTGGGCAGTTAAATGAGGTAACAACAATTAATTGGGCACCTGCTATACGCAAGTGTCCTCGTAAGTGTTACTGTGCTTCACACTCAGCTTTATGAAATGACTGGGTATTAGTACTGTCATCAAGCCCAGAAATCCAGATAAGGACAAAGGAAACTTACCCAATGGCTAAGTTACTTGCCTGAGATCCCACCTCAGGTAGGTGGCAGCCAGGACATGAACTCAGGGTTTAAGGTTCCAAAACCTATGGTTTTCCCTAGTCCCACCCAGTAAAACAGTCCCAGGGAGAGCTTTCAAAATTCTTTCTGAGGATATTGTGGAAATTTGAGGCAGATGCAGAGCCTGCTTTGTGGGGGTGGGGCTTCCTTAGGCCAGGACACTAAGCTTCTTTAGGGATCATTCCCTGGGCAACCTCAATCCCTTCTTAAAGAGAAGAGGAAGAGATTTTTTATGGACTAATGAGATTTTTACCTTCTGTTTAAGTTTATTAAATCTGAAAAACTTTCAATTTTAGAGCAAAGATGGATTCTCTTTCATCACCTCTTCTAGGGATTTTTTTTTTAAATTTGACATTACCTGACCATATAGAAGATATTCTCAAATGCTCTTGTGAAGGGGAGAGAGAGAACTGTTCACTTTCTAGGCTGGAAAAAGAGCAGCTGCCAACACAAGTGCATTAAGGTGCCTGCCCATGGTTATTTAACCTGCGACAATTTCTTTAAAAACTCCTGGAAATGTGTGGTGAGAAATGGCGAAACCTGTCATTACTCAAACCAAAAATGAACCATGATTCCATCTTCTGAGGGCTGCCAAACAGCAATAGTAGCGAAATAAAAATGGATGTCAGAGCTGGGAGCCTTGGCTAAGGTGTTCAGAGGGAGGATAATAAGATACCCAGGAAGAAAGAGGAAGGTTAGACTTCTTGACTTATTGTTTCCTTACACATCGTGGTGCCAGCAAGTACTTGTGATCTTAGGGGTTCATAAAAGTATTCTAGAATACACTTTTTATTCCCAGATAGTGCAGTAAATGTCCCAGGAGAATTGATAAATGTCAAATTGGGCAGCATTTGAAGCTCAGTCTCTAGGGAACATTTTCTTTTTCAAATTCATATAGGGACACAATACAGATTTCCATCTTCTGTCTCTCTCTTTCTCCCCGTTTTTCTCCCCAGTAATTCCAAGGAGAAAAATCCTTGATAGAATGCAATAAGTTAATGTTCTGAGCTTGAATAGTGCTTCGATTTGCTTTTCCCTCCCTCAGTCTTGTCTTCGGAGTTATATAAAACCTGACATAATCATTTTTGTTCATCAAGCTTTAAATTAAGTGCAATTTATGGATAATTGCAATAATGTCTCTGATTCCTTTGTGCTGAAATCACCAGAGTGCTGCCCAATAGCCAATCCTGAAGATTTTGGATTGCTCCAAAGATCTTTTCTCCTGCCCTGTTTCCTTAAAAGGATAGATAAAGAGAAATCCTGACTATTTACTGGATTCCATGCCATATCCTCCTACCCCTCAGTGAATTCAAAACCCAGCAACAGTCTAGCAACTTTGCAAATTTTTACTTGCCACAGTTACCTCAACCAAGTAAAACTTGATGCTGGAGGATGGGTGAGGAAGGAATAGAGAAGATTCTTAGATTAATTGAGTTCAACCTACTAAAGCACCCAAGCTTACATGGTTTTTGAATTATTATTTGCAAATCTATACCCCACCAAGCAACCATAACTATATTATCAAGATGGAAGCCCAGCAGTTCCAATCCTAAGCAAGTACTTGTGCTTTTTTAAAAAAGGAGAAGTGGATTATTTGTTTGGTTAATTAGCTGTTGCCTCCTCAACTGCTTAGAATTTTCTCATTGCACTAATTCAATTATCTAATTAACACCAAGACGATATGGTTCTGCAATGCATTTCACTTATGCTTCATGTGTATTCTCTCATTTCTTTATCGTAACTGTACATAGGCTAGCTTTCCTATTATCTTATTATCCCTATTTTCTACATGAGAAAAACAAGGTTCATAGCAGTAATGCAAATTAAGACAGAGACCAAAGTTTAGGCTTTGACATTTGATTCTACATGTGACTCTCTATTACATGGGCTAAGTCAGATAGGGTCTTCAGCTTGTTTGAAAATTCTTTAATGAGAGATGCTTTTAAGCCACTTTAAAAAATTTCAAGCTAGTATATTGATAGTTGGTTTCATTCCTTAACAGGTAGAATGCGTGTCTGCAAACTACTAAATTTAAAGCCTAAGAGAGGAGGAATACCATGGGGTTTATCCTACCCAGAGACTAGCACAGTTCCCTGCACAAAGAGGGTGATCTATTGATATTTCACAAATGAATGAATTTCTGGGTAGTTATTATAAAACATCGTTATTTTACTTTAAAACATAACTAAGATAAAATTATATCCCAATTTCAAAAATATAAATATTAGCATATGGATAAGAAATCTAGAAAAACATACAACAGATTTTTAATGTCTGACACGTGATTAAAAAAGAACAAAATGAATGAGAATAAAACACATTACAGAGCCTTTGTGCAGCGAGTGTAGACAGACTTTTTTTTAAATCCCAGATCTTCCACTGTCCACAGTATGGTTTTGAGCAAGTTACTTAAGCCCTTTGCACCTCATTTTCGTCACTTGACAAACAGGGATAATTATAATAGTGTATACTTCATAGTATTGCTGTACTAATTAAATAAATAATGTGTATATAGTATCAAGCAATTAGCTATCAAGCAATTAGCTAGTTTTTTTTTTTTTTTTTTTTTTTTAAGACAGAAGGTCTCTCTCTGTTGCCCAGGCACAATCATAGCTCACTGCATCCTTGAACTCCTGGGCTCAAGTAATCCTCCCACCCTAGCCTCCCAAGTAGCCAAGACTACAGGCACACAGCCATTACACCCAGCTAATTATTTTATTTTTTGTACAGACAGGTCTCACTAAGTTGCTCAGGCTGGTCTCGAACTCCTGGCCTCAAATGATCCTCTTGTCTTGGTCTCCCAAAGTGCTAAGATTACAGGCATGAACCACCATGCCTGGCCAGCTATTCTTACTATTGTCATCATGTCATTTCTCCTCAGTTCACATTTCTGTGACCTGAGTATCACCATGCCATGACCTACTTTCATTGGCAAATATAATGGAAAGCTGACTACAATCGCAAACATCAGTAGCATTACACACATGAAATGTGAGAACTAGAACTTTGGTTTCTCCATCCTTCTCTCTTAACCCACAAAGGAAGCAGCAAGGGAATTGCTGAGCCTATAGTTATATGGAAGAAGAAAGAAGGCAACTGCCTGCAGCCCATCTGGCATGTGCCAATGGCAGATGGAGAGATGGCACACATGCCTTTTGCTATGGGTCTTTGTCCCAATTTCTTTATTTTATGGCTTATTTATATCTTTGGGTGGGGAGAGAAAACCTGTCCACATTCTACCTACCAAGTGCATTCTAGAAATTTCATGTTAAATCGTTGTTCACTAACTTCCAGAGCCAAGTCAAGAGAGTGCAGTAAACAATATCTAATTTTGTTACTTTTTGTTTTTTAGTAACCAAGAAGTCAACCAGAGAAATTTTAGCACTGGGACAACAGGCCCCATGGAGGGGTGAGGAGAGAGTGAGGGACTGAAAATTGCAGGATTATAAATCTGCATACTTAACAGTAAGGTATCACTCTCCTGCTCAGATCCCAGAATTTCCACAATCAGGTTGACTATACTCCCATGGGAGGTTAGAAGATTCTTCTCTGGAAAAACTCAATAGACTTAGCGAAAAACATCTTCAAATGTTGACATCAGGGGATTATCCAGTAAAGGACTGTCAACTTCCTGATCCCCGCTAGGAGCCTACCAATCAACAAGGCTCATCCAGGGACATGGAGCTTCCAACCGGAGAATGGACTTTTTCAATATAATTGGCAATGAAAGATTACCTGGTATTTGGGGAAAGCTTCTAACATGCAAAACAGAGATACAAGCAAATAACAAAAAGGAACTTGGAGGCCAGAAACAGTGCTGGAAATAGAAAACTTCTCCATAAACAAAAAACAGTGGTAAGAGAAGATATTGCAACTATGAGATAAGAGCAATCACAAAACAAAGAACCCTGGAAAATTATAAAACTGAAAGCCAAACCAAAGAAGAAAATGTCAAGTAAGTGTCCAAGAAAGTTCACCAAAAAGCAAATCAGAGAAAACAATGTTAAAACTATTAATATTTTTATTTTTGAGACAGGGTCTCACCCTGTCACCTAAGCTGGACTGCAGTAGCACAATCATGTCTCACTGCAGCCTCAACCTCCCAGGCTTCAGCAATCCTCTCACCTCAGCCTCCCAAGTAGCTGGGGTTACAGGCATGTACCACCACGCCCAGCTAATTGTTTTTTATTATTTGTAGAGATGGGGTCTCACTATGTTGCCCAGGCTGGTTTCAATCTCCTGGGCTCAAGTGATCCTCCCGCCTCAAACTCCCAAAGTGCTGGGATTACAGGAATAAGCCACTGCGCTCAGCCAACAATATTAAAATTAGAGTATCAGTCTAGGAGGTCTGTGTCAGAAAGCTTAGGTTTGGGTACATATAACAGAAAACCAAAGATAATAGTGGCTTAAATGCACAAGGATTTATTCTCTCTCAAATGGAGATAGGCAAGCTAAGGTTAATATGGCAGCTCCAGAGAGATTGCCTCTATCTTTTTATTCTGCCTTTTTCAGCATGTGGCTACTATCCTCAAATTCACATCATAGTCTAAAGTATGCTGGAGCTCTGGCCATCCTGTCTGCATTCCAGTATCAGGAAAGAGGAAGCCAGGCAGGACATAGGGACAGCTGGCCAGGTCAGTGCCAAAAGCAATTTTCCAAGAAATCCTATACCAATACCTCCACTGATGTCTTATTGGCCAGAACAGTAATCTGGTTCCCTCTAGCTGCAAAGGAGTCTGGGAAATGTATTCTTTTATCTGGGTACTTTACCACAGCCAACTAATAAGTGTTTTCCTACTAAGGAAGAAAGGGAGGATATAAATATATTTAGGTAGGCAATAGCAGTCTTTATTACAGGGTCCCATTTCTGGTTAACAGGAAGTCTGTGAAGAGTGACTAGAGAAAATGGATAGGAGGAAATTACTCAGAATTCATATAAGGAAAATATATTTCCAGATGGATGGACTGCTAAGGATCAAGCATAATGAATAAGAAAGGATCCCACCAAGGCCCATCCTTATAAGATTTCAGATTATTGGACACAAAGAGAAGATCCAGGCTAAGTTCACAAACAGTGGATCAGGGCTAAGGATGGCAAGGGACTCTCAGCAGCACCCCTGGGAACTAGAAGATAGTGGAACAGCACCGTTAAAATTCTCAGGAACGGCCAGGTGCTGTGGCTCACACCTGTAATCCCAGCACTTTGGGAGGCCAAGGAGGGTGGATCACAAGGTCAGGAGATCGAGACCATCCTGGCTAACACGGTGAAACCCTGTCTCTACTAAAAATACAAAAAATTAGCCGGGCGTGGTGATGGGCGCCTGTAGTCGCAGCTACTCGGGAGGCTGAGGCAAGAGAATGGCGTGAACCCAGGAGGCAGAGCTTGCAGTGAGCTGAGATTACACCACTGCACTCCAGCCTGGGGGACAGAGCGAGACTCTGTCTCAAAAAAAAAAAAAAAAAAATTTCTCAGGAACATGAGTTCTACACCTGGAAAAATGAATAATCAAGTTTACAGAGATTCTCAACTGTTGAAAAATGTTCTTGAGAAGAAACTAAGAAAAAAGAGAATGTGGAATTTAGGAAACAGTGGAGCCAACATGGGAGGAAGGATGAAGGAATTCCCAGTGATATGGGAGGGAGACAGGGAAGTGCTGGGTAGAGAAGGGCAGGGTCCCTAGCGAGGACTCCACCATCGGGTTTGTGCCCACGGACCTAAGTGAGAACAGGCACTCCAGTTTTTGTGCCCAAATGTTGCATTTTCGAAGACTACTGTGACCTGCCACGCCCCCCATCCTGTGTCTATACAAACTCAAGACAGTAACAGGCATAGACACAAGCAGCTGGACGAGCAGAGGAGCAGAAGAGCACACCAACAGGCACCAGCAGACACTTGGAGGCCATCGATGGCAGGCGACATGGAATTCAGTGGGGGGCGGTTGGAGGAAAGTCTGGGCTCTGGGCGGCCTGATTCCAGGGAAGACCACCTTCCCACTCCATCCCCCTTTTAGCCTCCCCATCCATCTCACCAAGAGCTACTTCCACCAGTAAAGGACAATAAAAGTCAATAAAACCTTGTACCCATCCTCCAAGCCCACATGTGGGCTTTCCAGTACACTAGGGCAAGAACCCAGGACACAGAAAGCCCTCTGTCCTTGCAATAAGACAGAAGATCTAATTGAGCTGATTAACACAAGCTGCCTGTGGACGGCAAAACTGAAAGAGCACACTGTTAACACATGCCCACTGGGGCTTCAGGAGTTGTAAACACTCAACCCTAGACACTGCCATGGAGTTGGAGACCATGCTTCCCATGACCTGCCTGTCTGCATGCTCCCCATAGGGGTTTGAGCAGGGGGGCACCAAAGAAGAGAGCCACGCCCTGTCACAAGTTCTGCCAGGGGGATAAGGAAACTTCCCATTCCACCAGGATGGCAGCTGTTTAGCAGGCCTAGGGAGCAGCCAGCCCAGTTTAGAGTAGGAGAAAATAATGGATAGATTATTTGAAATTTACACTGTAAAACTAGGGGTGGAAGAAAATTTAGCAATAGATCCAAATAAAACTAATCCAATTTAAATAAATGAACCAATTATAAGCCAGAGAGCAGCGGCTCACACCTGTAATCACAATGCTTTGAGGGGCCAGGGCAGGAGGATCTCTTGAGCCCAGGAGTTTGAGACCAGCCTGGGCAAAATAGTGAAACCTCGTCTCTACAAAAAGTTAAAAAAATTAGCCAGCTGGCCGGGCACAGTGGCTCACACCTGTAATCCCAGCACTTTGGGAGGCCGAGGTAGGCAGATCATGAGGTCAGGAGTTCAAGACCAGCCTGACCAATATGATGAAACCCCATCTTACTAAAAATACAAAAATTACCTGGGTGTGGTGGTGTGCACTTGTAGTCCCAGCTACTCTGGAGGCTGAAGCAGGAGAATTGCTTGAACCCAGGAGGCGGAGGTTGCAGTGAGTCAAGATCACACCACTGCACTCCAGCCTGGGCAACAGAGTGAGACTCTGTCTCAAAAAAAAAAAAAAATAGTCAGCTGTCGTGGTGTGCACCCACGTGTGTCCTAACTACTTGGGAAGATGAAGTGGGAGGATCGCTTGAGCGCAGGAATTCAAGGTTACGGTGAGCTATGATAACACCACTGCACTCCAACCTGGGTGACAGAGCAAGATCCTGTCTCAAAAATAAAAAAAAAACATTTAAGCAATTACAAAAGCAAATCTTCATCTACCATGATACAAGTTAGATGATAACGTCTAAAACGTTTGAGAAACGATTGAGAAATAGAAGTTTATGCATATTTATAAACACATAGATGCAGACAACAAAAGAAAAAAAACAAAAATAGAGAGTGGTTGCTGTCAGGCCTCTGAGCCCAAGCCAAGCCATTGCATCCCCTGTGACCTGTACATATATATCCAGATGGCCTGAAGTAACTGAAGATCCACAAAAGAAGTAAAAATAGCCTTAACTGATGACATTCCACCATTGTGATTTGTTTCCGCCCCACCCTAACTGATCAATGTACTTTGTAATTCTCCCCACCCTTGAGAATGTACTTTGTGAGATCCACCCCTGCCCGCAAAACATTGTTCTTAACTTCACCGCCTATCCCAAAACCTATAAGAACTAATGATAATCCACCACCCTTTGCTGACTCTCTTTTTGGACTCAGCCCACCTGCACCCAGGTGAAATAAACAGCCATGTTGCTCACACAAAGCCTGTTTGGTGGTCTCTTCACACAGACGCGCATGAAATTTGGTGCCGTGACTCAGATTGGGGGACCTCCCTTGGGAGATCAATCCCCCGTCCTCCTGCTCTTTGCTCCATGAGAAAGATCCACCTACGACCTCAGGTCCTCAGACCGACCAGCCCAAGAAACATCTCACCAATTTCAAATCCGGTAAGTGGCCTCTTTTTACTCTCTTCTCCAACCTCCCTCACTATCCCTCAACCTCTTTCTCCTTTCATTCTTGGCGCCACACTTCAATCTCTCCCTTCTCTTGATTTCAATTCCTTTCATTTTCTGGTAGAGACAAAGGAGACACATTTTATCTGTGGACCCAAAACTCCGGCGCTGGTCACGGACTGGGAAGGCAGCCTTCCCTTGGTGTTTAACCATTGCAGGGACGCCTCTCTGATCATTCACCCACGTTTCAGCGGTGTCAGACCACGCAGGGATGCCTGCCTTGGTCCTTCACCCTTAGCAGCAAGTCCCACTTTTCTGGGGGAGGGGCAAGTACCCCAGCTCCTTCTCTCCATGTCTCTACCCCTTCTCTGATTTTCTGGGGCAGAGGCAAGAACCCCCCAACCCCTTCTCCTTCACCCTTAGCAGCAAGTCCTGCTTTTCTGGGGGAGGGGCAAGTACCCCAACCTTGTATCTCTGCACCCCAATCCCTTATTTCCATGCCCCAACCCCTTTCCCGCTTTTCTGGAGGGTAAGAACCCCCAAACCCCTTCCCTCCATGTCTCTATGCTCCCTTTTCTCTGGGCTTGCCTCCTTCACTATGGGCAACCTTCCTACATTCCTCCTTCTTCTCCCTTAGCCTGTGTTCTCAAGAACTTAAAACCTCTTCAACTCACACCTGACCTAAAACCTAAATGCCTTATTTTCTTCTGCAATGCCGCTTGACCCAATACGAACTCGACAGTAGTTCCAAATAGCCAGAAAATGGCACTTTGAATTTTTCCATCCTGCAAGATCTAAATAATTCTTGTCATAAAATAGGCAAACGGTCTGAGGTGCCTGACGTCCAGGCATTCTTTTACACATCAGTCCCTTCCTAGTCTCTGTGCCCAGTGCAACTCGTCCCAAATCTTCCTTCCCCTCAGTCCCAACCCCAAGCGTCACTGAGTCTTTCTAATCTTCCTTTTCTACAGACCTATCTGACCTCTCCCCTCCTTGCCAGGCCGAGCTAGGTCCCAATTCTTCCTCAGCCTCCGCTCCTCCACCCTATAATCCTATCACCTCCCCTCCTCACACCAGGTCTGGCTTACAGTTTCGTTCTGTGGGAGGCCCCACCTGCCCAGCAATTTATTCTTAAAAAGGTGGCTGGAGCTAAAGGCATAGTCAAGGTTAACACTCCTTTTTCTTTATCCCAAATCAGATAGCGTTTAGGCTCTTTTTCATCAAATATAAAAATCCAGCCCAGTTCATGACTTGTTCGGCAGCAACCCTGAGACACTTTACAGCCCTAGACCCTAAAAGGTCAAAAGGCCGTCTTATTCTCAAAATACATTTTATTACCCAATCTGCTCCCGACATTAAATAAAACTCCAAAAATTAAATTCTGACCCTCAAACCCCACGACAGGATTTAATTAACCTCGCCTTCGAGGTGTACAATAATAGAAAAAAGTTGCAATTCCTTGCCTCCACTGTGAGACAAACCCCAGCCACATCTCCAGCACACAAGAACTTCCAAAGGCCTGAACTGCAGCGGCCAGGCGTTCCTCCAGAACCTCCTCCCCCAGGAGCTTGCTACAAGTGCCAGAAATCTGACCACCAGGCCAAGGAATGCCTGCAGCCCAGGATTCCTCCTAAGCCGTGTCCCATCTGTGCGGGACCCCACTGGAAATCGGACTGTTCAACTCACCTGGCAGCCACTCCCAGAGCCCCTGGAACTCTGGCCCAAGGCTCTCTGACTGACTCCTTCTCGGCTTAGCGGCTGAAGACTGACGCTGCCCGATCGCCTCTGAAGCTCCACAGACCATCACGGACACCGAGCTTTGGGTAACTCTCACAGTGGAGGGTAAGTCCATCCCCTGTTTAATCGAAACCGGGACTATGCACTCCACGTTGCCTACTTTTCAAGGGCCTGTTTCCCTTGCCTCCATAACTGTTGTGGGTATTGACGGCCAAGCTTCTAAACCCCTGAAAACTCCCCCACTCTTGTGCCAACTTGGACAACACTCTTTTATGCACTGCTTTTTAGTTATCCCCACCTGCCCAGTTCCCTTATTAGGCCGAGATATTTTAACCAAATTATCTGCTTCCCTGACTATTCCTGGACTACAGCTACATCTCATTGCTGCCCTTCTCCCCAACCCAAAGCCTCCTTCGCGTCTTCCTCTCATATCCCCCCCACCTTAACCCACAAGTATGGGACATCTCTACTCCTTCCCTGGCAACTGATCACATGCCCGTTACCATCCCATTAAAACCTAATCACCCTTACCCCGCTCAACGCCAATATCCCATCCCACAGCACGCTTTAAAAGGATTAAAGCCTGTTATCACTCGCCTGCTACAGCATGGGCTTCTAAAACCTATAAACTCTCCTTACAATTCCCCCATTTTACCTGTCCAAAAACTGGACAAGTCTTACAGATTAGTTCAGAATCTGCGCCTTATCAACAAAATTGTTTCACCTATCCATCCTGTGGTGCCCAACCCGTACACTCTTTTGTCCTCAATACCTTCCTCCACAACTCACTATTCCGTTCTCGATCTTAAAGATGCTTTTTTCACTATTCCCCTGCACCCCTCGTCCCAGCCTCTCTTTGCTTTCACTTAGACTGACCCTGACACCCATTAGGCTCAGCAAATTACCTGGGCTGTACTGCTGCAAGGCTTCATAGACAGCCCCCATTACTTCAGTCAAGCCCAAATTTCATCCTCATCTGTTACCTATCTCGGCATAATTATCATAAAAACACGTGCTCTCCCTGCTGATCGTGTCCGATTAATCTCCCAAACCTCAATCCCTTACAAAACAACAGCTCCTTTCCTTCCTAGCCATGGTTAGTGCAGTCAGAATTCTTACACAAGAGCCAGGACCGCACCCTGTAACCTTTCTGTCCAAACAAACTGACCTTACTGTTTTAGCCTAGCCCTCATGTCTGCAGGCAGTGGCTGCCACTGCTTTAATACTTTTAGAGGCCCTAAAAATCACAAACTATGCTCAACTCACTCTCTACAGCTCTCATAATTTCCAAAATCTGTTTTCTTACTCACACCTGACACATATACTTTCTGCTCCCTGGCTCCTTCAGCTGTACTCACTCTTCGTTAAGTCCCACAATTACCATTGTTCCTGGCCCAGACTTCAATCCAGCCTCCCACATTATTCCAAATACCACACCTGACCCTCATGGCTGCATCTCTCTGATCCACCTGACGTTCCCCCCATTTCCCCATATTTCCTTCTTTCCTGTTCCTCACCCTGATCATGCTTGATTTATTGATGGCAGTTCCAAGGCCTAATCGCCACACACCAGCAAAGGCAGGCTATGCTATAGTACAAGCCACTAGCCCGCCTCTTAGAACCTCTCATTTCCTTTCCATCGTGGAAATCTATCCTCAAGGAAATAACTTCTCAGTGTTCCATCTGCTATTCTACTACTTCTCAGGGATTATTCAGGCCCCCTCCCTTCCCTACACATCAAGCTTGAAGATTTGCCCCCACCCAGGACTGGCAAATTAGCTTCACTCAACATGCCCCGAGTCAGATAACTAAAATACCTCTTAGTCTAAGTAGACACTTTCACTAGATAAGTAGAGGCCTTTCCTACAGCGTCTGAGAAGGCCACCGCAGTCATTTCTTCCCTTCTGTCAGACATAATTCTTCAGTTTAGCCTTCCCACCTCTATACGTCTGATAACAGACCAGCCTTTACTAGTCAAATCACCCAAGCAGTTTCTCAGGCTCTTGGTATTCAGTGGAACCTTCATATCCCTTATCATCCTCAATCTTCAGGAAAGGTAGAACGGACTAATGGTCTTTTAAAGGTACACCTCACCAAGCTCAGCCTCCAACTTAAAAAGGATTGGACAGTACTTTTACCTCTTGCTCTTCTCAGAATTAGAGCCTGTCCTCGAGATGCTACAGGGTACAGTCGATTTGAACTTTTATATGGACGCACTTTCTTGCTTGGCCCCAACCTCATCCCAGACACCAGCCCTCTAGGCGACTATCTTCCAGTCCTCCAGCAGGCTAGACAGGCTGCTAATCTTCTCTTGCCTACTCCAGATCCCCAGCCACATGAAGACACCCTAGCTGGACGATCAGTTCTTGTTAAGAATCTGACCCCTCAAACTCTACAACCTCGATGGACCGGACCCCACTTCATCATCTATAGTACCCCGACTGCCGTCTGCCTGCAGGATCCTCCCCACTAGGTTCACCATTCCAGAATAAAGCTGTGTCCGTAGGACAGCCAGCCTAATCCCTCCTCTTCCTCCTGGAAGTTGCAAGTACTCTCCCCTACTTCCCTTAAACTCACTCGTATTTCTGAAGAACAGTAATAACCCTTATGAGCCTAATACATCCCTTCATTCTATTAGGTCTGCTCGTCCTTACCTTACTTTTTGCAGCAGGACTTTACCAAGTCACCCCCACCACTTAGGCCGAGTCCCAAAAAACTAGTCATCCCTACTATCTTCTGTCTGGTCATACTCCTATTCTCCATTCTCAACTACTTATAAATGCCCTACTCTTGTTTACACCACTGGTTTACACTGTTTCTTCAAGCCATCACAGCTGATATCTCTTGGTGCTATCCCCAAACTGCCACTCTTAACTCCCTCTTAGAGTGGATAGATGATCTTTGCTGGCAAGGCACCCTCCAATACTTCCACCCTGATGAAGTTCTATTCTTTATTTTATACTCACTCTTATTCTCATTCCCATTCTTATGCCACCCTCTACCTCTCCCCAGCTATCTCCACCACACTATCAACCTTACCCATTCTCTCCTAGCCGCTTCTAATACCTCCTTAGTGAACAACTGCTGGCTTTGCATTTCCCTTTCTTCCAGTGCCTACACAGCTGTCCCCGCCTTACAGGCAGACTGGGCAACATCTCCCATCTCCCTACACCTCCGAACTTCCTTTAACAGCCCTCACCTTTACCCTCCTGAAGAACTCATTTACTTTCTAGACAGGTCCAGCAAGACTTCCCCAGACATTTCACATCAGCAAGCTGCTGCCCTCCTTCGCACTTATTTAAAAAACCTTTCTCCTTATATTAACTCTACTCCCCCCATATTCAGACCTCTCACAACACAAACTACTATTCCTGTGGCCACTCCTTTATGTATCTCTCGGCAAAGACCCACTGGAATTCCCCTAGGTAACCTTTTACCTTCTCAATGTTCATTTACTCCTCATCTCCGAAGCCCAACTACACACATCACTGAAACAATTGGAGCCTTCCCGCTCCATGTTACAGACAAGCCCTCTATCAATACTGACAAACTTAAAAACATTAGCAGTAATTATTGCTTAGGAAGACACTTACCCTGTATTTCACTCCATCCTTGGCTACCTTCCCCTTGCTCATCAGACTCTCCTCCCAGGCCCTCTTCTTGTTTACTTATACCCAGCCCCGAAAATAACAGTGAAAGATTGCTCGTAGATACTCAACGTTTTCTCATACACCATGAAAATCGAACCTCCCCCTCTAAGCAGTTACCCCAATCAGTCCTCATTACAACCTCTGACAGCTGCCGCCCTAGCTGGATCCCTAGGACTCTAGGTACAAGACACCCCTTTCAGCTCTCCTTCTCATCTTTTTACTTTACATCTCCAGTTTTGCCTCGCACAAGGTCTCTTCTTCCTCTGTGGATCCTCTACCTACATGTGTCTACCTGCTAATTGGACAGGCACATGCACAGTAGTCTTCCTTACCCCCAAAATTCAATTTGCAAATAGGACCAAAGAGCTCCCTGTTCCCCTCATGACACCCACACGACAAAGAAGAGTTGTTCCACTAATTCCCTTGATGGTCGGTTTAGGACTTTCTGCCTCCACTATTGCTCTCGGTACTGGAATAGCAGGCATTTCAACCTCTGTTATGACCTTCTGTAGCCTGTCTAATGACTTCTGCTAGCATCACAGACATAACACAAACTTTATCAGTCCTCCAGGCCCAAGTTGACTCTTAAGCTGCAGTTGTCCTCCAAAACCGCCGAGGCCTTGACTTACTCACTGCTGAAAAAGGAGGACTCTGCATATTCTTAAATGAAGAGTGTTGTTTCTACCTAAATCAATCTGGCTTGGTGTATGACAACATAAAAAAACTCAAGGATAGAGCCCAAAAACTTGCCAACCAAGCAAGTAATTATGCTGAACCCCCTTAGGCACTCTCTAATTGGATGTCCTAGGTCCTCCCAATTCTTAGTCCTTTAATACCCATTTTCCTCCTTCTTTTATTCGGACCTTGTATCTTCCGTTTAGTTTCTCAATTCATCCAAAACTGTATGCAGGCCATCACCAATCATTCCATATGACAAATGTTTCTTCTAACATCACCAATCATTCTATATGACAAATGTTTCTTCTAACATCCCCACAATATCACCCCTTACCACAAGACCTCCCTTCAGCTTAATCTCTCCCACTCTAGGTTCCCACGCTGCCCCTAATCCTGCTTGAAGCAGCCCTGAGAAACATCGCCCATTCTCTCTCCATACCACCCCCCAAAAATTTTCGCCGCCCCAACACTTCAACACTATTTTGTTTTATTTTTCTTATTAATAAAAGAAGGTAGGAATGTCAGGCCTCTGAGCCCAAGCCAAGCCATTGCATCCCCTGTGACTTGCACGTATACATCCAGATGGCCTGAAGTAACTGAAGATCCACAAAAGAAGTAAAAATAGCCTTAACTGATGACATTCCACCATTGTGATTTGTTTCCGCCCCACCCTAACTGATCAATGTACTTTGTAATTCTCCCCACCCTTGAGAATGTACTTTGTGAGATCCAGCCCTGCCCGCAAAACATTGCTCTTAACTTCACCGCCTATCCCAAAACCTATAAGAACTAATGATAATCTACCACCCTTTGCTGACTCTTTTTTCGGACTCAGCCCACCTGCACCCAGGTGAAATAAACAGCCATGTTGCTCACACAAAGCCTGTTTGGTGGTCTCTTCACACGGACGCGCATGAAAGTTGCCTCAGCAGAAGAGGAAGGGGGAAACCGAAGCAAGGAAATTCTGTTTTTCATATAAGAATTTTAGCACTATGGTTAAAATAGGTGCATTATCTTTGATATTTTAAAAATCAGTTTTTAAATGGTGGCTGATCCCTGTAATCCCAATAATTTAGGAGGCCAAGGCTGGAGGATGGCTTGAGCCCAGGAGTTTTGAGACCAGCCTGGGCTATGTAGTCCACTAAAGGAATATATTGTCTCTACCAAAAAAATATTTTAAATTAGCCAGACATGGTGAGCCTGTAGTCCCAGCTAATCGGAAAGCTGAGGTAGGAGGATTGCTCGAGCCCAGGAGGTCAAGGCTGTAGTGAGCCGTGATCTCACCACTGCACTCCAGCCCGGGTGAGAGTGAGACTCTGTCTCAAAAATAAAAAATAAAAAATACATTTTTGAAAAATGAAAACAATCCTGTCATTCCTTCACTAAATTATCCAAACTACTTCAGTGGCATCTTTCATTGGAATTAGAGAAATAAAACAGTAGAAGAAATAAATTAATAGATTGATCTGGATTAATCTTATCTTTATCTGTGATTCAATAACTCTATCAACTAGTCCTGTGAATTCTAGAAATCAAGGTTTCTGTGCTCAAGGTATATATATCTCAATCTCAGCACCTATAAGAAATGACATTTTATCTTAGGAAGGCAGCAGGTACCACACACACGCACGCACACACACACACATAGTATTTCTGTCCATGTTTCACTGATTCAATTTGAAGACTTTAGAACAAAAGATCCACTGGAATGGTTTACCAAGCACCAGACTGCTAAATTCCTGGGTCCTTAGAAATCTAGTTTAACTGTTGATTTAAAAAAAAAAATTAACGCAAAATGCATTAATGAGATAAATTGTAGAGGGAAGGAATCTGTCAAACTGAATCAAGGAAAGAGACAGCTAACAAATATTTCTCCCAAGATAAGTATTATTTGAAAACTCCTTGTGTAAGTTTGTCACTAGGAAATCCAGCTACTCAAAAAAGCATTTTACTGGGCTGACAAAGACAGGACAGCATGTATGCACTGTTATTTTACATGTGTCAATGTACCCAGGTGTTCCCTTTCATTCTTTCTCTGAAAGAGGAGTTGATTGAGGAGCCCTAAGAAGCTTCTGTCTCCTTTAGATAGCAACTGAAAGGCAGTTAATGGGCCTTTAAAGTGTAGATAACAGAGGTGAGAAAAACAAGAGCTACATCAAGCCTTCCTCCTACATTCCACTGCTCAGCTGGGGTTCAGTGCTGTCCCTCAGTCAAGAGAAAGAGCAGGACGAATTCAATTCTGCTATAACTGAGCTGCGTGCCCATCCCCTCTTTGCTTCCTTGTGATTTGACCTCTAGTGAAATGTCATTTTATTTTACAGATGCAGACTTTCCATTCACAAGTGGGTGTAGCCCTCAATCTGACAACAAATAAACACTAGATTTTGAAATCAAGGTGCCCTCAAAAGTAATGTCACTCCCAGGTCGAACCATCAAAGGAGGAGTGAACCATAAAACAAACCTTCAGCTTCCTGGGTCCCTTCACTCTTTCCACTGAACTGTGTAATGACAAGGAAACTTGCTCATGATATGATGTTAAGTGAAAAAAGCAGAACATGGGTGTATACATATGTCATATAGATGGGTCTGTGTTCATGTGTTTCAGAGAAATGCATTTAAGTATTATCTGTGGTTATTTGTGCTGTAGAAGAATTGTGAGTGATTCGTAATTTTATTCTTGGTAATTTTCTGTATTTTCCAAATTATCTCAACAGGGAACCAAGGACAATATATTCCTTTAGCATTAAAAGCAAAATAAAAGGAACCTTGAATAAAACTTTTTTCTGTTTTCTATTTAAATCAAAAGAAGGAAAGGGGGCTTGTTACTGGAGTTGCCACAGTGCAATTGTTTGCCCACACCTGGAAGAACCCACCAAGTTCTGGTCTCAGAGATAGTGTGGCTAAGAGCAGAGGCCAGAAAGTAAGATTAATTGTTATTGTAAGAATGAAGTGAACTGACACAAGTAAAGTGCTTAGAGCAGTGCCTATAGGCACTGGTAAGCACAGGTAGAAAATGTTTAATAAATATTAGCTATTATTATTATTACTCTGAGATGGTAGCTTCCCCCTTTTACCAGAAAGCGGTCCCAATCCAGACCCCAAGGGAGGGTTCTTGGGTCTCAGGCAAGAAAGAAATTAGGGCAAGTCCACAGAGTAAAGTGAAAGCAAGTTTATTAAGAAAGTAAAGGAATAAAGAATGGCTACTCCATAGACAGAGCAGCCCCAAGGGCTGCTGGTTGCCCATTTTTATGGTTATTTCTTGATTATATGCTAAACAATGGGTGGATTATTCATGCTTCCCCTTTTTAGACCATATAGGGTAATTTCCTGACATTGCCATGGCATTCGTAAACTGTCATGGCACTGGTGGGAGTGTAGCAGTGAGGACAACCAGAGTTTACTCTCGTCGCCATCTTGGTTCTGGTGGGTTTGGGCCAGCTCTATGGCCTGTATCTTGTGCCAACCTCCTATCTCATCCTGTGACTTAGAATGCCTAACTATCTGGGAATGCAGCCCAGTAGGTCTCAGCCTTACTTTAACCAGCTCCTATTCAAGATGGAGTTGCTCTGGTTCAAACGCCTCTGGCACCCCCACCCCTCCAGTTCCTTTCCTCTCCAAGACAATGAGCAGTTCTTTATGGTCCTTAAGGAACTTGCAAGTATATTTTCTGCCCGTTTACATCTTCTATATTATAATGCAGATTTTGGCTTTGTGGAGATATA
Organism: Homo sapiens; assembly: GCF_000001405.40. Lineage (NCBI taxonomy): Eukaryota > Metazoa > Chordata > Mammalia > Primates > Hominidae > Homo > Homo sapiens. The sequence continues at coordinate 29,795,331 of NC_000007.14, forward strand.
TGGGAGTTGCACACTAAAATTATATGCATTTTTTTTTTCTGAGCTGGATCACATGCCCTTTGGTAAAATAATCTGGCTGGTGTTTCATTCGTCAGCAAGCTTTTCCAGGCTCATGCCTTCCCCCATTTTCACTAAGTGCTTCCTGACTATTTCTCTTGAATAGCCAAGAAGAAGGATTAATACGTTAAGCTGATTAAGGTGTACTTTGATTTATGATCATCTCTTTTCAAGTGTTTTCAAGACCCAGTCTTTTATTCTTACTAAGCTATAGAAAACTGGTAGGCAATGCCATCAGACAAGCATGCTATTCTTTTTTTTCTACATGACACAATGTCTTTCTTCAACCTTTCTGTGGTCAAGAAATGCCAGCATTGAAAAATAAAAAGAAATAATCTCTTTAATGACAGGGAAACATGGCTATCTTGTATTTGAACTTGTTACCCTCTAGATGTGGGTGGAAGATGAGTCTCTCTTTTTTGAGAATTGACTGACCAAGGCCTGGCTATGTCACCTGGTTGACTAGATACAGAAGTCATCACTATTCCTCGTTGCCAGTAAGTGGCAATTTATCACCATGTCACATGCCATGTCGTGTTATCCTAATGTGCAGAACTCCAGGACTTTTGAGAACAATCTATCCTTGATCATCCCTGTAAACAATGTGACTCTATTTAGGGAGTATGAGCACAGATAGCCCAAAATGGCAAAAAATTTTAAAGCATGTCTACTTGGCCTTGAACTACTTTTTGTTTTCATATTTGAAATGTCTGTGATGATTGTTCAGAAGTTTGCCCCACTATTTAAAAAAAAAAAAAAAAAAAAAGCAAAGCTACAAAGAGAGCCAAGTCAGGATTGCTCAAAAACTGTTTGCTTTCTTATTCTATCATTCTGTTCTAAAGGGCTCTGTGACTTCACACCATGAGGTTGAAGCTAGAGTCCTTTCTCACCAAGAGAGAAGTAAAGCATCCACTTTTGTTGACTTATCACCACTAAGCTGTAGTCTTTCTGGTGCAGAATTTTCCCTGGACAGGCAAGAAAAAGAGGATTAGATACTCTGTCATTAACTTATTCATCAATTCAAGATTTATTGAGTGCTGACTTATTATGTGAAGCCTATTTTGTTCAGTGCTGGTGGTACTGGGACAATGGCACCATTTCTGCCCTTAAGGATATAGACAAATAGACAGTTACAATGTCATGCTCTAAGTGCTTAAGAACAAAGGGGATGAGGATGTTAAATATTGAGAAATGGAGCCCTGGTCTTCCTTGAGGGTTCAGAAAGCTTTCTCAGAATAGGTGAGTGTTGATACTGAAGGATAAGATGTTCACCGGGAAATAAGGAGGGAAAAGGTATACCAGGACAAGAAGTGGCTTTGAGGAAGGCAGAGTCAGGTGAATGTGAGGGGCTCCGAGCCCTCTGGGACAGCAGCAGCACAGTGTGGTTGTGGGGTGGCAGAGTCAGAAGATGAGATGAAGCCAATCTTGGGGGTCTTTGTAGATGATACTAAGTTACTTAGGCTTTATCTTAAGCTCAAAAGAGAGTGGTTGAGGAACTCTAAGCAGGTGAGTTAGATGATTAAAATTTTGCTTTAGAAAGATTATTATGGCTTCAGGGTGGAGAAGAGTTAGGAGGAGGGAACACAGCATTGGAGCCCATAACATCATGTTGCAGATGACAGCAATAGACCAGGCCTGAGCTAAAGCAGTGGCTCCAGGGGCCAACAGGGAAAGGTGTCTGGGAGGCAGAAGGTCAATGGTTTTGTGATGGATTAGATGGTGGTGGTAGAAATCAAGGAGAAGACTAGGATGACCCAGGTTCCTCACTTGAGAGAATCAGTGAGTGTCAGTGCTATTACCACAAACAAGCCAGAAAGAGAACAGAATCCTCTAAAAAGAGCTTCCATTAGGACAGGATAGCTCTTACCAGGATGGAGGGTGCAGGGGGCACGACTAAGCTGAAATGTTCATGAGTCATTTGTCCAGTCACACATTCAATAAAGGTGCCTTGCAACAAGCCCTGTGCTGGCAGTGAGATGACCATCCTGTGGCATGGTGGCAAGACAGTAGGATTCATCTCCATTCACAGCTCTGCTCCTCACCAGCCCTGGGACTGTTGTCAGCCCATTCACTTCTAAGCCCCCATTTCATCATCTCAAATAGAGTGACTGAGGCCTCCACTTGTGATGATGATCGTTATGACAATGGAGGGGAAAGCCCTTAGAAAACTGTCAATTACTGTAAACCAAATGGCCATTTCCACCACGAAGCTGAGAGCAGAGTTTGCCTTGTGAATAATGGACCATACTGGCAAAGAAGAGACAAGAGAAGACTGGTGAAGAAAAGCAATCTTAGCAGTGCAACAGGCTTGGAGAGAAGTAGGGAGTGGCCTCAGGAGGCGCACCACCCCTTGTTCCTACATTGCAGTGACAGTCCTTTGTATTCACAGTGTGCAAAAAGGTGGCCCTTGTGTAGACAAAGGGAAGTACTCCGAAATAACAGGCTGGAGGTTGCAAGGTGAGAATAGTTGGCAGTTACAGTCCTTATTTTAAATAATAATTATTTTTCAGTAGGTGTTTTTGGAGTGCAGATTAATTAAAAATACGATACGGTAAAACAGGTAGTTTCTTTTATTTCTGTGGCCCTTCATAGTAAAATGCAGTGTTTGCACTTTAAAGAATTTCATAGAATTCACCTCTAGGTATTCTGATAGTGATTTTGAGGCACAGCAGAAATGACTGCACCTGCCTTGCACCTCAAACAACTAAGATTTAAGGATCTAACAAACTACTGAAAGATGAAAATCACACAGCCAGTTGGCAATGTGGATATAGACAAACCAGCTTGGATCTATGTCTTTTGTCTCCAAGATCCAGGCTTTCTATACTACTTTATGTTATTTACTTGGAAGGATCAAAGGTCTTAAAAATATTGTAAAATATTCTTTAGCAAAGCTCTTCTCAGTTTCTCAAAGAACAGGTTTAAGAAGGAATTTCAGAGAATGCCTTGCTCCATTTACAATTCTCTTGCTTTCCTAAATCTTGAAACTTTTTTCTGTCTTGGATCTTTTTTTCTTACCCTACAACATGTTAGAGTCTCGACTTTCTCTAGATTCTTGCTCCTCTTCTAGACATGGCCCTGTCTCTCTGTTTCTCTTCTAGGTCAAGGTTTTTGAAAAATACACTCGAAGTGTGGTTTCTACTTCCTCAGGTACTTCCCATATCTCAGCCCAGTAAGATCAGCCTTCTGAGTGGCCTACTGCACTGACCTTGCAAATACCAAGGTCACTGATGACTTCCCTTTGTCACGTGTTTTGGCCGCTGAATGTGACTTCCGTGTAGCATGACACTACCAGCCATGTCTTCTCTCCCCTTGGTTTCTGTGTCCTCACTCTCCTGGGCTCTTTCCTCTCTCTCTTGCCCCTCTCTCCCACCTGCCCTGTGGATTGTTTCCTCTTTCTCTGCCTGTTCAGTAAAGCCCTGTATTCTCCACACGCCTTGACTATCCTCTCTTCTCACTCCAAAAAATGAAGAAAGTAGATCTCAGCCTTTTGTGTTTGCAACACATTTTGGAGCAGGAGAAATTTTGGAGGCAGCCTGATGGGATTAAAATGCATCCACAGCTATATTGAACTATCGCCACCCTGGTTGCCTTTTGGCACAGTGTGGGTGTTTGAATAGAACTTCCTGCTCTCTTTTATGTACTCTTCTTGTGAAGTCAAGTTTCTCAACCCAGGAATCTGCACGGCCCTGGCCTGATGTTAAGTGATGGAGTGCCATGCCTCTTAACTTTTCCTCATGGCAAGATGGAGCTTCCTCTCTGCACAGAGACTTGCACAGAAGGCTCAGGGCTACATTTGAGCTGACAGACATGCCCACCCTCAGTTGTAGTGCATGAAGGAATAGCTTTTACAGAGGGTGGGAAACACTGCCCCAGCCTCTCACACCCCTCTAAGGCTTTATCTTTTAGAATTATTGTGGTAAAATATACATAACATAAAATTTATTTATGTATTTATTTTTGAGACAAGGTCTTGCTCTGTCACCCAGCCTGGAGTGCAGTGGTGTGATCTCAGCTCACTGCAACCTCCACTTTCCAGGCTCAAACAATCCTCCCACCTCAGCCTTCAAAGCACTTGGGACTACAGGCATGCTGCTATACACACTTGTATCACACTTGGCTAATCAAAAAAAAAAAATTTGTAGAGACAAGATCTCACTATATTGTCCAGGCTGGTCTCAAACTCCCAGGCTCAAGCAATCCTGCTGCCTTGGCCTCCCAAAGTGCTGGGATTAACAGGCGTTAGCTGCCACGCCCAGCCTAACTATTATTTTTTGAAAGATGAAGTCTTGCTCTGTTGCCCGAGCTGGAGTACAGCTGTGCCGTCATAGCTCACTGCAGCCTCAAATGCCTCCGTTCAAACGATCCTTCCACCTCAGTCTCCTGAGTAGCTGGGACTGCAGGCACACGCCACTATGCCTGACTAATTTTCTTTTGTAGAGAATGGGTCTCGGTATGTTGCCCAGGCTGGTCTTGAACCCCTGGCCTCAAGAAATCTTCCTTCTTTGGTCTCCTCAGGTGCTTGGATTACAGACATGAGCCACAGCACCTGGTCTCAAATTTAATCTTTAAACCATGTTTAACTGTACAGTTCAGTGGCATTGCATACATTCACAACTTTGTGCAAATATAGCCATTACCTAGTTCCAGAACATTCTTATCCCCCTCAATAGAAATCCTGTAGCCATTAAGCAATCCCTCCCCACTTTTCTTTCCCCAACCCCTGGCAACCACCAATCTGCTTTCTGTCTCTATGAATTTCCCTATTCTGTATATTTCATATACATAGAATTACATAATATGTGGTCTTTTGTGTCTGTTTCTTTCAGTTAGCATATTTTCAAGGTTCATCCATGCTGTGGCATGTATCAGTACTTCATTTTTTTCATTGCTGAATAATATTCCATTGTATGGATATATCCCATTTTGTTTATCCAGTCACCTGTTGATGGAAATTTGGATTGTGTTCATCTTTTGGCTATTACGAGTAGTGTTACTATGAACATTCATATACAAGTTTTTATTTAAATTCCTGTGTTCAAATCTTTTGGGTACATGCCTAGGAGTGGAATTTCTGGGTCCTATGGAAGTTCTATGTTTAACTTTTTGAGGAACTGCCAAACTATTTTCCACAGCAGCTGTACCATTTTATATTCTCCCCAGTAATGTATGAGGATTCCAACTTCTCCACATTCTTGCCAACACTTTCAAAAATTATGGCCATCTTAGTGGGTGTGAAGTAGTATCTCAGTGTGGTTCTAAGGTTTTATCTTTGTTTTAAATGTTAATGATTCTTAAAACTATATTCCTAAGTATTTACCATGGAGAAATAAAAGCATTTATCTGCAAAAGGACTTGTACACAAATATTCAAAGCACCTTCATTTGTAATATCAAAAAAAACTAGAAACAAACTAAGTGTCCACCAAAAGGTAAATGGATTAAACAAATACTGGCATATCCATACAATGAAATACCAATCAGCAGTAAAAAGGAATAAACTACATATAACACATAACTCATGGGTGAATCACATAGGCTGAGTGAAAGAAGTCAGGACAAAATAGTTCTTCATGTATGATTCTAGTACACAAAGCTCCAGAAAAGACAAAACTAATCCACAGTAATAGCTCCGTGGTTGTGATACTGACAGGAGGCAGGGAGGTACTGGATAAAAGAGGGCAGTTCCCCAGCAAAGGCCCCACCCTCAAGCCTGGAAACCTGCGGCCCTAAATGGGAATAGACATTCCTGGTTTTGTGCCCAAATGTTGCCTTCTGGCCTGCCACATCATTCTATCCTGTACCCATATAAACCCCAAACCCCATGAGCAAAAGAGCAGAGGAGCAAAAGAGCGGCAGAGCAGAGCAGCAAAGGAGATAAGAGGAGGGTCTGACCATCGAGAGGAGTTCAGCTGGGGACGGTCGGAGAGGAGATCGGCTGCAGGACGGCCAAACTCCATGGTTGATCATCTTCACACTCCATTCCCTTTCCAGCTCCATCCATCCCACCAAGAGCCACTCCCATCCAGCAATAAAATCCCCCACATTTACTGTCCCTCAATTTGTCCATGTGACCTGATTCTTCCTGGATGCTGGGCAAAAACCTGGGTACCAAGAGGGTACTGAGCTGGTTAACACTTAGGCCATCTGCAGACAGCAGAGCTAAAAGAGCACTGTAATATGCCCACTGGGGCTTTAGGAGTCACAGGCATCCACCCCTAGATGCTACTATGGGCCCAGAGCCCAAAAGCACTTGCCCTGGCTCCTGCACCTGCCCATCTGCTCCCCATCCCATAAGAAGTTTGAGTGTGCAGTGGCCAAACAAATGAGCCACACCCCTGCCTCACATCCCACAAGGGGGTCAGGGAGCTCTCTCATTTCAGTTGCATGGGGCTGGGCATAGGGACTGACTGCAAAGGGGGATAAGATAACTTTCTTGGAGATGGAATAGTCTATACCTTGATAAAGGTGGTGGTTATATCAGAGTAAACATTTGTCAGCATTCATTAAACTGTTCACTTAAAAGGAGTGCGTTTTATTGTATGACATTATCCCTTAGTAAAGTTGATATAAACTTTTTTTGAGAAACGTTACAAACCCTCAGATATGTAGCTCCAGTCCCCAACCCTAATTTATTCATTTCTTTCAGAACTCAACAAATGTGTATTGAGTACCTACTATGTGCTAGCCTCTGTGCTGTGAGATAAGGATACAAAGGTGACAGAGATGGTTCCTGAGGTCATGAATACCACAGTCTAGCCTGGAGGACAAATGTTACATCATTAAACAGATATTGTCATCATACAACTGTAATAAATGCACAAAAGAAAGGTACATGAGGTTTTGAGAGCTTATAGAAGAGGGTGACCTAGCTGAGATTCAGATAAGTTGTGGCAAGGTTTAGTTGAGATCTGAAAGATGGAGAGGAGTTGACACTTGGGGTCTTCTTCACAAAGAGGGAAGAGCACATTCAAAAAGCCTGTGACACGAAGGAATATTGCTGTCAAAGGATCTGAAAGCAGGGCAACATGGCTGGAGGACAGAGATGGAGGGGAGGACTGAGAAAGGTGCGTTGGAGAGTGGGTCAGGCCAGGTCATGAGGGCCTTCAGACAAAGCTCGGGATCTTGGTTTTATCATCAGAGCAATGAGAATTCATTGAACTACAGATAATGTGAATTGATAAGATCAGCTTTGGGTTTCAAGACGCTCTCCCCGGCCACACTGGGGAGAATGCTTTAGAAGAGAGAAGTGGCATATGATTACAGAGGGAAAAGCTAACAGGTTCCTGGGAAAGTCCTGGAGAGAGGTGATGATGGGCTCTAGTCTCAGCTGGTGGTACAGATGGGCAAAATTGGACAGATTCAACAGGCTCAACCTCAAGGAGGGTTGATGGGGGAAAAGTAGCTTTACAAAATTTCTGGGTGGTCCAACTAGATGGCGGGGGGTGGGGGGCATTGGGGGATGGGCAACAGAGTGGGTCAGGTTTGGAAGGAAGACCTGAAGTGTGGTTCCAGACCTGTAGCATTTGAGGCTCCTAAACCACCAAGCTCTTTCAGACTTTCTTTTCCCTGAAATGCCCTCCCTTCCCCACTTTCTGACAGGAGAAACTCCATTCATTAATGGATGCCCAACTCAGGTCTTGCAGGCTCCCTCCTTTTCTACAGATAGTTCATCATTTCTTCTCCTGTATCAGCTCTCTCTACAGCACAAGCTCCTCTCCTACCCAAAATTGCAATATTCTCTTCACAAGCTGTGTTCTCTACTAAGCTGTTGGCTTCCTGGGGGGCAGGGCTGTGAATTCATCTTTGCACCCCTAGCACCAGTGCAGTATCACCAGAAAATAGCTGATCTGTACATATTTGAGAGATTGAAGTGAGCACATGTGTACAAAACACTTAATATTTCTGGAGTGCCTTTCTCCTGAAGAGCTCAAGAAGTTACAGAACAGATATAAATATATGTTTGCAAGTGGAAGGTGTGAAAGGTGAGCTATTGCAGACACTTGGTGAGTGAAGAGAAGAAAAGAGGAGGTTTTTGCTCTTTACCAGGTCATAGTATAAGTTAGGAATACATTTGGCTGCAAAATTAGAAAACGAATTCTCAGAGGCTGAAACAAACATGGGTTATTTTTCTCACATAGGATATAGTCCATCCAGAGGTGGACAGTTGCACACTTTGGCTCAAGTGCGCAGTGATACCACACTGACTCTATTTCCCAGTGTGTTGTCCCAATTATATTGACCTTTTGGCCTCACAGTCTTTGGCTCTTGATTGCAATCTGGTTGTAGCATTACTAGGCATTTCATTTGCATTCAAATCATAAAGAAAGTGGGAAATGGGCTGGGCGCGGTGGCTCACGCCTATAATCCCAACACTTTGGGAAGCCAAGGTGGGCAGATCACCTGAGGTCAGGAGTTCGAGACCAGCCTGGCCAACATGGTGAAACCCCGCCTCTACTAAAAATACAAAAATTACCTGGGCATGGTGGCAAGCGCCTGTAATCCCAGCTACTCAGGAGGCTGAGGCAGGAGAATCTCTTGAACCCCGTAGGCGGAGGTTGCAGCGGGCCAAGATGGTGCCATTGTACTCCAGCCTGGGCAGCAAGAGCAAAACTCTGTCTAAAAAAAAAAAAAGAAAAAAGAAAAGAGGGAAAAGGAAAGACAGAACCAGAAAAAATTTTTCAGAGGCTCCCCCACCAGACCCTTCTTTCAACTCATTGGCTAGAACTGGGTCAATGACTTCCTTAGCTGTAAGAAAGACTGGGAAATCAGGAAGGGGATTGTCATGGTCGTCTTGGATCAATCATAATCCTGGGTTCTGTCACTAAGGAAGAAGTGGAGAATAGACTGATAATTGGGAAGACAATTCACAGTGTCTGCCACTGAACAAGTACCATCTACTAGGAAGAGCTAGTGCCTTCTTGAAGTCAATTTGTCTTAGTGGAGCTAGGTGGAAATGAATCCCTCCCTAATGTCCGTAGGAACAAGATGCTAATGGTATTGTTACTTCACATGGATAGAAAACACTGATCACCTGAATGGAATGCCTCTTGAAGCTTTCAGCCCCAAATGTCCAAATTGATTCCTCACTCACCACCTCCCCATCCCTACAACCAGGCATTTTAAAAAACAAATTCTTTGATCCAATCCAGCATCTCTTGAGATAAATAACAGGCTTTCCATCCAACTGGCTCATGCTTGGGCTGCTCAGGAGATCTGATGGGAACTCTCTAGGCCCATGGCAATGTCTTCTCTAATAGTTTGACTTTTCTTCCTTTTTGAATTAGAATACTAGTGGTTATGTATTTAGTGAGCTTTAGCACTGGAGGTCCAGAGAAGGAGAGTGGCTGGGTCATGTTTTGGGGTTTTGGGTTTTGTTTTTGTTTTAGTAACAATCACCCATGTAAGAGGGCTTATGAATTTTATGTTGGAGAACTGTTCTTCAGGTTCCATACCTGTGGTCATCTATTATGATTCTAAAGGAGGAAAGGGCAAGAGGAACTCAGGACAAACAGGTGGAAAGCAAGTGCCTCATCAGCTTCCACTCACTACACATAGACCTTTCGTCACCTAAATCAAAAGAGAAAACCATGTTCTTGACGACACTGGAGTGAAAGACATCAAAAGTGTATTATTAATCCTTGCTTTCGACACATTGCCCAGCTACAAACATGAGTAATTAAGAGATCAGCTAAGGGCTGCTTGGGGAACATACTTTGACAGCAGCCACTACAGAACTTGAACCTGAATACAGGCTGCAATCCACGTGTGAGATCTTCCCTGCTGGCATTGGCTGCTCCCTCACCTGGGTCCCCAACATTTCACACAAGCCTCAGCACAGCGCTGAGCGCCAGGTTTCTCCTCTATTCCAGACCAGCAGCAACTTTAGAGTTAGACACCTTGCCCTGAGGCCCTGCAGAGTGTCTGGCTCATGGCAGATACTCAAACACCGAGGCTGAGTGAACAGTCCACGAGTACCCGCTTAGCTCCTCCACTAGCAGGAATGCCCAGGACATGGGCAATACAGAATCCTCACCCAATGATCTCAGCACCTACAGCAATGCATTCAGCCTCGGACACAAACTTTCTGCATCCTCCAAGGGCCTGAACAAGAAATGTGACAGAAGCAAGGTTTTCCGTTCTTCAAGCTTATTTCAGGTTTGTTTTTGTTTGTTTCTTTGTTTGGTTTGGTTTGGTTTTTTGAGACAGGGTCTCACTCTATCGCCCAGGCTGGAGTGCAGTGGTTCATTGCAACTTTTGCCTCCTGGGTTCAAGAGATCCTTCCACCTCAGCCTCCCGAGTAGCTAGGACTAGAGAGCGCCACCACACCCGGCTAACTTTTGTATTTTTTGGTAGAGACAGGGCTTCACCATGTTGGCCAGGCTAGTAACTCCTGACCTCAAGTGATCCGTCCACCTCGGCCTCCCAAAGTCCTTGGATTCCAGGCTTGAGCCACCGCGCCCGGCCCTATTTCAGTTTTCAGTCTGCTTTCTCCTCCCTTCGACTCTACCTGGGACATCAATCTACCTCCCCAGGCTACCCGGATAATTCTCTCATCACCTGGCTAATTCACACTCAGTCTTCAGTTTTTCTCGTCGACGTCAGCTCCTCAAGAAGCCCTCCCTGACCTACTCCCCACCCCAAGTTTAGATCAGGTGCTCCCTCTGGGAGCCGGCTCAGGAGGCCTCTGCCTCCTCTTGGTTGTGCTGTAATCGCCCATTGGTCGCTTTCCTTTTCTAGACTGTGAACTCCACGAGGGCAAGAGGTAATCTTGTTCTCTCGTCCCCATCGCTTATGACACCGCCTGGAGCTTAGTAAGGGCTCAACATTTTGGAATAAATTCAAGGAGTGGCGTGTCCCCAGAGTAGCTGTGCTGGGCCGTGTGCCGCCCGCGCAACAGCTCCTATTTGGGGAATTCCAGCCTTAGGCCTCAGTCTCTCCGCAGCTGAGACTTGGGACTCTGTACCCGGGAGGCGCGCCCGCCGACTTGGGACCCGCCTCCAGGGTCCCAGAGCGACCCCGCCCGCCGGGGCCGTGTCCCTGCCGCGGGGCGGCGGCGGCTCCCAGGCAGGAGCCTGCGAGCAGGTGGGGGCGGCGGCCCCGCCTCCGCGTCCCGGCAGCACCAGAGCCGGTGGCCGGGGAGCGAGCCGGGCGCACCGAGCGCAGCTCGGCGGTAGCGGCGCCGCTTGGAGCACGGGCGCTGCGGGACGGAGCCCGGAGCCGGAGGCGGCGGCGGCGGAGACGTCGGCCGGAGCTCGAGTCCAGTCCAGCCCCCGGCTCCGCCACCTGCAGGTAGCGGCTTCCCGCGCGGGTGCGGGTCGGTGCCCGAGGGTGGAAGGAACGGGCGGTGTGGCGGCCGCCGCCCTGGTCGGTCCCGGAGCAGAGTGGCCCGGCCCGGGACAGAGATCCTGAGGGCGTGGGAGGGCCGGGGAACCCCCGCCGGGCTGCAGCCCCGGGCCCAGGAGGTTGTCGACGTGCCGCGCGGCGCTCACGCCCCCCACCCGCACCCTGCCACGCCGCCCCGGCCGGGCCGGGCCGGGCCGGGCGGAAACAAACCGCGGGGTGGGGAGCGAGGTCACCACGGGGTTGCTTGGTGACTTCTCCGGACTGGACTCCCCGGTGAGCAGCCCCTGGCACCGAGGCCGCCTCGGCCTGGTCCTTCGCGACGCTCTCTCTTCTCCGCTTCGCCCCCGGAACAAAAGGCTGGGGTCTCGCTGGGGAGGGGGCTGTCGCGGGAAGGGCTGGGGCGGAGTAAAAGAGAGCTAGGAAATTGCAGAGCCGGAGGTGGCTTGGGGAATACAGAAGGAGCCCCCTAGTGAGGAAGCCAACTCCAGAGATGTGAAGTGACTTGTCCAAGGTCACACAGCTCATGGGGACAGAGCGCAGGTCTCTGGACACCCCTCCCGTGCTCATCTCCAAGCCCCTGGGGTCAGTAGTCAGACTGTGCTCCAGCAATGTACATTTGGCCACAAATGGGTTTAGGGTCCTTTGGAGGATTAGGTGGTGGGTAGGTAGGTGGCAGAGCAGATTTCCCCCAGCCCCTGACACGCACTCTCTGAAGGTGGCGGGGAGGGCGGGCACCCGGCCGCCCTGGACCTGGAGGAGCGCCGCCCGGGCCCCGTGGGCAGGCAGGCACCGGCTCTCAGGAACAGCGCCTTTGGAGGGTGGCGTGCCAGCCGCGTGGGTGTGCCCGTGGCGGGCGCCGGGGCGGCGTGGGGACCGTGTGTGCGCCTCCCTCTGGAAAGAAGTTTCTGCAGGGAAAGGCCAGGAGAGCGGTTCCATGCGCCCTGGGACAGTGTGGCCAATCCCTGACACTCAGGGCGCTTTGTAACTGGCTGTATTGGGGAGGAAAGTTACTCTGTAGCAGGAAGTTAGGCTGTCTCTTCGCCTCTGTGCCTGGGGTCCTTGGCTGTAAATGAGGGCCTTGTTTGGCATGACCAGTGTGATTTAGAAGGTTTGTGCCCCTCCGCCTCCTCCTTTCCAGAATCTTTTCTCACTTCACAGGGAGGACTGGGAGTGCACTTCTTGTGCCCAGCATTAATAGTTATCACTGGGACTCCTGCCTCCCTTCAATTTTTTTTAACTTTATCATTACGAAAGAGGTCAGAGGAGAGGTTGTTTTTGGGCCTTGCAAGGAGATAAACTCCAGGTCAATACCTGGACAGGACATGAGGGAGGCTTCTGGGATGCTAGAAATGCTTCTCACCTTGACCTAAGAATTACTGAAGTTATACCCTTGAGACTTGTGCACTTAACGTAAATTCTACCTCAGTGAAAAAGTAAATAAAAATGTGATGCTAAAGTCCACTCATTGTGGTAACACACAGATTGCTGCAGTTTTCCAGCTAATGCATTTCAAAGATACATTTAAAAACCACAAAAACCAAATCAGAAAAGAAGTGGCGAGGAGGGGCAAAAGAAAGTTAAGAAGTAACTGGAAATGAAACATACACTGCAGATGCCTTTATGTGCATCACCTCCTGTGATTCGCAGCAATTCTTTAACAGAGATATTGTTATTGTGCCTTTTTTACAGATGAGAAAATAAAAGGTCACAGAGGTTAAATTACTTACTCAGGGTAACAGCCTGGGCACACAGACTTCAAATTCTAGACAGGCAACCTTCAACAGGCAATTTGTGGCCACCTGAATCGGGGCAGAGCGGTCAGGGTGACAGACACTTGTAGGCTGGCTTCCTGCCATTGCCCCCTTTTTGTTCCTTTAGGAGTCTCTGTTTTCACGTAATTGTGAGTGTGACATTGTGTCACAGATTGCAGTTACCCAGCAGCAGAAGGAATGGAGGAAGTGTGTGTGTGTGTGTGTGTGTGTGTGTGTGTGTCTAAGAACATACAGTTATAAGAACAGGGGAAAGCCAGCTGGTCTAGCCTGGCAACGCTCTTTTTAGGAGACTTATTGTTCAGAAACCATATAGTACAGGTTGCGAGTTTGCAGTCACTCCAACACATACACAAAGAATAAAGAATATAACCTAGGAAAGATCCGAGAAAACAAAATGTGATTAACAGTAGAGGGAAACATAGAATTTTCACCAGGATGGCAGTCAACTTTTTTACATTCTAGAATTTATAAATATGTTTATTAATGTTGAAGTTTTTAAAAAAGAAACCTACACAAATAACTCAGCAAAAGGAAGGAAATGTGTTTTCTAGCAAATGTGTTATAAATATTTAATATATATGAACTTTGGTGCAGAAATATTTGAAACATTAGGGTACAGTAGCCTTAAATCTACGGAGAAATCCTGAGAACTTTGTCCTGATGTGTGGTCTTCTAGTGATTTTATTTTTCTGCCTAATATTCCGAACTTAAAGAGGTAGAAACGTCTTTGTTTTACCACCAGTTTCAAGTTGCAGAGTTGAATGTTTGTCTTAGGAAGTTTTGGTGTAAAGAACGTGGGTTAAGGGGAGCAATTTAGAAATAGCTCTGGGTGAGTCCCCTCAGCCCAGTGCCATCGAGCATGGTTCTGCATCACAAAGTTATCTTTAGGCAAGTTTGCCTTGTCACAGTGGTGCTTCTGCCATCTGGCTGCTGGAATATTTAGAAAAGAATCGTAATGTTTGACTGACTTTGCCGACAGCATGACAAAACAAACTTCGAGGGGAACTATTAAATATGAGTTAGGGTTGGTGAGAAAGTGATTAATTGCTTTTTATTTAGCCACTGTACAAAACCGAAGAGGCATGCCTTTCCCCAGCCGATGCTGGGCAGGGGCAGCACACGTGTTTTCTCACTGGCTTCAGCCAGTAGGGCACTTGAAACTCCCCTTTTGCAATTCTAGCTGCGTCTTTCCTTAGACCTGTTCAAGAGGGAACCCGACCATTATGCAGCAGGGGAATTGTGTAGTGAACTGCGGTGTTCAAGTGCCAAGGAGGTAAACTAAAGCAGAGTAAACGTGACAAAAATGCCCAGCGGGCATTATGTGGGCCAGGCACTGTGGAGGAAGATTTTCAAGTGCATCTTGAAGGAATGTTCATCCTATGTGGGTGGTGTTTTCCAGCTAACACCGCATCTAGGATGGTGGCATCCAGGAGAGAGTGCCAGGCCTGCACATGGACTGTGAGAGTCAGCTCTTGGTTAGCTAGGAGGAGGCAGTAGCCAGTCTCAGTGCTTGAGTTTCTGAGGACGTGTGTCTGTGTGAGTGCACATGTGTGTCTGAGCAAGGTGCCCAGGTTGCCATCCACTGTTCCTTAAGAGCTAATGACTAGCTAGCCCTGCCCGGGGCTAGGCTAAGAGCTTTATATGTAGGACATCACTACAGCAGCCCTATAGGGAGCTGATTCTTCATACTCCTTTATCAAAGGGGAGACAGAAGCCGAAGGCTGACTTACTCTCAGAATGATCATGTTGCACCCTGCTGTGGTCTTTTATCAACCCACTCATAACCCCAAGGTGTCCCCAACCTACCTGACTCTCTCTTATTGCACCTGAGCTCCTGGAAGGCAGGAACTGTGTTCATCTCCATTCCCAGCATAGCACCTGCCCCATGCCTGGCAAGTGAGGGGTACTCCCTAAAGGTTGTTGAATGAATTAAAGGACTGTGTAAGTGGAGGAATCAGTAATTGTGTGAGTGAATGAATGAATGAATGAATGAATGAATGAATATCTGGAAGTATGTTCCAAGATCAAAAGACAATTATTTGTTGTGTTTTATCTGTTGTTTTAACTTTCACTGTCTCATTCCCTTTTGTTAATATGGCTCCATCAGGCATAACTGTATGGATGAGATTTCCAATAGTTATCTCCTTTAGGGCTCAGCCTATAAAATCAAAAAGCCTCTGCTTCTTTAAGAAATTATTTATTCTTTTGTATAACTTATGTAAGTCAGAATCCCTGGACTATTTTGCATGAATCTTACATGCATCATTTATTTGCTGTATGATCTTGGACAAATTACTTAACCTCTCTGTGTTTTGGTTTTCTCATCTAGAAAATGAGGATAATAATAGTATTTATCTCATGTTTAAGGCTAATAAGATAGATTTATTCTGTTTTTTTGTTTTTTGATAGGGTCTTGCTCTGTTGCCCAAGCTGGAGTGCAGTGGTTTGATCACAGCTCACTACTGCCTCCAACTCCCACACTCAAGTGATCCTCCCACCTCAGCCTCCTGAGGAATTGGAACTACAGGCACGTGCCACCATGCCCGGCTAATTTTTTTTTATTTTTTGTAGAGACAGGATCTGACTATACTGCCCAGGCTGGTCTCAAACTCCTGGATTTAAGCGATCCTCCTGCCTCAGCCTCCCAAAGTGCTGGGATTACAGACATGATCTGCCTTGCCCAGCCATAAGATAGATTTGGTACTTAGGACAGTGCCTCATTCATAGCAATGTTCAGTCAATTAGCCATTATGATGATGATGATGATGATGATGATGATGATGATGATCTGATGCTTTTAAAAATTGTTTGCCTTAAATGTTCCGTGTTCCATAAAGTGTTCAAGGAGTTTACAAAAATAGCAAACAACATAAAATTAATAGATAATGAAACTGAGGTAAAGGGAACACACGGGTTAGAAAGTGAGATAAAATCAGAGGTAATTTACAGAACCAGAATAGATCATAAGTTGTGGATAGTTTCCAGAGGTGGGAGTAAAAATTTGCCAGAGCTTCCCAGCAGCCAAAACAAAAAAGAAAACATAAATAGTTACCTGATCCACAGTGACCATGAGATAAAAACAGATTGGTTACACAGCTTTTCCTGGTCCTGAAACCTGGGATAACTTTCTCCTGGCAGGTGTTCAATGCACTCACTGTTGCCATAGAGACCTAAGTCTTCAACATCATCCCTGCCATAAAGACAATGGAAGTGCTGTGGTAGAAGGCAAAAGTAAGTGTTTCCTAGAACTTTATTGACTGCAGTTCCGGAGACATAATCCCACACAGCTCAGTAAAAGCTCTTTGCAGGGCCAAAATGCTGTGGTTCAGGGACATTCTGTATTCTTAGCTATGCTTACTGAGTGCCTGGAAGAGCCAGAGCCTTCCTTCCAAAGATTGTAATTCTTATGAGAGTCAGGTAGTGAACAGTCTCATCTTTAAGAACTTTGGCTCTGGCTGAAGCCATTTAAATGAGCCAAATCAGTTTACCTCATCCAGGAAAAGTCCAAAGGGTGTCATTGTGCACATGTGCTCATTAACAGATGATTATGTATTTATGAATTTTCTTAATACCAGCAGTCCATAATTTCCCTTTAGCTGAAAATTTTTATTACCTACTTGGAAAAAGAAAAATCCAGTGCTAGAAAGCATAAATATTTTATTTTTTAAACATTTTTTATTATTGAAATAATAGTGCTCATGTCTTTTAAGCTCCCCACTCCCGTATATATATCCAGATGTGAATTGTAGCAGCTGCCAAAGTAAACAAAACCAAACCAGTGCACACACCCAAATCTGGCTTACATGGATTTGTTTATTTGTCTTGTGGAATTAGACTCCTAAGAAAGGCAGTCTGGGGCCTGTGCAGGAGCTATCTGAGACCAGTATCCATCCATCTTCCTGCTTCACCACACTTAGCCTATAGGACTTCATCCTAAATCTGGTTGCCTCATGATGACGATATGGCTGCAGTATCTCTAGGCTTCCATCTGCAGTCTAGGCAAGAAGACAAGGAAGGTGCAAATAGATAAAGGAATTAATGTCCTTCTATTAGTGAGGTTTTACCTTTTTATTCAGGAAGTGATGCACTCCCTAGGACTTCCACCTGCATCTCATTGGCCAGAACAGTGTCACAGGGTTGTTCTAAATATATTAGAGTCTGATAAATCAAATATTTTTAGCTGGGTAAATTGCAACCCCATCACTCAAATTAGGGCTTCTGCTGTGAGGAAGAAGAGGGAATGGTTATTGAGTAGGCAGCTAGCAGTATCAGCCACCTGACTGACTTCCATTATTAGCCATGTGTCTGACTTAATTAGAAATTACAGAAGGTGACTCAGTAATTTTAAATGTTGTACTCTTCTAGATCTTCATGGAATTAGTGTTAGAGAATGAAATGCACCCAACTGCCTGTGTAAAGATTCCTAAATCGCTATTGTCAGCCTTGCTTCTTCTCTAAATTTCAGATCTGAATTTCCATTTGCCAAAAGCACCTCAAACTCAAAATGTTTCGAATTAAAATCTATTCTCTCTGCTCATTGACCACCGCTTCCCACTCTCTCCTCCGTCTCGTTTAACACTACATTGTCTTGACCACCAAGGACCCAAGGGGTCACCCCAGGCTCTTTCTTCTTCCCCATCCCAGACATCCAATCTGATTTCCTCCTTGGCTCTATCCCATTGCCGTTACTCTGATTTAAATAAATACCCATCCTTACTCATGTGGGTCCCCAAATTGATATACCTGTTTGCTCCTTCCTCTCCCTACAATTCAGTTTCCACACATAGCCCCACGGTGCTGTTTTTAGAACACAGATGTCTAACAACATCTTTCCTCTCTTTAAAAACCTACAAAATAAGGTCCAAAAGCCCAGCATTTGACAGCCTGGCATTGTGAGCTTCCTGCCACAACCCCCAAGCCACAGCACCCATGCACTCACACAGGGCAGGACTCTGCTCATACCCGCCCCTGCTTCAGTCATGGAAGACCTGGCTCAGACATTTCTTTCTGACACTTTACTTGTCCGTAACTTATGGCACAATTAAGTAAATTTTCATGTATGCTTCCAAACTATTTTATATTTCTATTCATATTTTTTGCCCTGGATTCTTTTTTCCTGATATTAATAATGCTACAGCAGTTTTTTTCTTAAAAATCAGTTTTATTGAGCTATAATTCACATACCATAAGATTCAGCTTTTTAAAATACACAATTTCAGTGGTTTTTAGAATTTTCACAGTTGTGCAACCATCGCCATTATTTAATTCCAGACATTTTCATCACCCCAAGAAGAAACCCGTTAATAGTCGCTTCTCATCTCCCTCCCCTCAATCCTTGACAACCACTAATCTATTTTTTATTTCTATAGATATTTGCTATAAACGGAATCTTACAATATGTGGCCTTTTTGGTAAGAGAATTTTTTTTTTTTTTGAGACAGGGTTTCGCTCTGTCACCCAGACTGGAGTCCAGTGGTGCTATCCCAGCTCACTGCAGCCTCGACCACCCAGGCACAGGTGATCCTCCTGCCTTAGCCTCCCAGGTAGCTGGGACTACAGGCGCGTGCCATGACACCCAGCTAATTTTTGTATTTTTAGTAGAGATGGGGTTTTGCCATGTTGGCCAGGCTGGTCTCGAACTCCTAGGCAAGCGATCTGTCTGCCTCCACCTCCCAAAATAAATGTAATAACCTGCTTACGGTTATTATGATTACTCATATATTGGAACTTATTTTGTGTTTTCTTGTATACCCTGTGCTTTATTATTACTTCTTTTTTTCCCTTCCTTTTCTGCCTTCTACAAAAGTGCCTGGCACATAGTAACCTTCAGTAAGTGTTACAAGCTATCATTTGTGGGCAGGAACCATGTAGCTATGGATTTATTTATCCATCAAACATTTATTGATTACCTGCTACTCGTGTTTATAGTTTTGTTGCATGGCTAGCTTAGTGTCTAACAGATAGAAGAAGCTCAGTACATATTTGCTGCATTGCATGGACTGTGCAGAGACTGATGTGCTTGTCGAAGGCTGGGGGAGTTGTGGAAAGCACACAGGCTTGGGATCAAATTCACTTGGGTTGGATCTGATTTTGTCACATCCTAGCTATTTGATCTTGGGTGATTACCTTATGTCTTTGAGCCTTCATTTCCTCATCTGTGAAATGGGGATGATAACATCTGTTGTGAAGAGTTGTTTTGGGGGATGAGAGATAGTTATGTAAGTGACAATCAGAATTGCTAGTGTAGGGAATATGCTCAGTACATGTGAACTATTGTTTTTCTCAGTGAACTGTTTAACTGAGCACCCTCCCAACCATGTACATCAGTATTGAAACACCAACCATGACTGCCCAGGGAATAAAGGTGTAGTCAAAAATGAAACTGGCCCCTTTCCTATGTGGCTGATGTAAGTTATTACCGCCCTATTAGAGGAGGGGACATTTTCCCCTCACATGGTAGAACCAAGGAAAACAACCAAAAGTGTACTTTCTTCTTCCTTTTAACAATAGGAGTCGATTTTAAGTCTCCGATGTCCCTTAAAGCTTCCGTTTATTCTAACACTCGTTTAAACGTTTCAATGAAACATTTTTGTTTCAGTCATGCTTCTCTCCAGGGATTCAGAGAAAAAATAAAGTAGCGTCAGAAATAGGTAAGACAACTACCTAGAAAAAGAGAAGCTTAGCAAGCTTGAAGACAGGCTATTTGGAAATACACAGTCAGAGGAGACAAAAGGAAAAAAAAACAGTAAGACAAGACAAGCAAGCAACCATTTTTCCTGAGTTTCAAATTCCCTTTCCCCACATTTTAAAAGCTTTTGCTCGACTCTTTGTTGCTGTTGTTCTGGTTTTCACCCAAATGTGTATGTCTTGAGGTTAGAAATTTGCCTGCGGACATAGAAGGAAGGCTAAAGAGTAGCCAGGGTTTATGCCTTTTGTTGTCCTTCCTGGCATGCATGGATGCTCAGTGAGTTTTAAGGGATGGTGTTTGATCTGCACTCATTTTGACAGTATCCGTATGAATTACATGTATCTAAAAAAGACGAGCCAAGATACCTGTCCATAGGATCTAGGGAGGCAGTATTTTGTGGCTAGGGGAACAGAGCCCCCACGTGTTATTTCAGACATGTGCACCTTCTCACCAGCATGCTTGTGTTCTCACAGTTAATAAATGACAGGGTCTGCTACAGCTGGAACCAACTTAAAATTATCCATGCCTAATAGAGCATCATGTCTTAAAACCATTCCTTGTTGTGTGTTAACCGTGTGATAACAGAAGAATTAAACTGTAGGGGTTATGACTGGTTTGGGGAGAATTATTTTATTCTGCTCTTGCCTATTTTCCTAGTGCACCTGGTCAGTCGCCTCTAACTTGTGGATGGCTGTGGTGGTGATTTCAGCTGTCCCAGGAAGTCTGTGTGCAAGGCCAGCACAGCAAATCCCACCCTTAGTGCTGAGTCCTACTCTCGATGGCTCCAGCAGCTGCTCCTTTAGACCAAATCGTCAAGACCATTTTAATCTTTTTCTTTATTTGTATTTGCCTTTGAGGTGTAAAGAGATCTCCTAATTCGGATAGTTCAAAATACTTTTAAAAATACTTCTTCACAGTTGTCCCAAATAAAGTGTTTCTCTGAGGTGGTAATCCTGAACTTTTGCTTATTAATTTTTTGAATAAGGAATAATGCACATGACACTTCAAAAAGTATAAAAAGGATGTTCACTGTAAAATATTTCCTGTACTCTATCCTCAGACCACCTAGTTATGCATTCTTCCAGAGAAAAGGCATACTCGTTCTTTTATTATTATTATTATTATCATCATCATCATCATCATCATTTTTTTAGAGACAGAGTCTCTCTCTGTTGCCCAGCTGGAGTGCAGTGGCCTGCCTGATTATGGCTCACTGCAGACTCCATCTCCTGAGCTCAAGCCTCAGCCTCCTGAGTAGCTGGGACTACAAGTACACCAGCTAATTTTTATTTTTATTTTATTTTATTTTATTTTTTAGTAGAGATAGGGACCTGCTTTGTTGCCCAGGCTGGTCTTGAATGTTAGGCCTCAAGTAATCCTGCCCCTGCTTTCCAAAGTGCTGGGATTACAGGCATGAGCTGCCCTGCCCAGCTGCAAACTCATTCTATATACATTTTCTGCTGCCTGCTTTTTTCACATAACACAATGTGGAGATCATTCCAGGTTCATACATACAGGGCTGCCATATTCTTTGTGACAGCTACCTAGTGTGTCAGTATAATGTATGAACCATAATTTAATAATTAGTTTTCAGTTGACAGGTATATACACTATTTCCAGCCTTTTCCTATTAAAACAAATGCTGCAAGTTTTGTCACTGTACAAATTATTTCTCACACGTGAGAAAGATCAGTAAGATAAATTCCTAGAATTGAAATGTGAATTTTTAAATGTTGCTACATTTTCCCATTACCCTTCACAGAAGTTGTACAAATTTATATTCCTACCAATAATTGTCTGATTCCCTGCACTCTCTCCAACACATACATATCAAACTTTTTATCTTTGCCAATTTGATAGGTGAAAATGGTATCTGATTGTGGTTTTGACTTGCATTTTCTCATTAGGAATAACATTGAGGGTCTTTGAATGTGTTTAATTGCCATATATGTTTCCTTATGTGTGAACTGTTTAGGCCTATTTGTGTATTTTCTATCGGGTTATTGATTTTTATTGTAGGAACACCTTATAGAGAAGATAAAACAGCCATTTTACTATAATTTTTATTTTACTGTAATTTCCCCCAGTTTATAATATGACTTATTTTAATGTAATTTCCCTGCAATTTGTAGTATGACTGGGCTTTATTTAATGTGGTTTTATGTATATAGATATGTATTTATTGCTTTGCAGAAACCTTTTCTTCTATACATTTTAGAAAGGTCTTTCTGACTTGTAGATTTTAAAAATTCTCTCATATTTTTAGTATGATTATAATTTCCTTTTTTAGAAATTAAAAATTTGATTCCTTGCAATTTAATGTAAGGCATGAGATCCTTACATTGTTAGCTAACTTAATTTTTTTCCAGATTACTACCCAATTTACTCAATACTTTTTGTTGAATAACTTATCTTTTCCCCACTGATATCCAATGTCTTTCTTTTTTTAAAATAATAACCAAAATTTCCAAAAATACCTAGGTCAATTTCCAGGCTCTCAGGTCTATTACCATTACTGATTCTCCATATAGCAATATCAAATGGTTTTAATGAATATGGCTTTATTATTTGTTTATTATCCAATGATTTTATTTTTCCATGTAAACTTTGAAATCACCTTGAGTAGTTATAAAAAGCAAACAAGTTAGTATTTTCATTATGATCACCTTAAATTTATACATTAATATAGAGAAAAATCAACTTTTGTATGATATTTAGTCTTCCTACCCAAGACTATAGTGTGTTTTTCCACGTCTTCACTGTTTCTCAGTAATGTTTTGAAGTTTTATTTCATGTCTTTGCATATTTTGTTAAGTTTATGCTTAGGTATACTTTTTTAAAGTTGCTATTGTGAACACAATTATTTCTTCACAGTACTTTCTGGCAGTTATTGTTTATATACAGGGATACTTTTTGGAGTTTATTGGTTTGGAAGAGCTACCTTTTTAAATTATCTTATTAATTAAAATAATTTTCCGGCCAGGCACAGTGGCTCAAGCCTGTAATCCCAGCACTTTGGGAGGCCGAGGTGGGGTGGATCACCTGAGGTCAGGAGTTCAAGACCAGCCTGGTCAACATGGTGAAACCCCCATCTCTACTAAATATACAAAAATTAACTGGGGTGGTGGCACATGCCTGTAGTACCAGCTACTCGGGAGGCTGAAGTAGGCGAATCGCTTGAACCTGGGAGATGGAGGTTGCAATGAGTTGAGATCACACCGCTGCACTCCAACCTGGGAGACAGAGCGAGACTCCATCTCAAAAAAAATAATTAAAATAAAAAATAAAAATAATTAAAATAATTAAATTATTTGATTTAATTCTATAAATTAAAATTATATAATATTATATATAATATGTATACTTATTTAATTTAATTATATAAAATTAAGATAATTTTTCCGTGGAGTCTGTTAGGTTTTCCATATATATTGCCATATTATTTGGGGGGAAAACATGATAATTGAGCCTCCTTCTTTTCAACTATTATACAATTTAGTTCTTTCTTTTATCTAATTGAATTGACTACTAGCTGTAGGATAATGATAACTAGTAGTGACAATAGTGGACATGCTTGTCTTGTTCCTGACTTTAATTGGAATTTGTTTAGTCTTTCTCCATTTGCCATAATGTATTTTGAGTTATGTTATAGATATTTAGAGGCAGCTATGGAGATGATTGTATGATTTTCCTGTTTTATGCCCCTGCTATAGTGAGTCATATCAGTAGGTTTTTTAGCATTAAAACATCTTTGCATTTAAACCCTACTTGGTTGGCGTGTATTATTTTTAGTGTGTTGCTGAATTCTGTTCATTTATGCTTATTATTTTCTTCCTCCATATTCATAAATGAGATTGGTCAGTAGTTTTCTTTTTTTATTTGTTCTATTCTTTCTCAGGTTTGGATCTGACTGCTAAGTGGTAATTAACTGCTTCTTAGAGGTTGGGCAGAATTCAGCCATCTATCTTTCACACTTCTTGGTGGTGGATCTTTGACAACTTTCACTATTTCTTCTCTTTAGATGTTCTCTCTTGTCTTGGTCACTTGATTAACTCATGTTTTCATATTCAACTCTTCATAATGGTTGTCTGTTTCAATTCAAGTTTTCAGATTTCTTTACCTAGATTTCAGCAAAATCTTTTAATGTCTTCTCTATCTATCATTATTTTCCCTGTCTCTTGTTTTATTTTGTGTATCTGTGCTTTCTCTTTCTCCCTCCCCTCATTTGGTTAAGGTAAGATGGTTACTTATTTTATTGTTTTTTGTTTTTCAGAGACTAAGCTTTTAGATATATTCATTTAAACATTTATCTTTTTCCTAATTCCTAAATATCTGGTTTCAAAAATTCACAAATAAATGTTAATTCCTTCCCTTCTGCTTCCTTTAGGTTCATATTATTGTTACTCATGTTTCTTGAGAGTTTTTTATTCCTTGTTTTATAAATATGTTTACTTACAGCTATGATTTTTGCTCTGAATTTTTCATTAGCTGCATTCCATAGGTTCTGATATGCAATGTTTTCATTATCCTTATTTTCTCAGTACACATTAAGTTTGGTTTTCACATCTTTTTGTTCCAAGATCTGTTAAATAAAGTTTAAAAGTTTCTAAGTGATAGAATTTTAAAGTTTTCTTTGTATTTTTGTCATTTGATAGGATTGTGAACAGAAAATATTGTCTGTTCTGTTTCTACATTTTAGAATTTGTTGAGATTTTCTTTGCACTATTTACAGCTAATATATAGTCCCTTCTGTGGCTAGTTTAGGGACACTTTAATATGTGTCTTCTATATTTAGAATGTATAGTCATATATTTCCCCGTACCTTGCAATTATTTTATTTATATATTTTAAAACCTTACTTTTTTGATCCACTAAATATGATAAGGACAGAGAGAGAACCCATAAAAGTCTTGATCTGAATATACATTTGCCTTCCTTTCCTTGAATAATATCCTATAGCTTTGCTTTATTAATTTTGTTACTGCTATTTGGAACATAGATATTCATGGCTGCTAACTCAAACTTTGTATATTATTCCCTTTACCATTATAAAGAATCTTTCTTTGCCTTGTTTAATGGTTTTTATGGTGATTTGACTTTTCTCTGTTTCAAATCAGGTGTGTATCTTTTACACAGTATATAGTTGAATTTGGTCCAGTTTGAGGGCTTTTTCTTTTAATATGTGAGCTCTGCCTATTTATGTGTATTGATATGGCAGATATGTTTGTTATTATTTTTGTTATGTGTTCTGTTTTCTATTTTTTATTGCTTAATTTGCTTTTTTACATGATCTGTTTTTTTCCTTACTTTGTGCCCATGTAATTCATTTGGGAGATGTGTCCTATCTTTAGTTCTTCTAGCAATCCCCTTTATAATGATAATAATTCTCTGTTGTTGTTTCTTTTAATTTAGAGAGTATCCACTGATTCCCCAACAGAAATGATACTGAATATCCACTTCTTCCCACCTCCCATCTATCCCTTTCCAAACCTCCTTTCCACCATTCAATTCTAGTTGGTATAATCACTTTTTCTTAGTTTTTCCAAAACTAAACCTTTTAATATGCTTGACTTATACTCCTGTGAGAAATAGACGTGATTTATTCTCTTTAAAGATATTTTGATTTATTAACTTTAAAGGTATTATGCTTGAGTATAATAGCTAAGGAATCAACATGCATATATCTCCCACTTTATCTTCCTTTTTACCTGATAACTTTTGCAAGTTACATTTTTCCATTTTGCCATGATTAATAGTAGTTCCATTCCTTTCCGATAGCGTATTTCCATAGCTGTTTCAGTCTTGATTCAGCAGTTAATTCAATACTTACTGCCATTTCTTTGTCCCCACTTTCTCTCCTCAACTCTTGATTAGCTGACATTTTTCCTACAGTGGTATCTTCAATACAAATTCAAGAAACACACATTTTGCATGTTTAAAAACATTTGCCACTTGCCTTCTTACTACAATGACAGTTTGGCTGGATATAAACTTTTAGGTCACACATTGTTTCTCTGGGATATGATGGCATGGCTAATATGTCTCCAAAACTATATGATTTTCCTTTGGATATCACAGACCTTTTATTTTATTTATTAATAAATTGATTTATTTATTTTTGAGACAGAATCTCACTCTGTCACCCAGGCTGGAGTGCTATGGTTTGATCACGGCTTACTGCAGCCTCCACCTTCTAGCCTCAAGCAATCCTCCCATCTCAGCCTCCCAAGTAGCTGGGACAAGACACACGCCACCATGCCCAACTAATTTTTTAATTTTTCTCTAGAGACAGGGTCTCCCTATATTTCCAGGCTCATGAACTCCTGGTGCAAGTGATTCTCTCGCCTTGGCCTCCTAAAGTATGGGGATTACAGGCATAAGCCACTGTGACTTGCCTTGTACCTTTAAATGTATAGAATTAAATCTTCCTTTTGAAAAGCTTTCTTAAATTATATGCTTGATATTATGTGTTTGAATATTTGTTCTCTTCCATTTGTTTATGTCTTTTACTCAGGAAAACCAGTTATCTTTTTCATTTGTCTTCCATATCTAGCAGTTTCTCTCTAATCCTTTCAAATTCTTTGTCCATTTACATTTCATTCTGCTCATTTTTCTCAATCCTCCATGGTACTCAGTGTGTTTTCAACAATACCTGTTTTCTTTGGGCTTCTTCTAGTGTGTTCTTCATTTTTCTCTTTTACTTCTGCCATGATATTTTTCATCCTCTATTATTTTGCTAGATATTCTCAGAGTCCTTATCTCTTTTCTTTGATTCCTTGTTTTAAAGGGTTAATTATTTCATTAAATCCTTTAAGTTAATAATTGTATGTCTTGTCACAGTGTTTATCTGCTTTACAGCAGTATTTTTTCTAATAAATGTTCTTTACTTATCATCGTTCTTTTCCTATTCCTTTCCTTACTTTTTTCTTAGTTTTTTTTTTTTTTTTTTTTTGGTATAGATCTTATACTGGTTCTCTTTTTCATTATTCATCTTAAAATGAGGTCAACTCTTCTTGGACCAACTATTTTCAGATTTACTTGAGGAAATGACCATGGCAAGTTCTAGACCAGCAAGAATTCTTTTTGGCTTAGGGAGGAACTCCTTATGACACAGAGAGAGAGAAGTATGTGTGTTATAAGACTCATTGAAATGCACATTTGCATCTGTGCCTGCAAATAATTTTGGACCCTCCTTTCCCCAGCCGGTAGAGGTGGGTAGCTTTGAGGCTGCCCAAGATTCACTGTCTTCTTGGCCTACCTCATTCCTAGAATGTCCCTACAGAAATGCCTTGCCTTTGCCATCTTCTCTGCTCCCTGGTGGGTCTAGGGTCTAAGATCAGTTCTGCTGCCATCCTACACACCCTTTTCCATTATTCTAAACGAGAGTTGATGGGTTTTCTTTGCCAAGGAGCTAGTGTTTCCCACTTTGGAGAGCAGGGCTCTGCAGGCTTTGTCTGAGGCTTACAGCCACAAATGTATCGTCTACAGCATATCCACAACCCGTGTCAGATCATCCTGAGCAATGAACCGTCCTGTCTCATTCATTAAAGTGCAGAGTTACGGAGATATAGTTTTACCAAAGAAAATTTTCTTTTTCTTTGTTATCTTGAGATGATTTCCAAGAAAAGGAAGAAACAGATATTTTTACCGTCTTAAAACCGGAAGACCTTCTTGAACTTTATTTTGAAAAGTGAGTTTTTTAATCTAAAAATCTAAAAGCAAGCTGCCTCCTCTCTGCTGCAGTTTAGTGAGACCACTTCCATTTCCAAGAAGCCACCATATCCTTACTTTAAAAAATTACATTTGGAAAAACTTTGTTTTTTGGACAGGATCATATGCAATTTTAAATTTCTTTATTATTTATCTCAAAGCAGTACTCCTTTGCTCCTCATATTTATACAACTTAGGAAAGAAGAAACATTCTACCTTTTTCTTGAACAAATAGATGGGAATTACAGCCAGAACTAGAAACCAGTTTTCCCAGCTATTAAATGATTTCTCTTTGATTGCCTTGCTTTTTGTCATGCCAGAGAAGCCTTTTCTAGTGTGCACTGTAAGCTTTGAGAACCCAACATTCATTTTTTTTTTAGATGGAGTGTCACTCTGTCACCCAGGCTGGAGTGCAGTGGCACGATTTCGGCTCACTGCAACCTCCGTCTCCTGGGAGAACCCAACATTCAGAATATATTTTATTCCCACGCCGATAATGAGGTCTACCATTGGACAGAAACTTTGACAGTTCTCTTCCCTTTTCTAGTTTGCAATATTTTTCTTTAATAATCATTAAGATGATATCTCATTTCTAGATTCACATATAACTTTCCCAGTGTTCTGCTAACAAGGTTTGTCTCCATCTTTTGCGGGAGCCTGATTCCTTGTTTATATGCCATTGCCTTGATACAAAAATATCTTGATACCAACTGATATGGTTTGGATTTGTATCCCTGCCCAAATCTCATGTCGAACTGTAATCCCCAATGTTGGAGGTGGGGCCTGGTGGCAGGTGATTGGATCGTGGGCGGTTTCTCATTATTGGTTTAGTGCCATCCCCTCATCGTTGCTCTTGTGATGTTGAGTGAGTTCTCACGAGATCTGATTGTTTAAAAGTGCGTGGCACCCCCACCCCAGTCCTGCTTCTGCCATTTAAGACACTGTTCCCACTTTGCCTTCTGCCATGAGTAAACGTTCCCTGAGGCCTCCCCAGAAGCAGATGCCGTTATGCTTCCTGTACAGCCTGCAGAACTGTGAGCCAATTAAACCTCTTTTATTTATAAATTTCTCAGTTTCAGGTATTTCTTTATAGCAACGCGAGAACAGACTAATACACCAAGGCAGTGGCATTTGGCATTCGGCATTACTTTTGGCTTTGGCAATACCAGTATCCCAAAGACATAGTCCCTATCTTTGAACCTTTGAGGAGCCCATGGTCCAGTGAAGGGAGACACAGAGACATATAAAAGGAAAATAGGTCCGGGCATGGTGGCCCATCCCTGTGATCCCAGCTATTACGGATGCTGAGGCATGAGAATTGGTTGGCCCTGGTGGGGCAGAGCTTGCAGTGAGCTGAGATCATGCCACTGCACTCTAGCCTGGGTGACAGAGCGAGACTCCATCTCAAACAAAACAAAACGAAAATGAAAAAGAAGAAGAAAATTGCCAGAGTGCTCAGTACCATAGTAGAAGTGTGACCAAAGTGCAAAGTGCTATAGGGGCAGTTAGCCCTCCCAAAGGGAGAAGAAAGCCAATGCAGAGAAGCTGGCACCTGAACACAGTTTTGCAGGTTAACAGGTATTTTCCAGATGGTGAAGGCCCTGACCTGCAGCCTGAATACCATGGGCAGACTTAGAGATGTATTTTTAAAAAAAAAAAAAAGAAAAAAAAGGATATAAGAAAATGTCAACAGTGTGATGTGGGTAAAACGGAGGAGGCCCAGAACACAGTGGAGGATGAGATGTGGAGTCTGACTTCATAGTAAGTAGCCCAGAGAGGAGTACATGTTAAACCTGGGAGTGATGTCATGGACGCTGATAGGTGACACCTGTAGTCGATTTGTGAGACTTGGCTGTCAGTGATGTGCCGGCTGCCTCAGGAAGGAATCTGCCTGGTAGCTGAGATGAGGGAGGCTCCTTGCTGCAGGCTGTTTGAGGTTTTAGCCTAACTTCAAACTGGATGAGGGAGCCAGGGCGTCAGAATCTGCTTATCCTGGAACAGTAGGAATAAGGTTAAAGCACTTAAACTAACCTAAAGTCGCACCCAAAACCTGGAAAGGAAGGATTTGTTTCTTCTTGTACCCAATACTACCTCCCATCTGCACATTATTTCCTCAATGATTTTTGGAATAGTAGCATTTTTGGAGTACGTACAACGTGAAAAGTTACCACCTTAGCCTTAAGAAAGCAAAAAACACCATTCGTATAAAATCTAGCATCATAACATAAATTAAAGAGGTGGTCATTCATTTTGTAAAATGGCTCATTATTTTATGATATTAATTGTAAGTTTCCGTTGAATAATAAACTCCCTTTAGCTAATGCATGCTGGGCTTAATACCTAGATGATGGGTTGATCAGTGCAGCAAACCACCGTGGTATGTGTTTTCCTATGTAACAAACCTGCACACCCTGCACATGTACCCCAGAAATTAAAATAAAAGTTGAAGGAAAAAAAATATTAAGCTCCTTTTTTATGCTTAAGGTTTACCTTGATTTTCCAAAACTTAGAGATACCCTATTTTAGAAGTATAACTGTTATATAAAATGCAGCTTACTCGTGAATGTGTGATTAATATCATGTATTTTTAATAAATCCAGTTCTTAATTAATTCAAGGATGAAAGAGAAGAAAGACAGGAAATCAATATTTTCTCCTTTCACCCTTGGGAACCACACATATAACAATTTTTATGGAACTCAGCCCTCATTTAAATGCCTGAGTCAGTGATAAATATTATTAATATCTTCATTTTTTCCTTTCACCAAATACTGTTCAAAAATTAGAGTGAATTCAATGAATGATCTGGGAACAAATTTGCATTTCAATAAGAGTCCTATAAAAGAAAACCAATGTATGAGCTCATCTTAGTATGTGTACATAGTAGGTTTCATATTAGATGTGGTTAAAGTGTGTTTCCATTTTAGAATTCACATAGATAAACCCACATTAATCCTTTCAGCACTTCAGCAGATAATTAACTTTAATACCCAGTTAGGGCTGAGCCAGTTCAGTTTCTGGAGCCGATGTCTGGGCTGGTGTTTCTCAGGTGTCAGAAATCGTTCATGTCGCCTGTGTGAGAGCAATGGTTTCCCTTTCACTTTGTATGTCATATTCAATTCCAAGTACAGTAGCATTTGCATGGACCCAGCCTGCTGAAATTAAATGAATCTACATGAAAATGAGCCTTTTCAGCAAAGGCCACAACTTCTGACTCTATGGGAGAGAGAATGCTTTCATCATCCTAGATGTTCCAGAGCAGGGTTCTTCAAACTTTAGCGAGCATAAAACTCCCCTGTAGATAAGATGCTCTCAGAGATTGTGCTTCAGTAGGTCTGTGTGGAGATGGTGCCTTTCTTACAGCCTTCCACATTGGAGAGCTGCTCAGTGTGGCCCCAGATCCACAGTGTCGGCCTTACGCAGAAGCTTGTTAGAAATGCAGAATCCCAGGCCCCAACTCCGACCTACTGAATCAGCTGAATCAGAATCTGCATTTTAACAAGATCTCCAGTGACTCACCCTCCACTGGAGTTTGGTAAATACCACCCTAGATCACTGTTCCCCAAAGCCTGGTTTAGGTATTGCTAGGGAAACTGGAGATGAGTTCAGAGAGTGTATAAACATTTTAAAATAATGGCTGTGTTTATTCTTATTATTACTTTCCTTCTTTTTATTACCTTCCAAGTGTTTATTCTTCCTGAGATCCTGTGTTTATTCTTATTATTACCTTCCATTTATTCTTAGTATTACTTTCCATTATTATAAACCAAGTGGTATTGGTTTTCCATTTATGATAATAAAGTTTATTTTCCAAAATAAACTTACTTGACTGAAAGCATGACTTGATTTATAGTAAATGTTAAATAAATGTGAGTTTAGGAGGTATGCGGCTGTCACAAAAACCACGAAAGTCATTTGTATACAAGTGGCCTTACTTAGTATGGTGCTTAAGAGCCTGGCCTCTGGAGCCTGACACTCTGGGTTTGAGTACCAACTCCTCCACTAATGACACTGTGTGACCTTGGGCAAGTTTCTTGACCTCTCCATCCTTCAATTGCCTCATCTGGAGAATGGAGATAATAATGGTATCTATCTCATTGGGGTGTCATGGTGCTTAAAAAAGGGCTAATATATGAAACACTCTAAGAACAGTGTCTGACACATAGTAAGGGCTGTGTCAGGGCTAATTTGCTTCACTGTTATCTAGAGCACAAATACATGCTCAGTGATTTTTTCATCAGATTTCCCCCAATCCTGTTCCTGGCTTCTCTGCTTACTCAGGCCAACATGCCCCACCTCCCCACAAAAGCTAAATATTTACAGATTTTTTATATCATTGAGAAGAGTGAGAGCAGCAACTTCCATTTGGCCAAAAAGAGGACAGTCTCATAGGTTGGAAGTCCAAGGAGAGAGATGTGAACAGAGAATTTGCTCATTAAATGACAAGAAAGTGACAACAGAAAGTGACCATCATAAAACATTCTCATCATCACCTGGAGAGAAGTTTAAAAATAAAATTCTTTTATTATTTTACTTATAGCTTTAGAAACTTTACTACATTTACGTTGAGAACCCTTTATTTGTTCCTTGTTTGCACGTGGGCTTGTGGGCTGCTATCTCCTGGCCGCAAGGTACCTTTAATAGATGAATGATGGACGCTTAGAGGTGGCAGGACCCTACTGAGATCATAATGTGAGATATATATTGCGTCATGGGGTTTATTAGCCTTCATTGGTTCAGAAGTGAGAAATCATTATTCTCCTCCCTCTGCCCCATTTTATAGCCAAAGAAACAAGGGATGTGTTTCTTTGAAAGAGGAACAGTGTCAAAACATACAAAGTTAGGATTGCACAGAGTACCTTATTTGCAGATTCCTAGTCAAGTGTGTTATTTTACTATTATTATTGTTTTGAGGTGGTGTCTCACTCTGTCGCCCAGGCTGGAGTGTAGTGGTACAATCGCAGCTTACTGCAGCCTTGACTTCCCCAGGCTCAGGTGATCTTCCCACCTCAGCCTCCTGAGTAGCCGGAACTACAGGTGTGCACCACCACACTTGGCTAATTTTCTTTGTATTTTTTGTAGAGATGGGATTTTGCCATGTTGCCCAGGCTGATCTTAAACTCCTGGGCTCAAGCTATCTACCCATGTCGGCCTCCCAAAGTGCTGGGATTACAGGTATGAGCCACTGCACCCAGCCCACATGCTTTTGTCAGATGGTGGCAGTAATCTTTCTTGCTTATATTTAAAAACATAAGCACACTTTCTGTGTGTGAACAGCTGTACTCTCACAGACTACTCTTGGAGAAAAAAAAGAGTTTGACGAGAGCAACTAGTGTGTAAAATTACTTACATGAGTTCTTTCTTTCTGAAATAACTCACAAAGTGTGGTTGGAACACAGACATATATAATTTTTTATTAAAAGAGAGGCAAGCCCAGTCCACATCACTTCTGAATGAGTACAGACAGGCTGAACATGTAGGGAAAGAAAGGGATCAAGTAGGGCGCCCGTACCCTCACCCTGGAATAGCTCCCGCTAAAGAGGTTGCAGTGCAGGTCCTGTGCGACCTGCAGACGTGTTCTGTGCTCTGTGGCCCACTGGCTTTTAAAAATGCTTTTTAAATTACATACCCAGATTTCAAAATTGAACTTCGCGCAAAAATCTAGATAGATATGGGGCTTTTGGAAGAGGGAAGTAGGGGGTTCTGGCCAATACTGGGCTCGTATTCCCATGGAATATCACCCAACCCATGCTGAGAGGGGCTCCTACTGCAGACCCAGGTCCATGTCCTGTAGCCATGTCCCGCCTGCGCTCTTTCACCTGTTATTTAGCCCACCTCTGAGTGGGTGGTCACAGCCTGCTCCCTGCTGGCAAGGGATGCTGGGGAAGGAGTTCCTACTTCTGGCTGGAGGAGGTGGGACTCACAATGTGGGAAATTCCTCCAGCATAGGGTAAGTGTTCAAAAGACGGTGGGCAACCACAAGACAGATGAGCACCCCTGCCCAAGGAGGAAGATGCTTGCAGGGTAGCTGAGTGTCATTGAAGAGCCTCCGTCATGGCAGCCTTTTCCTCTTCTCCCCCACACATGCAGAGCCTCCCAGGCTGCTTGTGTTCTCCCACTTCCAAATCTCTGATTATTTGCTGCTCCTGCTTACTAGAACAGACTCCTTTAGTCACCTCTCTGCCTGGTGAAAAATAAGATCACTTCCACCAAGTGTTTCTTTATTGCACCTCCTCCTCAAGTTTGAATGGATGATGCTATCCCTTAGCACTCTCTACCTCTCCTGGGGCATTTATCTGACTCCTGCTTTTTTTTTTTTTTTTTTTTTTGAGACAGAGTCTTGCTCTGTTGCCCAGGCTGGGGTGCAGTGGCGCAATCTAGGCTCACTGCAACCTCCGCCTCCCAGGTTCAAGCCACTCTCCCACCTCAGCCAGCCTCCCAAGTAGCTGGGATTACAGGAGCCTGCCACCACACCTGGCTAATTTTTTTGTATTTTTAGTAGAGACGGGGTTTCACCATGTTGGCCAGGCTGGTTTGGAACTCCTGACCTCAAGTGATCCACCTGCCTCGGCCTCCCAAAGTGCTAGGATTACAGGCGTGAGCCACCGTGCCTGAATTGACTCCTGCTTTTAACATAGTTATTTGTAGTGGTGATGATAAGTGTCACTTCCACGTATGTGTCAGGACGTGTACTGTGTCTTCATATACAGTGTTTGTTTTAATAGTGAAAACAAACAGAATTAAGCATTATCACTCCTAATTTACAAATGAAGAAAAGGAGGCCCAGTAAGGTAAAGTGACCTGACCAAGGCCACACGGCCAGGAAAAGGGAAAGGTGGAAGCGGAACCTGGGGCCGCCTGGTTCTGAGAGCAGGTGCTGTATTCGGGCCTCGCGTGGAAGTGAGTGTTAGTTCTGTTTCCCTCACCACCCTCTAATGGTGCTTGGATGTGTATTTCGATGCTGTTTTGCGATAGTTCATGAATTGGGAGAAAGTATAAAAGCCTTTGAGAATCTGTCCTTTTACATCCTAAACATTTTAAATACACTTCAGAGCAAAACAACATTTTTAAATGGGTTGAGAGAACACAAAGCCTCGAAGAGCTCTTGCGTGCAGCCCCTGACTTCCTGGAGCTCAGCATTCTCAACTGTCAGATTTTAACAAATACTTCTTTAGATAATTGCTTAATTATTGTATCTGGAAAAAAAAAAGCCTTTCACAGCCATCAAACACTACATATAAAACTATCCTCTAATCCTGGATTTTGAAAAATCCTTGCCTGTGACTTCAGCGAGGCAGCATCTCGGTGGCACCTAAGCATTCCCAGGTTCCTAAAGATAAAACTAGACGGAAACCAAGGCCGCTCAGGTGAGGGAGGGGCAAGCAGAAGAATTACAGCCACCTTTATGGGGTTTCTTTCACTTAAGGGTCTCAAAAATATTTTTAAATCTTTGCAAAATGGAAGCAGGGATATAACTTGACCTGAATCATATCAAGCTAATAAAGTAATGTGGTACAGTAGAAATGAGGTTTTAATGGCAAAACTCCATCTATACTAAAAATACAAAAATTAGCCAGGGGTGGCAGTGTGTGCCTGTAGTCCTAGCTACTTGGGAGGCTGAGGTGGGAGGATCGCTTGAACC
Source organism: Homo sapiens (assembly GCF_000001405.40). Taxonomy (NCBI): domain Eukaryota; kingdom Metazoa; phylum Chordata; class Mammalia; order Primates; family Hominidae; genus Homo; species Homo sapiens. Next base: position 29,830,544 of record NC_000007.14, read on the forward strand.
CAGGAGGTGGAGGTTGCAGTGAGCCGAGATCACGCCGCTGCACTCCAGGCTGGGTGACAGAGCGAGACTCTGTCTCAAAAAAAAAAAAAAAAAGAAAGAAAGAAATGAGGTTTTAGATAAGAAAAACCAGGGCTTTAAACTCAGCTCTGATGATCTTTCTGAAATTTAGTAGAAATTGCATACTTCTCTGAGGCAAAGTTGGGTTATTTGCTACATGGAAATATCAGCGTCTACCACGTGGTTGTTGAGAGGATTACATAAAATGTCTTAGAAGTCCCCAGTGCAGTGCTGAGCACCTACCGGGTGGGAGAGTCAAAAAGGTATAGAGCCAATCCTTATTACTTGCAGATTCTACATTTGCAAATTCACCTACGTGTACTCACGAAAGTGTATTTGTAACTCCAAAATCAGTACTCACGGTGCTTTTGTGGTCATTCCCAGGCATGTGAAAAGTGGTGAAAAACTGTAGACACTGACGAGCATGTTCCCAGCTGAGCTGAAATAACAGGACACTCTGCCTTCTTGTTTCAGCTCTCATCCTATAAACAAGTGCTCCTCTCTCAGTCTGTGTAATGCCACATTTTTTCCAAATTTTGTACTTATTGTTGGTGGTTTTGCAGTTTAAAATGGCCCCAAGCAAAGTGCTGAAGCGCTGCCTAGTATTCTTAAGCCCAAGAAGGCCGTGATGTGCCTTATGGAGAAAATATAAGTGTTTGATAAGATTTGTTCAGACATGACTCCTAGTGCCGTTGGCCATGGGTTGTCTTGTTCTATCTGGGCCCTCAACGGATTAGATGGCGCCCACCCACAATGGTGAGGAAGACCTTTACTCAGTCTGCAGATTCAAATGCTAACCTGTTTTGGAAACACCTTTACAGATACACCCAGAAATGATGTTCTACCAGCCAGATGGGCAACCCTTAGCCCAATTAAGTTGACACATAAAAGTAATCATCACGCTCTGTGTTCATGACAACTTTCTAAACATAACTATAGTGAATAATGAGAATCAACTGTATTTTATTTAGTTCCTATATTGGATAGGTTCAATATTAGTGGATAAAACAAATTAACTCAAAAATCTTCATGGCTTAACACAATGGGAGTTTATTTTTCACATATGTAAAGTCTAATCAGGTGTTTGGCAGGTAGTCTTACAGGTGAGTCAGGGACCCGGACTCCTTTCATCTTGTGGCTCTGCCAACACATAGGACCTTTGCTACAGTCAATGGGCGGGGAAAGAGAAAAGTCGTGGGCAGAAGGTCTTTCTGAACCAGCCCAGAAGTAATAGCACATCACTTCGACCTTCATTGCATTGACCAGAACTCAGTCTCGTGGTCACACCTAGCTGCAAGGGAGGCTGGGAGATGCAGTCTAGCCATGTGCTGAGGGATTACAGGAATAGCTCTGCTGCAGTTCTCCTTAAAGTCTCTTTATACAGTTATTTTTTCTTAGGTAAATGACAAAACCCTTAGGTAAGTGGTATTTCCGTTTGTAAAGGTTATTCTTCCCCACCTTTTCCAGTTTTTCACCAGGGGAAGCATTTCTGTCTCCTGTCATGTGTCTTAGTTAAAAGATGAGATCCTTATATAATGAGACCTCTAGATATTCTCGTTCTGTTAATACTTCAACCAACTCTTTAATCTTTGCTATAAATTTTTGACTAAAAATATTTTTGCCACTGAATAAAAGATCATAAAAAATAGACCCAGTGCCTCCTGTAAAAGAAAGTGTTAAAATACAAATATCTGATAATTTGTGCTTGTTCCAACTAAATTGTGGGCCTGCATCCAAGTTGCCTTAGCACCAGCCTGTAAAATGCTAACTGTGTCTAACCCTATGTCATTGTGTGTATTAGTTTAGTGCACCATTAGTTTAGTTTTGGTAATAAAATAACACTGATGTTACCTGAAAGAAACACGTACTACCCCATGAGATCTCTGCTCAATTTTACTATGGTTTTATGCTGTGGACTCTGATGAGTATTTTCCTTTTCGGTCTTTCTGTTCTTGTTTTAATATCAAGGAATGAGGCAGTAACACAGTGATGATCAGGCTCCTTCTTTCAAGGAGCCTGAAATACTTTGTAAGAAAAGTGTAGTTGTGTACAACAATCAGCTTATGCACCTCCTTGGAACTCTTAGGAAAACTATCATGGACTCTTTCCCCAAAAAAGTTGCACTGACACACATATTTTACGCCATTTTCAATTTTTGTACAAATTTAGATTAATCCTGCTGGGAAAAAAGATGGTACCATATGATCCAGCAATTCCACTCTTGCATATACGCTGAAAAGAATGAAAAGCAAGGTCTTGAAGAGATATTTGTACACCAATGTTCATAGCAGCATTTCTCACAACACCCCAAAGGTGAAAGCAACCCAGGCACTCATCAATAGATGAATGGCTCAACTAAATGTGGTGTATACGTACAATGGAATAATTCAGAATGAATTTCTGATCCATGCTACAACATGAATGAAAGTTGAAAACATTATGCTAAATGAAATAAGCCAGACTCAAACGGACAAATGTTGTATGGTTCCACATATATGAGGTACCTAGACTAGACAAATTCATAGAGACAGAAAGTAGAACAGAGGTTACTGGGGGCTGAGGGGAGGAGACAGTGGGGAGTTATTGTTTAATGGGTACAGAGTTTCTGTTTGGGATGATGAACAAGTTTTGGAAACGGATAGTGATGCTGGTTGCACAGCATTGTGAATGCACTTAACGCCACTGAATTGTATACTTAAAAGGAGTTAAAATGATAAATCTGATATTCTTGGACTTTAGAACCTGTTAAGCCTTGGTTCCAATCCCAGGTCTGCTGGTTATAGTATAGGTGACTTTGAGCAAAAGAGTTAATGTCTCTGAACATCCTTTTCTTTATCTATAAAAATGGGGATGCTAGGGCGTTGAAGCCCTGACCTTAGAAGATTCTTGTAGAAATAAGTGTGATTAGTGTGTCACATAATTGCCATTTATAAAAAGATAAAAAGAACTAACATATTAGGTGAGCAAAATTCAGTGGACTATGCTAACAAGAAAGCATCACATTGCATAAATGCTTTTGGCCTCTGTGGAGACAAGAATATTAACATGAAAAAACATAAATGCCACAGGATTTTAAAGATGAAAAAACATAGGGACAGGCCTTGTTCTGGTCCTCCAGTAACCAAAGGGACAGCAGGAATACAAAATCACCCCTGCCCAAGTGTAAGGTTTATTTCAGTTTCTGCTTTGATTGTTTTTAGGTTCTTATATAGGTTTTTCCAATTCTTATAAACTATGGGGTTTTTCTTTAATACAGATTTTAAGTCCTTGCAGTGTGCCTTGCTATGGGTTCTAAGACACATGCCCACATACACACATATGCATGCACACATACAGGCTCCACACATTTATCCAGAGATCAGACCTCCTATAATATTAACTATTTGAAACAGAATCATATTGGCAGAATCATGCCAAAAAGCCCCCTGCATAGCAAATACCAGATAGAAAGTCTAGGCAGAGGAGAGGAGTGGCCCATCCTCATCCAGATGGCTGGGTAGAAATGATGACACAGGAATAGCAGGGAAAGTAAGAGCTGACAGGAGAGAAAGAGGCAGGAAAATGACTAGCGCCCTAAGCCTTGCTCGAGGCTGGCATCATGAGTTCATGTTGAGCCTGTGACATTCAGAAAAGGTTACATTTCATTCTGTTTGCTCTGCTTAGGAAAATGGGAGTCTATGCAGAATGATTGAAAATGATAAAACTAAAAATTTAATGCTAAAGAGGTAGAAGTCAGTTATCTGGAAAAATTATTATGGAATGAAGGATTGCTATATATATATACATATATATGTATATTCTATTTGTACTGAGACACAAATAGCTAAATTCTATCAGTTTTAACACCTATTATCTCTAGAATCTGGCTGCTTTTGTCAATCTCCAGCACTTAGCACAAAGCTTGCCTCAGAGTGGGCACTCTGTGAATAAATGAATGAACAAATGAGTGAATGAATGAACAGGTGAAAGAATCAAGCTGACTATAATATGCATGTCTGCAAGATACACATTTCCTGCATGTAAGTAAAGAAATCCAAGTTTAAATCCATTCTTTTTCTCTTTTTCAGAGCAGAAGCCACTCTCTTGGGACCATTCATAAGCAGGAGACATCAACACCGTGACACATGCCAGTGCCACCGCCACCCCCACCTCCTCTGCCTCCACCTCCCCCGCCTCTGGGGGCTCCTCCCCCTCCCCCACCATCAGCACCCCCGGTAAGACCTTTTTTTCTGATTGGTTTACTGTGGAGCATAAACTGCTTGAATACACTTGAGCAGAAGGTTTTAAATGTTCAGAAGTAGCACTGCCTAGCTTCCCTGTGGCAGGTGGCATCTTAGGTGGCTGGATCTGGCAGCTTTAGAGTCTGATTCCAAACCAGCCTGGCTCAGCCATTTCTCTCCCCCATTCTTCGGCAGCTTCCACCTCCACCTCATTGGTCTACTGATGTCTACCTCATTTCTCTTCTCATTCCTGCTGCTTGGTACAGGCTCGCGAGTCTGAGTGACTTTCTGTCTCACTGGAAACCTCACGCAATGGGCCATGCCAAAGTGCACGGCCAATGAGGCCTTGTGAAGTCAAGTTCCAGTGTGGAATTTGGATGGTGATAATGAGAGATTGAGCTTCAGTCCCCTAGTGTAATAGGAAATGCCACAACGAGATATAAAATCCTTACATGAAGTTTCCCTATCTACACAAGACTGAATCGAGGCTATTTCAGTTCGTGTTGCTGAATGTTCTCTCTTGGTTTCATAGTTTGGTTTGTGTCTAGAAGTGGGCCACTGAGGGTGGTCATTTTGTTTTGGAACAGGGATTCTCAGCCTTGGCACCACTGACATTTGGGGTGAGATCATTTGTGTTGTTTGGGCTGTCCTATGCATTGTAGGATGTTTAGCAACATCCCTGGCATCTACCCACTAGATGCCAGTAGCACCCCCCAATTGTGGCAGTAAAAAAATGGCCCTATATATTGCCAGATGTCCCCTTGTGGGGCAAAAATCACCACCGCACACACGGTTTCAGAAAAATGCTAGTGCTTACTGCTTATGGCAAACTTTTCCTCTGAAGAAAACCAGGAGCACTTCTCACACTCATTTTCCATTCCTCACACCACTTCAGTGAGGGGCGTCTCGCATCCGCTCCGCAGCTTCTGTTTTCCGTGGAAAATGAACGAGATGACGGTATGGCACACAGAGACAGGGCTGCTTAGAGATGGTGTGAGCCAAGTCAGCAGAAGCCAGGAACAGAACCTCCCTGCCATCCTCCCCACCGGATGCAACCCTCCCTCAGATGTGCAGATGACATGGCCCTGAGGAGTGTTGGCTATGAAGGGAGAGCCTGCGGCCCCTGCTGCATGACCACAGGCCCTGGTGAGGGTGAGAGTATGCCTGAGATGTCACCCCACGTGACATTCGTTTGGACACTGACCCTATCTGAGGTGCCAAGGGCTTAGACCTGCCTGGAACTTGGCTCTTGCCCTGCAAGACAGTAGAAAGAAAGCACATAGTATAAATTACGTTTGAGAGCTTTCTAACCAATATAAACAAAGAATAGGAATAGGTATTGAAGTTTCACTGCTGAATTTGACCCAAAGTCAAATTCAAGGTCATTGCCACAAAGTGATGGTTTGTAAGTAAACACACATGAAACTATCATATGGATCTTGCAAGCACTGAAGAAGTACAACTTAGAATAACTGCAAATACTGACGTACCCATAAATTTAGCCAGAATAAATAAACTGAACAAAATCCATGTTATTGGAGGTTTGAGAAAATAATCCTTTTTAAACATTGCTGGTGACAGACAAATGTCTAGGACTCAGTAAAAGTTGAACAGGTCTTTCTGGAGTGTTCTCTGTAAGAAAACAGTAAATGTGTATGTATCATAGTTTTCCCCTGGTAATCAGGTAGTTTTATTTTTGAGACTGATTTAAGAATTTAACCCTAAAAATACCAAAAAGAATTTATGCAAGGATATGTCCAACAATGCTATTTATTCTAGCGAAAAAATAGATCTTAAATGGCTTACGAGAACTAAATGAAATGTGTTATGTCATACTGTTAATTAAAAATTGCATTATGCAGTGGTGGTAATTAAAACTTACATCTGGCGGGGCACAGTGGCTCACACCTGTTATCCCAGCACTTTGGGAGGCCGAGGTGGGCAGATCACCTGAGGTCAGGAATTCAAGACCAGCCTGGCTAACATGGCTAAACCCCATCTCTACTAAAAAATACAAAAATTAGTCAGGCATGGTGGCAGGTGCCTGTAATCCCAGCTACTCAGGAGGCTGTGGCAGGGAGAATTACTTGAACCCAGGAGGCGGAGGTTGCAGTGAGCCAACATCGCACCACTGCACTCCAGCCTGGGTGACAGAGTGAGACTCTGTCTCAAAACAAAAACAAAAACAACTTACATCTATGCTGATATGGAAAAGTAGATATAAAATGATGGATTGGAAACAACACACATTTTGGCCGGGCATGGTGGCTCACACCTGTAATCCCAGCACTTTGGGAGGCTGAGGCAAGTGGATCACGAGGTCAGGAGATGGAGACCACCCTGGCTAACACGGTGAAACCCCGTCTCTACTAAAAATACAAAAAAATTAGCTGGGCATGGTGGTGGGCGCCTGTAGTCCCAGCTACTCGGGAGGCTGAGGCAGGAGAATGGTGTGAACCCAGGAGGCGGAGCTTGCGGTGAGCCGAGACCACGCCACTGCACTCCAGCCTGGGCAACAGAGTGAGACTCCGTCTCAAAAAAACAAACAAACAAACAAATGAAAAACACATTTTGTGCATAATGAAATCAACTACTTAATATATGTAATAAATAGCAAAAATCAGAAGAGAATTTGATAATGTTGACAATAACATTTAATATTTTATTAGGGAATTTCTTCTTTAAAGATGCTTAAATGCATAATAAAAATAATTGTACATTTGGTTAAATTTTTTGAATTCTCTCCTTCATTTCTCTCTCTCTTTCTCTTTCTGAAGAACAGGTCAATTTAGGAGTAAAATAATCATGTAAATTTTAATATTTTCTTAAAACATATTTTCTACATTTATGTAGAAAAATAATGTGTACACTTACAATACATATTAAAGGCAAATAATTAACGTCTTTAGCATATAAAGAGCTCTTACAGATTACTATGGAAATGATGAATACAAAGATGGGCACAGGATATGATTAGATTGAAGAAATGCAAATATTTTAACCTCACTACAGTTTAATAAGAACAAATTAAAATAATGAGAAACCATTTTTATCTATCAGTTTAGTGAGATATTTTTATTTATTTATTTATTTAGTTAGTTAGTTATTTAGTTATTGAGACGGAGTCTTGCTTTTTCGCCCAGGCTAGAGTGCAGTGGCACTATCTCGGCTCACTGCAAGCTCCTCCTCCCAGGTTCACACCATTCTCCTGCCTCAGCCTCCCGAGTAGCTGGAACTACAGGTGCCCGCCACCACGCCCGGCTAATTTTCTCTATTTTTAGTAGAGACGGGGTTTCACTGTGTTAGCCAGGATGGTCTTGATCTCCTGACTTTGTGATCCACCTGCCTCAGCCTCCCAAAGTGCTGGGATTACAGGCGTGAGCCACTGCGCCCAGCCTAGTGAGATACTTTTTAAATGTTGGCTGGAGTATTAGGAACTAGGCACTTATAACTCTTGGTGGGAGCAAAACTTAGTGAAATGCCCTAAGATACAATTTGTCAGTAAAAAATGGACCTAGTTTCACTTCAAGTAATTTTCTTGACATGGCTTCACTTCAAGTAATTTTTATTTAAGTAACTAATCATAGATATACAGAAATATATAGCTATAGGAGATTAATGAAAGTATTACTTGTAATAATAACCAAAAAGAAAGAAACAAAAAACAACCCACATTTTTTATGACAGCAGATTCAATAATTTATTATATATCCTCTAAATGGTATATGAAGCAGCCATTAAAATCATATCAGAATTAAAAAGAAGAAAATGACAAATGTTGGCAAGGATGTGGAGTGATGGAAACTCTCATACACTGCTGGTGGGAGTGTAAATTGATATAAACCCTTTGGAAAACCGTTTGACAGCACCTACCACAGTTAAACATGTGCATCCTAGGTAGATATCCAAGAGAAGTATGTGCCTGCATGACCCAAAAGACATGTTAAGAACATTTGTAGCAGCATGAATAGCACAAAACTGGAAACAACCCCCTATGTCCATCAATGGCAGAATGGATTGATAAAATGTGTGTTATGGTCATGCTCTAAAGTATTATACAGCAGTGAAAATGAATCAACAATACATGCAACAATGTGGAGGAATAGCCACGTGACAAAAGAATACATGCTGTATGATCCCATGTATATAAAGCTCCAAAACAGAAAAAAATAAACTACAGTGTTTAGGAATGCAAGACAAGCTGGTAAAATTATGAGGAAAAGCAAGAAAGGGATAACCATAAAATCAGGAGATGGCACCCTTTGGGAGGAGAGTGGGGGACTCAGGATCAGAAAGGCCCTGGGTGCTTCTAGAGTGCTGGCAAGACTCTAATTCTTGACACAGGTGGCGATGACATACAGTATCACTTTATAGAAATACGTTAAACTGTACAAAATTATTTTATGTGCTTTTCTATTTGTGGCACTGGACAATTTAAAAGGTTAAAAGAGAAAAAAATCATATCCAAATTAATTTGTAACTTCCAATGTCGTGATTGATTCAGACAAGAATCATCTATGAAAGCTAAAACCACTGGGTGAAAGGTTGTGGGGGAAAAAGATGTTCTCAGGGTCAGAAGTATCACCCACAGATGCTTCTTACTGCAAAGGGGAAAGTGTCTCTTTAAAATGGATCAAACTTACCGTCACGTGTAATGGAATGACCTCCTATCACAAGCCTCTGCTGGATACAAGGAGGCGCACAGAGCGTCACCCTGTGGTAATCTGCCCGGAATGAATGACCTCATGAGCAAGCAATCAGACACATGCAGAATGTGGGACCTTCTGCAACAGAGGCTGGCAAACCAGGACCCCTGAGCCACAGCCAGCTCACCACCTGTTTTTTATCGTCCTCCAGCTAAAACTGGTTTTTACATTTTCAAATGGCTGGAAAAAAATTAAAAGAAAAGTAATATTTTGTGACACATGAAAAGTATACGAAATTCATGTTTCAATCCATAAATAGTGTTATTGGAGCACAGCCACACTCATGCAATTTGTCTATGACTGTTTTTATGCTACAGCAGCAGAACACCAATTAAGCAAAATGTTATTCCTCAAAGAATTCCATTCTTCTCACTAGTAGGCTTGAATTTTAAAAATTTTACTCAATTATTATTACTATGTTCTGAGTTCTGTCAATAAATATTTTGTGGAAGTTTCTTTTCTCTTTTGTTATATAAGTATATACATTATATTCTAGATTTTTGCCTCTTGGCCCACATACCTAAAATATTTACAGCCTGGCCCCTTCCAAGAGAAGTTTGCCAACACCTGTCCCGCAGTCAGCTGGGCTCATTCAGCCTCCCATTCCCACTACCCACCACCCACCCACTGCAGTAGCCAGAGATCTTGCATGCGCACATCCTCTGCTTCTCCTCTCGAGAACTTCCTGGACCCTGTTGAGCTGTGGCCCACTCCATCCTGCATGGTCTGGCCCCTGCCTGTCTCTAAGACCTCCTCCTGTGCCCCTGTCCTGGAGTCTCCTACTTAAGGCCTCTGCATAGCCATTGAGAGCCTGGAAAGGCTCTACACAGTCATCCCAGCTCAGGTGTCCCTTCCTCCTACATTACTGGCTTTTATATCTTTTATATCTGCAAACCCCCCACTTCAGAGCAGGTAGTAGTTTTTAACTTTTTTAAAAATTTGACTGGGGTCTATATTTGATGTTTTGTGTCACTCATGCCTGGCTCGAAATAAGTACTCAACTCACTGAATGAATGAATACATGAATGAATGAACAATTATTTATGTAAATTGGGTTAAGAAATGGAGTTAAAACTTTTTATAATCAGTGTTCAGGACTCTAAACATCTATGTTGTGAAAGAAAAAAGTATATTTGAAGGTAGAAAGCATGGTAAGAAAGACTTTGTTTAGGACCATCACAACAGGTGGATAGGATTTTGCAGTAGGGGAGAGAGATTGGGCTCAACTCCAAATACAACATGGGCAAGAGGGAATGTATAGCCCAGGAGCAGGGTGGGGGTCAGTGAATATACTAAAAAGAAACATCAGGGCTAAAGGAGATTCTGGCTGAATGCAGCTAACAAGATTCTTACTGAAGACAAGCCAGGGTGATCGGACATACCCTGGTGGTTGGTGAAGGATAAGGCACCTGATCGGATATCAAGGGTGATCAGATATCGAGATGGGGTCGTTCTTGCTAAACCGACGTAGCAGGGGGTTTTGCCAAAACTGGATTTTACAAGGGAGTGCACAGATGGGCCTGGGAGAAGCTTTGGAAGCTTGGTTAAATTTTGGTTACAAGGTCAGGATTCTCTGGTCAAGCAGAGAGCCTTTGTCAGTGGCATAAGCCAGCATGTCAGGTTTTATTATATGTAATCTTTGTAAGATGGGGATCATTTTGTGTGATATGTCTGATCCTCTGTAACGAAATGCAAACTTCACACCGGCTCTGGAAGACCTGGGGAGTAGGTTAGGGGGAAATTAGGCTAAACATTTTTTAGTTTCAGCCTTCTACCTCTCTCCCCTCACCCCTTCTTGCTCCTCCTCATCTCCGTCGCTGATGAGCATCTTTTCTTTTTTCAAGAGCGTGGAACAGAGAAAAGGGCTGATGGAGCCTGCTGAAGCTGTGGAGCAGGCTTAAAGCAAAGCCAGACGGGCTCTCTTCATCTCCTTTCCCTCTTTTCTTGCTTCTGGTTCCCCAGTTTTTGAGCTCCTTTGTCTGATCTCTTTAAAATTCAATGTTGTCTGGCACAGTGGCTCAAGCCTGTAATCCCAGCACTTTGGGAGGCCAAGGCAGGTGGATCACTTGAGGTCAGGAGTTCAAGACCAGCCTGGCCAACATGGTGAAACCCCATCTCTACTAAAAAATACAAAAATTAGCCAGGTATGGTGGCGAGCACCTGTAATCCCAGCTACTTAGGAGGCTGAGGCAGGAGAATGGCTTGAACCCAAGAGGCGGAGGTTGCAGTGAACCAAGATCACACCACTGCACTCCAGCCTGGCTCAAAAAAATAGTAATAATAAATAAAAAATAAAATCCAATATCAATGTCAAAATTGCCCACATGGTGTGTTGGTCCACTTAAAATTAAATTATTACTGTTGCTTTACTTATAAGATGTAACCTAAAAATATATCTAAAGGAAATAGAATGGATTTGATATTTGAAATGCATCAGAATTTTACCAAACTTTTCCTTTCAACTGTACTTTGACCCCTTGGTAGATTCCAAGATGAGCAAAGAAGCCCCTCGGGGGCCTGTGATTTCGGTTTTCTTGCCACAGTCCCTAACCATGGGCAGTGCACTCTCCCTACATGTCACTGACCAGCTGAGAAATTCTTTGGAGTTGGGTTGCCCAGGCAAAGCCTGACAGTAGGGTTTATGGCTACAGCATTTGTGTTTATTTATAAAATAGAATGTGGATTTTTATACCATTATTATTTAATGTTGCCATTCAAGTTTCAATATCCTAAGGAAGAAACAGTTCACCTAGGGCAGGCCATGTCTTATTATTTAAATACAAAGGGGAAACTGGCTTGATAATCACTTTTTACCATGAAAAGCAACGCTCTAAGTAGGAAGACACTGAGGTGCCGTATATTTCTGCCTGCCCGTTCCGGGAGTGATGTTTCATAGAATGCTGAAGGGAGATTACAGTGAGAGGCTTATCGCACCCCTAGCTGTTTTCCTCCCTCGTTCCTGTTTGCCAGAGTCTTTGCTTTCAGGAAATTCAGTGGCATGATTTTTCTCCTTGTAGTCTAAGGATTGCATGATTCCTCGGCAAAGTGGGCTTTCGAGTAGGAAATATAAGCTGTGACATATATTGGGAGGTTTTCCCACCGTCTTTAACATGCTGGGGTGCATGCAGTGTAGAAAAACATGCCAATCTGTGAAAGAAAATGGAGAAAATGGAGTGCCCTCTGAAGTCTCATGAGAGCTTTTTTTGGAATTTTGTGTTTGCTGTTGTTAAAAAAAAATGCAGGGGCAGAGGGTCGCTAGGTGGAAGGGTGCTTAGTAGAATTGCATATTGCACCATATTCTGGAAAAGGTAATTTGCATGTCTGCTGGTTCATTTGGAATAATGAAAGGCTTAAAAATTCTTACACACTGTCACTCACTTAGGTTCCCCTGACACTCTGGTACTTCGATTAGTGTCACTAATGAGGGACTGGGGACGCTTACCAGGAACTGATAGTGGCCACTGGAATAAGGATAAGGCATTTGCATCAGGCCAAGCTGTTAGGATAGTATTAAGTTGACATTTGGTTGCTGCTTAACAGTTTGCAAAATGACACCTTTGTCTTTAAGCAATTCTAAAAACTTGATTTTCCCTCTCTTCTTTGGTGGTGAACACCAGGAGCAGGAACATGGCTTTAGTGAAAAATGAGCTAGTGTTGGCAGCAGGTTTCCTTGGTCTGGAAGAGAAAGAGGTGTGGCAGGACCTGCCACTCATACTTCCAAAGGGCCATTCAGGGTGGTATTTAAATGTGTTTCTTTTTTCACAGCTGTGAGGTGGGAGGGGTGGCAGGAACAAAGAGGAGAGGGCTTGCAGTGGTGTGCAGGAGGCAGCGATTACAGACTCATAATGCCCAGGACTTGGCAAGAAAAGCCTGCGAGCGCTTGTTAAGGGCCTTTGTTGAGTTTCATAGGAGCCCGGAGCATAAGCCGCTCGCAGGCGGTGTCTGAGCTGAGGGTTACGGCAGGAAGGTGACAGGGGGTACAATGCCAAAGGGTGACCCTAGGGTTTGTCTCTGGAGCAATGATTCCTAACTGGAGCTTTCTGTTATACCCAAATCTTCTGGCTCTTTGCCTTGGAAATATTTTAAGATTCCAGGGTAACTAACGATTCCTAGAAAACTGCCAGCGAACCTTTCCTCCCTCCACCAGGTTTGTCTTTTCATCTGTACGCTGCTGTGCTTGCGAAGGTCACCATCGTTGGGAGGCTGGGATCTTTGGAGCCACTTACTTCTTTCCCCAAACTGTTCTTTCCTTCTTTAACCTTTCTTGTCATAAAAGGGAAAAAAAAACTCCACCCACGTCAGGTTGTTGCTGGTGGTTAGAGAACCAGCCCTGCCCAGGGAGGAAAAGCTCTCATCAGGTGGGGTGAGGAGGGGTGGCCCATGCTGAGCTCCACATCTAGTGGTGCTGGACTCTGCAATGTGACTTCCTGGCTGCCAAGCCAACACGCCACATCTCTGCAGTGGAGGGCTGGCTTGGCAGCCAGGAAGTCACGTTTCCTAGATTGTTTAATAAAAGGACAGGTAACATGAAGTGAGAAAAACAGGATACATGTAGACAGTGTAGTCCCAATTACGTAAAAGAAAACTGTGTGTGCACAGGCTTGCCTATGCACTCTCACATAAAGGCTGTAAGGACATGGAAAACGTGTCATCACTGGGTATCTGGGGTGGAAAAGGGTTGGGTGATTTTTATTTTCTTTTTTTTGTGAGTCTGCGTCTCCTCAGATGTCTACATGGAACATTTGTTTCTTTTATAATTAGAAGAAAAGGTTTTTAAAAAGGAATGAATTATCACTTACCCATTGGCTGAGTTGGATCCTGTAACAATAATGCTTCATAATAACAGGCATCTACTAAATAGCTATTGTGCCCCCAAGTACTGTGTTAAGCACTTAACATGGATTGTCTAAATTATCTAAATATTTACAACAATCCAATGAGGTAGGGACCGGTAGTGCCATTTTAAGGATGAGAGAACTGAGGCACAGAAAGTTTACTTACGTGCCCAGTGTCACACAGCCAGTCATGGGTAGAGGCTGGATTCCTCCCCTGCCTTTCTGGCCATTGAGCCTAACTGCCGTGTGCCCCACTGCCTCCAGCTGCGTGAACGGGTTCAGTAAGTGGTACTGATGACTAGGCAATGAACACTTATCTAGCATTTACTATGACCTTTGCATTGGCCTGTGGACTAGCACATAGTAATTGAGTTATTCTTCACAGTAACCCTTTGAGGCAGGTACTGTTCTCATTTTAAGGATGAGCTAACTCAGGCACTGGGGGCACGTCACTTACTGGGCAGGGCTATTATTGGGACTCTGGCCGAACGGCTCCCGGCTGTGCTCTGAAGCGCTAAACCAAAAGCCCTTCGATGCAGATCTTCTCAAGGATTACTTCTACTTCTCTCAATCTAAAAGCCAGGAAGTCAATGGATTCGGCTCCCCATACCTTGGCCAGAGCTTCCACATTTCCTCCAAGCTGCCTCCTGAGATTGCTGTTTTCTTTCCTTTTTTTTTTTTTTCTGTGTGGTTCCATTGTTTTCCCCACTTGCTTTTTGGTTCTTCCACCCTTCTAATAGGAAAAAAAAAAACACAAAAAACATATTGCATATTGTCCTCGGAATAAAACTCATGGTTTAGAGAGATTCTGATAGAGAATCAGCATGGAAAAAGAAGATGCAGTGCAAAGGAACTCGGTTTTGTTTTGTCTTCGTTTACAGCTAATGGCAGATGAGCTCAGAAGGATAGGGTCTCTGCTGCTAGCAGTGCGGGGCACATAGTGAGGACAGTGGCTGCCCCTTGAGCTCAGTGACAGCAGACTGTGTTCTTAACCTTGATCAGGCTATCATGCAAATTTAACTGAGCTTTGGCCACACAAAATTACTAAGTCTCTGCCTCTGAAGAGTTTAGAACCTGAATCCAGAGAAACCAGGGCATGACATTGGTCACTGCTTGGTCATGAGAAAGATGAGTATAGAATTGGCTTCTTATTCCTAGACTAAAACTTTGTACCATATGTTGCCTCTTCATTAAGTATTTCCTGAATACGGGATCCTGAAGTCTCATCTTTAAAGAGCCCTCTTGCCCTCTGAATTAGTCACCTTTCATCCCTAAGCTTGCTTCTCTGCATATCAGGCATTAGATGTGCCTAGATAATGTTGTGAGCTCTCTCCTAAACAGACCAGAGTCGGATGAGGGATGAGGGAGGATCTTGGGGCCAATGGTCACAAAGCAGCTAATGAGAGATCTGAAGACAGAGAGTCTGTGCCTAGGTCAGTCCGAAGGACGTAGTAGGCACTCAGTTCCTAGCCTTTCTTCCTGATCTAGTGAGTTTAGTGCAGATACTGTAATTCACCAGGCAAACCCACTATGAGCTAACCAACCACGATTTTCCATTTGCCGTGAGCCTAAGCCTTGAAAGCCAGAACAACATTCTGCGTTGTGTTGTATGAGAACACCATCAACATTGGACCTGGCTGTGATATGAAAGTTATTTTTTAAAGAAGAAATAAAATTAAAAAAGAACACCCTCAATGCATTTAAATTTTAGTAAGAATATTTTATAAAGCAAATGCAGTTATATCAGAAGTAACAAATATAGGGACAGCAAAATTTAATACTTGGGTATTATTTTAAAAGCCATAAAGTATCTTTTGGCACAGCCTTTCTCATTCCAACTCATTATTTTCCAAGAGAATAGACCCTGTGCCTTTTGCTTTGCATGAAGATTTTTTAAAAATTCACAGAAAGGAACACAGCGTACCCACTTTGTACATGCTAGCAATAGATTTCCATTTTAATAAGGCCTGTTCACAATAGAGGAGTCTGAATGTGTTTTCAAGTTGGTTAAAGCAGGATGCCACCTGTACCACATAGAGTATTTAAAACACAATGGTGGCCAGGCACGTTGGCTCATGCCTGTAATCCCAACACTTTGGGAGGCCCAGGCAGGTGGATCACCTGAGGTCAGGAGTTCAACACCAGCCTGGCCAATATGGTGAAACCCGATCTCTACTAAAAATACGAGAATTTGCTGGGCATGGTGGCGTGCGCCTGTAATCCCAGCTACTCGGGAGGCTGAGGCAGGAGAATCGCTTGAACCTGGGAGGCGGAGGTTGCAGTGAGCCAAGATCACACCACATTGTACTCCAGCCTGGAAGACAAGAGCAAAACTCTGTCTCAAAACAAAAATCAAAAAACAACACGGGGTGTAAAAACAGGTTTAAACACGTTTGTGTCCCACAGTTGTCCAATCAGCACTCATTGTGCTAAGCTGTCTGCTTCAGTAGGGATCATGTAATGGTGCAGCCTGGTGTATTAAAAACAAAACGTGGATTCTAGAGTCATACACCTTGGAAGCAGAATTTCAGCTGTGCCATTTCCTAGCCATAGGATGTCAAGCAAATTACTTAATAACTCTAAGCCTCAGTTTCCTCATTTGTGAATGGGACTAATAATTGCCACTTCCTAGGGTACATTGCTCCTAGAATGGAAACTTCATAGAGGGATTGTTTTTGTCTATTTTGCTCACAATGCATCTTTAATGCCCTGAACAGGAGTATAGCAGGCATAGAGTTATTGTGAGGATCCCATAAGATAGCAGTAGCAGCTGTTGCTTACCAAGAGCCTCCTTAGTAAATAGTACCTACTTTCATTTTGGGGACTGGAAAACAACTGGATAAATAACCCGATCTTGGACCGACATGTTCAGGTCAAAAGTCCTTGTGGTCAATACAGGGCAGGAGGTCAGACACTAGAAGCCAAGATCAAAATTGAGAACCTGAGTTATCCAAGTGGGAAGTCAGGCCGGCAGTCTGAAAATAGCCCAAAAATAGGTGGTATGGGACCAAGGGAAAGCTTCTCCTATGCCCTCTGAAGGTTTGTTAAAAATCACTGAAAAGAGGCCAATTAACAGGAGAAAAGGCATATAAATTTTATTAACGTGTACCTGGGAGTCTTTAGAATAAAGACCCAACGATGTAGCGGAAATTATCTATTTTATGTTTAGGTTGAACAGAGTATTGACAGCCGTGTGGAAATATGATTAGACAAAGAGGGTAGATCCGATGCTAATAGACTGAACAGGGGAAACCCAGCAAGGTGTGTCTGTCTAGACTCCTTCGGCCTCCCTGAGCTGCATTCCTTCCTTCTGGGTGTGGGACAAGACCCTCTCTGGAATGAGGTCTTATGACCTACAATCAAACAAAACAGGTCAGATAATTTCTTTATGGCCAGTTTTTACACTGAAGGCGGTGGGGAGTTAGAGTAATATTTTTAGGTTTATGGCTGGCTTTGGGGAAAAGGGGCTCTGGTTTCTATGACCCTCCTTGGGGAAGAGGGGTTCTAGTTTCTGTGGTTAGCCTTGGGGGAGAATGGGACTGAGCGACAAGAGGTCAGGTGAAGGTCAGAGATAAACTTTTGCCTCTGAGGCTACTTCTGAGGCCTTCATTTTGGGGAATTGTTTTAATTCCAAACAATGTGCAGATGTTACCATTTCTAGGTCATCTGGGGTTCCAAGTCCATGGGGCCAGTACTTGCTCCTGCAGCATGATTCTTAGGAGTGGAATGGTTTGTCTTCTCTCCTCTTTTGCTGAGTTGAGTGGACTTGGGCCCACGGGTGTAGCAGGAGGTACCTGGAACCAGCCACAGATTAGACCCACATGGGTGCAGCTATAGGACTGTAACTGCTAAAGCTAGCAACAAATACACGAAGATCCGGGGGCATCCTGAGCATCCACTCCAGTGAGATGGCAGCTCCATTCAAACATTTTAAACATTTGGAGAGGACTTTGTTTTCTAAGCTGCCGTTGGTTCGTCATTTCACAAGCAGCTTCACCAGTAGCAGACCAAGAGGGAAGGGAAGGACGTGGGTTTCCCTAGACTTGCGTTTCCCTGGAAGGTTTAATCGTGATACTCATGCAAGAATTCTGGATCACCTGAGCCCAAGCCCCTCTCCAAAGCAAAGAAAGAAGTTCTTTAGGCCTTGTGGCAGCTTTGGGATGCTGAGATTCTAGTGCTGTGGGTTGGTCTTTCTCTACCTGAGCCAAACATTCATTTAAAACTCTACTACCCAGGGAAATTTGAACACTGATGGGATATTGGTTTATATAAAGGAACTGTAGATAATTTTACAGCTAATTTTATTTAATAATATGCTTGTTATATTTTAAGAGCTCTTTTCTTCTATAGCTATATACTGAAATATTTGTGGGTGATTTCGTACAGTGTTGGATATGTTTTTAATAAGCAGGGATTTGGAGGGGGAACGTGGGTTGTGGAAAGACATAACAAGATGGGCTGGAGTTGATAATTGTTGAAGGTGGATGATGATGCCTGGAGGCTCAATTGTACTACTCACATCACGTATGCTAACAATTTTTCATAGTAAAAAAACTTTAGTGGACATCAACAACCTCACATTTAGTGCAAAATATAAGTGATTTGGCAGAACCAAGGAAGGAGTTATGTAGCATGCTTTCACTAATTCAGGTGGGCATTTGAGATCAAATATTATATGCTTTTTAATTTAAAAAATAAAAGTTCATAAGTCATCTGCTTGAAATTCTGTATGTCACTGTGATTTATTCCCCTTATCTCGACCCCAGCCTAGCCCAATCTGGCTCCTGTTTTTCTAGGGATTAACGTTAAGGTTTTATTGTGTTGTTTTGTTTTTAAGCTCTCCTGCCCTAATCGTTGAGTTGACATATGCAATAGTTTGGGTCTTTTCTCCTAAGAGTGGAAATGGATACAAGCAACAGGAATGTCAGAGAAGCTGTGGGACTTGCCATCATAATCTTCCTTGCTACTTTTTATGTAAATAAACCACAGACCAAATGGGAACACCAGATATCAAACAATATTTTGTGAAACTGTTGCATTTACTGTTCTCTGCCCTTGTACAAGGACATCTATCACTAGCTGGTGTTTTCTCCCACAAAGCACAGAGGACATTGGGGCAATTATTAAATCAAAAGTTCCCAGTTGGCAACTCTTCTTGATGCCAAGGACACCAGATATGGAAGAATTTTCACCTTCAGTGTTCTCTAGTCTGACTAAATGCCTCTCGTGACTGTATTGTTGAAGAATTTCAGAAGGTGGTGAGGGGGAAGGAGCCTTAAAGCCAACTCTAAGAGAAAAGCTTCTGGTCATGGAGATAGCATACAAAGTGTGTGTTGCGGCTTTAAAAAAAAATTTGTGTGCATACACGTGTTTGTATTTCTTTATATATACATATTTGTTAAAGACCATCATCTGAACTATTAAGAGACAATCAAAGGGAAAAGAGGTCTTTGGTTGTGCTAGACCTTAGCATAGGTCAGTGTATGTTCTAGAACAGAAACATGTCAGATGATGGAGTTTTCTAGAAAATTAAATCTAAGACCGTGGTGGAATAGTTATTTAAGGGCTTAGCATCATCAGAGCAATCGTTTGTATTTTCTTCTGGGTTGCTTTTGGGAATTGCTTTTTGTCAGAGGGAAGGGTATGTCTTTAGGGATAAAAGAATAATTGGAAATTTAAAATATCTCAAGACTCATTCATATGCCTTTTGGGTCATCAGAAACTATATCTGTTTACTAATACTTGCTTGCTCAGATAGTTACATTTAAAAGGAGCATGTTTTTCCATGAATGTGAAACTTCATTTCGTGAAGAGGCACCATGCTTGTTCCCCATAACTTCCTCTAGTTTTTGTTCTAAAAAAGTAAAATTTTATTGATAGGTAGTTCCTAAAAGGAAAAACCAAAAGCAATGGTTGATGTAAAATTAGAGAGATTGACTTTGGAGTATAAAGGATAATGGAAGAAAGTTCAGGAGCCATGACTTTGGAGTATGAAGGAAAAACGGAAGAGAAAGTTTAGGAGCCTTGAATTAGGAGTTTGAAGGAGAATGGAAGAGAAGGTTTAGGAGCCTTGAATTAGGAATATGAAGGAGAATGGAAGAGAAGGTTTTGGAGCCAAACTCCAGGGCCTCTCCCGAGCTGGAGGAGCACAGCAGGTCTGGTTCTTTGTGGTTACACAGGGCAGGGCAGCGCCCCTTCAGTGATTCTCAAGACGTCACAACATGGGTACCCGGGGACTTCTTTAGACCTCACAGTCCACCACAGAGATTCAGGCTCACACAGGGGAACATGCCACCCCTACTCACCCCATTGAGAACCACTACAGAAAGTGAGGATTGAAAGAGGGACAATGGAGACTCACCAATAAACATGATTCCAGGGGGCCAGAGAGCACCATGCCCCACCTGGCACACACTCACCTTCCCCATGTGTTGGAGGGATACCTGAGCTAGAAAGAAAAGGCCACAGGCCTGTGTGTCAGGTGGACCTGGCTCCCGAGTTTAGTCATCTCTGATATCTGGGCCAATTCTTTTGGACCTCACTTTCCTCATCTGTGAAATGGAAATAATAATACCTTTATGGGGTTGTAAAGGAATTCACTGCAATGATGCTTTAAAGCATCAGCACAGATCCTGGAACATACTAAGTGTTCAGTTATATCAGTGGCAGTCCCCTCTCCCCCAGTCCTTGGCATCTCGGGATGGTGCTCAGCCTCACTGAGTTTCGCACTGTCCTCTCTGGAAATACAGCAAACCCTCCTGTGTCGTATTATGCTCTTGCCAGGCCCGACCTTGCCGGCCATGTCACCTTCTGCTTCTGTGCCAGGAGAGACTGCCCTCAGGAGGGTGCTGAGACTGGAGGTGGGGGACGGAGATTGAACCCCCCTTTCCCCAGGGCTCTGCAGAGCAGAATGTGAAGCTCACTTCCTGGTGTCTGCGATGTTCTCCTTGGCTCGGCCACAAGCAAGTTCACACATCAGCTCCTCTTTACCTTATTGGGGTTGTCACTTTTTAGCCCACCTCCTCTTCTTTTTTTGACCGAATCTTTTCAATGGAATCATCAAATCCTGACCCTCATCTGGGAAAAACCCTGGCTGCTCCTCCTCACCAGGGTCATGCAAGACCACTCCCTCCTCACCATTGACTTACATTCAAAGTAACAATATACTTTTGTGTTCCAGGCACACAAAATTTCCGTGACTGACAGTGCCAGGCTTGGCCTGTTTGGCTTAGATAAAAGCAATTGTCAAGCAGTGGACCTGGAAGGCTCGGTGGACTTTATGACGTTCAATGTCGTTCTTTCCTGCTGTTGGCACAGATGGTGAGGGCTATTGGCAAGACCAGCTGCATGGCCGCATGCTGGTGCAGGCTGGGCTGACTAGACGGGTGCCCTGAGAGCTGAGCTTCTTTCACATCTGCCTCATCAGTGCCCTCTGGGTAACCTTGGATTTCTGTGCCCTTCACCCTTCAGGCCCCACAGTGGGGACAGTCCTATAGGGAGAGGTTTGAGCGTGCTATTGATTTTCTTTCTTGTTTCATGTTGCTTTTGTTTCATTTAAAGTGTTGCTAGACAATGCCTGAAGAGAAAGGCTCCTCTAAAGCTTTTTATTTTAATTTTACTTATTTTTATTTTTTTAATTTTTTAATTTTTAATTTTTGAGATGGGAGTCTTGCTTTGTTACCCAGGCTGCAGTACAGTGGTACAATCATGGCTCACTGCAGCCTCCAGCTACTGGACTCAAGCAGTCCTCCTGCCTCAGCCTCCCAAATAGCTGAGACTACAGGCACACAACACCATGCCTAGCTAATTTATTTTTTATTTATTTTGTAGAGACAGGTCTCGCTTTGTTGCCCAGGCTGGTTTCAAACTCCTGGCGTCAAGCAATCCTCCTGCCTTGGCCTCCCAAAGCATAGGCATGAGCCACGATGCCTAGCCTAAAGCTTTAAACATGTTCTTCAAAGGCTGGGTTCTCAAGAGTAAAACAGGGAGAGGCTGGCCAAAAGTAGAAGGTGCCATGACCATACCACATCAGCTTCCTAAGGAGGATAGAAGGAACAAAATGAGATTTCATAGGAAAACTCTTTAAAATACAAAATCATGTACAGCCTTGTTCTTCAGTGAAATGAACTGAAATATGGCAGCTATATTAGGACATATTATTCTTGCTTTAACAAGAGCCAGACACCAAGAGAATCAAGACCAACAAGAATCATCTTACCACTCAGTTCCCTGATTCACTGCTTTGACACCTGGAGCAGTAGCCCTAGGGCTATGCAACCTGCTGGAACTTCTTGTATGTCTTCCCCAAGAAACAGGTGCATATTGCGAAACCACTTGTTCTCTTTGCTGCCAAATGTAGTTGCCCCCTACCCTGAACTCAGGATTTCTAACACAGACCCAGTGGTGATGGCTGAGTTTCAGGTTGGGAGGACAAGTTTAGAAAAAGGAAGGAGTGTGTGTCCAAAGTCACTTATTGACAGGGAGACTTTTCCACAGCAATTATAATCATACCTTCCTGTTATTATTCATAATAGTAATCCTCTAACATTTTGCTGTCAGCAGTGTGACAAATTAAAAAACATCTCCCCATAGAATATCACTGGATCTTTCAACACCTTCATGAGACAGGTAAGGTCTAATTTTGGGCTCCCCTAAAAGTAGATTCTGAGACAAGGCTTTGGGTGCAAGTAGTTTGTTTGGGAGGTGATTCCTGGATGCCCTGATAAGAGAGTGAGGAAGTGAAATAGAAGAGGGAGGAAAACCAGTAATGGGTGTACGGGGAACTGGGGCTGCACCCCTGCTGTATCCTGGAGAGACTGTGTGGAGCCTGCCTCAAGTCGTTCCACCAACTCTTGTGACTCTCAGGCACTTTCCCCATCTGTCTTGCAGGGGTGTGCCTTCTCCTCTAGGAGTTCCCCTGGCAGAGTCCAACAGGCAGCTAGCCCAGAGGGGAGGTGAAGTCATCCTCTGGAATAGGCTGAGCAGGTGTGCATGGGAGACCCACAGCATCTGCTATGGCTGTGCTTCTCACAGGGACAGGTTCATAGGGGAAGAAACAGGCACAGTGAGCTCCAGTGCTTGCTCAGAGTCCACAGGACTCCATCCCCTGCCCTCTGTCCCCTCCACCACAGTGCATCCCCTAAAGCCCCAGGGCAGTCAGTATTAGGAGACTAGCAACAGGGCCAGTAGCAATGGCCTTCTCTGACAGTGTTTCTCACACAGGGGCCCTGCATGGCTGGTGTGGCCCCTTCTTTTAGAGGCTCTTTTAGAGCATGGTGATTAAGATTCCTGAGCCAGACTTCCTGTGTTGCCATCCCAGAAGTTCTGCGGCCTTGGTTGAGCAAATTACTTAAATCTTCTGTGCCCTAGTTTCATTCTCTATTAAAATACTACCTATCTCATTATGGCTGATGTGAAGACTAATTGAATTAATACATATGAAGAGCTTAGTAGAGAATAAGGACCATCCAGGTGTTCACTGGTGGTGGTGTGGTTGGGCATAGCGATGCTCTTTTTCCTTCTACTACCGTTTTCCTGGCTTTGGAATTAATGTGAACCGGTAAAACAAAAGCTCACATTTCATTGCAGCATTTATGTCTGATAGGGATCTCACGAAGTTTAAACACCATTACACTTCGGATGATTTATGTATCACCTGCCTTCACTGCACGCTGGTAAACTCCCTAAGGAAGGAGATTGCACTTGCCTTGCCGTTCCTGGCATCAGCAGCATGAATCAGTGAGGCACCCGGCCTTTGGAGCTGCTCAGGAAATACGCACTCAGTGAGGAGAGCACATCCTTCCATAGGTTCACCAGTGACACCAAAGCCTCATGTTACACAGCCTAGCCACCTGCTGCTGGTGGCATTAATGTAAGAAGAATTTTAAAGGCTGCACAAAAGATGCACTTCTCCCAGAATTTTCTCTATATTTATAGAATGCTATTATAAGACCCTCAAAAGTATTTTCAGCTGTGGCTCGATTCTTTAATCCCAAGTAGGATGAAATTGAAAGCTAAAATATGGAGTGTGGCATTTTAATATGCACTATTAGCATCCACCACTGATGATCAGTATTAATGTTTTATTATGGATAGCACTATATGCCAACAGGTGGACTACATTTAACACTTGTTTGACTTTGACACACTCTGAAAATGCATCAGGGCCAAATTGAGGAGTCCTGTTTAACAGATGACGAATCCCTTCCACTGAGGTGTACAGACTCCCCTGCAGCAGAAGTGACCTGGGCCAGGTCGCTTGTTCACAATTACCACGTTTCTTTGATAAATGTCAGAGGCACCCAGTAGAGGGAGATGGGTGTTGGCTCCGCAGCCTGTGACTCGGTCGTAGACTCAGCTTCTTGTGGGCTGAATTATGTTTCTCTGGCCAAATTCCAATGTCGAAATCCTAACCCCCAGTGCCTCAGAATGTATTTAGAGAGAGGGCCTTTGAAAAGGTAATTAAGATAAAGTGAAGTGCTAGTGCTTCACTTCCCATGTGAATACACAGGGAAAAGACAGCCATCTACAAGCCAAGGGGAGAGGCTCTCAGAAAAAACCAGCCAGCCAACACCTTGGTCTTGACCTTCTAACCTCCAGGACTCTGAGAAAATAAGTGTCTGCGGTTTAAGCCACTCAGTCTTTGTACTTTGTTGTCAGCCCTAACAAACTAATGCACAATGTCTTTCTTAGCAAGCGTGTGCAGAAACCAACTGAGGCTCCCTCAGCTCTATGAAGTCCCAGCTTCCATCCTCTGAGATGCTGCCATTAACCTGAGGAAAGGCTTTTAGGGGTAAACGTATTTTTCTTGAGGCAGAATTCAGTGTTCCTGGACAGAATCTGCACCTTGTATCTTCACCCCGTGCTCATACATGGATGTGGATGCACATCCTTTCCCCCAAGTGTCTGTGCTGTTTTGTTTTGGTCGTACTTGCTTTGTTTTGCCTTGTTCTGTCTACTGTTTAGAAAAAGTGCAGAATCTCTGATTAGAAGGAGCCTTTTAGGGCTTTGCTTCTAATGACATAAATTGCTGAGTGTGCTGCAGTAGCAATGCATTTAGAATCAATGGACAGATATCTGCTATTTCTAGAAGCTTATATGGAGAATTGTGTCAATTCCTTGCAACCTTGGATGGTCTCAGCATTCATTATAGGACAGTCTTTCAGTAATCACAAAGTGAATTGTCCCTCTCACATGCCATGCAGCAGCTGTTGGCTCCCTTTTGGGGGCCACTGTTGTTCTAATTGATTCTTGCTGGAGTGATGGGGCTCAGTTATGGCTGGAGTGGACGAGCAGACCCAGGGTTAGCCTCAGGGGGACTTAGTGTAGGCTGATAGTTGCAAACATGTACCAAAGAAACCACAAGAAGTGAATGTTAACTCACTTTTTACAAATCATCTCACTCCTGCCCTTTCTTTGTCTCCATTTTTTCTCACTCTACTGTCCCTTTATTATTTTGTCTCTGTTGCCAGAGTGAGCAAATCAAAGTACAGGACACCCTGTTAAACTTGAATTTCAATTAAATGACATATAATTGTTTTAGTATAAGTGTGTAGCAAACTCACACTAAATCAATTATTTGTTGTTTATCTGAAATTCAGATTTAACTGTGAATTCTGTATTTTATCTGGTAACCCTATGTCTCTCAACATGACTTTTGTGTGTTTCTTAGATATGTATGTATATATGTAGATAGGACTATAGACATACACATAGCTATCTTCCTCACAGACTTTGCTAATCTGTCCTTTTCCATTGTAAACCTACCCCACCCTACATATCTCCCACCTTTATTCATATCTTTAGGGGTTTTTATACATATCTTTTCTTCTTCCTTTGTTCATGCCTTTGTATTCTATTCCCTATTGTATATCTCCCTAATCTATCCTTAAAAACTATGGTATTTCCTCCTAAATATTGGTCATATTTAATACGTACTTTAAGTTTCCTTCTTACTTTAAAATTCTGAGAAGTAAAAATCTTCAGGCCAGGCACAGTGTCTCACACCTGCAATCCCAGCACTTTGGGAGGCCAAGGCTGGAGGATTGCTTGAGCCCAGGAGTTCGAGAATAGCATGAGCAACAAAATGAGATCTCATCTCTACAAAAAATAAAAAAATTAGCCGAGCATGTTGGTGTGCTGTCTGTTGTCTCAGATACACAGGAGTCTAAAGCAGGAGGCCAGCTTGAGCCCAGGATTGCTTGAGCCTGCCATGAGGTGTGAACTTGCCACTGCACACTAGCCTAGGTGACAGAATGAGACCCTGTCTCAAAAGAAAAACCAAACAAAACTTTCTAGCTATCTCTTTAAAAACAGAACTTGCATTTTATTGTCATTCTTATTTATTTGTTTATATTGATTTTACCTTGTCAGATCAATGGCTCGTCATTGAAAATGGGATGATACCCTTAGACAGAAGGTTGGTGGGGTAGAATACTTGTCATGTAAGAACCTTCTGGGCAACATGGAAAGTTTAAGGAATAAATATTTTTTCACTCTTGTCATATTTTATTAGCAAATCTCAAAATCCACCAGTCAATAGGCACAAGTTACTCTAATGTCTATTTTTTCGCAAATCACTATGCTAAGCTATGGGAGACCCAAATCAGTGGAGCCTTATTTGTCTCTGCCGTCAGGTAAGACATATGAAGAGATAATATGAAGTAATATATATTCATTGTAGCAAAGAATGTAGGCTGAGCGGGAACTGAGTGATAAGAGACCTTGGTGATTAAGGGATTGGATGAGAATGGCTGCCCTCCTTACCAGCGTGAAGCACAGAGCAGACAGTGCTGGGGCCCTCACTGGGAACTCACACACCTCCCTCACCTTACACCCTAACCACCTCCCTCACCTCACCTTGTCCCCAACCTGTGACATAGGGTAGTTAAACTTTGCTCCCCCATAATCTGGCATTTCAGAAGATAAACTAAGTTGTTTCTCTTAAAAAGAATCATGGCAACGTGTCCCTGATTCTTTTGGAAAATATAAATTGATGAATTTATTTTTCTTGATTTTTAGTAGATTATGCCCCAACTCATTCCACAAAAAGTTGAGACAGTGATTTTCCCGCAGAGTTTTCCTACACCCTTTCCATAGTACTTGGCTTCTACAGATTTTTTTTTCTGGTTTATAAGATGTCTGATTTATTTTTTGACAAAATAAACCAGAAAGCTCAGTGCAGGTGTCCACCAATTCAAGGAGAAGACACACTTTTCAGAGCTCTGCTTCCTATGGCCCAGCTGCTGTTGGCCATTGGTGTTACCTGGGGTTTCTACATTCTCCCACCTCCTACCCAGTGACTTCTCCCAGGGATGTTGATGACTGTGGAGCTTTAATGTATGATTTTCTTTAAACTATTCCATGTAAACATTGAATATATCTCTGTGTGTATATGTGATTTAATTTTTAAATGGACTTTTTTAGAGCAGTTTTAGGTTCACAGCAAAATTGAGCACAAAGTACAGAGAGTTCCTGTACACCCACTGCTGCCACACATGCACAGCCTCTCCCACTGTGCACATCAAGACTTACATTCTGTATTTTTTAAAGATTCATCATCTTTAAAACCCTCCTTTTCATGGTTGTTGCAGCATGAACCTATTGTTACTCAAAATGAGCAGACTGAGTACCAGAGATTATTGGCATTTTAATGTGATTTCTTTAAAATGTTTATGTATTAGTTTTTATGGTAAGTGTCTTACAGTCATATTACATAGCCATATTTTCTCATATTACATAGCCATATTTTCTGCCAGTACAAGTATTTTTGGTTCTTAAAGTGAAATGGAATATACTAGAGATCAGAATAGTAGCTGACACATCAAAGGCAGTTGATGATGTTTGTTAAACTACATTGATATTCTATTTCTCAGAGTCTTGTGACTTCCAGATGCTTCATGGTCTTTAAATGGCTTCTCCCCTCACCCCACCCTCAACAAGGCTGTAGCCTCTTCCATAGCGTGTGGGTTAACTTCACTGAAATACCAAGGAGGCAGAGACCCATCAGCACAAAAGAAGGACAGTGTGTAAGGATATATCTTAGGTTCAGAGCAATGGTTACATCAGCCCACACCACTCTCATTACATATAGCCTCAATCAGCAGGCCTAATTTTAGGAGGTGCAAGACAAAAACAGTCGAGAGAAGTGAACTAAAAATACACCCCCCTTATTCTGTTACAATGTACTTCCTCAGATAGTTGGTCTGTTCCATTAAGCAAAATTCTCTGCCTATCATAGTTGTCATAAAGACTTTTCGATGATGATTAAGAACAATGAGAGCCTACATTTTATTTTGATTCATTGCAGCTGTCGTGACCTTCCACTTATTTCTGCTCCTTTTTAGAATTGCTGGCATTCACTTAAACAGATGCTACTGTACTTTTCAGGGAGAGTTTGAGGTGGCCCCATTTTATTAATATACAAAGAGTGTCATTAAGGAGGGTATGTTGTATGAGTCACACTTTAAGTATACCAGTGGGCCCCTTCTGTGATTCTCATGACAAAAATACTTGTTTCTATTTTCAGCTCCCACTGTATTTTTCACATTGAAGAACCTATTTTATTTTAATGAAGCTTTAAGAGTGCTTATTATGTATAAGACACTATGCTCAGTACTGGAAGGGTTGATTGAGACATAATTCCTGCCTCAAGGAACTTACTTGGAGAAGACAGATACATGTCAAGATGTGAAACTAGGATGTCTGCAGTTGGCACTTCTTAGGGAGGGAGCTGTTTTTGGGGAAATATCTTCATGAACTATGGAGGTAGGGCTGGAACTTGAGGGCAGGAACAAGGTAGCAGTAAGAATGGATAAACCACACCACATGAGACAAGGCGAAGAATTCGTTCCATGCATAAGAGGCTGGGCAGAGGGAGAAGACGGTTGAGCAGGGAGCTGAGAGAGAAGATCCAGAACACTGGTTTGAGGTTTGGGACAAAAGGAGCGCTGGACCAGGTGACATTCCATGTCGGGAAGATCAAAGGCCATCTGAGGGCCAGGGATGCCCAGTGCTCAGTGTGAGGGTGTTGATGATGCTTGGGAGGGAGAGCCTTTCTGTTCTCTACCACATTTCAATAACATCTACTGTGCTTATCAGGAATGCTTTATGTGAGTGTTTTGGGGTTTCTTTGTTTTGTTTTGTTTTGTTTGGGTGTGGGGACTATCCCAGAAGGTTCTGAGCTGCATTTCTGAGAGCATGAGGAATACAGCAGAGACAGGATATATGAAAGTAGGAACCTGGAAGCAAATGTGACCCTGAGACACAAGCTCCCCTGAAATTGCAGAAGTCTTTGGCAGGCATTGTACTTCCTGAGGGCGTCAAGCGGGAGGTCTGAGCCAGTTTCCTCTCGATCTCAAGGGCTTGGGAAACCCCAGCTGATATCTGCTTGTCTGGGTTAAACTGTTAAAATGCATGGCCATTTTACATAAGTTTATAAGAGTGGAAATGCACAGAAGGGAATAATTAATTCTGACTCAGATTAACTTAGGGCTCCCTGAGAGAGCCTTCATAGCTGGGCCTTGGAAGCTGAGTGTGAGTTCAATAAACAGAATTGGAGAAGGCTGTGTCAGGTAGAGGGAATGCCTGAGAATTGGCCTTGAGACACCAACTGTGTGGACAGGACAGGGAATGGAGAACTAGGCATGTGTGGTTGGCATCTGTAGTGTGTGGGTGGGTAGAAACATGGACCGTGGTCAGATTCTGGAAGGCCTTAAACTCTGTGCTTAGTGAATTTTGACTTAAGTCTGTGGATGTCTGATCTGCATCTAGAGAACTAAATTGGAGAAACAACATGAAAGTTTGTAAGGAAAAGTTTTGAAAGCAAGAGTCCCATTAGAAGACCATTTAAATCCATGATTCTCAAACTTCCCACTTCCACCTATACACCTACTATAGTTTGGATACTTGTCTCCCCAAACCTCATTGTGAAATGTGATCCCCAGTGCTGGAGGTGGGGCCTAATGGATGGTGGTTGGGTCATGGGGACAGCTCCCCATGAGTTCGTTCTTGCTGTATTAGTTCCCTCCAAAGCTGGTTGTTAAAAAGAACCTGGTGCCTCCCCCTGTCTCTCTTCCTTCCTCTCTTACCATGTGATCTGGACACACTGGCTCCACTTTGCCTTCTACCATAAGTGGAATCAGCCTGAAGCCCCCACCAGAAGCAGATGCTTGCGCCATGCTTCTTGCACAGCCTGCAGGACTGTAAGTCAAATAAACCTCTCTTTTCTTCATAAATTACCCAGGCTCAGGTATTCCTTTATAGCAACACAAACAGACTAAGATAACCCCTGGAGGATGATCTACTCCCATCGCTAAGATTGGAGCCATAGTTCAAATGGTATGGGTGAGAAGTAAAGAGAGTGAACACAAGAAATTGTAGTAGAACTAGAAAGGATGGTAGGAATCAGAGATACATTTGGAGGCACGGTTGATAGGTGGTAAAATTGACAAATTATTGATACAGGGAATTGTTGGTTTTAAGTCTGGTTAACTTGAAAGATATTATTGAGCTCTGTATCACAATAGGAGTAAGAGATGCATAGGAGTGTGTTTGTGCACGGTGGGGAGCGGTGGGGGTGGGGCAGAGATTATGAGTTTGGTTTTGGATGTGTTAAGATTGAGGTACTAGTGGGATATTTACATGGAGATGTTCAGCAGCCAGTTGGAAATGCAGGCCTGGGGCTGCACACTAAGCTCGTTCTTAAATGACTTATCTATGTCGCATAAATGCCAGCAAAGCCCAGAGGTAGATGGAGTAGATTCTAGGTGTTTCAGCTCATTCCTGAGCCTCACCATGGAAGTAATATATGGAAGTGTCTGGATTTCCCCCTACTCTGTCCCTGCCCATAGGAGATTCTCAGTGAATGTTTGTTTGAGTGGGAGCAATACCCTCAGTTTGGTGATTCTGGGGGGAGTGGAAGAGTTTATACTTTACTTGCAAATCATGATATGGAAGCACTCATTTACTATATTTGCTTATATTTGACCTTTTGTCCATGAACATATGGACATAACAAATATTTTCCTAGGAAAAGAAATGTAACTTTACAAGAGAGATTTTTCTTAAATACACAGGGCAAAGGGGTGGTGGCAGGGGTACTGCACAGTCTTAGTCCTGCCTTCCTGCCTCCTTTCCTTTGTTTTCTCTTCGTTGTGACCTGTTAGCATAGTAGTTTATACTACCTTCTATTTGCCATTTATTTATTTATTAATATATTGCTTGTTTATTGTTTCTTTATTATAGATATTTGTCCTCTAAAGAGCAGCAGCCTGAGTCTGTTTTTGTAGAGAACTTAGACCAGAATGGTTGTGCTTAATAGAAGAAGAAAGTCAAACAAGTACGGATTGAATGGCTGGCGTGCAGGGTCACTGGGCTTATGTGGTGAAAAATGAAGGAACTGACATTTACCCCTCAGGGTTGTTGGGAGACTCACATGCCATCATATCTAGGGACAGACTTATAAGCTGCAAATGTTTGCAATCATAGGACACTGATGTTGTTGTCATCGTTATTTGGGGAAAATCAGGTAAATGAAGAAAGATTCACCAGAGTTTTCAGAACATACTTCATGGAAAAGATATATTTGAGCCAGACAGAGCCATTGTCCATTCTTACGCAGAAGAGGGACTGATGGCATTTGGGGAAGATTTATCTGGAAGTGTTTTTGCAGCAATTCAGCCATGCAGTAGCGGGAAGCCCTGGTGTGGTTGCTGACATGGGAGGGGAGGTCATTCTGGCACTCCATGGTGTCCACGGGTCCCCTGAGGCATATAATTCATGGGGCATTTTCTTCCCAGAACACATCCATTTAGATTCCTTGCTGGCAGCACCTCCTGGCCCACTTACCTTATTCTGTGAAGGCCTCACACACACACAAACTAGACCATTAGACAACTCAGCTTGAGTTCAAGATGAGGCTGGGGGAGATGCTCCTTCTTTTTCCTAGGGAAAATGTCAGACTTGGTTGTTTCCGGATGTCTAAACTTTCTCATATGATAAAAGATACTGTAGGGCCAGGAAATGATAAAAGGTCAGTAAGACATGGGATAGTCGGCAAGGATGGTCACTTGGGCTGGGAAAGGCCTGGTCATTTGTTGGCCTGGGGATATATTATCATCTCTGTCCTGAAAATGAAAAGAAATTAGAACTGAGCAAGTGGCCCAGTGGGCATATCAAATTTTTATGTGTCCATGGTTAAAAAATGAGCTGTGCAAAGAGTCGGCAGTGAAAGGAGCAACATTGCAAGCGTAGTTTGTGTCCGTTAATGGGGCTCACTGTTTTGGCCAGGGTGTAAGAGAGATAATAAGCTTATTGCAGTGTGTTGAGTTTAAGTTGCAATCTCTAAATAATATGCCAACACTGTTATTTCTTTATTTATCACACTGAGACATCATCTGTTGACTTGCTACTATGAGTGATGAGGATTTAGCTTCCTTGAATCATCCCTCTTCTCTTCTTCCCCACCTTCCTCCTTATTTTTTTTATCCTTATGGCACTATTTTTACTTCCTTTTGTGGTTACCTTTGTAACTTTAAATAATACACTGAAGCCTCTGTTGCTTTTGGTCAGCTTTTGACAGCATTCTTTCACCCTCTGTTTTGTGAAATGAGGTTGTGGTGCCTCTCCCTTTTGCTACATCTCTTTTCTATCTTCCATGTCCCAATTTTTCTCAACTGTATTTTTTATTTTGTTTGTTTTTATTTATTTATTTTGAAATTAACATATAGTAAGACTGACTTTTGCAGGGGAGGGTAACAACTTTGTAAATTGCAACACATGCATAGATTTATGTAACTACCACCACCATCAGGACACAGTGCAATTCCATCACCCCTAAAAACTCCATCGTGCCACCCATTTGTAATCACACCTTCCTTCCACCCATAATCCATGGCAGCCACTGCTCTTCCTTTATTATCATTATTATTCCATTGCTGGGTAGTAGTCCTCAGCTTATTAATCTATTCACCTCCTGAAGTACATTTTGGTTGTTTTCAGTTTTGAGCAATTATGAATAAGGCTGATCTAAACATTCATACATAAGTTTTCATATGAACATAAATCTCTATTTCTCTATCATAACCAGACCATACCATCTTGATTACTGTAGTTTACAGGAAGTCCTAAAATCAGGTAATGTGAGTTATCCAACTTTACTCTTCTTTTGCAAAATCATTTTGATGATTCTAGTTCCTTTGCCTTTCCATATAAATTTTAGAGTTAGCATGTCTATATCTATTTTCAAATCTTACTGGGATTTTGATTGGAATTGCATTGAATTTACAGATCAACCTGGGAAGAACTGACATCTTTCCTATGTTGAGTTATCCAGTTCATGAACATAGCATATCTCTTCATTTATTTAGGTCTACTTTCTTTCATTAGCATTTTTTGATTTTAAGAATCCATATGCTGTGCGTGTTTTGTTAGATTTATACGTAAGTATTTCCTTTGTACTTGGAGCATATTTTAAGGTATTTTTAAATTTTTGATTTCCAGTTTTTTGCTGGTACAGTATATAGTTTTGTGTACTGACCTGGTATCTTATGACCTGACTAAATTGACTTATCAGTTCTATGAGTTTTCTACATAGAAAATCATGTTGTCTGAGAAGAGGTACAATTTTTATTTCCTCCTTCCCAATCTGTTATGCCATTTATTTATTTGTCTTATGTTATTGTACTTGCTAGAATTTCCATTATGATGGTCAGTGAGAGTGGTGAGAGTGAATGTCCCTGCTTTGTTCCTGATCTTGGGAGAAAATGTTTTACCACTAAGTGTATTGTCAGCTATAGTTTTGTTTATTTTTTTAAATCAGGTTGTTGAAGTACCCTTTTATTCCTAGTTTGCTGAGAGTTTTTATCATGAATGGATGTTGAATTTTGTCAGATGCTTTTTCTGTATCAATTGATGTGATCATGTGATTTTTCTTTTTTAGACTATTAATATGGTGGATTTTATTGATTGATTTTGAACCAGATTTTATTATATTGTATTCTCAGAATAAACCCCACTTAGTGGTAGTTTATTATTATTTCTACATATTGCTGGACTCTGTCAGTTCTTCATAGCTAAGGATAACGTTTGCGTTCAGTTGTGTAATCGTATTAAGTGTTTCCTGCTTTGTCTCTACAAATGTCTCTAAAAGTTGAAAATCTCTGAAAGACAATACTTTTAGGGTTATGAAGTACAAATACTGTCTGTATGGAAACAAATAGGATTGTATGATTGCATTTCTCTCTCTTTGTGACCGAAATACTCTCAACGCTTTAATAGGGTAAGATATGATAACTCCTTTCTTACTCTTATTAAGTTACTCAGAATCAATGTCTTTCTTGGACAATTTTCTCTTTTTCCCACATTTCAGATTCTCTATTTTTAGTAGTGGTTGAGGAAAGGGAGCCATATTCTTTCTTCCCTTGAGGCCCAGCATCGCCCAGCTTCTTAGACGTTCTCTTGCTCAGAATGTGTTCCATTCTTTTCTAATTTGAACTGGCTATTTTCTAGGCCTGCTACACAGCTGTCTTCCAGGGATTTCTTTTTATTGGATCTCTGGCTTTATTCCAGGGAATGCAAGCTTTAAAACAGGAAAAGGTGGAGTCTGCTGAAAATTATTAGGGGGAACTGATATTAATAGCTAACATTTATTGAGTAATTACCAGGTGCCAAGCCCTGTTTTAAGCTCATTGTAGGGATTGCCTCCTTTAATCTGCACTACAACTTATGTGGTAGTTATTACTCTCTTCCAAATTTTATGGATGAGGAAATTGAGGCTTCAAAAGTCAAGTAACCTGGCTAAGTTTTGCCACCAATAAATGGTGGACCCAGAATCCCAACCGAGGTGATGGGACTCTGGAGCCCTCATTTTTAACTGCAAAGAGGGGCTGTCTTGGGTGTCTTTAGGGGTGACTTACTCCACCAAGCACACTTGGCCACTGGCAGACTGGACCCAGATGCTTTCTGAAATGCAGACAGCCAGAACAGAATAGTAAATTGAAGAACTGACCCCTGAACTCAGCTCTTTCCACTATACCACACTGCCTTCTTAATAACGAGTGGGTAAATACGCTTTTGGCAGCCCAACTAGCAGGAAGAAGTGGCTCAGAGAAGAGCCAAGAATGTTGAAAACATGAACCACAGAGACACTAGGGGTATGGAGGATCACTGCAAACCAAAGAAGGACTTGTTGGGTGCAGACAGGGAAGGAAAGGCCTCTACTCTTCATTGACAGGGCCTAGAACTGGAGTGAGGCCGAGGGATGACACAGTTATAGAACACATATGCTCAGCAGCCTGGTCTGGTGACCTAGGGGCCCAATCCAGAGAGATTTGGAAGAAGGTTCTGGAATGGAAGAGAATTCCATTAGATCCAGCAATGCAACCATTTCAGGACTGTCCTTGGGCTAGCTGTGAGTCATTGTTTCTCTAGGATTCAATCCAAGTCTGGACCCAGAGGCGTCTGTTGGACTTTTCATGCAAAGGTCCTAGAAACTGACTGTAAGACAAGGAAGTCTAGGCTGGGCATGGTGGCTCACGTCTGTAATCCTAGCACTTTGGGAGGCCGAGGCAGGTGGATCATCTGAGGTCAGGAGTTCAAGACCAGCCTGGCCAACATGGTGAAACCCTGTCTCTACTAAAAATACAAAAATTAGCCGGGCGTGATGGCACATGCCTGTAATCCCAGCTACTTGGGAGGCTGAGGCAGGAGAATCGCTTGAACCTGCGAGGTGGAGGTTGCGGTAAACCAAAGTCGCGCCACTGCACTCCAGCCTGCGCGACAGAGCAAGACTCTGTCTCAAAAAAAAAGGAAGTCTAGATTCACTTACATTATCATGTATAACAGACAATACTGTGGAAACATCTTGAACTTTCTAGAAATTTTGGAATTTTCCCTTGCTTAGTTATTTTCATTACCTTTGTCTCCTTTCATATGTGAGCAATGTTCATAACCACTATTATTTTAGAGCCAACAAAGGGAGGCCAAATGCCAAAGACCCTGCATTTTGCCCTGCAGCCAATAGGGAGACAAGCAAGGAGAGAAGAGGCCCAACACTCACAAGAGAGAGGTGGACCAGCAGGGCTGCTCCATAAGAGGTTCTCTGTTACCTGACAAGGGAGTTTCAGGTACAGCTTATTTACAGTTGAGGGTATCAGCCACACAGCATAGGGTTACTCTGTGCACTTTCCATTTTAAGTGCTTTCAGTCCCCCTGCCAAGGTGGCTGCTGGCATTTAATGCACTCATCAGGCTCTTCTCAGAGCCTGTCATTCAGCCTTGGCTGTCCTTTCTGGCTCTGGCAAAAGCCTAGCACTTAGCTCCTTTGGCCCCAGCCTTCTTCGGCGCTCCACTCACTGTCTGTTTCTACCCACCCTCCCTTTTCCTTCTCTGATGCCCCTTTCCTGCCCACTCCTTCCTGCTCTGGCTCTCACACTGCTTGTGAGGCAACATCTAGCCTGGCCTCAAGCCAGAGAGCAGTGGGACCTCTCCGCTCTCCCAGCTTCAGGCCTGTCTTGTATTTCCTGGGTATAAGAGGCTGTGTTGTGATGAAGAAAGCCAAACTTGCCTGTACTCACTGCTCAGCTCTGTACTTGGTAGCAGTGGATGGTCTGCTTCACCCTTGTGCCTCATCTGTAGACTGGACATAATACTCATAACTAGCACCTACATTATAGAATTGTTCAGGGCCTTTGAAATGAATTAATACATGCAAAGCAGTTGGGACAGTGCCTGGCACATACAAATGCCTTCCCATTTCTTTTTATTATTGGTATTGTCATTGTCACCCATTGCATGTTGCAGCCGTCTTGTTAATTCCTTTACCCAAACGCCAAAGTCACCGCTGTGTGCACTCTAAGTAGAGAGAAGGAGCCGGGACTCTGTAAAAGACTGGTTATTTCAAATGAGAAAGAGAGCAAGGAGCCATAGGGACCTTTGAGGTTTCGAGCCTGGATGAATGGGGAGAAGCCCTTAACAGAGACTGAGGGCCAGCAGCACTGTGAGTTGGAAATAACAACGGTAATGTTATTTCATTAGTTTGCAAATTAATCTGCCAGGCGGGGGCATGTTTCTTTTTGATAGTACTTTTTGTCTAGAAGAAATAGAAGATATGAAACCTCACACTGTTCTAACTAGGTATTATTTATTAGTTATTCCTGGTGCCATGCCCTTGACTCCTGGCTCTGCCCCCGCCCCCTCCACACCCCAGCTTTTTTTTTTTTTTTTTTTTGAGTTCATGAGATTGTTCTTTCTAGGTCCAACTTAAGTTTGAAGATCAAATTTTCTCGTAATTTAAAATTTAGTCTTAAAAGCCTGAGAATATTGGCATCATTGTAAAGGAGAGAATGGTGCGGAATTGAATTCACATCTCTAGGGACACAGTGGCCAAAGGATAAAAAGGGTGAAGACATTAGGATGAATCAGGGCTGAAATGTGACCTCAAAAAACAGCCACTTCTCTTCCCACACCTGCGTGCTTTGTGGGAGCAGATAAATGTCAGGGGAGGCAGAGTCGAAGATCCAGGGACTAAGGTTTCTATAGAGTTCATGTCAACAAAATACTGATAGGTTGCTCACAGTTTTTTTAAGCTGGATTCACTGGTAAGAGAAAGTGGAGTGGCTTAGTTTTTGTGCTCAAAAATAAGAAGCAAGACCAATATGTAGAAGCTATAATACTGGGCAAGATATGAGCAGTGCTGTAGAGAATTAAAAACGATGTGCCTTGGCAGCGGAAAAGCAGATCACACAAGGAAAAGTTTAGTTGAGAAAGTGGAAAAAATACATTTTCTAAAGTAAACTGTATTTGGTGTCAAGAGCTTCACGGGGAGATGAAAGGTTTGGCAGATATGGCAGAGTGGGGTGTGGGGCATCCCCAGAAGAGGAGGTGGGCTGAGCACAGGCTTGGAAGTGGGAAAGAAGAGACAGGGGATAAACCCAGAGCAGCTGAAATGAGGCTCCAACTGGCCAAGGAAAGATATCTTGGGACAGTATGGCTGAATTCCTTGATTCGGTAGAGATTAGTGGGCCATTGAAGCATTTTGAGAAGAGGAGTTAATTAGCACTTTAAAAACGATCATTTGAAGGCTGTCTCAAAGAGAGATGAGAGTCCAATTTTGGAGACCAGCTAGGAGGCTCTGGGTCTAGAGTATAAATAATGAGAAGTATATATATATATATATACACACACATACACAAATATATTAAATATATGTACATATATGTGTGTATATACACACATATATACAGTGATGCATCGATTAACAAAGGGTATATGTTCTGAAGCGTCTACATTGTTAGGTGATTTTGTCATCATGTGAACATCCTAGAGTGCACTCACACAAACCTGGATGGTAGAGCCTACTGCACACCTAGGTTATGTGGTATGGCCTGTTGCTCTAGGCTACAAACCTGTATGGCATGTTACTGTACTCAGTGAATCCTGTAGGCAACTGTAACGCAGTGGTAAGTATTTGTGTATCTAACCATATCTAAACATAGGAAAGGTACAATAACAATATGGTATTATACTGTTATAGGACCACCGTCGTATGTGTGGTGCATTACTGACTGATACATCATTATGCAGAGAATGTGCACACACGCACACACATGTACATACACCCCCCAAGCACAACATCCTGGCAATCTTACCCATACT
The DNA here is from genome assembly GCF_000001405.40 of Homo sapiens. Taxonomy (NCBI): domain Eukaryota; kingdom Metazoa; phylum Chordata; class Mammalia; order Primates; family Hominidae; genus Homo; species Homo sapiens. Next base: position 29,869,015 of record NC_000007.14, read on the forward strand.
TCATCCCCACTCTTTTTTTTTTTTCATTTTTTGAGATGGAGTTTCACTCGTGTTGCCCAGACTAGAGTGCAATGGCGCAATTTTGGCTCACTGCAACCTCTGCCTCCCGGGTTCAAGAGATTCTCCTGCCTCAGCCTCCCAAGTAGCTGGGATTACAGGCATGTGCCACACACCTGGCTAATTTTGTATTTTTAGTAGAGACGGGGTTTCTCCATGTTGGTCAGGCTGGTCTCGAACTCCCAACCTCAGGTGATCCGCCCACCTTGGCCTCCCAAAGTGCTGGGATTACAGGCGTGAGCCACTGCGCCCCACCTGTATCCCCACTCTTAACACCATGCCTAGCACAGAGTTAGCACTCAAATCTTAAATAATATTGGGTTATATTACTATTCAAGGGGTTCGCTTTACTGATTTCTATTTACCATCTTTTCAAGCCCCTTCTTTCCAGAAGTTTCTGTGAACTACTTTTACCAGTTAAAGTAACCATCATGTGCATTTAAAGACATGCTTTTGTCTAGTGTCTGATCCACCATTTATATGTTTAATGTCCTTTTGAATTGCTAGTTATGGGGTAGTTGAGTCTCTAATCCCTGCCTCTGAAATCCATCTGTATCTGCCCAATTTACACATGTCCCAAATCTCTCTTTCTCCATATTTCTTTCTATTCTTCCCATCCCTAACATTTATTCTTATATTTTTCTGATTATTCCCTACTAAAGAGACTTAGAATTAATACTGGAATCGAAATTCTCATTGTTGCTAAAAATTAGTACTACAATATATTGCCAGATGTGCAGTTTGTAGTTAGGAAGGGATTGGCACACAGTAGAACTGCTTGATAACACTGGTTTGGGTAGGAAAAAGCTGGCATTTATACATAAACTCATGGTACCCCGTGGAAATCTGGGCAAGCTCAGCAGGCAATACTAATGAGGCCTCTGATTTTCTTCCACTGGGTGAGATGGAAAGTCATTGCAGATTTTGAGTGGAATAACATGATCTGGGTAGTAGATGCTCTGCTAAGGGTAAGCATGTTGCTCTAGGAACACAGATAGGGATCTTCATCTGGACTTCCAGGATCAAGAGGCCTCTTGGGAGACAGCCAAGAGGCAAGTGTAAAAAGAGCAGAGATCAGCTCAAGCCAAGGTCTTGAGGTGAGCACCAGCATGGAAGGCTCAAGGAGTGGAAAGTCTGGGCTGGTCACTAAGGGCCTTATGCATCGTGAGGGGATTTGAATCCTCAGGATTCAATTCAAATGGATGCAGCAAAGAATGACACAATTAATGATACATCTTTTATAAAGATTACTCTGTCTGTTGTGTGGGGGAGGGCAAGGAGACATGAAAACCACATAAGGGAATCCAGAGGTGATGAATGCCTGCTTAAGGCATCATGGCAGCGATGGAGAAGAGGTGACAGATTTCTGAGAAATCAGGAAAAACAACAGGAGTTTGCAATGGATTGGCTGTTAAGAATAAGGAAAAGGGATGAGTATGAGGTGACCTTTACATCCCTAAGCAAAGATGTGACAGCTGCAGATAGTAACCAAGTTATGAAAGTGGATGAGATAACCTTGATGGGTATGCTTGTTTTATGGGTGTAAAGAACAGGACCAGACTCATAGCCCCAAAAAAAGACCCCCTCATTTTGCTTTACCTCCAGGGAAGCAAAGGGGCACAGGGTGAATCAGCTCTGTGCTCCAGGTAACAGTCACAGTTCTGTACACTGTACTGTTTAAGATATCAGACCTTGGCCAACATGGCGAAACCCCATCTCCACTAACAATACAAAAATTAGCTGGGCGTGGTGGTGTGCACCTGTAATCCCAGCTACTCCAGAGGCTGAGGCAGAAGAATTGCTTGAACCCAGGAGAGGGAGGTGGCAGTGAGCCAAGATCATGCCACTGCACTCCAGCCTGGGCAACAGAGTGACACCCCATCTCCAAAAAAAAAAAAAAAGAATCAGGCTTTAGAAAAGAAGGTTAGCAGGTGCATTCTTTTTGAGCATGGATTGGAATTGGATATTTGGGTTTCTAAAAATGAGACTTGGAACTGTTAGATCTCAATGTACCTCATTCTAGAACAACTTGACTTATGCACATATGGGGTGCAGGGAACACTGTGTCAGACCTGACAGGAGAAAGTTAGTTTTTTAAGCAAATATTTCATGTCTCTCTTTTGGATTCCAGGTTCTCTGTGTTCTCCTACATAAAGATGGCAACAGTAGAAGGGAGACATTGCCATTCTGGCTGTCCTTGGGATTCAGACTTGGTAATGAACTGCAAACACCCTGGCTGCTGACGCCTGTCTGCCCCCAAGTTTTAGGAGACAGGGGTAGGCTGAGGGCTGGGGTGATCAGCAGGCTTGTATGCCTGGAAACCTGTGCACTAATTTTCGGTTCAATGGCCACATTGGAGAAGCTACTTTTAGGAGACCGCAAGGCTGAAATTGTATTAAAACGATAGGGTTTGGACCCTTGTTGAGAGAAATGACCCGCTAGATTAGAATCAACCAGCTAAGGTTTTTATTAGTATTTTTCACAATTACGAGTATTGGAAAGGTGAGGATGGCATATGGTGACAGGGTGCCAAATAGCAGGAGATGTGTATGTCAAAGTTTTGATCTGGGCTGGACTGTCATCTCCCTTCCCCAGCCTATGCTGTAAGGCAGTTGACTCATTTGTTGGAATGACAAATGGACATGCGAAAGCTTTTATAATGTATCCAGGTGAGAGAAAAGGCCCCTCCGTATTTTTTTTATTCTATCCTTGACTTTGTTAAGACTGTTGTTCAATTTTTGTATTTCTAATCTCACAGGCACACTTCAGGTCTGCATCCTTTATAACCAAGGGGATGAGCTAAGGTGAACGTCTATTCTACGATGGTTCATCTTTTGGGGATTCTGGGCTGTCTTTTTTGAAGCTTGCTGTAGAACTGAGTCAACAAAAGCTTTATGTGAAACCCAACAAATTGTCACTACTCAAGCACCATGTTAATGAGACAAAACAAGAGTGAACTTGGAAGTAATGTTTTGTTGGCTTCTTTTTTGTTTTGTTTTGTCTGTGTGTTTTTAGTTTTTGGTGCATAGTTTTGCCGTGGGAAAAGTGTCCAGGAATGGCTTTCTCTCCCTTGACTGTCTTTTTAGTGACGTTGCCCATGATCAGGATTGCACAACATGAAACGTTCAGTGAATATTTGAAAATCCTTTCTTTCCTGTTTCTGCATCCTGTAACCACAGTAACAAGAATTCTTGAGGTGGCAGGAGGTTTTTTAAGACAGCAAATTATGGTTGAATTGTTAATAAATATTGCAGATGAAGTGGAGAAATGACTGGTTTTGTGTAAAGTGGCCTTCAGTGTGCAAATGGATATGTCCTTTTGTGCAAAACCAATTAAGTCTAAATATACTGTATATGGTCGCTTTTGCCACAAAATTGTTAATTCCTTCCTGCCGCACAGGAGAGGAGAGGATTGGCGAACACTATATTAAGATCAGGTGAGGCCGGGCACAGTGGCTTACGCCTGTAATCCCAGCACTTTGGGAGGCCGAGGCGGGCGGATCACAAGGTCAGGAGATCGAGACCATCCTGGCTAACACCGTAAAACCCCGTCTCTACTAAAAAAAATACAAAAAATTAGCCGGGCGTGGTGGCGGGCGCCTGTAGTCCCAGCAACTCGGGAGGCTGAGGCAGGAGAATGGCGTGAACCCGGGAAGCGGAGCTTGCAGTGAGCCGAGATCGCGCCGCCACTGCACTCCAACCTGGGCGACAGAGTGAGACTCCATCTCAAAAAAAAAAAAAAAAAAAAAAAAAAGATCCGGTGAGAGAGACCTCTAGCGGGAGATCATCGGGGCGCTCATCAGGGCCGACACTGGAGCAGAAGACAGCTGAGAAGTCAGAGAGGGAATGTTAAATTTAGCCCACAAGGTTGAACTGCACCGTGTAAGTAAACACACTGTGACTTGCCATGTCCTCCTGCTGACTTGGAAGATGTTTACTAACAAATCTGCCCTGTGGAATTGTCAAGAACTTATTGAGGCATGTCCAAAGTTAAAATCATCATTTTAAGGACATGCAACGTTCTTCACAGCCCTCACCTGAAATGCCTGGCCTGGGCGAGGTCAAGGAGTGGGGGATACCTTTTGGTAATAAACAGTCTAAATTGGATGAGATGACCCTCCCCTCCAATCCCCAAGGGCTAGTGAGGGATGGGGTTTTCTCATCATTCCAGTTGCTTTTTTAAAGAAAAGAATGCACCATTCTCACCCTTGCCTTCCCTAAGGCTCCTCTGAGTTGGGCTGTGAATATTATTATAATTCAGTGGGTTATCTTCTTATACTAGAAGGAAAATTACAAAGCACGCTTTTTTCCCCAAATTCCCTGACCATAATGCATACCTGAAGTTGTAATGCCAAATTCACACAAAAATTTTCATACCCTCTTAGCTACAGTTGTGATATTTCTTTGGTCCCTTATTTCTGTCATTCATTATTTATAAATAAAATGAGAGGAAACTTTAAAAATCTTAAAATTTTGCAGCTTAAAATGAACTCATGATATTAATGGTTTATATGGGGTTTTTAAAAGCATATTGTATGGGAAATGCCCTGCCTTTCTAAAATAAATAAATAAATACATACATAATATCTCCAGTGAATCAGGATTGAGGCTCCTTGCTCTCCACTTTCTTGTTGACCATCATTCATAAGTCCCTCTCAGGGGTTCAAAAGCTTGTTTCCAGGCAGCAAGAATCAGACTTTGAAGCCTATGCCCTTCAAAACCTGCATAAGGTTCATAACCCACACAGTGGAGTCTGCCAGTGAAAATGTGGACTCAACACATTTTAGCCAAAACCGCAACTGCCTCTGCTTCTAGTCTGTGACACCAGAGAGCCCATGAGTTTCTAGTCAGCCAACCTGGTTTGTCCTTTTTTAAACAGAAAATGGCAATAGCAAGGATTGATAAATACTATTTATACTCCAGGGATCCTCTAAGGTCTCATGTCTTCCTTGAAGCCTGCTCAGCCTGAAAAACATGGTCATTTCTGGCCTCTTGGTGGCCTTCCTCTCTGGGGAACCAGCATGGCTGCCCAGTCCTGTGCTGTGCATTGCACAGTGGCTTAACTCGCTATAGTGTATGCCTCTCTGCTTGGTGCATGCGTATGCCCTTAAGAGCAAAGACAGCTCTGATACCCTGGGTCTAGTTCATTCATTCACTCACTCACTCAAGTCATTTATTCATTCGTTCATACAGTAGTTATTGAGCCAGATCCAATTCTACTCTTCGGGGATATTTTTGTGAACAAAACAGACAGAATATTTTTTCCTGATGTGGAGTCCTTGGGGTTAATGAACATTCAACTCATAATCACAAATGGAAATTTTCCACAATGATAATATAAACTTATACCCTATGATAAATGTGACAGAGGAAAAAGGAATATGGTACCCTCAGAGAAAACAGTGAATGGCCTTATTTAGATTTGGGGTCAGAAAAGGCCTCTGAAGTGGTGATATTTAAGCTGAAACCCAAAGATACATGGTATCCCCGTACAGTAGGGCTAACAAGTATTTCTTGCTTTGAGAAATGATCAGCCATTTCTAAGGTCACGTGGCTGGTATGAACCTTATAACTGTGGAGAATCCTCCTGGCTGTGGCTTCCAGGGCAACCCCTTCCCTCCTTTATTTGCCACCAATCTCCTAATGTTCTTTCTGGTGTTCCCTGGCTCTACTAACCCGTGGAAACCTCCACCATGTCAGCTGAAGCTACAGCTGAAGTGAAGCAGGTGTATCTCAGGGCTACTTGCAGAAATAGGACAAAACTTTTTCCTGCAAATATATTAATGAAGCATCTTGCAGTCCATCAGACACTTATCCTAATGAAAGAGCATGTATCCTTGGTAGTCATCGTTGCAAAGTGAAAAGCACATGGCCTTTGGGATTCAGCTGATCTGGGTTTGAACCCCAGCCCTGTAGCCTCAAACAGACGATTTCTTAGTCTCAGTTTCCTCATCTGTAAGATGAGGGCAAACTCACTTTAAACGCACAAGGTCTTGTGAGGACTAATGTAACACACCCAGGCACAGAAGACAGTCACCAGACATTCATTGTAATCTTCTGCATTCCCTTTCTCCACAACTTTCTGACCTCTATGGGTCCCAGTTTCCCCTGAGCTCCCCAGTTCTCCCCTATGCTCCATGATCACATGAAGACCACCATCCTCCATTCAAAGCCAGCTCCTAGAGCATGAATCTGCTTCCCTTAAGAGACACAATGGGCCCAGCATGAGCCACCCAGGACCCAATAGCAAGGAGGATGTGAGTACCTAAGGACTGAGCAAGACTTCGGTCTTGCTCAGCAGAACAGTCCAGGGGATGACAGGGCACAGGAGCAACTCCCATCGTCAAGTGGGGAATCAGTCAAGGATTTGGTCCAGGAGGGGACCTGGGGCACCAAGCAGGATGATCATTCAAAACCTGAGAGCAGGGGCCAGGTACTCAAGGACAGAAGCCCTGGGGTGGGGAGTGTAAGAGAGAGGAAAGAGGGGCTATGATTTAGGGCTCCCTAAGACCTCCAGGAGCTTGTGCACAAGATAGGCACTTGGGACTTGGTCATCTAAAATAAAGAGTCCCTTCTAGGTCACCAGGAAAAGAGGTGTGAGCAGGACCCAAAAGTGTCTCTCCCATAGGTAATCTGAGATCAGCCTTGGGAGTGGGACGGGGAAGACAGAGAACTGCAAGAGGAGAAACTGACAGCAGACAGGACATTTTGCTTATCTGAAAATGCTACTATAGTCAAATCCCTTTTACTCCCTTACAGGTAAGCACAGACACCTCCAGCTTGCGAAGGGCAGATCCGAAAGGCCGGAGTGCGCTGTTGGCTGATATCCAGCAAGGAACTCGCCTGCGCAAAGTCACGCAGATCAACGACCGCAGTGCCCCGCAGATCGAGAGTAAGTGAGCAGCCGGGCCAGGCCTCCTGTGAGCCAAAGACAGGACAGGCATGTGAGGCACAGCCAGACACCCCTGGCTGGGGCCACAGCTGCTTCCCAGGATGCATATGGAGCCATCTCAGACCTGCTCATTGGACAGGCCAAGTGGGCGAGAGAACCAGAGCTTTCCCTCCAAATCTGCAAATGGTTTAGAGCATAACTTCCATCCTTTTCATATGCTAAAAAGAACAACTCTGCAATGGGACACCTATTTAAAAATTTTGATAAAATACACATAATATAAAATTCATCATTTTAACCATTTTAAAGTGTTCAATCAGTGCCAATTATTATATTCACAATGTTGTTGCAACAATCACCTCTATCTAGTTCCAGAACATTTACATCACCCCTAAAGGAAATCTCATACCCATTAGTAAGTCATTCCCCATTAGTCCCTGGCCCTTGCCAACCCAATCTACTTTCTGTCTCTCTGGATTTGCCTATTCTGTTATTTCAAAGAAATGGAATCATGCAATATATGGCCTTTTGTGGCTGGCTTCCTTCACTTAGCATAATGTTTTCAAGCTTCATAGATGTTGGAGCATGTATCAGTACTTCACTCCTTTTATCATTGAATATTTAATTGTATGGACACACCACGTTTTGTGTATTCTTTGTAGGGTAACATTTAAAGATCACTCACCTTGTGTCAACATGGTCCTTAAACTCAGTGATAGAAAGTGAAGGGCTCACTTTGTAAAAAATGCAAAATTTTTGTTTCACTTTTCACAAGGAGAAAGATTTATTAAGAATTCTGTTTCAGAGGATGATATGACTGAAGCTTGCTGTCTTCTAGAATGTGACAGAGTAAATTGAGTCCTGTGCTCAGGTCAGACGACCCACATTGAGTTCTGGTTCTGCAACCAGACAAATCGGGGAGCCTCTTTGAGGATGTTTGGTCATCTGTGAAATGGGGAGACAATACCTGGCTCCTTTTTTTTTTCTTGGTCGATTGTTGAAAGTTGAAATAATATATGCAGAACTCTTTAGTACAGATCGAGCATCCCTAATCCAAAAATCCCAAATCTGAAACTTTTTGAATGTCGACATGATGCCTCATGTGAATGATGAAGATGACGTTAACCCTGAAGAAAATGTGCCTCCAGGTGACATGGTGGAAATGTATGATGTGTTTACTGAAGGACAAGAGTAGCATACATTCATAACAGAACAAGAAATGATGTCAGTTTACAAAATCAGAGAGAGGCTTCTGAGACAAAAACCATTGTTGATGAAGCAGATGACTCTGGAGGAAACATTTTTAAAAGCCAGCTAGCAGAATGCTGCCTCAACTCTAGAGGACCTACTTCCTGGTCTCTCAGTGGTTTCTGATGTTTCTTCTCACCTAAAACAATGAGATCCAGTGTCCAGTAACCTTTAATCAAAACACAGCATCGCAGGAGACTGAAAGCCTGCCTTTGTTTGTTGCTGCCGTTGTCTAACAGCTGATCCGGGTATTCTGGTGATACTACTGTGTTGCTTAGTTACCTTGAACACATTATTTTTTTGCTGTGTTAATGGTATGCCATATTTTTAACTGCTAAGTACTTATGTGTGAAGAAGTGTAGGAAAATGATTGCTTATTGGTAGCATAGAAATTCAGTGTCAGGAATGATGGTAATGGACAAACCACAGATTGTCCACATGGGAGGCTGAGACGGTGACACCTTTGCTTTCTGATGGCTCCATGAACGCAAGCTTTGTTTTATGCACAAAATTATTTTAAAATATTGCATGAAATTAATATTTTATTAACTTCAGGCTGTGTGTAAAGGTACATATGAAACAAATACATTTCATGTTTAGACTTGGGTCCCATTCCCCAAGATATCGCATTATGTATATGTAAATATTTCAAAATTTTAAAAAAATCTGAAATACTTTGGTCCCAAGCATTTTGGATAAGGGATACTCACCCTGTAATGTAAGGTATTATTATGTCTTCCTATGTTTTGCTATGATGTGCGTGATGGTAATTCTTAAAGATAGTCCTAAAAATAGAATTATATCTCCTATCTGTAATTATAAATGTCAACACACAAGGATAGACAAATTTTTAAAGAAATATTTTCAACATTGAGAAATATTTTCAACATTGAGTACATTAAAAATTAGTTTCTGGTTAAACCCATGATCGAATTGGTTAAGCCTAATTAACAGGTAAATCAATTTCATTGAAACACTCACTTCCTAATCATTCTCATGAGTAAGTAATGTACAATATTAATACTCAGAATAATCTGGCCACTTTCATCCACCAGTGGGCACTGTGCCCTAATTTCTCTGTGCATATTAGCTTCAAGTTGTTAAATATTTTCTGCCAGGAATTCTTGTCTAAGCTGAGTATCTTCTCGTTTTCTGTAGTTGGTAATCACACATGTCTGGAAGGCTGGAGTTAGTGACACCTTTCCTCAGGGGCTCATGATCTTTCCGTTCCATAGATGAAAAGGTGCAGGGAGGTGCGAGGGGCTGGGGGCTTGAGGGCTGGAGAGACAGGAAGGAAACTGCCAGGGCACAGTCATGGCAGGCTTTACCTCCTGCCTGCTGTTCTGGTCAGCGCTCTGTGGACAAGAAGTTAAAATGACTGACTGAATTAAATCTGTGGGTTTTCTTTGTCTAGTCCTCCATAGCCAAGTTGAAAATAAGAGCAGCTCTACACCTACCACATTTGGGTTTTCTAATTCGAAGGTGCTGCCAGTTGCTCTGTTAGCATCTACAAAATGGCAGTGTTCAGGTCCCTTTGTTTTGGTCACTTTTCAGGGGAGCTGGGCACAGATGGTTAGTTCTTTGGTAGGACTGGAGAGGGCAGGGCATGTGAGTCTACAGGGTATCAAGGCAGAGGGTGCTTGGGGAGGATGCTGAGTGAAAGGATGACATTGGAGGTGGGAGAATGGGAAGGCTGACAAGGGCAGTGGTAGACCAGTGTTAGACCATGGTCTGAAATGAGACCTGGCTGCTCAGCTCTGCTCTCAAGTCCTTGCCTATTTGTGTCTTCTCTCTAAAGGTTCTAAAGGAACCAACAAAGAAGGAGGAGGTTCTGCAAACACACGAGGCGCGAGCACACCTCCCACCCTGGGAGATCTGTTTGCTGGTGGCTTTCCTGTATTGCGACCAGCAGGCCAGCGGGATGTAGCAGGTAAGGAAGAATTCATTCTGGCTCCCTTGTGGTCTGTATCTCCTTAACTTGTGGAACCATCTGGGCAATCCACACATGCCAGTAAGCAACATGGTTTTACTGAACGGGCATGATAGAGTAGAAGATCATGTTCTTGGGACCTTAAGCACTAGAAACTTCCAAAGTACAAAATGGTTCTTGAGAAATCTTTTAATTCATCATCCTGTTTAAATTATTCCATTGTAATAGCTTAAAAATGACTTGTAATAGTGTGTAATACTTAGTGATGGCGTGATGGTAGCCCAGACTGCAAAGTGTATATAAACAGAAGGTCCAAATTGTAATAGAACTTCATAGTGACATCACTGTGGATGCATTAGCAATGCATGAGTTGTAATGATTCGGTCATCATATCAGTTAGGTACTGCTGTGTAACGAAACACCCTAAAACTTAAAAGCTTTAAACAATCATTTTTTAGCCTACAATTCTGTGGGTTAGCAGCTTAGAGTAGTCTTGGCTGGGCTCCCTCTTGCATCTATAAAGAACTGCAGGTTGTGTAGGTAGCTTTGCTAATCTTATATTTCTCATATTTTTCCAACCTCTGGAGCCTCAGCTATAACCACTGGCCTGACTCACCTCTATCACGTGGTCTCTCAGTATCCAGCAGGCTGTCTGGGCCTTGTTTTCATGCCAGCAGCAGGGTTCCAAGAGAGAAGACAGAAGTATAAATAAAGTCTCTTGAGGCTTAGTCTTGGAAGTATTACTAGGATGTAACTTGGAAGTCTAAGAAGTATCACTTCCTACCACATTCTCTTAGCCAAAACAAGTCACAAGGATGGGGAAATAGACTTCGCCTCTTGATGAGAGGAACTGTAAAATCATATTTCAAAGATTATGGAATCAAGCATAAGTGGGTAATGAAGGCCATGTCTGTAATCAGTCTACCTCAGTGATTTTTGTTTCAGTGGGCATCAGATGTTTTGAAAATATTGCATTAAAATTGAACAAATACAAATTTACTCTGAGAAAAAAAACCTGTTTTTCCTATTCTTGTTCTCTTTAACCAGCAAGCTGAATAAACTCCAGGAATACCATTAATACAGGAGGAAATACAAAGGCCCAAACCTTCCTCGTACCAGATCTTCCATCATGCGACTTTTCTAACTTTTTCAGTGGCTTCTGTGACTGTTTAATGTTATGGGATGATTATGCTGCCTCACTCACCAATAAAAGTCCAGCAAAGAAAAAGACTCTAGGATATTTTGAGATCCAACTTGAACCTTCTCAGGGGCCATGTTCATTTCCTCATTTTTGCTGAGGGGTTAGCAGGAAAGGTAGAGTACAAGGTCTTCCTCAATAAAGACAGTGGATATTCTTCAGTGTCCTCTTCTTTTTCAAAATTCCCGAGTGCTATCAAACAAATATCCTTTGGAATAGAAGGCTTCCACCAGTTTCTCTTCATAGAAGATGGGAGAAATGGGCCCCAGTCAGGTTTTCATAGGAAGCAGCCAAAAATAGCCAGCAGGAGTCCTACTGGTCTGCTTGTCACCAGTGGGACATAAGTGTCAGATGTTTGAGCCGCTGTAATGGGGAAGACAAGAATTTATCTCTTTAGAGATGGAGGTCCATAAGGAAGTGACTAATGATGCCTGTTCCAGGATGGAAACTCAAGGAGAAAGCCACCAGATAAACACATGGACTGGGTACCATGTCAGGGCAAGGCAGGCCGTGGCTCCCTGCTCCCAGCACTTTCCCAACAGCCCCCTTCTCATCAGAGGAAGGGACTTGAGCCTTTGCTCCCTCTCTGATCTTCTGGCCTACCTTTCTTGGTGGTTCATGCCATCCCCTCCACTCACACTATCCTCCTTGCTGCTCTCACACACCAGCATGTTGCTGCCACTGGGCGCTTGCACCGACTCTCCCTTGGCCTGAAAGGCTCATCCGCAGGTGTCCACGTGGCTCAGTCTCTCCCTTCCTGCAGGTCTCTGCTCAGGTGGCAGCTGATCAAAGTGTCCGTGAGGTCTTCACTTATTATCCCATATAAAGGTTTAGTCCTATCCTTTCATTCCATATCTCCTTTTCCTCAATTTACTTTTCTTGTATTACTCGGCACCACCTGACATATCATGTATTCACTGGTTTATCTGTTTATTGTCTGTCTGATCCATCTGAAGCTAAGCTCCGTGAAGGCAGGGACTATGTTTTGTTCATTGCCATAGAAATGCCTGGCGCATGGCAGGTGCTCAGTAAATACTTGCTGAATTGCATGTGTGAATGGTAGTGTGGTGGCTGACATTCATTAGGGACCATAGCACAGTGTCATGGGCTCATGGTACTTTTAGGGACCCATGAAAATATTTAAATTTCTTTTAAAATCAGAAGAAAACATATGACCTTTTAGGATCAAAGAATGTATTTGTCTTTGTACCAATGCAGTCATGAATATAAATATTTTTTTAATAGAGAAGAGGCCCACAAAGGCAAAAGTGCCTAGGGACCCTGGAGTCATAATGCAACCTTGGCCTAGAGCTCTAAGGGAGTGAGAATTACAATAAGATATGATGAGTAAACATTATTTCTGGGTTGAATAGAATATGTAATGAGACTTCCAAGGTCTTCTGGAGAACATTCAGATTTGAGGAAGAAGAAATATTTCATCTTTTGCTAAACCTGCATGTTCTAAAAGCTGAATCCTTTCCTATGGGCACAGCATCCCTGATGCCCTCAATCTGGCCTTTCCCGCCACCTCCTGGCCTCCTTTGTGTTTTCTCTGGATTTCTAGGGCTCGGGTTTCCATTGTGAAGGACAGCCTCCTCCCTTACTTCCTTCAACTCCCTCGGAGCTCTCTGTCGGCCCAGGCCTGCCTCCTCCACTTGCCTGCACTTACACCATCAGCCCCTTTCTCCTCTGCAGTCTCACCTTCCTCCCTGAGGGGCATGCCCGCCCTCGCTTCTGCTGCGCATGTTAGGATAAAAATGAGTTTGCCCACATTTCTCATTTGGTTGGTGGCTTCATCAACACAGGATCCCCTACTTTTAACTGACTCACTTTAAGGGTTTTTGAATCTCTGAGACATGGTGTCCTCAGTTACTTAAAAGGTTTGGATAGGCTATTTAAGGGTAGGCTTTGCTCTGTTTTGTAAACTTTCATTATCCCTTTCAATTTCATTCAGCCACTGGGCATGTAGGTAGGCTCTGCCTTGTTTAGGCAGCTGCCTAGGTTCTCCTCGTCATCTTTTTGTATTATATGGAAAAAGGTTTGAGAACTTCTAGGCAGGAATCCCTGAGCTGACACCTGCTAATACCATCCTCACCCTACCTTAAGAACAGCCATTCCATAATGTGGTTGGAATATTATGGTCTAGGTGACTGTCACATTATAGCCAGAGGGGCTCATATTTGGAAAGCCAGATACCAAGGTCTTGCCTACTTAGCTTCACCTGAGTCACCTCTGCTAGGCCGTGCTTTGATTGGCCTGGCTTTTGACATCCAGTACTTTAAGTGTATGGCTTAGCCCCTGATTGGGGTAAACACACAGGAGACTCAAGTACTGCAAATCTCAGAACCCCCAACAGATGCTGGGATTTCTAATCTGAAATGAAAGCTGCAGGTCCCATGCTGCAGCACCCAGGAAGTAGTGGGTGTGAGAAAACATCATTTTTCAAGTGTTGTCCACATGTTGTCATGGTGATTATAAAATATAGGGGAAAACACCCCCCAGAATTCTTATAAAAAGAGCACTAAATCTGGAAGAAATATTTTAATCTGCCTCCTGAGTAGACAGTGATACTCCAAGGACATCTCTAAGCAGTAATTGCAGAACTTCGAGGCAGTAAACAACGAGAGGAACTTTTTCTTATTAGAGAGAGGCAGAGCGAAAAAAGGGTGAGAACTGGCAAAAAGGTGCAAGGCTGTGCGGAGTATAGAGGCCCCTCCTGGGGACGTGCTCCACCTGAGTCTTCCATGAAAACCAAACGCAAATGCTTATCAAGAGCCAATGGTTGTTGTTGAATTTAAAAGAGGAATTGAATTTCAAGCTGGGGCAGATGCAATGAAGGATCTATAGGATGAGAAAGCCAAAACCCTTGGGAATTAGCATAAGTCTTTGGGAAAGGAGGTTTTGAACTTCCAGAGGTCATAGAACTGTGAGGTTCAAGGTCATTGGACCTGGGTTGTCAAGGGCAAATGTCTCCCTCCAGTCTTACCTTATGTATTCAGGGAATCATGAATTTTCTGCTCTCAACACAGAAACAAAGAAAGTCAAATTTCACAAAATGCTGGGAGTGAAGAAAACCTCCCTAGCCAGGAGTGCTGGTTGGTACACCTGAGGGTCCAAATTAGAGCATAAGGGCTGATGGACCTAGCGGGTGTCAGTGAATGAGTTCGTGAGTGTGGCCTTGATTAGGAAGGGCAAAAGACACCCGGGCAGTCCTGGCCCTGGCTGGGATACTAGAGGCCCAAGGCAGATGACAGCACAGGTGGCATGGATAGGAGGGCTGGAGGCCTGACCTGGGCTTGTCATTAATGCTGGCAAGGACTTTGGATCTGGTCCAGTTGGTCCTTCTGGGTGACAGCTGTGGCACCTGAGGCCTCTCAGTGGACACGTGCAGAAAAAGCGGTCTACAGTGCAGCTCACTGCGGGCAGGCTTGAGTGTCCTGAGTGCCGCCTACCTGCGGGGGCTTTCTCCTTCTTTATTGCCGAGCTAACCCAGAATCTCTTTCACTTCCAGGTGGCAAGACAGGGCAGGGCCCTGGCTCCCGCGCGCCCTCTCCCAGGCTTCCCAACAAAACCATCAGCGGCCCGCTTATCCCGCCTGCCTCTCCCAGGCTAGGCAATACCTCCGAGGCGCATGGCGCTGCCAGGACAGCCCCGCCTCGCCCCAACGTGCCTGCCCCGCCCCCTCCCACCCCACCCCCTCCGCCTCCACCCTTACCCCCGCCCCTTCCCTCTTCCTCCCCCATCAAAACTCCGCTTGTGTCCCCACCCGGCCCACTGACCAAAGGGAACCTCCCGGTGGTTGCACCCCCCGTCCCCTGTGCGCCACCACCTCCACCTCCGCCACCTCCCCCAACGCCACCCCCGCTGCCCCCGGCCTCGGTTCTTAGTGACAAGGCAGTGAAGCCTCAGCTGGCTCCCTTGCACCTCCCGCCCATCCCGCCCCCGCTCCCTCTGCTCCCACCTTGTGGGTATCCGGGGCTCAAAGCGGAGCCCGCCAGCCCTGCGCAAGATGCGCAGGAGCCTCCCGCCCCGCCGCCCCCGCTCCCCCCTTATGCTTCTTGCTCCCCGAGGGCTTCTTTGCCCGCGCCCCCTTTGCCAGGAGTTAATAGCAGCAGTGAAACTCCACCCCCGCTACCCCCTAAATCCCCCAGCTTCCAGGCCCCACCGCAGAAGGCCGGTGCGCAGGCCTTGCCCGCCCCGCCTGCCCCTCCGGGCTCCCAGCCGTTCCTGCAGAAGAAGAGGCATGGCCGACCAGGTAAGGAGCGCTGCCTGGCCCAGTGCCCCTGGTGGAGTGCGATAAAATCTCGTCGTTGCACAGGACTTTATTGTTGGAGGTATTCGTTTCAGAGATGGACACCAGGGGTGAGGGAGGCAGAGAGACTTGCCCAAAATCATGCTGCATGTAAGCAAGGGATCCCGGCCTTGATCCCCTGCCCTTACTAGCTCTGTGGCCCTGGGCGACCACTTGGCCTCTCTGTTCTCCCTTCTATTCATCTGTAAAATGGGGATAGATGGCAATAGTTGTTACCTCCTGGGTTTGTTGTTAAGGATTAAGTGAGTTCTTAGGTTTGAGGTGCTTGGAACAGGGCAACAGTGAGCTTGAGAGGGATTATTTATTCTTACTACCAACCTTCCAACTCCCAATCTCCTCCCTGAGGTGGAGGGGGCGTGAGTGTGGCTTGTTTCCAGAACCAGGCCTCCTTTTATATTTGCCCGCGTTTTCCTATCTGGATCCCAGCCAGAATCTTCGCCGGCCCTCAGTAAACTGGATTCCCACTCTGCCTTAGTTTTCGCAGGTTCTCCGGCTGACTCAAGAAAACTGAGGGCCTGTATTTTGAGCCAAATATTAAAAATAATTCCTTCACATATGCAGCACAGGTTATTTGAATTGAGCGTTCATGCCCCATGGCTGATTTCCTTGATCCCGCTAGTAGGAGGCTTCATTCAGTTTTAGTGCCCCTGTGAATGGAAAGTACCTCCACACGTCCACAGATACACCCACATCCACACAGGCAGACACACTCAAACATATGCACACTCATAACACACACATCCACATGCACACCCCCAACACACATATTCCTTTGTCTTTTAGAAAATCTTTTGATGCAGAAAGCTTCTTAAAAGTATTTTCTTGACTTAAAAATAACGCAAGCTTGTTGCAGAGCTAATAGACGGAAATTCAAACTGGCCAGGTACGGATGGCTCACACCGGTAATCCCACTGCTTTGGGAGGCCCATGCATGAAGATGGCTTGAGGTCAGGAGTTCTAGGCCAGCCTGGGTAACACAGCGAAACCCCATCTCTACAGAAAATAAAAATAAAAAATTGGCTGGGCATGGTGGCAGACAACTATAGTCCCAGCTACTTGGGAGGCTAAGGCAGGAGGATCGTTTGAATCTAGGTGTTCAAGGCTGTGGGGAGCTATGATTGTGCCATTGTACTCCAGATTGGATGACAGAGCCAGATGCTGCTGTCTCTGAGTAAATTAAGTAATTCAATCACCCATAATAACATCACCCAGAGATGAAAACTGCCATTTGGATAGGTTTCTTCAATTCTTTTTTCTGAATATATGTACACGTTTACATGGTTAATACCATTTTTCACATACAGTTTTGTGTTCTGTGTTTTATTTAACATTATGTTAAAAACAATTTTATCAAATTGTTAAAATGTCTTTATAAGCATGACAATATATTCCATATTCCTCATGTTAGATATCTAAGTTGATTCCATTTTTTGTTATTATGAGTAATATTTTAAGAAATACTTTTGTAGAAATTTTAATCCACGTTTTTGATATTTTTCTAAAAGTATTGGTGTCTTAAAGGGAATTCCTGGTGCAAAGAGCAAAGATATTTTTAAGCCTCTTGATTACAAGAGGTAAGGTTTTAATCATTCTCTTTTCAATTGACTGGTCACCATGAGGGCCAGCATTTGGGCTGATAAGCCCCTTCTGATATTTGTTATTTTCATCTATTTATGATGTGATGAAAAAGACAAAGCTTTTTTTTTTTTTTTTTTTTTTTTTTTGAGACACAGTTTCACTCTGCCATCTAGGCTGGAGTGCAGTGGCAGGATCTCAGCTCACTGCAACCTTCGCCTCCCAGGTTCAAGTGATTCTTGTGCCTCAACCTTCCGAGTAGCTGAGGTTACAGGCGTGCACCACCACACCTGGCTAATTTTTGTATTTTTAGTAGAGACAGGGTTTCCCCATGTTGGCCAGGCTGGTCTCGAACTCCTGACTTCAAGTGATCAGCCCACCTCAGCCTCCTAAGGTGCTGGTATTACAAGTGTGAGCCACTATGCCCGGCCAACAAAAACAAGGCTTTTGATTCAGAGGGCTATGAGTTCAGATCCTGGGTTCCTCACCCACTCCTGTGGAAACTCACACCACTTGGGTTTGTTTTTTATTAATACTGAATTTTTTTTATTTGACAAATGGGCCTACTAATAACACCTTTCACATAGGATTATTAGGAATATGAAATGAGAAATCTGCATAAAGGGCTTGCATGTAACTTCAGCTCCAGCAGCATTATTTCCTTACCACACAGTGGGGCAGCTGTTCACCCAGAAGAGGGGCTGCAGTCCTTTTACTGCATGTGGGAGCAAGTAAATTCCTCATAGATCCTTGTGCCCAGAAAGGGAAGACCAGAAAGGGAGAGGAAGGCAGTTGGGAGGAAGAAAAGAAGATGAGCAGATGCTGAAGGGACATGAGACACGAGGATGGCGGCTGATGACTGAGAATGCCTGCTGCAGCTGGGGCCCCTTCATCTGCTCCAGAGTAGTGAGCCCAAGGCCAGGATGGGGATTCATATCTGCCCTTCTTGTTTGCATCTTTGGATTTGAAACTTGGTTTGTCCATGTTCAAAATAAGGGCAATTTCTACTTTAGCCCAACATGGGGGGAAAAGAGAGAGGTAGTAGTTGTGAACATCTTAGCACAGATAGTAATAATGTAATTGTCATCATTTCAAGAAGCAAAGTGATGTTTGCAGTGCCACTGAAGAAATAAGCAGCAGTGGAACCCCTGCACTGATGTGCCAGGATAGCAGATTTTGGGTTGCCAGATGAACCATACAGGAAAGTATTGGCAAAGGAGATAGTGAGCCTCTCAGGCATGATCAGAGAAGGCTGGAGGAAGTAGGTTGGATTCAAGTTAGGCCCTGGAGGGCACGTAAGATTTAGGTGGACCGGAAAGAGAAACAAGCATTTGCAGTGCTGGAGAACCAGTGTGAGCAGGGACACAGGGGCAGAACAAGCCCCTGGCCGCTCCCTCTTCAAGCCTCCCTCTGGGCCTCTTCTACAGACAGCCCTTCCTGTTCTTACCACTCTCTAGTGATTCCCCTGCTTTGGGCTGTACCTGATGATGAAGGTTATCACCATCATTAATATTATTGCAGCAGCTAACATTTATTGAGGACTTACTACATGCCACTCAACTTAAATTCAACTCATTGAATCTTCTCAGTAACCCTGGGAAGTGGGTGTACTATTACTACTCCCATCTTACAGATGAGGAAACTAAAACACAAAGAGGCTATGCTACTTATCCCAACAGGAGAACTGCAATTCAGTGCCAAGCAGGTTGACTCCAGAGGTTGCCCTTTTACTCGCTGTATCATATTACATCTGAAGATAGAAATGCCTAATATCTCACATAAGGTTATAGCATCCACCATTCCCATCCGTGTTTCTGAGTACACCATCATCTTCTCTGTAAGGGGCCGGTGGGGGAAAGCTAAATCCACCTCCAGCACCCCCTGCGAGATCACCTACCACAGAGCTTTCAAGCAAGAGCCAGCAGGCCACAGCCTGGACCCCGACGCAGCAGCCTGGAGGTCAACTGCGAAATGGAAGCCTGCACATCATTGGTAAGTGGGTTGCACCCTCTGCCGGTTTGGCTGCCAGTAGGAAAGTGATTCTCCCAACCTCTGGAGAGAGAGTTTGCTGGCCACAGTGCTGCCATCTCAGGGTGCATGCTTCTTTCATGAACAGGGGCTCACTCCAGCACCAACCAGCCCATAGGTTCTGTTAAATAGGGTTCCTTTCAAGGCTTTCTGCATAGTTTCAAGGCCCACTGTCTAGCCTTCTAATTCAGATTAGAGAAAGGGAAGAAAAGCAGCATTTAAACTGTGTGAGTGTGTGTGCGTGTGCGTGTGTGTGCGTGTGTGTGTGTGTGTGTGTGTGTCTATGGAGAAATCAATGCATAAGCCTGAAAGAGTAGAATGATATGGATAAGGAGAAAGATACATAGAAGACTCACCAGGTAGAGGGACATTTTGAGTACAAGTATGGAGGTAGGAAGGAAAGTCACCTGGGGTCAGATGTGAAGCCGTGGAATCTTTCGATCCCTTCTGTGTGCTGGGCTAGTGTCTGACAGAGGCCCAGATCACAAAGCAGGGGCTCAGCCCATGAAAGGGCCACAGGAGCCCTCCCCTCCTGCCAACAGATCCCAGAGCAGAAGCTGTTTGCTTTGTGGAGCTCAGGTCCCACCCTAGACACAGGCCATGCTCCTCCATTCCCCAGTCATTCTGCCCACCTCTCCCTCCCCTCAAAACCCTCCCAGGAGCTTCTCAGGTGCTTCAGGTTGCTGGGGCTTTGCCAGTTCCTTGTTGGGACCAGGGTCCCCACCTCTGATTCTGGACCCTGGAGAGCCCCATGCCACTTCCACCCCTTTAGCAGCTTCCTTACGGTGTTATTGGTTGAAGTAAGTTCAGGTGGGTGACAGGGAGTGACTGGATTTCCCTCTTCCTGCTTCCCTCCATCCCAACCAACCAGTAAAACTTGAGAGGTGAATGGATGTCTTAGGGAGAATGGCCCTGTTGTTAAAATCCTTGCACTGAGCAGGCAAACAGAAAACGGTGGATGCAGTCAGAGTAATCTCTGTGCTCCTGGAAATGATCAAAACTTGGATCATGACAGTAACCTGAGTAACTCTTTCCATTTCGCTTGTGTGCAGATGACTTCGAGTCTAAATTCACGTTCCATTCTGTGGAAGACTTTCCCCCTCCGGATGAATATAAACCATGCCAGAAGATTTACCCCAGCAAGATCCCCAGAAGTAAGTACCACCTTGATAAGACTCCTGGCATCTCCCGACCCTTCAAAATTAGGTGCCCACTGTGCATCAGTTGGTCACAGACTGTCTAAAGGATGATGTCATGATTTCACTGTACCACTGCAAGGATGTAGTGCTGTGCATAGTTCTGGAACTTTCAGGACATTGATTTCTCCTGATACCTAAGTGTTCATTTAGAGATTTTTATAGAACACTAAGGGTAACTGTTTGGCATCAGATTTGGATGCCTAAACTTACCACTCATCTCTCTCCTCCCTGGGGCTTTTGATAAGGGAACTAACCAACCCAGATAACAGCAAAATAGGATATTTTGCATCAATCACTGAGGAGGAACCTGAAAACCCCTAATTCAGAACTCTGGCAAATCGTGACATGGAGAATGTCCTCAGGTCAATGGTTCTCAACCTTGGCAACATATTAGAATGACCTAAGGAGCTTTTACAAATCCTGAAGGCCAGGTTACATCTAAACCACATAATCAGAATATCAAGGTGTCAGGATTTTTAAAAGCTGCCAGGTCATTCCAACATACAGCCAAGGTTGAGAATAATAGCCCAGTAAGGGCCCTCCTCCTCCTGATTTCATTGTGTGGTCAGACTTTAAGAGAGGACATTTAACCCAGCTTAACTGTTCAGCCTTAAGAGTAGAAAGATGAGCCAGGCATGATCCATGCCTGTAACCCCAGCACTTTGGGAGGCTGAGGCAGGAGGATCACATGAGGCCAGGAGTTTAAGGCCAGCCTTGTCAACATAGCAAGATTCCATTTCTACAAAATAATTAGCCAGGTGTGGTAGTGCACACCTGTAGTCCCAGCTTCTTGGGAGCCTGAGGTGGGAGGATTGCTTGAGCCCAGGAGTTGGAGGCTGCAGTGAGCTATGATTGTGCCACTTCACTCCAGCATTGATGACAGAGTGAGACTCTGTATCCACAAAAAAAAAAAAAAAAAAGAGAGAGAGAGAATGAGGTGATGAGGTGGAAGAGCCAATTCTTGTCTGGTACTGGGCCAATCAGATTGGGCAGGAGCCAGAGTCAGCATTATAGAGTGAGTGTCAAATGCGTTCCCACCCGACACCCTAAGTAAGCCCCCATTCCAGACCTCTGTGGACCCAGATGGAAAATCAGTGTCCAGGGTTAGCCTAAGACCAGGAATCGTGAGCCAGGCTCTTTGCCCGTCTTCTTTCAGAGGGACCTTAGTGAAGTCCTTTCTGCAGAACTCAACTTCCTGCAGAGCAGAGGGAATGCAGGCCTGCCGTGTGCTCAGGTGGAGGGCGCGTGGACCTGCCCTGTGCTCAGGTGGAGGGAACCCAGGGCCCTGTGCTCAGGTGGAGGGGGCTCAGGCCTGCCCTGTGTTCAGGTGGAGGGGGCGAGGGCCTGCCCTGTGCTCAGGTGGAGGGGGCGCAGACCTGCCCTGTGCTCAGGTGGAGGGGATGTGGGCCTGCCCTGTGCTCAGGTGGAAGGGGTGAGGGCCTGCCCTGTGCTCAGGTGGGGGGAATGCGGGCCTGCCTTGTGCTCAGGTGGAGGGGGCGCGGGCCTGCCCTGTGCTCAGGTGGAGGGGGCGAGGGCCTGCCCTGTGCTCAGGTGGAGGGGGCGAGGGCCTGCCCTGTGCTCAGGTGGAGGGGGCACGGGCCTGCCTTGTGCTCAGGTGTGGTGAACACAGGCCTTCCCTGTGCTCAGGTCGGGGGAACACGGGCCTGCCCTGTGCTCAGGTGGAGGGGGCGCGGGCCTGCCCTGTGCTCAGGTGGAGGGGGCGCGGGCCTGCCCTGTGCTCAGGTGGAGGGGGCGAGGGCCTGCCCTGTGCTCAGGTGGAGGGGGCGAGGGCCTGCCCTGTGCTCAGGTGGAGGGGGCGAGGGCCTGCCCTGTGCTCAGGTGTGGGGAACACGGGCCTGCCCTGTGCTCTGGTCGGGGGAAAGTGGGCCTGCCCTGTGCTCAGGTGAGGGGAACACAGGCCTGCCTTGTGCTCAGGTGGATGTTCATCTCTGGGTCCGCTGGGACATCTCTCTGCTGGCCTGCGTGGCTGTACATTTAGAGATATAACCCTGTGTGCCCTTTCTAATAAAATGTAAATACCAACTGCTCTGAGTTGAGAGAGAGAGAAAGGGATCAGTATGAAGGAGGATGGAGGGAAATCCCACCCACTGAAGGTTAAATAGAACATGAAGGGCCAGCAATGGGGGAAGACAGGTGCTGTGTCCATCTCCCATCCTTGCTCAGTTCAGCGCGCTCACATGAACCGCCTGTCATACGGCAGGCACCCTGTAGGCACCAGAGGCTGCAAAGTGTAAGAAACAAGCTCTCCTCCACCACGCACCCACCACCCTCCTGAGATAGATGAGAATTAGACCCCATAAGAGTGTCTTAATCAATGATTGTTTAGAGTGCCAAGGGGGTGCAGGTGAATGCTGGGGGCCTGAAAGCCAGAGAGAGAGGGTCACAGTTCCACGTGGGTGGGAAGGCATCCAGGCTGAGGACAGGACAGACCCAGGAGAGAGTGTGATTGTGCTGGGTGCATGTAGGAACCATCTGTCCCACGTGGTACATCAGAGCCCAAGGTGCCTGGCTAGATAAGACCATACAGACTGCCGGAGGTGCAAGGTTGGGAGTGTGTGTCCATATATAACACCCCTTTCCCCATCTTGTGAAATATGCACAGGAATCAGCTCGATAAAAACCTAAGTGTTTGTGTTCTTATTGGAGGACACAGCTTAGGTTCCCCAACAGCAGGCCTCCTAATACTGCCCCAGAATTAGGCTCCTTTACTCCCTCAGGCAGCAGGACTCACACATGAGGAAACTGAGCCTGGCCCCCTACAGTCACAGAGTGTGCCTCACGGGACTTTCCACATGGCAAGGAGAGCAGAGCCAAGGGACCCCCTTCATCAACAGGCAGCTGGATCTCATAGTGGGCCGGAAGGAGCCAGGCTGCACGGGGCTGCCTGCACATGAACCTATGGAGACAAGGAGATAAGGGTGCCTTCTAACAGTCTGTGTCCTGCCTAAGGCATTGGAGCGTGAACCTGTAAGCAGGGAAGAACTGTCAGTGCAAACACTAAATGACAGTTCCAGGGCCGTCATGGACCCTGCAGTGGATGCTGTGGATGTTCATGCCTGGCACTGTTCTAGGTGCTTTGCATACCTTATCATTTGTCCTTAATGCAGAGAGTTTCCAGACAGGGAAAAGGCCAAGTGACTTGCCTAAAGCCTCACAGCAGATTAAAGCCAGAGCCAGGAATTTTGAACCCACACCTGTCTGAACCCAGGGCCAGTTCCATTTGGCCGTGGTGAACTCTGAGAACGGACGTGATGAGATGCAGGTTGAGACAGATAACCAGTGGCTTGATCAGAGGAGGTAGAGACCAGGGTCAGGGAACCTGTTAGCCAGCTATTATAAGAGTCTGTGCTGGGAGGCTGAGGCAGGCAGATCACCTGAGGTCAGGAGTTTGAGACCAGCCTGGTCAACATGGTGAAACCCTGTCTCTACTAAAAATACAAAGTTAGCCGGGTGTGGTGGCGGACGCCCGTAATCCCAGCTACTTGGGAGGCTGAGGCAGGAGGATTGCTTGAACCTGGGAGGCAGAGGTTGCAGTGAGCTGAGATCGTGCCATTGCAATCCAGCCTGGGTGACAAGAGCAAAATTCCATCTAAAAACAAAAAACAAAAAAAAAAGAGTCTGTGCAAGGGAGGTTGGATGGAGGAGGTCCTCAGAGTGATCAGGGTTTGGAGAACCAGGTGCAGATGGGATCAAGGAAAGTGGAGGAGCCAGCATCCCAGGAGTGCCTGCCTTGGGCTGGTTGGAGAATGTGACACCAAGAAGGAACTGGAGGTTTCAGGGGGAGGTGATGGGATTCCTGTCATTTATGGTGAGGGGAGGTGGCTAAAGGGCTACAAGGGGGAGATGCCATGTGGCAGGTGGAGCGCAGGGTATACAGGTCTGGGGCTGATAGGGTGGGGCAAGGGCAAGGACTTGATTTGCTGGCCATTAGTTTGGAGATGGAAATATAGAACAATGAAGGACATGGCCATGATGTCGGCCGGGGTGCGTGAAGTAGGTCTGTCTGTGTGACAGGAGGCTTTAAGCTGCCAATGAACAGGGTCAACTCAGTCCCTCCCAGACAGCCAGGCCCGTGCAAGCATTTAATAAATGGGACTTGACTTTGGTGACCTAGACAGAAAGCTGAGGGGGGAGGTAAGGAATTCCTTTTATTATACTGTCACCAAGTTGTAAATCAAGAATGTATACTGTTTTTCTTAATTTAATTCAGTACACTTATTGGCAGTATTGAAATAACTGTGCCCTTGGAAAATGCAAATGTACAGAATCCCAGCTACTGGCTCATTCAGGCTCCTTTCCTTCCCCTGAGGCAGGGTTTGCTGACTGGCCACGTTCATGCCATAAGCCCCACAGCTTTCCCTTACACCCACCTGGCCCCTGAAGGCTTTTTAATTGTAACCTATACCCTAAACCAGAGGTCAGCAAACATTTGCTGTAAAGGACCAGAGAATACATATTTGAAGTAATGCAGGTCTCGATTACAACTACTCAATTCTGCTGATTATTAAATCAATCAGCAGCCATAAATAATACATAAATGAATCGGCATGGCTGTGTTCCAATAAAACTTTATTTACAAAAACAGGTGTGGGCTGGATTTGGTCTGCTGGTCATGTTTTGCTGATCTGCCCTAAACCATTCCAGAAAACAGATTCCTAAAAACCTCTTTCTGCTCTTCAGTCTTTCTCAGTAATGTGCTGTGGGGTCCCTCAACCTTCAGATTCAGTCAGTGCTAATCTACAGCTAGCTGCATTTTATGTCCGTGGTGCTCACTCGCGTCCTCAAGAAGAGAAGAAAAGCTACACCCCCTCACTGCACACAGCTTGCCAGGAGGGTGCAATTGGCAGTCTGTGCACCAAAAATAATCTCCTGATGTTTACAAAGAGCAGTTTTTTAAACAGCCTATTAAATGAACTGACATTGTACAGACTTGAAAGGGCAAGTGCAATTTCAAAATTAAGATACTGTTTTAGATTGATGTGGCATCGGTGGACACGAAGTACTCCACTAGCCTCCCAGCAAAATTAAATATGCATGTTCCTGTCATCCCTGTGAGCCCTAGTGCAGAACCTTTTAAATTATATTAGTGTGAATCAGATGTGGTGTATGCCTGTCTGATTACATTTCTCCTTACCAGTTTTCTTCTTGTTCACTGTTGACCTGGCTCCCCAAGATGAGTTCTTCGTGGTCTGGGAGACAGTGTTGTTTCTATCAGATGAGTGTGTTCTCATACCCTGTGGTCTCCTATGTGCCCTCTGTCCCCACCTGCTTGTTTGCTGTCTCTCTTTCTGACACACACACACACACACACACACGACACACACACGAGCACACACGCTTAGCTCTTCCACTAGCCATCATCACTGTCTCCACTCTGCAGGTGTTTGCTATTTTCTTCCATTGAGTGAATGGCTTTGTTTAGTTTTGTGTTTTGTGTGTGTTGTTGTTTTTTTTTGTTGTTGTTGTTGTTTTTCGCTTTTGTTTTGTTTCATTTTTTTGAGGCAGTCTCACTCGT
The DNA here is from genome assembly GCF_000001405.40 of Homo sapiens. Lineage (NCBI taxonomy): Eukaryota > Metazoa > Chordata > Mammalia > Primates > Hominidae > Homo > Homo sapiens. The sequence goes on from NC_000007.14 coordinate 29,894,989, forward strand.
TTGCCTAGGCTGGAGTGCAGTGGCGTGATCTCGGCTCACTACAACCTCTGCCTCCTGGGTTCAACCGATTCTCCTGCCTCAGCCTCCCAAGTAGCCCATGCACCACCACACCCAGCTAATTTTTGTATTTTCAGTACAGACAGGGTTTCATCCTGTTGGCCAGGCTGGGCTCGAACTCCTGACCTCAAGTGATCCGCCCACCTCGGCAACTCAAAGTGTTGGGTGGGTGAGCCACCGCACCCAGCCTAGTTTTTTTTTCCTAATGTTTTTAAAATGCATTAGATTCCTCAGTAAGTGAAACATATAATTACCATTATGACCCATCAATTCCACTCTTGGGTATAGGCTAAAAAGAATTTAAAACTAGTGTTCAAACAAGAACTTGTACACAAATATTCATAGCAGCACTATTCACAATAGCTAAAAGGTGGAAATAACTGATGAACACAGAAGCAAAATGTGGTGTAGCCATACGATGGAATATGATTCAACAAGAAATAGGATGGAAGCACTGATACATTGCTACAACATGGATAAACCTTGTGTTAGTTTGTTCTCACATTGTTATAAAGAAATACTTGAAACTGGGTAATTTATAGGAAAAGAGGCGTAATTGGCTCACAGTTCTGCAGGCTGTACAGGAAGCATAATGCCAGCATTTGCTTCTTGGGAAGCCTCAGGGAGCATCCAGTCATGGTGGAAGGCGAATGAGGAGCACTTGTGTCACGTGACGGAGCGGAGCAACAGGGAGAGTGTTTGGAGGAGGTGCCACACACTTAACCAGATCTTGCAAGAATTCACTATCTCCAGGACAGCATCAAGCCATAAGGGATCTGCCCCCATGACTCAGACACCTCACACCAGGCCCCACCTCTAAATTGGGGATTACAGTTAAACATGAAATTTGGTGGGGACACGTATTCAAACTATATCAAACCTTGAAAATATTATGTAAGTGAAAGAATCCAGAAACGAAAGGCCACATGTTGTATAATTTCATTCAGATGGAATGTCCAGAAGAGGCAAATCCACAGAGACAGAAAATAGATTAGTGGTTTCCAGAGAGAAGAGGAAGAAGGGAATGGTGAGTGAGTACTGATGGATGCAAGGCTTTCTTTTGGCAGCCAGGGCAACATAGCAAGACTCTGTCTTTACAGAAAAATTTTAAAAATTAGCCAGGCATGGTGGTGTGCTCCTATAGTCTCAGCTGCTGGGGAGGCTCAGGCAGGAGAATCATTTGAGCCCAGGAGTTTGAGACTGCAGTGAGCTATGATTGTGCCTGGGCAACAGTGAGATCCTCTCTAGCCTGCGCAACAGTGAGATCCTCTCTCTGAAAAAATTTTAGGCTGAGTACAGTGGCTCATGTCTCTAATCCCAGCACTTTGGGAGGCCAAAGCAGGTGGATGGCTTGAGCTCAAGAGCTCGAGACGAGCCTGGGCAACATGGCGAAACCCCATCACTACAAAAAAATACAAAAATTAGCTGAATGTGGTGGTGCATGCCTGTAGTCCCAGCTACCTGGGAGGCTGAGGTGGGAGGATTGCTTGAGCCCGGGAGGTGGAGGTTGCAGTGAGCCATAATGGTGCCACTGCACTCTAGCCTGGGTGCCAGAGCAAGACTGTCTCAAAAAAAAAATTTTTTTTTAAGTTTTCCTTTTGGGGTGATAGAAACATTTTGAAACTACATAGAAGTGATGGTTGCACAACACTGTAAATGTACTAAATGTCACTAATGGTAAATTGTATGTTATGTGTATTTTACAACAATAAAAAGAAAGTGAACAAAAACTGTCAGTAGGAATTTTGGGAAAAATGCAAAGGTCACAAATATTTGTTAACATAATGATGGTATAAAGAATGACATCATCTTCCTATCAACAGATACTCACTGAGGCCCTTGCCCTTTGGAGAGATTTAGATAAACAAGTACCTCACATGTGCTTGAAAAATTCACATTTCAAACATAATTGTGGTTATATCCCAAGTCCTGAACAACTCCCCATTCTCCTCTTCCCCCAGCCCCTGGCAATACCCTTCTACTCTCTGTCTCTATTAATTTCACTGCTCTAGGTACCTCATGTAAGTGGAATTATATAGCATTAGTTTTTTTAAGCCTGGTTTATTTTACTTAGCTTATGTCCTCAAAATTCATCTATGTTGTAGCATATGTCAAAATTTATTTCCTTTTTAAGGCTGAATAGTATTCCATCGTATGGATGTACCACATTTTGTTATCCATTAATCTGTTGATAGACACTTGGGCTGCTTCCACCTCTTAACTTCTGTGAATGCTCTGAACATGGAAGTACAAATATCTGTTCAAGTCCCTGCTTTCAATACCCAAAGTAGAATTGCTGGATCGTATGGTAATTCCATTTTTAATTTTTTGAGGAAATGCTATACTGTTTTCATATCTACTGGGCCATTTTACACTTCTACCATCAGTGTGCAAGTGTTTCAATTTCTCTATATTCTCTCTGACAATTTTTATTTTCTGTTTTTTATTTTATCTTATTTTTGTTGTATAGTGGCCATTCTGACAGGTGTGAGGTGGTATCTCTTTGTGATTGAACTCCTATTTTAAAATAGAGTTACTTTACACTTAACAGTAAAAACACGCACCGTTATTTCCATTAGCAATGGAAACTCTCCATTAGGCACTGCAGTAATTTCAACAGTATGGAATAGTTCATGTCATAAAAATTAAAGAATTAGATGTCCCAAGACAGAGAACAAAACATACTGCCAGTAGGAGGGTATTTATTTCCATCTTTGCGGAAGGCAGCTGGGGAGTAAGAACCTCTGCCCTGATGAGCTTTCCTTGGTGAAGCCTGGTTTTTACTGCTGACCATACCTCTTCAAAAGCTGTCTTCCAGCACCCCACTCTTTTACCACAGCTTCTGTCCTTCCAGGACAATCCTTTGTTTCTTTGAACCCATGAAGGTACTGTAATGTCTATAAAGTATCTCTCTGGACCTACTCTGGTCCCTGAGCCATTTTTCTGCTCTTCTCTTAGCCAACACTGCCTCCACTTCCCCACCCCCTGTTCTCTCTGGAGCCAAGTCCTCCCAGGCTTTCTCCCCTCAGCACCATGGTAAGCGCTCTTACCAAGGCCACCAGTGGAGCTCCATGTTGCCAACTACAGTGTCAGAGGCTCTAGCCTCAGCCCGTCACTCCCTCTTTCTGAAACACTTCTTCATTTAGATTTTATGACAGCTCTCTCCTTTCTCCTTCCACTGTACACTGACTCCTTCTCAGTTTTTTGTTACACCACACACTTCAGAGTCGTCTTTGACTTCTCTCTTCTACTCCTGCATCCAACTTACCAGTGAACTCGGGTGTCTCTCCTTGAAATGCACCCAGAATCCGATCTCTCTTACCTCCTCTGCCACTCCCATTCTGCCCTAAGCCACTGTCATTCCTCACCTGAATTGTTGCTGGAACCTGCTAACAGGATCCACTGCTTCACACTGCAGCCCAAGTGATTTGTCTACAGTCCAAGTCCAGTCACTCCCCTCCGCTCAGAATCCTCCAGGGAATCCCCATCTCGCCCCAAGTCAACTGGAAATTCCTATCATGGTTCATAAGACCTACGTGAACTTCCTCCCTCCCCTTTCACCACTCTCCTCCTACCTCATTGTGCTCTAACAACACCTGCAATTTCCAGAACATTCCAAGTACACATTTGTTCCTGGGCTCTGCATTTGCTGTTCCTTCTGATACCTGGTTCTGAGTGATGATAACCACTTTTAATACATTGGTGTACATATTTCTGGTCTTTTCTCTCTTTATTTGATCAATTTCTTTTCTACCTAAATATACAAACTATTTTTTACAAAATTTAGGTTTTATTTTGTGTACTTTTTAGTATACTTTCTCCGAATATCCATGTGACCGTCTCCCTACTTTCTCTTGATCTTTGATCAAATGGTACCTGTCTTAGCTCAGGCTGCCATAACAAAATACCATAGACTGGGTGGCACAAACAACAGAAATTTATTTTCTCATGGTTCTGGAGGCTGAGAAGTCCAAGATCAAGGTGCTGGTCAATTTAGTTTCTGGGGAGGGCTCTCTTCCTGGCTTGCAGAGGGCTACCTTCTCACTGTGTGCACACTTGGTGCCACACAAGCTTCCTGGTGTCCTGTTTTATAAGGGCACTAATCCCATCATGAGGGTCCCATCCTCATGACTTCATTTGCACCTAACGACCTGCCAAAAGCCACACCTCCAAATACCATCATACTGGGGCTAGGGCTTCCACATATGAATTTTGGAGAAACACGATTCAATCCATGGCAGTAACTTATCAGAGAGGTCTCCCCTGACTACCCTGTATAAGACAGAAGCTCTTCCTGCCCTATCACTTTTTATTCTCTTTACACTGTTTTTTAATTGTCTTCAAAGCATTTATCACCTCCAGACATTATTTACCTGCTACTTGTCTGCCTCCGCAGTACAGTGTAAGGCCCTGAATGGCAGAGACTGCAGCAGTTTTTATTCACTGGCTTATTTCCAGCTCTCAGAATAAAGTGAGGCACACAGACACTCCTTACGTATTTGTTGAATTAATAAATTAAAATGTTCACTCATATATGCATTGCTGAACCATTTACATAATAAAACAATTTGGAAATAGCACACATCTCCAGTATTGGGGTTAAATAAATGGAGGCAGAGCCACACAATGGAACGCTATGTAACCATTACAAAATGGGGCTATCAAATATTTAGTGACATGGGAAAATGTTTACCTTTTTACGTAAAAACACCTTGTTATGTAAAAACAATACCAAAAAATGTATACAAAAAAGTATATAAAATAAAATCTACATTTTGTAAAAAATAAATTCGTGTATCTGCAGAAAAGGAGAAGTTGATCAAATAGAAGAGAGAAGAGACTAGAAATATGTACACCAAAATATTTTATTTATTTATTTATTCATTTATTTAGAGATTAGGTCTCACTCTATTGCCCTGGCTCACTCTATTGCCCTGGCTCGAGTACAATGGTGCAATCTTGTCTCACTGCAGCCTCTGCCTCCCAGGTTCAAGTGATTCTCCTGCCTCAGCCTCTTGAGTAGCTGGGACTACAGGTGTGTGCCACCACGCCCAGCTAATTTTTGTATTTTTAGTAGAGATGCAGTTTTGCCATGTTGTTCAGGCTGTTCTCAACTCCTGGCCTCAAGTGATCCGCCTGCCTCAGCCTCCCAAAGTGCTGGGATTACAGGTGTGAGCCACTGCACCCAGCCTGTACACGAAAATATTAAAAGTGGTTATCGCTCAATGGTGAAAGTTGGGTGATATTAATTTTCTTTACTAATTAGTTCAAGTTTTTATAATACATGTGCATTGCTCTTAACAATCTTGAAATCTACTTTTTAAATTGCAAGTTGTCAGGAGAGAGAATATGATTAGCTCACCTCTGGCCCAAGCACCTGTGGACAGGAAGTGAGGTCCGCTGGTATGCAGGGTGACCTCTCTCAGAGACTGAGCGGGCTCAGTTCTCTGCGAGGAGAGGAGGTTGAGGAAGGAGTGATGGAGGCTCTCATACCAGCCAAAATGATGACAACAACAGTGGGGGATGAGAGGAAAGGCCAGATATGCAGTCTCTAAGGTTTAAACCTAGAAGACACTAGAATGATCATTTCCAATCACACTTGTCATTTCCTTCACTTAGAGATGATGAGAAGCCTCCAATGTAAGAACAAGAAAGGCCCTTTGAGGTCAGACAGCCCAACTCCTTCCTGTACAGCTAGAGAAGCCAAAGCAGAAGTAAAGTGGCCTGCCCTGTTTACAGCTGGTGGCAAAGCTGGGGCTAGAGTCCAAGTTCTCTGCCCTGGGGTCCAGCACTCCTTGCACCACATTGCACTGTCTCTCCACTCTGATGCCAGGGCAGCCCATAGCTTAGTCAGACGGTGTTGGCCCAGAGCTGACAGTTAGGTTTGCTTCAAAGCCCCCTCCCTGGCTCACAGGAATTGCAGCCCAGGGCTGGTGGTTATTCTGGGAGGGAATTGCAGCCCAGGGCTGGTGGTTATTCTGGGTGGTTATGAATGGGAGGGAAGAAGAGCCATCTGTGGACAGGAGATGGAAGCAGTGTCCACTCAGCCTGCTCTTAAGTGCAGTAGGTGCTTGAGATTGAGGAGAGAGGTAAACAATATTTCTGCTGATGAGTTACAGTATCCCAAGTGTGAAAACCCCTGATTTGGTGAATCTGCAAAGCCCTTCTGTGGGAAGGGAGCCCATGTGAAGGACTACTTCAGCAGAATGGCTCTGCTTTTGAATTCTGAGATTCTGGTGGCATCTCATAAGGGAAATTCCCTTTAAGGGAATATTTGGATTAAAAGCACTCTGACAAACCCTGACTAAGTCCCGGCCACTCACTTCTAGCAGCAGTGATTTTTTTTTTTTTTTTTTTTTTTTTTTACAAGACAGAGTTTGCCTTTCTGTTTTAGGGAGAAATTGATTCCCCTTTAACCTCCCCAATATTGTTTCTTGTCATATTTATGAAAACCAGTGGGAAGAGCCAGGTGCGATGGCTCATGTCTATAATCCCGACACTTTGGGAGGCTGAGGTGGGCGGATCGCTTGAGCTCAGGAGTTCAAGACCATCCTGGCCAACATGGCAAAACCCCATGTTTCTATTTTCATGTTTCTATTTTTCTATTTGAAGCCCCATTTTTTACTACCAAAAATATAAAAAAGTAGCCAGGTGTGGTGGTGTGCACCTGTAGTCCCAGCTACTCGGGAGGCTGAGGTGACAGGATTGCTTGAGCCTGGGAGACAGAGGTTGCAGTAAGCTGAGATCATGCCACTGCGCTCCAGAGCAAGTCCCTGTCTCAAAAAAAAAAAAAAAAAAAAAAAAGAAAGAAAGAAAGAAAAGAAAGAAAACCAGTGGGAATTGCTAACCTATGGTGAAGCCTATTTTATTGCCTAGTGGTTCCCAAACAGGGGGAATTTTGCCTCCCAGGAGACATTTGGCAATGTCTGGAGCCATTTTTGGGTTGTTACAAGTGGCCATAAGCAGGGGGCTGGGGTGTGCAACTGGCATCTAGTGCGTAGAGACCGGGGATGCTATTAAACATTCTGCAACACACAGGACCGCCCCCACAATAGAGAGTTATACAGCCCAAATGTCAATAAAGCCAAGATTGCAGACCCCTGGCCTAGAAGGTCTTTCTGTAGTGGACAGGAGTTTCTTAAATCTAAGAACAGTCATTTCCAAGGCTACCCTCTCACATGGAATTAGACAAGGGGCTGTATATTAGTGTTTTCTTCTTCTTCTTCTTCTTTTTTTTTTTTTTTTACTTTTTGCTCAGTTAATAAACTAGCTAAAAATCTAGCAGTTACTATATATTTTGCTCTAAAATATCTTTATTCTAGGACAAGTGCACTCATTAAGAAGTTTTAATGAAAATTACAGTGTCCATTTGATTAATGTGTTATAAGTTTTAGAGACCCTTCTACGTGATAGTCCAATTTAAAAAATTGTACCTTACCTTAAAAGGTTTTTATAATGACTTATATATGTTGTAGAAAAGTTGAAAAAATATTTCTGAAGGGAGTTTTTTGGCCAGGCATGGTGGCTCATGCCTATAATCCCAGCACTTTGGGAGGCCAAGGTGGGAGGATCACTTGAGCCCAGGAGTTCGAGATAAGCCTGGCCAACATGGCAAAACCTTGTCTCTACTAAAAATATCAAAAAAATTAGCCAGGCATGGTGGCAAGCACCTGTAGTCCTAGCTACTCAGGAGGCTGAGGAATCAGAATTGCTTGAACCTGGGAGGCGGAGGTTGCAGTGAGTTGAGATAGCACCACTGCACTCCAGCCTGTGGCAAGACTCTGTCTCAAAACAAACAAACAAAAAAGAGCGTGTTTTTTTTTTTTAATGGTGATTCTACCACTTAGAAGGAAACATTTCAGAATATTATTATGTATTTCTCAATGAATTTTTAAAATAGTTGAGATCATTCTATTTATACAAATTCATTTCTCCAAAATGAGTCTTTGTAAATATTCAGTTTCCTGCAGGGTGCAGTAGCTCATGCCTGTAATCCCAGAATTTTGGGAGGCAAAGGCGGGAGGATCACTCGAGTCTGGGAGTTTAAGACCAGCCTGGGAAACATAGTGAGACCCTGTCTCTACAAAAAATTTTAAAAGTTAGCTGAATGTGGTGATGCACACCTGTGATCCCAGCTACTCAGGAGGCTGAGGTGGAAGGATCACTTGAGTCCAGAAGGTTGAGGCTGCAGTGAGTCATGATCATATCACTGCATTCCAGCCTGGGAGACAGAGGGAGACCTTGTCTAAAAAATAAAATAAAATGAAAAATAAAATAATAAAAAAACAGGTGCTTAGTACTCCATCATGTAATACTGAACCCTACGTTACCTAAAAACCTATGTTGAACACAGGTCATTAATTGTTCACTATTATAAATAGTCTATAATGAACATTCATGCTTTTCTGTTGCTTTTTAAATAGCACAGCAATCTGGATTGTTCTGGAGACTTTGGGACATGATTATTTAATGCCTAGTTCATGACAGAAACAGAATAGATAGGTGTCCTACCAGTGCAACAGAGGAAACACCATTTGGAATAACCAGTTGAAGGGAGAGTTCTGGAACACCTGGGAATGGGGATTTAAGCTTGGGTAGACCAACCAAAACATGTATCTGTATATATACAGATGTATGTATGGAAATACCAAAAAGAAAAAAAAAAATTGAAGAGATAAACATCAAACTTTTAGCCATGGTGACTCTGGGATAGAAAATTGGGATTGGGGGAGGAACAAGAAGAGAAGAGGAACTTTGAGGTTTTTTTCCATTATCTCCTTTATTTTTTGAATTCTTAACTATAAGAAGATATTCATATGTAACTTGTGTAATACTTAAGCACAGCACACTTGAGAGAATGATTTGGTTCCTCATGGATGGGAGGCCTGATTTGTCAGCAGTTACTCATCTTTTACTTTTTTAGCCAGCCCTGGTATTGCTGGGCACATTGTGGATAATGGATGAGCATCCCTGGAGATGGTATATTTGGGTAAAGAAGTTCTAACGTGCATTTATTTGATGGGCCTTAATAATTTGTTCTCTTCTCAGAGTATTAGACATGACTCTTCTGCATCCATGGTCTTTGACATAGAAGATGGGAGTGGTGGAAACAGACAGTCTAGGGCCAGGATCCTGAAGGTTTCATTGTTTTAAGTGCTGATTTAGAGAAAGTTTCTCTGTGAAACATGCACACCCGGTCCCTGGGCCAATAGATAATGAGATTGTTCTTTTTTCCTTCAGGCCGTACACCTGGTCCCTGGCTCCAAGCGGAAGCAGTCGGGCAGAGCTCTGATGACATCAAAGGCAGAAATTCTCAGGTAACACAAGCCTCATGTCTCTGAATGTAAAACCAGGAATTCTCCTCAGGAGGCACAGAAATGGTAAGGGTATGCTTTCTCCTAAACAGCTTTATATTTTTCCTCACACTCCTTTTCCTCAGGGAAAGCCATTTGGTGGACCTTTTTTCAAGCCAGAATGAAACACTCACCATTTCAAAATCTGAAGTGTGACAAAAGGGGGCTTCCCTGGAATCACCACTACATATAGAAGCAAGTTTAGCAACTCTGACATTCTGCAACAATCATGCCAATCACTTCCCATTCTTCCTTGGTTATGATGGCCTGTGAGAAAAACTGAATAACATGTATAAAACATAATTCAGTATTCTCTCTCATCTGTAGAATACATGGTTTCTTTTAGCACACTTGGAGTTTTTTTTTCCCCCACCAATGTTATAATTGATTTTGGCCAAATTTAGTCACAATTCAAGTACTAGTACCCACAAGAAATGAACAGAACTAGAAGGCAAGCCAGACAGCTGCTTTTGTGATAAGACAGTCCTTGAAGAAACACCTTTAATCTCACCCAGGGCATCTTGAACCGAATTATTTCCTAACCTGGACACATTTCCCTGCACATGACAGGGTCTCATCTTTAAAAGCCCTTTGTTTCTTTGAAAACATGTATTCAGTCGAACAATAATCTCCCCATTTCTGAATACTATGTGACAGACTACAGAGTCACTTGCAGTTAAACCAGGCAATTCTGCAACTGTGTGGAACATCAAGGAAAGTGACCTGAGAAGGAAGAGGCTAGGTTCCTGGAAGCTAGGATGAGTTCCTCAGAGGAAAAAGTACATCCTCTAGCAGATAAGTATCCCCCTTTTCTAACCACAGCTGATGCAAGAATTGCAGTAACGATTCTTAGACGATCACAGGTTCAAAACTGTGTGTATGATTGTAGTTAAGGAAGAAGTATATATACACAGGAAAAAAGACAGGAAGAATATACACAATATTGTTAACAGGTAGAGAGAATTCTGAGAAGATGGCAGAGGAGAAAGCACCAGGAATCTGTGGACAACAATTGCATTGGCAGAATCTGTCTGATGTAATTTGTCTCATGTATTTTGGAACTCTGGGATTCATTAAAGGCTTGAAACTTCCATGGGAAAGCTTGGACAGTAAATTGTGCTCTTAGTACAATAGTAACTACTCATCCTCCACCCCCCACCCCATGGCAGGCAACTGGGCACGTGTTCCTGGAGCAGCTTGCATACAGCTTGCAGGAGCCAAGGTGGGCACAAAAAAAAAACCCTGTCCTCCAGATACTGGGGAATCTGTTCTCTGATTGGTTATTGCTGCTTCTGATCACAGAGGTACAAATAAAGAGATGGGCAGCCATTGTTGCACCTCCTCTTATTGTTGTAAATCCCTTTCCCTCTGGCTGAAGTGGCCTCCTGGGGATTTCAAGGGCTGGTGGCCATTTTGTTCCTCCTGTCCTTGCTCTTTTTTTTTCCCCATTTGGGAGCCAAACATTAAAGATGAACATTCAAAGGCTACTACATATATGATGAAAATTAGAAAGTGACCACATATGCCCAGGGAAAGGCACAGGCTCAGAAAAGACCAAGAAGACCTTAAGATTACACCTCAGACTGATTCTTAGCACAGAGACAGCCTACAACAATCAAAAAAATAAAATGAACAAAAACAATAAGAAAAACCAGCAAACCCTGGGGGACAGAGAGAATTGATATCTAGAGTTACCACATTATTAGATTAAAATGTAGAGTTTTCAACAACAACAAAAATCACATCATACAAAGAAACAGGAGAGTATGGCCCATTCAAAGGAAGAAAAAAAACAAATCAATAGAGACTGCTCTTAAAAAAGACCTGATGGGAGATCTACTAGACAAAGACTTTAAAACAACTGTCTTAAAGATGCTCAAAGAACTAAAGGAAAATGTGGAGAAAGTCAAGAAACGGATGTATGAACAAAATGGAAGTATCAATAAAGAGGAAAAAAACATTTTCTGGAGCTGAAAAATACAACAAATGAAATGAAAAATTTACTAGAGGGAATAAAAGGCAGACTTGAGCAGGCAGATGAAAGAATCAACAAACTTGAAGATAGGACAACTGAAATTATTGAGTCAGAAGAACAGAAAGAAAAAAAATTAAAAGTGAACAAAGCCTAAGAGACCTGTGGGAGACCATCTAGCAGATTAACACGCTTATTGTGGGAGTTCTAGAAGGAGAAAGGAAAGAAAAAGGGTAAAAAAGACTCTCTGAAGAAATAATAGCTCAAAACTCTCCAAATTTGATGAAAGGCATGAATATAAACATCCAAAATGCTCAGTAAAGTAAGATGAACTAAAAAACCACACCAAAGAAACACTATAATCAAATTTTCAAAAGGCAAAGAGAAAATCTTGAAAACAGCAAGAGAGAAGTGACTCATCACATACAAGGGATCTTCAGTAAGATTATCAGTAAATTTATCATCCAAACTTTGAAGGCCAGAAGGTGGTGAGCCCATATATTCCAAGTGCTAAAAGAAAAAACTGTCAAGCCGTAATTTTCTACCTGGCAAAACCATTCTTAAAAAGTGAGGGAGAAATTAAGATATTCACAGATAAACAAAAGCTGAGGGAGTTTGTTACCACTAGACCTGCCCTGCAAGAATACCCAAGGGAGTCCTAAAGGGTCAAATGAAAGGACACGAAACAGTAACTTGAAGCTGTAGGAAGAAACAATGACCTCACTAAAGGTAACTATATGGCCAATTATAAAATCTAATATTATTGTAACAACAGTTTGTAACTATACTTTTTGTTTTCTACATGATTTAAAAGACAAAACATTTTTAAATTTTTTAGTTTAAAAGCTAGTGTTATTGTAACTTTGGTTTGTAACTATATATTTAGGGTTATACATAATTTAAGAGACTAGTGTATTTAAAAGACTTATTAATTTATGTTTTGGGGCACACAGTATATAAAGATGTAATTTGTTCACATCAACAACTAAAAGGAGTGGTGATGGAGCTGTAAAAAAGCAGATATTTTGTATGTTATTGAATCTAAGCTACTATAAAATCAAATTATAGTCTTACAACTTTAGGATGTTAAGTGTAATTCCTATGGGCTATGGCCTGAATGTTTGTGTCCCTCAAAGTTCATATGCCAAAACCTAATCCCTAATGTGACAGTATTAAAAAAGTTGGGCCTTTGGGGAGGTGATAAACCATGAGGGCAGAGCCCTCATGAATGAGATTAGTGCCCTTATAAAATAGGCATGAGGGAGCTTGTTCATCCCTTTCACCATGTGAAGATGCAGTTTGAAGGCACCATCTAGCAGACAGCGAGCCCTCACAAGACACCATATCTGTTGGTGCCTTGATCTTGGACTTCCCAGCCTCTACAAATTTAAGAAATAAATTTCTGCTGTTTTCATAAATTACTCAGTGTAAGATGCTTTGTTATAGCAGCCTGAAAAGACTAAGACACCATGGTAACCACACAGAAAATAGCTATAGAATATATACAAAAGGAAATGAGAAACAAATTTAAACATTTCACTACAAAAAAAGTCAACTAAACAGAAAAGAAAGGGTATGAGGTACAAAAAAGCTATATAGAAAAGAAGTAGCAAAATGACAGAGTAAATCCCTCCTTGTCAGTAATTGCTTCAAATGCAAACGGATTAAACTTTCCAATCAAAAGACAGAGATTGGCAGAATGGATTTTTAAAAATCTGATCCAACAGTATGCTGTTTACAAGAGACTCAGTTTAGCTATAAAGACAAATAGGTTGAAAGTGAAAGGATGGAAAGAGATATTCCTACTGTGATCAAAAGAGAGCAGGGGTGGCTCTACTAACATCAGGCAAAATAGACATTAAATCAAAAAGTTTACAAGAAACAAAAAGGACATTATATGTTAATACAAGTTTCAATAGAGCAAGAAGACATAACAATTACAGATATTAGTTCACCTAATAACAGACCATCAAAATGCATGAAGCAAAACTGACAGAATTAAAGTGAGAAACAGACCTATAATAATAGCTGAAGAATCAAATATCCTACTCCTAATAATGGGTGAAACAACCAGACAGGAGATAAGGAAAGAAATAGAGAACACAAAAAAGCTGTATATAACAGACATATACAGTACAGTCTACCCAACAACAGCAGTATATACATTCTTCTTAAATGCACATGAGACATTTTCCAGGAGAGTCCATTTGTTAGGCCACAAATTAAGTGTCTTAAATGATTTTAAAAGATAGATATCAGGCCAGGCATGGTGGCTCATGCCTGTAATCCTGGCACTTTGAGAGGCCTAGGTGGGTGGATCACCTGAGGTCAGGAGTTCCAGATCAGCCTGGAACATGGTGAAAACCCATCTCTACTAAAATACAAAAAATACCCGGGCATGGTGGTGGGCACGTGTAGTCCCAGCTACTTGGGAGGCTGAGGTGGGAGAATCACTTGAACCCAGGAGACAGAGGTTGCAGTAAGCCAAGACCGTGCCATTGCACTCTAGCCTGGGCAACAAGAGTGAAACTCCATCTCAAAAAAAAAAAAAAAAAAAGATAGATATCAGACAAAATATCTTTCCTAGCACAGTGGAATAAAATTATAAATCAAGAACAGAAGTAAAACTGGAAAATTCACAAATTTGTAGAAATTAAACACTACACTCTTAAACAACCAATGGATCAAAGAATAAATCAGAAAGGAAACTATAAAACACTTGGAGATTAATTGAAATGAACATACAACATACCAAAATTTATGGAACACTGAAAGCAGTGCTAAGAGGGAGATTTATAGCTATAAATTGTTACATTAAAAAACAAGAAAGTTATCAAATCAGCAACCTAATTTTACAATGTAAAGAGCTAGAAAAAGAAGAACAAACTAAACCTAAAGCTAGCAAGAAGGAAGGAAATGAAGAAAATTAAAACAGAGATCAATGAAATAGAGAACAGAAAAACAATACAGAAAATCAACAAAACCAAAAGTTGGTTATTGAAAAGATTAACAAAACTGACAAACCTTTAGTTAGATAGACTAAGGAAAAAACAGAGAAGACTCAAACTGCTAAAATCAGAAATGAAAGTGGATACATTACTACTAATCCAACTGAAATAAAAAGGATTATAAGAGAGTATTATAAATACTTTTATGCCAAAAAGTTGGATGACCTAGATGAAATGGACACATTTCTAAAAACACAAAACCTACCAAGACCAAATCACAATGAAATAGAAAATCTGGCTGGGCATGGTGGCTTACACATGTAATCACAGGTCTTTGGGAGGTTAAGGTGGGAGAATTGCTTGAGGCCAGGAGTCTGAGCCAGCCTAGACAACATAGCGAACCCTGTCTCTACAAAAAAATTTTTAAATTAGCCAGATATGGTGGTGCGTGGCTGTAGTCTAGCTACTTGGGAGACTGAGGTGAGAAGATTGCTTGAGCCCAGGAGTTTGAGGCTGCAGTGAGCTATGGATTGCACCACTGCACTACACCCTGGGTGACAGAGTGAAACCCTGTCTCAAAAAAAAAAAGAAAAAGAAGATAGAGAGTAGAAGGATGGTTACAAACTAGCGGGGGAGTGGAGTTGGGGATGGTTAATTGGTATAAAAAATAGTTAGAATAAATAAGACCTACTATTTGATAGCACAACAGGGTGACTATAGTCAACAATAATTTAATGGTGCAGTTTAAAATAACTCAAAGAATATAACTGGATTGTCTGTAACCCAAAGATAAATGCTTGAGGGGATGGATACCCGATTTTCCTTGATGTGATGATCACTCATTGCATACCTGTATCAAAACATCTCATGTACCCCATAAATATATACACCTACTATGTACCCACAAAAAAAAAGAAATAGAAAATCTGAATAGACTTATAACTAGTAAGGACATTTAACCATTAATCAAATATCTCCCAAAAAAGAAGAGCTCTGGGCTTCATGGCTTCACTGGTGAATTCTGCCAAACGTTCAAAGAACTAACCCAATCCCTCTAAAAGCTTTCCAAAAAATTGAAGAGGAGGGAACGCTTTTTATCTATTCTATGAGACCAGCATTATCCTGATACCAAAGCCAGCAAAGACACAAGAAAACCGTAGACCAATATCCCTTATAAACACTGATGCAGAAATTCTCAATAAAATACTAGCAAATCAAATCCAGTAGTATATTAAAAGGATTATATACCATGACCAAGTAGGATTTATTCCTGCATGGCAAAGATTATTCAATATATAAAAATCAGTTAATGCAATATATTGCATTAATAGGATGAAGGGAAAAAAACACATGATCATCTCAATTGATGCAGAAAAAGCATTTGACAAAATTGAACACCTTTTCATGATAAAAAAAATTCTCAATAAACTAGGAATAGAAGGAAACTCCCTTAACATAATAAAAGCCATATATGAAAAATCTACAGTGAACATGCCCAATGGTGAAAGACTGAAAGCTTTTGCTTTAAGATCAGGAACAAGGCAAGGATGCCTGCTTTCATCGCTTCTATTCAACATAGTACTGGAAGTCTATCCAGAGCAAAGTTGGGCAAGAAAAAGAAATAAAAGACATCCAAATTGGAAAGCAAGAAGTAAAATTATCTCTGTTTGCAGATGATATGTTGTTATATGTAGAAAATCCTAAAGATTCCACCAAAAAAAAAACTGTTAGAAATAATTCAGCAAAGTAGCAGGATACAAAGTCAACACACAAAAATATGGTTGTATTTCTACACACTAACAATGAGCAATCTGTAACGAAAATTACAGAAACAATTCCATTTATGATAGCATAGAAAAGAATGAAATACTTAGCAGTTAACCAAGCAGGTGAAAGACTTGCATAATGAAAACTATAAAACATGGCTGAAATAAATTAAATAAGACATAAATAAATGCAAACACATCCCATGTTCATGGGTTAGAAGACATTATTGTTAAGATGTCAATACTACCCAAAGCAATCTACAGATTCAGTGTAAACCCTACCGAAATCTCAATGACATTTTCTTCAGAAATAGAAAAACCCAGAATCCTAAAAGAAGAATCCTAAAATTCATATGGAATCTCAAGGAACTCCTTGAGATAGCCACAACAATCTTGAAAAAGAAGAATAAATCTAGGGGACTCACACTTCCTATTTCAAAACTATAATAATCAAAACAGTGTGGTACTGGTATAAAGACAGACATATAGACCAATGGGATAGAATAAAAAGCAATAAATAAATAGAATAAAAAGAAATAAACCCTTGCATGTATGGTCAAATGATTTTAACAAGGGTGCCAAGACCATTCAATAGGGAAAAGGTAGTATTTTCAACAAATGATGCTAGGAACACTGGATATCCCCACATAGAAGAATGAAGTTGGACCCCTTCTAATATCATGTACAAAAATTAACTCAAAATGAATCGAAGACCTAAATGTAGGACCTGAAACTGTAAAACTCTTAGGAGAAAACACAGGGCAAAACCTTCATGACACTGGGTTTGACAATGATTTCTTGGATATGACACTAAAGGCATAGGCAACAGAAGAAAAAATAAGCAAACTGGATTTCATGAAAATCTTTAAAATTTGCATATCAAAGACAATATAAAAAAGAAAAGGCAACCCACAGAATGGGAGGAGGTATTTTCATATCGTGTATCTGATAAGAGATTAATATCCATGATATATACAGAACTTATAAAACTCAACAAGAAAACAAATAACCTAATTTAAAAATGAGCAATGGACTTGAATAGACATTTCTCTAAAGAAGATAAACAAATGGCCAATGAGCATAGGAAAAGTTGCTCAGCATCACTAATCATTAGAGAAATAAAAATCAAAATTACAATGAGATACCACCTCATACACATCAAGACGGCTGCTATCAAAACAAAACAAAATAACAAGTGGTGGCAAAGATGTGGAGAAAATGGAACCCTTATGCACTGTTGGTGAGAATGTGAAATGGTACAGCTGCTGTGGAAAACAGTATGGCAGTTCCTCAAAATATAAAAAACAGAATTACCATATGATCTGGCACTTCCACTTCTGCGTATATACCCAAAAGAACCTAAAGCAGAGCCTGGAAGAGATATTTGTACACCCATGTTCATAGCAGCATTATTTACAATAGCTAAAATGTAGAAGCAACTTGATCCTCTTGTAGTTCATGAGCGTGATGATTGAGTATTCATGTGCATGTGTGAGATGTGCCACTCTCTGAACCTTGTTACAACCTTGGCACATTACCTGTCTGACCTGAACTTGGAAAAATAAAGTAAAATGTAGAAGCAACTCAAGTATCATAGATAGATGAATGGATAAACAAAATGTGATACACGCATGTACAGTGGAATATTATCCAGCTTAAAAAGTAGGAAGTTCTAAAATATGCTTCAACATGGATGAACTTTGAGAACATTATTCTAAGTGAAATAAGCCACTCACAAAAGACAGACACCATATATGCCTCCATTTACCTAAGTACTTACGGTAGTAGAAACAGCAAGTAGACTGGTGCTTGCCAGAGATTAGAGGGAAAAAGAAAATTGAGAGGTATTGTTTAATGGGTACAGTCTCAGTTTTACAAGATGAAAAGAGTTAAACAAAAGTGGGTACTGATGATTGGTTGCAAAACATTATGAATGTATTTAATACCCCTAAACTATACACTTAAAAATGATTACTAGTCAGCTGGGTGTGGTGGCTCATGCCTGTAATCCCAGCACTTTGGGAGGCCAAGGCAGTCGGATCACCTGAGGTTGGGAGTTCGAGACCAGCCTGACCAACATGGAGAAACCCCATCTCTACTAAAAATACAGAATTAGCCAGGCATGGTGGCGCATATCTGTAATCCCAGCTACACGGGAGGCTGAGGCAAGAGAAGCGCTTGAACCCGTGGACGGAGGTTGCGGTGAGCTGAGATCACGCCATTGCACTCCAGCCTGGGCAACAAGAGTGAAACTCCGTCTCAAAAAAAAAAAAAAAAAAGGTTACTAGTGTAAATTTTATGTTATTTATATTGTACCACAATAAAAATGGAGAAAAAATGTTAATAGGCATTCACTCTAGAAGACTATGGCTGATTTGTACTTTCTTCTTTTGGCGTTTATGCAATTTCCAAGTTTTCTACAATGATTATATTATTCCCGTGACCAGGAAAATATAGTAATAATCATAATCATGTTCCTTCATATTCGTATGGCTCTTTACATTTTTCAGTTAGCTTGCATATGTTATATCATCTAATCCTTTTAATAACCCTGTGATGGAAGCTGGAGAGATACCTTTAATGCCATTTTTATAAAAGAGAAAACTTTCTAGAAATTTGAAGAACTTGCCCATGTCACAATGCCCAAACCTTCTGACCTCTTGTTCAGTGCTTCTTCCATAATGCCTCACTGCTTTTCCTGGCATGTTAGAATCTCCAGGGACAAGAATCCTCCTCACTACCAACGTGTCACACACTGTGCAGGATCTGGTCTCCAGCCTCACGGCAGGCATGCACCCAGATCACCTGAGTCTGGTGGTTTTGATCTCCGCCTGCAAGTCTACTCAAAGTGGATTGTAGTCTCCTTTGGGCATTCCACAGTCAAGAAGATCTTTGTATCTCACTGGATACCATCTTAATTCTCACTGCAGTGAGACACAAAACAATTGAGAAATCACTGGGTTCTAGACATTGCAAACAATACCCCAGGGACTGCTCTTTTTTATGGCTAGAGTGGTCAGTGCATGGGGTGGGAGCCCTGGGCTGGAAGTCTGAATGCCTAAATCGGTTTCTTGCTTTTCCACTGCCTTAACTTGGGGTCTCCAGCACGTTTTTTTTATTTCTCTGAGCTTCCTGTCAAGTGAATTGCTGATGATTGGTTCTATAAATGTTTATAAGACAGTATTAGGTCCTCACATACCATCAACTACATACCCCATTTCATCTGGTTTCCACCCACAGCCCCTTGGGTAAAAGTCAGCTCTTTGCATAGGCATCTCCCCAAACTTGACAGCCTTGCATGAATGAGAAGCTTCGGGGCCCAGCCTGTTTGGGGGGGTGGAGGAGGAAGGCTTTCATGTGCAAGAGTCTTCTAACTCCACCTGGTAATGTTCTGTTATGTTTCCACAGTTATCTCTAAAGACTCTTCGGTGAGAAGACAGATGAAGCGAAGGTCCTGGGGTTCCAGGTTGCAGAACAACATGTCAGACCCCACCCACCCCATGCTCAAGCTGTAATTCAGTTGGCATACAGGCTTGGAATTGAGAATTTATTTATTGTAAATATGTGATTTGCACGGGCTTTAAAGCAGTATTTTAATTGACTTTTATTTCGGTAATATTTTTTAAAACACCCCTCATTTTTCCATTTTTTGCATTGCATCTTGGCATTTGTCAGCACAGATAGAGCCCTGTCCCTCCACCTAGTGCCCACTCCATGACTGTGAATCTGCTTGCAGGCTGGCCCTTCCTAGATTCTGAACCGTTTGTAGAGAGTCCTTAGTTTGCAGGTAGCCCCAAAGTTATAAATATCCACAACGGCTTCTTATTGGCATAATTTCATATTCTCATCACACTAACTGCAAAATCAAACCAAATAATGCCTTATCAATGATGCAGCTCAGAGGAAGTAGCGTGTCCCCCACACCCAGACAGTGCCGCGCAGCCTCCAGGGAACGAGGTGCCATGTCTCGCTTCCATTTTGCAGTACAGGGAATTTTTTTTTTTTTTTTTTTTTTTTTTTTTGCTGCCTAATGTAATACATCACAAAGTAAAGGCAAGAGTGGGCTTGGCCCTCCGATGCCAACCACAGGGCCCCTTTTGTAACTGAATAATCCTCCAAGTAGCCAGTGCTCCTACTGTTTACAGTGTCCCTCGTGCCCAAGTCTCTGTCACTTTCATCCTGTTCCCTCCAAGTTCCCAGTCCCATCCCAGTAGCCAGCTTTATGAGATTTTGGTATTTCTTCCCTACAGATTAAAAACATACACAACTCATCATTATGCTAAACTACCAGTTGTATCTCAGAGGTCTCCCCTTCTGCCCTTGCTTCGAGTGTGGACTTCCATGGAAAATATGACATGAAAAAGTGTAGAACGAAACATCGTGTGAAATACCTGCCACAAATACCTAGTGCCTCACTGCCCCCATCTTAGGATCCTTGGAGCCACCCGTCAGGCAAAACCTAGCTCCCTTCTGAGCTAAAGGAGAACCTTGCCTGACAACTCCACATTCATTCCCTTGTGGTGGGCACCTGTCTGTGGGGAGATGTGTGCAAGCTCAGCCACTCTGAATATGGAAAAGGTCAGGCCGGGCTGGTCCTGCTCTTCACTCCCTCTTCTTGATCCTGTAGGGAGTGGAAATGTGTTTTTGCTTGCTGCCTGACCCCTGATGTTCCCCATCTTTGGTCGGGGAAGACTGTGACAGAGGAAGGAGAAAAAATAGAAGGAAACAGACTGATCCCTGGGCTGTGCTCAAAATAGCTGCCCTTTAAAGGAAATCAGGCAGGGAGGGGAGGGAAACCAGCGAAAAAGAAATTTGCTTTGCAACAACCCACGCACACATTCACCCCTGAAGTATATCATGAACAGACCAAGCCATCCAGAAAGGCAGCCGGTCAGGAGGGTGTGGGCAAACATGACTGCATCTGCCTCACTGTTGTCTGGAGTAACGACTCAGGTGGTGTCCTGCAGCAGTGCTGTGCTTTCTCATTCCAGATGGAAGCAAGTGAGCCAGGGTCAAATTCCCTTCTCCAGGGGAATGAATCAAGCCCAAACTGTAACAGCTAAATAAGTAGAAGTTTTTGCAGGTCATCAGCTCTGGGCATAACTAATTTGTTTTATTGGTTCTGGAAGATTTCCAAAAAGCCAGAATTTATTATTATAACAGTGTCCACTCCACTGCCCTCACAGTTGTGTAAAATAATTATAGAAGTTTTAATGATCCTGATTAAGAAGACCCTAGACAAAGGCAATTCCACCTTCAGAGTAGACTGCCTGCCCTAATGAGGTGTTTAGACATTCGTGTCTCCTATGGCTGGGATGGAAATTAAAATAACACTATTTAAGGACAGAGCGGGCCAGGAGCAGTGGCTCATGCAGGTAATCCCAGCATGGGAGGCTGAGGTGGGTGGATTACTTGAGGTTAGGAGTTCAAGACCAGCCTGGCCAACATGGTGAAACCCTGTCTACTCAAATACAAAAAATTAGCCAGGCATGGTGGCTCACACCTGTAATCCCAGCAACTTGGGAGGTTCAGGCACAAGAATTGCTTGAACCCTGGAGGTGGAGGTTGCAGTGAGCTGAGATGGCACCACTGCACTCTAGCCTGGGCAACAGAGCGAGACCCTAACTCAAAAAAAAAAAAGGACAGAGGGGAGGAAGGAGCAGAAACCAAAAATGGCAATTAGGGAGAAATCTCAGGAATGTGGCATCCCATCTCCCCTTGAGACCTATCACTGAATTCACAACCCTTCGAGCTCATGCTGGTGCACTGAGTCCCTTGGGCGCTGTAAAGGTTTAACCCCTTGACTGTAAACTCAGACTTAGAGACATCTGAGTCACACAGTCCCCGCCATTGTCACATATTCTCACTGACACTGCAGTCTGTGACTCCTCCAATGTTTCACGTGTATTTTATATTTATTGATGTCTCCTTCCGCAGATTCATTTCTTTGTACTTAATAAACTTTAGTAAGTGGAAATGCTTCCAGTCGTTTCCTTGTTAAAACCCATCGGTGGTCACCAGTATCAATCTAAACCAAACATTTTTAAGGATCAGGAGAAGTTGAAGTTCTAAGAATGATAGAAAAAAAATAGATATTTACATGGATACGGTGCTTGCTGTAACATACTGTGTTAGAAACAGGGCCTTTCTTTCTTGAGCTAACTAGCCTAATTGGTATTTGGAAAAAACAAGCAAGAAAAAAAAAATTTCTCAGGTGCATTTTTTAAAAAGTAGATAACACTATATTTATTCAGTTTGATTAACACAGAATGGGCAGTGTATTGCTTATAAATTCTGCTAAATTGTGTTGAAAT
Organism: Homo sapiens; assembly: GCF_000001405.40. Taxonomy (NCBI): domain Eukaryota; kingdom Metazoa; phylum Chordata; class Mammalia; order Primates; family Hominidae; genus Homo; species Homo sapiens. Next base: position 29,917,399 of record NC_000007.14, read on the forward strand.
AGAACAACCTTCCCTCTACGTGCACTTAGTCCCCACTCCCAACTCAGCAAACCCCCCAAAAAAGCCTCCTGTAGGAACAGAATCATCTTGAATCCCCCTGTAGTATTTTAAGGTGGACCTTTGGGAACAGGGTTCAGGGGAGGTGAGATTTATCTGCTAGGCAAGCTATCTCAGAGCTAGTGCTTAGAAGGCAAACCAGGATCTGAATCTCCATTTTGCCTCTTACAAGTTGCCTCTTACAATCTGTGCCTCAGCTTCCTCATTTGTCAAAAGGGGACATAAATATGTACCCGAGTGTATATTGGTGAAGATTCAATGATGTAATACACATGGGCAAGCCCTCAACCCTTGGATCACAACGGAGCCAGTGATGCACACCCTGCACCCCGGGGAGCAGCCAGTTTGCTGGTTCCATGCTTGGGCACAAACAGGGCTCTGCTGGCTGCATCCCAGGCACTTCATTCAGTATTTGCTGAGCTACTCAGACCACACTTCACTAACTCTGCTGCTGGATAACAATGAGAGAGCAGTCATTAAAATTCATAGATGTTCCTGAAATAAATCTCATCTAGAAACTAATTTCAAAGCTGGTTACTACACACTTTGCATCAGAATTAGTTAAGGGGCCGTTTTATTGCTCTCTTATTGGTGGAGGTACAGATTGGCTCTTTGATGGCCAAAAGGGCCAGTCTGAATGGGGAAGAAAAAGTAAGGGCCGAAGATAATCTACAAAGTGGATGATGAACTTCAGAGTCACATTGAGCATGGCCGTGGTGAAGTAGCTAGAAGTGTAAGCACCTTTTATGGAGCTAAGTGTGAGAGACGTGCTTCCTAGAGAGGGAGCAAGTTAATGGGAAGGGCCATGGACTCCAGAAGCAAGTTCCAAATTCTCAGACGGTGCCCCGGGAGGCTTCAGCATCCTCCACCCACCCATTCTGTTATGGGTCGAATTGTGTCCCCACAAAAATCCATAGGTTGAAGAAGTCCTAACCCCCAGTACCTCAGAATGTGACCTTATTTAGAAATAGGCCCATTGCAGATATCGTTAGTTAAGATGAGGTCATACTGGATTAGGGTGGGCCCCTGATGCGATATGACTGGTGTCCTTATAAAATGAAGAAATTGGACACAGACATAGACACAGGGAGAACGCCACATGAAGATGAAGGCAGAGATAATCAGGATGCTGCTTCTATGGGTCCCAAAGTGCTGAAGATTGCCAGCAAGCCACCAGAAGGTGGGCAAGAGACATGAAACACATTCTTTCTCACAGCCCTCAGAAGGAACCAACCCTGCAGATGTCTTATTCCTGGGACGTCTGGGCTCCAGAACTGTGAACCAGGAAATTTCTCCTGGTTACGCTGCCCAGTTTGTGGTACTTTGTGACGGCAGCCCCAGCAAAAGAATACAGGCTTTGTCACCCAGAGCTTTGCAGGAGGGTACAATGTTTATGAAAAGAGAGCTGGGAATAAAATTTCAGAATTAGCAGCTCCTTATCATGTAAACAGAGCAGTCATCTACCCTGACCTTGAAATAGGTCATTCATTGCAGGTGACTAAGTCCTATCTTCACGAGCAAGACATTCAGTTGCGTTTTACCTGTCACAGTGGAGAGTCATGGAAAGCAAGCTGGCATTTCTGGGTCACAGGAGTGAAGAGAGCTGGCTTTTTCCCTAAGTGGCATCCTCTCCTGTTGTGGCATTGCTGATGCCTTGGAATCAAGATGTCTGGCACAGAGTACCAGCCACTCTGATGATCTAGACTTCCATTCTAATAACTATGGTAAAATACACATAAAGTCTACCATGCTTACCATGTTTAGTGCTTAATTCATTCGTGTTGCGTACATTCATATTGTTGTACAACCGTCACCACCATCCCTCTCCATAACTTATCTTGCGAAACTTTCTGAAACTCTATACTCATTAAACAGTAACTCCCAATTTCTCCCCCACCTCCAGCCCCTAGCAACCACCCTTCTAATTTCCGTCTCTGTGATTTTGACTGCTCTAGGTACCTCATAGAAATGAAACCATATAATATTCGTGACTGGTTGATTTCACAGAGCATAACATCCTTAAGGTTCATCCATGTAGCATGTCAGAATCTGCTTCCACTTTTTAAGGATGAATAATATTCCATTGTATGGATAGAACACATTTTGTTTCTCCATTCTTCCATCTGTGGATATTTGAGTTGCTTCCAGATTTTAGCACTGTGAATAGTGCTACTATGAACATGGGTGTGCAACCTCTCTTCCAGACCCTACTTTCAATTCTTTTGTGTATACCCAGAAGTGGGATTGCCCGATTATACAGCAGTTCTGTTTTTCATTTTTTGAGCAACTCCATACTGTTTCCCACAATGGATGCACTGTTTTACATTCCCACCAACAGTACATAAGGGTTCCAATTTCTCCACATCCTCACCCACATTTGTTATTTTCTGGTTGTGGTTTTTTGTTGTTGTTGTTGTTTTTGTTTTCAATAGTAGCTATCCTGACGGGTGTGAGGTGATATTTCGTTGTGGTTTTATATTTAAAGACTGAATTTATCCACAGAACATTACATGATGCAAGAAACTGCTGAACTGACTGTTTTCTAAAGATTCTAGCCAGAAAAATATATCCATTCTCATACATTTTCTATATTGCGACTGAGGCCCACGTTTATTCACGAGACACAAAACAGAAGAGGCCACTCCACTGGATGTTAATTTCAGTTTTTTTTATTGTATGCTTGATGCATTTAGAGACAATTCCAAGGGCAAGCACTGGATAGGGATATTATCTGCTTTGTAGATATTTGTACAAAAGACTGTTAAGACTACATGGCCAGTTCCCACTGCAGGAAACAGAATGATTTTCTTTTTTTTTTATTATTATTCCCTGCCAATAGCATTTTCCATCTAACACATTTAAATTCTCACAGCATAATTGCAAACATGTACATATTGGTTCCCACGAGAAATCTGCAGGTGACATTTCGGGATGTTTGGAGTCAATCAGATAAAGCACATTATGACAGAAACCATAAGAGGGGAGCTGGGACCTGGGACTGTGCAGAATGAAAAGCCACGGCTACGGGAAGCATAAGCTTGTGCTGCAACGGCATGTGCACATGACCTGCTGCTCCTGGCCCTCTACGAAGCATGCCCAGCAAGGGAACCTCCTCCGTCCCTCCTCCACGTGCTTCCTTCCTAAGGCTGAGAGCTCAACTGAAGACCTTCCCCAATAAATGACAGATGGCTCTTCAGTCAGGAATGCAGTTAGTGGTTTCATGACAGACACACTGGTCCCACCCGGCTTCCCTGCTGAACCACCCAGTACTGAATAACACCTGTACCAATGTGGGATGACATCAGCTAGGAAGCAAAGTAATTTGCCTGGTTGATGATTATTTTTTATACCTAATGATTCACCCAATAGTAAAGGAACCCCACAGCTAAGGTCTAACAGGCATATACCTGCTCTGTTAGTTTATAAGAAAGACTCGTTCTAATAACACCAGGTCTTATATTATTGAGCACTAAGGAACCTCCATAATTTCGATTATATTCTACCTAAAATTTCAAAGCACCTCCAAGAATGAAAGGGTACTATTTCTGCTTTGCTAATTTACTCCTGCCAGAGCTTCTGTCCTTGAATATGAGGGCTATCTTCACCTATAGTAAATCCCATCTATTAGACAAGACTAGCTAGCTTATGTTTGGTTATGGGGCAAGGGAGTGGGGGAGAGATTCTGTCCTTTCTGGCTATGGCTTCTTTCTGCACAAGCATGCTCAGCCCCCACCCCAGTCTGAAAAGATACACAAAGGGTTTCCTAGGAAGCTACTTATACACTATGACCCTTAAACATAATTTTTGTATTTCATCTTGAATATTCATGTTCCCTATACTGCCTTCAGAAAAGCAATCCCTGGTCCACAAATTATTCATGTAACAAGCATTTTTCAAAAGCAAAATCTGTTAGGAACATTTAAAAATGAACATTCCTCACTATAACAGCCTGCTCAAAACCCAACAACCTATTTCCAGCTGTTAATATAAGTACATAAAGTCACTAAAAGTAAGCGCAGCCACATCAGCAGATTCTCTGCTCTCTTGTCGTCTTTCTCCACCCATCCCAATGCACAACTGTCAACTGTGCTTATAGACCACCTCCAGACCTGATGGGAGCTGCCACACCCCTTTTAACTTTTGCCAGGCTGTACCATGCCCTCTAGTGGTAGGACTAGGACATCACAATTGTGGTGCAGAGTATTAGCCAAGACAGCTCTCAATTAGGGTTGCCTTCTTTAAGATGCTTGACCAAGGTCAATGTACCCTAACAGAAGTAGCCATTGTGTTTCCCAATGGGTAATGACATAAAGCGGGTAGGGTTATCCATGGCCTTTGTTTGGCCCATAGAAATGAAAGGAGGCTTCTGTGTAATTAATTCTTACTAGACTTCTTTTGATCAAATCCTGAATCACCTTGGTTATCTCAGACATGTCAGGTCTGATGAGACATTTCATAGTAGGCGAAGGTGAAATCACTCAGTGAGATTTTAGAGCAGCTTTCTGTATCATCTTGCTTTACATAGCCACTTGGAACATGGACTTGGGAGGGGAGAGTTACCTACGTCATCCTCGAACCTCACTTTCCCCCCCCCTTAACAGTGATAGAAAGACACTTTTAGAATAGCCGCCCCACCTAAAAGGACACTCTAAATTCACCAACAGTGAAAGCCCAGGCCAAACCTGCGTGAAGCTCTTAGCAGCTACAGGCCACCATTATTGGTTGCCATTAACTCTGTCAGCTGAAATCGTCTTCCCATCACCCACAATGTGTGGTTAATGATTTTATATACAGAGTTTACAAAACTGCTGACTAAAAAGCTCATGGCACTCCTATACTCACGCTCTGGAGAGTTGGTAGAAAAAAAGAATGTGTTCTGATAAAACCTCTGATCCTCACTGTTCACATCCATGTAACAGGGCTCGGTCCCCTCAAAATCTCATGATACAGCTTCTGGGAAGGAGTTATTAACCCTGTCACTTCCCAGATTGCTGATACTCACAATGTTTCCATTTGCAGATTCCTGCCAAGAATGATGAGGCAGGATTAGGCCCAACTGGTGCTCTCCCACTAGCTGCTGTATTTACATACACTTCTGTTCATCATCTCTGCCCGTTTCAGGAGTAGCTGAGAGCTTGAATAGGTGGCGGTAAGCTCCCACCACCACCCCATGCCCAGTGCAGCTACCCGCCTGAATGAAGGCAGCTCCTGGGACATGTGAGGTGTGAGGAGTGGGGGGAAGATCCAGGGAAGTCAGCTGCTTTGTATTTGGGTTTGTGGGATGTAATGGCCTTGGCAGGAATGGTGGGGCCTGAACTGGTATCCTGCAGAGAAATGCTTCTATATCCATCTATCACCTCCTTGCCCTCTGTCTTCCCAATGCTAAGCCCATCTGGTCTTCCTTGCATGCTTTTCTATGCTCTGGTGGTAAGTCAAATCCTTTAAGTGAACCCGACATTGGAAACAAATCAGTTTAATTAAAGTCTCTCTGCTGAGATAATGTAGTGACTGCTAGGATTCCAGATATTTAACTAGAATCTAAATAGTCAAGAGTTCTTCCTTTTCTTTCCCTCCTTGGCTGAGAGATTCACTACTCTGTGGGTGGAACTGTGCCATAGGGCCATTCAATTACTCCTAGACTAGCTGTTGGTAACTAGACTGGGAATCATTTCTACACAAGGAATCCTGTGATGGCTGTGCTGCTGTGTGGGGAGAGCTGCCTCCTGGGACATCCATGCAGTGATTCAGAAGGCCACCAGCATGGCTATGTCTGAATCTCGGAAGTGAATAGGTTCCAGCTAACAAATTATCAGCTCTCCTGTAAGTGGAAGCAGCTCTGCAGTCCACCACACATAAGCACAGCGCATGGAAAATGGGAAGACAGCTTCTTCAGGAGCCCAGGATGTAGGAAGGAGCCAGGACTGGAGAGGGGTCCCTTTCTTCCTTCCAATTGGTTCTGCCCCCCAGAAGACACCTGTAGAGACACTGTGCACTACAGGCATGCACTCACGGGAGGCCACGGAGGGTCCCCTTGACAACACACACAAGAGCCCTGTGTGTGTGCACAAATGCCTCTTGTTAACCTGAAAGAAACCGCTACTGAGGGAAAGACTAAGACTTCAAAAGAATTTGCTTTTCCCGCCAACTCGGCACTGTGAAGCCTGCCTTTCAAGGCTTGATGAACTCTAGTCCTCTTGTAAAAGGCTAATGTGTCCATTGCCACTGAAATACAATAATAGCAGCTTAAAATCCACAATTAGTCACACAACCGAACAACAGGCAACGGGATACATGTTACACTGCACAGGAAGGAGACCTACATTGCAGAAGGGGACGCTGTGAGATTCAAGGTGGAACACAAGGTAACAGTTTGATCTGGCTTCAGAAAAGGAGGCCACATATTAACTTTCTCATTTTACTCAAACAGGAGAGTGGTTTGTTTTGCTGGTAATTTAGTAAGGTGGGAAGTCTTAAATAAGAAGGGGAAAGGGAACGCTTACTTCACTTAAAGAACTTAATCTCCGTGTCAACACAGTCATAGAAAAGGTCCCCCACTTCCGCAGGGTCCAGTGGCTCGGAGCTGGTCAGGATTTCTTCCATGGCTTCCAGGCCTTGCTTCTCCAGCTCCAGCATGGTGCTCCTCAGCTTGCGACCTTGCTCCTGAGGAAGGACACGACTGCTTTAGGTGTCAGCAAAATAGCAGGGGACATTGCAGCGGACACTGAAACCCTCTAGGGGGCCAGCTGGCTTCCTGCTCAAGGTCCTGTCCTCCCCACACTCCGTTTCACACACGACTGCCGCAGGGATTGTTCTAGAATGCCAGTATGATTATGTCACTGCCCGGCTTAGAACACCTGCACAGCTTTCTGCTGCCTTCAGGACAAAGCCCAGACCCCAGAGTGACACTGAGGGAAGGCCCTTCTGACATCCAAGACCACTTCCCCTGCATCTCCCCACTCCTCAGCTGGACTGAATTCACTGTAGCCCTCCAGCCTCTGCTGCTGTCTCGCCCCTGCACAGGTGGCCCTGCCCTCTGGAGGGCCATCCCCTTTCTCAGCGCTTGGTCGACGTGCACCCATCTTCAGCTTCCTTGCAAAGCCTTTCCTCTTCCCCGCACAGTGCCACACCGTTCCCCCTGCCATGGGCGCTGTCTCCCACCTTGTGCTGGCTTGCCTCTGCAGCTGTGGCCCCTTGGATGGGAACTGGGCTCATTTCTATCCTCCAGTGACTGGGAGGGCACTCTCAAAAAATGTTCATTGAATGAAAAAAAAAATGGATCAATGAATAAACAGGTGCCATGTCTCTCCCCTGTTCACTCTTTTTCTGAGATGGTGAGTTCACTTCTTCCATGGGACTCACTCATTTATGGCAGATGACAGTGAAAGCTTTCATTTGCCCCATGAGTCCCAGAACTGAGAAGCTGCTCTCACCACCCGCCCACCACTGCTTCATGCAGCATCATGTGACTCCACCTGAGAGTCATTTGTAAATTTCAAAACCCACCAGCCTCAGCAGCCTCATCTTGAACACACAGCCCTTTCTACCTCTTCATTCTAATGAACCAAATACCCAAAACACCATACACCACACAGCGACAGTTTTCATCTACTTGGGGCTTATGGTCATCCACCAAGAACATAAGCACTATCAGGAACTAATGTGGACAGCCCTGGAGAAAACACAGTTGAATGCAGTGGCAGCATGCATGCTTCCGATTATCTGCCAGCCTTTTTAGGCTGGCAGGGAGGAGAGATGTAAAATAACTGTGCGACCTTTACGTGTCAAATGGTCACTTCTATGGAAGAGAAGGGCAAGCTCTCAGAAAAGTGAGACAGCCCTTCTCAGAGATGCTTTCTGAATTCATCTGGATTTATTGCTTGGATTTTTCTCTTGATATCCTTTTTCTATAGTCCACCATGTCAAATGCAAGAGGCTCACACAGTCCACAGCACCAATTTACACAAAAGGTCCCCCTTTTGGGCCCTTCAGGCCAGTTTGGACCTATTAAAAGTTGTTACATAAATAGTTGGGGAAAACTGATGAGTGTCTAACAAGCACGTTCCTTCTTCCTCTCTTCAGCAAAATATAGGCTTGAATTTATATAAAGTCCATCGGGGTGGCTGCTGTGGACACACTGGGTGCTGTGGAACGTGCTTTGGGTGGTTTTCTTGTTTGAATTGATGACTTATCACTTTATTAACCAAAGGTGTGGGACTGGGGAGAGCTGCACTTTGAAGGATTACGACTTCTTTTTTAAAACTAGGAATATGAGTCTGGGCGCGGTGGCTCCTGCTTGTAATCCCAGCACTTTGGGAGGCAGAAGCAGGTGGATTGCTTGAGCTCAGGAGTTCAAGACCAGCCTGGCCAACAGGGTGAAACCCCGTCTCTACTAAAAATACAAAAAAAAAAAAAAAAAACCCTAGGAATATGAGAATATTTTCTAAAACTATGTTTGTACTATGGTAAAACATATGTATTATAACATAAGATTGACCATTTAAAAACTTTAAAATGTATAGTTCAGTGCATTAAGCTCATTCACAATGTTGTGCAACCAGCACCACCAGCCAACTCCAGAACTTTTTTGAAACAACATATGATTGTATCTTTAATAAAATGTTGCCAGCAAATAACAACTTTTTACCCCCAAAAGTACATAAGGAATTTTACACAATATATAACAGTTATCCCTAACGTACTGCATATTCCTATTATTCCTACGTAAACAGTAAATGTAAGTAAGATACTCAGCCTGCTGAATTCCAAAATAACATGAGAAGCAGAAGCTTTGTCTTATTTGGTTTCAAGAGCCTGGGCAGGAAAATGGACACCAGCCTTCTAGGAAAGGCCCCAGGAACCTGGTCTCTGGGAGAAGCCCGGTCACACTGGATGGGTGGGGGTAGGGTCTAGCTTGACATCTGCTTCCCTGCCTCCTTCCTCGCTGACCTCGCCCGCCCGCCTCCGCCTCCGCCTCTGTGGCCCTCATGCAAGCTCACCTGGTCACTTTCGATGATGGCACGTGCCCACTCGTGGGCTTTGTACAGCTCATGCCGGCGGTCTGGTTTCTCCTGGAACCGAGGCTCCTTTTTGGCAGGGTCGTCATCCCCAAAACAGGGAGACTGTGTTTTGGGGACAAGTTTTACGTCATCAACAAAGATGAAAGGCTTGAATATGGACCTGGAGAGGAAGGAGAGGCACTTCAGCCAGGCAGAGGCTGGGACCCGGGAACACCCAGAGACTGTCCTTTTATTCAGCAAACATTTCCCAAGCCAACTTATGGTGGGTGGTGGGTGTGGGTGACGGGTGGGTGGGTGAGTGCCAAGAGAGACATAACTGCATGTTTTAGTCGCTATTTTAGCAAAACTGCAGCCATTTACAAGCTGCAAATTCCTCTACTTACAGCAAAGAGACATCAAAACAGACTTCCTTTGTTCTGAACCATTTGAGAGGACTCTTTTAGCAATAAAAAGTGAGGCAAACAAACAGTGTTCTGAGAAACGGTGCAAGGAGCCATCTAGCTGAGCGAGAGAGGTTTGCCTTTTTTTTTTTTAATACCGTGGTCTGAGAAGCAGCCTTTGGGAAAGGAAGGGCCTTTTGGTTTGGGTTTGTTTTTAGTTTTTTTCTGAGGTTCTACCTTACTGAAAAATCTATGGAATATCTCTGACAGACCCAAGGAGGGGACAGAGTAAGAAAGATGACAGAAGAGGCCTTGGAGGGTGCACACCACACAGAAGTCTGGTTGTGTGAGAGAGCTAGCACAGGGCACAGCAGGTAGCTAATGCCCCCCAGCTCTCTTCAATTCAGTTCTCTCGGCAGGATGGATGTTATCTTCGGGAAAATGGCTGTGCGTATGCCTGCATGTGTGTGTACTTGTACAAGTCTAGGATACATCACCCCCCCACCCACCCACCCACACACACACACACACACAAGAGCCACGCATATAAACAGCTGTGGCCTGGGATCCCAGGCCAACGGGCTAAGGGACCACTATGGCCAACTGTAACGCCGGGGAGAGAGCCTTATCCTACCCTCCCCACATCCAGAGGAAACACTGCTGGATCAGAGGGCTGCTCCTGGCAGGCATGGGCACCTCTGCGTCCCAAGGATTGCCTGTTTTCAGCTGTACCATGGGGCAGCACCTGCAATAACAGCAGGAGAGAAGGAACTCCCCATATGTGCCCCATATGTATAGGTCAGATTTGTCAGATTTGGACATTTTTTTCTCCTCTCAACAGGTGCACTGTGGCCCACCTCGGGTACCTCAAGTGGGCTAGAGGTGAGCTAGGATGTTGATTCCCTCAGCCCTGGGGCATCTGGAGCTTGAGGAAGCCAGGGCAGCCTTGCCAGTATGGCACACAGGTATGAATATTTTCAGGTATGGGCAAGGTATGGTGGCTCACACCTGTAATCCCAGCATTTTGGGAGGCTGGGGCAGGTGGATCACTTGAGGTCAGGAGTTCGAGCCCAGCCTGGCCAACATGGTAAAACCCCGTTTCTACTAAAAATAAAAAAAAATTAGCCGGATGTGGTGGAGTGCTCCTGTAATCCCAGCTACTCAGGAGGTTGAGGTGGAAGAGTCGCTGGAACCCAGGAGGCAGAGGTTGCAGTGAGCCAAGATCATGCCATCGCACTCCGGCCTGGGTGACTGAGCGAGACTTTGTCTCAAAAACAAACAAACAGACAAAGAAAAACTATTTTCAGGTATGCCATGACCTGAAAAGGACTGGGAGCCAATAACCCTTGCCAGCCAATTTTGTCCTCGGACTTGCAGCAACAGTATCGGCTGCAGAACCTCAGGCCCCACCCTGTCCTGCTGAATCAGAATCTGCAATTTTAACAAGATCCCTGCGGATTCATAACATATCCCAGTCTGAAGAGCACTACTAAAGACACAACAGTAATGAGAAGTACTCTCTTAGGTTAGCTTCCTGATGTTGCCATGGGACAGGAGTCTCAAGTGAGAAAAGAAAGACACTGATCACAATATGCAAAATTGGGGCCCAGACTAATTTAATTTGAGTATTAAAAGCAGTGAGACCTTCGTACCCCAAGCTGGTGAACTGAGTGGTACTAGTTGAGGACTAGTGTCAGGTACTCTGCTGTTCTCTATAGATGACGCAAATATAATTGGAGACTGGGCCCATCTCCGATCCACTGGGAAGCATAAGGCATGCCAGGCTGCGCCCACCTGCTCAAAGTCAAGCCCTGCCAAGAACCTACCCTCCCTAGCCATCATCAAAAGAAGACCCCCTAAAGACATAGGGGAGCTACCCTTGCACAGAAGGAACACACACTTCCACTTCCTACAGCCCCTTGAAAATAGATGATTGCTATACCCCTCTACTGAGTGTTGAATGAATGGCTGTTGAATATGAAAAAGGAATTATTGCAAAACCTAAAACTGTTTAAACCAATTTTTACTATATGAAATTGAATTCTTTAACTGGTGAGTCAGTTGATTCTGCAAAAGGGCTGCAGATGGAGGGCTCGCTGCAATGGAGCAGTGGGGAGGAGGAGGGCCAGGAGAGAGCACGCCTAGCCATCCACAACCAGCTGTCTCCAGGCTACCTCTGGGCTCTGACAGCAGGACTGTCTCACTACAGACAGGCGTCCTACCCTTGAGGGCCAGACAGCACTCGGGGTTTCCTGGGAAGTCAGCGCATGTCACCTCAGCAGCATCAGCCTCTTTCACTGGCACAGAAACCCTTCAGTGGTAGACAGGCCCGGGGCTCCCACCCAGCAGCCCAGAGTCAGCTCGGTTCACATCTTCTCAGCTCCAGGGCTCTGCGCTGGGCAGAACTGGGCAAAGCCAAGACTCCCACCTGGGCTGGTAGGCTTCACGGTGGAACTGGTGCAGGCTCAACACCTGGCAGGCAAGGGAACTGCGACCACGCCCTCCTGCGGAGCCTACTGAGCAGGCCCCATGCAATGCTACTTCATTCAATCCCCATGCCACTCCAAAGCCCACTCCAAACCCAAGTGGGAGCAGTATCTTCATCAGGAAACCTGCCATTTCACTCCTAAAACCTCAGTGCTTCCCTTACTGCGCATCTCAGGACTCTTCTGACACAGGACCCCTTGGGAGAGCCATGCCAAGAAGTGAGGGAAGGGGACAGCCTGGCAGCACCGCTGGGCGGAGCTACCTCCCACAGAGCAGGGCAGGGAACTGGGCTGGGACTTGGAACGGGGGTGTGAGTCCCCGCTTTGCGTCTGACCCACTGTGGGTCCATGTTTTCCCTCTCTGGCTCTCATCTGACTACAGTGATCTCAACAGTCCCTTCTAGCTTCTACAACTCGTTTATTTCTATTTCTGTCATGAAGCTTGTAAACTTGTGATGCCAGCTTCAGTAAGCTCATGCTAACCACAGTCAGGGTCTTCTGTATTCAATATAGGATAAATGCATAGTAAAAACTCAGAATGCTCTATGTGATGTAACTTTAAACCCACCCTAAGCTCACTGGAATGGAGAGGTTAATCAATGAGGGTGTCTGGTGCTTTTCTAAGAGAAGAGATACCATAAGTTTGTCCCTCTCATCTATCCATTTTAGTTTAAAAAGAATACATAATAAATATGAGGAGGTTCCCAAAATATTCTAAAGCAGCCAAAGCTCTCCAAATATTTTTTCAAAGCTTAGTATACTCAACTAATAAAAAATATAAAGCCTAAATGTATTGAGGTGGTTAAAAGCTTTTTTGAGATTGAATAAATTATATAACTAATAAATAAGGTTATCTAAAAAATAATAATTACATAAAATATTAACAAAAATTATTGCTGATAATAATTGCAATATTAATATTTGTTTAAACCAGGATGTGGAAATTATCTATAATTCAGGTTTCATCATTTGTGTCTATGTACCCAGAAAAGGGGAATGGGGGTAACTCAGTGGTTCCCAAACATTTTGATTTCTTATCAATCTTTACAGAAAATCACATTTAGAATTCCAAATAGATAAGGAGATACTCTGACATTTTCCCACAGGTAAGCCACAGACGGTAGCTTCTTAAATGCTACTTGAATGAACATAAGCCCATTAACAGACACACCCAACTGTCTCCACCACCTACAATTAGCAGATACACCCAACCGTGTCCAGCCCACCTGACCAGGATGAGGCCCATTTCATCACATGCATGGGACGCCCCCGAGTGTCCCGTGGATGGCTTGGATGCAGAACACACCTGAGAAGGTTCCAGAAGGCTGATTCTGCCTCTGTCCTCAGGGCTGACTCTCAGACCAACCTTCAGAAAAGTCACCAAACCCTGGGTTGGGAATTTGCCCCAGTCACTCAGACTTCTGTGGTGTGGTGTGACAGGAATACAAGACGATGGGCCCAAAAGCACAAAGTGCTTCCAATGGCAAGGCACAGCCCAGCAGCCAGTTCATGAGGAGGTTCAAAGCTGGCCGAGCTACTTTAAAGGGACCTTGTGAGGGACAGTTAAATCAATGAGACCATGAGCAACACTAAAGGAAGCCTCCCTCAGCATCCAGCTCTCACGAAGACAAATCCAAGGGCTGAGACACACAGTCCCATGACACGACGCACAGCGTGGGCATCCAAACTCCATTGCAGAGATCTGCAGAATTTTAGCCTTGAGTGACAATTTGAGGCACAGCCAAGAAACATACTCCACTGGATATACCATTACCTCATCTGTCCATTTTTCCCTCTAAAGCCTTGTGAGGGATGCAGCATGCCAATGCAAAAAAAACTATTTTCCAATCATTTGTTTTCTCATTTTGGAAGAACAGCAACATTACCATGAAAATCTCTAACATTTCATAGCACAGCATAATTCTCAAAGCATCTGCATTCAATTCTCATGGTACTCTTATTCATTCATTCATTGAGCAAATATGTGTTGAGCCCTGGCTGAGTACCAGATGCTGTTCTAGGTACTAGGGATACAGCAGTGAACAAAGAAGGGCAAACATTTCTGTCCCATTTTACATATGAGATGACTGAGGCTCACAGAAGCTAAGTGCTTTGTCCAAAATCACATTCCTACTAAGTGGCAGATCTAGAAGTAAATTCAGATCTAAATGCAAGGTCAGTTTTCCCCACTACCTCTCACTCTTATATTCTTCTGTTAGTTTTTCCATACACCTTATACTGCTGCAGAAAAATAAAATACTTTTTATGCTTTAGAATTTAGAATTTAATATCACTGGCTAGCCAACAGTGTTGTCCTCAAACATGGCTCTGCTCTTACTGAAGATGCAGAAACTCTCCAAGCAACAAACCAGGCTGCTCCTGTGACCTGGAGTTCCTGGCAAATCTACTGAGGAGAGTTAGCACAGAAAGAACAATACATAAATCCCTGTTCAGAGGAAGCTGCTCAAATTTGAACCAATCTCAAATAAACCTGCAATACCAAGTTTCTCTCAAAAACGCAGGCGCCCCTCAGAGTGGTTCATCTATGTTTATTCCAGCTTTACTGTGAGCCACTTTAATCATAGAGTCAAAGTCACACCTGGCTCCCATAAACATATACACCTTTTATGTACCCACAAAAATTAAAACAAACAAAAAAAAACTTTTAAAGTCATACCTGGCTGAGAGCAGAACTAATCCATGAAGGGAGTTTCCATTTTAAAGGGAAAGAGAGCCAGTACTTTTGAAGCACCGAACAGCCTTAAGGATGGCGGCTCTGGGGGGTTTTGAAAAGTCAGATGTGTAGGACAGAGAGAGGAGACAGCTGGTGTTGGAAGAATTCAGAATGGAATTGGAGGGGTAGGCACCATGTTGCCTAGGGCCTTCGGCTCTGTCTATCTGTGCAGGCTGTGCCCCACGTGGCTCCAAAGGCTGCATGAGTCATGCTGACCAAGGCTCATGATGTTTGCTCCAGTAACAAAAAGCTGTTTCTGACATTTGAATTATCTAGATGGTAATATCTTGCCCAAGCCAATTTAACTTCTCAAGATTAGTATACTGGCCCAGCACTTTGGGAGGCGGAGGCAGGCAGATCACCTGAGGTCAGGACTTCGAGACCAGCCTGGCCAACATGGTGAAACCCCGTCTCTACTAAAAATAAAAAATTAGCCGGGTGTGGTGGCACGTGCCTGTAGTCCCAGCTACTCAGGAGGCTGAGGAAGGAGAATCGTTTGAACCCAGGAGGTGGAGGTTGCAGTGAGCCGAGATCACGCCACTGCACTCCAGCCTAGGTAACAGAGTGAGATTCCATCTCAAAAAAAAAAAAAAAAAAAAAAAAAAAAGATTAGTACACTGAGAGGAGAAGAGGAGGAAACAAAAGACACACAGACATACAAATAAGGAGGTGGGGTAGAGGGGAATGTCCCTGGCATCTCTCCAGCACCCTGCCACTACTTAAAGTAGCTCAGACACCCTATTTTCCTAGAACTTCTACATTTTCTCCCCCTTCTGGTTTACCCATCCTGTATCTTATTTATTTTATTTTATTTTATTTTTTGAGACAGAGTCTCACTCTGTCATGCAGGCTGGAGTGCAGTGGCTCAATCTCAGCTCACTGCAACCTTTGCCTCCCAGGTTCAAGTGATTCTCCTGCCTCAGCCTCCAGAGTACCTGGGATTACAGGCGTGCACCACCACGCCTGGCTAATTTTTGTATTTTTTTTAGTAGAGACAGGGTTTCGCCATGTTGGCCAGGCTGGTCTGGAACTCCTGACCTCAAGCAATCCACCCACCTTGACCTCCCAAAGTGCTGGGATTACAGGCGTGAGCGGCCGCACCTGGCCTGTATCTTGAGTATTTATTTGTGTATTTTCCTGCATGTGGGGACCTCTCAGTGGTTTACTGGTCTAACAACTATATCTCTGAAAAAAATAGCTCAGTTTTATGGCATTTGCCAATTTCTGTAGTGTAAATACCCCCACTGTGGCCCATTTCAAGGGGCCAATGACATCACCAAATGTGGAGTTGGGAAGAGAGGCTCTCTTCACAATCAGCTTTCCGTGGCTCCAGCACACTGTAAGACTCCGAATTTTACACTCTCACAATGCTAAGGTACCTCTCTACTCCTCCCCTCTCCAATTCTTCACATCAATGAAGCTTTAACAAGTGCTGGCTTCCTAGGAAATGGTTTCCAAAAGTCAGAACCAGTATACTAAAGCCAATCAGTGTCACTCTTTGAATGACTGTGGCACACATGTTGATGTGATGGAATTTGCCTTCTCAATATAATTAAGTGAAGAACTTCTGCATCTCCCTCAGGCATTCAAACTCTGACTTTAGCATCTCCTTCCACTTCTCAACCTTACATACTACCTAGCACATAGTAGGAGGAGGGAGGGAGGGAGTAGAAAAGAGGATGTGAGCGCAAGTTATTTCAAGGACAAGATCTATAATTAATACAGTGAGAAAAGGACAGACAAGTGTCCAGGCAGGCAGAACAACGGTAAGATCACGTTTTTTGGTTTTAACATTAACTGGGAGGGATAAAGACTAAAGTGCTGTTCTTTTCCAAGTCTGCTACTATGAAACAATTTCTAACATTTTTAGCATTAACAGAAGCCAAAATCTCCCTAACTTTCTTGCCTAAAAACCTAACAAAAGGTAATTATGTTTCTTGCTGACAAAAGACAGTAAGTCGAGCAAGCACAATTACAGAGAAACAACTGAAATGTTGAATAGAAAGAATAACAACCTATGAAAGTTCTACAGTCATGGTAGGAAATGCAGCTCTTTTACCATGGAAGATAACAACGAATGTCTTCCAGAAGGGTCTTAATCTTCTATAATACAAGGTTTTTAAAATTAATTTAACCATGAATAATTTTCTTTTAAAAGTACTTAAAATTTTTTATTTTAACTATCAGAAGGCTATTGCCCAGCCATTTTTATAACTGGATTAGGCCATGTCCTTCAGCCTAGGAAGTGGAGTTCCTTTACGTTGGTGTCCTGGGCTCACAAGGCCCTGTCTCCTGAGCACAGTTAGAGCTGGTATCTGAGACATCAGGGACAACAGGAGTTGGTTCAGCTCAACTCACTCTTTGGAAGGGTCCTGTTCCCTAAAAAGCCATGCCCAAATACTTCGCAGAGCATTCCAGACACTTGAAAATAGAACTCCAAATGTCCATATGTACCCCTGTCATCCAGCAGGGTCCTCACAAGGGGCTATTGAGCCACCAGCATTAGGGGAGCAAACTAGGTCACAGTCCAGGAGGAGGGAGGCCCAGACACAAAGGGAAGACGGAGCCCCAAATCTGGTGGGACAAAAAGTGGGTAGAAGGTATGGCCATGGAGCCAAACATTCAGAACTGGGAGAGAAAATCAAGGGAATAGCAACTGGACTCAAACAGGAGGAGCCTCCTGAGAGGCTGCCAGGAGCGGCGTAGAGCAGTTGAGGCTCACAGATAAAGGCTGACGGGTGCCACGGGAGGGTGGTGGGCTTGTTTCACAGAGGGGCTGGGGGTAGAGGAGCAATAGTCACCTAGTGACCAGCATCACCTACAGGAGGATGCACGGCTCTAGCCCGTGGTCATGTGGTTTCATGACTCTCTGCCTTTTGCATGTGCCGTCCTCTCCACCCAGACTGTTGTTCCTGCTTTTTACCTAAAGAACCCCTATTCTTCTCACAATGCCCAGTGCTCAAGAGCTCCTTCCTCTGTGAAGTTTTCCCCTTCATCATCTCATTTGTGCCACCACTTTCCTTGTACACACTTCATCCATGGTACACAACAGACACAATATTTGGTACACAGTAGGTGCTTAGTGTTTGTTGAATGAACGAGTGAATGAAAAACTAAGAACAGCTAATACTGAGTTCCGCAGTCAGGTCTGGTTAGAAACATCTATTGATATTGGCAGTAGTTTAAAAAATGAGGCCAAAGGGTCACAAGAGGTGCTTCACTTTTCCCCTGAGTCATCTAAGAACCAGTCCCTAGCTAGATGCAATCACTGTCTTATATTCCTGAAACAGTAAAAGGAGAATAAATATTTTCAGCTGCAAAAGGAATGAAATTTAATACCAGCAAATACCTTGGAAGCAGATTCAAAGTTTAACAAGCTGACTTTCAGACACTGATAATGATGTTCAGCCAATGGAACACCCAAAAAAACACCAGAGAACCTACTGGAATGGGCAGGCTTCTAGAGCCTTCTAGGCTGAGGATCAGACTTACCTGACAGATTCCTAGGTCCACCTCAAAGATTCTGATACAATAGGTTTCAGTCAAGGAATCTGTATTTTTTGAAAACTCCTCCAAGTGATTCTAGCAATGAACAGGTTTAGAAACCACTGGATGGCTGGTTCTAAGCTACTGATGATATGATTCCTGATATACATGACAGAATGTTCCTGGGGAGAGGGGCTGCTGTCTGCCTGGGAGATCAGAGATCGTCTTCATAAATAATCGTTAAATCTACTATGTATTGACTTGGATTATCTCATTTAATCCTCCCAACAAGCATGTAAAGGTAGGGGCTGATATTATCCCCATTGTACAAACACAGAAACTGAAGCTTAGAGAGGTGAAATAACTTATTCAGCTACTATGTGGCAAAGGTCGGATTCACAATCCTGGCAGGTCATTTTAGAGGCTGCATTCTTCATCCCTGTGTAATGCTGCCTTTTTGCTGAAGCACATGGGCAGAAAGCAACCCCCTAAAACACAATGTCTTAAAGAAGGGGCCAGTACACTTGAAGTTGCTTCAATCTGTATTGCCTCCGAACTGTTTTATTCTCTAACTCACAGGAACTGGTTGTTTTGATAAATCATGAGCATTCCCACATCTCTCTGTCTCGCTGTGTTTTGTTCATTTCTGTATCCCTCATGTACCACACAATGCTTGGCCCATGATATATACTGAGTAAATATTTGGTATTAGGTTGGTGCAAAAGTAACGGTAAGGACCACAATTACTTTCGCACCAACCTAATAAATTTAAAAGAACTACTAGATTCCCTGACTGTCATAAATACTATGTGACTAAAACCAAGGAATTCACTTAATCAAAGCCCTTGGTGCTACACTGCCCACACTGAAGCTGACTGAAAAACGTGACTTTGCTATCCAAGGGGAGGACATGGTCAGGCGCTTACTACGCACTTGCTGAATGAGCTTTCAAGGGAAGCACTTATGTTCTGCCTACGTGACCAGGCCTCGGACAAACCTGGAAGGATCAGGGGTTCCAGTGAAGTAGTGAATGCACGGAGAGCTTCTATTCTGCGGCAGGACAGACACTCCACTGGCTGTGGTGAGGAAAAACTCAGAGTCTATGCACACTCCGCTGGCTTTGTCCCGTAAGGTGTTCATCATAGTCTGCACTGTGATGCTTTCTGCAAAAACACAAAAGACAGACAAATGGAAAGAGTAGATATAGGCCGGGCGCGGTGGCTCACGCCTGTAATCCCAGCACTTTGGGAGGCCGAGGCGGGCGGATCACGAGGTCAGGAGATCGCGACCATCCTGCATAACACGGTGAAACCCCGTCTGTACTAAAAATACAAAAAAAAAGCCAGGGGTGGTGGCAGGCGCCTGTAGTCCCAGCTACTTGGGAGGCTGAGGCAGGAGAATGGTGTGAACCCGGGAGGCAGAGTTTGCAGTGAGCTGAGATCGCGTCACTGCACTCCAGCCTGGGCGACAGAGCGAGACTCTGTCTCAAAAAAACAAACAAACAAAAAAGAGTAGCTATAACACAAAACTGTGGCGTGGCGGGCCACTAACTAAAATCCATTCACTGCATTCTCTTTTTAGTAATAAAAACTCTGAAATTACATCTGGGACTGTAACTACCAAACTACAGTCTATTTCCCCACTTCCCTTGTGACTATGTGTGGCCATGTGATAAATGTTGATCAACAGGAGGTAAGCAGAAACAATGTGTGCAATTCCTCATCACATCTATAAACAAGGTATGTTTGCCTTTTGTTTTTATTTTCTCCCTTCCTGCCAACTAGGAGATGCAAACAAGCGGACCACAAATGGAATTCCTGTGTTGAGTCACAGTAACCAGCCCTGGACTGGCCGTATATACCTGAACTATAACATGGGAGAGAAATAACCTACTATTTTTTTTAAGCTACGTTAATTTGGGGTGTCTTTGTTACAGCATTTAGCTGTACCTCAACCAGTACAATAACTCAATAGATATCCACAAGAAAGTACATACAATCTACTACGCACAGTCCACCAAACTCGCTCCCATAAACTCTTGCTGGTCAGAGTCAATACTCTATTTGGAGAATGTCCTCTCTGCGGTGGGAAATATATGCACAGAGAGGCATTTAGAATATTCAGAGCCATTAGGACTGTTGGCGGTGACCACAGATAAATGGATAAACAAATCCTTGATTACATGAGATCCCATTTCTACATCTTCCCCTGGGTTATAATTTGTTAAAACACTATTTCAGTCTGTGTTCACCATGATGGAATTGAAGCATCACACGGAGAGGTTTGTTGGCACATTCACATCCTCTTTGTAAATCTCTACTTACATGTCATACCTAGAAATATTAACAACAAATCCTTGCTTGCTTCAACTGTCCAATGTTCAGATTTCCTCATTGTCTTATAAATGAGCCTATTGATTTGAATTGGAACCAATCAGAATTGGAAACGTCTCTGCCTCTTGTTTTTTCCCCTTGCATCTTTTTTTTTTGAGATGGAGTCTCGTTCTGTCCCCCAGGCAGGAGTGCAGTGGCGCAATCTTGGCTCACTGCATCCTCCGCCTCCCAGATTCAAGTGATTCGCCCACCTCAGCCTCCCTGGTAGCTGGGACTACAGGCATGCACCACCACGCCCAGTTAATTTTTGTATTTTTTTGGTAGAGATGGGGTTTCACCATGTTGCCCAGGCTGCTCTTGAACTCCTGGCCTCAAGTGATCCACCCTCCATGGGCCTCCCAAAGTGCTGGGAGTGCGGGCATGAGCCACCGCACCCACTCAGCTTGCATCTTAGTTGTCAGAGTCATCTTTCCTGTAGTTTCGCACAGTGTAAGCTTTGCAGATGGCATCCTCATGGCATTATTTGTTGGGAACAGGGCCCCTGAAATCTGGCCATAAACTGGCCCCAAAACTGGCCATAAGCAAAATCTCTGCAGCACTGTGACATGTTCATGATGGCCATGATGCCCACGCTGGAAGGTTGTGGGGTTAACGGAATCAGGGCAAGGAACACCTGGCCCACCCAGGGCGGAAAACCGCTTAAAGGCTTTCTTAAACCACAAACAATAGCATGAGCAATCTGTGTCTTAAGGACATGCTCCTGCTGCAGATAACTAGCCAGACCCATCCCTTTATTTCGGCCCATCCCTTTGTTTCCCATAAGGAATACTTTTAGTTAATCTATAACCTATAGAAACAATGCTTATCACTGGCTTGCTGTCAATAAATACATGGGTAAATCTATGTTCAAGGCTCTCATCTCTGAAGGCTGTGAGACCCCTGATTTCCCACTCCACACCTCTACACTTCTGTGTGTGTGTCTTTCATTCCTCTAGCGCCACTGGGTTAGGGTCTCCCCAACCAAGCTGGTCTCGGCAATTATTATATTAAACAGCGTATTTGTTCCTCTATCCTCTGTATTTTCTGTAAATTAGTAGCTAGACCTAAAGGCTTTATCAGATTTAGAGTTGATGTTTTGGCAACATTATTTAATATCTTTCACCAAGCTAGTTTTTTTTTAATTAAAAAAATTTTGATTTTTTAAAAGCTCCTGTTTAAAAGTGAGTATTTTCTTACCTTCCTACCCAGAATATATTACATAAGTGCTATAGCAAAAGTCCTAAAGTGTTCTAGATTAAGAGTCAGGAAGCATTTTCCTTCTTTTTTGTTTTTTTTAAAAAGAGACAGGGTCTCACTCTGTCACCCAGGCTGGAGTGAGGTGGTGCAATCATACCTCACCGCAGCCTTGAACTCCTGGGCTTAAAAAATCTTCCCACCTCAGCCCCTGAAGAGCTGGAACTATAGGCCCACATCACCACATCTGGCTAATTTTATTTCTTTGGAGAGATGAGGTCTTGCTAAGTTACCCAGGCTGGTCTTAAACTGAACTCCTAGCCTCAAGTGATCCTCTGCCTCAGCCTCCCCAAAGTACTGTGATTACAAGCATGCACCTGGCCTGACAGTAAATATTTTAGGTTTATGGGCCATAGAATTTCCGTTGAAACTTTCCTGTTGCACCTGCTCAACTCTGCCATTATAGTGAGAAAGCAGCCCCAAACAATATATAAATAAATGGGTGTGGCTACAGTCCAATAAAATTTTGTTTTTAAAACAGGCAGCTGCCAAAAGGTCATAGTTTGCAGACCCCTGTCCTAAATGATCCAAAACTTCGCCTTATAAAATACATGCATCACCAACAAATATAGAATGACTGTTGTGGGTTTTCTGGAAGGATTTCCACATAGGCACAAAAGTAAGAAGCTATCTAGTCGCCACATATACCTAAACATGGATTCTGATTTAAGTTAATAACTAGGGGCTGGGTGCGGTGGCTTAGGCCTGTAATCCCAGCACTTTGGGAGGCCAAGGCGGGCAAATCTCTTGAGCCCAGGAGTGTCAGACCAGCCTGGGCAACAAAATGAGACCCTGTCTCTACAAAAAAAAAAAAAATTAGCCAGAAATGGTGGCATATGTTTGTAGTCCCAGCTGTTGGGATGGCAGCAGGGGTGCAGCTGAGGGAGGATCGCTTGAGTTCAGGAGGTGGAAGCTGCAGTGAGCCGAGACTGTGCCAACACACTTGAGTGTAGACAACAGAGTGACATCCTGTCTCAATAAACAAACAAACAAACAAATAAATAAATAAATAAATAAAATAAGTTAGTAACTAGTTGGCAGACGGAGTGGCAAGAATTCAACTCATCAAGTATCCATGGAACAAAAAATTATACAGGCATCAAAAAGGGACCCTAAGATGAGTAAGAGACAACACCTCTGCCCTCAAGTCCCAGCAGGCTAGCGGGGCAGGGAAAGATGAGTCAAATATATAATTACTGATGTATGAGGATGGCTGCAGTAAGCATTACAAAAGGCAACACAATGACATCAGAGATTAAAGGAGAATAACATGGGTAGGAGCAGGAAACCTCCAGGGATGAGGAAGCACCATGTAAAAATAAATACAAGTTGTTTTCTTGCCTGCACATCAGGGACTTTTAGCAGAAGTTGGTCTTTACATACAAGGACTATTCTGTATTCCTTTTTGTTCACCCTTCTAAGTTCAGACAAGTTCTCAGAAACAGCTGCAAGAGAAAGGGTATGAGAAGGAGAATCGTGAGGGAGAGACTAACTCACCTTCTTGTTTTTCTAAGCTGTCTTTGCCAGCACCGCAGTCTAGATGATCCTCAACTGGAGAAAAGACTTCGGAAAAATTGAACTCGCCCTCTCCCGTCCACCAACCTTGGCTCTGAGCGTAACTCCTGAGTTCCGGATGCTCTGCATCCATCTTAGTGGTGAGCGAAAGCTGACTGCAAATGCACCTCACTCCCTCTGCAGAGAGTGCAAAGCCCCATAAGTTAAAAATATACTTATAAAGACTTAATCAACAAATGGAAATGTATAGGGAATCCTTTTCCTGAAACACTGACTTTAACTACAGGGAGGAATCCATTTAATTTTTGAAGAGAGAAACAGACAATCATTGAGTCTCTTTCTAGGAGACCTCCTAAAAGGTCTGACCAGTCTTGACTGGGCATTATCACATTTTAAATGAGCAACAGTCACTTAACCCATCTTAAAAGCATAATCAACAGGAAATATGTAAGGCTCTTCATTTTGGCTAAATAAGCCCCAAGCATTCATTAGTTACATGCAAAAAAAGGGACAGGTCCTTTGAAAGAGGTACTGAGCTAACAAGACTTAGCAATCCACAAGGGAGTCCTCTATAATAGAGATGCTGTTCCTCTACAGCAATGCTCTATCGCATCTATAGAAAGCCCCCTCCCTGGTCTGATTTCTTTTCACCTGGAAAAACACTTTACACCCCTACTCCTTGGCCAAATCTATATGGTTTTTTTTAAAAAATACAAATCAAATACTTCATTCAACTTTTTTTTCAGGTCTCAACATTTAGAAAATCATAGTGGCAATGACAACAAATTGTTTTAAAATAATTGAATATATTCATGAATATACATATGTCTGGGTATGTGTGTGTGCACACATGCGTGTGAGTGTGTGAGATAAAGTGTGTGCATGCGTGTGTGTATGTGTTTGAAAAATCTATGGGAAATTTTTTCTTATAAAAATAGAAGTGTGACTAAATAAATCTAGAATTAGAAATGCCTGCATTCTGAGTACATTTCACTTTGATGAATGAGGGCTTAGACCAGAAACTCTCCTACCAGCTGGCTGGCTTGCTATGTCTTCTTCGAAGCCTGAGCTGCAAATGCACACAGGACAACTCAGCCTTCCAGCTTCAAGATGCTGTCTAGGGCACAAACACTAGGAAGTTATCAGTGCTAGCTTAAAAGGGCCATTCCTATTTGCTGCTTCCAGGGATTCTTGGAGAATGAAGTGACATAAAGAACATAAACTACAAGCTACAGGAAAGCCATCATTGCCTGAAAACCAGTTCCTAGAGGCAGGATCAGTGCTGGACTAAGTTCTTTCA
Source organism: Homo sapiens (assembly GCF_000001405.40). Classification (NCBI taxonomy): domain Eukaryota; kingdom Metazoa; phylum Chordata; class Mammalia; order Primates; family Hominidae; genus Homo; species Homo sapiens. The sequence continues at coordinate 29,942,000 of NC_000007.14, forward strand.
GTATGTTTTGCTTCACTGATTTACACTTCTGAAATAAGCATTCCTGGCTGGTAGGCATTGGTCCTTTGTCATTTATCTTTTCAGAGAGGACCATAAAAGTACAATTATAAACAATTAAAAATAAAAACCAGTTTTGGCCTAAACAAGTGATTTTGACATCATTCCTACTAAGTTATTTTAAAAAATACTCTTGTAAGCAACTCTACAGATATTAGTTTCCCAGTGGGCAGATTTATAGTAGACATTTGCTTTTAAGAATGTTAGCCTTTGGGAGACGGAGTGCATTAAATCTTACTGCAATCCATCACACCGCTGCTGGGATCAGACGACATGAAATCAGTAAGTCCAAGAAATGGCTGGGGTTCTTTTTTATTTAAATATTTAGTTAACTAATGGAAGCATTCATTTTGTGTAATTTTTTAAGCTACATTTTGAAGAGACGCTCAGCTTTTGAAACGCAGTCATAGATCAAAAAGTGTTAGGTTCAACTTAAAAGCAATATGACTGCTTTGAAGCATGGATTACTAGCACTCTTGATGGAAGCATTCAATAGTAAGACTTCATCTTAGGAGGGGTTTTTATCAAGGAGTTTTAAGTTCCTGCATTGTAGGAGAGTTGGAGACCTGGTGGGCTGCACTGGCTGTCTTAGTTCTAGAACTACTGTAAGAGCTGGGCAAGTAGGCACACACACTGGTAGGTGGGTACATGCTGGGCATATGAGGTGGAGAAACTCTCCGTGATTGCTGACGGACACCACTAGCCCATTCTACACCCTTTTGAGATAGAAAGAGGCCACCCCCTCCTCCAGACAGACACAGCCTTCATACAGCTTGGCCAGGAAGCCACAGTCTAGATTTCACTGCCTCACTGGGGCAATTTTGTATAGAGTACAACGTACCCATCATCCAGAGAAGCCCTGATCACTGGACTAACTTTGTGCACAGAAAACAGGCTTGATTCCCATCTACTGTGGTAGATCTTCCGCTTCTAACTCGGGTCAAATTTGGTTCAATTCACCCCTAAGATAGGGACGGCACACAAGTTTCATCCCCAACATCATTTTGGATTACTTGGAAGAGACTTCCTGGTAAATTTAGTTAAGAAAAATACATAGGCCAAGAATAGGTTCAACGAAAGAGAAGTGTCGTGACCTACTACTCCACCATTAGCACAGGAGGGAAGAATGGCAGTGCACACATCACATGGTCACCACCCAGTCCCAAGGAGCTGCTCGGGCCAAAATTCCCTCTTAGGACTACTTAGTTCTCTTCGAAGCCCTTTAACCCATTCTGGGATCTCATCCTGTCCAGAAATGAGGATGCTGAGGTGGGGATACAAAACTACCACTCCCACCCCTAACACTTACTTCCCCAGGGCTGTGTTAGAAGCAAGATGCTGCACGGGCCACAGAGCAGCAAATTTATGGGCACTAAATTCTTCTGGGTGGATCATCTAGTCCTCTGCTCTTCTAGAAACACTGTCTCACTGTGAGATAAATGAACTTCACTCACAAAGAAATCCCAGAGTGGCGTATACCGGTCCTCACACAGATCTAAACTCCTATTTTAGAGGAACATGCCAAGCACAAAGATCTACAGGGTTGGGGGTGACAAGGAGCTACTGTCCAGTGAAGGGACTTGTTGACCTATTACACAAGAAGAGTCACCATTCTCTTGGCCAATTAATAGAGTAATGGTTTAAGTCATGGAATTCCTGGTAGTCAAAAGCAGGTTCTTCCCAGAAAGCAAACAGAAAATACGAAATGTTAAGAGACTGCTTCACTCCAGGTTCAGGAGACTCCAGGTTCTCTTCTTGGAGGTTCCCAGAAATGAGAGGCATGCCAAAGCATGACAGTCCCACACAGAGAGGACCTGCAACGGCACGTCTTTCTTCCAGGTCTGACACTGTACGTGCAGGCCACCCCATCTCTGTGGCCTTCCCTGTCCTCAGAACTCTCCATCATCCACACCCACTCACCTGTGACTTTCTCGGCAGCCCAGTACTTCCCTATGGTCTCGAGCACCCAGGCTTCATCACGATCCACAATCAGATATGCACTTTGGAAGCTGTGGCAGGAGTTTGCATCTTCAAAGTAATTCCCACCTTGTCCATGTTCTTCCAACAAGGAGACAATGACATCTAAGGCTTCTTTAGCTGTTTCCCCTCTTTCTAAACCAAGCCTGCAGGAAGGAAACCAGAACCATACTTCAGTCATTTCATACCACAGGATTGTTACTAGAGTAACCAAAGACTGGGCAAGGCCGAGTTATGAAGCATGCCAACATGTGTAAACATGTTAAGTCTGCAGAACAATAAGCAAACTGATTAACTGCACTGTATCCCAGAACACACTTCTCACATGTTTGCTTAAAAAACCATATGGGGTGGCCAGGTGCAGTGGTTCATGCCTATAATCCTAGCACTTTGGGAGTGGCAGGATTGCTTGAGCTCAGGAGTTCAAGACCAGCCTGGGCAACATAGCGAGACCTCTTCCTCAAAAAAAAATTTTTTTAATTAGCCAGGCATGGCGGGACACACTGGCAGTCTCAGCTACTTGGAAGGCTGAGGTGGTACGATCGCTTAAGCCAAGCAGGTCGAGGCTGCAGTGAGCCATGATCATGCCACCACACTCCAGTCTGGGCATCAGAGTGAGACCCTGTCTCAAAAAAAAAAAAAAAAAAGAAAGAAAGAAAGAAAGAAAAAATCATAGGGGTGTTTTCTGTCTTTGGTCATTTCCCTTCGACACAGGAGAGTCAGGAACCCAGTGTCTTCTCCCTCTTGGAAGGCACCTGTGTGTCTTCCCCTCTTCTGACTGTGTCTCCCACAGAGCTGGCCACCTCAGCTCTAGCCCTTACAAAACCACCCCTCTGTGGCATGTACTCCCTCCTGACTCTAACCTGGGCAAAAGGAAACCAAGGCCAAGTCTGGCCTTGATCTCTATTATTCTACACCAGGTATTTTGCTTACTTATTAAAAGTGTTCAAATGCCAGACATTATCCTGTGTCCAGAGAGGACGTTGTCCTGTCTCTGTCTCAGAGACCTTATTAGGAATGGGCAGCTGGTTGGGACATAATCAGCCTTTTCTACATATTTCTCCTCCTGCCTATCAGCCTACGTCTATTGGTATGGCTTACAGCTTCAGTCATCAAAAGAATATGTATTCCCTTTGAAGTGAGACATCCATCTCCCCCTAGCCTTTCCAATTAATAAACCCTTTAAAGAGGGCACTGATATGGTTTGGCTGTGTCCCCACCCAAATCTCAAATTACATCTCCCAGAATTCTCACTTGTTGTGGGAGGGACCCAAAAGGAGGTAACTGAATCAGGGGGTCCGGTCTTTCCTGTGCTATTCTCGTGATAGTGAATAAGACTCACAAGATCTGATGAGTTTATCAGGGGCTCCCGCATTTGCTTCTTCCTCATTTTCTCTTGCACAGTACTGCCCTCTGTGTGACCTTGGGCAGGTTATATATTTTGAACTTCAGTTTTATGTCATCTATAAAATGAACGCCCACATCATTTAGTTGTTGTAAGAGTAGGTTTATGAGATAACATCCATGAAAATATGCAGTGCTAGTGCTTGTGACCAGGAAAGTGGTCAGTAAATTTCTGGAGGTAGAACACTGTGGCAGAGAAACATATGACTCAGAGATAAATGGACCCAGCTTCTAGCTATGGCTCTGCTACTCACTGGCATTAAGATCTTAAGTAATGTGACCTTTCCAAACCTTGATTTTTCTCATCTGCAGATTGAAAACAATACTACCTCCCTCTCTGGCTGTTATGAAAGAGGATGGTACATGCCATGTACTCAGGAAGTGTCCATATTCATCTGTTCATTCAAATTATAATTCAGGTGGCAGGAACACAGGAGTCTTAGAACCTGGGCAATGGTGCTACTACAATGGTGGTACAAGCCAGTTCTTGGTGAATTTTCAACTTGAGAAGTAAAAACTATTCAAATTTATCTAATTTGATGCTTCCTAAAGGGATATTTCACTGTGCTGCCAGGGAGAAGAAAAGCTAATACAACTAATCTATAGGCTGATTATTATAACAGGCTTATGTTTATAGTCAAATAATTACATGACAATTCATTTGACATTTCTCATTTTAAGCTTATGTAGCAAGACTCGGTTACAAGGCAGTGATTTACAAAGCTGAACCCTAAAACCTTAGGAGAGGGATAAAAGAACAAACCCACTAGAAGACTGAATTCAGCTGACTTTTCCTTTGGTCAATGTCATCTTCTCCAAAGAGAAGGAACAGAAGCAGGCACTCATCTTACCTTGAGGCTCCGGAACAAACAAAGGTGCTGTGAGTGCCTCTCAGAACCCCACGTTGTACACACTCGAAGGCCTCCTTCCTCCCTTCCACAGGTCCCTGGTAGCCCCCTGGTCACAATGCCTCATACAGACATTCCAGGCAGAATCCTGTTCCCAGGGCCTTTGCAGGGCCCCAACTTGCCCGTGCAAACATGTGCTGGGAGCATGTGAATACACAGCCAGCTGTAACAGCCCTGTCTTCGGAGCTTGTGACTTATCTTTTTTGATTTCCAGTGTACTCTTCTGATGTTCTGCCTGTTTGCATTCCACACTGAGGCCCTAGACTTGCACTTGCCCTCCCATGCTGACTTTGATGTCCTCTGGCAGAGTTGGCAACAGGACCTCAGCACTATCCACAGACCTAATTCTGATTTCACCCTCCTATCCCTTGTGCCAGGACCATGGGTCAGAGATACCCCTTTGTCCCACCTGATTATTCCCACCTGGTCTTCCTACCATGCCATGAGGACAGGGCCAACTGCTCCATAGTACATGGGCCGTGAATAACACCAGGGTTACACCCTTGCCCTCTGCAACTGAGAAATGCAGATGAATCCCATGTCACTGGGTGCAGAAGAGATGCCAGAGAGACCTGGGGCCACAAGTCACATGGCATCCAGAGGCCAATGTTAAAGCCATTCCCAACAGTCTCACCTCCTACATGCGGCAGATTCATGTGATTCCAGAAGAGGGCAGTGCTCTCTGGCCCCATGCCTAATTTCACTTTGGCTGCTACCCCTCTGCCTGGGCAGGACCAGGACAGGGAAGGGGAAGAAACTCAATGGGCCAAGGTTAGAGTTCCACTGTAACATCTATCTTCTGTGCAGTTCGAATTCTTCCAAAGTGTGTGCTTTGTCCAGCTTGCTCTGGGCCTGGGAATTAGATGCTCCTGAATTCAATTCCTAGTTTTATAGGAAAATCTTTCCCTGGGAGCCCATGACCTTCTCACAGGTATGTCAAGCTCACCCTGCCCGTTCCTGAAAAGTTAACACATCTCACTGAGAAAGATGGGTCACACCTGTACTTCTCCTGCTTAAAGCCCGTTTGTTTAGAAACTCTGCTTATCTTTTCAACATCTGTGCCTCCATGGATTAGGAGATCCCTGTCCTTTTCTATCTCAAATCAGGTAAAACTAGATTTGCCATGGATATATAATCACTGACTTGGGAAAAGTAATAAAAATAGGCAACACAGCCCCCTTAGAAAGGTGGGCCTAGTATTCTTATAGGACTCAGGTGCAAATAATCTTCCCTCCTCCCCACAATCAAGCAGTCTGCCAGGCCCTTCTGAGGTCAGGACCTTTTGGAAATTGGAAATTCCCTGCCTTCAGCCAGAGGGCTAGAAGCAGGAAGGTAATGCTATGAAGTGATTGCTTGTCCCCCTGGTTTCCCCAAAAATTCATATGTTAAGCCTCATCCCCAGTGTGATGGTATGGTACACGGGGCCTTTGGGAGGTGATGAGGTCATGAGGGGTGGAGGCACCATGATGGGATTAGTGCCCTTAAAAGAAGAGACACCAGAACACGTCCTCTTTCTCTGTTCTCTGCCATGTGAGGATACGGGGGAAGATGGCCGTCTGCAAACCAGCAAGCAGGCTCTCCCCAGACACTGGGTCTTCCGGTGCCTTGATCTCAGATTTCCCAGTCTCTAGGAATGTGAAAAATAAATTTGTGTAGTTTCAACCCCCTAGGCTATGGTATGTTTGTTATAGCAGCCCAAATGGACTAAGACGAGTGATAACACAGGTGATGGATGTGAAGGTGATCCAGGGAAAGAGCGTGTGAAACTTTTTGACTTATCTCCATCTCTCAGTGTCCCGAAATTCCTGCGTCATTGACAGGTGAAGTAAAATGTGCTCCACTACATAGAGGAGTGGCCTCTCTGAGGCTAGCAGGCCCTGGGATCCCTGGCTTAGCCACCTTCTAGCTCTGGGGCCTTGGGCAACTCCTTCAACCCTCCTAAGCTCCAGTGTCCTCACTCTCAAGGGGAGGAGACCTACTTCATTGGGTTACTGTGAGAGTTAAATGAAATAATATGTGCAAAGCATGTCTTACTACAGTGTTCAGGAAATAGTAACTCTGATTACACAGGTTCCTCCCGCCTACAAATGGTGACTGAACCTCCTTTTAAATCACCTGAGTCCTCACATTCACCAACAACCTAAAGACAAACTACAGACCTTTCCAAATTTTCACACTGGCCTTTTGCCAAGGACTTTTGTGATTTTTAACATGCTGAAGGTCTGATGGAATGTGTCCAGAATTATAAGATGTTCTGAAATATTGGAATTGACTAGGTTTTAGTGCCATTGTTAAACACAAATGGGACTAGCAAAAGTCAGCATGCAGGAAAAAAAAGAATAAAGTAGTTATGCAAAGGGAAGAAGAGGCAAGAAACACTGAAAGAATGCAGCAATCTGCTGGAGCCAGCTGCTACCAGCTTGGAGAGCAGATGGTTAAATTTTAGGGATTTTGAGCCAGTTCTGAAACTGTTGGTAGCTTGAAACCCCTCACAGTGGGAGTATTTACACCATGGAAATTGAAAAAGGACTCAAACAGCGCTGCCCCTTCCCTCCACCAGGCTGGTTATTAAACATTTACCAGCATACTTCTGACAAAGAGGTTCCAAACGCTTCATAGTTCTCATCCATGTTGAGGCCCAGAGGCATTATCATGTCTGACAGACCTTGGATTATAAGTGGCACCCTAGGACAGGAGCGGTGGCTCACACCTGTAATCCTAGCACTTTGGGAGGCTGAGGCAGGCGGATCACGAGGTCAGGAGATCATGACCATCCTGGCTAACATGGTGAAATCCTGTCTCTACTAAAAATACAAAAAATTAGCCGGGCATGGTGGCAGGCGCCTATAGTCCCAGCTACTCGGGAGGCTGAGGCAGGAGAATGGCGTGAACCCAGGAGGCGGAGGTTGCAGTGAGCCGAGATGGTGCCACTGCACTCCAGCCTGGGTGACAGAGCAAGACTCCGTCTAAAAAAAGAAAAAAAAAAAGGGCACCCTAACAACCAGAAAGTAATTTCCCCTTTCTTTCCTTCACTCTTTTTTTTTTTTTTTTGAGACAGGATCTCGTTCTGTGACCCAGGCTGGAGTGCAGTGGCATGATCTCAGCTCACTGCAACCTCCCCACCTGGGTTCAAGCAAACCTCCCACCTCAGCCTCCCAAGTAGCTGGGACCACAGGCGTGGGCCACTATACTGGGTTAATTTTGTATATTTTGTAGATACAGAGTTTTACCATGTTGCCCAGGCTGGTCTTTAACTCCTGGGCTCAAGCAATCCTCCTGCCTCGGCCTCCCAGAGTGCTAAGATTATGGGGCATAACCCACCACATCAGGCCCTTTTTTCCTTCTTTCAGACAGGGTCTCGATCTGTTACCCAGGCTGGAGTGCAGTAGTGCAATCATGGTTCACTGCAGCCCTGACCTCTTGGACTCAGCAATCTTCCCGCCTCAGTCTCTCAAGTAGTTGGGACCACAAGCATGCAACAGTGCAACCAGCTACAATTTGCATTTGTTTTGTAGAAACAGGCTTTTGCCATGTTGCCCAGGCTGGTCTTGAACTCCTGGGCTCAAGTGATCCTCATGACTCGCCTCCTAAAGTGGTGATAGCAGTGGTGGCCCATCTGGAGGAGCCACTGTGAAGATGCCGGCTGCAACAGGGAGGCAGGGTCTGGGTTGCGTGCTTTGCGAGGCTGGTGGGAGCCCCACCCCCTACCAAGTTGGCAGGGTGGGAGCCCCATGCTCCCAGGCACAGCTGCAGCTGCTCTGGACCTGGGCATCCCTGCACTCTCAGGAGCCCAGGAAGCCCTTGCCCCTACAGGCTTGGAAGTGCCTGCTTCCTGCTCCCTGACCTCTTCCCGCTTCCCAGCACCTGCTCCAGTGCAGAGCAAAGTTGTGGCTGAGCCCAGGTGCTATTGCAACCTGGCTGGGTGTGCACATGCTTAGGGTGGTGCTGACACACCAGCCCCCTGCCGCCTCGGGCTTCTCCAGACTTTGGGCATCAATGAGCACAGGAGGGAGGCTGGGAGGGCTGAGGGCAGCTCAGTGTGGGCCTGCCAGTGCCCCCCAAGATGAAAAACCTGGACATCATGGATGGCACGTTGATGGCAGGAGGCAGACAGTTTCCTGGGCGGAAAGGAGCAGGTCCCCAGTGAAACCCCACCTTCAAGCCAGGAATGGCCGGAAGCCCGGAGGCTGGTCTGCTAGTTCCGGGTGGAGTACGCAGCCCAGAGTGAGAACTTATGGTGCTTTTTCCAGGCTTGCCCATGACCCGATCAGCACACACTTCCTCCCTTCTGAGCCCATAAAAACCCCAGACTCAGTCAGACTCACACAGACGTTAGGACTACCAGCTGCAGGAAGGAGCTACCAAGTTTGGGCCTCCTTGACTCGTTGGGATGACCTGCCTGCAGCAGAAGGGAGCTACCCACTACAGGTCTCCTCTCTGCTGAGAGCTGGATACTCGTCAGGATGACCTGCCTGCAGAATGGAGCTACCCACTTTGGGTCCCCTGAGAGCTGTTCTGTCACTCAATGAAGCTCCTCACCACCTTGCTCACTCTCCAGCTGTCCATGTATCTCACTCTTCCTGAACATGGGACAAGAGCTTGGGACCCGCCAAATGGTGGGACTGAAAGAGCTATAACACAAACAGTGCTGAAGCACACCCCCAGCCCCCACCATTTGCAAAATTGCAGGTGATGAAAAGGAGAGAAGAGCTGCAGCCCTTTGGGGAGTCCAGACCTAGGGGCTCCCTGAGCCAGGACTGTGACACTCTCTTTGGGGCTCTGCAGTTCCTGGCATTTCCAAGCTTCCAGGCACCACGTTTCTTGGTGACTGCAGTGGAAGCCATTTGCAGTACGCCTGGTCCAGCTGCAGCCTCGCACAGAGCTAGTGCCTGTGCCAACGCCTAGAGCTGCCCATCCCGCCACAGCTGGCACACCTGGCTGTGTGCAGTGGCTGGACCCCATGCTTGCTCACACACCCCTTTCCTCTCTGCGCCTGGCTTGTGCTTGGAAGGCATGGGATCCAGGCCAGTAGCATAAGCTGAGTACAGTGTGCAGGGCCAAGTGGTGGAACAAGCCCAGCAGCCCGACCAAAACTCAGGCAAAGGTGCCACCAGCCACAGAGGTTTCCGGCTGGAAAAGCAACACCGTAAGGATCGTGTGACACTGGGATTACAGGCATGAGCCACTGCACCTGGCCAAATTCCCACTTTTATGTTAGCTTCTATTGGCTACTCATTACTTGGAACCAACTTCATGAAACATGCAAAAATGTGTACGTGTCTTTATATGCCTCTTCCTCAGGAGAAAGGGACTAGTGGTCAGAGAACAGTGAATCAAAAATAACAGATGAAGCTTAGCTTTGAGATAAATGTCACTGAAAACGCATTATAAAAACAATATTGCCTAATGCTTACATTCCCACAAGCCTCTAGGAAACATACACAAATTATACCTTTATCTTAAAATCAGTGCCTATTACATTGCTACTGTCATTCCCTTATGTCTCTTTGAACTGAGGTTGGATTTCACATGCTGCTGGAAAGTGCAAAGTACCAGGATAAGTATAGGGGCAACTACTGTATTCATTGAATAATCAACCACAGTCTAGCAGGCCCTTGAAAGAGCATGTGAAATGGACATAGCCTGCTCTCATAGAAGCTGTCCAGGGAGGAACTGGCACTAGACACAGAGTGCAAGCAAGGCCAGAGAAAGTAGTGGTTCCTCACACAGCAATACCTAGGGAGGCACTGAGCCCCAAATTAAGAGAATGAAACCAACTGATAGAAAGTTTCCTGTGGAGCAGCGGTTCTCACCGTAACCGTGCATCAGCACCAGCTGGAGAACTTGTTAAAACAGGTTGCTGGCCCCTGGGTGTGAAATAGGGACCGACAATTTACATTTCTAGCAAGTTCCCAGGTGATGCTTGTTCACCAGCCATACTTTGAGAACCACTACTCTAGAACTTGCCACTCAAACTGTGGTTTTTTGACTTGTAGTATCAATATCATCTGGAGCTTCTTAAAAATTAATACTAGAATTAAATCATTAAAAAGGAAATCTGGGGTGGGATGTGGTGGTCCACGCCTGTAATCCCAGCACTCTGAGAGGCTGAGGCAGGCGGATCACTTGAGGTCAGAAGTTCGAGACCAGCCTGGTCAACATGGTGAAACCCCGTCCCTACTAAAAATACAAAAATTAGCTGGGTGTGGTGGCATACACCTGTAATCCCATCTACTCAGGAGGCTGAGGCAGGAGAATCGCTTGAACCTGGGAGGCGGAGGTTGCAATCAGCCGAGATCATACCACTGCACTCCTAGGAAACAGAGCAAGACTTGTCTAAAAAAAAAAAAGAGAGAGAGAGAGAGAATGCTGGGTAATGAGCATGAGTTACTTTTAGGATTTGGTTGGTATGAAATGACCCTTCAAAATCTGGCTATGCTTGGCTGAACTGATCATAGCTGCTTTAAAGATGAACTCAAAAGATCCACTTAAGGTGCAGATGCCTGTGACTCCATCCCCACCCTGAAGAACCTACCAGTGCTCTTCACACCCTTTTTATTACAATAGCTGGACATGGCTAGCCCAAGATGGAGTTAACGTTATATGGTGAAGGTTAAACTCTCACCCTGTCATCTACTCCTGACCTTGCTAATTATCACAATGCCAAGTCTGTGACAAACATATCTTCTGTGTCTACCTCCCTCAGCCTTGCAGCTTCAGGTCAAATGAACCTGCCCCTCAAAGCATTCCCAAATATGACCAGTCTGTGATAATCTGTGAACATCCCGCAGTGTTTGCTGAAGGCCACACCCTGGAATTCTGTGCCATTCACGTGGCATCAAATCTCAGATCACTTTGAGTTACCTCTCTCCTACTATCTTCTTATATTATTCTTAAAATTTCCATTGCTCAATTTTCTTCTTCCTGCAACCAGACTAAAATCCCTTTGAAGCTTTGAGCTGCTTCATGTACCCACAGAGTCTAGAACAAAGTAGATATTCAGTAAACTCCTGTTGCTTTATTGGTTGATAATCTTAAAAAGATATATCAGGTGCTCTGAAGAAAGGCAAAAAATCCTCTTCCACTGTCCCTTAGAAATCAACTGTTAAAATGGTAATTTTGCCTGTTCTATAAGTCTCATACTGCAAATACAGTAAAAAATACTGGAGAGCTGTCAAAACATAAGCTAAAAAAAAAAAAACTTCTTGTTATTCTATACATTTCATTTTGCTAATCAAGAGAAAACTAGCTATATATAACTGGTTTTTAAAAACTGGCTTTTTCTGCCTTTTCCCCAGCTCAGGGAAGCTGCTCCTCCTGAGTTTATAAGAATGAGGAACAGTAAGGAAAGGTAAGGAAGGCAGGAAGTCACTGTGCTACCAAAAGGGTGTCCCTCGCAGACCTCTCCATCAGGTGGCAGAGGAGTGAGTTCCCGAGACCACTGTCTAAATGTGCCATTTCCCCCTACAAAACCAAAATCCAACCCCATTCCTTTTTCTAGGATGTTAGCTTTGGGAGTTCTTCGGAAGTCATCCAATCTAGACCTCATATTGAAAAAATGAGGAAACTGTGGCCCAGAGAGGTGATGTAACTTGGTACATCCACACTGAAAGCCAAGAACTCCAGCTCCCAGCCCAATCTTCTTTCAACTATGTCATGATTTTATTTCATTTCACTATTTCAGGGACAAAAAAAGGCATTTCAGAATGTTGCTTTGTTCCAGCCTACCTTCTACTTTAGTCATTCATTCAAAATTCAGTTATTGATCACTCATTACAGGCCAGGCACACAGTTCCCAGTGCTTATGACACAGCAGTGTACAGACAAAGATCCCTGCCCTATCCAGCTCGCACAGCAGGTTCCTTCTGCTGTGTAGTGGCTGGGAGAGGGGAAAAAGGAAGAAAAAATAACTGAGACATAGAGAGGAAAGGAGGGAAGTGATCTCTGTTCTATTTTTCTTTTCTAGTTTATGATTTTTCATATTTTTATATATATATTATATATTTCAAGTACTATAAAATCCACCCATTTAAACTGTACAGTTCAGTGGTTTTTAGTGTACTCACAAAGTTGTGCAGCCATCACCACAATCTAAGGTTTAGAACATTTTCAACACCCGCAAAAGAAAGCTCATGCCCATTAGGAATCACTCCCCATTCTCTCACCCACACCCAAACCCCAGGCAACCACTAATCTAACTTCCTGCCTCTATGGATTTGCCTATTCTGTATATTTCATATAAATAGAATCACAATATGTGACCTTTTGTGTCTGGCTTCTCTCTCAGTATAATGTTTTCAAGATCATTATGCTTTAGTATGTATCTATACTTGATTCTTTGTTCATTTGTTTTTGATGGAGACTCGTTGTTGTCGCCTCAGCTGGAGTGCAATGACATGATCTCGGCTCACTGCAACCTCCGTCTTCCAGGTTCCAGCAATTCTCCTGTCTCAGCCTCCTGAGTAGCTGGGATTATAGGCGCCTAGCACCACGTTCGGCTAATTTTTGTATTTTTCGTAGAGACGGGGTTTCACCATGTTGGCCAGGCTGGTCTCGAACTCCTGACCTCAGGTGATCCACCTGCCTCGGCCTCCCAAAGTGCTGGGATTACAGGCATGAGCCACCATGCCCAGCCACTTGATTTTTTTTTATTGTTAAGTAATATTCCATTGTAATCCACTCATTTATCTCATCATCTTAAAGTTTCTATCAAAAGGCACACATCATCTTTGGAAGGATTATGTTAAAAAATGCAAGGTTTAGGGAGAAATAAATCCTGTCCCCATTTCCAACCTTTTCTAGGAAGTTGTTTCAAAGAATCACCATGCAGTACCTGACCAGATCCATCCCCAGCAAGGCTTCTATCTCGGCAGCTGGCTCTCTGGTGTTGATGGCTTCATTGGCTATGCACACTCCATGTTCATTGGCTCCCATTTCTGCTCCCCAGAGCCAGGCGGGTCTGCTTATCATTATGGCATAGGTCCTTGGAACTTGGTCGATTGAAATGTAAGTGCACTGAAAAACAAACACAGGAAAGAAAGCGCCATCACCTGTCAGGTACCACCTCATTTCTGCCTGGGTACTTATACTGAACCATCATATTAGTTACAAACAGAGCCAAAAAATAAAAGGCCTTGGGAATACCCTGATTTTTAAGTCTTCACAATGCAGCTCAAAAGTCTCCATGGTGAGTTTCAGACTGTGTGGCTTATGCCAATCTATTCCTGGTGCTCACGTAATAGGGCAATCATCTTGAACCAGGTATTCAGCCAATCATCATCCTGAACATCCTAAGCCTGCCCATTTCAACAGGCACAGGCGGCTGCCAGCATTCACCAATATTGAACACAGCTATTTACGAGCCCTACCTTCAAAAGAAACTTCACCTAGAAGCCTAAGATAGAAAGCAGGTAAAAGGGAAGATCTTTGCCTAAAGAAAGCAGAACCCTGAGTCCCCCTGCAAGGACCCTTTGGGTTTCCTGAAACACAGTTTGATAACCTACATGGTTGCTCTAGTGGTAGAAAACAGAAAAGGATAATAACATTTGCATTTAACTACTGCATTACACTGTGGGATTTCCTGCCTGTCCCATTTGATCCTCACACTAAGACAGTGAGGTGGACACAGAAGGAAACAGTCCCATGGAGGTGCATCTCCAGCTGCTGTCAGAACTGCAGAACACACAACTTAGTGGTGCATCTTACCTTCTCCAGGCTGCAGTGGCTTTACCTGGAAAATGGGGGAGCTAATTTGAGTCAAACTATTTCTTCCCAAGTATTTTTAACCTCAGAACACCTTCTTCACACGAACTCTTACACAGAATCATAAGCACAATAAAATCAGTCAAAGTATGTCCAGGCAAAGGGAGGAAGAGGCCCGGGACCAGGATGTGGGTAACCCTCAGAGTCTCGCCCTCCTGTGCTTCCCTTTCCCCTCCCCACGTTGTGACCCACGGCAGAGGAACCTGCAACTAGCTTCCCCATGGGGGCCTCCTGACTCTGACATTCTACGAGCCTATGACACACCCTTTGTGTGGTGGACGCTGTATTGAATTCAAGTCTCTAAGTTACACAGTGCTCTGGAGCTCTCAAGGGAGAATTTTATCAGCTGCAGGAATCATTTACATTTTAAACGGGGCAGCTGAAAGCAACAGCAGCCTTAGATCTTTCTTTTTTTAACTCAAGACCCAGCTATATCGACTGAATGCAGCCCACAAAGCTATTCTGTATTGATTTCCCATAATCGCTAAACCTCAGGTAAGAGCTGAAACCCGTGTGACACACACACTCACTGGTCAGGTGACTTTGGGTCTGCACAATTCATGTTAAGGTGTTGCTCTGCACTGGGATAATGTCATTTTACTTGATAAATATTTGCAAACTGAAAACTAATTATATCCAGAGGTTTTCAAGAGACTCTTGAATTTTTCATGGCAAACTGACAATAAAATATACTCAAGATTTTCCCTCTATGCAGTTCCCAAAAGTTATTTATTTAAAAAAAAAATGATTCTTGTAGAGCACGAAGCTGGCCAGAGCAGTAATCAAACTCTGCTCCTCTGTGCTCTTCTAAATGGAATTGACGTTTACATCTTAACATTGCACTCTATGTCAAAAAGTAGTCCAGGCATTGACCAACACTTTCCAAAACCCCTGTCCGCACTGAGTGCCAGTGGCAACTTTTGTCTTGAAAACAATGAGTAAATAGGAAAAGAATCTCAGCTTCTTAAGCACAGATTTATCATACAGGTTTTTAAAAGGGCAGAAAAAAAGTAAAAATTAGGAAATGGTTTATTTGTCTTCAAATTCATTTTTACACACTCATTTCCATTTCCCCAATTATTTACAGAACACCAACTACATGCAAAGCATTTTGTGCTAAATGCTGCAAGCAGAAAATCAGTGAGGAGGCCCAGGCCCTGTCCTTTTGGCTGGGGAGGAAGGCAAAGGCGCGCACACAAATTCCTACGAGCCCAGGCCAGCTTCAGTGTCTCCCAGGCCTGCCTGCTTCATTCCTGAAGCATCGTGCCACTGCCTCCTGCTTTGCCCTTCTGATCCACCCAGCCCAGCTCTGCTTTTCCTCTTTGCCGTTCCATTCCATTTATCCCCTTCTGAAATACTACAGAACTGATGGACTTATTACATGTACTGTTTATGTATACTATCTCCCCCAGCTAGAGTGTAAGCCCCAAGAGGGAAGGGGGATATCTTTGTTATTTAGTTCACTGACATGCCCCAAGTCTGGTATATATCAGGCATCAATAAGCCTTTTGTTGGATCGGTGGCTGAATGGATGGCTGGAGAAATTACAAAGCTCTAAGGGAGCACAGAAGGTAAAAGTCCAAAGAAATGAGGAAACACATCCGCATGGTCCGCTAGAGGCTGTATCACGTGGGAGAAATCTGGGTTGACCTTAAAAAATGGGCCAGCCATCAAGGTACTCCAGACAGAGCTAAGGGCTTAAGAGAGGAAGGGGCATGTGAAGGGTCTCTATGGTCCAGAGAGGTCCCTGCTGTGCCATGTGGGGGAGCTGCCATGATGTCATTAAGGCACAGAACTACAAGGGCTTAATACAGATTGCCTGATTAAAAAAATGTTGACAATTGAATCAAAAAGACCAGATGGTCTTTGCAGGAGTTCAAAATATATGCAGCCAACTTGATGTTTTTCAGGCCAAACTCGGAATGGTGAGGAAGGAAGGGGATCCCCAAGTAGCCAGATGGGCCCAATCAGCCCTCCTAAGCACCAGACCGAAAGCCAGGCAGCCAGATCCCTTCACAGGCCCCGAGCCTGGAACACATGCCCCTTGCTGCATCT
The DNA here is from genome assembly GCF_000001405.40 of Homo sapiens. Lineage (NCBI taxonomy): Eukaryota > Metazoa > Chordata > Mammalia > Primates > Hominidae > Homo > Homo sapiens. The sequence continues at coordinate 29,958,163 of NC_000007.14, forward strand.
TTGTCACGGGCCACAGAGCACGGGCCTCATAAGGGCTCTTCTATGACAGCCATTCACACCTGCTCCATTATGTTTTAAATCTGGCTAATCACAACCAGGTGGGGTTGGGGAGGGGTAAACACACTTGTCTCATGTAGATAGACTGGCTACTTAAAATCCCACTTTGGGAGCAGATCTCACAAAATCAGGAACACTTACACAAAATTTAATTAGCTCAACTTGGTAAAGTCAGCCATCTAGAACATGAACTCCACAGCCACTTTTAAATATAAAATCCACCCACCTTTACAACTGCCACATTATTAATGAGCCAGAGAAGTGGGATTTGAGGAAGCAAAAGAGGTTTCTCTAGGTACAAATATCCAAAAAGCACCTGACATCTTCTTTCAGTGTGGCAAAAACAATTTAGTTCCCCAAGTCAAAATTCCTAGCTTAATTTCTATTAGAAAAGAAAAAGAAAAAAGGCAAGTGTTCACCACTTAAAAGATGGATCTTTACAGAGACGGTGCTGGTCTCACCTTTGGTTATTAAAGTGAACTGTGGAAAGAGATGAGCAATTGGTCTTTCTGCCCCATGGCCACTCCCACCCAGCCTTTCATAAAATAAATCTGTCAGCTAGTGTGACTTCTGGGTGCCCAAGTCACATAACAATATAAGAATGCCCAGAGCTGGAGTGTGGGCAAGCATTCTTCTAAATGTCAGCACTGCCCAGTGCTAATCAGGGGGTTTCCAAGGATCCGCCTGTCCTGAGCTTGCCACTCTCTCAGGGACCACCTGCCAGGTTAGGTTGGAGGATAGAAAACATGAGCCTCGAAAAGAACCTAGAGCCAAAGACAAAAACAATTCCACAGAGCAAGCCCTTCATTATTTTGTGAGATTACGTCGAAAATGAAAAGAAAGATCAGCTTCATGCCGTCACTTCACCCCATCCACATTCCAGCACACACTATTTCTGGATATGACCCAGTGAAAGGGGAAACAGAGACACTCACACAATAGACGTTTCAATTAATGAAACACAACCATTGTGCCTTTCGTACTGTACTCAAGATGGTGAACACAACCCTGGCACCACCAGCAAAAACCATTGTGAGATGAGTTGATGAGTCAGCCAAACTTCTTACGGTGGGAGAAGATGGCAAAGAAAATGGGATGCTTTGGAGAGATGTTTTTAGCTTTTAAAACTTTGTAGCTCTAAAGAAGCATTAATAACTATCACTGAGGGTTTTTTATTTATTTAAAATTATATATGTGTGTGTGTGTATGTGTGTATTTTGTTTGTTTGTTTTAGAGATGGTGTCTTACTATGTTGCCTAGGCTGTCCTCCCAATACCTGGGCTCAAGCGATCCTCCCCTCTTAGCCTCCCAAGTAGCTGGGACTAGAGGTGTGTGCCACCATGCCCTCCATGTTTGTTTTTATTTTATTTTTTTACCCCAGTGTCTTGCCTGCTATTTGACTGGTTTTAGGAAATGTATTCTTAAGGTTCATATAAGTTTAAATAAAGACAAAAGAAGGTGCTGAGATCAGAGGGCAACATCCTCAACCACACTTTAGAAGAACTGTTTTTTATTTCACTGAAGCATAAGATCTTTGGGGAGGAACAATGCAAAGGTCTGAGATCAGAAATGCATCTGGGAAAGGGGACATTATGGAAGGAAGCCCTCTGCTAAGCCATGTTCTCTTGGAAGTGAGGGAGACACTTCTGACTCCATACAAGACTGGGGACTCCTGATTCTGGAGCTGACTAGAAGAAAACAAAAAAAGAAAGAAAGGAAGAAAGAAAGAAAGTGGGGGGAGGGAGGGAGGAGGGAGGGAAGGAAGAAAGGAAGGAAAGGAAGGAAGGAAGGGAGGGAGGGAGGGAGGGAGGGAGGGAGGAAATCTGTCCAGTGGTCATGGAGCTTTGCTCAGCTCTCTCTGATTCCAGAATGACTTGTACTTTCCTATTGTAAGAAATAACTTTCAGAATTAAAATTCAGCTCCCCCGACTCCCGCAACATACACACACCCCACACATCACAAATATAGCCTCCATCTGGACAATTTTACTAACAATGCTACCAGCCATCATTAACTGGTAATTTTCTATTCTTCTTGTAAATATTTTCAATGATAAAGAAAGGGGAAATAATCTACCAAAAGCCTCCCCCAAATCATGAAAGTTATATAAACTCATTGACGACAGTGAATCCATACGGTATTTCATGTAGTGGAAAACAGACAAAAATTTAAGCTAATTTGAAAAAAAAAATGAGGAAATGATAAAGACTTTAAGAAAGGAAATAATGGAGACAATATTTATTACCAAAGAAAGACTCTTTTAAAAAATATTATGTGTCAAATCTAACTTTGTTATCAAGAATTCTGTCTCTGTAAATTCTGGTATAATTAGCCTCTTGGACACCAAGTATAAGTAATGTAAACCTTAGCCAAAATCCACTGTTTTTCTGGAAAAGTAGTCTAATGTTGGATCCATTTTTTTCCTAAATAGAAGGTTCAACCATGTAAGAATGGACCTGTACCATCCATGAGCATGCATGCATACACACACACACATCCACACACACACACATCCACACACCATAATCCAGGAAGTTATTCCTCTGCTTCCTCAACACGCCTACCTAGAGGGAGGGCAGGATTTGGGGTAAAGTTGAGATGAGTTCTCTGATGCATCCTCAGAGAGGATACCTATTTATCAATAGGTATTATAAATATTGATACCTATTTATCCATCCTACTCTGCAACCAAAAGAGATGTTGTTAAAAGCCCTGAATACACAAGGGAAATACTAAAGAATATAAAATTGGGATGTTCCAATCGCAAACTGCAGCTGAAAGAAAAAATCCAGTGTAATTTTGGAAACTGAGGAACTCTGTGCTGGAGGATCTTATTTCTTTTTTTTTTTTTTTTTAATTTATTTTTTTATTGATAATTCTTGGGTGTTTCTCACAGAGGGGGATTTGGCAGGGTCATGGGACAATAGTGGAGGGAAGGTCAGCAGATAAACAAGTGAACAAAGGTCTCTGGTTTTCCTAGGCAGAGGACCCTGCGGCCTTCCGCGGTGTTTGTGTCCCTGATTACTTGAGATTAGGGAGTGGTGATGACTCTTAACGAGCATGCTGCCTTCAAGCATCTGTTTAACAAAGCACATCTTGCACCGCCCTTAATCCATTTAACCCTGAGTGGACACAGCACATGTTTCAGAGAGCACAGGGTTGGGGGTAAGGTCACAGATCAACAGGATCCCAAGGCAGAAGAATTTTTCTTAGTGCAGAACAAAATGAAAAGTCTCCCATGTCTACTTCTTTCTACACAGACACGGCAACCATCCGATTTCTCAATCTTTTCCCCACCTTTCCCGCCTTTCTATTCCACAAAGCCGCCATTGTCATCCTGGCCCGTTCTCAGTGAGCTGTTGGGCACACCTCCCAGACGGGGTGGTGGCCGGGCAGAGGGGCTCCTCACTTCCCAGTAGGGGCGGCCGGGCAGAGGCGCCCCTCACCTCCCGGACGGGGCGGCTGGCCGGGCAGAGGGGCTCTTCACTTCCCAGTAGGGGCCGCCGGGCAGAGGCGCCCCTCACCTCCCGGATGGGGCGGCTGGCCGGGCAGGGGGCTGACCCCCCCACCTCCCTCCCGGACGGAGCGGCTGGCCGGGCGGGGGGCTGACCCCCCCACTGGAGGATCTTATTTCTTACTCTTCTAGTCTTAAATACAGTGAACTTGACATATGGAGATGATGGCTGGATGGGACTGACTGACAAGAAGATGGAGAGAGGCTAAGTGGACAAGTTGAAGGGAGAACCGCCTGGAAAGGGGGATCAGTTGGCAGGTGGGTGAGTGGATGAATGAGGAGTCCACACGACTTTTTCCATGGTTTTTGCATGTGTCCAGAGGTTGCCCTAGAAACCTCATACTTGAGAGTGTTGAGGTCCCAGGAAATCATTTTCTGAGAATATAACCACCTAGTATATAATTAGTTTCATATAATTATTAAACACTGTAATTATTAAATAATATAATTATTTACATATAATTAAATTATACAATTATTAAATATAATTATGTATATGTAATTAAATTATATAATTATTAGATAATTGTTTATATATAATTAAATTATTATATAATAAATTATATAATAGAGGGTTATATTCTCAGAAAATGATTTCCTGGGACCTCAACACTCAAGTATGAGGTTTCTAGGGAAACCTCAGGACACATGTTTAAAATGTCATGAAATGGGCCAGGCATGGTGGCTCACGCCTGTAATCCCAACACTTTGGGAAGCCAAGGTGGGTGGATCACTTGAGCTCAGGAGTTTTGAGACCAGCCTGGCCAACATGATGAAACTCTGTCTCTACCAAAAATACGAAAATTAGCCGGCTATGGTGGCACATGCCTGTAATCCCAGCTACTTGGGAGGCTGAGGCAGGAGAATTGCTTGAACCCAGGAGGCAGAGGTTGCAGTGAGCTGAGATCATGCCACTGCACTCCAGCCTGGGTGACAGAGTGAGACTGTCTCAAACATAAAATAAAATAAAATAAAATAACATAAAATAACATAAAATGTCATGAAATGGCTGAGGAATAGATGGGTTTTTATGAAAAGTTCTTACTCTTCATAGTTTAAAAAAGTCTGTATTTTAATAGTTGCTTGTATAAAAGTTACATGATAGTAATTGTGGCTCCTAGACCTAAATATGGAAAGAACCCATCATTCTGTACTTGGTACAAGTATAGGAGATGGAGACAGATGTAACTGTAAGGGAACTAAAGGGGTAAGAGTAAGTTTGAAAAGCAGATTCAGTAGTATGTGATGTGCCAAAGACAGTTTTGGAACTGAGACCCGGAGTCACAGCAATTCTCATTAGTCAATTCTTTAAAAAAAAAAAAAAAATCCTTCTTCACAATGTTCTCCTTAAAGCTTTACAAAGTGCTTTCATGCATCAGCTCACGTGTGTCTCACTAAAGCCTGTAATGCAGGCAGAGGGGGTATTATGATCTCTATCTGGCAAATAAAGAAACTGAGTTTCAGAGAGGCTCAAAGGCCCAAGACACTATAAAGGGAGAGGCAAAACACGAACCTAGGACCCCTCTCTCCTGGGCCAGAACTCATCCTCCTAGTTTCAGGTGGTTGTAAATTTCAATTGACATGCATAGAGGAGTATCAGGCTAAAGGGAGGAGTGGATATTGGTGTTGAGGCCTGGAAGGATAAACAGGAGTCTACCAAGTAGATGAGAGGAGGGGAGAAGAAGGATCTTCTCAGCAAAGGACAGAAAGAGCAAAAGCACAGAAAAATGCAAGTGTGTTATTTGTTCAAGAAAAGGCAAGCAGTTCAGTGTAGCTGGGGCCTAGGGTACAAGCTGAGAGGGCAGAGCTAACAATGAGAATAGAAAAGTAAGCAGGAAATTGTATAACCCTTACGGAGGTCAATTCTTATAAAAGCTTTACCCTATGACCCAATGATGCTACATTTGGAAGTACATCCAATGGTATCTACACATGCACAAAATGACTTATGTACAAGGTTCTCCACAGCTGCACTTTCTGGACTAGCAAAATACTGGAAGGAGTCCAAGCATCTACCAATAGAGCACTAATTAAATGAACTATGGTACATCTCCACAATGGATTACTATGTAGCTGTAAGAAAAAAATAAGGACAATCTCTATAGAAAAATCTTTAGAAAATGTTAAGTGAAAATAGGAAAGTGCAGAACTTTTCTGTAAGTTCAAAGTTATATATTAAAAAATCATGTTTAATAGTAGTATACATAATGTGCTGCATTCACACAAAACAATAGAAAATAAGGCCTGATATTCAGTTTTTTTGGATTTGCATAAAATACTTGAAGGATATGCATGAAATTAATAAGAGTTATACAGGATGGAGACAAGGGAGGAAGACTTCTTACTGTGAACCTTTTAAATATCATTCAATCTTTGAACCACATAAATATATGATTACCTATTCAAAATGAAAAATTACATTTTAAAATGTCTTTAGCCAAATGAGTTAAAAACTTATGTCTACACAAAAGACTGCACACAAATATTTATAGCAGCTATGTTCATAACTGCCAAACTTTAGAATCAACTAAGATGTCCTTCAGTGGGTGAATGGATAAATAACCTGGTATATCCAGAAAATGGAATATTGTTCAGTGATAAAAAGAAATGTGTCATCAAGCTTGGAAAAGACAGGAAGAAACCTTAAATGCACATTACTAAGTTTAAAAAAGCCAATCTGAAAAGGCTACACACTGAATGATTCCAACTATGTGACATTTTACGAAAGGCAAAAGTATGGACACAATAGGATCAGTGATTTCTGGGGGCTAGGGTGGGTGGGTGAATAGGTGGAGCACAGAACCTCTAGGACAGTAAAAGTATTCTCTATGATACTACAATGGCTTGTCATTATACATATAGGTATACCCACAGGATATCCAACACAGAGTATAAACTATGAACTTTAGTTAATAATACTGTATCAGGCCGGGCTCGGTGGCTCACATCCATAATCCCAGCACTTTGGGAGGCCGAGGCGGGTGGATCACTTGAGGTCAGGAGTTCAAGACAGGCTGGCCAACATGATGAAACCCCGTTTCTACTAAAAATACAAAAATTAGCCAGGCATGATGGTGGGCACCTGTAATCCCAGCTACTTGGGAGGCTGAAGCAAGAGCATCGCTTGAACCCGAGAGCTGGAGGTTGCAGTGAGCCAAGATTGTGCAACTGCACTCTAGCCTGGGCGACAAAGCTAGACTCTGTCTCAAAAAACAAAATATATATATATATATATACTGTGTCAATATTGGCTCATCAGTTGTAGCGAATGTACCACATTGATGCCAGACGTTACTAGCAGGGTAAACTAGAGGGCAGGGTAAGGGGCTGTTTGGGAACTCTCTGTGCCTTCTGTTCATTTTTCTGTAAACATAAAACTGCTCTAAAAATAGTCTATCAATTTAAAATAGAAAAGAATGAAAGAGAATAAAAGAAAGGAAAAGTGAGCAGGGTGCCAGTTGGGAAGAGTTCTGAATGGCATACAAATCAGCTTGGACTCTCATCCTGTAAACAAAACGAAACACTTTTCAGCAAGGGAGTGGTAGAGCTATCTATGTTCTGGGAAGAAAATTCTGGTAACCCTGTAGGGAGAAGAACCCAGGAGAAAGAGACCCAGGGACAAATGAGAAGATTGTAGCAGAAAAGAGATGGACTCAGTCTGAACGAGTCAGGGGCAGCGGGGAGGAGATGGACAAACAAGAGAGGGGGCAGCGGGACTCAGTGACAGCTGTCCCTGTGCATTGGGGATGGGGGAAGTGAGGGTCGACGTTTCCCGTGGGCTTCTAGTATAAACTACGTGGCCGACAATGCATATGTTGTTACAGCAACATATATGAGCTGGGGGAAATGAATTTGCTTTCTTACCCGTGAGGTTATTTCACCTGCAGAATATGCAAGTGGGAACGCAAAGAGGCAGCTCAAAACACAGGTATGGAACTCAGAAGAGAGGTCAGAGCTGCCTTAGAGGCTAATTATGGTATATATCACACTATACTTATGTATGGAAGGGGACAGGATTTAACCTAAATATATCTGAGTAATCATATACCATAGGTTAACTAGCAAAAGGAATCTAGCCTCGTCCTTAAAATAATTGTAACCATGAGAGTAAAGTAAGAGTTATGTAGCCTATCCTCCAAAAAAGAAAACAAATTTTTTTGAAATATTTATTTCAGACATGTTTATAAATGGCTTTGTGTGATTTTTGAAGTTAGTATGGCTACTTAACAAATTACCCCAAAATTTAGTGGTGTAAAACAACTTTTTTAATGCTCATGGATTTGAACAGCAAACAGCAGGGATAATGTGTCTCCACTCCAGTGTCTGGGGCCTGGAATCATCTGAGAGACAGAGGAACGAGAGAGAGAGAGAGGAACCAGAGACACACAGAGAGAGAGAGAGACAGAGAGAGAGAGACCGAGAGACAGAGAGAGAGAGAGAGAGAGAGAGAGAGAGAGAGAGAGAGAGAGAAGCTGTATCCTTTTATGGCCCAGCCCTGGAAGTCACATAGCATCACTTCCACCATGCTCCACCGGTCAGAGCAATCACAAGCCCTCAAAGATTCACAGTGAGAGTGAAGGGCATAGACTCACCTTTCCCTCTTCGTGGAAGGAGTGCCCTTCACACTGGAAGAAGGGCACTTGGGATGGGATTTGGTGCAGCCACCTTTGAGAACTTAAATCTGCCCATGTAAAAATCAAAGATTATTTTAGTTTGTATGTCTTTTGGGAAAAAAAGATAGAAACGTTCAGGGAGGACAGACAAGGAAGGTCAGTAACAACTCAAATCAGCAAACTTTATCTACACAGAGTCCACTCTGTTCCAGGAAAAGAGAGAAACATTTGGACCCAAATAACATGGACATTCACTCATTGATGAATACCCATTTAAAACCTAACATGCTCACCAGGGAACCTAGCACTCTTCTTCACCTATACGAAAGGAAAATCCCACTAAAGTTGCAAGGGCTTTTATTAAGTTAGTGGCTCAGTAAGAGAGGAAAGTGGGTCTGGTGAAAGCCCAGTAGGAGACAGTCTGCCACCAGACCATCCAGACAGCCCATGTGAAGCCCTGCCCAGCTGCCTGTTCATTTCAGTGCCTTTGTTAAATTCATGTAAAGTAAGCAGCCCCTCATAGAGTTCTGTTGCTCTTTGGTGCTGATTACTGCTTTTAAAGAACTGAAACAGAGCCAGTGATTTAAGATTTAGATATGAAAATAAAATACACATTGGATGTAATGGAAGAATTTAAGAAAAAAAAAAGAAAATACAAATTGATGAATGCCTATTTGAAACCAAGCACAATCATCAGAAAAATCAGTTTATTTTGTGAAGCACAGAGCACCAAAGAATAGAGGTTATGTAGTGAAAAGAGCTTCTTCATTTACTAGCCCTAATTTATTTTCTCCAGATTTTTCATCCTTTAACAAACTACCATCTAAACACACACACACACACACACACACAAACACACACAGGTAAATACACTTATAAACAAAACATAACCAAGAAGGTTATGCCCTGAATGCAAAGATGGTTCAATTTATCACATAAATAAGTGATTATCTCCATAATTACTGAAAAGATACTTAACAAAATTTAATATCTATTCTTGAGTTGTTGTTTTTAGAAATACTCAAAATAGAAATTCATGTATACTTTTTTTTTTTTTTTTTTAAAGAGATGGGGTCTCACCATGTTGTCCAGGCTGGTCTCAACTTCCTGGGCTCACGTGATCCTCTCACCTCAGCCTCCAGGGTAGCTGGGACTACAGGCATGTGTCACTGTACCTGACTGATGTATACTTTTTATCATAAGCCAGGTGCAGTGGCACATAAAACTATATAAATCTCAATCCCAAAACCAGCAGCTTACTTAATAGGGAAGCACTAGAGACAGCCCCACTCAGGTCAGGTGCAGAGCCAAGGACACCCACTATCTCCACTACTACTTAACATAAAACCCGAGCTATAAGCCAAAGCAATCAAACAAGAAAACAATTAAAGACAGAACAACAACTAAACAATCTCTATGTGCAAGTGATATAAAAATATACCTGAAAACCCCAAGAAAAGCAATGATAAAAGCTGACACAACCAATAAAAGAATTTAGTAAAATGGCAGAAAGTATAATTAACATAAAATAGCCATCGTGAAAGTTTGACAACACATTCTGGGAATATGAAGAAATGGGCATTGTCATACAGTGCTGATGGGAATGCAAAACGGTACACCACCTATGGAAGGAAATTTGATAATATTTAATAAAATTACATTTTTATTTACCTTGTGACCCAGCAATTTCATTTCTAGGCATCTATCCCAAAGAAATACTGACAAAAATAGTATTTTTAAAAGATTTGAAATAAGAATTAATGGATAATGTTTTATTATGATAAAAATATATAAACTGAGACCAGACACTATGACAGATGCATAAGGCTGTTATCCACTTCAGTGCTGTTTGTAATAGCAATAGACTGAAAACAATCCAAATGTCCAGCAGTAATATGGGGCTGGTTAACTATGATACATCCATAGAATGAAACACCATGCAGCTCTAAATGAGGAATTATGACCTGCATGTACCGTAGGGAGTGATCTCCAGAATATGTTTTGAGTTGAAAAATACAAAGTAGAGATTCAACCTGAGAAAGCTGATTGAAGAAAATAAAAAAATAAAAATGAAAAAAAATGCAAAGTAGAGAAAAGTATATATGGCATGCTGCTGTTAATCGAAGAAAGGAGGAAAGGGACCAGGATGAATATGCACATGTGTGTGTGATTTGTTACATATATATGTGTAATTTTGCAAATGGAAGGATAAACCAAGATCTTCCAAAACATGATTACCTATAGGGGAAAAGATCATGGAGTAAAGGGGACAAGGATACAAGTTAGACTTCTATGAATAAATCTTGTTTTTTAGATTTGATTTCAGAACTATGTACATATTTCACTTAATTATAAAACAATGGCCATAGCAGTGAGCATAGAGCTCTCCCATGACCTTGTTTTCAAGGCTATGAGCAAACCTGCATGGAAACAGGAATCAGCAGAACTGACATGATAGCTCTGACTTGTGAGCAAGCTTCCAAGCAAGAAGTTAGGGTTGTGCTAGCGGCAAAGCCAGAGAAAAGAGAGTGTGACTCGCGAGACTGCAATGCACGGCTTACCTCAACCTTGCTCTCCGGTTCGTGATCAGCAGCCGAGAAATACACAACCTCTTGCACTTCATCTCTGGGCCGGGCTGAATTTTTCCCAAATACCACCAGACCATCCTTAGCACGTGGAGGGAAGGCAACAAAACAGTAACTTGGAGGAGCTGCAGCCATCCTGAAAAGAGAATGCCAGCAAGAGTGGAAGCAGGCCTCACATGGAACACTCCAACAGTGAGTTCTTCAAACATATTTCACCAGCTAAAAGGGTTTTACTATTGAACTGTGCACAGCTAGCTCATTAAGAGATCCCAGCTGGCAAATGAAGGTGGGACGCCTGCAGTGGAATGACAGAGCCACCGAGACCAGATATTGTTTAATACTCTGTGGGATTAAATGAGCTCAGATTTGCAACAAACCACAGCGGCAGCCAAAAGTGCAGTGATGTGGGAGAAAGGAAAGGAGGTTATTGTTCTAGGCAGAAGACACAGACACACACCACACATACACACACTGCAATCTGTTCACAGTAATAAAATAATAAATAAACATACCTTAAAACTAACTACACAAATGCCTCAGATCCAGAAATGCATAGCCACCACATAACAGATTTGGGGTGTGATGAGGAAATGGGTCTACAGATCAATTGACAGATACCCTGCTTTGTTGTTTTTAGTAGTTTTACTCCACCTCGATGACATAACACTCAAACACCTTTTGGTTTTCCGTCCACCTCCCCAGCTGCTCCTGGACTGGCTTGTTCTACCTGGCCAGTGCACATCCTCACTGCTTCATCCTTCTTTCCTCATTTAATGATCTTTTCTATCTGGGAAAATGCATCCATGCTCAGAGTTTCCCTTGTCAGTTACATGCTGATGACTTACACATTTAATTCCAGCTGGGTTCTCACCTTAAGCCTCTGACCCACAGACCCAGCTGCCTGCCTGATATCCGAAGCTGATTTCATCTTCTTCCCTTTTCAAGGTTCTTTATCTTGGTAGCCAAGGTAACCATCCTTGCCATTTGCTTCTCCATTATCTAATATATCACCAAGTCCTGTACATTCCATCTCCTAAATCTCTATGGAAACCTCCCACTCCTCTCCACCTCCACTGCCACCACCCTGCACCAAGCCACCACCATCTCCAGCCTGGACCACTACAATAACTTCCGGAGGGGTTGCTCCAAAACCTCTATCACTCCCCACTCCAAAACATTCTCTGCATTGCAGCCAAAGTGATCCTTTTAGAAGGAAGATTTGATCACACCATTCCTGCTTAAAATACTTCAGCAGTTTCCCAAGGCTCTTGGAATAAAGACCAAAATATGATCAAGTTTGTTTCCCCTTCCCAGCCCCATCTTCTACCACTCACCCCTCCACTCTCACAATGCCGGCACACAGGCCTTTTTCTAGCTCCTCCAGTGCCTGCCAGACCTCTGCACATGCTCCATCCTTTGTCCTCACCACTCCCTTCCCTGCTTCCTGTACCAAAACAATCTGCCTGGTTAACTCCTCCTCTTTCATGTACCAGCTCAAATATCACTCTAGTACTCTAATGTGTGTTGCTGTACTATACACTCTCATAGAATCCTGTCCTTTTCCTTCAAAGTAATTATCATAATCTGAAATACTTGTTTGATTATTTTATTACCAACAATCATTATTTAGTCTCTCCCAGCAAAATCTAAGCAATATGAAAGCAAGGACCTTTCCCTTTTGCACACTGCTGTAACCGCAGCCGTACACTATGTCTTATGCAGAGTAGATTTTAAATGAGTGATAAACAAGGGTTCTTTTCTTGTTTATTAATAGTCCACCATACTGAAGCTGACTCTCTAATATCTCTCTTTTCTCCCGCCATGCCTCTGCACCTGGCTTGAATGCCCTGCCCTTAGTCTTTGTACATATCCTTCAGGATCTGATTCAAAACCCTTTCTTTCATAAAGACTTCTATAAAGGACTCTCATTTATTCACCACCCACAGGTACTAATACATCCATTTTGTTATAAAATAATGTACATATGTTGCTTGTATATTTCTTTACCTGTTTCAAAGAAAGCTCCCTGAAGGCAGGACTGATGCCATCCAACCATAGTAGCCCTTTCCCCAACCCCTGGCATTACAGGCACTCAAGAAACATTATCTAGTGTACCAACTATTGTATTTGTGTCATCAATTATCCAACTTCCATGTGTTTTATTTTACAAGTCTGAAATATAAGTGAGAAGTACAGCAATCTTTTCAGAAAAGCACAAGAATGGGATTCAAAACTCAGCTCCACCACCTACTAGCTGTGTGACCTGCTTAAGTCACTTTACCTCTCTGAGCCTAGGTTTCCCTCTTGCAAATGTTTTGCCACAGCCCACAGGTTTATCAGAGTATCAAATAAAATGATCCTTGAGAACATGTTTTGCAAACTGTGGAGGATGCATAAGTATAGGATACTTTATTTGCTGGCTGGGTGTGGTGGCTCATGCCTGTAATCCCAGCACTTTGGGAGGCCAAGGCAGGCAGATCACTTGAGCCTGGAAGTTTGAGACCAGCCTGGACAACATGGAGAGACCCTGTTTCCACAAAAAATACAAAAACTAGCCGGGTGTGGTGACATGCACCTGTAGTCCCAGCTACTTGGGAGGCTGAGGAGGGAGGATCATTTGAGCCCGGAGAGGCTGAGGCTGCAGTGAGCCGAGATCACGCCACTGCACTCTCAGCCTGGGCAAAGAGTGAGACCCTGTCTCAAAAAAAAAAAAAAAAAACTTTATTTGGGTTTTGACTGTTAAAATAGAGCAATATCTAAAATTTTCTATTAAGCAAACCAATCAAAATCTACTTGCCTCATTCCTAATTAGAGCAGTTACCAAATTGCAGAGTCATCAATATTCTATGTTTAGAAACCTCTTTGTATGGGACTGTATTGCTATTTCTATATCCAATCTACTTCAGGTTAATTTCTACATGCACACTCAGAGTTCTTCCCTGCATTGTTTATGGCAGGCCCCTCCCCAGAGTGCAGAGAAATGGAGGAGCCCCCACAATTCTGAAAATAATTCCCTTCTAGCTCAGTAGAACATCACCCCTTCCCTCTGGGAAGAAAAGCCAGAAAGATAAAGAGGCTCCAGTTCTTTCTCCCCTTAACCTTTCCCATTTTCACAAAAACGGCTTTATCTTCAGACTGGAGGAGTAGAGAGAGATAAACAAAGAATGTGTATGCACAAGAAAGACCTAGAATAATTATGAAATCAAATGCCTTTATAGAGTGCTACTAGAATCTGGGCATCGGGGGAATTGCTGGAGACAAATAAAGTGAAACAGACCCAGAGGAAGATAAGATGGGGAAAGGATGCATTTATCTTGTGTGATGCCTCGAGTATCTCATATGCTCCCTCTCTCCCCATCACTGGGCCATTTCAAAAGAGCTAGTGTCTTGCCTAGGAGCAGAACCTTACTTTATTTGATCCTTAAAAATGGTAGAAATCCACCAATTTTGCATTTATGAGATTTATCTATAGAATATAAATAAAACCCATGGGGTTTTGGGCAAGCACCTATTGTTTGGCCAAGGCACCTGCTTAGTCAGCAAATAATCTGGGTCGCATGATCATGATGAGGATATAGGCAACAGAAGCCCAGGGGTATGTGGGCCAAGGGAGGCTGGCTTTTCCACTAAATTTTGTGAATGACTGGGAATGCCAGCAGGGAGCAGAATTTCAAAGTCTGTTTTAAGAATTAAAAAGCTAGATGAACCAGCAAAGTGTGCATCAGACCTAGGAGCAAACTAGCCCAGGCTAACAGTCCATTAATTTTTCCTGAATCACCATGTGTGCACTGACTAGCTTCAGAGATGACTTTTCTGAAAAGAAAATTTTCTGTAGAAAATTCCAAAAGAATTTTCTACAATGATGGAAATGTTGTATGTCCACCATTCAATATGGTGACCACTAGCCTCAGGCAGCTATTGAAGTGTAGTTAGACTGATGAAGGAGCACAGTTTTCCATTTTATTCAAAACGTAAATTAATTTTCATTTAAATAGCCACATGTAGCTAGTAGAAACTCCATTGGACGGGACAGTGACACAGAGTCCCAAAGAAACCCAGAAATGAAGATTTTCATATTAAGGCTTCCAGTGATCTCAGAAGTTCTTGTTTGTGAAGTCCTCTTATTCTAAGGACAAAATGTGCTATCATCCATATAAACTGAATTAGCAAAGAGGAGGTGGGACACTTCCGGAAGACTGAAGAAAACAAACTTTAGGAAGCAGCTACAAAACTCACCAGGCTGACTTAGATTACATAAGTTAAAGGTAATCATAGCTGTAGATGCCAATTACACTTCTCTTGGTGCGAATCTCATATCCTGACTCTGAAAACACCATGAGAGTGGCCCTCATTACTATCTGGGAATCCTTTGTGTACTTGTCTGGCCAATTCCTCTATTTCCTAAATGAATTTTTGACACCTTCACTTTTCTTCAAATCTCCAACCACCTCCTCTAAGCAGAGGTCTCACTTTCTATTCCACAAAAGACAGGTGAATGGAGGGAGAATGTTTCAGAGAAAGGACATGCAGGCCTGAAGGCCCTGCAACTGGAGAAAAGGAACGGAGCCAAGAAATTAAAAAGCTGATGCAACTGAGGACAGGGAAAGTAGGGTAGAGGCCTGGAGAGGTGGGTATATGATGGGCAGGTCCACACTGAGCCTTGAAGGTCACATCAAGTACTTTAGTGTCTATTTCACAACACACAGTAAAGCACTGAAGGCTTTTAAGTCAGGTTTTAGGTTGAAAATTGCATACAGACAATATCAAAGAAGTTGCCTGTGATAGGAAGGAAACCACAAAGCAGACAGAAATGATGAAAATAGAATAAGTAATTTCATTTCTATCTACGTATCCTAAGGAAACAATCAGGAATATGGGCAAGGGGTATGCATAAGTGTTCACGTAGTGGTATTCATACAGGCGAAAAACTGAAACTTACTTGTCCAGCATCAGAGAACTGGCTGAAAATGTCTGCTACATCTATCGGGTAGAATACTATAAACCCATTAAATATATGTTTGTGAAGAGTTTTTAATTGCATGAAGAAATGATTTGAGGGGCAAGATAAATTATCTTATTTAAAATATAGATAGAAAAAGACTATGCCCAAATACTTGCCCAGGAAATGTATTCAAAATATTAACAGTGGGAGCCCAGCAATGAAATATTCTTTGTTTTTTCATCTTTTCCTCTAATTTCCAACTTTCCTATAAGTATTTTTACTGATATAATCCCAGAAATGATTTTTAAAGTAAACCCAGGAGAGAATAGCAATTTAGGAATTTAATTTTAAAGAAAAATTTTAGTTCTGCATCTATATCCTAATACATCTGAAATTTCAAAAGTGGCAAATTCTTATATGAGTTATAGCTAGGATGAATTTTTTTATTTGGCATTGTTCTCTGATACTTTCTTTTACCTTTTTTACACCTGCCCAATTCAGAGTTGCTCAGAGAGCACACAATGTTTCATTACTATGTTTCACACAAATAGTGAGTTGGCCTCCTACAGTTGTCCACATGGGAAAAGAAAAACTGGCCAGTCTGGAAGCCAGAGCTCTCATGAACCTGAGACGAAACCCTTCGGAAAGTGATTCAAAGGAACTCAATTCTCTTCCTATTATCTGTCAAAATATTGGGTAACATACCAGACATTCACACTAAAATGAAAAAAAACTGACAAGTTACATCATTTATATATTACATAAAACATGCATTTTAAAATATTTGTTTACACGATTCTTTCTTTCTTTCTTTTTTTTTTTTTTTTGAGATGGAGACTTGCTCTGTCGCCCAGGCTGGAGTACAGTGGCGCGATCTTGGCTTACTGCAACCTCCACCTCCTGGGTTCAAGCAATTCTCCTACCTCAGCCTCCTGAGTAGCTGGGATTACAGGCGCATACCACCGTGCCCAGCTAATTTTTGTATTTTTAGTAGAGATGGGGTTTCACCATGTTGGCCAGGCTGGTTTCAAACTCCTGACATCGTGATCCGTCTGCCTTGGCCTCCCAAAGTGCTGGGATTACAGGCATGAGCCACCGTGCTCAGCCCTACATGATTCTTAAAAACTGTTAAATTATTCATGCATGACACAAGAAACTGGCTTTAAGATTTTTCTCCTTTTCCTTTATAATCTCATACAACGTTATGAAATGTATATTCTCCTTCACAAAGAAAAAGAAAAAAAGAACCTAAAATTCAATTAACTCTCAATCACATACACGAATATAAAAACTTAGAACATGAGAAAACTTATTTATATTCAGCTTTGAAAAGTAGAATATAAGCATTTGATGATGGGGTTTTCCATCATAACTACATTCTACTTAAACGGGTGTTAAAATCAGTGAACAGAGTTTGTCCAGAAATAAAGCTATAATTGATGGCTTTTTAAAAAACTTCCTTGTTTGAGGCATAATTCTGAAGCTGCTTTCTGAGCCGTGGGGACCCAGAAATGGCGGTGGGGCTTCAGTGTTACACTATAGGCCTGAAACTGGATGTGGGTGTATCCAAAACAGTGTTTTCCTAACTGTATGTTGTGGCCTTTTTGTGGTTTATGAAATCAATTTAGTGGATAGGAACAAGTTTTTTCAGAAAAGCATTTTTAGAAAGCATGTATGCATCTCATACAGTAAGGGTAAGTACTAATGCCAGAAACTCTAATTTTAAGTTTAGGTCCATACACATGCACATATAAGCGTCTATAGGTACTATGTTGAGATGTAACATTTCTTACTGTGAGTCTTAAGGAAAAAACTTAAAAGCAACAGGCTAAAAGGGCAGGTCTGCTGAATAAGGCTTCTTTGTGGCAAATACCCATTAGGATTCTTGCCAGGTTAGCAATACACTGACAGTTCTAATTAATGAAACACTCTAATTTAACTCCCATAGATGGGTAAGCTGACAAGCATTTCCTAAGAAGTCCTTGTTAAGAGTATTTTAAAGTGCATTTATCTGTAGTTTGTACTATACATTTATGTTCTCTGTATTTTCCAACTGATTAGTTTAATGTTGCATGCTATTGGAGGAGAGGAGACATTAAAGACTGGAGTTTAGGATAAGGATGGAAGTTGTAAATGTAAAGGTATCATGTAGCTGGTACATTTTTGTGGTAGAGAAAAGAAGTCAGATTATTCACGTTGGCAGAGTATAAAAAAATATCTGCTACTTTTTCTCCTTGTCCCCCCTCCAATCAGCTCTCAGTGCGAGCCACCAGTTTTCCTTCAGACCAACGCTGTCCAGGAGCATTTTCTGAGATGATAGAAATAGTCTCTATCTGCACCATCCAATACAGTAGCCACCAGCCGGATGGGCTATCTGGTACTTGAAATGTGGCTAGTTCAACGAAGGAACCAAATTTTTAATTAATTTCAAGTTAAACAGCCAATATTAGGCTAAGTGATATAAGCCAGTCACGAAAAAACTTACATAAGGCATCTAGAATAGTAAAACTCATAGAAATAGAAAGTAGAATGGTGGTTGCCAAGGGCTGGGCAGAAGGGAATAAGTTGTTTACAATCTGCGTACAGATTTCAGTTTTGCAAGATGAAAAGGCTCTGGAGATCAGTTGTGCAACAATATGGATGTCCTTAACACTTCTGAACTCTACAGTTAAAAATGGTTAGGATGGTAAATTTTATGCTATGTGCGTTTCACCACAATTAGAAGTAAAAATTAGAAAATTAAAGAGCCACATGTGGCCAGAGGCTACCATATTAGACCATCCAGCTTTAGCTACTGTGCCATTGGCTATGATAAAGCATCCCTAAGCTTAGTTTCTAACCACCACTGTCCTCCTTATCAAACTTCTTTCAGGATTCATGACTTCCTCTTGGGAACAAGATAGTAGTGCTTCCCTGGAGTTTACTGCAAAGGAGCTGCATGTACCAGCATTCATCCTCTGACTGGTGGCAGGAGGCCCAAGTTCAGGCTTGAGGGACTGGAGTACTGTACTCTCGTAACTAGGAGACCACATACAGAATGTGTAGCTGAGGAGGGAGGAAGCTGTGTGGGAGAAAAGGTCTTTGTCCTCAAGTTCAGTGAGTAGTTATTGAAGGCGTGAATGCTCTGAGCCAAGGCAAGGTTTTTTTCTGCATGACTGCCAGACTGCCCTGCACCTTTATCTCAATGATGCACACAGTATCCCTCATCAGTTACCTTACCCATTGAAAAGAAAGCCTTGACTGCCTAAGAGAAAGAAAATAACTGTCTATATAAGCTATCGGTTTATTAAGCGTCTTGCAAGTACCGATGACCAACTGCCTTTACTTACGTAAAGAATGAAACCCAAATGTCCAGCTAGACTTCCCTATTCTCCACACTACCAGCTTTATTGAGCAGACTGAATACATTTAAATTCAATGACTGTGAATTACCACCTTCCAGAAAAGCAAAGGAGAAATTATTATACTCTTCATTAATAAATTCATTTTTAAATGATTGCCATTCCTGCTTAACTGAAAACAGGACAAATGATACTCATTTACAAATTGATTTTTTCTGTTTTAAACCTTCTATTGAAATAGGAATAAATGAAGTGTTTGGGAAAGGAATTAGCTAATTAAAAATTGGGATGTAAATGCCAGCTGATGAAAGTCATCTATATAAATTAGCTCAGACTCATCAAGCTCTGCCCAAAAGAAAGATTTTACTAAGTGTTTCATTGAAAGCTCATGAGAGTAGAGCATAAAGCTTTGGGACTCCACAGCCAGTGAATTCCAGCTCCTAATATTCAATGCCTTGAATGAGGAACCAAGTAATGGAAGAATAACTGTATGGGCTATTAAGTGAGTAAGCAGGCTTTGAAGCCCACCTGGGTTCAAATCTCAGCCCTGTCACTTCTCCAAGCTTTTATAAAAAAGGGATAATGATAGGTAGTTCATTCTTCCCAGGGTTGCAGTGAGATTTAAATGAGATAATGCTTATACCTACTTACAAAGTGCTCAGAATACCATTTGGGACACAGCAAGGACTCAATTATTGTGAGAACAAGAGAAGGATACGTGATGAAAGCGGTCCCTTTGTCAAAGCCTATCTGTTCAGACTTCAGAAACTTTCCTTGAAGTGTCTAAATGCTCTTTCACCTTTTGAAGATTTGCTTCATTGTCACTTCATGTCTTTTAAGAGCTGCTTAACAGTCTCTTTCTCCAATTTCAAAGGCAATATCTACTTCTGACAGTTAACTCTGTGGTCTTCAGTGCCAGTCTGCAGCTGACATACTTCCCAGCAGCGTGGTGTGGAACAGGGGTGACAGACTGCAGATTTGGTTGGTTTGGCCCAGAGTGCTGCATTAGATTGTGTTTTTAGAAATCTGAATTAGCAGCTAATATTTTAAGATCCAGAGATTTCCTATGGACACTCAAATATTTGGCTTCTGCTAAAAACTCAAAGATCTGGCAACACCAAATCCACATTCCCGCATGATGGCAAGACTGGAGTTGGGTAGTGGCTCCTCTCAACAGGGCCTGTATTTCCTATTGTCCCCTCCACTCTCTGACACGGAGGCCAATGAAAGCGCCACCTCTCCTCACCTTTGTGTAATTGCACTCACTGATACCGCCTGCCTAGCCCTGCAGCCCCATGTGTATAGGTACAAGAGAATGACACACTTTAGAGACACCAGGCCCTAGTAGCCATCCTGACTTCTCTAACTCTGAGCCAGAGTTTCCTCATATACAAATGGAATTAACCCCCCATACACAACATCGCATGGTGTTGTGAATGTAACGAAAATATTTTTTAAAAAAAGAAAAGAAAGAGTTGCATGAAAGTAATCTGTTATCCAATTAATTGCAGCTAAAAAGTATGGCCCTGCAATAAGGCGGAGACTCTGGGAGAACCCCATAGCTCAGCCATGGCAAATGAACTAATTTTACCTTTTGGCCACATCTGATTTTGCCTCATTTGCAAGATACAGTCATAATGAGAAATATGAATTAAAGCAAAATGTCTAATTTATTGTCGTGATTCATGTGGCAGATTAGTAACTAGGGAAATATAGAGTTCAACGGAATGTTGTGCTTCAAAACCTACATTTATTCATAGGTAACTAATCATTTTACAAAAGTATTCTTCAAGTCACTTCAGAATTTATCTATAATGCAAAATATTTTTATATGATGTTTCCCAATTTTTTTATGTCAAAAATTTTCCGCCGGGTGTGGTGGCTGACGCCTGTAATCCCAGCACTTTGGGAGGCTGAGGCGGGCGGGTCACAAGGTCAGGAGTTCGAGACCAGCCTGACCAACATGGTGAAACCCTGTCTCTACTAAAAATACAAAAATTAGCCAGGCGTGGTGGCACGTGCCTGTAATCCCAGCTACTCAGGAGGCTGAGGCAGGAGAATCGCTTGAACCCAGGAGGCAGGGGTTGCAGTGAGCCGAGATCACGCCACTGCACTCCAGCCTAGATGACAGAGTGGGATTCCATCTCAAAAAGAAAAAGAAAAAAAAATTCATGAACATTTCCACATAACAGTCCTTGTAATTTGCTGGGGAAAATATGTAATGAATATATGTTATGAATTTAGTAACACCTTTAATGAATCTGTAGGTACGCAATGACAATAGAATCCTTACATAGTTGAAAAATAATAGTGTAGATACATGTCTCATTACGCCGTGCCCATTCAATGTTGGGACACACTTGAATTCAAGGACCACCTGCAAGAACTCCTCCATACCCAGTGATTCTCTATCCACCCCGCTGTGCATTCAAAATATGATCCCACTTTTTAAAAATGCAGTCTTCATGCACATCTATCATGTAAGAACTCTTTTAGGGATTTTGTAAGTGAAGGAAAGAGGAGAGATTAATGGAATGGCATCTGTTCTTGGATACATTTTTTTAAAATGCATTAAGGAACAGATAACTTATGTAGGATTCATTTTCACTTAAGCTAGCCAAATTAGAAAAATATAGTCAGATCAAGTTCACTGTAAGAAAGACGTTTTCCTATACATGGCAGGTTGGAAAACAATTTTCCTTCTTTCATAGAAATATAAAGAAAGGAAGAAAACGATTTACATAAGATTATCCCTACAGGCTAGACCTATGCAGTCAGGATAATTACTCTAAGAGGTTATATTATGGCTTTTTAAAAAAGTCAGATAGACCCAGATTCCAGGTGATGCTCCTCTACTTACTAAGCTCCTTATCTGTAAAATGGGGCCATGTCAACCATGTACAGTTATGAGGATTACATGAGATAATATATGTAGAGTGTCAGGAATAGAGATAAATTCAAGAAAGGTTTGTTCCTTTAACTTGATCATAAAGAACAGGGATGTAATGATGATGGACATAAAGGATGAAGGATGTGTTTGAAATAGGCAGGCTGTGGTGAGCTGCCAAAAGCATTCTCTGTGGGAAATAGGGAGGTACTGAGCAAGCCACATCTCAGGTCCTTTCATTTCCTTCTGTTCTTATTTTTGACATTGCTGCCATTGTGTCCACTAATTTGGCAAGGTTGCTTTGAATTATGACCTTCCTATTCCCACCATCTGTCTTCCTCTCCCATCAAAACAGTGCATTGTGTATTCTGATCTTTTCCCATTAATGTGATTTGATATGTACTTTGTTAACTCTGTAAACTGGGATTTAAAAAAAATTTTCCCAATCATCCTTAAAATGGTCGTTAGCCATTTAACTCTCCATCACTAAAAAATTAGCCAAACATTCATTTTCTACAGAAGAAATAAGGTAATAAGATGTAAATCTTGCTGGTCCAAAAACAAAGGGTTACTTTATGTCTGGCAAAGTGGAATTTAAAACTACTTTGTAAAAGTCCATTAATAATGTCCATTAATTCTAGAGCTACTTGTTGTGTTTTATCATTATCAAATTTAAAACATTTTATTATCAAAAAGGAATATATACACATATATGAATACATGATTATGTATATGTATATACCTATATATGCGTGCATATACATTTATGTAAATATAAGTATAGGTAGGTAGATAGAAAGATAGGCACATAGATGGATGGATAGATAGATTTTAAAAGACCTAGAAGGATTAATATCTAACTGGGAGTTGAGAGTGCGAGTAAAGATGGGGATAGGGAGATAGAAACTTTAAATTTTACTTCATCTAGTTATATAGTTTTAAAATTCTTTACAGCAAGCTCATATTGCTTTATTGGTCTTTTAATTATTTTCTAAAATCTGATCATTTCAGTGCTTAAGAAGAACACTTTAAGACATTTCATTAATTCTTCCAGGTCACTAAGGCACTGCTAAGTGCAATAAAAAAAAAAAAATACACTAAAGCTTTACCTTAAGAAAGAGGTGAAAAAGATACTCAGGAAAGCTTTTGATCACTACATAATTTTAGTTAGGATTTTTAAGTCAGATGAGTTACTAAAATATATTTTGAGCCCCTAACCACCTACAAGCACTATGTTCAACTGCAGGGAAAACAGAGCTAAGATGTCTCAAGGTTTTTATCATTTGGAAGAGCTGTCTATGAACACAACCAAGAGAGAAAGTTAGTAACCCAACTTAGGATATTGATCAGAAATGTTTATGAGAGCTTTCAAACATGCCTAGCTGACAGGGGAGTAAATTAAGCACTTGGAGATTTAGGTTAAATACATAATCATTAAGAACAGAAGAAGAGATCATGAACCATCTCAAGCTCCTTCTCCCAGCTTCAGGTGAAGTTCAAGTTGGGAGGCCCCAGGCTCTCTATCTACTAGCCTGACTGAGTGAACTGACATTCCACCCAGTTCCCTTCAGCCCCATACAAGATTGGGTGAGGGCCCTGATGACACTGGGAGCTTCTGAGGAAGGGAGGACAGCTAGAAATGACTAACATATACATCACTTCTTACCTTCTTGGACATAAAGAACCTCACCTATCACAAAAAAATTCATGAATGAGAGTATGTGGTCTTTGCCATCCCTTCCACCTATGAGAGCCTGATAACCATGCCTAAGCGATGTTGAGAAGAACATTCCATAGAAGGCTCAGATTGTGGGTAGGTATGGGAGTGAGGGTAGAAAGGAGGCAAAGAATAGCGGGAAAGGACACGCCTGTCACTAGTACAGGCTAGGCACAAAGTCTTGGAGGCCTGTGGTTGATATACTCTGGCATAAAGCAAGCAATACTCTAGCTCACTCCCACTGACTCTTTTCCTCACTTATGGGCTCTTCCATTGGTTTGTTTCCCAAGTCAAACTTTTAAAAAATTGACAAAGTGTTTCCAGTGTTCCTCTGGGTCTGTGATTGGAATTATACTGAATTTACAGATTCATTTGACAGGGGTAGCTAAAATAATCACAATCATAACATCTAAAATTGTATGTTAGAACATTAAGCATTCACCATGTGCTTAATAACATGCTAAGTCATACATATACATATATGTGTGTGTGTAATCACTTAATCCTCACAATAACCCATCACACACGTATTATGTCCATTTTACAGCTGAGAAAATGAAAGCTACAAATGGTGAAGTGGCCAGGTGCTATAGCCCATGCCTGTAATCACAGTAGTTTGGGAGGCTGAGACAGCAGGATCAGTTGGGTCCAGGAGTTCAAGACCATTCTGGGCAACCCAAGGAGACCCTATCTCTACAAAAAAATAAAAATAAATTAGTCAGGTGTAGTGGTGTACACTTGTGGTCCCAGCTACTCAGAAGGCTGAGGTGAGAGGACTGCTTGAGCCTGGGCGGTCAAGGCTCCAGTGACCCATGACTATGCCACTGCACTGCAGCCTGGACAACAGAGCGAGACCCTGTCTCAAAAAAAAAAAAAAAAAAAAAAAGAATGGTGAAGTGGTGAAGTACTTTGCCCAGGGTTGTATAATTAATACGTAGTGGAGTAAAAATTCAGACTCCAAAATGCTCTTAAACACCAGGCTGCCCTGACTCTATCTTCTCAATCAAGGGCAAGAAGTGTCTCTTCATTTTTTTTTTTTGAGACGGATTCTCGCCCTGTTGCCCAGGCTGGAATGCAATGGTGATCTCAGCTCACCACAATCTCCACCTCCCGGGTTCAAGCAATTCTCTTGCCTCAGCCTCCCAAGTAGCTGGGATTACAGGCATGCACCTCCATGCCCAGCTAATTTTTGTATTTTTAGTAGAGACGTGGTTTCACCATGTTGGCCAGGCTGGTCTCGAACTCCTGACCTCGTGATCCGCCCACCTCGGCCTCCCAAAGTGCTGGGATTACAGGCATGAGCCATCACACCTGGCCCAAGAAGTGTCTCTTCTTTGGTGTGAGCTTTTTTTTTAAGTTCATCATTAGAGTTCTATAGTTTTCTTTACAGGGATTCTGCCATTTTATGTCAGTTTACTAGAGAGAGAGATGCACAAATCCTCAATGAAGAAAACTCTTAAGACTTTATGGTGGGGACTGTGGTGGGGTGGGGGGAGGGGGGAGGGATAGCATTGGGAGATATACCTAATGCTAGATGACGAGTTGGTGGGTGCAGCGCACCGGCATGGCACATGTATACATATGTAACTAACCTGCACAATGTGCACATGTACCCTAAAACTTGAAGTATAATTAAAAAAAAAAAAGACTTTATGGTGACATGGCAGAAGATTTAAAGAACAGAGAATGTTCCTGTTCTTTGCTAGAAAGATTCAGTGTTATGTAAAAAAGTCAGCCCTCCCTAAATTAATCTGTGGAGTCAATATGACAGCTATCAACATATAAATAGGGCTTTTGGAGAAAATCTGACAAAAAATGATCTTGAGGTCCATCTGCAAAGGATATGTGGGATTAGCCAAGTTTCAGAAATGAAAATTAATGAGGAAATACTAGACTTGCATGGAATTAAACTATATTATAAAGTTCCAGTATTAAGATAGTTTGTTACTGATAGAATCAGAAGTAGAAAGTCCTGAAATATAGCCATATAATGTAGGAAATTAGCATATGATGAAGACTGAATTTGAAACTGAGATGAATAAGTGTTGCCAGAATAACTGACTATAACAGGATGGGGAAAGGAAGAATGAAATCTGTTGAGATTGGCCAGGCGCAGTGGCTCATGCCTGTAATCCCAGCACTTTGGGAGTCTGAGGTGGTTGGATCCCTTGAGGCCACGAGTTCAAAAGTAGCCTGGCCAGCATGGCATTACCTTATCTCTACTAAAAATACAAAAATCAGTCGGGCGTGGTGGCGCTCACCTGTGAGCCAAGCTACTCAGGAGGCTGAGGCACAAGAATCACTTGAACCCAGGAGGTAGAGCTTGCAATGAGCCAAGATTGCACCACTGCACTCCAGCCTGGGCGACAGAGTGAGACAGTCTCCAAAAAAAAAAAAAAAAAAAAAGAAATCTGTTGAGATCCCCAATTCACTCCTAAGCCAAAATAAATTATTATAATTTAGAATTTTAAATTTTTACAATTAAAACCACAAAAATACAAATCATATGGATAAATTTTTTAAATAACATTAGCAAGCAAAAACATAAACTCAATTCAACAAGGAAAATATAGACTCGATTATAAAATAACTTAAAATTTCTTGTGAGGCAAAGTTTTTTTAATGAGAAACTAGGAAATACATGAAAAAGAGATAATTTCCCTTAATATATGTAGAGCTCTTACATACCAATAAGAAAAAGATGACCACCTCAAAGGAAAAATATGCAAAATATATAAGCACCAGTTAAAAGAAGAACAATTATAAATAGCCAAAATATTTACTAGAAAATATTTATCTCACTCACAATTAGAGAATTACAAATTAAAGGGCCAGGCGTGGTGGCTCACACCTGTAATCCCAGCACTTTGGGAAGCCGAGGTCTTGAGGTCAGGAGCTCGAGACCAGCCTGGCCAACATGGTGAAACCCCGCCTCTACTAAAAATACAAAAATTAGCTGGGCGTGGTGGCAGACGCCTGTAATCCCAGCTGCTCAGAAGGTTGGGACAGGAGAATCGCT
Source organism: Homo sapiens (assembly GCF_000001405.40). NCBI lineage: Eukaryota > Metazoa > Chordata > Mammalia > Primates > Hominidae > Homo > Homo sapiens. The sequence continues at coordinate 29,984,839 of NC_000007.14, forward strand.
TGAACCTGGGGCAGAGGTTGCAGTGAGCCGAGATAGCACCACTGTACTCCAGCCTGGGTGACAGAGCTAGACTCTGTCTCAAAAAAAAAAAAAAAGAATTACAAATTAAAATAAGGAGCCAATTAAATATATAAGGTGAACAAAGATTTAAAAATTTGATAATATCTAGTCTTGACTTGTGTGGGGAAAGTAGCTTTGGGTAATTTGGCCAAATCTAACAGATTAACATAACCAGTGAAGTTGGTAGACAGCTCTTGTTCATCTCATCCTAAAAGGAAGGAGACTGGGCTGGGCGCGGTGGCTCACACCTGTAATCCCAGCACTTGGGAGACTGAGGCAGGCGGATCATGAGGTCAGGAGTTTGAGACGAGCCTGACCAACATGGTGAAACCCCGTCTCTACTAAAAAATACAAAAATTAGCCAGGCATGGTGGTGCGCACCTGTAATCCCAGCTACTCAGGAGACTAAAGCAGGAGAAATCACTTGAACCTGGGGGGACAGAGGTTGCAGTGAGCTGAGATCACGCCACTACACTCCAGCCTGGGTGACAGAGTGAGACTCTGTCTCAAAAAATAAATAAATAAAAATAAAAATAAAAGGAAGGAGACTGATAAGTGGTGTGCTCAAGGCCAAACTCCTAATTAGAGGTGGGACCAGAGCTAGGTCCCAGGTCCCCTAACTTGCAGCCCAGGGCCCTCTCACTGTACTGGGGTGTATTCATCTCATTTCGATATGGGAACACAGATGTGTCAGAATGAGGAAGTTACTTTCCAATGCACTGTGCAGTTATGTTAGCCATGCTATTTCTCCATCCTAGCTGAAGTCCCACCACCATAGACCCTGACACTCCACTGTCCCCATGTCCTAGATCACCACGTAGTGTGCTTATTCTGCTTCATAGTCTCATACTCAGCAGTCCCAGCCCACCACATACTCCTTCTCTCCCTTTACAGTTTCCCTGGTCACTCACTTCTTGTAGTCCCTTTTCCGTCCATCCTGTCCCCTTTTCAGTTTCTGTTTTAACTTCTCCTTACATACCCAGTTCTACAAACAGCATTATGAGCTCAGCCACCCTCCAGTTCCTGTTAAAAACCACTAGAAATATAATCCAAGGGCTGGGCGAGGTGGCTCATGCCTGTAATCCCAGCACTTTGGGAGGCCGAGGCGGGCAGATCACCTGAGGTCAGGAGTTCGAGACCAGCCCGACCAATATGGTGAAACCCTGTCTCTACTAAAAATACAAAAGTTAGCCGGGCTGTGGTGGCGCACGCCTGTAATCCCAGCTACTCAGGAGGTTGAGGCAGGAGAATCGCTTGAACCCTGGAGGCAGAGGTTGCAGTGAGCCGAGATCGTGCCACTGCACTCTAGCCTGGGTGACGGAGGGAGGCCCTGTCTCGAGAGAGAGCAAGACAGATGCGAACCATATTTGCAATTTTATATTTTCTAGTAGCCACATTTTTAAAAGTAAAGAGAAACTCATGGAATTATTTTTAGTAATATATTTTACCCAATATATCCAACATGTTACTTCAATATAAAATCAATATAAAATTATTAATGATATTTTAAATTCTTTCTTCATATTAAATTTTTGAAATTGTGTGTATATTTTACACTCAGCATATCTCAATACAAACTAGCTGCATTTCAAGTGCTCAATAGCCACATGAGGCTGGTGGCTACCAGATGAAACAGCACAGATCTAGACTCTAATGAAAACGGATTTAAAAAAAAATAACTTTTGTTTATCTGTATTCTTATTCTTCAACAGACACAAATTGCATGCATTTCTGTATTTTTACAACTTGCTATTTTAAATATCTTTGGCATATCTTCACATTCATCCTCTAATGCAAGTTAGTTTTCTAATTTTTTTAATTTTTTTTTTTTTTTTTTTTTTTTTGAGACGGAGTCTCGCTCTGTCGCCCAGGCTGGAGTGCAGTGGCACCATCTCGCCTCACTGCAACCTCCGCCTCCCGGGTTCAAGCGATTCTCCTGCCTCAGCCTCCCAAGTAGCTGGGACTACAGGCGCGTGCCACCATGCCCGGCTAATTTTTTGTATTTTTAGTAGAGACGGGGTTTCACCGTGTTAGCCAGGATGGTCTCGATCTCCTGACCTCGTGATCCGCCCGCCTCGGCCTCCCAAAGTGCTGGGATTACAGGCGTGAGCCACCGCGCCCGGCTGCAAGTTAGTTTTCTAAATGGCACATGTCACATCAGCATCTGTCTTCACTTCGATATATATATTCATATTTAGCTCCTATCTGTTCCACTGCCTCAAGACATTCTCCCTGTTCCCTGCCTCCTGCCACCTTCTCCCTCTGCACATCACTGGCTGTGAAGGTTCAGATGCCCAGAAGAAACGTTTTCCACATCTTCACCACCTCTTCACACTAACCCATGCACAATTTCTAGCTCTGCTTTAGTAGATCTAAGGTCACTGACTCATGACTCAGAAAAGTCAAATGCAAATCATAGGAAAAGCCTGTCTTCACTGCTTCAAAGTTATGTTTACAATAGGCTTGTTATTTACTTTTACTTAAAATTAGAAACAGTCGAAAAAAATGAAATGCATGGCCTACTTTGGTTCCTTTTCAAAATAAACTGGCCTAATGGTTCTCCACAAACACAAGCAACTCAATTTTTAATCAAAAAATGTACTTCTTGCCTCAAAGACTTTACTAAAATAATGTTTTTGGTTCTTAACTATAGAAACAGTTTCACCACTGGAAAATGTGAACATGAGGTAGATACAGCTTAAGAAGTTAAAAGTCTTGAATTAGGAAATTAAGGTGTTGTCATTGACTTTAAACACCTATAGACTTTGTAATTCATATTACAGTTTGGCTTCCCATTGCTCGAAGTGTTTGCCTTCCTAATAATGACAGACTTGCTGTTCTCCCCCAGGCTCTAAAAGGTAGCATGTGGAACCCGGGGGAGTTATGAGACCTGGATTTGGGTTCTCACTGCCAGTTGACAGCCAGATATATGATCTTGGCGTCCATTCGCCCCGCTGGCCTCAGCCTTCCTGCTGTAAAAAGGGGGTTGACAGCAGGCTCCTTAAGACTGCCTCCACCTCTGCCCCCCGACCTTAGCTCATCCTCCTCTATTCCATTATCCCTGAAGCATTTGCCTCCTCATGTATCTCCTTCCCAAAAGACAAGATGGCTGGCAGCACGGAAGTGAAAAGGGAAAGAAAGGCTGTTTAAAAAAAAAAAATTCTAAAATGAGTCACCTTTCAAGAATTTCCCATTTCCTCATGCCTGGGTGCTTCCTCGTGTCGCTAAATCAGTTCTTCCAATGAAACTTGATCTAAGAACCTGGTATTTGTTATGTGCACTGCTCTTGGATGATGTTTACAATGTGCACACATCTCTTTTAAGAGCTTGTAGGTATCAAACGACCTCCAGGTTGTGCATCAAAAAGACATCAGCAGCCACAGAGTCAACTTTAGTTGAGCCTGGAGAAAATCATACAAAACCGTAGAGTTTTAACTAGGTTTTGTATCATCTTTTGATAAGTTAGGAAAAATAATTACAGCTCTCCAAACTTCCCACTTAACAACTCCCAGGACCCTGCAGCACCCTAAAATCTAGCCAGCTCCAAGAATCACTCTCTACTCCATACCCGGATGAGCCTTGACTCACACTAATTCCCTCCCTGAGGCTTAAGTCAGGGGGCAGCTGATGGTTGTGGTCTGTGCTGCTTCCGCCTGGCCTATTTTTCATGCTGCCATTTTGAATTAGCATAGGTTTCCTCCGCAACTGATGCATCTTCTAACCAGGCTGGGAACACAACACGCGCACACGCGCACACACACACGCACGCACCCACCCCACCCGGCTGCCGGACGCAAGCGTAAGTCAAGGACTTGCATGCTAGAATCAGACAGAAAATCCAGAAAAGCCACGTTATTTAACAGAACCCTACAAGGTCAGCTTTGAGTCAAAGCAGGTAACAGTTTCCTTCGATGTTTTCATGGACATTTTTATTCCCAAATCCGAGTTCTCGCCAATTCTCTAAAGTTCAAGCGCCCCTCCTGCTTTGCAGACCACATTTCTCTCGGCCCTCGCGAGTGAGGTCGCCAAATACTCGACGCCTCAAGAGCGAGCCGAGGAGGCAGAGGCCGACCAAGCCGGCCTCTCGGCAGCCCCGCCCGGCGCCCCGCGGAGAACGCCCGGGTGCGGCTCGAGGGAAGTTGTGTCAAGTCCCACGCGCGGCCCGCGGAGAACCCAGGGGCGGCCCGCGCGCGTCGGCCTAGCGGGGAGGGCTGCTCCGGGACACGGTGCGGCGGCCGCGGGCGAGTTGGACGCGCTGGCAGAGCCGGGCCGAAGGCGGCGGGCGTCTCCGGGCAGCCATGTTCGCGGCGCCCGCCCGCGCAGCAGGTACGGCACCTCGGGGAAGGTGCCCGGCTCGCCCCAGACCCCAGGGTGGCGAGGCCAGGGGCCCACAGGCACATCCCAGTGGGCAGCAGGTTGGCTGCCAGGAAAAGGAAACCCAGGAAGAGCAGCGCGGGGAACCCGGCTGCGGTGCGGGAGCCCGGGGCCGGCATCCCTCCACTGCACCCCCGCAGTCCCCGAGCCGAGTCACCCCGGCTTCAGGCCGAGGCCACCTCTCCTCTGACCGCCCCCAGGCTCCCAGCCCGCCCGGGCCAGCACCGGGAATCGGCCTGGGGTAACGCTACCCGCGGGTTCGGAGGGACAGCGGGAGGAGATGAAACGCAGGAGGTGGCGATGGCGGGTGGGGTGAAACCGCCGGGAAAGCAGCGCTGCAAACGCCCTGCGCTCCCAGACGCGGCTCACCTGGGGCGGCGGGCTCCGGGCTCCGCTCTCCGCTCTGCGGTGCTGAGGCTGCGGCCGCCGAGGGTGCGGGTGCTGCCGGGTCCGGATTACTGCGGCGACCTCGGGGGCTGCAGCTGCAGTGGCGGAGGCGGCCGCCGGGCGCTTCCCCCTACCCAGACTCCCGGCGCTGGGGCCCGCCGCCCCCCGCAGCAGCTGGCCCGACTCACGTGACCGCGGGCCCACCCTCCGCCTCCCCCACCCCGGCCCCCGGGGCCCCGCCGCACCCCGCGCGTCTGGCTGCACGGGCCGCGGCGCTGCTCACCGTCGAGTAGGGAGGGGGCCTGGGAGCTGGAGGAGCGGCCGAGAGGGCGTATCTCGCCGCAGAAAGTGGCCCCCTCTTTGCTAGATTTTTATTTCTTGGTTGTGGCTCTCAAAAGGGAAAACCCGGGCTTCAAGGAGCCAGGCCCAGCATCCTTTTGGCGCCTCTTCCCGACGTTTGGTTGCTACGTCCGGGCCTCGGCGCCCACACAAGATTTCCCCGGAGAGAAATGTGTCCTGTACCTTGTTGACTCGCACGTCCAAGTCGAGTCCCTGGTTTTAAAAGTGCCGTCCTGTACCATGTTGGTAAGCCAGACCCTGTCCCAGGTACTTGGACATTGTGGCCTAGAGAGGTTAAGTAACTTGCCCAAGGTCACACAGCACGTAACTAAGCCAAGATTCCATATCTGGGTTAATAAAGTTATGTACAGGGACTTGTGTGTTGTGTGTCTGTGTGTGTGTGTGTGTGTGTGTGTTGATGCCAGCGTCAACTCCATCTTTTATAAGTAAATAAGAAAAGACTATCTCAAAAGATATGAAGACGTAATTCAGAGGAAAATAAATGCAATTCTATCCTGGCACACGAAAAGATATTCAGGCTCACTTAACTGCAAATCAAATATGTGGGGTAGCATCTTCCACCAGCCAGATTAACAAAAATCAAAACATTTTGAGTCTTGCTTTGTCGCCCAGTCTGGAATGCAGTGGCAGGATCTCGGCTCACTGCAAACTCCGCCTCCTGCCTCCCGCCTCCCGCCTCCCGCCTCCCGGGTTCAAGCGATTCTCGTGCCTCAGCCTCCCAAGTGGCTGAGACTACAGACCCACGCCACCAGCCTCGCTAATTTTTTTTGATTTTTAGTAGAGATGGGGTTTCACCATGTTGCCCAGGCCGGTCTCAAACTCCTGAGCTTAGGCAATCCGCCTGCCTCTACTATCCAGCTTCCTTTAAAAAGGAGAATGATCTTTATTTGCTAATACAAAACTATTTCCAACCTATACTAACTAAAGAAAAATAAAAAGCTAGGTGCAGAACGTTGTGTGTGTTATTTGTGGGAAGAAAATATATATGTATGTCTGTACTTATTTTTGTAAATGCACAGAGTATCTTTGGAAGAGTACGTAAGAACCTGTAATAGATGCCACCAGGGAGCAGAACTGGGAGACTGGGTGCTGGGGAGAGAAGGAGACTTTTTTCCATGCCCTTTGAATGTTGAGCCTGTGCTTACAGTCTGACACATGAGTAAACGGATAGTGGGGAAGGGCTGAGGAAGTTGGTGTAGGTACTGCAGAATAGAGCATTGGTTCGTAGACTCTTGGAGCACAAAGGTACTTTACTGTTCTTTTAGTCTAGCCAAGAAAACTGTAGCCAATGAGTCTAAATAATCAATATTAGAAATTTCTAGCGGGCTTATTCCTGGGTTCCAGCCCAGATCTATGGAATTCAGAGTCTCTGGGGCTGGAGCCAGGGAACCCGCATTTTTCAAGCTCTTTAGTTGTTTCTCTTGCATGTTAAAGTCTGAAAGTCCGTGAGGTGTGGGTAGGGAGAGCATTAGGAAAAATAGGTAATGCATGCTGGGCTTAATACCTAAGTGATGGGTTGATAGGTGCAGCAAACCACCGTGGTACACGTTTACTTATATAACAAATCTGCACATCCTGCATATATACCCCAGAACTTAAAATAAATATTAAACTTTTTTTAAAAGTCTCAGAGTCGCTGTTTTATTTTTTGTTTGTTTTGAGATGGGATCTCGCTCTGTCACCCAGCCTCGAGGGAAGTGGCTCACTGCAGCCTCTACCTCCTAGGCTCAAGTGATCCTCCTACCTCAGCCTCCTGAGTAGATAGGACTACAAGCATGTGCCACCATGCCTAGCTACTTTTTAAAATATTTTTGTAGAAATGGAGTCTCACTATGTTGCCCAGGCTGGTTTCAAGCTCCTGGACTCAAATGATCCTCCTGCCTTAGCCATCTGAAGTGTTAAGATTACAGACGTGAGCCACCGTGCCCAGCCAGAGTCACTGTTTTAAATGTCTAGTTTAAGACTACACCACTACTAGAAAGGCAAATGCAATCCTGTGCCTTCCTATAGCCAGTATATGTCATTTGTTGTGTAAAGGATGGCACTTGCACCCTACGCTGCTCCCCTGGAGGCAGCCATATGCTCAGTACACGGATAGGGGATACTGCCAACCTGCCTGCCTGGCCTGAGATCTTTGAAGCCTGTTGGTTTGTCCCTACACAGCCACAGGAGCTTTGAGGCCAGGAGCCCAGGAACACATGGAGATTGAAAGACACCTGCTTTCCCCAGGGTCTGCATGGAGAAGCTTATTATATGGCACTATGAACGCTTATTAAACAGCAGCAATGACCGGGCATGGTGGCTCATGCCTGTAATCCCAGCACTTTGGGAGACCAAGGCGGGTGGATCACGAGGTCAGAAGATCAAGACCATCCTGGCCAACATGGTGAAACCCCGTCTCTACTGAAAATACAAAAATTAGCTGTGTGTGGTGGTGCGTGCCTATAATCCCAGCTACTTGGGAGGCTGAGGCAGGAGAATAGCTTGAACCAGGGAGTCAGAGGTTGCAGTGAGCCAAGATCGTGCCATTGCACTCCAGCCTGGGTGAGAGAGTGAGACTCCGTCTTAAAAAACAAAAACCAGCAGCAATACACTTATTTTGTCTCTGCTTTGTATCCAAAAGACAGTCCCTACTATTATTTGAGCTGCATAAATAGAGATAAGAGAACAGAACTGTCCAACAAATGTGGAGAACACCAAGAAATATCAGTAAGGGCTTTAATCATTGGCCTCTATCAATTATGTGAGGTTTAACTTTGAGTAAATTATAAGATTTCCATGAGCTAGCTTGCAAGGAAAAAAAATGTCTTAAATGACTTGCAACTGTTACACGGTCATTTATATTCCATCTAGTCATATTCAGAGACTTAAGAGCTAAAAAATACAAGTATAACAGATTTCCTTTTTTCTCTTCCGCCCTGAGAAGGACATGATCCCTACAGAGGTTACTCTCTGCAGCTGAGGCAGAAGGAGATTATAGCTAGAGGCTGTCTGCTAAACATGTCTGGAGGGTACACTCAGTGATGACCACAGATACTAATAGTGTTTTCAGTTTGGAACAATTATGAATAAAGCTGCTAATAATATTTATCTACAAGTTTTATGTAAGTGTAGGTTTTCATTTCTCTTGGGTAAACATTAGATTGGTGCAAAAGTAATTGCAGTTTTTGCCATTACTGTTTTAAAAATGGCAAAAACTGCAATCACTTTTGCACCAACCAACCTAATACTTAAGAGTGAAGTGGGTGAGTCATACGGCAGGTGTATATTTAAATTTATAAAAAGTTGCCAAACTGTATTCCAAAGTGGTTTTTACCATTTTACATTATATCAGAAATATATGAGAGTTCCAGTTGCTCCACATCCTTATCAACACTTGCTATTATCAATCTTCTAAATTTTATCGATTCTCACAAATGTGTACTGAAATCTCCTCGTGGTTTTAATTTATATTGCCTTTTTTTTTTTTTTTTTGAGACAGCATCTCACTCTGTCTCCAGGCTGGAGTGCAGTGGTACGATCTCGGCTCACTGCAACTTCTACCTCCCAGGTTCAAGCAATTCTCCTGCCTCATTCTCCTGAGTAGCTGAGACTACAGCTGCACACCACCATGCCTAGCTAATTTTTCTATCTTTAGTAGAGATGGGGTTTTACCATGTTGGCCAGGATGATCTTGATCTCTTGACCTCATGAGCCACCCGCCTCAGCCTCCCAAAGTGCTGGGATTATAGGCATGAACTACCATGTCCAGCCTATATTTCTTTGCTGATTAATAATGGTGAGCAACTTTTCCTATACTTGTTAGCCATTCATATATGTTCTTTTGGAAAGTGTTTAAGTCTTTTGCCTGTTAAAAAGTTTTATATTTTTAATTAGTATTATTATTACATGTTAAGAATTCCTTATATCTGGATACAAGTTCTTTATCATATTTATGTATTACAAATATATTCTTTCAGTATATGTCTCGCTTTTCATTAGTGGTGTCTTTTGAAGAGAAGATTTTAATTTTGTTATGCTCAATTTATCAATATTTTTTCTTTTATAGTTAATACTTTTTATGTCCTAAGAAATTTTGCCTACTCCAAGGTTGCAAAGATTTTCTTCTATGTTTACATCCAGAGATGTATAGTTTTTTAGCACTTATGTTAAGACCATGGTCCATTTCAAGTAAATTTTTGAATAAGTGGAGGTAAAATTCCAAGTTTATTTATGTGACTATTCAATTGTTCCAGCACCATTTGTTTTCCCCCAGGATTTACCATGCTATTGACAAAAGTCAATTGACCGTGTAAATGTAGGTATATTTCTCAACTCTCTCTTCCATTCTATTGGTCTACATAATTATTCTTTTTTTTTGAGACAGAGTTTCACTCTTGTTGCCCAGGCTGCAGTGCAATGGCATAATCTTGGCTCACTGCAACCTCCGCCCTCCAGGTTCAAGCGAGTCTCCTGCCTCAGCCTCCCAAGTAGCTGGGATTACAGGCATGTGCCACCACACCTAGCTAATTTTGTATTTTTAGTAGAGACGGGGTTTCTCCATGTTGGTCAGACTGGTCTCGAACTCCTGACCTCAGGCGATCTGCCCACCTCGGCCTCCCAAAGTGCTGGGATTACAGGCGTGAGCCACCATGCCCGGCTATGTATTTATTCTTATGCCAATACTATACTCTCTTGATTATTATAGATTTATATCAAGTCTCGAAGTCAGGCAGCTTAAGTCTTCCAAGTTTGTTCTTTTTCAGAACTGTTTTGGCTATTCTAGGTACTCTGCACTTGGTTATAAATTTTAGAATCAGCTTGCCAATTCCTATACAAAATGCTGACTGGAATCACATTCAATCTATAGACCAATTTGAGGAGAATTTACATCTTAATAATATTGAGTCTTCCAATCTATGAACATGGTATATTTCTCCATTTTTTTAGGTTGTCTGTAAGTTTTCTCAGCAAATATTTAGAGTTTTCAGCATACAGGTCTTGGACATATTTTATTTAATAATTATTTCATGTTTTTGGGTGTTATTGTAACTAATCATTTTAAATTTTATTTTTCAATTGTTCATTGCTAGAATATAAAAATGCAATTGGTTTTTGTATATGGACCTTATATCCTATGACTTTACTAAATATGCTTATGAATTCTATTAACTTTTTCATCATTTGTTAGAATTTTCTCTGTACTCAATCATGTTGACTAAAAATACATTTTTAGTTATTCCTTTTCAATCTATTTGCCTTTTAATTCTTTTCCATATCTTATTGCATTTGCTAGGACCTACTTAATGCTATAGAGGAACAGTGAGAACAAACAAGTTCAGTCATTCACCACTAAGTATGATATTATTTGTAGAGTTTTTTACAGATACCATTTATCATGTTGAGGAAGTTTCCTTCTTTTCCTACTTTGCTGATAGTTTTATTTGTTTTTTCATTTGTTTTTAATGATGAATCAGTGTTGAATTTTGTCAGCTGCTTTTTCTGCATCTATTAAGATGATGAAATGCTTTTTATCCTCTATCCTGTAAATACGATAAAATACATTAATTGATTTTCAAATGTTTAACTGCATTTGGGGGATAAATCTCAATTTGGTTATGATGAATTATCTTTTTTATATATTTCTAGGTTGAATGTGCTAATATTTTGCAAAACATTTTTGTGCCTATTTTTATGAGAGATATTGGCATATAGATTGATACATAGTATTCTTTTCTGGTTTTGGTGTATAGGTGATACTGACTTCATAATATAAGCTGGTAAGTGTACCCATCTCTTCTATTTTCTGAGTATTTGTAGGACTGGTATTTTTCCTTCCTTAAATATTTGATAGAGTTTGCTAATGACTTCATCAACCTGGAATGCAGTTTTGATTGTGAAAATATCTTAAAGTATGAATAAATTTCTTAATTGACATATGGTTATTCAGGTTTTTCATTTGTCCTTAAGTCAATTTTGATAAATTGTGTCTTTCAAGGAAATTGTCCATTTCATGTAAGTTGGTGAATTTATTGGAAAAAATAATTTATAGTATTTCTTTATTATCCTTTATTATTCATAGCATCTGTAGCAGTGTCTCCTCCTCTGCACTTCTCTAGGAAATTTGTGTCTTTTTCTTTTTAAGGATTAGTCCAGTAGAGATTTATTGATTCCTCTGATCTTTTTGAAGAACCAGTTTTCAGTTTCACTGATTTTCTCTATTGTTTAAACTTTCTTTTATTTACTTTGAGTTTAATTTGCTCTTCTTTTTCTAGCTTCTTAGAACTTAGATCATTGATTTTAGATTCTTTGTCTTTTCAAAGTATATGTAGGAATAAACCTTTACCTTTAAAAATAAACTTTATATAAGTATATAAAGATATAAATTCCCCTCTAAGCACTGCTTTAGCATCATCCTCCAAATTTGATATGTTATGTATTAGTTTCTTCTGGCTGCTATAACAAATTACCACAAACTTGGTGGCTTAGCTCAAAACAACACAAACATTTCCTCACAGTTCTGGAGGCCAGATGTCTGAAATCAGTATTACTGGGATGGACTCAAGGTATTGACAGGATCTGGCACCATCCAGAGGCTCTCAGGGAGAATCTGTTCCTTGCTTCTGTCAGCATTTGGTGGCTGCTAGCATTCCTTGGCTTGTAGCCACATCACTGCAATCTTCTAGGCCAGCATCTTCCAATCTCTCTTTCTGTTCTGTCTTCACATAGCTTTCAAAACTCTCTGTGATCAAATCTTCCTGTGCCTCCCTCATAAGGATACATATGATTGCATTTAGGGACCGCCATGCTAATCTAGGATAATCTTCCCATCTCAAGATCCTTAACCTAATCATATCCATAAAGTCCTTTTTATTGCCATATAAGATAATATCACAAATTTCAGGAATTAGGATGTAGATATCTTTTAGGAAGCCATTTTCCTCATACCACATGTTGTATTTGCATTTTCATTCATTTTATTTCACTTCATTTTCATATTTTCTAAGTTCTCATATTTCTTTTCCCCATGGGTATTTTTGTTTTATGGCCTAGCTATGGACCATCTTGGTGAATTTTCCATGTGTGTGTTAAAAACCTGTGTATTCTGCTGTTGTTGAGGGTACTGTTTTATAAAAATCAATTAGATCAAGTTGGTTGATAGCATTGTTCAAGTCTTCTATTACGTATAGATTTTTTTTTCCATATTTGTTCTATCAGTTACTAAGAGAGGATTGCTGTAGCCTTGAACTGTATTTGTGGATCTTTCTATTTCTTTTAGTTCTGTCAATTTTTGCATCTTGTATTTTGAGGATCTGTTAGGAGGTACATACATACTTAGGATTGCTATGAATTATTTTAAAATGTCTCTTTTTTCTCTCTGGTAATATTTATTGTCCTGAAGTCTACTTAGTCTAATACTAACAAAGTCACCCTCCTGATTAGCGGTTGCATAGTACATTTTTTCATCGTTTTACTTTTAAACTGTGTTTGTCTTTATAGTGGGATTTTGTAGATACAATATAATTGGATCTTGCTTTTCATTCAATATGACATTTTTTTACTTTTTTAATTGAAGTGTTTTAATCAGTGTTTCTCAAATAGGGGCAATTTTGGACCCAGGGGACATTTGGCAATGTCTGGAGACATTTTTGGTTGTCACAATGGCAGAGGTTGAGGAAGTCTCTACTAGCATCTAGTTTATAAAGACCAGGAATGCTGTTGAACATTCTACAGTGGAAAGGATAGCCTCCTACAAGCAATAATTTTTTATTTTTGAGACTGGATCTCATTCTGTTTCCCAGGTGGAGTACAGCGGCACCTTCATGGTTCACTGCAGCCTGGGTCTCCCAGGTTCAAGTGATCCTCCCACCTCACCCTTCCTAGTAGCTGGGACTACAGGCATGTGCCACCATGCCTGGCTAATTTTTCTATTTTTTGTAGAAACAGGGTTTGCCATGTTGTCCAGGCTGGTCTCAAACTCGTGTGCTCAAACAATCCACCCACCTCAGGCTTCCAAAGTGCTGGGATTACAGGTGTGAAGCACTGTGCACAGCCCCTACCACATTTTCTTGATCCATTAATCTGTTGATAGACACTTAAGCTGATTCTACATCTTGGCTATTGTGAACAGTGCTGCCATAAACTTGGGGGTGCAGATATCTCTTTGAGACACTGATTTAATCCTTTGGATATACATCCAGTAGTGAGATTGCTGGATCATATGGTGACTCTTTTTTAGTTTTTTTGAGAAACCCCCATACTTTTCTCCATAATGGCTGTACTAATTTACATTCCCATCAACAGTATAGAAGAGTTCCCTTTTCTCTGCATTTCTGCCTGTATTTGTTATTTTTTGTCTTTTTGATACCAGCCATTCTAACTGGGGTGAGATGATACCTCATTGTGATTTTGATTTGCATTTCCCTGATGATTAGAGAGGTTGAGCATATTTACATATACTTATTGGCCATTTGTATGTCTTCTTTTTAAAAATATCTATTCAGGTTATTTGCTCATTTTTAAATTGGATTATTTGTTTTTTGCTGTTGAGATATTTGAATTCCTTGTATATTCTGAATATTAATCCCTTGTCAGATGAATAGTTTGGAAATATTTTCTCCCATTCTGTGGGTTGTCTCCTCACCTCACTGATTCACTTCCAATTTTGAAAGGTATTTTTGCTGAGTATGTAGTTTTTGGTTGAGAACTTTTTTCTTTCAACACTTAAAGGAACCATTCAATTTTCATAAGACATTGCCATAAGGCTTGCATAATTTCTGAAGAAAAGTTTGTGTTTGATTACCTTTCTTCCCCTGCTTATATCTTTTTTCCTATGGCTACTTTTAAGATTTTTCTCTTTATCTCAGGCTTTGAGGAATATGATTATGACGTATCTTGGTATGTTCTGTGTTTATCCCACCTAGGCTTTATTGAGTTTCTCGGATCTGTAGGTTTATCATTCCTCTTAAATTTTGGGCCATTATTTCTTCAAATATTTTATCCAGTGCATCCTTCCCCTCACAGATTCAAGAACTCTGATTACCCGTATGTTAGGCCACTTGATATTGTTCCATACATCACTGAGGTTCTTGTTCTTCTGCTTTTAGTCTCTGCTCTCTGTGCTTTATTTTGAATAATTTTGCTTGGTATTTGTTCAAATTTAGTTATCTTTTCTCCTGTAGCCTCTAATCTGCTATCATCTGTGAAATTTTTATAGCAGTAATGTAGTATTTTTCTTTTTTTGAAGCTCAGTTTGGTTCTTTTTTTTTTTTTGAGATGGAGTCTTGCTCTGTCACCCAGGGTGGAGTGTAGTGGCATGATCTCGGCTCACTGCAAGCTCCGTCTCCCGGGTTCACGACATTCTCCTGCCTCAGCCTCCCGAGTAGCTGGGACTACAGGCGCCCGCCACCACTCCCGGCTAATTTTTTGTATTTTTTTTTAGTAGAGATGGGGTTTCTCTGTGTTAGCCAGGATGGTCTTGATCTCCTGACTTCGTGATCCACCCATCTCGGCCTCCCAAAGTGCTGGGATTACAGGCGTGAGCCACCGTGCCCGGCCTCCAGTTTGGTTCTTTTTATATTACCCATTCCTTTCATATGTATTTTTCTTTAAATCCCTGATCATATTTATAATATTTTAATAGCTATTTTAAAGACCATGTATGCTAATTTCATAATTTCTGTCAATTTTTAGTCTGTTGTTGATGATTGATTGATCTCCTGTTTCTGTGCCAGTCTTCCAATTCAGATGCCAGGCTTTGTGAATTTTATGTTGTTGAGTGATGAATTTATTTTTTGTATTGCTTTAAAGAGTGTTGGTGTTGGGCCTTTTTCCAGTGCTCAACACGATGTGGAAGCTGCCAAAGCCAGGGCTTCCACCCTCTGAAGCCACAGCCCGAGCTCTACATTGGCCCCTTTCAGCCACGGCTGCAGTGGCTGGGACACAGGGTACCAAGTCCCTAGGCTACACGCAACACGGGGACCCTGGGCCCAGCCCACGAAACCACTTTTTCCTCCTGGGCCTCCTGGCCTGGGATGGGAGGGGCTGCCGTGAAGGTCTCTGTCATGACCAGGAGACATTT
Source organism: Homo sapiens (assembly GCF_000001405.40). Lineage (NCBI taxonomy): Eukaryota > Metazoa > Chordata > Mammalia > Primates > Hominidae > Homo > Homo sapiens. Next base: position 30,000,080 of record NC_000007.14, read on the forward strand.
TCCCCATGGTCTTGGGGATTAACATTAGGCTCCTTGCTACTTATGCAAATTTCTGCAGCAGGCTTGAATTTCTCCTCAGAAAATGGATTTCTACTGCATTGTCAGGTTGCAAATTTTCTGAACTTTTATGCTGTTTCCCTTTTAAAACAGAATGCTTTTAACAGCACCCAAGTCACATTTTGACTGCTTTGCTGCTTAGAAATTTCTTCTGCCAGATACCCTAAATCATCTCTCTCAAGTTCAAAGTTCCATAGATCTCTAGGGCAGGGGCAAAATGCTGCCAGTCTCTTTGCTAAAACATAACAAGAGTCACCTTTGCTCCAGTTCCCAACAAGTTCCTCATCTCCATGTGAGACCACCTCAGCCTGGACCTTATTGTTCATATCACTATCAGTATTTTGTCAAAGCCATTCAACAAGTCTCTAGGAAGTTCCAAACTTTCCCACATTTTCCTGTCTTCTTCTGAGTCCTCCAAACTGTTCCAACCTCTGCTTGTTACCCAGTTCCAAAGTTACTTCCACATTTTCAGGTATCTTTTCAGCAATGCCCCACTCTACAGGTACCAATTTACTTTATTAGTTCGTTTTCATGCTGCTGATAAAGACATGCCTGAAACCGGGAAGAAAAAGAGGTTTAATTGGACTTACAGTTCACATGGCTGGGGAGGCCACAGAATCATGGCGGGAAGTGAAAGGCACTTGTTACCTGGTAGTGGCAAGAGAAGAATGAGGAAGAAGCAAAAGCAGAAACCTCCAATAAACCCGTCAGATCTCATGAAGCTTATTCACTATAATGACAATAGCAAGGGAAAGACCGGCCCCCATGATTCAATTACCTCTCCCTGGGTCCCTCCCACAACAGGTGGGAATTCTGGGAGATACAGTTCAAGTTGAGATTTGAGTGGAAACATAGCCAAACCATATCACTGTCCCTTCTCTTTGCCTCCAAGCAGAAAGCTGGGTGGTTGTCTCATTTGTTTCCTTTCTCTTGCGGATCACAAGAGAAAGGAAACAAATGCTCTGCCTGTCATCCAATGTCTGACAACAATTGTTTCATGCATTTTGCTCAGTTTTCTAGTTGTTCACAATAGAACAGCAAGTCCCATAGCAGTTTTTCCTTCATAGGCAGATGTGAAAGCCTAGGAGCACAAATCTTATTGCCTCTAAGGAACCAAATGTCCTGGTGTAGACTCAACTAGACCCATTATTTAGGAAATACAAATGTACAGTCTATTTATAGAACCTCTTCAACATACCAGTAAGAAATATTTATCTGACACATGTACCAAAAATTGCACTCTTGCTACAAGAATGAAAAAGGGGGCTGGGCGCAGTGGCTCACGCCTGTAATCCCAGCACTTTGGGAGGCTGAGGTGGGCGGATCACGACGTCAGGAGTTCAAGACCAGCCTGGCCAACATGGTGAAACCCCATCTCTAGTGAAACCCCATCTCTACTAAAAATACAAAAATTAGCCAGGCGTGGTGGCACGTGCCTGTAATCCCAGCTACTTGAGAGGCTGAGGCAGGAGAATCACTTCAACCCAGGAGGCAGAGGTTTCAGTGAGCCGAGACCACGCCACTGCACTCCAGCCTGGCAACAGAGCATGACTCCATCTCAAAAAGAAAAAAAAAAAAAAAAAAAGGAATATCATAGCCTCTCCTCTCAAGATGTCAGAGACAAGCAAGGAAATTAAGTATAGAGGTAACATAATTAGACGTTAATTATATGTTGCTGTCAGGGTAACACAAAGGTTATGCAAAAATAAATACACGGATCTGACATATTAGGAAATGTAAGCAAGTTTAAAAGATGGCCATCTCTCTCAAAACTTCCTTTTATTAAAAATATTTTCTTAAATAGCCATAAATGAGGGTTACTCAAACCTAGACCATTAAAAAAATTATATATGACAATTTTGCCTTGTCTTCCAACCAGTGTTATTGATTGACTGAAGAACACTATGCATAGATTTTGAGGAGCTTAAAGTGCCGTAGGTGTAATTGCGAAATGCCTTTAACACATTGCATATAGAGGTATTTTCCACTTAGTACTTCTTTCAGTGTATAATAATGGGAGGAGGAAAAAAGACCTGTCACTGGGCAAACCTCATGGGAATGGACTACAGACAGTGCTGTGTGAATTAGGCACTTATGTATGGGTAAGAAAGCCTGCATAATTGCTTTATGTATAATGTTATGAGAACCAAACAAAGAAGCTGACAGAGAAGCCAGGGGAAAATGAGAAAGAAAAGCACTAGTCAAGATTAGTCAGCCACCTGCCTTAATCCTGTGACAACTGTGTTTAGGAGGTTAGTTTTCTGAATTTGGTTACCATAGTAATAGACCTTTAGAATGTCCTTAAATCAATTTACAGAATTACTATTCATATTAAGCAACACAAATAGATTTTAGGTTGTTAAAATCTATTTTTAAATTATTTTTAGAAATGAAATGATCCATCAAGCCCTTTAGATATATAGACAGCCATAAATTGTATTTTGGCAAAGGGAAGTTGTAAGATCGTATTCATTATTATTGGGTGACGGGTTTATAAGTTCAATAATTCAAATATGTCATCTTAATGAATGACTCCTAATAAATTTTAAATAAGATAGAGTTCATGAATGTTCTAGACCTAGCTTTAAAACCAAATATGTATGCTTCACACGCATTCCTACACCTCTAGGAGTCATCTGTGGGTTTAGCCAATTATATGGATAATTTAAAGGGGAATTGCTGAGACCTGGTCTAGTGATCATCCAAGAGCTGCCTAGAGGATTCTACGGTCAGACTTGGGAATTTCAACCGAACTCTTCCTTTTTTTTTTTTTTTTTTCTAGTTTACATGTGTGGAAAACATCCACTTCATTTTATGCAGTTTTTAAATTGGGCTTTTTAATATTCTAGTGACATCTGAAGCTACTTTTTAACAGATGAAGGCTTAGCCAGAATTGTAAAAGTTGGTTCTCTTATATCTGCAATTTTAAGACCACTGCTCACTTAAGATATTAATAATATAAAACTTTAAACAAAAGTTGCAATTTTCTAATTCTTCAGAGAACTAAACAAAGTCTGCTTAAATTGCTGTAGATTGGCGTTCAGTTAAAGGAAGACTTCATTCATGCTATGAGTGATTAAAGGATTCCTGGCCAGGTATGGTAGCTCACAACTGTTAGCACTTTGGAAAGCAAGGTGGGAGGAGCTTTTGAGGTCAGGAATTTGAGACCAGCATGGGTAACATAGCGAGACCCGCGTCTCTACAAAAAATTTTAAAAGTAGCCGGGCGTGGTGGTGTGTGCCTGCAGATTATTTGAGCCCAGAAGTTGGAATGGGGCTGTAATTGCACTATTGCACTCCAGCCTGGGAGACAGAGTTTATTAGTTTCAAACAAAACAAAAAACCCCAGTGATTCCATGTATGAAATTTCTCTGACTCTAGAGAAAGAATATTTTGTTTGAGGCATCCTTGTATTTTCCATGAACCACAGAAAAACTAGTATTAGTTTATTTCATGTCAGATGAATCGCCTGACTTTCAGAGAATTGGGAATAATCTAGATACATGAAAATATTTTAGTGTTTAAATTCCTGATTATTTTTCACTTTCCTTTTCATTGACTTTCTACCCTTAATCATAAACCTAACCCTGGATTTTTACTATTATTATTATATCCCTTGTACCGCTGGTTCTAGATCCTGTAGAGCTGCAATCAGTGTCTTGTTCACCTTTGAATTTCAAAAAGCACCTATCATATTAAAATAAAAATTAAAGGTGGAAACTATCTTACCATCAAATGAATTTATCAGATAATCTCCCTTTTAGCTTTACTCTGCATACAAAGAAAGGACTGAGCTTTAAGAAGTACTAGACAGGCCGGGCGCGGTGGCTCATGCCTGTAATCCCAGCACTTTGAGAGGCTGAGACGGGTGGATCACAAGGTCGGGAGATCGAGACCATCCTGGCTAACACGGTGAAACCCCGTCTCTACTAAAAATACAAAAAATTAGCCGGCCTGGTGGTGGGCGCCTGTAGTCCCAGCTACTCAGGAGGCTGAGGCAGGAGAATGGTGTGAACCCGGGAGGCGGAGCTTGCAGTGAGCCGAGATCGCGCCACTGCACTCCAGCCTGGGCGATAGAGCGAGACTCCGTCTCAAAAAAAAAAGTACTAGACAATGTCCAGACTAGACAAATCCACAGAGAAAGTAGTCTGGTGATTGCTTAGGGCTGGGGGAGTTAGGGAAGGTGAGGAATAACTGCTAATGGGCATGGGCATGTCTTTTTGAGGTGATGAAATGTTCTAACAGTAACTGTGTTGATGGTTGCACAACTCTGAATATACCAAAATTTATTGAACTGTAAAAAAAACATTGTAGTACATATTAATTTTATAAAAAATAAAATAACCTCACCCCCTAAAAAAGAAATATTAGATAACAGTTGAACACTCACTAGCTGAGGAAAACAGGTAAGAGGTAACAGTTTTGAAGATATTATTGCCATAGCAATAAAGCGTTAGGAAAAAAATCCAAGGAGCAGAGTTGATTTACTGCACAGTCTTAATGTAAGAGTTAATTAACGTTAGTAGGCTGCTTAGTTTTCTTTAAAATTTATGATACAAAACCGAAAACCTTGACTATTACCATATGTGGCAAGGAAAGTACATGACATTTTGTGAAAGATAATATCTTATAAAATTTAGCCAAAATAATATAAGGAAAAACTTAAGTGAATATTCTCAAGGAACTATTGATATAAAGACACCAGGAGAGAACAATTATAATCTGGGGAAATTTGACAATTCCAAATGGGAATTTCATTGCAAGACCTTTTTTAAATTTTTCCCTATTTTCCTATAAGTACAATGCTGTCTCTTATTTAAAGGCAAATCACCTTGTATTTGTACTACTATTCCTTTTGGTTAGTCTACCTAAGTCTAATTAAATTTAACTACTAAAGAACCACTTTAAAAATCTGGAATGTCTTAATATATTTTGCAAAAAAATAGCTATATAACAATTTCAGCAGATATGACCGTAATAGAAGAGAATCACCAATATGTGGTTGAATGTTATAATATCCTAGTCTCTTCACGAGAGGTAAAAATTAGATTTAGTTATATTAACATAAAATACATTCTGGCAGAATAAGTCCAACAAATGAATGAGAAAAATGCTACATGAAATTGGAACTAAGCCCCAGTGGGTCTCCCTATCCTTATTTCATTCTTTATAATAATGAAAACTGTTTCTCAATACCTCAATTTACTTTGTGCATGGAATTGTTTTTACTACAATTGTTTGCTGGAGAGGAAATTATCTTTATGCTACTGCAGTGTGGAATTTTGAATTAATTAAAAACTTATAAATTCCCAGAAATGCCCAAGTGGGATATAATTTAACTGTTACTAGAGACCAAGGGGATCCACTTTACTCTGGATTTTTAGAGTAAAATCTCAGCAAATATCTCATGTCATTTGTTTTTAGATGATCATAAAACAAAATTGACGTTAGTCTAGCTCACAGGCACTTAGACTGGTTTTATAGATTATGGGCTGACATACTCACTACAGCCATCCATTTTATAACAAAGGCTTCATTAGCACTTCAGGAGCACAGAGGACTGGGAAACAAAGGAATCCACAGTGTGCTACATGTTGCAGATCTCCCGGAGTCTTCCAACTGTTTTTATCCTTTTCCTTAAGTATGTCAAAATGAGCTACTTCATTCCCACGTTGAAGGGAGGAAAAGATTATACTTAGTTTTAAATGGAGAACTGCTAGGAAATTTTACTTAAATTATGAGTGAAACACAGAAACGTGGGCAAAGTACAGAATGACAGACACCAAATGCACAAAAAGAAATTTAACTGCATGGCAAAGACAAGTTTTCACAGAGGGGTACCATGTACTACAGAGAGCATTTCAATTACTATCTTTGGTACAAAATTACACAGTGTATATACACAGTATCTACTATATACATGACATACACACACCATATGTACATACACACATATATATACATATATATTTAGGATAGTCTTTTTTTTTTTTTTTTTTTTTTAAGATAGGGGTCTCCCTCTGTTACCCAGGCTGAAGTGCAATGCTGTGATCATAGCTCACTTCAGCTTCAGACTCCTGGGCTCAAGCAATCTTCCCATCTCAGCCTCCTGAGTAGCTGGGACTACAGACATACACCATGATGCCTGACTAGTTTTTTAAATAATTTTTTTGTAAAGATGGGATCTCTCTATGTTGCCCAGGCTGGTCTCAAACTCCTGAGCTCAAGTGATCCTCCTTCCTTGGCCTCCGGAAGTGTTGAGATTACAGGCGTGAGCCACCATGGCTGGCTAGAAGAGTCATTTTTTTTTTTTCTCCTAAATCTGCTTGAACATTCTTCTACAGGGGTGTGTTGCAGATAATTCTGAAAAAAATATATATAGAAGAGTAATTTTAGGGAAGTTCAGTGCTCTTTTCCTTTTTCTGGTAGGGAAGATGTTCACAAAAATGTATTTATTGACCATTAACTTTTTGCTGTAAGAATTCAGTCATACAGTCGTACAGCGTACAGAATAATTCTTCGTTGTGTGGCACTAACCCACATGCTGCAGGACATCATTCTCCCTGGCTGCATCCACTCATTGCCGGGAATAGTCCCCAATTATTATGAAATCACCAACAACCCACTGACCACAGTGAGAACCACTGATTTTTTCCACTGACCTAGTGACTATCTAGCATCCTTAGATCGGCTCAACTGTTACTTCCCCAAGGAGACCTTCTATAGAGTAGGTCAGATCCTTGCCTCCCAAACCCCTTATTTTTAAAATACTTTGTGCCTTGCTTTGATAATTTGTATTATGTATCCAAACTGAAATTTTCTGCTTTCTGCATTAGAATGTAAGCCCCCTGGGGGTTGAGTCAGTCTGTCTTGTTCGCTGTGCCACGGCTGATGCCCAGCCCAGCAGGATGCTTTGTACACTGATATACTGGGTACATTTTGTTGAATAAATTAAGCTCAACTTTATATTTCAATAGTTGAGTTGTATTGCTTCTTGTTCTTCAAGCTTAATTTGAACTGTCTAATAAAAAGAAGTAATTAAAAAAAAGAATTCAGTCATAAAAAAAGTTCCTTTGTTTTTTTTTTTTTTTTTTAGACAGAGTCTCGCTCTGTCACCAGGCTGGAGTGCAGTGGTGCGATCTCGGCTCACTGCAACCTCCACCTCCTGAATTCAAGCAATTCTCCTGCCTCAGCCTCCCAAGTAGCTGGGACTACAAGCATGCACCACCACACCCAGCTAATTTTTGTATTTTTAGTAGAGACCGGGTTTCACCATGTTGACCAGGATGGTCTCGATCTCTTGACCTCGTGATCTGCCCGCCTTGGCCTCCAAAAGTGCTGGGATTACAGGCGTGAGCCACTGCGCCCAGCCCATAAAAAATTCTAACCCTGGGGAGGATGGTATCTCTACACAACTTATCTTTTGGCCTATATACTCATTTTGAGGCACAATTAGTTGCCCCAATGCACAATGCTTTCTGGAATACATAAAAGAATGTTCATAGAAAATACAAATATAGGAGACTGTATTTACAAGGGCAGGGAAGTAGTGAAGTTATCTGTCCCTCAAATTCAGGTTTTTGGACCACCTGCATCAGGGTCACCAGCAAGCATGTTAAAATGCAGACTCAGGCCCAGCGTGATGGCTCACACCTGTAATCCCAGGACTTTGGGAGGCTGAGGTGGGGGGATCACTTGAGGTCAGGAGTTCAAGACCAGTCTGGCCAACATGGTGAAACCTGGACTCTACTAAAAATACAAAAATTAGCCGGGCACGCTGGCATGCACCTTTAGTCCCAGCTACTTGGGAGGCTGAGGCAGGAGAATCGCTTGAACCTGGGAGGCAGAGGTTGCAGTGAGCTGAGATTGTGCCACTGCACTCTAGCCTGGGTGACAAAGCAGGACTCTGTCTCAACAACAACAAAAACTGCAGATTCACAGGCCCAATCCAATAATTAATGAGAATCTTTGGGGATTCAGGAATCTGCACTTTTAATACACCCCATGTGATTCTGCCATGCACTAAAATGTGAATCACCGCTACATTTCTGCAACCTTTAAAAACTAAGGTGTGTGTCTCATTTTACTTCAGGACGGAGCCCTGACAGCAATGTTTGCTACGGCCTCCCTCTGCAGTCAGCCTAAAGCAAGGAGCTGGAGGTAGATGAGGCAAAGGTAAAGGAGACCAAAACAGTATTTTAAAGAAAAAATCATTTATCTTCAAATAGGCTCCAAACCTAAGGTAAGAATGTATTGATTTCATTGTACTAAAGGGAATACACAAACCTACTAAAAAGAATGCTGGCCAGGCACGGTGGCTCATGCCTGTAATCCCAGCACTGTGGGAGGCCGAGGTGGGGAGATCATCTGAGTTCAGGAGTTCGAGACCAGCCTGACCAACATGGTGAAACCCAATCTCTACTAAAAATACAAAAATTAGCTGAGTGTGGTGGCATGTGTCTGTAGTCCCAGTTACTCAGGAGGCTGAGGCGGGAAGATCACTTGAACCTGGGAGGTGGAGGTTGCAGTGAGCTGAGATTTAAAAAAAAAAAAAAAGCCGGCCAGGTGCGGTGGCTCATGCCTGTAATCCCAGCACTTTGGGAGGCCAAGGCAGGCCGATCACGAGGTCAGGAGATCAAGACCATCCTGGCTAACACGGTGAAACCCGTCTCTACTAAAAATACAAAAAAATTAGCCGGGCGTGGTGGCAGGCGCCTGTAGCCCCAGGCTGAGGCAGGAGAATGGCATGAACCCAGGAGGCAGAGCTTGCAGTGAGCCAAGATCCTGGGCGACAGAGCGAGAATCCGTCTCCAAAAAAAAAAAAAGAATGCTAAGGATGCTAAGACACAGAAGTACTAGAAATACTATAATAGTAATGCATAGTAATGCTTTTAAATGGGCATATGTGTTTATAATCATTTTGACATCTTAGATTTCAATTTAAGGTAAAATGGGCAAGAAACAAAAAACAAAAATTCTTATGTCCAAGTGCTCTGCATCTCTGGAAAAGAAGTTCTTTTTTATTTTCCCAGGGTTATTATTATAATGCTAATTTACTTTTTTAGTTTTTTGTTTCTCCCTGCATCCGATAGTGCTATAATTTTTTTTTTTTTTTGAGATGGAATCTTGCTCTGTCACTCAAGCTGGAATGTAGTAGCACAATTTTGGCTCACTTCAACCTCCACCTCCCAGGTTCAAGTGATTCTCCTGCTTCAGCCTCCCTAGTAGCTGGGATTACATGCGTGCACCACCATGCCTGGCTAATTTTTGCATTTTTAGTAAAGACAGGGTTTCACCATGTTGACCAGGTTGGTCTCGAGCACCTGACCTCAAGTGATCCCCCCGCCTCAGCGTCCCAAGGTGCTGGGAGTACAGGCATGAGCCACCACACTCGGCATATAATTTACCTTTTTAATAAAAAGGTAAGAGAATATATTTTCCCATAACATGCCACCAAATTCCTTTTTCTCCTCTTGCAATTTCCAAACACTGAGAAATCACCCATATATACACAGTTCAATGGGGAGAGATAGCATGCTGACCTCTATGTAGCATTAGAAATATAAGCAATAGGCCGGGCGTGGTCCCTCACGCCTGTAATCCCAGCCCTTTGGGAGGCTGAGGCAGGCGGATTACCTGAGGTCAGGAGTTCGAGACCAGCCTGACCAACATGGAGAAACCCTGTCTCTACTAAAAAAAAAAAAAAAAAAAAAATTAGCTGGGCGTGGTGGCGCATGCCTGTAATCCCAGCTACTGGGGAGGCTGAAGCAGGAGAATCGCTTGAACCTGGGAGGCGGAGGTTGTGGTCAACCAAGATCGCGCCACTGGACTCCAGCCTGGCAACAAGAGCGAAACTGTGTCTCAACAACAACAAAAGAAAAAAAATAGAAAAGAAATATAAGCAATATCCCACACATCATTAATAAAATAAAAACTACAAATTCATTTCCATAAGGAAAGATCCAAATGGCTAGATTCTTCATCTGAATCAGAAATCATTGTTTCTCGTTATTTTCATGGCAACCCCGCATTTCGTTTAATCAGAGGGTATTTTATAGCACTGATTTACGCAGTAGGCATAAATCAGTGTGTCCACCTGCTACACACGATAAAACCCTAAACCAAAACAACAGTGATAATAACCATCACCCTCCCTCCTCCCCCTCGAAAAACCAAAAACACTTTCTTCAGTGCTAAGAATTAACTATTAACTATCATGCTAAAGGTCAAGACTTAATGCATATTTCAAAAGAATTTAAATCAAACCACAGCTTTTCTTACAAATATACCTATACAGAGCAGATAATCAGAGGCACAAAGTGTCACTGTACCCCTCTCCTTCCACTACCTGTCCATCTTCCTCACTTTTGGTATAAAATTTAGAATAACAGGTAAGAAAATCAGTACAACTGCTGAGGAAATTGGTGTTGAAGAATTTTTCACAAAATCAGTTATCTCCCAAATAAACTTTATTTTGAAAAGAATATCACAATATAGTCATGTAAATTTAAATATGGCACACTGAGCAGTATTGACGCAAATTATATAGTCATGTAACCATGTTTCGGTCAATGTACAATATATATATGATGGTGGCCCCACAGATTATAATGGAGTTGAAAAATTCCTGTCACCTGCTAGGGATGTCTTGATCCTGACCCTGCATAGGCCTAGGCTAGTGTGTTTGTCTTGGTTTTTGACCAAAAAGTTTAAAAATTCAAAATTTAAATAGATAAAAGCTTATATAATAAGGATATAAGGAAAATATTTTTGTACAGCTATGCAATGTGTGTTTTAAGCTACGTTATTACTAGAAGAGTCCAAAAATTGTTTTTAAATAAGTTTCTAAACTAGAAAATTTACAGTAAGCTAAGGTTAGTTTTTTATTATTTCTATAAAAATTATAGAATTTTTTTTTTTGAGACAGAGTCTTGCTCCTCTGTCACCCAGACTAGAGTGCAGTGGTTCGATCTTGGCTCACTGCAACCTCCACCTCCTGGATTCAAGCAATTCTCCTGCCTCAGCCTCTCAATTAGCTGGGACTACACGCATGTGCCACCACACCTGGCTAATTATCGTATTTTTAGTAGAGATGGGGTTTAGCCATGTTGGCCCGGCTGGTCCCAAACTCATGACCTCGAGTGATCCACCCACCTTGGCCTCCCATAATGCTGGGATTATAGGCATAAGGCACCATGCCCAACCAGAAGAAAAACATTTTTTATAAATTTTAGTGTCACCTAAGTGTACGGTGTTTATAAAGTCTACAGTAGTGTACAGTAATGTCCTAGGCCTTTACATTCACTCACCACTGACTCATCCAGAGCAACTTCCAGTTCTGTAAGCTCCGTTAGTAAGTGCCCTATACAGGTATACCATATATATATATATACACACACCATATATATATATACTATATATATATATACCATATATATGGTATATATATATATATAGTATATATATATATATATATTTTTTTTTTTAGATGGGGAGTCACTCTGTCACCCAGGCTGGAGTGCAGTGGTATGATCATGGCTCACTGCAGCCTTGACCTTGCCAGGCTCAGGTGATCCTCCAACCTCAGCTTTTGTACTTTTAGCAGAGACGGGGTTTCGCCATGTTGCCCAGGCTGGTCTTGAGCTTCTGGGCTCAAGCAATCCACCTGCTGAGGCAGCCTCCCAAAGTGCTAGGATTACAGGCGTGAACCACTGCACCTGACCAGATTTTTTACAAAATCTTTTATACCATATTGTTATTGTTGTAGTATCTTTTCTGTGTTTAGATGTTTGAATAAACAGACACTTGCCATTGTGTTACAATTGCCTACATGATTCAGAACAGCAACATGCTGTAGCCTAGGAGCAATAGGCTATATACATGTCCTACATGTGTAGCAGGCTACACTATCTAGGTTTGTGTAAGTACACTCTATGATGTTCCCACAACGATGAAATAACCTAATTAGACATTTCTCAGAGTGCATCTCCATCATTAAGTGAGGTATGACTGTACATGTGAAGTCACAGTTCATGTCTGATTATTCCCACTAATAGAAGAGTACAAAGGTACAGTGAAACCAAAAAAAAGAGCAGATAACTTAAAAACCATAACTTGTGCATATGTTTTCATTTTATACTTGTGTCCAAATGTTTAGATGAGAACTGATACAAATTCACAGGTTTTTAAAAATGCTGCCTGAATAATCAAAACTCTTTTTACTTTTCTTGCCCTACTATAGATAGCATCAGTAATGTTTATACAGAGTAGCACCATCGGACAAACTACTTTCCCTTCTCCCATCATAGAGTATAAGGCTGTCTGTATTATGGCTTAAAACATTAGCAATGACTTAATAGTTTTCAACATACAGCTGATTTTGTTGGAGAAAGGTGTTACAGTATAGTCTTGTTAAGAACTTTATGTTTTACTGAGGAAAATGTCAACATATAATCAGTGAAAGTGGTCTACATATGATGTAATAATTGTTCATAATTCTTTTTAAACAACAAATGGGGGTAAATATGAATGAAAGAAGTAAAACACATCTGGAACCTCGCGTTGTTCAGGGTTTTTGAGGCAATTCAGAGCTAACTGCAAGATTATGCTATGAAACTGAAGCCATTTCTATATCATAGTGAGAATTCTAATGTACCAGAAACAGGCAGAAAGCCATCTTCAGAGAATGAAGACTCAAAGATAAACAACGGCACAGCAAACTGAAGAGAGAATTAGACCCCAGGGAAATTTTCACTTTTCATTAGTAGAGGGCAGTAGAAGACACTGAACTTGGGGACTGAATACTGGTTCTGCAGGTTAGTGCTGACCCTGGGCATAACAGTCAATCTTTTTGAATGACAATTTCCTCGTCTATAAATTAGGTACAGTGAGATCCACCAGCTTGTTTTATGACTCAGAGCCATGAAAAGCGAAGATAATAATGCACTTAATATCATTTTGTACACTATAAAGGGCTACTCTTAGAAAATGAAGATTTGATAACTTTAAAAAAAAGAATTAAAGATAAAAGCCAATTTAAAATAAAATTATATATATTTTTTTCTTTTTTAAAATCCAGGATAGGTATTTATTCAATAGTAGCTGCTGTAGGTCTGCTTCTTTTTTTTTTTTTGAGATGGAGTCTTGCTCTGTCACCCAGGCTGGAGTGCAGTGGCACAATCTTGGCTCACTGCAACCTCCGCCTCCCGGGTTCAAGCAAATCTCCTGTCTCAGCCTCCCGAGTAGCTGGGACTACAGGTGTGCACCACCACGCCTGGCTAATTTTTGTATTTTTAGTAGAGACAAGGTTTCACCATGTTGGCCAGGCTGGTCTTGAACTCCTGATCTCAAGTGATCCACCCTCCTTGGCCCCCAAAGTGCTGGGATTACAGGCATGAGCCACCACACCCAGCTAACTTCAGTTTTTGATGAGACAGAAATGGGAAAATGTAGACTGGTTTACTACTTTATCTTATGATACAATGTTATTGTAGTATAATATACTATAGACTACCCATTAAAGAACCAGGAAGGATATTCCGCTAGCCTTAAGAAGTAAATATTGAATATAAATATAACTTTCTACCTCATCTATAACATATTGATACATTTTATTACAAAGAAACTCACACATAAATGATTTGTCCTATTTATCATAATAGGCCACCAATCACTAGGAGCCAAGCTTCATCAGCTTAAGTCCTAGGTAGCATGTCTCAATGCATACATATTTATATGTTATTAACCGTGTTTCTTTTCTTTTTTTCGAGACAGAGTGTCCAGGCTGGAGGTGATCTCGGCTTACCGCAACCTCCGCCTCCGGGTTCAAGTGATTCTGCCGCCTCAGCCTTCCTGGGTAGCTGGGATTACAGGCACGCATCACCACGCCCGGCTACTTTTGTATTTTTAGTAGAGATAGGGTTTCTCCGTGTTGGTCAGGCTGGTCTCGAACTCCCAACCTCAGGTGATCCGCCCGCCTCAGCCTCCCAAAGTGCTGGGATTACAGGCATGAGCCACCATGCCTGGCTATTAACCTTGTTTCTAACTTCAGCATTGCACATCTCCTTAGTAAAGCAGTAGCCATTAACAAGTCAGGTCCAACAACCATTTTCCTCTGGTCCTCAAGCAGAGACTCAGAGCCAGTTACACATAAACTATTTCATTATAACATGAAAATAGCAAGCCTTGGGCTATTGCAAAAGGCTTTTCAAATGTTGACCTCTAACTTGGAGAAAATAGAGGGAAGCAGAAATATAGGGTGCTAATTTGTGCTATAACCTGGTCTCATGTCGTGGTATATTCCCAGTTGCAACATTTTAAATTTATAAGTGAGAAAGTAAAACAAAGCTTCATATCTGTGAAAGTGAAAAATTGTCCAGAAGTCTTCTATTCAAAGACCAATTAGCTTTTTCTTCCCAATAACTTATCAGAAAGAAATGGGTACTTAGAAACCTAAGGGGTTCTTTAAATAGGAGTCAGAAAAAATATATAAAAATAAAAAACAAAGCAAGAAAGAACATTGTATAAAAATAAAATGTTCTTTAAAGATGACTGCCCTCTCTTGAAAGATGAGTGCTATATTAAAAGGGTAGATGTATCTCTATAACTCATCGTGTTTATATGTAAATTCTCTGGCAGATATAAACCCATCTTTGTCTTCATCTTCTTTATCAAAAATATCCTCCACCAAAGCATCATGATGACTTTCATTCACCACCGCACCATGTTTTTCAAACTCCTTCTTTAAATATGCTTTAACCTACAAAATAACAGATCCCATTAATAACTTGGATTCATAAGATACCCACATTGAGCCAATCAATATCACAGACATGGACTGTTATTATATTTAGTTCATTAACTAAATATAATACCTTCTAAACAGCCATTTTATGACATAGTTTTAATGATAATTAAAAAATAATAGAAACTTTTTCCCTTAAAAAAACTGTTGCTAAACTGCTAAAGTGGAGACACAAAATATTGCTCAAAGGCAGGGCCAGGTGTGGTGGCTCATGCCTGTTATCCCAGCACTTTGGGAGGCCCAAGTGGGAAGATTGCTTGAGGTCAGGAGTTGGAGATCAGCCTGGCCGACATAATGAAAGCCCATCTCCACTAAAAATACAAAAAAAAGTTAGCCAGGCATGATGGCATGCGTCTGTAATCCCAGCTATTCAGGAGGCTGAGGCAGTTGAATCGCTTGAACCTGGAAGGCAGAGGTTGCAGTGAATCGAGATTGCGCTGCTGCCCTCCAGCCTGGGCAACAGAGTGAGACTCTGTCAAAAAAATAAAAAATTAAAAAATTAAAAATATATATATATATATAGCTCTCTCTATATATATATTGCTCAAAGGCAGAGATAAAGCTTATGTCATGTATACAATCCTCATATAGGGCTTATATTATTGGAGAATACCCAATGAGAGCATACTACTTGTTCTTAATCTGAATCTAAATACTAGGCATTTCTTTTCTTTTTTTAGACAGAATCTTTTTTTTTTTTTTTTTGAGACGGAGTCTCACTCTGTTGCCCAGGCTGGAGTGCAGTGGCGCAATCTCGGCTCACTGCAAGCTCCGCCTCCCGGGTTCACGCCATTCTCCTGCCTCAGCCTCCCGAGTAGCTGGGACTACAGGCGCCCGCCACCACGCCCAGCTAATTTTTTGTATTTTTAGTAGAGACGGCGTTTCACCGTGTTAGCCAGGATGGTCTCGATCTCCTGACCTCGTGATCTGCCCGCCTCGGCCTCCCAAAGTGCTGGGATTACAGGCGTGAGCCACCGCGCCCGGCCTTTTAGACAGAATCTTGCTCTGTCACCCAGGCTGGAGTGCAGTGGCACCATCTCAGCTCACTGCAACCTCTGCCTCCCAGGCTCAAGCAATCCTCCTACCTCAGCCTCACACGTACCTGGGACTTACAGGCATGTGCTACCACATCTGGCTTTTATATTTTTTGTAGAGATGGGGTTTCACCATGTTGCCCAGGCTGGTCTTGAACTCCTGGGCTCAAGCAATCTAAACCCCTCAGCCTCCCAAAGTGCTGGGATTAGAAGCATGAGCCACTGCACCCCATGGACACTTCTCTTAAAACTAGATTAAATAGTGGCATCTTTGACTTGAATAAATGTCTGCAAGTAGTGGGTCTTTTGGGTTTTGGTTATGATCATGTGATTAGATTGAGTCTAATCACAACCTTTCAATCTCAGAAAGTCAGGTCTGATAAGTGCCTAGACTACAATTTTCCATTTTCATTTGTTTTTTTGTTTTTCTTTTTTTTTTGAAATAGAGTCTTGCTCTGTCACGCAGGCTGGAGTATAGTGGCACGATCTCGGCCCACTACAACTTCCAACTCCCAGGTTCAAGCGATTCACCTGCCTCAGACTCCCTAGTAGCTGGGATTACAGGCACCTGCCACCATGCCTGGCTAATTTTTGTATTTTTAGTAGAGACAGGGTTTCACCAAGTTGGCCAGGCTGGCCTCGAACTCCTGACCTCAGAAGATTTGCCTGCCTTGGCCTCCCAAAGTGCTGGGATTACAGGTGTGAGCCACCATGCCCGGACTCCATTTTCATTTCATTCAGATATTTAAAAATATAAATATTGTTTTCAATTTCCCACAAGATTCACCACAATGAAAATCAGCCTATATTTTCAGTTTTAATTATATCACCTCTCTTCCTTCTGTTTAGACCAGCAATTTCAAATCCTCTCTCCCCCAGCTTTCAAGAAGTACACATATAGTATATATTTATTTTTAAGTTAAAGTGATTTAATGCAGTTGTTAAAAAAAGGGGTGGGGGAGAGATCCATTAATCCATTAAACTCTATGGATTAATGTAGAATGTATTTCTAGGATATATTGTGTGAATAAAGCAAAACGACAAAACAGCATGTATAGTTTGCTTCTTTTTGTGTAAGAAAGGGGGAAATAAGACTATGTATTTGGATTTGCAGAAAGAAACACTGAAAGGATATATTAGAAACTAATAAAACTAAGCCGGGTGCAATGGTGCATGCTTGTACATAGCGAGACCTCATCTCTACAAAAAAAAAAACAGAAAGAAAGAAAAAAGTAATTAATAAAACTGGATGTGGGGATAATAGAATAGAAGAGGATGTAGGTAGGAGAAAGACTTTTAAAAATATGTAAATAATAGGCCGGATGCGGTAGCTCACACCTGTAATCCCAGCACTTTGGGAGGCCAAGGCAGGCGGATCACAAAGTCAGGAGCTTGAAACCATCCTGGCCAACATGGTGAAACCCTGTCTCTATTAAAAATACGACAATTAGCTGGGTATGGTGGCGTGCACCTGTAGTCCCAGCTACCTGGCAGGCCGAGGCAGGAGAATCGCTTGAACCCGGGACACAGAGGCTGCAGTGAGCTGAGATCGCACCACTGCAATCCAGCCTGGCAACAGAGTGAGATTCCGTCTAAAAAAAAAAAAAACAGTAAATAATAGAGATAAAGTCTTCCTATGTTGGCCAGGTTGGTCTTGAAGTCTCAGCCTCAAGCAATCTTCCTGCCTCAGCCTTCCAAAGTGGTAGGATTACAAGTGTGAGCCACCTCACCCAGCTAAGACTTTTAAATAAATATCTTTCTGCTGGGCACAGTGGTTCACGTCTGTAATCCCAGCACTTTGGAAGGCCGAGGTGGGCAGATCACGAGGTCAGGAGTTTGAGACCAGCCTGGCCAATATGGTGAAACCCCATCTCTACTAAAAATACAAAAATCAGCCAGGCATGATGGTGCAGCTACTTGGGAGGCTGAGGCAGAATTGCTTGAACCCAGGAGGCAGAGGTTGCAGTGAGCCGAGATTTTGCCACTGCACTCCAGGCTGGGCAACAGAGCAAGACTCCCTCTCAGGAAATAAATAAATAAATAAATAAATAAATAAATAAATAAATAAATAAATAGATTTTTGTTTTGAACCATGTGACTGTGTTATATATTCAAAATTATTTAATGAAAGGGAATTAAAATTTATCTTGGATGGAAGAAAAAGGCATGTGACTGGTAATACTATGAGGTGTTATAAATTTAGTGGCTGTGGATCATGAACCCCTGGTTCGTAACAATTTGGCTTATTCAAGACTTAATCATTTCCTGGCCATTAGAATGAATTTGATCAAAGCATAGAAAGGGACTTGATATCTGACCAGTCAGGACAGAATGGAGTGTGAGTAGATAAAAAACAGGAATAAATATCTCCCTCCACTTCTTTCCCCGCAGCAGCCAGACTAAGACAGGTATGTGTAGCAATGGCCGAATTATAAGGAGAAGCCTCTTCTTCCTTTCTCTTTACCCAAAGGCTCAGATTTTGATGGGGCTGGAGCCCTGCTGTGTAAAACCCAGGCTGGGGTCTCTTTTCTCTGGGGCAACCTGAACAAAACAGAGCATGTAAGTTGCTTGCTGTTAATTGCCAGGAAAACACTACAAGATGTATTTAACAGCCAGTCTACAGTTTTAACAGAAACTGTCCACATGAGATATTTCTCAGGACAGCTAGCTTCTTATACAGTAACTCCAGATGGAAACTGTCTTGGCAAAATTGTTCTTTCAAAGACCCAAGGGTAAGCATAAGATACAGTGAACCCTAAGCATTGGGAAGAAAAAAGCAAAAGATTGAATGGTGCTTTTTAAGTCTTAATATATTTCTCTCCAAAACAGTGATTCACTATGAAAAAGTCCACTTTCAAAGCATCAGTATTTTAAGAAAACTTATAAATAAATGTTACCTAAATAAAAGTAGATTTGAAATATACACATATTCATTTAAAAAGTGAGTTACAAAAACAAAACAAAACAAAACCCCAAACAACCAAAGAAAAGTAGAAAGAGGAGTAGGAAGAAGGAAAGGTCACCTCATCTTTAGAGAGTTTCCAGTCATCATTAAGATCCATTTCTTGGAATGATTCATGGGATCTTGGTCCATTTCGAATCTCCAGGAGATCAATATTAAATATCAGTGTACTTTCTGGGGGAATTTTACCTGACGTGAGGAAAGAAGGCAGAAAGTTTTAAAAGAGCCAAAAGTTTTAATAATAGAAAATTTATGGTAATGGACAAAGTATTTTTTTTAACTGAATTAAAGAGCCTTCCTAAGATTGTCATATATGATGAAAATTATGTATATTATATTTTACTCGAATAGAATAGAGTAAAAGAAGAAATAATATACACTAGCAGAGCAAAAGCATTCTATCTTTGGCTTAGCAATTAAAATGTAAATACACATACACACAATGCATATACATACATAGAGATGTACCTAATGGCTTAGGTATTACATTTCTAATATAATTAATATATTACATATTATATGTCAAGAAGGACTTGAAGGGTTTTAGATAATTCGGAGTTAAGTATATTAAAAGTAATAAACTAACTTTTTGGTCAGAAAGTCCTGACCTAGAAATACATACAGTATTGCCATTTCTACCACTAGAAGGCATTTCTACCCATATAATTGAGTAAGCTCTGGTGTCACACTGTCTGAGGCTGAAGTTTACATTTGCCCATCTCTAAGCCTCAATTTCCTCATCTATAAAATGCAGATAATAAATTTCCTCCTCAGGAGTCTGTTGGGAGGATAAAGGGAGAAAAATCCATGCAAAATACTTAGCATTAAACTTGACAAATAGTAAACTCTCAATACATGTTATTGAGGTATAATTTTCTCACAGGCTTTAAAAATAATGCAGGAAGGTTTAACAATTTCAGAAAGTTAGGAAACACTACCTCTGATATAGAACATTATATATATGTTGAAGACATTTCATGGGAGGGGAGAAATTAAAATGAATTTCTGAGAAGGGAAATTAAAAATCTTTAAAAGTGAAAAGAGCTTTGTTAAAATCCCAGGAACCTGAAACAAACAAACAAACAAACAAACACACCCATCTGTGGAGTATGGACAATTGTTTTTCTCAAACTTGTTTCCTTATAACTATATTTAACATACAGGTCTGTGTAAACATGTTAAATATTTCTTAGTCATCCTCCCCCCATCCCACATATTTCCATGAAAGAACATTCATAAATTCCAAAGAGAAGACTTATAAAGTGTGCTGAAGCTTACCATTTCAGATCTAGACAGAGATGTGACATGCGCTAGGTTGTTGATAAAACTGGTATCTTTCCAAAAGAGGCATGCAAGCATGTACTAAAAGACTACAAAATTAGTGTTAAATACAGATTAGAAAAATTAGTTTCATGGCATTCAGTTTGAAGGAAATGACTCAAATTTAGATCTCTACTTATTGTGAAGTAAACTTGAGTTAAATATAGTATGAGAAAGAGTAATGGACTAATACAACGTACAGTAGTCCCCACTGGGATATGTCCCAAGAATCCCATTAGATGCCTGAAACCATGGATAGTACCAAACCCCATACATACAATGCTTTTTCCTATACATGCATATCTGTGATAAAGTTTAATTTATAAAATAGTCATAGTAACAGATTAAAAATAATAAAATAGAACAATTACAACAACATATCATAATAAAAGTTATATGAATGCAATCTGTCTCTCATTCTCAAAATACCTTAATATTTTCAGACTGCAGTTGACCACAGGTAACTAAAACGGTAGAAAGTGAAACCACAGGTAAAGGGGAACTACTGTATGTAAATATTAAAGGTGAGACAATAAAGATAAAATGAAAACATTCTCAGCATCAGAAAAAATTTTCTAGATACTTGGTTTTCTTCTCTAAAGAGGATTATGACTAAAAGAAGAATTGAATTTGGTTAGTTAATCTTATCCTATGAACAAGATTTGTATAGATTTGTATATTTTGGAATATATAATGCTTGCCATATGGCATCTATTTTCCTTCTCAGGAAATGGGCTGTGAATCCTGACTCCTCACTTTTGTCAGTGGTTAACCTTAGACTTCAGGATGCTATGAAGTCTATATTTATACTATATCAGAGTAGTTGTCTGTCTGGTTCTGATGACTACTTAAACTTTTTTTTCTTCATTATGTAAGTAATACATGCTCATTGTAGAGCACATACTTGGATGATAAAACCAGAAATAAATATGATTCCCAGTATCACAGTCCATTTTTAACATTCTTATTTATTTCCTTATGATTAACTTTCTATGTATATGTACCTTTTCCTATATTTACTATCATATATACTATAGGTTTATTTTCTACTTTTATATATAATACTGTATCTCATGCATTTCAGATATAATTTTTAAACTCTTTGGAAATGCCATTTTAAATAACTGGGCCATATTTTATTTAGCTAAATTCTTACCAGTATACCACTTACGACAGTTCCAATTTTTTGCTTAGAAACAATGCAATTATGGACATCCCTGTTCACAAATTTTTTTCCTGATATCTAATTATTCCCTTAGGTTTGAAGGAATTATAGAATAAATGCATATAGACATCTTCAGACCTCTTTTTTTTTTTTTGAGATGGAGTTTGGCTCTGTCCCCCAGGCTGGAGTATAGTGGCACGTTCTTGGCTCATTGCAACCTCTGCCTCACATGTTCAAGCAATTCTCCTGCCTCAGCCTCCTAAGTAACTGGGATTATAGGTGCACTCCACTACGTTCAGCTAATTTTGTATTTTTAGTAGAGACAGGGTTTCACCATGTTGGCCACGTCGGTCTCAAACTCCTGACCTCAAGTGATCCACCCTCCTTGGCCTCCCAAAGTGCTGGGATTACAGGTGTGAGCCACCATGCCTGGCCCAGACCTCTTGATATATATCACAAAGCAGCTCTTTGGAAAGTTGCAGGGGTTCTCACTTGAACAGCAGGATATGTGTCTGCCCTGAAAAACTAGTACAAAAGCTGTCCGGACCAGCTAGCCAGCTTGCTTCTGCTTTGTGACACAGGGAGAATTAAATTCATTTCATGTCACTCTATGATTTTTTTTAAATACATTGTTAAAAACTTTATAAATAAATTTAAAAACGGGAATGAAAAGAACTCCCAGTTTGCTGTGGGAGACTTAATATTCATGAAGTACAACCCATATATAACCCACATCTAAAATGCATTCAATACTTTAATAATCTATATTTCACATGTTCAACTCATCCAAACACTTACGTTAATGGATCTTTCTCTCTGCATTGTTAAAGTAAATTGGTGAGTTTCAGTTTGGGAAGATGAGAACATTCTGAAGATGGATAGTGGTGATGGTTCCACAATAACATGAATGTATTTAATGCCACTGAACTGTGTACTTAAAAATGGTTCAAATGAAAAATTTTATGTATATTTTATCACAATTAAAACAACCCACCATATTTGTGAACAGTATTAATAGACCTCAATGTTCTTTTTTTATTGTTAGCATAGTTGCCCATTTAGACATTACGGCCTTAAACTGGCCATTTCAATTGATACTCAAGACATAATACAGTTGCTAAAGGAATACATACCCCCTATTAACTTCCAGGGGAAAAAAAAAAGTTATAGTGACTCTAACTTCTGTCTCCTAATCCAGAGAACAACTCTAGTGCTATAGTAAGAAAAATACAGAAATACTATTACCTTTTCCTTCTTTTCCATAGCCCAGAGCAGGAGGAATGATGAGCTTTCTCTTCTCTCCTACACACATTCCTTTCAAGCCCTGGTCCCAACCTTTGAGAGCCTCCAGGATGCCCAGGGTAAACCAAATGGGCTGACCATTGTTATGTTTGTGACTATGATAGAAATAAAACACATTAGAACTCCTTATTAACTCTAAAAAATTTTCTTTAGTGCATTTTCCCACCAGTAAGTGGTTAAGTTTATTAGTTTAAAAATTTATAAATACAGCAATTCTGTATTTGCACACATACACACACACCTCCAAGTCAAGTTTATAGGAATTCAATTCACTGCCCATCTTTCTTGATGCAAATTTCACATACTTGACTGGGCTTAAGAAAGACAGAGGAAATAATAAAAACAACAACCATTTGAACATTTGTTGTATACCAGGAATTATTCTAAATTTTATTTTATTTTTTGCCTCTTAACCCTTACAATAAGTCTATAATATAAGTACCATTACTACCCCATTGCACAGATGAGGAAACACAGGTTAAGTTCCAGTCTTTAAACCTAACTCCAAAGTTCAAGGTCTTAATCACAAAGTTATGTTGTCCCAGGAAGGCCACTAGGTTGCAGAACAAGGAGAAAATAATGGAAAAATGGCTGAGTTTGGGAAGGAGATTGAAAGGCTAAGGAGAATTTACTGCCAACATATGTGGGTCCATATGCACACAGATATGAAGAGTGAGAAGCACAGTGTCTTATATCCTGCCTACAAACTTGCCTTAGCTATGGCCTGCTGATGGCTCTGACGGGTAGAAAAGGCTGCTTTTCATCCCTAAATCCCCACTCAGACCCTAGCCCAGTTTCCTCCTCAGGGGTCTACAGTGGGGCTATATAGGAAAGTCTGGAAGAGTAGCCCCTCAAGGACTGGTGTGTTAGTCCATTTTCATACTGCTATGAAGAAATATTCAAGACTGGGTAACTTATAAAGAAAAGGAGGTTTAATGGACTCGCGGTTCCACATGGCTGGGGAGGTCTCACAATCATGGCGGAAGGCAAAGGAGGAGCAAAGGCACGTCTTACATGGTAGCAGGCAAGAATGAGTGTGCAGAGGAGCTGCCTTTTATAAAACCATCAGATCTCGTGAGACTTATTTACTATCACAAGGAGAACAGCATGGGAAAAACCTGCCCTCATGATTCGATTACCTCCCACCAGGTCCCTTCCACAACATGTGGGGATTATGGTAGCTACAATTTAAGATGAGAATTGGGTGGGGCCATAGCGGAACCCTATCAACTGGGGACGAGGGAAATAGAATGTCCTGGCTCATGAGTTGAAGAGAGTCTAGCCTAGGAAAACCAACCTGCCGAACTACATACAGGGAGGCTTAAGGGCTGAGTAATGCCTGATCCCTACCTAGCTCCCTTTCAGTGCAATAAGGAAAATATTCTATTCAAGGATATCTTGTAGGTGAGAAAAAGAAGTCACTGTACTACGCTTCATGAGTACCATGGTTACTAAATCTGGGTAATGCCATTTTTTCCTGTAATTTTGCCCAATGATCAAAGTAACAAAATGCCAACTGTAGAAAATTTGGGAAGGCTAGAAATGAAAAAAGAAGCAGGAAACATTCTACTACTCATCACTGACTACAATTTTAGCACAGTTCTTCTTAGGGCTAAGCAATTTATCCCATAGGCTATGGTTCTAGAGATGGCAAACGTGCTTACAAACTGATCATTTGATGGTATTTCTTTTTCTTCAGAGCGGAGTCTCGCTCTGTTGCCCAGGCTGGAGTGCAGCGGCGCAATCTTGGCTCACTGCAGCCTCCGCCTCCTGGGTTCAAGCGATTCTCCTGCCTCAGCCTCCTGAGTAGCTGGGATTACAGGTGCCCACCACGCCCAGATAACTTTTGTATTTTTAGTAGAGACGGGGTTTCACCATGTTGGCCAGGATGGTCTCAAACTCCTGACCTCGCGATCTGCCTGCCTCGGCCTCCCAAAGTGCTGGGATTACAGGCGTGAGCCACCACGCCCAGCCAATTTGATGGTATTTCTTCATGAAGTTTACAGTTAGCAGCTTCTGACCATTTACATGGAGGCTGCATGATAACAGTCCCCTCATCAGGTATTAGAACTTAGTAGCAAACTGCTAAATAATATTCCATGGCTACCACCAAAGTCAGCACAGGTTTTTGGTTCAGAAATCTGAAAGAAGTCAGGCTGAGTCTAAAAGAGATCAGACTAAAAATAACAATATAACTGAATTTTCAAAATGCAAATCACATCATTTAATATCCACCGTGGCACTCACCTAGTTGACAAGAAGAAAGGGCTGTTGAGAATTCTAAGGCAAGCCATTTTTCTGGAACTTTTTCCCAGGGCTAACAGTTTAGAGAAGAGCCCCATTCATTTCCCCAACCCTCAAGACAGACCAGGTCTGAATGCCCAGTAAAGGCAGTTTATTAGAAAATCAGGTGGAGGATGGGCTATGAAGATTTACTGTTTTAATTCATGTTATTCCCTCTACCTACAACATCCTTCCCTACTTTCCCCCTGGAAACCTCCACCCATCTTCCAAGGTTCATTTCAATTATGGTCTCTGGGAAGTCTTTCCCTTTCCCCACCCCATGGAGCCTAACTACTTCAGGCCCAGTTACGCTTTGCTAGCACTTTGAATATTCTGTACCCTATATCATTGCATTATTTACTTGTCTTTCTCCCACCTGTAGATGGTGTATACTGTTAGAGGACAAGAACCTGCTTCTAGCCATCTTTGCGTCTCCAGGACCTGACTTGTGACCATTCAATAAGAGTTTGATAGATGGACAGACTAATGAATAGATGAAGATGATTAGAAGCCAAAATTTCTGAATCTTCCTAGCACCCAGAACATGGCTTAACATCAAGGAAATGCTCACTAAATACTGTCATAATGGAATGAATGGAACCGATGCCTAATTGAAAATCATTAGGCTGTAAACCATTTCCATGTTCCAATTTCTTCGTTTATAGAACAGAAATGATAGTGTAACCACCTGAAAATCCTTCACCTAGACTTCCAAAACCACACCCACCTCATCAATGAAGTCTGACTCTCTAGAAAGAAGCAAATGACTGAAATCATGGTCCTGTGCCTTGACCAAAATACCATTCGTCAGAACAAAAGAAGTAGGTCAGTGAAACGGCATTAGTATATCCTTCAACAGGCAAATAAGTGATAGTGTAGTTTGCTTTTGAAGTCGCTGTGAAAAGTTTTAGGTGAACATCACCTACACCACATTAAAAATGGAATCAAGTCATTTTCTTTAAGAAATGGAGTTTGAGATATGAGAATTCTTTTGGGCTTTTTCTACTTATTGGCCAATTATACACCCAGATATATTTCTGCAATATTTCAAAGATTCTAGTTCTAATTTGTATAATAAAAAAAATTAACAGCCTTTTCCAGACCACATGTTTCCAACAAGACCTTCAAAGGCCTCGCTCGCTATATAAAACTGGCTTTAAACAATTTCCTTTCCCAAAGAAGGAAATAAGATATTTCGGTTTTGTAAAAGAGGCAAAACCAGGTACAGGCCACCTTTCCTGCTGGAGAGCTGGCATAAGTGAGTGGATTCTTAATTACTATTTTACCTGCGGGGCATAATTACTTACGTGGAGTGAAATAAGGAGCCGTCCTTTTCTAAGTAGCCTTCATAGTGGACCAACATCAAATCCCCTCCTTTGGTCTTGCGATGGCAGATGAATGGCTTCTGGAGAACTTCAATTTTCACTTCTGGTTCAGGGATCAAAGCCCCAATCAAAGAAGTGACGAACAGAGTCAAGACCGCGTTCCACAAGAAAAGCCTCATGTTGCTGAAGCAAGGAAAGAAGTCCCTACAAAAGCAGCGAAAGGTCCCTCGACTTCATAGATTTAAGAACGTAGTTCAAGGCTTACGGACAAGGGCTTCAGACAAGTTCAGGACTCCCCCTTCTTAGAAGACGTGGCACATTTACCACCAACTCTTTTCTCAAGGGTCACGAACCTACCTTTAAAGAGTTAAGCCCAAATGCCGGCCTGACTGGCTCTTATAACGCGGCCGCCTGGGAATAGCAGCCTCCCATTGGCTATTGGTGCTGTCCTTCAGGCAGCTCTCAAGCCAATGACGCTGCAACGATGGAATTTACAGCCCGGTAGAGCCGGGCAGCTGCCAAGCGGCGGATCATCCCTTGTGGTCCTAGAGCCCGGTGGATTTCAGCATTCAACCAGCGTGGATTTTGGGAGAGGGGCGGGGCGCAGAGCCAACCGGAAACTCCTCCGGCTGATTTATCTCTGTGAAGAACCCTGCTGAGAGACGTAGGAAGAGTCCCGGGGCCCTATGAAATCTTCGGGGTTCCAGGAAAGACTCGTTTACTCTCGCCGTTGGAGAGCGGCCCCCCAAGATGCCACAATCCTAGGATTTTGCTATTGCTTATAAACTGTAAAGACTGACATACTGCTTGAGGGTTCACAAAGCGCGTTCCCGTTGCATGAACCTCACTACACCCAGTAAGGCAGGTTCTTTTTTCCCATTTAAAAGAGAAGTAAATTTACACCAGGAGATATTAACTGTCCTGCTTAAGGTTGTTTGGCCCCGAAGCAAATGAGCTCTGCCTTCAAACCAGGTCTGATTCATTCCACAGCACCACGTCATGTTATGGCTGCTAATAATTTATCCCTTAAGTTACCTTACAGGGTAAATAATGAGTTTCGACTTGCAGACTTCCGCTTTAAAGAAGAAATGGTAATCATGGTTACGAATTACACAGCCTCATCGTAGTTTACATTTTCTAGTTTTACATTTTTTGCCTAAGTTCAAAAGTAATGCATGTTCATTGAAGTCATTTTGGAAGAAATTGGAAAGCACTAAAGTAAGATTTCCAGATAATATTGGGGAGTCGAATCAAGTTGGAATTTCAGATACATAACGAATAATGGTTTTGCATTTTTATTTACTAAATCAGGCAACTTTAAAGAAAAAGAAAGCTCGCCGATACCACCACCAGCCGCAAACAATCCTCTTAATATTTTGGTGCATGCTTCTGTGACATATACTTAAAGCGATTTAAATCGTATTGTAGTCTTTTCTCACCTCCTCTTTCCACTTAATCTGTAGTTAACATTTTTTCTGGTCTAATAACCTTAACACAGTGCATATCCGCACTCTATGTGCATAGGAATCCCCCTGAAGATCTTGTTTAAAATGCAGATTTTGATCTGGAGGTCTGGGGTGGGTGCAAGATTCTGCATTTCTAACAAGCTCTTAGGTGATGTCAGTGCTCCGGGTCAGTAGATCAACACTTCCATAGTGAGACCTTAGAGTCTGGACAACATCTGTTTACACTGGCCTCATAGTATTCTACCCTGAAATTCCAATAATCTCTTTACGCCCTGTTATTGGTTACCTCAAGTGTGTGAGATCAATTAGGCAGCTTTGGAACAAGAATAGGGACTAGAACTCAGGAGGTATCGTGAGAGGTCACGTAGACCCTCAAACGGCGGGCACCATTTACAGTCAGAACTGCGCTCCACACTTGTCTCAGGGGCCTCCCTCCTCCCGTCGCCTAGTCCGCAGTCCGCGTCTCGGGACTCAATTTCCCTGCGGGCCGTTCCCGCAAACTCCGCCCCGCCGCCGCTGCCGCGAAATCCCGGAGTGGATTTTGGGAAGGGGCGCGCGAGCGGCGCCCTGGGCATGCGCGAGCGCGTCCCGGGCCCGGCGAGTCGAGGGTTCAGGTGGTGCGCCGTGGCGCCGCCTGCGACCGGCAGCTCGTTCGCCGCACTTTGGAGGCTTCGGCTGCCCCTCCGACCCACGTAGGGCCCGGACCCGGGCCTCCTTGTGAACAGCGTGCCGGCTTCGCCCCACGGGTTCACCGGCTGGCTGGGCTTCAAGCGCCGAGGCCGCCGCAGTGACCCCGCCCCCGGGCCGAGGATGTGAGGCGGGCCGGGCGTCCCCACACCGGGCCCGGGCGCCGGGAGTGGGCGTCTGGGCAGCGCCAGGCGATGGCCCTGCTGCTGGTGCTCCTCGCCTCTTGGGGCCTGGGGCAGTGAGGGGGCCGGCGGGCGTGGGCCGAGTGGCCGCGGGCGCCATGGAGGGGGTGCTGTACAAGTGGACCAACTATCTGAGCGGTGAGTGGCCGTGCCGGGCCGGGGGCGCGCCGGGGGCCGGTCCTTTGTCTGCGCGGCTGGAGGGCGGTGTCTGGACCCGTCTTAGGGAGGGGGTCACGGCCCTTTCCTGAGGCCAGCGCGGAGCGGGAGTATTTCCCAAAGCAGTTCTCTCACGGGACCGTGTCGCCGTGCAGGACGACACGGCCCTCTCTTGGGGTTGGTTAAGAGCTGTGGCTGCCCTTTCGCTTCAAGGAAGGCTACAAAGACTGAGATTTTGGGTGACTTGAAAGGCACGGTGCTCTTGATGTCAGCGGGAGGAAGGCGCAGACGCCCCGCCGTGGGGTTCTCTGGGAATCTCTTGAATTTTGGCGAAGGAACCGTACTCCCTTGGCTCGCAGCTAGGTTGGAAGGTTTCAAAAGAATGCCAGCAGTAACCTGGAATTCCACAGCGGAAAGATCCTTTATCAAAGTCCTCAGTGCAAACACTTTCCCTTTGTCACCTTCAGAGTCATCTGCGTGCACACCAGGGTGTCAAGAGTCCCAACTCCACAGTTTCAAAGCTCTGCACAAGGTTTTTTATTTTCTCGTTGAGCATTTCCTTTTGTTTTACAGACTCAGAAATTACCGTTAAATGAATGCAAATATTTGCAACTTTCTTGCCGTGCCTTACAGATTGGCTTTAAAATAGTCCCCGCCCTTTTTTTCTAGTTTGTGGAGGTAAAAGCTTCATATCTTGAGAAGGTTGTAACTGTTCTACAGCTGTGAAAATTATTCAGAACGATCATTTTTGTCATGTGTGCAACTAGTATTTAATACAAGCCTACTATATGCTGGAAACTGTGCTAGCCACTTTTTTGGAAGTAAACTTTTTATCACAGAAAATGAATTAGGTCTTTAAAATTTTAAAGGCAGTGTGTTTGAAAGCAGAAATGTTCCCAGTATCCCTTAGAGTGGGTGAGAGACGTTTTCTTTCTTTTGTGGGATAGTTTTTAAAAGGTTGTAGTATGGTAATGCGCCGGGTGTTTTAAGAATGGGTGTGTGTGGGAGGATCAGTTGGCATACATAGTAACTTCGAGGAGGTCACACAGCACAGCCAAAGGTGCCCCTATTGGGCGTACCCAGAATCTCTTCCCTTTGCTTAGTGTAATTAGCAGTGAGTTCACCTGTTTATTTTTTTTCTGTAATCATTAATAGAGACTAAATGAGAAGAGGTTTTTCTTGTTTGCGTCAAGGACCTTCAGTGATGTCTGCAATTAGATTAGATGAGAATAACTCAAAGCTAGGCTTTGGTTTGGTGGATGACAGAGGCTGATCAACACTGCTAACCTAAGGGGAGGAGGCTCGACCTGGCAGTTTTCCTTCTGAGGTCTCTCTAAGCTCTCAGATGCATATAC
Organism: Homo sapiens; assembly: GCF_000001405.40. Taxonomy (NCBI): domain Eukaryota; kingdom Metazoa; phylum Chordata; class Mammalia; order Primates; family Hominidae; genus Homo; species Homo sapiens. Next base: position 30,030,176 of record NC_000007.14, read on the forward strand.
TTGAGTAAAATTTAGTTCCTGATCCTTCACTCCTTTCCATTACACACACTTTTTTTCATTCATCTTCAACATTCTTCTTTTTTTCCCATTCTTCCCCATCCCCAACTTTTTTTGTTGTTTTGTGGGGTTTTTTCCCCCTCTTTTCCTTCTCCTTTCTATATAGAAAGTTTAGTCTCTTGATACAGTAACTATTTCCTGGTAGTGAAATGCTTTTGCTGTTGTTGTTGCTGACTGTCCTTGTGTATCCTTCAATAAAGCAGAACTCTCTAGAAGGATCTTTTGGAATCTTTGTTATTTGATTCCTATCTGTTCTGTTGGAAAAGAGTCTACTTTTTTCTTCCCAAAGTAAGAGAAGTTAATGCTGTGAGTGGTGCTAGGGTGGAAACCCTGAAGAAGAGGGCACTGGAGCCATTGCCAGAGACAGCTGTCTCTACGTGATGCTGCTTGTTCCCTTAGCCCACGTGCCCCGTCCTTGTAGGCATACTGTTCATAGAAGCCCATCACACCACTGGGTATTTTCCAGATATACATAGAATGATGGTTCGGCATATTCTCTCCTTTTAGGAGATAAATTTACTTGGGAAAGAAGTGGTAATAGCCTAGGAGGATCACATGCATTCTTGTTTCCTCCACCCTCCACTTTTCTACTTGTTCTTCGGAAGTGAGCATGTTGTGTTAGTGACAAGTTACTTTTTCTTTTTCTGAAGCTTGTTTTAAAAAGTAACTTTTTTTTTCTTGTAGGTTTGCACATACTAACTTTAAAATACATACAATCCCAATCCAAGTTTTTGTTCATTCTGAATTTTTCTCCAAAGGTAGTACGTAACCCATGCCTCTGTATGGTTTGTGTATTTGTCATGCTGACAGCTTGATATGGGATGCCTTGTGTCAAATTTGAGTGAAGTTAGGAAATCAGTTTATCACTTGGTCTTTTGAATCCTTAGGGGATGTTGTTAATTTCATTTACCATCTACTGTGCTAGGCACAGGGGAAGCAATGTTGAACAAAGCCCATGCCCTTCTTGAGCCTACAGTCTGGTGGGGGAAGAAAGATATTTATTGGTTAAGTGGTTAGAACCATGTTTCATTGTGTGTGATTGATTGGGGAGGAGGGAGGGCAGAGAGGCTAGTACGGGTTGTTAGAGAAAGCTTCTTTGAGGAAAAATTTAAGCAGAGTCTGAAGGATAAATCAAGCTGTTAATAGTTCGCTGGAGAGGCCAAGGCAGAGGTGTAGTTAGAGGAAATAAAGAAGAACTTTTCAGGCACAGGGAATGCCAGTGTCAAGGCCCCAAAGCAGAATGGAGACGTGCGAGTTTGAGGAAAGGAAAGAGGACCCATCTGGCTGAGAGCTGAGGAGAGTGAGGCTCCAACAAAGATGCAGGGGTGTGCGGGAGGCTAGATATTTCAGGGCCTCATAGGCTGGTTTAAACACTGTGATGTGATTGTGTGTGTGCATGTGGGTACATGCATGCATGCGTCTGTGAGAGAGAAATGATGAGATTGTTTAAAAGCTTACTCTGGCTTTAGCGTAGCGTAGAACATTTTCTGGTTACATCTTTATATCTCTCCTGCTGCATTTATTGTACTTCACTAAATACTATGTATTATTATTTTGTGAGCTTCTTTTGCCTCTTGAATTTTAAATCGATAGGTATTAATTACTGAAAGTTAGAATTCATCAAGCCCTGATAATAGCGTCTGAGGTTTATGTGAGTGTATTTCTAGAAGAGAAAAGAAGTCTCTTCCCTTAAATGCTAAGCGTATTCAGGTACTCTATCCTCCTTCAATGAAAAATACAAAAAAAAAAAAGTTTACATGTATTTTCGTTTACAGTCTGGTTTCATCCTGCCTTTTGGACATTCCGGGATTTAGTGCCAGTACCTTTCTTTAGATGTTAGAAGATTAAACTTGGGATGAAGAGAGTAAATTAAAAACATGTTACAGATTCCCACATTGTGTGAGACATACTTCTAAAGAAGCACTGTGTTTGTTATTTGTGTCTTTCAAGACCTAAAATTTAGTCAAGGAGTATTATACATGTAGGGCTACACATTAATACTCTAGAACGCTGGTTCAGGAGTCAGAGAGACCTGAAGCCTGGCAAACAGCCCTATTACTGCCAACTGCAGGGTCACTTTAGCATCCTGAGCCTTAGTATCTTCCTCCATTTAAAATAATGGGATTTACTAGTTTATAATTGTAAGAACTGTTAAAAATTTATTAGTACTTACAATGTGCCAAGCACTTTTCTAAACATTTTACATGGATTAACTCAGTCTTTGCAGCAATTTCAAAAAACAGTTGCCTTTATTATGCCCATTTTCCAGATGAAGACACTGAGATATAGAGACGTGGGTTTGCTGAAGGTCACACAGCCACTTATTAAGTGGCTTCAGAGTCAGTGCTCCATTAGACAATACTTTTAAAGGTCCTTCTTGCTTGATCATTATGTAATTCTAGCTGATTCATAATGTACCTATATTTAAAGTATGTTTGACCTAGAATAGCAGACTATTTCGGGGGTGGGAAGTGGGGAGGAATTCAGAAGTGAAGAAAGCTTTGACTGCCCAATGTTGTGCATATGTTTTGCCACGAGGAAATTTTCTAACCTGTGCTTTCTACTTTGTAGTTTTAGGTCCTTTTCCTGCCCACTCAGCTGATAGGAGGGCTGCTGTTGTGAACTCCAGCCAGCCGAAGGCTGCTTGTGCCTCTCCAGCAGGTTAAAGCTCAAGCACATTGCATTACTGCATTCTGAAAATAACAAAAGCCTGCATCATACTGGCCAGATGGTTTTCATTAAGGATGTGCTATAATTTTGTTTCCCCTCAGGTGGAGGAAGGTGACTCTTGCCCTATATACTATATATACTAGTGCTGTGTAAACAGTACCAGGAAGACATCTGGAGTATGAGGATTCTTGGTTTCACAACCACTGGTCAACCCTTTTTGTTGTTGTTAACATTTTAACATCTTTATGGAGATAATTCATAAACCATAAAATTCATCCATTTAAAATGTACAAGTCAGTGATTTTAGTATATATAAAAAGTGTAACTATTACCATGATCAATTTTAGAACATTTTCATTATCCCAGAAAGAAACCCAGTACCCATTAGCAGTCACTCCTACACCTACACCTGCCCTTCACTGTTGGCAACCACTAATCTGTCTGCACAGATTTGCCTCTTCTAGGCAGTTTATATAAATGGAATTATATAATATGTGGTCTTTTGTGGCTGGCTGCTTTCCCGTAGCATAATGTTTTTTTTGGATAGCATGTATCAGAACTTCATTCCTTTTTATTACCAAATAATATTTCATTGTATATGTATACCATATTTAGTTTATCCATTTTCAGTTGAAGAACATTTGGATTGGGCTGTTCTTTTTGTTTTTGTTTTTCTTGGTTATTATGAAATAACACTGCTGTGAACACTCATGTACAAGTTTTTGTATAGACATGATTTCATTTCTCTTGGATATCTATAATACCTAGGAGTGGAATTGCTGGAGTCCTATGATAACTCTTTATTTAATAATTTGAGAGACTACCAAATAGTTTTCCAAAGTGACTGCACCATTTTACATTCTCGTCAGTAATCAAAGAAGTTTCCGTCTTCACATTCTCATCAACCTCATTATCGTCTTAGTATAGCTATCCTAGTAGTGGATGTGAAATGATATCTCATGGTTTTGATTTATATTTCTCTGACTTAATGATGTTGATTATCTTTTTATATGCTGATTATCCATTTGTATATCTATTTGGAAAAATGTCTGCATTTTTTGCCCATTTGTTTGGGTTATTTTTTCATTACAGAGTTGTAAGAGGTTTCTTTTTTTTTTTTTTTTTTTTTTTTTTTTTTTTGAGACAGAGTCTTACTCTGTCACCCAGGCTGGAGTGCAGTGGTGTGATCTCCGCCTCCCGAGTTCAAGCAATTCTCCTGCCTCAGCCTCCTGAGTACCTAGGACTACAGGTGTGTGCCACCATGCCTGGCTAATTTTTTGTGTTTTTAGTAGAGATGGGGTTTCACTATGTTGGCCAGGCTGGTCCGAACTCCTGACCTCAGGTGATCCGCCTGCCTCGGCCTCCCAAAGTGCTAGGATTACAGGTGTGAGCCACTGTGCCCGGCCAAGAGTTCTTTATTCTGGATATAAGTTCCTTGTTAGATAGATGATTTGCAAATACAGTTGACCCATGAATAATGCAGGAGTTGGGGCACCAATCCCCACAGTCAAAAGTCTGCATGTAACTTTCGATTCCCCCAAAATCTTAACCAGTAGCCTGCGAATAACCAAAAGCCTTATGAATAACTTTAACAATTAACACATATGTTATGTCATATGTGTCGTATACTGCATTCCTACAATAAAGTAAGCTAAAGAAAGGGTTATGAAGAAAATGATAAGGAAGAGAAAATACATTTACTGTTCATTAAGTGGAAGTGGGTCATTGTAAAGGTCTTCATCCTTGCTGTCTTCACATTGAGGAGGCAGAGGAAGAGGAAGAGGAGGGGTTGGTTTTGCTATCTCAGGGTAGCAGAAGTGGAAGAAAATCCGCATGTGCACGGTTGAAATTCAAACCCATGGTATGCAAGGATCAACTGTATTTTCTTTTCTGTAGGTTGTCTTTTTCATTTTCTTCCTGGTATCATTTGCAACACAAAAGTTTTAAATTTTGATGTAGTCTGATTTATCAATTTTTTCTTTTCTTGTTTGTTTTTGGTGTTACATTATCTTAGGAAACCATTGCCAAACCTAAGGTCATGAAGATTTACCCTTAAGGCTTTAAAAATAGTTTTTAGTGCTTACATTTAATTCTCATCCATTTTGAATTAATTTTTGTGTACGATATGAGGTAAGAGTACAGCTTTTTTTTTTCACATAGATATTCAATACTCAACTCTTTACGATGTAATCTATGGTTTCAGTGATAAAGTCACAAGCCAGCATTGCACCAATTCTTAAGTGTAAAAGGTTGGAGTCAGAGAGCCCTGAGTTTGAACTTTTGCCCCACTACTTAGTAGTGCTAATACCTTGAGCAAGTTACTTAATCTTCCTGAGTCTCAGTTTTAAAATGACAGCAATAATAATAGCTGTACCTAGGTTTGTTAAGAATATGTAATGGATATTGAGCTTACTGTTAGCAGTTTCTGGGTCGTGCCCATTAGTGTCAGACACTCTGCAGACATGCTCCACTGTGTACCAGGCAGGTTCATAGTTCACTTTAAGGGTAGGTTAATTAGATCACTGTTTTGATTAATGATGCCCAGAAAATTTAGTCTCTGTGTATTCAGCTTTCTATTTGCAAATTGTGGTTCCTCATGGATTCTTTTTCATATAATTATTGGCCATTGCTGTCTCTTCCATTGTGAAGTGTCTGTTCAAATCTTTAACCTATTTTTAAAAGTTAATTGTTCTTTTTATTATTGAGTTGTGAGAGCTCTTTATATATTCTTATTTACTTATTTATTTATTTATTTATTTTGAGATGGAGTGTTGCTCTGTCGCCCAGGCTGGAGTGCAGTGGCACAATGTCGGCTCACTGCAACCTTCGCCTCCCGGGTTCAAGCAGTTCTCTACCTCAGCCTCCCAAGTAGCTGGGATTACAGGCGCCTGCCACCAAGCCCGGCTGATTTTTTTTTGTATTTTTAGTAGAGATGAGGTTTCACCATGTTGGCTAGGCTGGTCTTGAACTCCTGACCTCGTGATCCACCCTTCTTGGCCTCCCAAAGTGTTGGGATTACAGGCATGAGCCACCTCGCCCGGCCATATATTCTTAATTAAAATTCCATTGTAGACCAGGCATGGTGGCTCACACCTGTAATGCCAACACTTTGGGAGGCCGACATGGGCAGATCGCTTGAGGCCAGGAGTTTGAGACCAGCCTGGCCAACATGGTGAAGCCCCGTCTCTACTAAAAATACAAAAATTAGCTGGGCGTGATGGCACACGACTGTAATCCCAGCTACTTGGGAGGCTGAGGCACCAGAGTCGTTTGAACCCAGAAGGTGGAGGTTGCAGTGAGCTAAGGGGTTGCAGTGAGCCAAGATCACACCTGTGTTCCAGCCTGGGCAACAGAACGAGACTCTGTTGCAAATAAATAAATAGATAGATAGATAGATAGAGTGAGACTGTGTCTCAGATAGATAGATGGATAGATGGGTGACAGAGCAAGACTGTCACAAATAGATAGTGTAAGATTCTGTCTCAGGTAGATAGGATAGGATAGAATAGATAGATAGATAGATAGATAGATAGATAGATAGATAGATAGATAGATAGATAGATTAGATAGAGAAATAATGCCCAGAGGAATTAAGTAGTGTCCTTAAGATGACATACCTGGATGTTATGAGTCTGAACTTAAACCATGGTTTCCTCACTCCGTTGTTTTAAGGTGCTGGTAGGACATATGAGAAGCACTGTGCAGAACAAATAAATATTTAGTTTGGTAGCTCAAAGTGCACAGGAGAGGTGACCTACATCTTCTAGCAGAAGGTTTTAAAGAGAATTTGATATAATCTATTGTAATTATAGTCTTCTTACCATCTACATGGTAGACTCTCCAGTAGTCTGTCACTCCTTGAGGCTGGGATCTTTTCTCTAAATCTCCAAACCTGGCAAACTACAACTGCTCAGAAAATGCTTTGTGAATTAATTAATGGTAAATTAAGAAGCCTATAATTTAGCTAATGCTTGGGTAACTGTTACAATGAGGAGTGTTTCTTCATTCTTCCCTCCTCCCTAGCTACAACAGAACTCTTAACTGACTGACCTGGCAGAGGAACCCAAGGCTTTGCTGTCCGCATCCCTGTCTGGAACTCCCCTAGAGAAGCTGAGTGGGGGAGGGCTCTAATGGGATGAGGTGTGGCTGAGCGCTTAGGTTGGATATTGGAAAACACCAAGGCTATGGAGGTCAGGGGTAGCAAATTAATTGCTCTGCTTTGCTTCAATTTAAAATGGTAGATTATTTCACTATTAACATATCTATATAGCATACATAATATATGATATGATAATATATATGGGTTATGAACGTAGAAACCATAATTTATAATGAATAAATTGTCTTGACTCAACATTTCAGATTGTCAGTCCTATCAAGACATTTAATTTCACTTTTTTTTTCTTGGCATTAGTTACTTTCTCTGTTTTTATTTAAAAAAATTTGTTTGGAAACAGGGTCTCGCTATGTTGCCCAAGCTGGTCTTGAACTCCTGGCCTCAACTGATCCTTCTGCCTCATGAGCCACTGTACCTGGCAGTTACTATCTCTTGAATCAGATTCTGGGAAAGATGGGAGTTTTCTGTTATTTTGTATTAGGATAGGTTTTGAAAGCTGAGAGAGACTTCTAGGCATCATCTAAACTCCAGCTGAAATTTTGTAGAAAAGGAAACTAAAGCTGAAAGAAGTTTAGGGACTTAACCTTTTCTTTCTCCCATTCTGTTCCCCCTTTATTATGGTCACTAATTTTTCCTCTTATTGTTAATGAAAAAGCACCTTTCCTTCACTTTTTTTCTTTACTTTTGGCTAACTTTTCTAGAAAGAGTTTAAATAGTCCCTTTTCATTTTTTTTTTCTGCATTTCTACACAACAGTAGTTCTTATGGATTTTTTTTCTTTTAGTCTTGAACTTTAAGTTCAGGGGTACATGTGCAGGTTTGTTACATAGATAAATGTGTGCCATGGTCATTTGCTGTACAGATCATCCCATCACCTAGGTATTAAGCCCAGCATTCATTAATTTTTCCTGATCCTCTTCCTCCCCCAACCCCCTCTTAAGGATTTTAAAAATTCACAATATGTTAAATTTTTAATTGTTTTTCCTGTTAAACAGTAAGATTATGAACTTCTGCTTTCCTAGAACACCTTAATTTTTAAGGCAAAAGTTCTGAAGGAACTGTGGCGGACTTAAAGGCAGAATGATACACTCTAGCATGAGGCTAACTAGTAGGCATTCTACTAGTTGTTTATTTAAGAGTCATTATTGGGCCAAGATGTAATAAGCCCATTGTAATGATTACAATAAAAAACTGAACAAAATACAACAGTAGAATATTGCATTTTTTTCAAATGCACATGGAACATTCACCAAGATAGACCATGTTCTGAGCTATAATAGAAACCTTGCCAAAACTTGTTAAAAGAATGTTCTGTGTCTTTAATAGAAGTAAACTACAGATTAGTAACAGATGTAGAGAATCCCCTGAAATATTAGGAAATTAAACAGTACACTTCAGAGTAGCTCGTGGGTCAAAGAGAAGGTCTCCAAGAAAATTGGGAAATATTTTGAACTTAAAATGAAAGCACAACAGTGGTTGGCCAAGGGTAAAGGGAGAGGGGAAGGCTTGATCAGAAAGGAGTAATACAAGGGAATTTTGGGGACAATTTTGGTAGAATGGAATTTTCTGTATCTTGATTATTGCGGTGGTTATTAAAGGACTATGCATTTATCAAAACTCAGAATTGTTCGCCAAATAATGAATTTTATTTTATGTAATTTTTAAAACTTTTAAGTGTCTGTTTAATGGAGTACAGTTTTTCATAGTGATGTGTTTGGATGAGCCACTTGTCACAAGGCTGCTGAAAGAAAAATGAAGGGAAGCTACAGTACTTTCTAGTCAGAAGTGGGTTTGACTCACAAGTAATTACTTTTGGTTTGGATCTTTAAGGGAACAGGAACATCTCCATTTAGAAATTTTGACTTAAAAATGGTGGTTGCTGTTGGGAAATTAAAAAAAAAAAAAGAAATTTTAGTGTAAAATTAACATGAGGTATGCCAGTTTAGATCCAAATATAAGTGCATTTCTTGAAGAAAATTATGCTCATTGAAAACGTGTTGTTCAACATTAATTGAACTGAAAAGTCCTTTGGCTAAGATTTTTTAAAAGTAAATTTTACACAGTTTGTTCATTAAGTGTAGAAAGGCGTTTGCACTATGTGAGAAAAGAATAAGCTGGTAGCAGTTTTGGAATAGTGGTTTTTAAATCTTTAATTTCTTTGAACAATGATTTGTAGTTTTCAGTGAAAAACTTATTTTTAAAAATTTATTCTTGGCCAGGTGCGGTGGCTCACACCTGTAATCCTAGCACTTTTGGAAGGCCGAGGTGGGTGGATCACCTGAGGTCAGGAGTTCGAGAACAGCCTGGCCAACAAGATGAAAGCCCGTCTCTACTAAAAATACAAAAATTAGCCGAGTGTGCTGGCGGGCGCCTGTAATCCCCACTACTCAGGAGGCTAAGGCAGGAGAATCGCTTGAACTCGGGAGGCGGAGATGGCAGTGAGCTGAGGTCACGCTGTTGCACTCCAGCCTGGGCAACAAGAGTGAAACTCTGTCTCAAAGTAAACTAAAATGAAATAAAATAAGATTTATTCTTAAGTAGTTTATTCTTTTTGATGTTATCGTAAATGGATTTGTTTTCTAACTTTCATTTTCAGATTTTTCATTGCAACTGTACAGAAATACAATTTTAATTGTATGTTAGTCTTGTATCCTATCACCTTGCTGAACTCATTTATTCTAATAGGTTTTTTTTAGTGGCTTCCTTGCATTTTGTTTTTGTTTAAATATATAAGAGCATGTCTGTGAGTAGAGCTAGGTTTGCTTCTTTCTTTCCAATCTAGATGTCTTTTATTTCACTTATTGACTAAGAGCTAGGTTTGCTTCTTTCTTTCCAATCTAGATGTCTTTTATTTCACTTATTGACTAATTGCCTTGGCTAGAACCTTTAGTACAATGTTGACTAGAAGTGGTAAAAGCAAACATCTTGTCTTGTTTCCAATCTTTGAGGGGAAGCATCCTGTTTTTCACCTTATACACATTAACTATGGGTTCTTTGTAGATGCCTTTATCAGGTTGAAGAAGTTCTCTTCTAAGTTTGTTAGGTGTTTTTATTATGAAAGGGTGTTAGATTTTTGTCAAGTGCTTTTTGTACGTTTAGTGAGATGATCATGTGATAGTTTAGAGCTTTTGTGTTTGCAGAAAGACCCAGTTCACACAGGCTTAAAGTAAAAAGGGATATTTATTGGTTCATTTAATGGAAAAATCTAGGGGGTGTCTTACCTTCAGGAATGATGTGGGCTGATCAGGGGGTTCAAACAATGTCATCCAGATTTTCTTCCTTCTCCTTCTGTCCCTCAAATCCTTCCAGTTCCATTTCCCTTTGTGTGTGAATCATGTTTAGGTCCCATGTGATGGCAAACTGCTGCAGGCAGCTGCAGGCTAACATTCTTAAGACCAAAGAAAAAAGAAACAGTCCCCATTTCTTTATGCCTTTCCCCAGTCCCAGCAAAAGTCCCAGAATTGTCTCCGGTTGGGCCACTTGCCCATTCTGGAACTATCATTGAGGATAGGGGATGTGAAGCTTCATTTAGGCCTAAATCACATACCCACCCTGGAGCTGGTCACCCCCACCCAAACCTCATGGTTGGAGTGTGAAGAAGGGAGTTTTCATCAATGGAAAAGTACTAGGTAAATGCTGGATTGCCAAAAATAAATGTCAAGTATGCTTTCTGTAGTGAAACAATCCAGGATAATACAAAGCGTATGAAATTGGTATTTAAATACTCTTTTTTTTTTACCCGCTACCCCGTCCCTGGCAATGATAGCTAATACGAGCTAAAACTCTCCCCTGCTCATTGAAGTTTTATGTCTAATCCTTCCCAGCAGGGAATTTGGGTGATACCACATTGCATCTGTAATAGAGGATGGCATAAAAGAGGGTGGAGATTGGATAGGAAGATAGTCTAGTGGTCATCTAAGGGAGCAGGGAGTAGTACAGACCAACAGTTTTCATCTGCCCTTTAGTTACCTTGACTGATCATTTCTGAGATAACTGCAGATTAATTTAAAATAGAAACTGGATTAATGGTCTCTTTTTCATCCATGCCTCTTTTCTCTACAATTCATCATTCCTGGGCTGTATCCCAGTTTCCCAGCACTGGACATTATGAAAGACCAGTGTGTCCTAATACTAATCTGAACTCTCTCCATCACTCTGCATTTAAATTTTGTCTAATAGGAATGAGATTTCTCTGGTCTCTTACTGTGCCTTTTGAAACTGCAAGAATTTTGTGCTTATAAGAAAAGTTTTTCTTGGTCACAGTTTGTGTAGTTACAAAGGACAGAATAAAATTGCCATATATTGAACATCCCTTGTATAATTATAACCTACCCTAGGTAAATACAGAACCTGTTATAAGGAAGGTAATATTTCAGTTGCTATTATAATTTACCAGCTACATTTTTTTTTTTTTTTTTTTTGAGACAAGGTCTCACTCTCACCCAGGCTGGAGTGCAGTGGCGTGATCATAGCTCACTGTAGTCTCGAACTCCTAGGCTCAAGCAGTCCTCCTGCCTCAGGTGCATCACCTTGCCCAGCTAGTTTTTAAAATTTTTTGTTGAGACAGGGTCTCACTATGTTGACTAGGCTGGTTTTGAACTCCCAGCCTCAAGCAGTTGTCCTGCCTCAGTCTCCTAAAGTGCTGGGATTACAGGAGTGAACCACGGAGCCCAGCCTTCAAGCTGCTTTCAAAATTTACTGCAGCTGTGCTTTGGGTGGGGTTGAGAGCTGCTCTTCAACATTTTTCAGATTCTTGTAAGATAAAACTAGTTTAGTACATTTTTTTCAGTTTTAGGACACTCTTTTTTTTTCACATTTCAACAACTCTGAAATCAAGAAGCATCTTAGAACCTGTGCTATGTCATTGTTTAATTGGTAGAGTTTTTTTCTTTCTTGTGTCATGTAAAATAATGGTGTGTCTTAAAATTGATGATGTGATGGTTTATTCTGGTTGGATCTGTAAGGATGTTGTGGAGGCGATTAACATTTGAATCAATAGACCTTATAAAGTAGATTGCCCTTCCTAATGTGGATGAGCCTTATCCAATCAGTTAAAGACTTGAAGAGAACAAAAAGACTGAGTAACAGAGAATTCCTCCTGCGACTGCCTTGAGCTGAGACATTGGCCTTTTCTAGCTTTCATTGGTTCTTCTTGGGTCTTGAGCCTGCTAGCATGGAACTTAACCGTGAGCTCTCCTGGCTTGCTGATTGCAGATCTTGGGACTTCTCAGTCTCTAGTCACATGAGCTAGTTACTTAAAATTTCATTACATGCACACATACCCACTCACACACCCTTATAATATCTTTACACAGACACCCTGACACTCTACTGGTTCTTTTTCTCTGGATAACACTCACAAATACAGATGGGTCTTAAATTTGATAAAATACAGTAATTGAGGCTGTTCTAAATGCCTTCTACACAAAAGTCATGGTGGATTTGGGGAGTGTTCACACCAACCAGCATCATGGGAGTTGAGCTGTTCACACCAGCCAGCGTCATGGGAGTGAAAAGATGCTGTTGTTCTATACCAGGACAGCTTTCTGGGAATGGGGAGCCAAGGTTTGGGAGCTTTTGTGCCTCAAGGGGCAGTACAGAAAGATAGAGTTTTCTTCCCAGCTCTGTTGTGTACTTCCTTTGTGACCCTAATTAGGTCACTTAATTTACCTGGGATTGGTTTCCTTATCTATAAAATGTGCTGGTTGGACTGTGTGATTTCAAAGACCTCTTCCTTTTCTCAGGTTCTCAGAAATTGACTCTTCTGTTTCAGTGAGGGGAGGTGGCCTAAGATATAAATAAACACTTTTGCAAAGGGCTGAAACATCACCAATAATGTCTGACTCCTGGAGCACTGATTCTGTGCCCAACAAGATACAGTCTGAGGATTGATTTGGTTTTCCAGGTTGTAATGTTTGTACAGGAGTGGTGGCCTTCACAGTTGAGTTTTTGTAGAACTTGAAGCCAAGGTCTAGAAGCATCACCTTTTTTGTTTGTTTGTTTGTGACAAGGTCTCACTCTCACTCAGGTTGGAGTGCAGTGGCACAGTCATGGCTCACTGCAGCCTCGACCTTCCAGGCTCAAGCAGTCCTCTCACCTCAACCTCCTGCTGGGACCACAGGTGTATGCCACCACTGTCGGCTAATTTTTGTATTTTTATTAGAGATGGGTTTCGCCATTGTTGCCCAGGCTGGTCTGGAACTCCTGGCCTCAAGTGATCCACCCATCTTGGCCTCCCAAAGTAGTTAATATTATAGCTGTGAGCCACCGTGCCCTGCCAGCATCACCTTCTGAAATAAAAATTTACAAGTTCATCCCAAGAAGTTTGCCAGCCAGGAACTGATTTGTGCTAGTGTAGAGATAAGGCCTAAGGGTTCCTGACCTGCAATAAAGGGTCTAGGTCTCTGGGAAGGAAGTCCTCCATATAAAATATAATAAGAGCAAAAGCCATAGTTTAAGAAAAGATTACTTATCTTTGGTGAGAAGATAAGTTCAGATATTATGGGAGAGTGGATGCTGGGAATTAGTGTTTATTTAGTTTTATTTAAAGAAGTAAGAGACATGGTACCTGGCAGTCCTGAGTATTGCACTTTCTGGAAAAGCAGACCCTGATTAAGTAAATGATGAGCAAAATATGTTGCCTACCTACCCAACTCCTTCACATAGATTTAGTGCTGACTATTCAGGCTTCTGATTACGGTGTAGTTCCTTGTTCCATAATCTTGGGCTGGGGGTGCTCCAGGAAGTTCAGTAGCCTCCTATTAAAACGTAATAAAGTGATACCATTGGTGTCCGGCCCACTTGGTTTGTGTGAGTCAAACCCCAAGGGCCCATCAGATGTCTGTAGCTGAGCAGCCCTTGGGGCTCTGCCTTCTCTCTGGCTTCCTTAGCCATGGCAGTCCTATGAGAGAAATGTATCCCTAAAGGGCTGTGGCATTTCAGAGAAAGAAAAGAACTGCATCTGACTGAGGAGGACTGAGAAAACAAGGTTTACGCAGAGATAGTCAGGGATGATTTTTTTTTTTTTTTTTTGAGACGGAGTCTCAAAAAAGATCTCGGCTCACTGCAACCTTCGCCTTCCGGGTTCAAGCGATTCTCCTGCCTCAGCCTCCTGAATAGCTGGGATTACAGGCACTTGCCGCCACGCCCAGCTAATTTTTGTATTTTTAGTAGAGATGGAGTTTCACCATGTTGGCCAGGATGGTCTCCATCTCCTGACCTCATGATCCATCCACCTCGACCTCCCAAAGTGCTGGGATTACAGGCGTGAGCCACCACGCCTGGCCAGGATGACATTTTATGAAGAGATCCAGTTGGAGCAAAAGTTCAGAGACAGAAATACAGCAAATGAGTGGTTTGACTAGAACATAGGGTGTGTGAGAGGACTAGATAAGATGCGTATTTCTACTACACATGGTTTGTCCCCTGAAATTCTCCAATATTGAAGTGAATGTAGTTAAGCCTTGAATGTTTTAAGATAACTCATTTCAATGGATCAATACTAAAGAATAAGTCAAACACGTTACCTTTTCCTAAGGGTCATAGGATTCTAGACAGGCTTCTTAGTTGGCACTCTCTATGACATTTGTTGAAAGGACCTTGTCATCTTTGTTGCCTTATTTCTAAGTTTTGGATAATTTTTCTTAGAAGAGAGGAAGGCAAGCATGTGATAACAGTATGTTCAGGACATCCTAATTATTCGTCTTAGAAAAAGTAAAAATCACAGACTACTGGTACTGTATTAGGAAAGAAATAGAATACACATCTCATTTATTTCTGTAAATCCTATTACCTAGAGAGTCATTAGTGTACTTGTTGCTTATCCTTCCAGACTTCTGTAATCCTGTGACTAAAAAATATATACTTCTTTGGGCATTTTTAATTTTACAAAAATGGGATAAAACATACAGGTCTTTCTAACTTAATTCTTTCTCTTAGAATATCCCTGGCAATGTAAAGCTCCTTGGAGCTAACCCAGTATCCTATGTTAGGCTCTATTTCTGTATCTTGGGAGGTAGTTCATACACAGGCAGTAATTGCAATGATGCTCTTGCTTTTGTTTTCAGGTTGGCAGCCTCGATGGTTCCTTCTCTGTGGGGGAATATTGTCCTATTATGATTCTCCTGAAGATGCCTGGAAAGGTTGCAAAGGGAGCATACAAATGGCAGTCTGTGAAATTCAAGGTGAGAAATCAAGCAACTTGCAAGTTTTATTTTTCTTTCTGTTTTCCCTCAAAAACAAAAAAGCCCCTGGCCCCTGCATACCTTTCTCTGCTGCTCCCATAATACAGACCAAGGGACATAGTGTTATGTGTCAAAAGAAAGCCTTGCAAATACAACCCAAAACTGTAGCCAGCTTTTATGAGGAGATTGGCTAAGAGGTGGTCAAAATAAATGAGAGCAACGTGTTTCACTACTCAACTAGCACTCATTCCTTAGTGACCTGCTCACTTGGGACCAGTGGCTATTAGCAAAACTTAAAGTCTTTACTGCAGCATCAAACACTTTTGTGTTTAAATCAGGATGGACACACACACACACACCCTCCACCAAAACAAAACAAGCAAAAACTTAACAGACTTTCAAATAGTCTTTACTTCTTGTTTTTGTCTTGAGACATGCTGAGAAGGTGTGGCTCGGAAGAAAAACAGATTAAATGGGAATTTAGGTAGTGGATGTGGGTGAAAGACTTTGGTTTGCTTGTTTCTTCTCCTAAAGGCCTCTGAGAAAATTCTCACACTTTTGGTCTGACTTTTCAAGGGAAGTAGAAGATGGAAAAGATTGTATTTTTGATTGTTTCCCAATAAATCCAAGGAGATAAAAAACATACCCTTGTTTCTTGGCCTCAGAGCAGCCTACTTAACACACACACCCACTGAAAGAAAGATTCCTTCTCTATTCTGATAAGAGATCAGTTTAACTGAAAAGTTAAATTGGTGATTCTTGTTTGGGCTGAAGTTTTTGTGATGCCTTGGAGGCAATTGCAAGGTTTTCCCTCTTGATTAACAGAGACATCTAAGATGAGATAAGTAAACAGAACTTTGTGTGAATTAGGAGAGGTAATGACTGGCATCCTCTTTGGGAAGAAGCCTTCAATGACTGCCATCAATTAAGCTCAAGAAGTTGGGTGGGTTGGAGGCTACCCAGACAGGGCTCTTCTGAGTCTCTGATCTCCCTCTGTCTTGCTCCCAGTTCATTCTGTAGATAATACACGCATGGACCTGATAATCCCTGGGGAACAGTATTTCTACCTGAAGGCCAGAAGTGTGGCTGAAAGACAGCGGTGGCTGGTGGCCCTGGGATCAGCCAAGGCTTGCCTGACTGACAGTAGGACCCAGAAGGAGAAAGGCAAGTACTGATTGTCCTTTGCTGTGGAAACCTTGGGAATCACCCACTGGCATCTCTGATTTCCCTTATTTGTTATCTTGCTTCTGACCACCTAGCCAGCTTTTTGTGTCATGCAAATGCTGTGTATCTTAGTATAATTTAAACCAGGGTCCATATCTAACTCTTCTTTCTTGGCATAGCATAGTGCAAAGAATGCAGGCTTTGGAGCCAAACACAGCTGGGTACACATGATGGCTTTGCAGTTTATTGACTGTATAACCTTGGCATCGGTCACTTAACCTTTCTTACTCTTAGTTTCTTCATCTTTTAAAAAGAGGTAATAGATCCTACCTTAGGAGGATTACCATGAGAATTAGTGATGATAAAATGGTGGAGTATCCAGTCTGTGGCCAAACTTGACCTTTGGTGAGGAGTAGTTGAGCCAGATAAGCCTTGGATCAGGGTGTTTTCTGTAGCAACACCCTGCTCCTCCTCCCTTTTTTTCTGGGGTGGGATGGATGCTTAATTGTCAGGTTCCTGTTGCTTAATGCTCATTCACTGGACATTGTTAAGTTCTCCAGAGAACTGTGGCCCAGCTTTCTCTTTGGACTGGGGCAAGAATACCAGGGCTTACTGCCTGGGTCCTAGTTGCTACCTTCCCTGCCCCATGGCCCTAAATGTACCCTGAAGAGATGAGCTAGGGTGGGGTGAAATGGGAAAAAGTGTTCCAGGGAACATCTCTCATGACAGGTGTGGCAGTTGTGCTTAACTCTTCACGTAGATTCATAAATTGGCCTCTTCTTTTAATGCTAAATTGGTAATAAATTCTAGAAGCTGTTGGCTTTGACTCAGAGCAGATAGTAATGTGCACTTTTTTTTTTCATGAAGAAGGAAACAGAAAAGTGATAATAATTGTAGCTGAGCCCTCGATGCCAGGGTGACTGGAGAGCATTGCTAATAATAATGGCTGGGTGCCATTAGCCTTGACAAGGCAGCATACCAAACCAGTCCTCAGCTGAAATTATGAACGGTGTTCTTAGTGGTAATTGGACACTGCAGAATGTTTTTCCCAGGTAAGAGTAGAGCACTGCATTAGTAAGTAAACAGCTATGACCCCATTTTATAGATAGGAAAAACTCTCTGGCAGAACTGAGGCCAAAACTCTGAACCCCTTAGCTCTGCTCCCAGTTCTGACAGGAGTGGGTCAGACTATATTGTCTCCTTCTTTGTATACTGGTGATTATTCGGTATATTGCCTTAATAAATAATGTATACTACTTTGAAAGACTGGAGATCTACTTTTTCTGGTTTTTCTTGTTATTATGTCTTCACCTGTCACATTTGCAACCCATACTTTAAAGATTTGACTTTGGGCATATGTTCTGTGTGGTATCCTAACTAGTAAGGATTCCTCTTCTGCATAGTATCCTAACTAGTAAATCAGTTGTTTGTTCTGGTTACTGCATTATCATCATTTTGTCATTTAGAGTTTGCTGAAAACACTGAAAACTTGAAAACCAAAATGTCAGAACTAAGACTCTACTGTGACCTCCTTGTTCAGCAAGTAGATAAAACAAAAGAAGTGACCACAACTGGTGTGTCCAATTCTGAGGTAAAATATTATTTATTAATATTATTAATATACATGAATAATATAAAAGAAGTGACTACCAGTATATCCAATTCTGAGGTAAAATATTATTTTATTAATATTACTAATATACCTAAAAAGCACCAGACGTTGCTTACAGGTGGTGTTTACTCTCATCTAATTTTTTGACTATCTTGGAATTTACTATTTTATAGAGGAAAAAAGTAACAAAATTAAACAAAGAGAAGCAATAGTACATTTCATCATATGCGTGTGTATAGCTTTCCTTCCTGGAATAAATTAGGGATTAATTAATTGATAATATTTGGAACCTTTAACTTTAGTACTGTCATACTAAAATATGTTTCTCTCCAGTTTATATTGTTTTGTTAATTACAGTCTTGCAGAGCCATTTCTATAGCTATGGCTATTAAGATGCCAACTTATTGTCTTTCATTGATGTGCATCTATGAGACTAACAGTATTTTGTTTTACCATCATAACTGTGCTTTGGAATAGACTAGTGCTTTCAAAGATGGAGACACAGCTTTTTTTCTCTTCATTGTCAGCAAGGATTGTGATTTTTAGCATTTATTAATACAGTCATTATTCATTTATTTTAAAACATATATTAAAAGATTTCTCTGGTGTTAAGCTATGTATAGAATGGCTCACATTAACCAGAGTCTCTGCTCTGCTTTCAAAGAAGTTTCGATCTGACAGTGCAACTGCAGATTATAATGAAAGATTTTCATTTATTAGGTAGTAGAAGAACACTATGCTACTGGTAGTACATGTGTTTCGAGTTTTTCTAAAAAAGGTGATTTAACCCACTTGCATTCACTTCCTTTTGGGTGCTCTTACTCATTCAGCAGCTGCCTCATATGTGTGAGATAGACTGTGAGGGGAGGGGGAGGGAAGATGAAGGATACCAAAAAAGCATTTCAGTCCTGCTCTTGGGAAGTTTATAGTCTAGAGCAGTGATTCTCAAGGAGAGATACTTTTGGTTGTCATGACTGAGGGAGTTACAACTAATACAATGTAAATTGAACCACTTTACTACCTAAGGCTTTCAGCAGCTCCCTCATTGCTTGTAGGTGAAAGTCAAATAGTGCTGATAGTTACTTGATTAATAGATAAATTGGGCTTTTCTTTTATAACTGATGTACATATTTCAGCAGGTGGGTACATTATTATTATTTTGTGGGCAACCTCTAAGGACATTCCACAATTGGGCTTTTTCTTTTTTGGCAAGGTAAAGGAGTCTTCCACTCTGGTTGTTTCGTAGGAGGGAATTGATGTGGGAACTTTGCTGAAATCAACCTGTAATACTTTTCTGAAGACCTTGGAAGAATGCATGCAGATCGCAAATGCAGCCTTCACCTCTGAGCTGCTCTACCGCACTCCACCAGGATCACCTCAGCTGGCCATGCTCAAGTCCAGCAAGGTAAAAGTCCAGCTCAGTTTGGCTGCAACAAGGCATCAAGAAAAGTTTCAAAGTTTATAGTGAGTTATGTTCTCTATTACCCTTTAGTGACTTATAAAGACAGTTTTTTAATGGACTTTGCTCTACGTCCTTTTTTTATATCTGTCCTCAGCACCCCATATCCAGTCAGTTATTTGTGGCAATTTTACCACCTAAACATGTTTCTAATGTAGCCTCTTTCCAACCCCTTGTCAGTGAGTCTTGCCTAAAGTTGTGATAGTCTTCTAACTATTAATAGTTGCTTTCAGCCTGACCCTTCCAGTCAACCACATTTCTATTAATGCAGTATAAATTGAACCACTTAACCTAAGCGTTTCCAGTGGCTCCCTCATTGCCTGTAGGTTAAAGTCAAAACTTCTTAACCCCTTCCCACATTACCAGCTCTTTCCCTGTCTTCACCTAGCTTGAACATATTCATTGCTTGTGTTAATAATTCCTTCCACTCCTTTGTGCCGTTTTCCAGTGCCAGGAATGCTCTTCACCTCTCTTTCCTGGATTAGCTCATACACATCCTCAAAGACTTAGTCTCTTCTTCCCTGAATCACTAGATTGGTCTAAAAGCCTCTCTTATACATATTCCTATTTTATTTATATTCCTTGTTTTGTACTGAAATGATTTTTAGGGCAGGAACCCCATAGTGTCTACCTTTATACCTCTAGTATTTGATATAATACTTGTGTCATAGTTTGCTGCTTATTAATGTTTAATGAGCATAACTGAAATTACAAAGAAATCTAATCACTGAGTTTGACTGTGATAATTAGGTCTGTCAAAAGATCATCTTCCTTTTCCTTAGAAATGTATTTGTAAGGAATACATTTGTATAAATAAGAAGGACTAGTTGGAATCAATGACTCTCTTTTGGGAAGACCTAAAATTGTTTTTGTTTAGTGGGGCTAGTGTATTTTATGGTCATATGGTCATATTTACCATTTTGTATGTAATAAGATCATAAATATGCTCTGTTCAAAGTTTAACATGTGAACTTTCCTTTCTTTGCTTCTTTTAAAGATGAAACATCCTATTATACCAATTCATAATTCATTGGAAAGGTACAGTAGCTTTTTTCTTCTTGCTAAAAATTAAAAAAAAATAAGGATATTGTTATTCCTTGTTTAAAAAAAGATACTTTGATCTTGTAATGGTTTTTCTCAGGATTTGAAATAATATGGAAGTAAACAATATCTGACTTTCCTCTTTTGAGTGAGCCTGAATCAACCCAGAGCAGACCTTTTACTTAGCACTAATAGGGAAGATGTTGGCATTTTCCCTAAGATGGATCTCACCCATCACATCTAGTAACTTTTAATCTCTCTAGGGTGTACTTAAGGTAGAAACTTCTCTTGTAGAGGAAACTTCTCTCTGAGCATTGTTTTAAGGGTGCTTTTATCTAGAAATGATAGTAGTGCTATTTTGTTGTGTTTAAAAATAAAAATCTTAGGTAGCGTTGCAGGTTGAAAAATAACCTACTATCAAAATCTAAACTATTTCTATTCCCTAAATGCTCCTTCAATTTTTAAGATGATTTAACCCATGAAAGTGGGCTAAATTACTATAGCCTCAACATCGTGGGCCCAAGCAATCCTCTTACCTCAGCGTCCCAAGTAGCTGGGACTATAGGTGCATGCCACCATGCCTGGCTAATTTTTGTATTTTTTGTACAGATAGGGTTTCACCATGTTGCCCAGGCTGGTCTTGAACTCCTGAGCTCAAGCAATTCACCCGCCTTGGTCTCCCCAAGTATTGGTATTACAGGCTTGAGCCACTGTGCCCGGCCTCAAATTATTTAATAGTTCATCTCTTTATATACTATTGCTTACTTCTTTATTACAAGGATTGTTCCCAATTTAGTTATTTCCAGTTTTCTCCTGTTCTAAATATTCTTACTAGGAGCATATTTGTAGGTTTTTTGCAGTTGTTGAGGTCTTTGCCTCTATATGCTCCTACATTTTGAATTACTAGGTTGAAATATGGTTTTTTTTTTTTAAGAAAATAGCAAATACTTTTCCTGTAGTTACTATGTAGCTTGGACCCTTCCTTCTTATTTTTATTAGAAGAAAATATTTTTGTTCTAATTAGGCTAGGTATAATCACCTAATCATAATGATAATATATTATGATCGTTCCTTTAACCGATAGAATTACCTGTTCTACTTGCATGTTAATTGGCTTTTTCTGTTACCCTAATGTGCTGACATTTCCCTCAGGATGTGATGTGGTCCTCCTGGGTTTTTTCTCTCAGACATACTTTATAAGGAGTACTCTCCCTGGCTGGGCATGGTGGCTCACGCCTATAATCCCAGCACTTTGGGAGGCCGAGACGGGTGGATCACCTGAGGTCAGGCGTTCAAGACCAGCCTGGCCAACCTGGTGAAACCTGTCTCTACTAAAAATGCAAAAATTAACTGGGTGTGGTTGCAGGTGCCTGTAATCCCAGCTACTCAGGAGGCTGAGGCAGGAGAATCACTTGAACCCGGAAGGCAGAGGTTGCAGTGAGCCAAGATCACACCATTGCACTCCAGCCTGGGTGACAGAGCGAGACTCCATCTCAAAATAAATAAATAAATAAATAGACAGTTACTGGCCGGGCAAACACAGAGAAATGGCCAGTGGTGTAGAGAGAGAGAAGAAGCCCCCCAGGGAGAAGTTGAGGAAAGTAAAGTGTGCAAAGTGGCACCGGAGAAAACTGATGGAAAACCAAAGAGCTGTCAATGACTATTTCCTGATGCTGCTGGGGAGCAGGAAGATTGGGACTGCTGAGGTGCTGGGAAAGCCATTAATGGCTCTTTGATTTCTAAATTGCAGCCTTGAGGCTGGACTGCTCCCATCACAGGCCTTGGAGGCAGAAGACTGGGAGGTTTGGCTTGATTTAACAATTCTTTCAGTGGATGTTGAAAGGATAACATCTACCTGGGCAGTCAATTTATGACCAAGCTTGGCGAGGTGGCTCATGCCTGTAATCCCAGCACTTTAGAACGCTGAGGTGGGAGGATTGCCTGAGGCCAGGTGGTCAAGACCAACCTGGGCAACATAGTGACACCCCATCTCTACAAAAAATTAGAAATTAGCCGGGCATGGTGGCAGGCACCTGTAGTCCGAGCTACTCAGGGTGGAGTGCTGGGCTCAAGTAGGAGGATTGATTGAGCCCAGAAGATTGCAGTGAGCTGTGATTGTGCCACTGTACTGCAGCCTGGGTGACAGAGTGGAGACCCTGTTTCAAAAAAAAAAAAAAAAAAAAGACCAAATAACGACCTTCTGGCTTTTTTTCCTTTTAAAAAATTTGCAGGCAAATGGAGTTGAGCACTTGTGAAAATGGATCTTTAAATATGGAAATAAATGGTGAGGAAGAAATCCTAATGAAAAATAAGAATTCCTTATATTTGAAATCTGCAGAGATAGACTGCAGCATATCAAGTGAGGAAAATACAGATGATAATATAACAGGTAAAAACAAAAGTAAAGTCTGAAACAAACCAATTTTAGATGATAGAAAATTTGGGAATTTGATGAATATCCATGATAGGGATTAACCTCAAGACCATGTAGTAGTGTCTGCTAAGGAGGATATTGGCTGGGTAAGATAAGTCATATGACTGAACAACATTCTTTCATCCAATCTGACCTGGTGTTGAGAAGGCAGAGTGAAAAGAGGAAGATTCCTGCTCAGTGTTCTTGGCTGTGTTCATGGGCTGCAGTGAGCAGAGGGCCTTCAACCCTGTATCTTAAAAGTCCTTTGAACTTAGATTATGATGTTATACGTAACAGTGTGTAAAATTACAGCAGTTCAGTTTTTCATCCTCCCGGTTTCTGTTGGGCCTGAGGATGTCAGAATTCACCAGTCACCATGAGGTTTCTACGCAGTCTTCTCTGTTTATCAAGCCAAAGTCCCACATTTCAGGTAATAGGTTTGTAGTTCAAATATGCTAATCCCTTGGCACTAATCACTGAAATCTACTTTAGATCAAAGACAACTATATTAGAGCTTTTAATTGTGTTATAAGAACTTAATAATTTGAAAATGAAATTAAAATTTCCTTCCATCTACCTTGAAATAAGAGACCTTATTTTTTCTCGATGAATTGGGGAGCAGTGTGGGAGTTGAGGGAAGGAGCTGTGTATTCTTAGCTGTTAATCTGAGAGAGACAATCCACACATCATTGGAGCCTTATCTCTTGGGTAAATAATAAAGACAGAAGAAAATATCTGTCAAAACAGTGCAGTCATTTATTTGCTCCTATAATTTTGCTTCTAGGAATTGTTCTTCAGTGAATAGTTAGATTTAAGGAGAAAGACCTATTGATAGGGATGTTCTTTGTGGCATTACAGTCAGTTCTCATTATTTGCAGTAGTTAGGTGTTATTGAGTCACCATGAGCACTAAATTAGCAAATACTAAACTCTTGCTCCTGGGGGAAATACAAGGTTAGGTTCCTGCAAGACTTTGGTCACAAAATTTTTGTCTACCAATCAATACATAACCTTGTTTTATGTGTGTTTTCATTTAAAGACACTTTAATATGTATTGTTGATTCATTAACATTGAACTCACGGTGAACAGCACTATTACTCATGCTTGAATGAGGCTTATCTAACACACATCTTTTTTCCATAAGGCACATCACAGCCTTTTTGTGGGTAGGAACGCTAGACGGTACTATACTTGGGAGCCCTTTTAAACAGCAAAAACAATAAAATGCACAAACATGCATAAAATGTGGCACTAAGTAAGGACATTTGTCTATACTATGAGAGCTGAAACAAGAAGGCAGAACATCACATTGCTCTACCTCAGCTAGGAATATGTGTGTCCGGCAACAAAGTTTTCACCACTTTGCACGTGTCCACAAATGTCTGCAAAAGTGCCGCATGTATTGATTTTGGGGTTACAAAATAAATTTTAGCAAGTAGACAAATTCACAAATACATATAGAATGTGCTAATAATGAGTAGTGATTGTATTTATAATTGTAAAATTTTGGAAGCTACCTAAGTGCCCCTCATGGATATGATACAATATAACATGGTCATTAAAATCATGTTTTTGAAGGGTTGAATGATAATGAAAATATTCATGATACATTGTTTAGTGAAAGCAAGCAGGATTCAAATCTACACATACTTCAAGTTTTGTTTGTGTGTGTAGATGTATGTTTATGTATATGTGAATAGTGTTTCATGAATTTTTATTTCTATGTATTTTTCTGTGTTTTAGAAATTTTCAACAATCAATATGTATTTTTATAATAAATATATAATAGGTTAGTAATAGATATTTTCTACTTTGCAGTCCAAGGTGAAATAAGGAAGGAAGATGGAATGGAAAACCTGAAAAATCATGACAATAACTTGACTCAGTCTGGATCAGACTCAAGTTGCTCTCCGGAATGCCTCTGGGAGGAAGGCAAAGAAGTTATCCCAACTTTCTTTAGTACCATGAACACAAGGTATTCTAGACTCTTTAATATCACTGATGCTTGGATACTAACTTCCATTCTGGAAAATCAGTCATGGTGTTCCTTTCAGGTGATGGCATATTCTAGGAGAATAGAGAATGTGGTATACCAAGTACCTGCTTTACTGTTTACTCTTTCTTACCAATGAATAAGAAGGAATTCATTGTGAAGTGTGCTCTGTGAACAAATGTTAGCTTGCTTTGGTGGATTATCTTTGGAAATTTATTTTATGAGACCATATTAGAAAAACAGTTACTGGGGCATATCAAGTCAAACGATTTGCCCTACAGAGAGGCAGCTGTGTCTATGACTTACCTCTGAATTGCAGAGTGCTGATACTGTATTTTCAATCTTTTCTCCTCCATATCACCAAATTATGTAGCTTTAGTGACATTGAACTTCTGGAAGACAGTGGCATTCCCACAGAAGCATTCTTGGCATCATGTTATGCTGTGGTTCCAGTATTAGGTAAGATTCCTGCAGTTGCCTTACATTCATTCATGTCTAGAATCTGCCTCACTGTAGTTATTTTGCAGGAGAAATACCCCAAACTATGTGTACAGTGAGATGACCCTTGGCTATTTGTTCAAATCACCAGACACATACAGTTAAAACTGTGTGACCTTAAGCATTATTGCATATTCCCATTTCATTTCTAATAATGATTAAATATTGACCTCAAAATAATGTAATTTAAAAGGGGGATCTTTCTAGAAACCATACATAAAAGTAAAAAAAGTATTTGAGGAATAGACCTTCAAATATATTGGCACTGTGAAAAAATGTGTTTTACCAGTTAAAACTTTTTTGAGACAGGCTCTTGCTTTGTTGCCCAGGCTGGAGTGCAGTGGCATGATCTCTGTTCACTGCAAACTTCACCTCCCAGGCTCAAGCAATCCTTCCACCTCAGCCTTCTTGGTAGCTGGACTATATGCGCATGCCCGGCTAATTTTTGTATTTTTTGTGGATATGGGTTTCGTCATGTTGCCCATACTGGTTTGGAACACCCGGGCTCAAGTGATCCTTCCCTCCCAAAATGTGAGCCACCATACCCAACCAAAACATATTTTCTTTTTTTTTTTTTTTGAGACGGAGTCTTGCTCTGTCACCCAGGCTGCAGTGCAGTGGCGGGATCTCCACTCACTGCAAGCTCCGCCCCCCAGGTTCATGCTGTTCTCCTGCCTCAGCCTCCCGAGTAGCTGGGACTTCAGGTGCCTGCCACCACACCTGGCTAATTTTTTTGTATTTTTAGTAGAGACAGGGTTTCACTGTGTTTGCCAGGATAGTCTTGATCTCCTGACCTCGTGATCCGCCTGCCTTGGCCTCCAAAAGTGCTGGGATTACAGGTGTGAGCCACCACGCCCGGCCTGCAAAACATATTTTCAAAGATTTTTAAAGATATATTCTCTCTCTCTCTCTCTCTCTCTCTCTCTCTCTCTATATATATATATATATATAAATAACATATATATAATATATATAACACATATATATATAAATAACATATATATAATATATATAACACATATATATAACATACATATATATGTAAATAAATAAAATGTATGTTATGGCTGGGCACAGTGGCTCACGCCTGTAATCCCAGCACTTTGGGAGGCTGAGGTGGGCGGATCACCTGAGATGAGGAGTTTGAGACCAGCCTGGCCAACATGGTAAAACCCCGTCTCTACTAAAAATACAAAAATTAGCTGAGTGTGGTGGCGCGCACCTGTAATCCCAGTTACTCAGGAGGCTGAGGCAGGAGAATTGCTTGAACCTGGGAGACGGAGGTTGCAGTGAGCCGAGATTGCACCACTGCACTCCAGCCTGGATGACAGACAGCCTGTCTCAAAAAAAAAAAAAAAAAAGTGTGTGTGTGTGTGTGTGTGTGTGTGTGTGTGTGTGTGTGTGTATATATATATGTTATGTGTATATATATGTTATGTATATATATGTTATATATATATTTAATAGATAAATATATCTGAAAATTTATATGTAACATTTAAATTATATGTAATTTATATCTAACAAATACATAATTTTATATATTATATATAATATATATTTATATATATAAAAAAGTTTATTTAGGTCAAATTCACTTTTACTTGTATAAAGTCAGTAATACCAACAATGGCTAATGTGTTGAAATTTGCTTTATGACCCATTTAACTATACATCTTTTGTAAAAATTGAGGTATAACTTGCGTAGGTCTTAACTGTTATGATTCAGTGAATTTTGACAAATGCATCTACCTCTCTAATCCATATCCTTATCAAGAAATAGTATGTTTTCATCACCCTGGAATGTTCCCTGTGTCACTCAGCCTGAAATAACCATTTTATTGATTTCTGTCACCATAGGTTAGTTCTGCCTATTCTAAAACTTGATATAACTGGAATATTATACTTTTTTGCCTCTGGCTTTTCTCATACAGTATGTTTTTGAGATCCGTCCTTGTTTTCTGTATCAGTAGTTCGTTCCTTTTTATTGCTAAGTAGTATTCCATTAAATGAATATACCACAATTATTTATTCACTCTCTTATGGATGGACTTTGGGCAGTTTGTAGTTTGGGACTCTTTTTTTTTTTTTCTTGAGACAGAGTCTTGCTCTGTCACCTAAGCTGGAGTGCAGTGGCACAATCTTGGCTCACTGCAACCTCCACCTCCCGGGTTCAAGTGATTCTCCTGCCCCAGCCTCCCAAGTAGCTGGGGTTACAGGCCTGTGCCACCATGCCTGGCCAATTTTTTTTGTATTTTTAATAGAGACAAGGTTTCACCATGTTGGCCAGGCTGGTCTCAAACTCCTGACCTCACATGATCTGCCCACCTCGGTCTCCCAAAGTGCTGGGATTACAGGAGTGAGCCACTGCTCTTGGCCAATTTGGGACTATTATAAATGAAATTGCTCTAAACATTTTTGTGCCTATGGGCCTATGCTTTCATTTCTCTTGAGTAAATACCTAGGACTGGAATTGCTGGTTCATAGTTTAACTTTATAATAAACTGCCAGACAGTTATAATGGTTGCACAGTTGTTCATAGTGTATGAGTATTTTAGTTGTTTGACTTCTTCACCAGCATTTGGTAGTGTCAATATTTTGTTTTTGGCATTCCTGAATGTTTTAGTGGTATTTCATTGTGGCTTTAATTTGCATTTCCATGATGACTAATGATATTGAGCACTTTTTTTTTATAATTATTGGCCATCCCTATCTCTTCCATTGTGAAATGTCTGTTCAGATCTTTCACCCATTTTTAAAAGTTAATTGTTTTTCTTTTTATTACTGAGTTGGGAGAGTTCTTTATATATTCTTAATTAAAATTCCATTGTAGACATGTGAATATTTTCCCCCAGAGCATGGCTTGCCTCCTCCTTTTCTTAATGATGCCTTTTCAGAAGTTTTAAATTTCCATGAAGTCCAGTTTCTTCTTTTATACTTAGTGCTTTTAGTGTCTTAAGAAATCTTTACCTATCCCAAAGGTCATGAAGATATTCTGTTTTCTTCTAGACTCTTCTAACTTTTACATTTGTGCCTATGAACCACTGGAATTATTTTTTGTGTGTGGTGTGAGGTAGGGAGTTGAGGTTCTTTTTTTTTTTTTTTTTTCCTTGTGGTAACTGGTTGCTCAAGAACCGTGGGTCAAAATATGTTTTCCTTTTTACATTGCTTTGGCAGCTCTGTCAAAAACCAATTGAACTTATAATGCTTATAATATGGGACTGTTTCTGGACTCTCTTTTCTGTTCCAATGATCTTATGGTGTCTTAATTATTATAAGGCTTGAAATCAGATAATGTAAGTCTCTCAGTTTTTTCTTTTTCAAGATTGTTATGGAAATTCTAGGCCTTTTGATAAATTTTAGCTGTTCAATTCCTATTTAAAAGCTTTTTAGGATTTTGATTAAGATTACATTATATCTCTAAACCAATTAGGGGAAAGCTGACATCTTAAACAACATCGAAGGCTGGGCTCACTGGCTTATAACTGTAATCCCAGCACTTTGGGAGGCCAAGGCAGGAGGATCGCTTGAAACCAGGAGTTTGATCCTGGCCTAGGCAACAAAGTAAGACCCTGTCTCTATGAAAAAAATTAGCCAGGTGTGATGGCGCAAGCCTGTAGTCCCAGCTACTTGGGAGGCTGATGCAGGAGAATCACACGAGCCTGGGATATCAAGGCTGCAGTGAGCCGTGGCTGCACCACTGCACTCCATCCTAGTTGACAGAGCAAGACCCTGTCTCAAAAACAAAAGCATTGAGTCTTCCAATCCATGAGGATGCTGTATCTATTTACTTAAGTCATTTTAATTTTCTCTGAAGAATGTTCTATCTAGTTTTTAGTGTATAGCTATCATATTCTTTTGTTAGGAATAAGTTTTAGAATTTTATTTTTTTATTCTGTTGTAAAAAGTGTTTTATTTCATTTTCCGATTATTAATAGCATGTACATGCAAATTATGTTTATATGCTGAGTTGTTTTTATAATCATGAATGAGTTAACTTCATAAAATGCTTTTTCTGTATTTGCTGAAGTCATTTTTTTCCTGTAATTTGTTAATGTAATGAATTACATTGTTTGGATGAATTTCATTCATTATCTTGGTATTTGTTTCTATCATCTTGCTACTTATTTTCTGCTTTTCTCTGTATGTTCTTTGTTCCCTTTTTACTCCTTTCCTGATCTCTAGCCAGTTAATCAATTTTTTTTTTAGTATTCTGTTTTATTTCCTCTTTTGGCCTCTTAGCTACCTATCTTTGTCCCTGCCTTTCTTTTAGATCAATCAAGTATTTTTTTTTTTTTTTTAAGAATTCCTCTATCTTTTCTCTTTTGGCTTTTTAGCTATACCTCTTTGTTTTATTTTTTAGTCATTGTTCTTGCCCAACAGAAATATTCAAACCACATATGTAATTTTAAGTTTTCTAGTAGGCATATTAACATAGTAAACACAAATTAATTTTAATTATTTTAAAACCTAGAATATCTAAAATATCTTAACATGTAATAAATATAAAAGAATCATTGGGCCGGGCATGGTGGCTCACGCCTGTAATCCCAGCACTTTGGGAGGCCGAGGCAAGTGGGTCACAAAGTCAGGAGATCGAGACCGTCTTGGCCAACGTGATGGCACATGCCTGTAATCCCAGTTACCTGGGAGGCTGAGGCAGGAGAATCGCTTGAACCAGGGAGTCGGAGGTTGCAGTGAGCTGAGATCATGCCACTGCACTCTAGCCTGGTGACAGAGCGAGACTCCGTCCCCCCAGAAAAAAGAATCATTAATGAGTCTGAGCATGGTGGCTCACGCCTGTAATCCCAGCACTTTGGGAGGCTGAGGTGGGCAGATGACTTGAGATTAGGAGTTCGAGACCAGCCTGGCCAACATGGTGAAGCCCGTCTCTACTGAAAATACAAAAATTAGCTGGGCGTGGTGGTGGGCATCTGTAATCTCAGCTACTCGGGAGGCTGAGGGAGAATCGCTTGAACCTGGGAGGTGGAGGTTGCAGTGAGCCGAGATCATGCTACTCCACTCCAGCCTGGGGACAGAGCGAGAGACTCCATCTCAAAAAAACAAACAAACCGAAAGAATCATTAATGAGATATTTTGCAATCTCTTTTTCATACTCAGTCTTCCTAATCTGGTACGTATTTTACTTCCAGTACATTTTGGTTAGTACTAGCCACGCTGCAAGTACTAACTAGCCACATATCTGGTGGCTACCATATTGGACAGTGCAGCCCTAAGGATTACTATATGAATCCTAAACTTATAAGATTATCTTCATCTCACCTGTCACTTAGGGCCTCATTATAACTCACCTTGGAGTAGTGTAATAGAAAAAGATGGTAATAGTATCCTGGGAGCTTTTGAAGATTATGTTTAGATAAATGATTTGGAAGCAAAAATTAAAGTTGTTGGGGATCTGCTAAATTTATTATTACTTTATTATAAAAAATATTGCCACTTAAAAATTGCTTTTTCAGAAATGTTTTTAATCTTTTCTTCTAGACAAACTTGGCCCTACAGTGTTTGCTCCTGTTAAGATGGATCTTGTTGGAAATATTAAGGTGAGCATACTGGTTTGTCTCTGTGGAAACTTTTAAATAAAGGAAAATGTTCTCAACATTTTTGTGCTTGGCCAGAATAAATCAAAAAGTGAAAAATGTGTCACTGTTCTTTTAAGAGAGCAAGCATCTTTCTTCTCACACTGTGAATGCTCAGTAAGGGAATTACTAAGCCTTTATTATATGCTAGAGTTAAGCTTTATGGGGAGTAGAAGATTCATTTTTAAAATGAAACCAGGACTGCCTTTTCATGTGCACCGTGTGGATCAGTAGGGTTTCACTCTAATGTCCACACTGATTCTGTGCTTTTTTAGGTTTAAATGGTGATAAGTTATATTTTTCTAAAAGATAGGTTATATAGTGAAAATAGCTGTCAGTGGTCTGGGACTCAAAAGGCCCATTTCCAGTGGTAGTTGTGGGACCATCAACAACTCACCAAATCTCTGAGCCTCTTTCTTCCAGGTAAAATAAGGGATGGGTCCCCTTTTAAATGCAGATTAAATGTTACCTTCTTGAGGATACAGTGCCCAATAAAAATCTTTTTTGTCATTGGAGACTAGTCTTTGAGGAAGCACTATTAGGAATTCCTGTAGGTATACCTTTCTTTATTGTATTTAGGTGGAACAGTTGCAAGTAGTCTCATTAGAACAAATGATTGTTGAGTTTTATATTCAGAGTGAAAAGTATCTGCCAAAGACAAGCATGAGAGAGGTTCTGAGGCAGAAAAAATAACTTTAAGAACAAAACTTTAAACCCTGAGACTATTTAATTCCAGTTTAAGCTACATAGAATTCTCCAAAACAAATACTATCATGAAAACATAAGGAAGAAGGTAATAGGAGCTTAATTTATTTTCTTAGAGGCCTGCTTGCCAAACTTACAAGTCTCCAGACTATACTGAGTTGCTTGATAACTTCAGCATTTTAAACTTAGGTTGTTTCCCTGCTTTCCCTCCAGAAAGTAAATCAGAAGTATATAACCAACAAAGAAGAGTTTACCACTCTCCAGAAGATAGTGCTGCACGAAGTGGAGGCGGATGTAGCCCAGGTTAGGAACTCAGCGACTGAAGCCCTCTTGTGGCTGAAGAGGTGAGGCAGCTGGGGTGGGACAGCAGTTAAAATCTAGCTCAAAAAAAATTACCAGCAAAAAAAATTGTTACACAAAGGAGACTACTTCTGAGTGAAGGATCTAGTTGAATTGTGTAGCCTTTTCTAGAAGGCCTAATGAATAATACCACCTTATTTTTTTTTTGCCTCTCTTTTGATGGTGATAAATATTGTTGATAAGTATATATAAGATAGGAATCTTAAAGGCATTAAAGTCAACTGGCTTCTCTTTAAATCAGTGGCTCTCCAACTTCAGTGGCATCAGAATCATCTGGAGGACTTGTTAAAAACACTAGACTCGGAAACAGTTTCTGATTCAGTAACTCGGGTGGGGCCCCAGAATTTGCATTTCTAGCAAATTCCCAGGTGATGCTAAAGCCACTAGTCCTGGGACACATTTTGAAAACCACTTCTTTAGGTATATCAGATGAGATGAAAGATGGGCTCCAGAGCAAGCTAAAGGGAAGTGAAGGGAAGAGGTTCAGGAAGGACTGCCATATGATTTGACCTATTCACTGCTGTGCCTAAGATGTTACTGAAATGGAAGCTGATGTCTGCCATTTCTTTATACCCACTCAACATAAGTGAACTTTGAAAATAATATTTCTTCCTTTATTTTGTTTTAGAGGTCTCAAATTTTTGAAGGGATTTTTGACAGAAGTGAAAAATGGGGAGAAGGATATCCAGACAGCCCTAAGTAAGTGTTCTTTATGTTTTGTTGAATGAGTCAATAGACTGTGGAATGGAGACCCCTAGAGGAGGATACAGGGTATAGGGGATATTTCTGCTTTTCAGAATTTGATTTTGTTTCTTTTCTTATTTCATTATTATTCATTGCTTCTTATATGCTTTGTTTAAAAGTACCTATGAGACAATGACCTGGTAATCTAGATGTAACTTACTAAAAATCAGTATATTTTAAAGACGTGCTGAATAAGTGGAAAGCCATCTCTTAAACATAATAGGAAGACCTAATATTATCAAGAAGTTAGTTTTCCTAAATCTTCAAATATATTATAGTCTTTGAAAATCAGTATACAAAGAAAAGCTTGAACACCATAACAGCGGGTTGGCGTGGGGGAATCCCAGGGATTTGTTCTGGAGTAAGAGTAAAGGTTTTCGTCGTCGTCGTGTAACTCCTCAAATATATAATGCTGTGTGCGTCCCAGTTTCTAGTCATAAAGCCAAAATGGGATGAAGGGCTTGGTCAGAGGAGATCATCTTATATCTCCAGCACCTTAAAGTAGTGACTGCAACATTGTAGGTGCTTAATAAACATTGGACAGGTAGGTAGATGGATGGATGTGTGGATAGAGCCATTTATCAGACCAGTTTTGGAAAATGTTGAGATTGGGGAGCATCCTTAGAGTGCTTCTAATGGAGTGGCTGAACTCTCACCATTGATCTATAGGAAATTCTTCTAGCATGGGCCATGAGGCGTGTGTGGAGAAAAAAATGAACTGTGACATAAACTAATTAGATGCTTCTGGTTTGAGAGGGAGCTAGTGTTCTCTGTGGCTTTTTTTCAGTGTCACAGTTGGGTTCTACCTCCTTCTGTTAGTCCTCTCTCTGGGCCATGAGTCCTCAAGAATTCTGCCCCCACGTGATTTCCCGAGTCTGCCCCATCTAGCAACTGCTGATCTGCCATAAAAATGAGAGCTGACATTTCTATAGCACTTTGTGAACAATGTAGACTTCATAAACTTAATCCTCATTTCAATCCATTTTTACAGGTTAGGGAACTGTAAGATTAAAATATTGCTTAAGACCAGCATAAGGTCTGAAGCAGAGTGGCTTTGAGGCCCCTGCTTTGAAGGTCCACATTTCTCCTACAAAGGGTCTTTTCCACCATTCCTGGGCCACCTGCATTTTTACATTCCCCATACATCCCTGAATTTCAGGATGGTCTCAGTTATATTCTCCCCTCTGTGTCCTGATTTCAAGTACTAAAAGTATATTCAGCATGTCTACTCATGCCCCCTAGCCAGTATCTGTCAAGCTTTATGGCTTGTGGAGTGTAGGATCAGGAGCTCTGGAGTGGCTCTCTGGATTCTGCCACTTATTAGTGCTCTGCCCTTAGGCAAGTTATTTAACCTCTCTGATCCTCACTTTGTTCATCTATAAAATGGGAATGGTGATATTATTTCCCTAACAAGGTGGTTGTAAATATTAAGTAGGTGCATGTGCATGTGAAAAAATTACAGAAGTATTTGGTACGCAAAACACTCAGTGTGGCCGGGTGTGGTGGCTCATGCCTGTACTTTCGGAGACTGAGGCAGGAGGATCACTTGAGTTCAGGAGTTTGAGACCAGCCTATGCAACACGGCAAAACTCCATCTCTACAAAAATTAGCTGAGTATGGTGTTGCGTGCCTGTAGTCCCAGCTACTTAGGGGGCTGAGGTGGGAAGATTGCTTGAACCCAGGAGGTCAAGGCTGCAGTGAATTGTGATCATGGCACTGTACTCCAGTCTGGGCAATCGAGTGAGACCAGACCCTGTCTCAAAAACAAACAAACAAACAAAAAAACAATGCTCAGTCGTCAAGATTAGCATCTATTGTTGTGATAATGATGTTTTGTCATCATTATCATAATCATGATATATGAAGTTAATAACCTGCCAGAAAATAAGACTTATTTGTCCCACATCAGTAATGGAAAGTTTACAAAGCTTAGGTGCCAAGCCAGAAACTTCACTTCAAACTAACTTATTAGTATGGAATTTTCATGCTAGCAGAAAGACTTCTCCACCTGTTGGAAATGCAGAAGATACAGGGTTTAGCACTGTGTGCCCAGTGGACTCCGCTTGTCTCATGCTGCTATTACTTTGTTAGGGCTGTCTATGGAAGGGGAGTAGGACAATGCTGATCCCATTTAGCCCACTGGAAGAGCTGGGGTGGAACGGAACCCAGCTGCTTATGGGCTTTGACCCCCCTAGACATAGAAAGGAAACAGGATATACCATTTCTATCCAGTCCCAACCCCAATTCTGCCCACTTTTCTCTCTCCTTTTCTCCTCAAGGTTTCTCATCAAATGTTGTACTTGATTTGGAGACTGGGCCCAGGGGATGTATTGACTTTGTGAAGAAAGAGGAGACTTTGAAGGGCAAATGCTGCTTTGTGACTGCAATAATCACAGCCAGTCTCAGCTTTTTCTTCCCTCTCTTCTCCTTCGGCACAATTTTCAATGGAAAAGAGAAGGGAGGCTGTAAATTTGACATTTTTGTCCTGATGTTCAGGCTTATTTCAAAGAAGGTGTTTATGATTTAAATCCTATCTTTGTGGAAATCCCTAGTTTCTTGCTGCTGCTTAGTATGAGGAGATAAAGTTCCCCTATTAAACCCACCCTCCCTCCAAAGTTCCCCTGTTAAACCCACCCTCCCCTCCCACAGACACAGACACAACAAGCTCTGCGTAAACGGTTTTTTGAGAAATGTTTACACAATAGTTACTCAGAACCTGTAGGCTCCTTGATGCATATTTCTTCTGGGATAATGGTTCCTTTTTCTCATTTTGAAGTCCCAGCCTTCATAAGTAGAACTGATACCTTGTTTGAAATGAGGGAGGGTGAGTGAGTAGGTAAAAGAGAGTGTGTGCAATTTATATGCCATATATAGGCAAGTTTGTTGGCTTTTTTAAATTCTAAAGTTGAATTTAAAAACAGCTATCACTTACAGAGCACCCAGTGTAACTACTACACTAAGTTTTTGATAAATATTTTATTTAATCTTCCAAATACTCTCCAGTGAATAAACTGAGGTTTAAAGAGGATAAATACCTTCCCTAGGGTCTCAAAATCTCCATCGGTGGTTCTCAAGCTGTTCCAAGGTCAGCAGCATCTTTATCACCTGAAAACTCATTAGAAATGCAGACTATCCGGTTCCACCCCAGACCTGCTGAATCAGACACTGAGGCTGGGGCCTGGCAGTCCGTGTTTTAACAAGTCTTTCAGATGATTCTAATCCATGCTGAAGTTTGAGACCTAGTCATCTAGACTTAGGCCTTTGAGGTTCACCTGTCACTTGTCTACATCTTGATAATTTTGTGATTTTGACTGCATCTAAGAGATTTTTAATAAGCAGGAGTAAAACTGCTGAAATTAGTTATAGCATCAGTTTATTTTCCTCCTTTTCATCATAATTAGACAGCTTTCCAATAAAAATACTGCTTAAGTAAGGTTTGAGGTGAATGTTCATGAAACTTGTATGGTCTTAATGGCCTTGGAAATAGTACATTTATATGTAGAAGTCCTAAATAACATTGTAGAAGCCTTGTCTCCTTTACCTTTCTGGAAAATGCATCTCTAGTTATTGTATTGCTGCAGTTCTGTGACCTGGAATACTTCCAGCATCTGGAAGGAGCCTTAGACTTTACACTGCCCCTTTTTGCACTTGAGCCATCACTTGGCTTCCCCATAATGATAATCAGAGTGGAACATTTTGGGTGGTTTCATGCTAAGAGCTGCTGTGTTCCCTTAGTGTCCTAACATTCTTTAGAGGTCATTTTCAGGAGGGAGTTGGGTTCACAAGGCAGATATGTTTAATAATCTGCTTTAGAGCTGAGTCCCCCTCTCCATTGCATATTCCACATCAGAAAGAGGTTTTGGAAAGCATCCTTGCAAGTGGAAGGAAGAAAAGTTGCTCTGGCATTTCATGCACCATTGTATTAAATGTTATATGCTCTGTGCTCAGTGGGATAACATATTGCCACATATCTCATCTCAGAATGATCCCATAAATGTCAGTAAAAGTTAACCCAACCAAGATCCTTTTCTGGCACAGAATAGAAAAAATTTTAAAAGGATGCTCAGTCATGTATTTAATATGAAAGGCTTTCACAGATAAGGAGAGATAAGTGAGAGAGATAAAGTCAGAACTCATAATCAGATATTTGACATCAAATCATAAGTTGGCCATTCTGAAAATACTATGGAATGTGAATTGTAATACTCTTTCCAGAACCATTTGCAGCATATGCCTCCACTGGCAGGATTGGCTGGCAGCACAAGCGTTAGTCTTAACAGTGCCTGAAATTAACAAAGGGCATCTCTGGGTGCTTGTTTGACCTCTTTCCACTGGTTATTGTCCATACAAGTCAATTTGCCTTAAGCATAGTCACTATAAAGAATTCAGAGGTTACTCTCCTAGTAGCTCTGCTTTTAAAAATACATGCCAAAGCGCTTTGGGAGGCCAAGGCAGGCAGATCACTTGAGCTCACAAGTTCAAGACCAGCCTGGGCAACATGGCGAAGCCCTGTCTCTTCAAAACATTCAAAAATTAGCCATGTGTGGTGGTACCAGCCTGTAGTTCTAGCTACTTGGGGGCCTGAGGTGGGAGGATCACTTGCGCCAGGGATGTTGAGGCTGCAGTGAGCCATGTTTGCACCATTGCACTCCAGCCTGGGTGACAAACCAAGACTCTGTCTCAAAAAAGAAAATTATAAATAATTTAGGCATTTAACAAATATCTACCACTTGACCTAATAGAAAAAAATAGTTCAATACAGTTAAGTGCCCACGTGTCACTCCTTAATCCCGTGACTCCCATCGTTTTCCAGAGATCATCATCCTGAATTTGCGTAGTTCATTATGTAATACATGTTTTTATGCTTTTGCTATATATTTATGTGTCCATAAGCAGCATCTAGCATTGGACTACATGTTTTAAACTTGTATATGAGGTATCATATTGTGCACATTCTTCCTTCTTCACTCAGTATTTTCAGACTTTAGCCACTGTTGAAGTGGCTTGTAGTCCTGGCTCATTAATTTTCCTTGCTGTTTAGCATTTCATTGTATGAATAGACCATGGTTTCGAAAAACTAATATACTGTTAATGGACACAGTTGATTACAGATTTTCACCATTAAAAGCAATTCTACAATGTACACGTTCCTTTCACACATGTTCTCTATCATATGGAAAATTATGTCCAGACAGCACACCAGAAAAAGGAGGAGGCTTCTCATAGCTAAGAGGGACTGGTCCAGGGACTCTGGCTGTCTACAGACTGGTAGTTCATGGGGCCTTACTGCTTGAGAAGCTGTGCTGCCAGAACAGTGGTTCTCAAACTCTAACCTGTATTAGCCTCACCTGGAAGGCTCCTTGAAACACAGATTGCTCTGTAGGCCTGACTTGAGGCTGAGACTTTGCATTTCTAACAAGTTCCCAGGTGATGCTGAGGCTGCTGGTTTGGAGACTACACTGGGAATTGCTGCTGTAGTACATAATACAATTGGAATGGCTGAACCACATGACTAGATATTGCCAAATTGCTCTCCAAAGTCTATAATTACCAGCAGAGTAGTGAGAGTTCCCAATACTCCACATTCTTTTTAGCACTTGTCATTGTCAGCCTTTTAAATTTGTGCCTGATGGCTGTAAAATGATAGAATATTGCCAAAGTTTTTGTTCTTAGATTACAAGTAAGGTTGAGTAGCTTTTCCTGTCTTCACTGGCAGTTTGATATCCTTCTCTGTGAGTTGCCTGTTCATGTATTTGACCACCTTTCTCTTAGGTTTTCTTTATCAACTCCTGGGAGTTCTTTATATTTCCTGGATATTAATCTTTTTCAGTGATGGGTTAAAATGTCTAATCTTTTTCAGTTATGGGTTAAAATGTCTTCTGTCAGTCTGTGGCTTGCGTTTGCTCTTTATCTATGGTGTCTTTTGGTATACAGAAGTTTCAGTTTTTATGTAATCAGACATGTCATTCTTTCTTTATGGATTGTACTTCTTAAAGAAATCCCTCTCTCCCTTGAGGTCACAGAGATGTTCTCTGACATTTTCTTCTCGAAGTTTTGTAGGTTTGCTTTCATATTTATGTCTTTAATCTTCCTGGAATTTATTTTTGTGAATGGTGTAAGGTGGGGATATAATTTTATTATTTCCAATCAGAAAGCCAGTTGTCTTAGCAGCATTTATTGGATCACCCATTCTTTTCCCCACTTGTATGTAATACCAACTTTGAGAGAGAGAGAGAGATCTGTTCTAGACTCCATATTCTGGTCCATTGTTCTTTTGCCCACCTATGCTTTAAAAAGACATGAGTTATAGGATGAAGGTTCTTACTATTCTAAGTGAGTTACTGGACCGTTCTCTCTAGAACTCGTAGGATCTTAGGGCAAGCACACTTCCCCGGTGCCTATCTGTTTCCCACCAGCCTCCTGCCAGACTTGACTACCTGCTTTCAAATCTCCTGGTTCCTAATTCTTGCCTCAGAACTGTCTAGTTGAGCACATTTGCAGAACTATGATTGTCATTTCCTCAGCCCAGTGAGTAATTCCGCCCTTTCTGGCTTTGGTTCTCTACTTCCCAGGCTTTCTCTTAAGACTTAGATTGACATTTCTCTCGTCTTCTCTATAAGCCAAAATAACTTTACCAATTATAGGTTTACAGTAGAAAAACACTTTCCTGTATACAAAGTTCCTGGACAGAATGGTTGTTCACCAACAGTAATGGAAGGGTTGTTCTCTCAGTTACTATAAAAGCTTTAGGCATAATCTCTAAATACCTGATAGCAAGTTTCTGAGTTACTAATAGTAAATGAATGAGAGCTGTGCTGTTTCCATAACCAGGTGCCAATTCTTTCAGAAAAGGATTGGAAAAGGCATATTTTTCATTTTTATTACATTGTTTACAGAGTAAACACCAGTTTTTTTGACAGAATGGTGTGATGCAACAAGAGTGTCCCCAGGTCTCATTGCTTTTAACTTTGTGACCTTGGGAAAGTCACTACCTTTCTGGGTCTTCCATGTCTTCATTTCTAAAAGGAAAAGAATTAGGCAAGGTGATTGTCAAGGCTTCCTACTTAGAAATTTTGACTCAGTTTCTGGGGAACTGACACATCTCAAAGAACTGGGAGAAGGGTATCATTTATGTCTTTCAGAGGCCAAAAATACTCCCAGATTATAGAACATGCATGATGATAATGAATGGGTATTACAGTGAAGATTAATGTATTTCATTATCTAATCTTCTCTAGGTAACCAAAATAGGTCAGGCTTAGACTTCATCTTATTTTAATGCCATCAGTCTCACATGGCAGGGATATTTGCAGCGTAGAAGTCAGCTAAGGACTTTGGGAAGTGTTTTTTTTTTTTTATGACTTTTATTTCATTTGTTGGTTTTAAATTGCAGCAATGATCTCAGTCAAGACCCAGCCCAAATTCTTTTGACACACCTTCTCCCATTAGGTCATCTGGCCCACATTTTGCCAGGTGGAACTCTCCTTTGGCAAGGTATAAGCATAACAAGGAACAGCTTCTTTGTCTACTAGGGCCAAGTGGGAAGACAGATGTGCTGCTGTACAAACACTCTCCCATCCTTAAGCCAGACTCCCCATGCTGTTTGGACTCACAGCACCTTTGTCTTCCTTGTCTTTTTGCTGTCTTTTAGAAGAGGGCATGGAAAAGAGTTTCTAGGCTTTTTTGAACGGTTAACTTGAATGGCAATGTATAGGAAAGGTATAAGGTCTCTGAGGTTGGCATAGCAGCGAATCCAGAGCTTTTTTTTTTTTTTTTGAGACAGAGTTTCTATGTCGCCCTGGCTGCTGGACTGCAGTGGCGTGATCTCGGCTCACTGCAACCTCTGCCTCCCAGGTTCAAGCAATTCTCTGCCTCAGTCTCCCGAGTAGCTGGGATTACGGGCACCCACCACCACACCTGGCTAATTTTTATATTTTTAGTAGAGACAGGGTTTCACCGTCTTGTCCAGGCTGGTCTTGAGCTCCCAACCTTGTGATCCACCCGCCTCGGCCTCCCAAAGTGCTGGGATTATAGGCGTGAGCCACCACCGTGCCTGGCCCAGAGCTCTTTTAAACAAGCATTCTGTCTAGCCAGGTGGGCCTTGGAGCTGGAGGCTCAGGCACCAGGATAGCTGTTACTTGCTACAGACTGTAAAGAAGTGTGAATTTCAACTTGTTATTTCCCTACCACAATTCTGAATCAGAATGATCATGACTTTGCTGACAGAAGAAGGTAATGTTCTCTGTACAGGGGGAAAAAACTAGCAGAATATTTTTCCTGAATACCCACTGTGGTTATCTCTGGGAGAAAGGATTATAGGTTTCTTTAGTTCTCTCCTTTTAAAATATTTTCCTTATTTTCAACAACGGACATCAATCATGAAACCCAAAAAAAGCGATAAATGTTATATTTTTCAAAACTTCCACTGTGCCTTAGGTGGAAGATCAGAATCTTTGACATGATGGATAAAGGTCCTCACAATTTGGCCCAACCCAGTTTGCAAGCTCTGGTGTTCTTCAGATCCAATGAATTTTGCTCACCATCGCCCAGCATGCCATGAGCTCTCACAACGCTGTGATGCTCGCTCTGTCTGCCGCACCATCTACCACTCTGCTCTCTACCCTACCCAGCCTTCGGGATTCCTTCTGAGAATTCTTTGTGTCCACACGCCTCACCCCCAACCCAGACTGGATTAGTTTCTCCCTTCTTACTGTTCCTGTAGCACTGCATACAGATAGCTACTCTAGCAGTTATTGACTTATACAATAATGATTGTTAAATGACTGGCTCTTCTATAAACCATCAACTTCTTGAGGACAGGGAATTGACTGAATTTAAATCACCTAAAGATACTACTGTGTGGTAGACTTGCCCTGAATTCTTGTTGAATAGAGCAGGTGTTCATGGTAGATATCCACCAGCAGATTTTAATGGTATTTCTTTATTTATAATGGCATTTAATGCCCTGCATGGAATACTGACACAAGAAAGAAAGGATTCACAGTATCTTACCTTGGTAACTTACCTCAGGATGTTTTCCATGGACCTGTACACCCTCTTGCCAGCCCAGATGGCTGCTCAAATGGTTGAAAATTTGGTTGTCTTGCTGGTTTTTATCAGAGGCTGTACCTAGTATTCTCTGCCCATCTGTACTGTACGCTTTGTGAATCAGCAACCCCTTTCTTCACATTTCTCAGGATATCCTCACTAAGGTCTTGTATGCCATCTGAAATTTCCCTGATGCCATGTCTTCTTACAGGGAATCACCTACGTTTTGTTTGGTTTACATTGAAGACATGTATCTTTGATCATGCCCTAGTTTACTCAGACTGTTCTCCTAAGAAAAAAGTTTAATTTTGGGTTCTCCTTTAGGCTCTAAGAGTCTTCTTCATACTTGAATGTATTAATTATCACTTATTGCTTCTGCTTTAGCTTTAACACACTGGATACTGGCATTCCAGCATATTCCTAAGCTTTAGAGAGCCAAAGGAATCTGTTGTTCTATTTCACATGTACAGTCTTTTATATAAAATATATTGCAATATGTATTGAGTATGTATTTTATATAACATATAATTGCATTTTGTGAAAATTTGAATATGTAAAATTGAAATAGGATATTCTAAAAGTATTAATAAAGCCTCACTCCAATTTTAAAATAAAGTTGACTAGAATGACATAATTTCAAAGCTGGAAGGCTTGAGTTGATTGTAAACTGGGTTGAAGCTGTAGCCACATGGCAGTGCCATTTTGGCCAGTAAAATGCAAATAAATACCTGACTTCCCTTGGCAATGTCCTGTGAACCACGTTGCTTTTCACTGCATAGGAACTTGTACTTGTGGTTTTAGTGTCTGTTTATCTGTTATTTTAACATCTTCTCTTGTTAGAATTGAAAATATTTTTGTAGGCTTAGAATGTCACACTAAGCATTCATGAAATGGTGGTAGTACTTGTGCTGGTGCTAAAACTAGCACATGAAAATAAATATGCTTGGAATAGAATTTAGATATGGAGAAACATGAAGAAGGTC
Source organism: Homo sapiens (assembly GCF_000001405.40). NCBI lineage: Eukaryota > Metazoa > Chordata > Mammalia > Primates > Hominidae > Homo > Homo sapiens. The sequence goes on from NC_000007.14 coordinate 30,072,819, forward strand.
AAATAGCCCCCATGGTACACTGTGCTGTTAATTTAGAAATGAGTGCTCTGTTGCTACTGGAGATGATGCTTAGGAAATAAAGTGGAACATTGAAATAAAAATGCACCATGGTGATGTAGATCTGTGCCTCCTGAGAATGCATTTAATCCTGTGGAGAAATCAGTTTTGAATTTTGCATATATTGAATTATTCAAATTTCAGGAACGCATCCTTTGCATAAAATGCATCCATCTGGTTCTTGGGATTTTTTTCATAATTAAAATTATGATATGCCAGTTTCAAAATCTCCTTTTAAAATACATTGGGACAAAAATTATAGATTAAAGTATGAAACATGAATGGCTTTTATTAATATAGTTCTCACCAATTACTTTAGCTTAATAACTTCAAGCCATTCTTTCCATAAATATTTTTGAAGGTTTCTAGCTTAAATACTGTATATCCAGGGTCATAGGGTCATTTAGGACAAACATTTGGCATCCCAGAATAGAATGTTAAAATTGGAAAAAATCTTAGAGATTATTTTACAAAGGAGGAAACAGATGGTTAGAGAGGGCAGCTAAGGGACTGGCTCACGGTCACAGAACATTTCAAAGTATTTCTAATTGTATTGTCTCAATTTTTCAATATCCTTTCCTCCCTCTTTGTTTCTTTATATGTATTGACCTTTTCCCACCATGATAATAAGCTGAAGTTCAGATATATTGATTGACCCAGAGTAAGAGTGGAAGTATTTGTGTTTCTTAAAAAAAAAAAAAAAAAAAAAAAAAATTCCATGTGAGCTTTTTTACTGCTTTAGATTTTTTGGGTCCAAAATCTTGTAATTAGATTTTTTTCATAATTTCCAAATACCAATAGTATCGTGCTACTATGCATTATACAAATATGGCCAAGAATGGTGGTGCACACCTGTAGTCCCAATGCTTTAGGAGGGCAAGGTGGGAGGATCACCTGAGCCCAGGAGTTCCAGAACAGCCTGGGCAACATAGCGAGACCTCATCTCTACAAAAAATTAAAAATAATTAGCTAGGCATGGTCATCCACACCTGTAGTCCTAGCTACTCGTGGAGCTGAGGCAGGAGGATCACTTGAGCGCAGGAGTTCAAGGCTGCAACTATTATCACACCACTGTACTCTAGCCTAGGTGACAGAGCAAGACCCTGTCTCTTTAAAAAAAAAAAAAGTACATTATACAAATAGCACATCAAATTCTGATGAAAGTGTTCCTCATGGAGTTTTTCTTCTTTTCAAGATAATGCATATGGTAAAACATTGCGGCAACACCATGGCTGGGTAGTTCGAGGGGTTTTTGCGGTAAGTGATCCTTCTTGTCTCCTATTATTAACTGTATTGGGTATGCCAGTGGCTAGGGCTAGAAATCTCTTCTTACCCAGTTATTTATCTAGTCATGATTGTCAGAAACAAAGTTGTGTGTGTGTGTGTGTGTGTGTGTGTATGTGTGGTGTTTTTGTTTGCTTTGTTTTTGAGGATAAGAACAAAATGTTATTTATTTCATTTACGTTTATAGGCCTTTGGTGTGTGGAAATGTCAGCAGTAAAAAGTGTCTGGAATAGCAAAGACTGTTAAAGAAATATGAATAAAAGAGTTGATGCTTTACCCTAGCCAATTCTAATTACTCTAGCCAATTCCAATGACCTTGTGAAGATTTGCCTCATAAGTGGTTGCCTTTCTGATAAGGTAGTAAAAAGCTTAAGTATCCTAGCAGAAGTACGTAGGAAGCAGTGATCCTAAATACTTATCATTGAAGGGAAATGATGCATTCAGGTGATGAAGTCAACCTAATAGCTCCCTCTGCTGCCCATTGTATTCATTCCTTTTAATTCTTAGGTCTTAGTTGATTTTTTTTTCACTAATTGAATTTTGTCCTTGAATATTAACTGTATTGGGTGTGCCAGTGGCTAGGAGGGCTAGAAATCTCTTCTTAGCCAGTTATTTTCATTGTGAAGGTGTTTTGTATTCATGTGTTTTGGCTCTGATTACCCACCACCCTCTTCTTCCCAGCATGTTTAACTAGGAAGAACACAAACCTGAGACTCTTAGTCTCCTGGGGAAGTCACTTAGACTGCTTTATAAAATAGCAGGAGTAGATGGCTCCTTTATGTCAGCAATACACTCTGTGATTCTTCCCATCCAGGAAAAGGTCAGTCTTAGTCAAATCTAGTCATGAAAAGGCAGTCTCATGCAGTTGTATGTCAGGAAACCTCATAGAATGTACTCACATTCTTTGGAAGGTTGGGGAATAAAGTAGCCTTGCAGATGGTATCTTTTACTGATGTAAAGGATGCATCATTTGCCTAAAGAAAGAACTGTTTGGGTCGTGCTTTATTAGGGAGGGCGGTAAAGTGGGAAGAATGTACACTACAACAAATCAGATTCTAATGAAAATGAAATATTTTTTGAAAGCATGGAGATTAAAGCTCCATATCCCATTCACTGTTCACTGGGATAGGTGCTGGACCAAATGAAGCTACAGACTGCTCACCCTTACCTTCAATACACCTTGAATAATCATAATGGCTACCATGTAGCTATTGGACACTTGTTGTGTACCAGGCATTCTTAACAGGTACTTTCATATTCTTTATCTTAATTCTCAGGATTAACTCCCACTATTTTACAAATTCAGAACAATTAATTCCAGTCCCCAAGTACCAGAGTGAGGCTATGTCAGAGCCCAGGTCTAAACTCAGATCTGTTATCTCCAAGGTGCTAGTGCTTACCTCCATTAGAGCTCTCTGCAGTGAAGACACAATCACTGAGAGGCCTCTACTGAGTTCTTAGGCAATGGATGCTCACTGTGGTCATTGATCTCCCTGAATGAATATTGTGATTATTGTGATTGCTAGCTTGTGCCTGACACTTGAGTTGCCCCAAAACAAGTGTGGGGGGAAGGGTTCAGTATAGAATGCAAAATTTAATCCTGAAATATTGATGATCCCAGAGATATTGTCAATAAGAATGCAGCTATAGTAGAAAACTTATCAGCATAAATCTTTTTTTCCTTTACCCTGTACTTTAATGGATGCAAAGCATAAGTCTTTAGGAGGACTTTTTAACTTTATTATACTAATTTAGACTCATAAAAAATTTTAGAAATCATGGTAGAAAGAGAAGAAATTAAAACTGTCCATATTTTCCTTTTTTAACATTTTTGTATTTTACTGTCTTAGCTTTTTAATTTACATATTCTTTTAAATATTGATCTATTTTATATACTTAAATATAATATAGATGTTTATACATGCATATAGTATATGTGTATAATTGTCTTTATTTTGTATACTTACTCTGTATATGTATATACATTTTTTCTACCTTTAGCTTGTATAATTTTATATCCCCCCAACTGAATAGAATCTATCATTATCATTTTTAAATGCCATAAAATAGTCTTTGAAAAAAACACTATTTTTAGTGTCTGTATAATATTTTCCTAGTATGGAGATATCATAATTTATTTGCTCAGTCCTCTGTGTGAGAGACTTAAACTGCTTCTAAGTTTAGAATAAAACAGGTTAGAAATAAAACAGCATCTGTTTATATGCATTTTTGAATAAAATTCTTATTTCTTCAAAATAAATTCCTAGTAGAACTGCTATGTCGAATACTAAGAACTACAACCACAGTTTACAGTTTTGAGCACTTAACATGCACTAGATGTTGTTTTAAGTGCTTGACATACATAAATTTCTAAGTCTCATAATCCTGAGATAGATTCCATTATTTTCCCTGCTTATAGACAGAGAAACCTGAGACACAAAGTGATGAGGTAATATACCCAAGGTTGTAGAGTAAAAACATCTTGAAGGCTTTAAATATTATTGCCAATAAAGGTGCTGGTTTTTAAGAAAATAGATTATGTAATGCATTTGGCAACAGCCTTATCAATAGAGGAGTTAATTCTGTAGCTAGATTGGCCTTTTCACCCTATTACTCTCCAAGTCATGCCTACTTTGGAAGGTTTATAAGTTTTCTAACATGCTAACTTGCAGAGCCAAATTCATGTTAACTAATCTCGGTTGCTGAGGGAAACATTGTTTACATCCAAGGAATTTGACTTATTTATCAGCCAAATAGTGACCTTTTAATCTTTCAGCAGTTATACTCTACTGAGCTGATAGCCATTTCAGGCAAGGTGGCTGCCTCCATCTTGGTCACTAACTAGCCTTCATTTGACCTTTTTGGTTTCCTCTTCAATCAGACTAGACAGTTGAACTCTATTACTGGTTCTCCCCTTTTTTTTCTAGAGTGCTGATGGCTGAGTGTAGAATTCTAGGTTAATAAACATTTTCCCTCCAAATTTTGAAGGCATTCCTCTATTGTCCTCCAGCTTCTACTGTTACTATTGTGAAATCCTATTCTATTATATATAATCTGTTCCTTGTCCCTTTCGAAATGTTTTAGATTGTTTTTCCCCACATTCTGAAATTTCATGATGTGCCCTTTTGGTCTTTATCATTCATTATGCTGAGCACTTGATTAGGTCTTTAAATCTGGAGACTCCTATCCTCCAGTTCTGGGAGATTTTCTTTTGTTATGTTTTTGGATAACTGCCTTCTCTTAATTTTCAGTTTTCCCACTCGCTTGTACTTTGACCATTATCTTAAGTATTTATCATGTGCCAGGCAGTGGGCTAAACACTTCCTACAGATCCCATTAATGCTTAAAATAAGGAAAGTGGTATTAGTCTTCTTCTATAAATAAGGAAACTGAGATTCTAGGAAGTTAAGCACTTTGCATAAATTCCTCAAACTGGTATGTGAAAGATCTGAGATTCAAGTCCAGGTCTGCTTCATCTAAGTCTGTGCTTTAGCCACTGCATGATAATGCCAGTCACTCTCTTACTGCAAAAATGGGGAGGTCTGATTCTCAAAGACTTTCAAAGTATAAGGAAGATCAGGAAAGCAACTGTGGAATGATAATTCAAGATTCTTCAAAAAGCCTCTGCTGAGATCTAGTGACCGCCAGAAAACAGATTTTAGCAAGCTTAGGAAATATTGGCCCGCAAAGGAAGAGAAGGATAAGATGCCTAGGAAATCTGTTAGGCAAGTGGCATAATATGGTGGTGTGGTTGAAAAACACAGAGATGATCCAAGTTCAGATCCTAGCCCTGGCACTCATTAGCTGTATGACGTTTATATATAAAATAGAGATATAAACTGTACAGGGTTCTTATAAAGATCAGCTAGAATAAACTATGTTAAAGCATCAGCGCACAAGCAAACAATAAATGTTAGCTCCCTTCCTTTCTAGAAAGCATTCAAGAGTGCAAAGGAAAGATTATTCTTATGGGGGAAAAATAGAAGATACGCAAAGAAATATATAGAGATGAGATACAAATAAGAGAATGAGATGCCCCAGAAGACAGGCCATGTGGGAATAAAGACCATGATGGCAACATGCATATAGATTCTGAGGATTTGAGGGGAATAGTCTGGATCACACTGTGGATCAGAAGGGAGCTTTTCTCAGACTCTCTCTCTCAGCATTCCCTGATGTGATAGCATTATTTATCCTTAAGGTGGCCCAAGTACATGCTTGTTTCTTCTAGCCTTAAAGTTATTTGAATTGGCCCTTGAAACATAATTTTAGAGAAGCCACAAATTAGAAGGGTAGTCATATTTCTTTACTCTTGCTCTTCTCAGCTGTTTGTATGTGTGAAAGTATGTGTGTGTGCATGTGCACATGCATAAAAATAAGAGTGTGAGAGACAGACTTGATGCAGATTCTCATGGGTTATTCTTTTGCAGTTAGCTTTAAGGGCAGCTCCATCCTATGAAGATTTTGTGGCCGCGTTAACCGTAAAGGAAGGTGACCACCAGAAAGAAGCTTTCAGTATTGGGATGCAGAGGGACCTCAGCCTTTACCTCCCTGCCATGGAGAAGCAGCTGGCCATACTGGACACTTTATATGAGGTCCACGGGCTGGAATCTGATGAGGTGGTATGATGGCTGCTGGGCAGCACCTCCTAACTTCAGGGAATAAGTGCTAAAGTGTTTTGTTGCCCTACTTAATTTCCAGCAACAGCCTCAACCCTCTCCAACCCCTTCACCTGGGGGGATGGACAGGAGGTGGCAAAACCCAGTGCTTTTATAATTTTTAAAATGCATATGTGTTTTGTTTAAAGATCAAGGTGCTATATATTTCAGTTCAGCAGGCCTACTGGAAACCAAATGATAAGCTGCTGTAGACTTGAACAGCAAGTTATAAGAGCAGATTTAACAAACAAATTTGCTGTTATTGTGTATTGTATTGTTTTTATATTTTAGTCTAATGGGCCACCCAAACCCAAGCTGAAAATCAGCAAATTCCATATTAAGTACCATAATTCATAGCCAGTGTTTCAGCCAACTTAGACTAGACATTTGGAGGTAGTATAAGCTGCTTTGTTGAAGCTGTGTAGAGTTTGCTGTTCCTAGATGTTCTTCAGTGGACCCTCTTCACTGCAACTCTGTCAGTGATAAGGGCCTGTGTAGTAAAGATGTTCAGGGCATTCACATGACCATGCAATTGTGGGAGGCGAAGAAGACGTGGACAGGAGTCCCATCCTTGCTGACAGGCATGAAACCGTTGCTCTGAGAAGATTAATGGTGTGCCCTAGCCCCAAGTTGGAGGGGAGAATATGAGAGAGGTGGGACAGGTCATTTGAGATGACACCTCCCAACTGCCTACCATTTACCAGCATGTTCCCCATGCATTATCTCAATTGGACATCACAAGTAATGATACCCAGAGGGATTATTACTCCACTTCAAAAGCAAGGTTTAGAAGTTGAGGGATCTGTTCACAGTCACATAGTTTTTAAGCAGAGGAGCCAGATAATTTCCAAGTGTGACCTGGACTGCCTCTGCATCAAAGTCATATGGAGTGCTTGTTCAAACAGCAGATTCCCAGGCCTTATTTTGGCCTAAAGAACCAGAGTCTAGGTGGTGGGACATAGGAATCTGCATTTCAGTAAACTTTACACGTGATTCTTCTGCACACAGTATTGAAGAGCAACTAGATTAAATTCTAGTTTACAAAATTACCAGTTTTCTTCAAGAACTAAATGATATGTCCTTTTTTTTTTTTTCAAAGAGGATAAGGCTGCTATTTAAATAAAATAGCTAAATGGAGAGTGAGAAGTGGAGCAGGTTCATTCAGCAGCATTCTTAATTGAGCCAGCATTGACACCCAGCCAGCAGGCCTTTGCATTGCATTCGGGGACCATGACTCTGAATCTGCTTACCAATCAATCTCGGTTTAATCACCAAAAGTGCAGAGCAGGCAAAATGCAGCTGTTTATCAATCTCAAAAGCTTTGGGACAGTGTCATAGTTGAAAGATGAGACTTAAGAAAACAGTTTCTTAAACTTCTTAAAACTTAAGAAACATTGTTTCATAAAACAATATTGAGTGGGCATTCTTCTGCACAGTGTGATGCTCCAACCCTGGCCCTAGTCTCAGTAGACCATGCTGCCTCGAGTGTGCATCGGAGAGAAGCCATGGGTACCTTCCCCATTAGAGGCTACTTCCTTCTAGTAACAGGAAGGGAAGTTCCAGCATGAGGTAGTTATCCAGGGTAGAAGGTCCTTTGAGGGGCTTGGTTGAATTGAGAGCATCATCTCTAGATGATGCTGTTCCTGCTGCAGATCTCTAGGATGGAGAGAATTCTCTCTTTAGTCAGAGAAGTTTATGTAGGGAGGGGTATTGGTTTTGCCTTTGTGTGTCTTTAAACAAATGAACATTTATTTAGCTCAGATTAATTAGGTATTTTGCCCACATAAAGACTTCTGGAAAATACTTAAACTTGAAAAATCAACATCACATGTTTTAAAGCTAGGGAGAAAGAAGGGGGGTATTAAAATGATGTTGATTATTTTGTATTTTGCCAAGGTGTGTGTGTGTTATTTCCCTCCCACTCTCATGAGCAGTGAGTATAGATCTCCTTCTCTGATTAGTATGAATATGATGGCAGGACTCGGGGATAGTCCCTGCCCTTGACATAGCCCCCTAAAACGGAAAAAGAAAAAGCCAGTTTTTGCTTGTACTTTGAATGAAGATGTTTTAGGCATTGTACCATTTAGCGGGGATGATACCAGGTGGTTGTTAGAATTGTGCAGTGTGATCATTCTAAACAGCTGCTGGTGCTCCCTGTCACCTCAGGTGAACTCTGTGGTCTCTTGGAGAGGTAGCACTCTGAAAATACCTCAGGTTTGCCACCGCAACTCTGAATACACACAAAAGGAAAGCTGCTCAGCATGGCCATTTTGCATTTGTATAGGTAGTGACTAGATGTACACAACTTAATTTGCTGGGAATGAGGGGCTTAATATTATCTGAGATCATTGAGAACCCAGATCAGACAGAATAGCTTGAATAAGTTACATTTTCCAATTACCCTTTTTCCACATCTGTAGAAAGAGGGTAATATTTTTTAATAGGTATTTTCCCCACTGGAGCATATTACGTTTGCCTAAGATGTATAAAAGTTTGTTTAAGATGTGTAAAAGTTTGCTTAAGGAACTGAGGATCCTTAAATAAAAATATTAGAAATTAGAAATTGAACCTAATACTAAACAGTAAATTCAGCTTAACCTGAACCTTGGCATAGTCAGAGCTTCCTCCTACATCTAAAGTATTTGCTCTCTGTTTTAGTTAAAGTCATAATTTGCGCTGATGTGTAATCACTTTCCAAGAAGAGGGCAATGAGAAAAGATATTTAAAGCTTTCTCTCCATAGCCCTCCAAGACTTCTGGGACAACTAAATTTACTTTCACCATTACTGTGAGAGGAGGTGAGAAAACTCTAGTATTTTGTTGGCAGAGTAATCACTTTGTTCTCATCGCTCAAAGCATTTTTAGGATTATTTTTCTAGCGTAACCTTTAGAGAGAACTGGAAGAAAAAGGAAATTGGTCTACTAGGTATTGTAGACACAAATAAGTAACATTAGGCTAACCCCTTATGAGACATTTCCACACAATTTCATCGTGCCTGTACTTTTCTCTATGGTAAAAGCCAGTGTTTACACTTTGTAGGGATCAGGGTGTATTTGTTGAATTAAACAAAATATTTTCAATGATGGCAAGTCTCTTGACTTTTGAAAGCAAGTCAGATTCCTTATAGCTAATGCTGGTGAAAAATGTTAAATTGGAGAGATCCCTTTTGGGAGTGAAACCAAATTGTAACTATGAGGAGAAGATGGTCTTCTCATTGGCTCTTGATGTAGCTCTGAAGGGAGTTCCAGAAGAGGAGCTCTCACAGAATGTTGAGCCTGTGGGCCCAAGACATTGACTTCGAAGGGTAGTTCTCATTAGGATGTATAAGTAGTGGCTTGAGGCACCTTCTTATCATTTTTTGCATGTTATTCTGATTATTAAACTTCCCCCAATGTCATATTCCATGATGAGGGATTTCTGAACTCCATAGTCCAGCGTTGTTGCTTTTCTCTCTTCTTTGCTACTGAAAATTGCCAGCAGTACCGCCATCAGCACACCAAATCTACCCCCACTTATGTTTGTTCTGCCCCATTTCCCAGGAGCAGCTTCTAGCACATATGTAGAGTATCTGGCACCACCTTAGCCCAGGGCTGCGTGCCTGATCAGTGGGGATTCTGTTCCCCCACCCCCCAGACTGCAAGAGCTTCTTAAGAAGGAGCCCATATTCCCATTTGTAGCTGGAAAGCGGGTGAATGACATGACATGGGGCACCTAGGAAAGATGATTATTAGAGGAGTGCAGCGGAAAAAAATTTGCACTCTTCTCCTTTTGGTTATTACTTTCCAAATATATTAACAAAAAGTTGATGCTTTTAACTTTATATTTTCAGAAAAGTGTTTTTAATTAAAAATATGTGATAGGGACCAAATAAGTAAAGTACATTTTTCTCCACTAAATTTGAAGTGAGGGAAAGAGGAGCCAAAGTAAGAGATTTTTTTTTAAGGAAACTTAATCTGATTGTGAAAATCATACATATGGAGAAACATCAGATCAGGCAATAGAGTCAGAGGGTCATGAGCAATAGACGATGATGCGAGGCATTTGGGGAGCTTCCTGGAGGAAAATTAAGTTTTTTTCCTAGCAAACTACCATGTCCTACAAGAACTTGGTTATATAATGGTGCGTCTCTGAATCACTGATTAAAACCAGTTGCTTCTGATTTTAGTCACAGGTTTTACAAGTATTCAGCTCTCCCTCATGTTTCATTTCTTTTTTTAAGATAATCTATCAACCTTTTTTAAATTTTAAAATTTTTAGATGTAGAGTTTATAAGTAAAATATATTTTTAGCCATTGTTCTGTTAGCTGAGCTGATGTGTTTGGTCTTAGAGGGCCTGACTTCAGATACTCTTTGTGATCTTGTAAGGGCTCTACACAAACTTCATTATGTATGGTAAATTTGTATTCTTATGGATTGTATATAGAATGCTTTCGTTAGAAGTACATTCTACTTCTGTATGTCCCTTTGTAATCCGCAGTTGCTTACTCAGGGGTTTCATAGTCATTTCATAAAAAATAATTCACTAGCTGTCTAATGGTATTTTAAGACTGTTTATCTGTATCACAACGTCATTAGGAGTTCTTTCAACAATTCCATAAATATACTGTTTACTAGACCTTCCCTGTAAATGTTCCCAATTCCCATCCTGTCTCAGACAGTCAATAGTCCTGTGTACAGTGACTATTTGCATGATTTCTCATTGCACTGCTGCATTCAGGCACTCCAGGGCATGATTAAACAGTCATTAACAGTGCCTCTCTGGTACAGTTGATGCATGCATTGATCTTTCTTCTCTGCTGTTTTTATATAGCCTTTAATTAAAAGGAAAAAAATACCACTACTCTGCAATGCAAAAGTCTTCAAAATTCTTTGTTTCCTGTATTAATCACTTCTGTTCCAGAGTGAACAAATGTTTTCAGCTAAGCTATGTGAGAATGTAAGAATAATATCCTGCTTGTTCTAAATAGTTCATATATTTAAAGTGTGGTCAGTATTTCCTCCCTGTACCTTACAAACAGAAACCACCCTGGGATGGTTGATACCCCTTACAAAGTCGATCTTACCCACACAGACTCCTGTGTATGCGTGTCTGTTTATAGGTGTATATGGAGTCAGTGTTGATAGGAAGGATGCTCTAGAAGTACTTCTGTTGTTTCCTAGAAGGCTATGAGCCAGTTCCATGGCATGTTTAATGTATAATTCCCATGTATCATGAGAATTTCACTAGAATGTCATTAAACAGCCCAACTACCTCATGTGAAATTGGCTGTGGACAATCTGTGTCAGATGAGAAATGTGTTCAGATAAATTTAATCTGGTTAATAGACTTAACAAATTAATGTCTACATAAAGAAGAAACATGATAGACCAGATGCCAAAGGCTAAAATGTACATAGATTTCCTTGGATTAATTTTTAAGTCACTGTTTAATTCCATGCCTAGTATTCTTATGAATGTTTGTGGTTTCATAGATTTATGCACTTTGAATATCTGTCACGTGCAGTGTTAATGTTACCTGTTCTTGTCTCTCAGCATTTTGAATGAGCATCATAATCAGAGTAGAAGGCAAGTTAAACTATAAAAGTGTCAAGTGGCTTGTTAACTTCTTAATTTAATGGACCTTTACTTAGAATATAATATGTTGGAGCCTCTTGGGACCAACCGATGAGCGACAGTTTCATGTTTAGATTTGTATTGTTTCTCTGTCCAAGTCCTTATTCTCTATCTTGTGGGGAGGGGTGACAGGGGAGGGTTTTACTTTTTTTGCAAAAATGTTTGAAAATATCTGTCAGATTTTATATTCGTTAGTTATAATAAACTTATTTTTAAAGTATTAAGTTCTTAAAGGTTTTTGTGTGGTTTTCTGCCTAATTGAATATGTCAATAAAAAGTCTCGTTTATGGAACACACATGACTTGCTGGGCATCAGTCTAAGCCGTTTACAAATATAAGAACATTTCATCCTCCTAATAACTCCATGGGGCAGGTACTGTTGTTATCCTCAGGTTACAGCTGGGAAAACTGAGGCATATATTGAGGAAGCCCCTTGCCTAAGATCCCACAGCTAGGAGGAATAGAGCCAGGCTACAAACCCAGGCAACCAAACTCCAAAATCTTTTTCTTTTTCTTTTCTTTTTTTTTTTTTTTGAGGCAGTCTTGCTCTGTTGCCCAGGCTGGAGTGCAATGGCACAATCTCAGCTCGCTGTGACCTCCACTTCCTGGGTTCAAGGGATTCTCATGCCTCAGCCTCCTGAGTAGCTGGGATTACAGGCATGTGCTACCATGTCTGACTTTTAATTTTAGTAGAAATGGGGTTTCACCATGTTGCCCAGGCTGGTCTCGAACTTCTGGCCTCAAGTGATCCGCCCACCTCAGCCTCTCAAAGTGTTGGGATTACAACTTGAGCCACTGTGCCCAGCCCCAAGCTCCAAAATTTTTATGAAACTGTTTAAAACCTAAACAGAAGACCATTTTGAAGCATCAGACAGCCTCTGGAATGGCCTTGCCCTGGGTGTTTTAAGCATTCGAGAAAGGCTCGCTCCTTTCAGAGGTAGCTATGTTCTTTGGCTTGGTTTAATTCTGTTTTCAGAGACACTAGATGTAGAACAATTAGTAGATTAATTTGCTAAGCCTAATGTTTCAATGGCTGTGTGCTTAATTAGATGACATCTGTAGCAGACGCTTTTTTGTCTAAATCACTTGATGTCAAAGTAGTGTTGAACCTGTCAGGTTTTGCCTCTCACACACTTGTTTGTGCATATTAGGATACCTACGGATATGTATGACTGGCATTGGAGAGCTGTCCTGTCCACCCACGTCTCAGGGAATCTTCCCACTATTGCCCACTTGAGCCCTCTCCAGCCACCTCTTTAAACACAACAGCTAAGTCCGTTAGAATTGAGAGTGGGAGGGATTGAAAGAAGAGAGAAACAGGAGTGTTGAGTGGTAGGTGCTTGAGCAAAAGGGTCAAGTAGAGTTGGGACTGGGGTGGCTATGTTGTGCCATGTGCAAGAGAAGGAAGAAGAAGAAGCTGGTGGAGAGGAAGGATGGTGTAGGCACACTGAGAAGCACTGATGCAGAATCATGTAGTAGCCAGGGACACCAGCAAAGTTTCCTTGAAGGCTGGCTTCCCTTTCCTAGTTCCAGCTGTCTGGAGGCCCTTGTTCCTTGCCCTGAAGTTCCTCTTCTTGAGAAACCTGTACCTTTACAATACACTGCCTTGACCTTTTTACTTGCACTAATTTTAATGGGCCACTATCCCTTCAAACAATCACTGTGACGAGCTTATCTGTCATTGTTCCACACTGAATATAGGCAAATCATAAGCAAAACCCAAATGAGATATGTTGAGGAATCACCACCACCATCTGCCTCACTGGGTAAGAAAGGAAGTGCCTTTCAGACCTGAAGTCAGTCTGTATGGGCTCTGCTTATTCTAAGTTGTGAGCAGTACCCCACTGATCCCCAGGATCTTTCTCATAATGGCTTCTGATAAATCTAAAACATCAATACCGCTGGAGCAGGCTGTGTAAGGACCAGCTATCTACCTCTGGCCTCTCTGTGCCTAGGTGGAGGAGTGTGCTCAGATGGGAGGTATATGAAGGGAGTTCATTTCTGTTCTTCAGCTGTACCCTTTGGGGTGCTTGGACTGCTGTCCAGAGGGTGAACAGAGCTGGTTTCAGAAAAAGAATGTGTTTGGATGTCTGTCCCAACTTCCAGTGGGTAGAGGAGTACAGCTGCCTTGTGGTCATGAGGGTCCAGCAAAGGAGAACAGAGTGTGGCTGTGCATGCCACTTGCTATTACTCCAGAATCTGCAGGTACTGGTGCATTTTCTGTTCTACCATCACTCTATGATAACCTGGACACACCTGGAAGATCTGTGCTCATCTGTGCTGCAGTAGAGAAACTGAAAGAGCAAGAAGGAATAGAATGACCCTAGAGTTGATATTTTTATTTTTTTCTTTCACTCTTGTTGGTAGGTTAGAAGAGCTGCTCTTTTATGATATGAGCACATGTCCTGTGTGTGTCCACATGGATTGACACACACATCCTGCCACTGTCATTATTATTGTCATCCTCTCCAGAGGCACAAAATAGAGATAACCACCTTTGGAGCAGTGTGGTTCGGGTTGATGGAGAATTGATGAACGATGATGGTCTGACATCAGCACTGAGGACACAGATCACGTTTGGGATGATTTGCTGTGTGAATGCATTGTCCTCAGAGAACAAAGTTGTCGCATCTTTGCTGACACTTGTGTATGGCCAGTTTTAGGACCTTTTGCTTTGGCTTGAGAGTCCAGCTTGTTGGAAAGGTTTTTAGATATTGTGAAGTCAAATTCTGCTTCAGAGTCTTTTATGAGATCACCTTAGACAGTGAATTCCCTCATCCTCCCCTTCCCTTGATAATTGTGCTTCAGTGACCAACCCTCTTCCCCAGAGTTCTGTGGTTACTGGGGGAAATGTGATGATTCTCCACCTTGTTCTTAATTTAGACCTGGCTCTCTGCTCTCCTCCCTGCGGATAACCCTTCAATTATACTTCAGGCACAGGTCACTCATCTAGGCTGTGGTCTCAGAGCTCCAATCCAGACCCACCTGCCTACTGACCATCCCTTAGAGACCCTACCTTCACCTGAAACCCCAAAGCCAAACTTGGTTGCACCTACAGCTTTTCCATCCAAGTCAGTTGAGTCACCATTGTTCTAGTCTCTCAGGCAAGAAATTCAGACACTCTGAACTCTTTTCTCACTTCCTCTCTATACCTGCTGTGTCAGCAAGGCCTGCCTCAGCCTCCAAACTCCCAGTGCTGTGCACAGCTATGCTTGATCTCTGGATTCTCTGCTCTTCAACCTGTCATGGCCTTCCAAACCTGAAAATGCTCCCTGTGACTCTATGCCAGGCTTTAAGTCCCTTCACAAACTTGGTATGCCCTTTTCTCATCCTTATTCCTGGAAGCCCCTCAAAATCTTCCCAGACTCAACACATCTCTGCTATGGATTTTACCTCTAAACATTCCCTGCATTTCTAAATGATACTTTATGAATTACAACTTAAGGATGGGAAGTGTGACTCCAAGGTAACTGGACTAATTCTTTGGTGTTAGGTTCTGGTTATTGGTGTAGCCACCTCTCTCATTAAATCATGAACTTTACTTTCCTGTCAATGTGCCCCGCACCTGACAGTGCCTTCCTTGTCCGTCGTAGAATTCCAAAACTGTCCTAGGAGTTGGGCGTCACCACCAATGTGCTTTGTGATTCTTCCAGATGTGTTAGTTCTGTTAGCCAGCTAGATAAAAATATTTTTGAAGCAAAACCATACACTTCTATTCCCTCCTGCTCCCTTGGCTGCTCAGGAAATACTTTTTGAGTGCCTGACCACTCAGAGTATAAATAATTTATGTGTTTTTTTATATTTTGTCTTTGCTAATGCACATGCAAAATGTTTGTATTTTATAGGTGCTTATATATATCAAATTATGAACGATTAGAATGCAAGGTCCAGCTCATGGTTCTCACCCTGTTTGTGCATTAGAATCACGGGAAGGACTCAAAAAACAAGCAAATAAGAAAAAATATATGTATCACTTATATCTGGGCATCTCCCAGACCACTAAAATCAGGCTTAGGAATGTGGCCTGTCACTGATGTTAAAATCTCCCCAGTGATTCTAATTTGCAGCCCAGAGTGAGAACCCCCAGAGCTGCTGGTTTAGTCCTTTAAAATTGTAATGTGGGATCTTTTAGGATAAATATGGCCAGATCACAGCCCCTTCATCCCCTAAAGCTGAACATAAAGAACAACCAGAATAAATAAAAATTCAAAAAGTAAAACTCAGTTAAAAAAAATTCACTAGCACCCAGGCAATGGAAGGAGCCCAACCTTGTTTTTGTGTCTTAAACTTCAAAAGATGATAGTCAAACAAAAAGACCAGATTTTTCTGGTAAGAAAGAAGAGCTCCTAATCCCACCCACTAGAGGGGATTGGCAAGATGCAGAACACTCATTGAAATTTAGGGTTTTGGAAAGAAGTTAATTGGTGAATAGGGGCAGGATGAGTATCTTTATCTCTTCCTTATTTTGAGTGGGGGTGTTGTAGGGTGGGGTGGGGGTGGGTTGTGGGATGGAGTTTGCTGGGGAGAGATGGGTGAAACAGAGGACTGGAACTAGCTCATCCCTGAATTAAGAGACAAACCCACATTCCAAAGGCTGTGTCCCCCGTACATACAGTAGATATGTCTCCTCTCCATTCAGAATTCACTGTGGTGCAGGACTTAACGCAAGTATCAGAAGACAGAGCAGAGTCCAGTCCTCTAGTAAAAGCCTCTATACACAGCTCCTTCCTCCTCCATACAGACACAAAGACACGAACAGGCTGGGCTCATATTTGGCTGGTACACACTAATGTGGCTGTGCTGGTTATTAAAATATCAAAATACTTCCACACCACGATGGAAAGAATCACTTATCCAAGTGTCTCATGCTGTTCTGGCCACCCCAGCCCCTCTCACAAGAAGCCCGCCCCCCCACTCCAGACCACCCCCACAGACCAGCAACTACAGGAGTAACATGTGGCCCAGAGCTATGACCAACCTCTGTTCTGTCTGCTCAATGTCTGTGACATGTTGATGCTTAAATATTTTCAGTGTCATCCATTAGGAAAGTACATAGAACACAACCCTATAGGGGAAGCGAAATAGATGCCAAACAAGATGGGAAATATGTCAAGGAGAATACACTGACACTGTATGAAAGCAAATACCTGGTCTGAACAGAGCTGCTCACCTTAAACATGAGCAAATGTAAGGAAGATGGCCTGGCAACTGTGTGAGTATGCTACAGCCAGAAAGGGGATGGGGGTGGAGTGGGAAACAGGTGAAACCAATATGGAAAAAAAGCTAGTCCAAGAAACAAAAGTTCCCACAGGTGTGTTGTGCTCTCAGAGAACTTAGAAAACATGAACTCAATAAAACAAGCACTCAGGAGCCAGTGAAACAACAGAATGAGATAAAAAGGCAGATGACAGAGATAAGAAAACTTCCCTAAAATAATATAGAACAAATAAATATATTCGAAATAGCAAAAAACATGGTTGAAAATGGAATTGATAACAGAAGAAAAGGCTTGAAATGATGCAGTGAATGAAGAATTTTAAAAACAGGGATTCGAGTAATTCCTGAAAGGATAAATGTAGGAGTATCGAGATATTCTGACATAAGAATAATTGGTGACCAAAAATAAAAAGGAACTAAAAAAGTATCTGGAGATAAAATACAGAAGATTTTTCCTGAAATGAAGGAAGGAATCTTTAGATTAAAAGAGTGCACTATGTTGTAGGAAATCCAACAGAAAACACTTGACACCAAAACATACCCTGATGAAGATCCTGAACTTCAAGAATGAAGAAAGAATTCCTCACCATTCAGGCAGAAAAAGCAAGTCACCAAGGGACCTCAAACTTCCTTTCCACAAGATTCTGTGACGGGAAACAATGGGGGAGTATTTCCGAAGTTCTGAGTAGGAAAAAAGAATGACTCAAATGTATTATTGCCAACCAAGTCGTCAAATCTAATGTCAAGTTCTCTTAAGCAGGTAAGAACTCAGAACATAATACCTGAGTGCCTTCTTAAGGAAACCATTTGATAGGAAAGATGAACCAAATAACTCAATGATGGATGAGCTGGTAGAAAAAAAGCTGGTGGTGAACCAAGGTCAAACTGGAAATTATAGTCACAGTATAGATATAGATTATAAATATTACAAACCCTAAGATAGCTAATAAATTGGGAATGGGAGAAGGGAGGATATAAGAGCACTAATGCCCTCTTATTTTCATAGCAGAGACTTGATACTGTCTCAACTTTTTTCAAAAACACAATTTCTTAAATTTTTTGGTAATCTTTTAAATAAACAGATTTCTAAAAAGAAATACGTATTGTTTCAGTTCACTTTAGTTTCTTGTCTTAAATACGAGCCAATTAGCTGAATGCTATTTATTTAAAAATAAATATGATAAGAAATAAATTAAAAATAAATATGATTTTACGTTTATAAAAATTCCTCAGCCCGGCATGGTGGCTCACACCTGTAATCCCAGTGCTTTGGGAGGCCAAGGCAGGAGGATCGCTTGAGCCAAGGAGTTTGAGACCAGCTTGGGCAACAGAGCAAGACCCCTTCTCTACAAAAAAATCTTTAAAAATTAGCCAGGCGTGATGGTGCATGCCTGTAGTTCCAACTACTCAGGAGAGTGAGGTGGGAAGATCGCTTGAGCCCAGGAGTTCAAGGCTGCAGGCCACTGCCCTCCAGTCCGGGCAATACAGCAAGACCCTATCTCTAAATATATATTTCCTCTATCTCTCTATCTCTGTAGAGACAAATCAAGAATTATATTCACCTAAAGTGGATTACGATTATTTTTAGGTGGGTATTGATTTTGTTTTACTCTTTTTTTTTTTTGTACTTTACTATATTGCTTGACTTTTGTTTGATGCCTATGATATCTTTTTATTTTTTAATGGAGGATGGGAGGTGTTTTTCTAAAAACAAGGTTAAAAATCATTGTAGAGTGTGGTGGACCCCCGGCAGGTGCTGCTCCTTATAATGACATTTGCTTCATAACTCCTATCAAGGTTCTTTAAAATTTCTAGCTTTATCTCACTACATTTTTTTTTCGCTGCTAATTTTTCTCATAAGCTGCTATTCCTTTACCCACACGAAGCTATTGCTCATCCAAACATTCCATTTTATACAACTCATTAAGGATTGGGACATTCTTTTGGGGCTAAAGGGAAAGACTGAATGCCAGTATGATACCTAGGGACTTGCCCAGTACATCTGAAATAAATGGAAAATTAGGGAAAAAAAGCCATTTGGAGTGGTTGACAGTCATCTTACAAGAAGCCAGAAAGACTCTTAGCAACATGGGGATTTTGCACATGAATTGGCTGCAGTTCACCGAAGGAGCTGAAAGATTTCTTTCTTTGTGCTTCTGTGAGTTTGGAAATGAAATGTCAATCCTTTCTCTGCCCAAGTGAAATTGCTGGGCCATAGAGCATTAGTTCAGCATTAGCTTATGCTGATCAAACCCAGCCATCCAGAGATGGCAGATGAGAGAATGGAGCAGTAAACTTTATTCCACACACGTTTGTTTTAAGGACCATTCAGCCTTATGTTCATAGAAGCCCGTGGAAGCCCTGTATTCTCTTGTGGCATGTATGTGAGCAACTAAGGACCCTGTCTCTGTGTGTTACACAAGACTTTTATAAAATCCCAAATCCTCAACTTGATTTGTATGAAAAGATGATCACAGGATTGTGGAGCTGGAAGACTCCTTCGTTCATAGTGGGAGTCATAGTAACTATTGCAAAAGATTGTTATAAGGATCAAGTCGGGAATTGTGCACAGTGTCTAGCACCAGGCAAGAGCTACAAAAACGGTGGTGGTAATAATAGTCGTTGTTATTGTTTGAAAGGGAAGTATGGCTCCATCCTGCCTGGAGTTTACCTGGTGGAATAAGCCTTTTCTTATTTGTTCCACTTGTCCCTGCCCTCACAGAAGATTCACTGCTGCCCCTAGTCTCCCCACTTTGCACTGTGTGTCACGGCACCTTCAAGTAGAAGACCCTCATCTAGTCATGTCTGTATGTGAATGTGGCACTACCATTTCCTTGCCTGAGCCCCGGAGCCAGCTGCAGTGCTCCACAGCTGTATCCCAGTTGGAGGATTCCAGAAGAATGGCTGAGCATTAGGATGCACCTGACACTCTCCATAGGACCCCATTCTCCATACTCCGGAGGACATCTGTTTTTCTGCCTTCATCTCCTCCCCTTATTCGGAGCACACTCTTATTCCTTTGAATGAACTGCCTTCTCCACTCTGAGCTCTGGTTGGGCCGCCGGTCACAGTCCCCAGGCCTCTGGCCACAGCGTGGGCATATGATCCAGAATAGGCCCATCATGGGACTTCCCTGGGACTATGTATTTAGAGACTGGGAGAGACGATCCCTTTCCCCTAGGGTTAAAGTGAGATCGAGAGAAAGTGAGGATAGAGATACGACATTTAGTCCTGAATCAAGTCATGCCTGGGGCCACCTCCATGCTTGCTTTTTCTGGTTATGTAAGTCAGTAAGTCCCACTTTATTTAAAGTTCATTGGAATTAGGATTCTATCACTTGAAACCAAAAGAAGCCTGATAAGTTTTCAAATAAGTCCAAGATATGCCTTTGGTGAGGTTACCAGATTTTCTCTCAATGCTTTCCTCCTCTGCATAACATATGGGCACGTTATTTTACAGTGGGGTTAACAGAAGAAAATTGAGAAACATGCCTAAACTGGGGCCAACTGGGGTCCAATTTCAGTTATAACTATTTGGTCTGCTGCAGCATCAGGACACTGGCTGTTAGCTTTTACTTCTTTCCTAAATAACAATAATAATTATGAATACTTATGAACTACCAACCACTGTGTGAAAAACTTCCTATAGGTTCTCACTTAACCCTGAGAGTAGCTGTGAAGTGGACACTATTATTAACCCCATTTATAGGTGAGAAGAGGAAATGTTGCTTGTCTTGCTCAAGGTGGGTGAGAAAGCACATGAGTGGTAGGACTGTGAGCCCAGACAGCCTGCCTCTAAGCCCACAGCCTTACCACTATGTGGCTATGTCCTGTGATGTAAGACAGAGCGGAGGCTGGAATCAGACCACGGGTCAAATCCCAGCACTGCCACACCCTCACCATGGGATTTTGAGCATGTTAGTTAACATCTCTGGATTCCCTTTCTCCTCTGTAAACTGAGATAAAGAGATTGCACAACCCTGCTCATAAGATTCTTGCAAGGACTAAATGAGGCAGGGGATGTAAATCGCCTGGCATGTTGCCTTACTCTCCTGGACAGGCAAAAGCTTGGTGTTTCCATCATGACCCACTTCTGAGTCTCCTAAGCTCAGCTGCCTGCCGCATGCATGGGTACTCAGCTCCAAGCAGCTCCTCTGCTTCCTTCTCATCTTCCTGGGTGTGAGCATGGAAACCACGTTGGACTTGGAATGGTCAGATTGGACTCTGGTCTGCCTTTCAGTTTACAAACTGGGTCACCTTGGACAAATCCTTTAACCCCTTGATCTTTTGTTTCCTAGTCAGTGAGACTGAGATGGTGTTGTTATGAGGATTAGCTGAGATGACACATTGCTAGCATATAGCACTGTGCCTGGCACATGGCTAGTACTAGTTAAGTTATGATGGAATGGTTAGGGGACATATGTACCTGTTTCTGACAGATAGCTAATTCCTTTTCAGCTCACTCTAACTGTACCTAGACACAAAGGAAATTACATTATCCGAAGGGACATCTTTAGACTGTTCATAAATGTCATCACTCATACTTAATGTCTTTTTCTTTTAAGTTCCATTTAGTTCTTTGATTTAATCTGCTAAATATTAGGGATTGGTAGGAGAGCAAGTTTCTACTTTTTTTTTTTTTTTCCAGACAGAGTCTTGCTCTTGTTGCCCAGGCTGGAGTGTAGTGGCGCAATCTCGGCTCACTGCAACCTCCACCTCTTGGGTTCAAGCAATTCTTCTGCCTCAGCCTCCTGAGTAGCTAGGATTATAGGCGCCTGCCACCACGCCCAGCTAATTTTTTGTATTTTTAATACAGCCAGGGTTTCATCACATTGGCCAGGCTGGTCTCGAACTCCTTTTTTTTTTAAATTTTATTATTATTATACTTCAAGTTTTAGGAAACATGGGCACAACTTGCAGGTTTGTTACATATGTATACATGTGCCATGTTGGTGTGCTGCACCCATTAACTCATTTAGCATTAGGTCATTTAGCATTAGGTATATCTCCTAATGCTATACCTCCCCCCTCCCCCCACCCCACAACAGGCCCCAGTGTGTGATGTTCCCCTTCCTGTGTCCATGTGTTCTCATTGTTCAATTCCCACCTATAAGTGAGAACATGAGGTGTTTGGTTTTTTGTCCTCGTGATAATTTGCTGAGAATGGTGGTTTCCAGCTTCATCCACGTCCCTACAAAGTACATGAATTCATCATTTTTTATGGCTGCATAGTATTCCATGGTGTATATGTGCCACATTTTCTTAATCCAGTCTATCATTGTTGGACATTTGGGTTGGTTCCAAGTCTTTGCTATTGTGAATAGCGCTACAATAAACATACGTGTGCATGTGTCTTTATAGCAGCATGATTTATAATCCTTTGGGTATATACTCAGTAATGGGATGGCTGGGTCAAATGGTATTTCTAGTTCTAGATCCCTGAGGAATCACCACACTGACTTCCACAATGGTTGAACTAGTTTACAGTCCCACCAACAGTGTAAAAGTGTTCCATTTCTCCACATCCTCTCCAGCACCTGTTGTTTCCTGACTTTTTAAAGATCGCCATGCTAACTGGTGTGAGATGGTATCTCATTGTGGTTTTGATTTGCATTTCTCTGATGGCCAGTGATGATGAGCATTTTTTCATGTGTTTTTTGGCTACATAAATGTCTTCTTTTGGGAAGTGTCTGTTCATATCCTTCACCCACTTTTTAATGGGGTTGTTTGTTTTTTTCTTGTAAATTTGTTTGAGTTCATTGTAGATTCTGGATATTAGCCCTTTATCAGATGAGTAGGTTGCAAAAATTTTCTCCCATTCTGTAGGTTGCCTGTTCACTCTGATGGTAGTTTCTTTGCTGCGCAGAAGCTCTTTAGTTTAATTAGATCCCATTTGTCAATTTTGGCTTTTGTTGCCATTGCTTTTGGTGTTTTAGACATGAAGTCATGGCCCATGCCTATGTCCTGAATGGTATTGCCTAGGTTTTCTTCTAGGGTTTTTATGGTTTTAGGTCTAACATGTAAATCTTTAATCCATCTTGAATTAATTTTTGTATAAGGTGTAAGGAAGGGATCCAGTTTCAGCTTTCTACATATGGCTAGCCAGTTTTCCCAGCACCATTTATTAAATAGGGAATCGTTTCCCCATTTCTTGTTTTTGTCAGGTTTGTCAAAGATCATATAGTTGTAGATATGTGGCATTATTTCTGAGGGCTCTGTACTGTTTCATTGATCTATATCTCTGTTTTGGTACCAGTACCATGCTGTTTTGGTTACTGTAGCCTTGTAGTATAGTTTGAAGTCAGGTAGCGTGATGCCTCCAGCTTTGTTTTTTTGGCTTAGGATTGACTTGGCAATGCGGGCTCTTTTTTGGTTCCATGTGAAGTCTAAAGTAGTTTTTTCCAATTTTGTGAAGAAAGTCATTGGTAGCTTGATGGGGATGGCATTTAATCTATAAATTACCTTGGGCAGTATGGCCATTTTCACGATATTGATTCTTCCTACCCATGAGCATGGAATGTTCTTCCATTCGTTTGTATCCTCTTTTATTTCCTTGAGCAGTGGTTTGTGGTTCTCCTTGAAGAGGTCCTTCACATCCCTTGTAAGTTGGATTCCTAGGTATTTTATTCTCTTTGAAGCAATTGTGAATGGGAGTTCACCATGATTTGGCTCTCTGTTTGTCTGTTATTGATGTATAAGAATGCTTGGGATTTTTGCACATTGATTTTGTATCCTGAGACTTTGCTGAAGTTGCTTATCAGCTTAAGGAGATTTTGGGCTGAGACGATGGGGTTTTCTAGATATACAATCATGTCATCTGCAAACAGGGACAATTTGACTTCCTCTTTTCCTAATTGAATGCCCTTTATTTCCTTCTCCTGCCTGATTGCCCTGGCCAGAACTTCCAACACTACGTTGAATAGGAGTGGTGAGAGAGGGCATCTTTGTCTCTTTTGATCTTTGTTGGTTTAAAGTCTGTTTTATCTGAGACTAGGATTGCAACCCCTGCCTTTTTTTGTTTTCCATTTGCTTGGTAGATCTTCCTCCATCCCTTTATTTTGAGCCTGTGTGTCTCTGCATGTGAGATGGGTTTCCTGAATACAGCACACTGATGGGTCTTGACTCTTTATCCAATTTACCAGTCTGTGTCTTTTAATTGGAGCATTTAGCCCATTTACACTTAAGGTCAATATTGTTATGTGTGAATTTGATCCTGTCATTATGATGTTAGCTGGTTATTTTGCTCGTTAGTTGATGCAGTTTCTTCCTAGCCTTAATGGTCTTTACAGTTTGGCATGTTGGTACCGGTGGCTGGTACCAGTTGTTCCTTTCCATGTTTAGTGCTTCCTTCAGGAGCTCTTTTAGGGCAGGCCTGGTGGTGACAAAATCTCTCAGCATTTGCTTGTCTGTAAAGTATTTTATTTCTCCTTCACTTATGAATCTTAGTTTGGCTGGATATGAAATTCTGGGTTGAAAATTCTTTTCTTTAAGAATGTTGAATATCGGCCCCCACTCTCTTCTGGCTTGTAGAGTTACTGCCGAGAGATCAGCTGTTAGTCTGATGAACTTCCCTTTGTGGGTATCCCGATCTTTCTCTCTGGCTGCCCTTAACATTTTTTCCTTCATTTCAACTTTGGTGAATCTGATAATTATGTGTCTTGGAATTGCTCTTCTTGAGGAGTCTCTTTGTGGCGTTCTCTGTATTTCCTGAATTTGAATGTTGGCCTGCCTTGCTAGATTGGGGAAGTTCTCCTAGATAATATCCTGCAGAGTGTTTTCCAGCTTGGTTCCATTCTCCCCATCACTTTCAGGTACACCAATCAGACGTAGATTTGGTCTTTTTACATAGTCCCATATTTCTTGGAGGCTTTGTTCGTTTCTTTTTATTCTTTTTTCTCTAACCTTCTCTTCTCGCTTCATTTCATTCATTTCGTCTTCCATTGCTGATACCCTTTCTTCCAGTTGATCACGTTGGCTACTGAGGCTTGTGCATTCGTCACATAGTTCTCGTGCCGTGGTTTTCAGCTCCATCAGGTCCTTTAAGGACTTCTCTGCATTGATTATTCTAGTTAGCCGTTTGTCTAATTTTTTTGCAAGGTTTTAACTTCTTTGCCATTGGTTCGAACTTCTTCCTTTAGCTTGGAGTAGTTTGATCTTCTGAAGCATTCTTCTCTCAACTCGTCAAAGTCATTCTCTGTCCAGCTTTGTTCCGTTGCTGGTGAGGAGCTGCGTTCCTTTGGAGGAGGAGAGGCGCTCTGACTTTTAGAGTTTCTGGTTTTTCTGCTCTGTTTTTTCCCCATCTTTGTGGTTTTATCTACCTTTGGTCTTTGATGATGGTGACGTACAGATGGATTTTTGGTGTGGATGTCCTTTCTGTTTGTTAGTTTTCCTTCTAACAGTCAGGACCCTCAGCTGCAGGTCTGTTGGAGTTTGCTGGAGGTCCACTCCAGACCCTGTTTGCCTGGGTATCAGCAGCGGTGGCTGCAGAACTGCAGATATTGGTGAACCGCAAACGCTGCTGCCTGATCGTTCCTCTGGAAGTTTTGTCTCAGAGGAGTACCCGGCCATGTGAGGTGTCAGTCTGCCCCTACTGGGGAGTGCCTCCCAGTTAGGCTACTCGGGGGTCAGGGACCCACTTGAGGAGGCAGTCTGCCTGTTCTCAGATCTCCAGCTGCGTGCTGGGAGAACCACTACTCTCTTCAAAGCTGTCAGACAGGGACATTTAAGTCTGCAGAGGTTACTGCTGCCTTTTGTTTGTCTGTGCCCTGCCCCCAGAGGTGGAGCCTACAGAGGCAGGCAGGCCTCCTTGAGCTGTGGTGGGCTCCACCCAGTTCGAGCTTCCCGGCTGCTTTGTTTACCTAATCAAACAACTAACTCGGCAATGGCAGGTGCCCGTCCCCCAGCCTCGCTGCCGCCTTGCAGTTTGATCTCAGACTGCTGTGCTAGCAATGAGCGAGGCTCCGTGGGCGTAGGACCCTCCAAGCCAGGTGCGGGATATAATCTCCTGTTGTGCCGTTTGTTAAACCCGTTGGAAAAGCGCAGTATTAGGGTGGGAGTGACCCGATTTTCCAGGTGCCATCTGTCACCCCTTTCTTTGACTAGGAAAGGGAATTCCTTGACCCTTGCGCTTCCTGGGTGATGCGATGTTGCGCCCTGCTTTGGCTCACGCATGGTGCGCTGCACCCACTGTCCGGCACTCCCCAGTGAGATAAACCCGGTACCTCAGTTGGAAATGCAGAAATCACCCGTCTTCTGCGTCGCTCACGCTGGGAGCTGTAGACTGGAGCTGTTCCTATTCGGCCATCTTGGCTCCACCTCAACCTGGTCTCGAACTCCTGACCTCAGGTGATCCACCTGCCTCAGCCTCCCAAAGTTCTGGGATTACAGGTGTGAGCCACCGTGCCCAGCCTTTTCTTTCTTTTTACAATTTCTTACAAGTTTTTATTTTTATAAAGTACTTAAATATCTCAAATTTCAGAAAACAAGATATTTAATCACACATCCAAACAGAGAATTCTCTAATATAGCCCCTTATCAATTCCCTGCATTGTAAGACAGTTCTTTCAGTAGAAGTGTCTCCACACCAAGCAAGAAACAAAACACCACAAACAATGAATACCTGCGGTATCCAAGTCACCAATTAGATGCCTTGCAGACCCAGAAATACATCAGAAACACTCTGCTCTCCAGGAATGTGCAGTGTAGTAATGGACATAAGACATACTCTTGAAAAACTATGCTATAAAACAGAATGTAATGCAGGTTCTCTAAGAAGTATAAACAAATGCATTAGGAACCCAGAGTGCGGAGTATGTCCTTGTAGGTGAAGGCGAGGCACAAAGTCTCCCTTGAGGTGGCAGTGAAGTTCATGTATAATGAATGTTGTGTTCCTTGGCACTCTTTTGGCTGCAAATGACCAAAGACCTAAGTAATGCTGTTAACCAGCTCAGCCTCATCGACTTTTGTAGAGCACTACATCCAGGGAGAATACACATTCTTTTCAAGTACATGTGGAATATACACCAAGTTATACCATATGCTGGACCGTAAAACAAATTTATAATCATTGATCCAAAGAGGAATTCTGGGAAATGGAGAGTGGCAGCAGGATAATTCTTCACTCTCTCTGAATTCCCACATGAAATAGAACAACTAGATAACATAACAAAAAATTCATGAACAGCTTGTATAACAAAGCTAGTTATTCATTTCCTAAGGGAATAGCAAATCACCACCAACCAGGTCGCTTAAAACAACAGAAATGTATCCTCTCATAGTTCTGGAGACTGGAAGTCCAAAACTAAGGTGTTGGCAAGTCCATCTCCCTCTGAAGGCTTTAGGGAGGGATCCTTCCTTACCTCTTCCTAGCTTCCGGTGGTTGTCGGCAATCCTAGCATTCTTTGGCTGTAGCAGCATCACTCCAATCTCTGCCTCTATCTTTATGTGTCTGTTGTCTTCATGTGTCTCCAAATCTCTCTCTCCTCATAAGGAGACCTGTCATTGGATTTAGAGCCCACTCTAATTCAGTATGACCCCATCTTGACTATATCCGTAAAGATCCTATTTCCAAATAAGGTCACATTCACAGGTACCAGAGATTAGGATTTAAATATATCTTTTGGGACTAGGCACGGTGGCTCACACCTGTAATCCCAGTACTTTGGGAGGCCAAGGAGGGTGGATCACTTGAGGCCAGGAGTTCAAGACCAGCCTGGCCAACATGGTGAAACCCTGTCTCTACTAAAATTACAAAAAATTAGCCAGGTATGGTGGTGTACACCTGTGGTCCCAGCTACTCAGGAAGCCGAGGCAAGAGAATCACTTGAACCTAGGAGGTGGAGGTTGCAGGGAGCAAGATCACACCACTGCACTCCAACCTGGGCAACAGAGCGAGACTGTGTCTCAAAAAAATTAATTAATTAATTAATTAAATAAATCTTATAGAGGAACACAATTCAAATAATAACACTAGATATCATTACACCTAAGAATATGATAATATTGTCTCCCCAAGATTAAGGAACAAGGTAAGGATATCTGTTGTCACCATAACCACTTCTATTCATTATTGAAGTTGAGGTCATAGCCAGAGCAGTAACTCAAGAAAAGACAATAAAAGGTATACAGATTGAAAAGGAAGAAATAAAAACTACTTGCAAATGATGTATACAAATAAACCTGAGGATTCTGCAAAGACTATTTAAGCTAATAGCTAAATGTAGGATGTTTGCAAGATGGATCAATGTAGAAAAGTAAATTGCAGCTGGGCATGGTGGCTCATGCCTGTAATCCAAACACTTTAGGAGGCCAGGGTGGGCAGATCACCTGAGGTCAGGAGTTCAACACCAGCCTGGCCAACATGGTGAAACCCCGTCTCTACTAAAAATACAAAAATTAGCTGGGTGTGGTGGTACACACCTGTAGTCACAGCTACTCGGGAGGCTAAGGCAGAAGAATGGCTTGAACCTGGGAGGCAGAGATTGCAGTGAGCCGAGATTGCACTCCAGCCTGGGCAACAGAGTGAGACTTGGGGGAAAAAAAAAAAAGAAGAAAGAAAGAAAAGAAAAGTAAATGCATTTCTACATACCAACAAAAACAATTAGAAAATGAAATTTGAAAGACAATGCTGTTTAAGACAGAATAAAAGTCTGTTTTAGTCTGTTGAGGCTGCTGTAATAAAATACCATAGACCGGGTAGCTTATGAACAACGGGAGTTTATTTCTCACAGTTGTGGTGGCTGGGAAGTCTGAGATCGTGGTGCCAGCATGGTGCCAGAAACCGTGGTCGGGTTCTGGTGAGGGCTCTCTTCCAGGTTGCAGACAGCCACCTTCTTGCTGTGTCCTCACATGGAGGAAGGAGCAAACAAGCTCTCAGGGGCCTCTTTTATAAGCACAGCAGTCCCATTCATGAGAGTCCTGCCTTCATGATCTAAGCACCTCCCAAAGGCCCCACCTCCTGATACCATCACCTTAGGCGCTAGGATTTCAACATATGAATTTGGGGAGAACACAGAGATTCAGACCATAGCAAAATTTGTAATCAGGGGAAAATTTAATAAAATATGTGCAAAATCTTTACACACTGAAAACTATAAAAACATTCTGCGACAAGTTAGAGAAGACCTAAAGAAAAGAGCTATACCACATTCATGGGTTAAAAGATCTGATATTGGTAAGATGTCAGTTCTCAAATAGATCTCAAGGTTCAGTGCAATCCCAATCTAAATACCAGCAGGTAGATATGACACTAAAAGCATGAACAACAAAAGAAAATAAATAAATAAATTGTACTTTATCAAATTAAAAAACTTTTGTGCATCAAAGGACATTGTCAAAGAAATGAGAAGATAACCTACAGAATGAGAGAAAGTATTTGCAAATCATACATCTGATAAGGGACTGGTATCTAGAATCTACAAAGAATTCTTATAACTCAGCAACAGGAAAACAAACAACCCAATTTAAAAATAGGCAAAGGACTTGAATAGACATTTCTCTAAAGAAGACATACAGATGGCCAATAAGCACATGAAAAGGTGCTCAACATAGTAGGGAAATACAAATTAGAACAACAAGGAGATACCATTTCATACCTACCAGCATGGCTATAATAGTAATTTTTAAAATGCAGAAAATGAATATTGGTGAGGATGTGGAGAAATTGAATGTCTTGTCCATTGCTGGAAAATGGTGCAACTGCTGTGGAAGCACTTTAACAGTTCCTGAAAAAGGTAAACATAGAATTACGTTATGATCCAGCAATTCCACTCCTAGGTATAGACTCGAGGAAATTAAAAGCAGAGACTTGAGGAGATACTTGTATGCCAATATCCATTGCAGCATTATTCACAGTAGCCAGAAATGGGAAACAACCCAAGGGCCTATCAGCAGATGAATGAGTAAACAAAATGTGGTATATACAAACAACGGGATATTATTTGGCCATAGGAAAGGAATCAGGATCTGAAACATGCTGATATGGATGAATCTTGGAAATATTATGTGAAGTGAAATAAGCCAGACACAAAAGGACAAATATTGTATGACTCCACTTATATGAAATATCTAGAATAGGCAAATTCATACAGACAGGAAGCAAATCAGAGATTACCAGAGGGCACCCAGGTGTGGTGGCTCACACTTTAATCCCAGCACTTTGGGAGGCATAGGTGCAAGGATGGCTTGAGGCCAAGGCCCGGAGTTCCAGACCAGTCAGGGCAAACACAGGGCAAATGCAAAACAAAAGCCCTTCCCTACAAAAAATATTTTTTAAGTTAGCTGGATGTGGCGGCTCATGCCTGTAGTCCCAGCTATTCAGGAGGCTGAGGCAGAGGATTGCCTGAGCCCAGGAGGTGGAGGCTACAGTGAGATTTGATTGGCCCTCTGCACTTCAGCCTGAGTGATAGTGCAAGACCTTGTCTTTAAAAAAAAGAAAGAGAGAGAGAGAGATTACCAGGTGCTGGAGGGAGGAAGAATGGGGAATTATCGTATAATGTTTACAGAATTTCTGTTTCGAATAACAAAAATGTTCCAGAACAAAAATGTTCCAGATATTGTGCATAAGAAATGATGCACAACAATGTGAATATTTTATGTTATGTATGTTTTGCCATAATTTAAAAAAATTAATAATGTAATATACCAAAAGTTATTGCATGAATTGTGCACTTTGAATTGTATACTTGAATTGTACACTTTAAATGTATGAATTGTGTGATATGTGAATTATATCTCAATAAAGTTGTTCTAAAAAATGCCAGCAATGTTTTTGTAGAAATTGGTGTGCTAATCCTAAAATGTATGTAGAAATGCAAAGGACCTAGAATAACCAGAATAATCTTGAAAATTAGCAAAGTTGGGAGACATATATTAGTGAATTGCAAGACTTTCTCGAAAGCTGTAGTAATGAAGATGGTATGTATTGGTGTAAAGGTCCATGGGACGAGAAAGTTCAGAAATCAGGCCCCACTTATATAGTCAGTTGATTTTTGATCAAGATGCCAAAGCAATTCAATGGTGAAAAGAAGATCACTTCAACAAATAGTGCTAGAACAACTGCTTATCTCTATGGAAAAGATAAACCTCAACCCCTACCTCACATCACACAGGTGAAATTTTTTGAGATAAATTATATAACTGAATGTAAAAGTGAAAATTTCGGATAAAGCTCCTACAAGGAAACATAGAGCATTATTTTTTAGGATACAAAAAGCACTATAAAGAAAAAAGTGACAAATTGGACTTCATCAAAACTAAAAACTTCACAAAAAATACAAGCCATAGATGAGAGACAGTATTCACAATACCTGCACATATGGCTGAGAAAAGCTTGTATCCAGACTCCTACAACTCAATAATAAAAAGACCAAAACAAATTATTTAAAAAATGCACAATGACTTGAACAGCTGTTTTATAAAAGACCACATACAAATGCCAGTAAAATATGAAAAAGGGTTCAATATCATTAGTCACCAGGGTAATGCAAAATAAAACTAAACTGAGATAGCACTATACATCCACTAGTTTGGTGAACATTAAAAGAACAAAAACAACAAACATTGGCAACTGGAATTACCATATGTTGCTAGTTGGAGTCTTAAATGGTATAACCACTTTGGAAATTGATCTGGTAATTTCTTTTAAACTCCATGACCCAGCAATAACGCTGCTAGGTATTTTTGCAAGATAAGGACTTTTTCCATAATAGCCCCAATGACCCATCTTCTCCTAGAAGATACATTCTGCCTATCTGTTGATAGGCAAACTGTGGTTTGTCTCTTCACTTTGCTAAGTGAACAGATAAACAAATTTTGGTGTGTGGAAACAATGGAATACCACTCAGCAATAACAAGGAGAAAACTACTGATAGACAATATCCAGCAGCTTAGATGAACCCCAGAAACATTATGATGAGCAAAAGAAGCCAGATACAAAATAGTGCATAGTGTCTTATTCCATTTATATGAAATTCCAAAACAGGCAAAAACTAATTTATGGGACAAGAAATCATAACATTGGTTGCCTGGGTTATTAGGATGGGTGTTGAGTGGTAAAGGTCACAACAGCTTTTTTTTTTTTTTTTTTTTTTTTTCTGAGGCAGAGTCTCATTTTGTTGCCCAGGCTGGAGTGCAGTGGCATGATCTTGGCTCACTGCAATCTCCACCTCCAGGGTTCAAGTGATTCTCGTGCCTCAGCCTTCCGAGTGGTTGGGACTACAGGTACATGCCACCACACCCAGCTAATTTTTGCATTTTTAGTAGAGATGGGGTTTCACCATATTGGCAAGGCTGGTCTCGAACTCCTGAACTCAGGTGATGATCCTCCTGTCTCAGCCTCCCAGAGTGCTGGGATTACAGGCATGAGCCACTGCGCCCAGCCTCACAACAGCTCTTTCTAGGGTGATGAGAATGATCTATATCTTGCTAGTGGTATGGGTTATATGCGTGGGCATTTGTCATAACTCATCAGACTGCCCACTTATAATCTGCTCATTTCCCAGTATGTAAATTATTTTAAAAGTTAAGAAAAACATGTTCTCAGGGGCCGAGTGTGGTGGCTCACTCCTGTAATTCTGGCACTTTGGGAAGCCTAGGTAAGTTCATCCCTTCAACCCAGTAGTTCAAGGCCAGCCTGGGCAACATGGTGAAACCCTATCTCTATAATTAAAAAAAAAAAAAAAAAAAAAAAAAAGCCATTCATGGTGGTATATGCCTATAGTTCCAGGTACTCAGGAGGCTGAAGTGGGAGGATCACTTGAGCCCAGGAGGTTGAGATTGCAGTGAGCTGTGATTGCACTACTGCATTCCTTTCTGGGAGACAGAGCGAAATCTTGTCTCAAAAAAGAAAAAAGTTATCAGGAATGACAGGATTAAAACAGCAAGTTGGCATTCCAATCCAGTTCAAATAGCCAGATCAAAACAGCAAGTTCAAGACTTGAAGAATGCCCACAAATCAGAAAATTCACAAAGAAATGATAGAAAACATACAAAGGATATGACTAGGTAACTCACAAATGAGGAAATACAAATGGCTAAAAGGGGTAGGCAGGGGCTGGTGAGCAGCATTTCATAAGTTTACCGGCCACTCAAGAGTTTTCCTCCAGGTATTGCTTGTTCATAGTTTATATCATTTTTCTCTTGGGTTGGTTATCTTTTTCTTTTCAACTATAGATACATTGGTTATATGAGTAGCAAATAGCTTTTCTTAGATGGTGGTTTGTATTTTCACTTTGTATGTCATTCTTTTGTTGTGTTTTAAATTTTAATTTAATCAAATGGAATCCACCTTTTGGTGATTAGTGCTTGTGTTTAGTTTAGAAACAGAATTCCCTATTCAAATATCACTAAACATTATGTGATATTTTTCCTAATAATTTTGTAGTTTTTTTCACCTTTAAGTCTTTAACATCTTTTTTTTTTTTTTTCTTTTTGAGGTGGAGTCTCGCTCTGTTGCTCAGGCTGGAGTGCAGTGGCACGATCTTGGTTCACTGCAACCACTGCCTCCCAGGTTTAAGAGATTCTCCTGCCTCAGCCTTCCCAGTAGCTGGGATTA
The DNA here is from genome assembly GCF_000001405.40 of Homo sapiens. Lineage (NCBI taxonomy): Eukaryota > Metazoa > Chordata > Mammalia > Primates > Hominidae > Homo > Homo sapiens. The sequence goes on from NC_000007.14 coordinate 30,106,199, forward strand.
CAGGCGCATGCCACCACGGCCAGCTAATTTTTTTTTGTATTTTTAGTAGAGACGGGGTTTCACCATGTTGGCCAGACTGGTCTTGAACTCCTGACCTCAAATGATCTGTCTGCCTTGGCTTTCCAAAAGTGCTCGGATTATAGACATGAGCCACCATGCCTGGCCATCTTTAAGTCTTTAAACCATCTGGAAGTTGTGTATGGGATGTAATTTGGGTTAATTTTATCTTTTTCCTTATGAATAGCCACTTGTCTTGGAATCATTCAGGCTATTCTTTTCCTGTAATTTAATAGCAGCAGCACCATCATATATAAATGATTTTAACTCTAGGTCCTCTCTTCTATTCATTTGCCTAATTGTCTCTCTGGACCAATATCACACTATTAGGAGGTCTCAGGGTCTGCTGAGATTTGCCCCCTCCCCTGCACCTACAAATAAATGCAGTTGGCCCTCCATATCTGTGGGTTGCACTTAAATGGAGTCAGCCAACCCGGGATAAAAAGAATGTGGGCAAAAAAATTTCACGAAGTTCCAAAATGCAAAACTTGAATTTTTTCTGAGCCAAGTACTACGTTGAATGCACGCAAATGAAGTGATGTGTAGGTATTGTATTGGGCATTATAAGTAATTTATAAATGATTTAAAATGTACGGGAGGATGCGCATAGGTTACATGCAAATGCTGGTCCATTTTACATAAGGGACTTCTGAGCATCTTCAGATTTTGATACCTGCCAGGGTCCTGGAACTAATCCCCCACAGATACCAGGGTTTGACTATATAGTGTTTTCCTTTAAAATTGTGTTCGCTATTCTTGTTCCTTTAATCTTCTGTATGAATTTAAGGATCATCTTTTCTATTTTGAGAAATACCTTATTAGAATATTTATTGAAATTATACTGAATTTATAGACTGACTTTGGGAGAAATCGCTGTCACTACAAAATTTCATCTTCCTACCAATGAATATAGTTTATCTTTCTGCCTACTCCTATGTTCTTCAATAAAGTTTTACAATTTTGTTATAAAATACAAGGTACCTAGGAATAAATTTACAATTTTATTGTAAAACTTTTGTTTTACAATATTACTTCCACCTATTACTATGTTCTTCCATAAAGTTTTACAATAAAATTGTAAACTTATTCCTAGGTACCTTGTATTTTATTGCTGCCATTAAAGAATGTATCTTTTGGAAAATTACATTTTCTAATTTTTGTTGCTATTGAATTTGTTAATATACCTGTTTTGGATTCAACAACCTTGACAAACTCTTATTTGTAGTAGTTTATAGGTTCCTTTGTATTTCGTATTTTTTACTTTCTAATCTTTATAAATTTTATTTCTTTTTCTTGTCTTATATAAGCAAAAAGGTTTTATACAATGCTGAATAGAAGTGGCCATAGAAGATAATCTTATTGTGTTCCTAATCTGAAATGGAATGCTTTCAACATTTCATAATTACATACAATTTTTGCTATAGGTTCTTTGGTAGCTGCCATTTACCAGGCTAAATAAGTTGCTTTCTCCATCTAGTTTACTAGTGATATTAATTATGAAGCAATGTTTAATATTACAAAAAAATTTTCTAACTGGGCATGGTGGCTCATGCCTGTAATCCCAGTACTTTGGGAGGCCAAGGTGGGCAGATCACCTGAGGTCAGGAGTTCAAGACCAGCCTGACCAACATGGAGAAATCCCATCTCTCCTAAAGATACAGAAATTAGCTGGGTGTGGTGATGCATGCCTGTAATCCCAGCTACTCTGTAGGCTGAGGCAGGAGAATCACTTGAACCCAGGAGGCAGAGGTTGCAGTGAGCAGAGATCGCGCTATTGCACTCCAGCCTGGGCAAAAAGCAAAACTCCATCTCAAAAAAAAAAAAAAAAAAAAAAAAACCTACATTCATTGACATGATCATAAGGTTTCTTCCTTAAACCAACTAATATGGTAAATCTCATTAAGAGATTTTCTAACTTTAACCATCCTTGCATTCCTAGGTTGAATCCAATTTGGTAATGGTGTATTTTTAATAGACATTTCTGGAATCAGTTGCCTACTGTTTTATTTAGGATTTTTGCATCTATATTTAGAAATGAGATTGGGCTTTAATTTTTTCCTTCATATACCATCCTTATCTGATTTGCCATCAGAATTGTTATACTTTGTAAAATGAGGTGGGCAGTGTTCCCTCATTTTATATTCACTGGAACAGTTTGTTTTAGATAATGATTATCTGTTCTTCGAAGTCTGGGTATGACTGGTAAACCTTCTGGGTTTAATGGGTTTTATTTTTATCTTAATTTAATTTTATTTTTTTTAGTATGGAGGGTAGATTTTAAAACTCCCAATTCAAGTTATAAATCTAACCCAAAAAATGTATTTCTTCTTGAGTAGTTCTGTTAGGTTGTATATTTCTAAGAAACTGCAGTTTGTCTATGTTTTCAGTTTATTGATTATGGGTTTTAAGTAGAATTGTGCATAAATGACCCTGAGAACTTACTCTGTGCAGTCTGGACAAGATGCCTGCTAGGACTTGTTGCGCCTTCTCCTAGAGAGAGAGACTTCACCCAAGTTCAGCTTCCCACAGAACCAGTAGCTCCCTTCCTTTGTTCCTTTGGCAGGAGGGTCTGTGGCTTTCCACAGCACCCCAGGTGTGGGGCTTTCACAGCAACTCCAGTAAACAACAAGCAGTTAAATAGAAATAATTCATACTAAGCAGTCTGTATGCCTCCCACAAACAAAGTTAATTCTCATGGTGGCACTAGAAGAGCCTGGGGCTAGTGATACCCATGAAATGCAAACCCACTGAGGGTCTGGCTCATCACCCTGGTCCTGCCATGATCCTCCGTTCAACAATGGGAGGACAGCGATTACATATCAAATGGTAGTTTATATACCGTTAGTCATCTCTAATTGTTCACTCTCTCTCTTTCTCTCTCTCTATAAAGTGCACTAAAGGTATGTCATGGTTGTTTTCACTTTTATTTTGGAATAATTTTAGATGTATAAAAAAGTTGGAAAGTTAACACAGAATTCCCATATAACCTTCACCCAGTTTCGATAATGTTGACATTTCATATGACTATGTGCATTTGTTAAAAGAGATTAACATGGCTGGGCATGGTGGCTCACACCTGTAATCCCAGCACTTTGTGAGGCCTAGGCAGGTGGATGAGGTCAGGAGTTCGCGACTAGCCTGGCCAACATGGTGAAACCCTCTTTCTACAAAAAATACAAAAAATTAGCTGGGCGTGGTGGTGGATGCCTGTAATCCCAGCTACTCGGGAGGCTTAGGCAGGAGAAATGCTTGAACCCGGGAGGTGGAGGTTGCAGTCAGCCAAGATCGCGCCATTGCACTCCAGCCTGGGCAACGAGTGAAACTCTGTCTCAAAAAAAAAAAAAAAAAAAAAAAAAAAGAGAGAGAGATTAACATTGTGTAACTACAGACATTATTCAGATTTTCCTTTTTCTTTTTCTTTTTTTTTTTTTTTAAAGACAGAGTCTCACTTTGTCACCCAGGCTGGAGTGCAGTGGTACAATCACGCCTCACTGCAACCTTCGCCTCCCGGGCTCAAGCAATCCTTTCATCTTAGCCTTCCAAGTAGCTGGGACCACAGGCATGCACCACCATGCCTGGCTAATTTTTAAATTTTATGTAGAGATGGGTCTCAATCACCCAGGTTGGTCTCAAACTCCTGGGCTCAAGCAATTATTCACATTTCACCAGTTTTTTCACTAATAACTTTTTCCTGTTTTAGGATCCAGTACAAGATACCACATTGCTTTTAATGTCATCCTATTTAATTTTTTAAAACTCAATTGTATTGAGAAAAATTAACATATAAAATTTACCCACTTAGCATATATAATTCAGTGCCTTTCATTATATTTACAAGATTGTGTAGTCCTTACCATAATCTAAGTTTAGAATATTTGCATTACCCCCAAGAGCAACCCTGTACTTATTAAGCAGTCACCCCCCATTCCTCCCTCCTATGGCCCTAGGCAACTAATCTTTCTGTTTCTATTGATTTTCCTGTTCTGGACTTTTCATATAAATGGAATCATACAATGTGTGTGGTGTTTTATGTCTGGCTACTTTCACTTAGCACATTTTGCAGATTCATCCATAGTGTAGTATTTATTAGTACTTCGTTCCTTTATATTGCTGAATAGTATTCCATTGTATAGGTATATGGTGTTGTGTTGATCCATTCACCAGTTAATGAGCATTTGGACTGTTTCCATTTGGGGGTTATTATTAATAATGTTGCTAGAATATTTGTGTACCAGTCATCATGTGGATATATGTTTTCATTTCTCTTGGTATGTACCTAGGAGCACAATTGCTTATTGCTTGGTCATATGGTAACTGTGTTTAACATTTTGAGGAACTTCCGAAGTGTTTTCCAAAGTGGTTGCACTGTTTTACAGTCCAGCAGCAATATATAAGGGATTCAGTTTCTTTACATCCCCATCAACGCTTGTTATCATCTGCTTTTGTTTTTCCTTTTGTTTTTAATATAGCCATCCTAGTGAGTGCAAGTGTGAAGTAGATATCTCATCATGGTTTTGATTTGAGTTTTTCTTTTGGTTAATGATGTTGAGCATCTTTTCATGTGCTTATTAGCAATTTGTATATCTTCTTTAAAGAAATATCTATTCAAATTCTTTGCCCAACTTTAATTGTGGTGTTTTCTTATTTTGAGGTTGTTTTTTTTTTTTTTCACGGAGTCTCACTCTGTTGCCCAGACTGGAGTGCAGTGGCGCGATCTTGGCGCACTGCAACCTCTGCATCCTGGGCTCAAGCAATTCTCCTGCCTCAGCCCCCCGAGTAGCTGGGACTACAGGCACACACCACCATGCATGGCTAATTTTTGTATTTTTAGTAGAGACGGAGTTTCATCACATTGGCAGGCTGGTCTCAAATTCCTAACCTCAGGTGATCCACCCACCTCGGCCTCCCAAAGCACTGGATTACACGCATGAGCCATCACACCTGGACCTTATTTTGAGTTTTAAGAGTTCTTTATATATTCTGGATGCAAGTCCCTCTTCATGTATATGATTTTCAAATATTTTCAAATATTTGAAAATGTTTGTCAAAAATCAATTGACTATTAATATTAGCAGTTTATTATTGACACACTATCTTGATTTCTGTAACTTTGTAACAAGTTTTGAAATAAGAAAATGTAATTCTTCCAACTGTGATCTTTTTCTAGATTGTTTTGGCTATTCTGTGTCATCTTATTTTAAATTTTTTTCATTTAATCACTTTTGGTTTTGGGATTTTATTTGTTGTTTCTTAGTTTTCTATATCATTCATTTCTGTCTTATTTTTTAATTTTCTAGCTTCTACATTCTTGGGTTTGCATATTTGTTTTATAACTGTAAAAATGGACATTTATTTTATTACCATTAGGACTTTTTTTTTTTTGAGACAGGGTCTCGTTCTGTCATCTAGGCTGGAATAGTGTGGCAGAGTCATCACTCACTGTAACCTCCGCCTCTCAGGCTCAAGCAGTCCTCCCACCTCAGCCTACCAAGTAACTGGGACTACCGGTGCATGCCACCACACCCAGCTAATTTTGTATGGAATGATACATTTCTCCGAAATACCCTTGTAGTTAAGCAACACATGACTGTGTATAAGTATATATATTTTTTAAATCCATGAGTTTAAAAATAGACTCTCAGATATAAGACATAAAAAGCCAACCATATGCTGTTCACAATAGGCATGCTTAAAATCTAATGATCTAGAAAGACTAAAAACAATGGAATGGCAAAATAATTACCAGGCAAATATTAATTTTTAAAATTGATGGCACAGAATTTTATAGCCACAACAGAGGCCAGAACACAGTGTAATTATGTTGATATCAGACAAAAAAGACTTAAAAAGTATTTAGGGATAAAGAAAGTCACTGCAAAATGAAAACATGAACAATTCACTAGGAATATTCAACAGTTCTGATTTTCTGTGCAACAACTAACGGCATAATTGACAGAAAGAGATGGAAAAAATGAGCAAATTCACAGTCAGTATGGGGTAGACAAAAATAAAATATGAAAGGTTTGAACAAGACGATTTTCACGACTCAGCATATACCAAAAAAGTCAAGATTTTCTGACCACAATGTACTACAATTTGAAATTAGTTAACAAAAAGATAACTCCTTAAAAAAAAAAAACCTTAAAAATACTTCTAAATGATTCACATGTCAAAAAAATCATAAATGAAATGAGTACATACTTAGCACTAAAAGAGTGTGACTACAATACATAATAAAATCTGAGGGATGTAGCTAAAGCAGAACTTGAGTCATTTGTGGGTTTAACTGCACACATTCAAAAAGAAAAAAGTGGCCAGGCACGGTGGCTCATGCCTGTAGTCCCAGCTACTTGGGAAGCTGAGGTGGGAGGATAGCTTGAGGCTGGGAGGCAGAGGTTGCAGTGAGCGATGATTGTGCCACTGCACTCCAGCCTGGGTGACAGACCCAGACCCAGTCTGAAAAAAAAAAAAGCCCATCTCTATAAAAAATACAAAATTAGCCAGGTGTGGTGGCATGTACCTGTAGTCCCAGCTATTTGGGAGGCTGAGGAGGGAGGATCACTTGAGCCCAGGAGTTCAAGGCTACAGTGAGCTGTGATATACCACTGCACTCCAGTTGGGGCAACAGAATGAAACTCTGTCTCTTTAAAAAAAAAAAAAATTAACATATATGCTTGACTTAACAAGCCTAAAGTTTATCAGTATCTCTACCTTTCTCCTAAAATATACAAATAACCTTAGAACATTTTAACACCAGTCACTTGCCTCTTGTCTGACATGTTTTTGTCTTCTGATAGTTTTGTGCCTCCTTATGTCCCTCAAATTCATCATCATCATCATTACTATTAGCAGTAGGAGTGGTGTTTTCTACAGTCAGTGGTTGCTCTGGTTTACCCACATTTGCTATTTCTTTGGAGATCATTAGTTCTTGCTTTCTGCATCTTTCTTCTGGTTTTGATTTGCTCCTTCTGGAAGTAAAATGTTCCCATAGTAACATTTTCTGGAAGGGCCTATGAATGGTAAACTCAGTCTTTGCCTAAAAATGTCTTTTTTCTGCCTGACTTTTGAATTATAGTTTAGCTAGTTATAAAATTCTAGCTTATCAGTTATTTTCCCTCTATATTTTGAAGATATTTTTTCTGTTGTCTCTTGGCCTCTGACTATTGAGTACTGTGCTGTCAACTTATTTTTTGCTTCTTTATAGGTAGTCTGTCCTTTTTACCTCTGGTGGCATTTAGGATCTTCACTTTGTTTTGTGGTCTGCAGTTTCCCTATTATGTGTAGTGTAGATTTATTTTCATTTCTTATCTTTGGTCTCAGTGCATGCTTTTATTCTGCAGATTCTTTCCTTACAATTCTAGTAGAGTCTATGTTATTATCTCTTTGAATACTACCACCTCACTATTCTCCCTATTACTGTTTCTGGAATTTCTATTAAATACATATTGGACTATCTCATTCCTTAGGCCTCATAACCTCCTTTTAACATTTTCCATCACTTCATCATATTGCTGCACTTAGCACAATTTCCTCAGATGGGACTTCTAATTTACTAATTCTCCCTTCAACTTCTTTTCAGCTTACAAACTTTTAGTAGCTAGTTCTCATTTCTACACATTCTAATTTGTTTCTGTTCAAAATATTACTTTTTTTTTTTTTTTTTGAGACAGAGTCTCACCAATGCCCAGGCTGGAATGCAGGGGCACAATCTCAGCTCACTGCAACCTCTGCCTCCCAGGTTCAAGTGATTATCCTGCCTCACCCTCCCCAGTAGCTGAGATTACAGGTGCACACCACCATGACTGGCTAATTTTTGTATTTTTAATAGAGACAGGGTTTTGCCATGTTGGCCAGGCTGGTCTTGAACTCCTGACCTCATGTTATCTGCCCACCTCAGTCCCCCAAAGTGCTGGGATTACAGGAGTGAGACACACCTGCCCTACTTTTCTTTTTTTTGTTACAATAGTAGCTAAAACTTACTCTGTGCCAAGCATATGTGTACTCTTCTAATCACTTTACATATATTAACACACTTAATCCTTACAATAACCCATTGATATAGATACCATTAGTATACCTACTTTACAGATGAGGGACTTGAGGCACAGAAATATTAAGTGACACACCCAAGGTCACCCAGGTGGTGGTAGGTGATAGTGACGAGATTTGAACCCAGCACTTTAGCTTCAGTTTCTGCGCTCTTAGCTACCGTGCAACAGTGCCTCTCATGAGGTTTGTTCCGTTCTTGGTGTTTTAATTACATCTTTTAGGGCTTTAATAATTTTAAGCATGTTTATTTTACATTCCCTTTCCAATTGTCATTCTATTATATGAAGTTTTAGGGTATCTTTTAGTGCTATTTATTGTGTCTGCTGACTTTTAAGTCAGCAGGATTTTGTCCTCCTGCATTTCATTATTTGTGTTTGTGAGCTTATCTTTAAAGAAGGCTGTTTTTCTGTGAGAATCCCCGTGGCCTGGGTTGTAAATGTGTCCCTCAAGAGCAGTTTTGCATTTGCCACAGAAAGATCACCAGATGTGGAACTCTTTTTTGGCTGTTTATCATTTTGGGAGTCATTTATCATCATGGTTCCTGGACCATCTGCAAATTTGAACCTCCAAATTTGAGGTAGAAAAAGACCCTGAGAATTCATTTCTCAGAGGACATTTTTCCCCATCCAGACAGAGGCATATAAATTCTTTTTTGTCTCTCCGTGCCAGTGCATCGATGGTTCTCCTAATCTACTCTTTTCAGTGTGGGTGTAGCCTTTTAAAAACTGCTGCAGTTTTTTAACTAAGCCCAGCTGTGGCAGCATCCCACATCCTTACCACTCACTTCTCTCTTTGTTACTGACACACCTGGAGACTTCCTTTCTCTGTTGCCAGTTCATTCATGCATTTAAAATAATTTTTGCTGTATTTTGTCAAGCATTTTAAGGCAGTATGGCAGGAGAGTTTTCAGACTGTTTCCCCACATCTTCTTTTAAGAAAGTTAGGAGTCTCATTCCACCCTTTAAAAAAAGTATGATGTTAATTATTTTCTCTTGGTAAGCCTGATTTAAAAATTGGGGACATCCATAGAAGTGTTAGGAGGAAAATGCAAACTACTCATTGTACCACTACCTAAAAATGGCCATGTTTTAAATGTTTTCTCCTTTTTGTATTATATGTGTTTAGATATACATATATACATGTATATATGTATGCATATGTATACACACATGTATACGTGTATGTAGACATATGTATACATATGTACACATACACGTATACATGTAGACATATGTACACATGCACGTATACATGTAGACATATGTATACATGCACGTATACATGTAGACATGTATACATACATTTATACATGCACACATACATGTACACATACATGCACACATGTACACATACATGTATACGTGTATACATACGCACATACATGCATACACGTATACATGTATACATACGCGCATGCATGCATACACGTATACATGTATACATACGTGCACATACATGTATACACGTATGCATGCATACATACGTGCACATACATGTATACACGCATGCATGTATACATGCGTGCACATACATGTATACACGTATGCATACATACGTGCACATACATGTAGGCACGCATACATGCGTATACATGCATGTATACATGCATGCGTGCGTGTACATACATGTATACATGCACACATACGCATACATGCATGCATACATGTGCATGCATGCATGTATGCATACGCATACATACGCATACATACGCATACATACGTATACATACATGTGCGCATACGCATACATACGTATGCATACGTATACATGTATACATACGCATACATACGTATACATACGCATACATACACGTATACATGTGTATACATATGTATACATACGCATACATACACGTATACATGTGTATACATATGTATACATACGCATACATACACGTATACATGTATACATATGTATATACGTATACATGTATGCGTATACATGTACACGTATACATGCATACATGTATGTATGTATACATGTATGTATTCATACATGTATACATATATACATACACATATGTGTGTATGTATATATGTACTATATAACTTGATTCATGTGTGAATATCTGTTTACATGTGCGATTTTTCACCTAATAGTGTATTGTATTTTTCTTACATCATTAAAATTCATTAAAGAACAAACAACTGAAGAAAAACTTCTGCCTTAGAAGCTTAAGGATAAATGAGGGGCATCTTCTTGCATATATTTGATTAGCTGTTCTGCAAATCTACTCTTCTGCACCTAGCAACCTAGAAATAAAAAAGGGAATAGCTGCACTAAGAGCCCTAGAATCCTAATTAACATTGTGCCGCTGATAGATGCCTTACATTTAAAGCAAGATCATGTTGTTTCTCTCCCATATAAATGATTTTCATTGACTGTTCTGAATAACTTTATATTTCCGGTCTCCAATTTGCTGCAACTAAATCTTAGCTACTCCCCCATTCTGGCTTTCTTGTTGAAAATTGCTCTCTGAGCAAAACCTGGAATGTCTGAAGTCGTTCCCCAACACAGTTGCTAGAGATGGGCTGTGAAATAACAGAATTTAGCAGCAAGTCTCTCCACAGGCCAGTGTATAAAAAGGATCTGAAACCTAGGCTGGGAATGACAAGTATGCTAGAGGGAATGGCACTCCCCTGCCCGCCTTCCAAAAGCAGTTTGGCTTCAGGAGAGTGGGTGTGTGTTTCACTTGGTCTTGCAAATGTAGGTCTAACTTTGTCACCGCCTTTCCGTCTGCCTTCCAGCATCTGTGCCCAGTTGACGTAATGACTGTGGAAGGCAGATTGAACGTTATTAAGGAGACAGCCTGGAAATTGTGAGAGGCAGGCAGGGTCAAGGATAGAAAGCATTTTTGGGAGACTGGGGTTCTCAGCTCACAGTAATTGAGAAATCGATTCAAACTCATGCCATACAATGAAATTATATGTGTGTGTGCATTTCCTAGAAGTTACCCCATGGCCCTTCCCACTTAAGTTAGCACTATACAATGTCTTGGCCAAATGAATTTGAGTTCCAAGTTAGGTTCTTGAGACTTAAATTAGTTCCAAGTTAGTTTCTTAAAATTTGTAGTAGAAATAATAGCCTTAAAATGTAATTTATTAAAAATTAAATTTAGGGCCAGGCACGATGGTTCCTGCCTGTAAGCCTAGCACTTGGGGAGGCTGAGGTGGGAGGATTGCTTTAGCTCAGGAATTTGAGACCAGCCTGGGCAACATAGTGAGACCTTATCTCCACTAAAATAAAAAAATTAGCCAGGCATGTTGGCACACACCTGTAGTCCCAGATACTCAGGAGGCTGAGGCGAGAGGGTCACTTGAGCCCAGGAGTTCAAGGCTGCAGTGAGCCATGATCATGCCACTGTACTCCATCCAGCCTGTGTGACAGAGCAAGACCCCCCTCCAGAAAAAAATTAAAATCTTTAAAAAACAACAGTTTTGATTTACAACTGCCAGAATTTATGAGAAAAATAATTTTAAGTTTCAAAAGTTTAGTGTGCACACTAAAAAAATGAAGGCACAAAGCTTATGTTGCCAACAAGATATTAGAAACAGAAGTATAACTACACAACTCTACTTCCTGTAGATTAAAGATTGCCAAGACTTTATTCATATTTTTATTTTTTAAAAAATTTAAAAACTGAGACGTGGATTCATTTCTAACAGGGACACACAAATGTCTGATGGTGGCCCAGGAGGGCTGTCACTCAGAATCAGGCGGGTGCAGAGTGGCCTGCAGGACATGATGACCCAGCATGAGACAGGATGCATCACATCTGGGTGACGCCTCTCTCCAGGGGATCAGCCTGGACTAAATGCCTCTCCTGGGCCAGGATGCCCAGCAAGCCCCGAGATGCCTCCTGGAGAGAAGGAAGTATGTGAGAGTATCCTGAGTTAAGTGAGATCTAAAATGCCTGAGAAAACCCTGAAATGACTGAGTCTATCTGGAACTTATTTGATTGTTTTTCTGCCATCAGATAGAATGAGGTCTCAAAAGAGAAATTAAATTATATTACAAGAAAATAAAGCTCAATTGCTTGCCTATTTGAGTTTGTGGCCTGTGAAAATCTTGCCCACCAAACTACGAGAAGCAACATGAGGGGCTTTATAATAACTCTGCAGGTAGGTGGACAGCTCATGGAATCCAAGGGGAAAGGCATGGGCTGGGCTGAGAAAGGACTAGAACCAGGAGCTGAAAGCCATTGGGATCTTTTCTTAGCTGCCATGGCTGCTTCTTACTGCATATCTTTCTGTCTTCTCTCTCTGAGGCCCATCTTTCTTTTTTTTTTTTTGAGACGGAGTCTTGCTCTGTCGCCCAGGCTGGAGTGCAGTGGCGCGATCTCGGCTCACTGCAAGCTCCGCCTGCCGGGTTCATGCCATTCTCCTGCCTCAGCCTCCCCAGCAGCTGGGACTACAGGCGCCCGCCGCCACGCCTGGCTAATTTTTTGTATTTTTAGTAGAGACGGGGTTTCACCGTGTTAGCCAGGATGATCTCGATCTCCAGACCTTGTGATCCGCCCGTCTGAGGCCCATCTTTCTCCACGTCTCCCATTCATCTGACAGAATATAGTGGCATCAATGCCTAAGTTACGTGACACAGTTTTAGCCACATGCAGATTCTACCTTTCTGTATCTTGGCCTCATTCCCAAATTCTTGTACAAGAATCTGATTGGCCCACTTAAGTCCCATGTCTGTCTTCCTCCATTCAATCAATGGTGGCCTGAGGGGCATTGGCCCGTGGTACAGACATGACTGCTGTGGGTTCATCACCTCGGGTCAGGGGACAGTTCCCAGGGAATTGGAAATGGCTGTGAGCTGGGAGGGCACCCCAAAAGATGATGACTTCTGAGTCACTACGGGACCTATCCCTCACTTTTCCCATCTAGAAAATAGAAGGAATAATATCTGTAATATTCCTAATTTTAAGTGAAGGCAAAGGGAATTAACATGTATTGACTTCTTTCCATGTAGGAATCTGCATCCTGAAAACAACCCTAAGAGGTGGGCATTTTAATTTCCTCCTTTTTAGATGAGAAAATTGATGCATGCGGAGGTTAAATCTCATAGCTAGTACATGAAAGCTCAGATCTAAACCCAGACAGAACCTGTGCTGCAGCCCCGGAGGCAGCTGTTATTAAGATTGAGATAATGTCTCAAAGCCGTGCATTACATTCTCAGCTATTAAGAAACTGCCGAGGACAGTATCTTATATGTAGTAAATGCTCCGAATTGGAAGTCTCATTAATAAGAGCACTCTCCATTCAATTGCAGCAGAAGTCTTACCATCACAGTGTTTTGCTCACATTAATCCACCAAACACCTCTGGGAAGTGGGCACCCATCTCCTTTGGAGAGGTTTCTGCCAAGACACATTTTATTACAATGAAAAGGGAGATGAAAACAGCCGCTTATACCTGTTTTAACTGTAATTGACCTTCAGCCACCATTTTGCTGCATCAGATTCGAGAGCTTCTAAAGCTTCCACCCTGCTTCATGTTGAGGTGTGAATTTGTCACCTTAGGAGCCTGTTGTCACAGTCTTTAGGATGTATTTATGTGCTCTGATCTTCTGGCCTCCTGACACTAAATATAACTCTTTCTTATTGGTACTCAGCTGATATACACAACTCAGGCTCTTTTTGTGAATGTTTGCTGAATGAGAGATTTGTTAACACCTACTGTATTCTCAGCTCTGAGAATATTAAACCTCTAAGATACAATGCAAGCCTCTGAGAGCAAACAGTCTTCTCTGTGCTATCAAAAAGCTAAGAACTTGGTCATTAGGGAAATGCAAATCAAAGCCACAATGAGATACCTCTTCATACTCAGTAGGATGGCTGTAATACAAATAATTAAAAAAAAAAAAACAAAAAAAAAAACAGAAAATAACATGTTGGCAGGTGTTAAAAGAAAAAACTTTAGACAAATTAAATTTAACAGAGTTTAACTGAGTAAATAACAATTTGAGAATGGGGCAGCCTCTAGAATCAGGGCTGCTACATGGTGGGCTAACATTTAAGGACAAAAAAGGGAAAGTAACGTACAAAAAAGCGGAAGTGAGGTACAGAAACAGCTGGATTGGTTACAGCTCAGCGTTTGCTTTATTTGAATACAATTTAAACAGTTGGCTGCCTGTGATTGGCCAAACTAACACCTGTAAAGGAAAGCAATATGCCTATGATTGGCCAGAACTCTGCGATTGGTGCAAGTGTAGGTTACAACAGTCTGTTTACATATCCAATTAGGTTTCAGTTAAACATTTAGGTTGGACCTAAATATGTAAGGAGGCAGCTTCAGGCTAAACTTAATTTAACACAGTGAAGTGGAGAAATTGGAAAAAACACAACTAAGAACCAATTTTAAAGTCACCAGTCAGGTCTAGTTTGGGTGAAATTAATGCATGTTCACTTGAGAGCATTAGTTGAAACTTCCTGTAATTCAGTTGGCTTGATTGGTGGCCACCTTGCTTTGGTTAAAGATACAAATAAGGGACTTCAAACACCGTAAGTAGGTTTCTGATCTGCTTCTCTGAGCATTAGTACCACAGGTAGAATGATCATGTAACTGATCATCCAAACTGTGACAATTATTTCCAAGACAAATGCTAAAACAAAAAGGACAGTGGGACAGAAGGCCAACCCATGGTTGCCTTTGCTGGAGGAATACTAGTAACATATTGACACCAGAGAACTGACTTTTTCTTTACCAAATCAATCATAGTAGATTTTACGATTAATCTATTTAATCTGTGGGAAAAATGTAACAATGGCCCAACGATAGAACCAAAGGATACATACTGTGATTTACCAGGAAGCAGCAGTGGCAGGGTTCCACGTGAAAAAATAGGTATCTTTTTCTCTTTTTCAGGTTTGCCTCTTTTTTGACCCACGCATGCTTCCGTTTTCTTCCATGGGAGGTTGGTCAGAAAGTGGCAGCTCAGGGTAGATGTCAGGAAGACAGTGGTCGGAAACAGACCCAGAGAGGGATTTGGGCCACCATGATAAGAGAGGAGTGGCCAAAGGGATGAAAAACTTACAGTTTATTGGCTGGGCACAGTGGCTCCCACCTGTAATTCCAGCATTTTGGGTCGCTGAGGCGGGCAGATCACTTGAGATTAGGAGTTCGAGACCTGCCTGTCCAACATGGTGAAACCCCCTCTCTACTAAAAATACAAAAATTATCCGGGTGTGGTGGCAGGAGCCTATAATCCCAGCTACTTGGGGGGCTGAGGCAGGAGAATCGCTTGAACCCAGAAGGCGGAGGTTGCAGTGAGCAGAGATTGCGCCACTGCACTCCAGCCTGGGCGACAGAGCGAGACCCTGTCTAAAAAAAAAACCCTACAGTTTATTGATTTCCTTTCCTTTACAAGGAAAAAGAGTTGGCTGCCTTCATGTATGACTTTTAATCTTTGTATCTCTGCCCAGAGGCACATTTTGGAGATGATGCTGTTTAAATTTCCAAATCAATAAATAAGCAGGGTCAAAGATCCAAAACTAGCAAATTGCTATTTCCAGGAAAAGATGCTGGCCTTGTCAATGTGGTTCTGTCCTGCACATACCAGGGAGTTCACACTTTTCCTGCCCAGGCCTAGAGTTGCTTGGAGCTATTCATTCTACAGAAGTGCCATCCAACTATCTTGGTATGATTGCCACAAAGAACTTTTGAAGAGGGCTGAACTAGGTGGGCCTTAGAGACCTATAAAGGAAAGTAATATGCCTAGATTTTTATATGTGTATATAAAGCACTGTAAGAGCTATGACTAAAGAAATGAGAATGTCAGTGTGAAACTTTTTGTGATTCTGCCTGGGCGTCCATCAGATGGCCTTTCTTCTAAGAGGTAGAATCAGAACACATTGGCTTAGAAGCTGCTGTAGAAAACTGGCCCATCTGGCTATTCTAATTGTTTCAGAAAAGAAATACCACTGTATCTATATATGGATCTCTTGGTGTCCTCACTGCCAAATATACATAGATCATACAAGACCCTAAAACCGTTATCTGTTATGCTTTTGGCTTACTTTCCACTGGGCTTTTTTCCCCCACTTTCTTAAATAAGGTTATTATGACTCACATTCAGCTTCCTATATTCTATGAATTCACCCCCTTGCAAGAAGTTGTTTTTTAAAAAATCATGGTTGTCTAAAAGCCTTATAGTTGTAAATTTCTCCTTTCCTTCTGGTAGTACCTTGCACTTGTATGTATAGAAAAACGACCACAATGTAACTGTTGAAATAAATACCTTTTGCAGTGTCTTCCCAGCTCAGTACCCCCTTCCATTGAGAATATCTCCATCTCCATAAGACATAACGTTTGTGATGGCTCACTCTGCTCTCCTGTCCATGAAGGGACTCCTGAGTTTGAGGTGAGCCAATCAAATTGGAGCTGGGGTTCAGTAATAGACAACCTGTTAACTGGAATGAAGGTAATGGAAACTGATGAGCAGAAGCTGCCATCATAGAAAAGCATTCTCCTCCACATGCCAGGAGAAGCAGGAAAGTGGATATTTTAAGAGAAGAACAGAACAGATGTGCAAAGTAAAGGATGGAAAATGATCTGGCTAGAGACAAAGAAGAGGAGGGGTGGGAGAGAGAGAGAGGAAGGGACTGGAAATAGTAGTTCCTGGTAGTTTTCTAGTTCCTGGTTCTCAGCTATCATGAAACCCACTCCTGTCCTTGGGTTCTGTGAGATATTCTGGACTTTTATACAAAGGTCTCCTGACTTTCCCCCCCCTAAGCTAGCTTGAATGAGTTCCTGTTATTGACAACCAGAAGACCATTGACTAAGACAACTAGAACCCACCTCTCCATTTTCTCATCTGTTTTGAGTCCCAGAACAGAAGAATGAACCTGGATTCTTCCTGAATTAGTGAAATACAATTGTAGACATTTAGATCTGAAATAATCTAATCCAACATATTTATTTTATGGATGAAACAGTAATGTCCAAGGAAGTTAAATGGCTTACCCAAGGTCAAGGTCACACAGTTAGGGGATAGTAGGATTAAAACTAAACCTTAGGTCATTTGAATGCCAATCTGGCTTTCTTTCCACTAAACAAATCTGCCTTTTAATGAAAACATTTCAGCATCACACTTGGTGCAGAGAACAGCTGCTCCCTCTTCTGAATGATGTGGTAGATCCTGCAATCAAGGGATCCCCGTCCTCAAACACAGTGGGGGGCTGAGGATCCAGGCTGAGCTTTTAGAGTATCACAGACCTCTAGCATCAGTGATTGGCTCAGAGGTGGGCTTCAGCTCCAAGTTAGAACTACTTAAGGACTTTTTAGGGAGAATAATCAGGCACTTAGACAGAAGGAGAGAATGTGGATCTCTCGTTTTTGAGCTCTGAGAAATTAAGGATCACATGAGCTTAGAGCTGCTAGGGGTTGTCTTTTCAGCATGAGAAGACAGCCTGCTGAAGAACAGAGCCAGCACAGAGGAAAACAGAACCAAGAGATGGAGAGAGATAGATGTCCGATAACTTTACCTGGGCACCTAGATTTAGCCATGCCTGAAGTTATCCAATTCCTGAACTTATCAGTTACCTGACCCAGTGCATTTCCTTTTCTACTTAAGCTAGTTTGACTTGACTTTCTAGTATATGCAACCAAGTGAGGTATAATACCAAAACATTGATGGCTAATCCTAGTTTAACTTTATATACTTTTGCTGATTTTTATATGCTACAGAGAGGCTATATCTTTGGGTCGTTGTAAACAGATGTCAGCTATTTTGGTTAAAATGTATTTAATATGACTTATTAAGACTAAACTAGGAGCAGTAGTGACAAAGAAATACAACTGTGTGTGTGCTTTTGTTTTCCGAGGAAGAAGAGTAATTTTTCCTAAAGCAGTAGATGGGCTTTTTTCGTTGTTTCTGACCCCTTTTACACTTTTAGGACTTATTGAGGACCCCAAAGAACTTTTGTTATGTGGGTTCTGACTATCAATATTTACTGTATTAAAAATAGAAACTGAAAATCTTCAAAATATTTAGTGATTCATTTGAAGATAGCAATGATGAAAGCATGTGAACATAAATAATATCTTAGTATTATAATAAAATTAGTTTTGACCTTGCAGGCCCCCTGAGATCTGTTCTAAAGAAAAATGTCAGTTTGTGTGGGATAAAAAAGAGCAAAATGTAGGACAAACTTGGAAAGTGTGTTTTATTTGCCTTCGTTTATAACACTTGAGTCAGAAAAGGAGCTCCATAATCTGTTGAAATCTTAGCAAAGTTTGCCTAATTTTGGTAAGCCTTTTTCGTTGTTTTACTGATTAATGCTTTCACCGACAATGTAAAAGGTTATTCATTACTTGCTGTGTAATCTGCCTGGATAGCAAAGATTCTAGGTCTTACCAGAATAATTTCCTGTGCTTTCTGTTGACCTTACTAGATCCTCGACTATTTAAAAAGAAAAAGTACAAAAGGTTTTCACTTATGAAAGAGCAAAGGTTCTTTTTAATCATGTTGCCTTCTATGTTTATTTCAAAATGCTTTTTTGTGACTCAAATAAGTAATAAAGTATTGTTTCTAAGGCACCCATGATCCTATCTTAATCAAGCATTCAAATATGTTCTGATAAGTTTTTTTTTTAAATTTTTGTTCTCCCAAAAAAATTAGATCTTAAATTTAGGAAAAAATAAAAAAAATCAGAATTTTTTTTTGCCATTCTTTCGTCATAATTTTTTAACCTTTTTTATGATAATAAAATACATGGAACATAAAATTTAACATTTTCCCTATTTTTAAATGTACAGAAAATTAGGATATCTTTTACACCTAAAATATCTTTTGGATTTTCCAGTGTATCCTTTGAAAATCACAAACTTGTTTCTTTCATCACATAAAAAGATAAGGGCTAGGTTTCTTTGATGTGTTACTATTGTAGGATTTGTATGAGAAGAGTTATCTAACCAGAGAAGGTACTTAGTCTTCCCTAGGTTAGATTTGTGTAAATAAAATATTCTTAGTGTAACTATTTCAGAAATGGTATACAGATGGTCCCCAACTTACAATGGTTTGACTTATGATTTTTCAGCTGCGTTTATTGGGGTAGTAAATGCATTTTTGACTTCTGACATTTTTTATTTACAATGAGTTTATTGGGATTTAACCTCATTGGAAGCCAAGGAGCATCTGGACTTTAGAGGAAATCCCTGGAGATTTATCAGTACCCTGGCTGTCCATGATTTATTTTTACCCTCAAGGAAAACACTGATCAAACTCTTATGAAATTGGTTTGTTGTGTTTTCTTTATTTATCAGAGTCCTGACAATGCTTTGCCTGATGATATTAGACAACAGTGTAGTGTTCTCAATCCTAATTTCAGTTATTACTTAAAATGTTTCCTTAGCCTGGCCACAGTCTTATATTTTTAATTTGAATTTACTATCTCCTAAGCTAGTTGTTTTCAACTATGGAGTTTTATAAAAAATAAAATGCCTAGGCCCTACTGCTGAATCTCTTTACTTCATATATTTGGTATATTATGTCTCATAATTGTTATATCTCAATTTATTTTTCTATATAAAAATTGTGTTCCTCCATTTTTATAAATCAGATTTTTTTAATGCAAACTTAATTATTATCCTTAGAGACAACTTGCCTATTTTTTTATTTTATTTTTTGGAATGGCTTTATTATCTTTGGCATGCTACAGAAGCAACCACATTTCTTTACTGGTTGCATTATAATTATGCACCCCTCATCTGACCTGTCACATTTGAGGGTTACCAGTTATAAATTAAAAACAGCCACTCTAAGTCTCTGTCATCTACAGATTTTTTTTTTTCACTCTGAGGCTTGTGTGAATGCCCTGGTATAAGCTACAGGCCAGATTTTGTGTCTTCAGCCAAGGACAGTTTCAGGCTTGTGTGAAGGCCCTGCTATAAGCTACAGGCCAGATTTTGTGTCTTCAACCAAGAAAGACAGTCTCAGAGCTTCATGGAGAAGGACTGTATTGGATATTTCAAACTGTTGACACTTTAAAACATAGACTCTTGGGTATAGCTTTCTGAGCTGGTATCTCTTAGATAACTCTCAGCTCAGATGAGTAAACTCAGTCAAGATCTCTAGGACTCCTTTTAGTCTGGAGAACTGCTAACCTAAGATCCTCAGGACAAGAGTTACTTACATAAGGCTAAATGAACTGATGAGGGAAATTTTATTGTGTTTTTTAAAATAATATTGTTGATTTTGTTTCACTGTTCTATAGTCTGGTTGTATAAATAAACCAATTTCTTTTTTTCTAAGCTATCTACAACCTATAAAATTTAGTAGACTACTTTTGTAAATTGTATTAGTTTGTTTTCACACTGCTGATAAAGACATACCCAAGACTGGGCAATTTGCAAAAGAAAGAGGTTTGATGGACTCACAGTTCCACATGGCTGGGGAGGCCTCACAATCATGGTGGAAGGTGAAAGGCACGTCTCACATGGCAGCAGGCTAGAGAGAAGAACTTATGCAGGGAAACTCCTCTTTATAAAACTGTCAGATCTCGTGAGAGTTATTCACTATCATGAGAATAGCACAGGAAAGACTCGCCCCCATGTTTCAATTATCTTCTACTAGGTCCCTCCCACAACATGTGGGAATTATGGGAGCTACAATTCAAGATGAGATTCGGGTGGGGACACAGCCAAACCATATCATAAACTGAAATGAAACATCTTAAATTGTATTTGATTCTCACTGATCCTACAGAATCCAGAAACTTACTGAGTCTCTTTGCTTTTCATGGCAACGTAGTTTTATGTAAAAGCTCAATAAGAATATCTTCTCCTTCTTACTAGGATATAATTGGATGAATCAGTTGTACAACCAGGGCCTTACCTGGAGTGTCCTTTTTGAGAATGATGCTTATTTTATCAGAAGTAACCAGCCACTTTTCAGAAGCTAAAGTTGACGTTACTTATGGAGCCAATGCATACAAAGCCCTCCTAGGAAAACTGGCTGGTGTCTGGCTTATAGGATCCCAGCCTTACAGGAGGTGAGGAATATTATTCCCGTCAGGCCAGAAACTCAAGAAATTTGGAGGAATTTAAGAAGAAAGAAATTCACCCAAACATATAGATACTATGGGTGATATTTTTTGGTAAGAGTTTCTAAAAGATCATTTGGGATTCCTTATTAAAACTTCTAGACAGAAGTTAACTTTGTAAGTGATTAATACTATATGGACCTGGATTTTGCAAGCCAAACTTAAGAATAATCTTCCTTTGAAATTGTTATGATCACGAAAGGAAAGCAGACGCTAGGGAAAAATTGTGAAAGACTGAAATAGACCGAAAGGTGGACTGGTGTCTTCAATGGAAAACTATGCCTTGTTTTAGGGCACCCCCTTCCAAGTTTTCTGATTCTATAAATGATGTGCCTTTCATTATCTTTGAGCTCCTATATAGAACACTTATAGGAATGTAAAAAGTTCTTGTCTATAGAAATAAAAATTGTGTTCAGTGAATAGCAATTGATTATTGTCCCATGGATATTAACCAATTTTACATCTATTTTTACATTCATTTCAGCATTCCTGATTCAACGATAAAAGTGTAGTACATTGAATTCTCCTATATAGCATCTTACTGGTTCCCTTATGAGTTAATTAAGAAGTTAAATAAAATCTTTGATGTTTCATCCTATATTTTTGTGTCATGATTTTACCTTTTTTTAAACAAGTATCCTTTAAAGTTATTTGCCTATTGTATATTTTCCCATTTCTTTGCTTTCATACTTTCTCTATTAGAAATTGTGTCTCTTGTAAACAGCATATAGATGAGTTTTACTGTATTTTTTTTTTTTTTTTTTTTACTTATTTATTTTGAGACAAGGTCTTGCTCTGTCACCCAGGCTGGAGTGCAGTGGCATGATCACGGCTCACTGCAGACTCAACCTCCTGGGCTCAAATGATCCTCCCACCTCAGCCTCCTAAGTAGCTGGGATTACAGGCATAGGCCACCATGCCCAGCTAATTTTTTATTTTTTTGTAGAGACAAGGTCTCACTATGTTGCCCAGCCTGGTCTCAAACACCTGAGCTCAAGCAATCCTCCTGCTTTGGCCTCCCAGAGTGCTGGGATTATAGGTGTGAGCCACTATGCCCGGCTGTTTGGTTTATTCTGTCTGGCACTCTTATGTTTTCATCTGTGGGTTAAGTCACACATTGATTCCTATATTCACATTGATTATGATTACACTTAATTGGAATTATTTATTCCATCTTGGTTTCTTTTTATTTCTTTCTCGCTGTCTACTGGATTGATGGAGTTTTTTTTATTTCCCATTTTTCTTTCTACTCATTTGGAATTTTTCATTCTTTTTCTAATACTTAGTGGTTACCTTTGTGGCAGACACTGTTAGATGCCCTGTGTCTTAGTCCATTTATGTTGCTATAAAAGAATACCTGAGGCTGGGGAGTTTATAAAGAGAAGAGGTTTATTTGGCTCATTGTTCTGCAGGCTGTACAAGAAGCATGGCACCAACATCTGCACCTGGTGCAGGCCTCAGGCTGCTTCCACTCAAGGTGGAAGACAGAAGGGGAGCCTGTGTGGAGAGATCACATGGCAAGAGAGGAAGGAAGGTAGGGGAGGGGGCAGGCTCTTTTTAACAACCAGCTCTCGGGAGTGAACAGAGTGAGAATTCACTCATTACTGCAGGGATGGCCCCAAGCCATTCATGTGTGATCCACCCCCATGACCCAAACACCTCCCAATAGGCCCTGCCTCCACCACTGGGGATGAAGTTTCAACACGAGGCTTGGAGGGTCAAATATTCAAACTATAGCACCCTGCAATAGTCATTCTCCTTTTCTTCCTTAGCAATAAGATTCTGGAAAATATACCTTGCTGAAAAACTACTGATACAAAGGAAACAATAATATGTAACAGGAAGTTGCTGGTTGGGACTAAAAGAGTAATGACAGTTGGCCTGTGTTCCTCTGTCCTTCCCTCTTTTATCCTGGTGTAGGTGTAGGAATGTGGGTGTAGACGGAACTCCAGAAACCATCATGGACCATGAGGCAACTCTGAGGATGGAAGCCACACACTAAGGACGGTAAAGCAGAAAGAAGAGCTGAAACCCTGATGATAAAGAAGCAGCCAATTCCGTCCTGCACTGCCCACCTCCAGATCTCATTCATGTGAAACAAAGAGAAACTTTATCTTGTTCAAGTCACTTTAGTCAAGATTTTTATTATCAGATGAATGCAATTTCTAATTGATACACCTTAAAATTTTCAACATGTACACCTGATTTAACAAAATCTAGAATTAAGTCAATACTTCTACATGCATTATAGACCAAAGGTCACTGCTATAAGAACTTTGGGTATATAGTCAAATTCCTCACATTTTTAGAAACTTGTTTATTCATTGCATCCCTCCCCCATCTCACTCTCTCACACACTCACATATTTATTTTCTCAGATCCTTATAAGTTCATAAGACATATGTCCTTATTCCATTTTTACAGATGAGAAAACTGGGGTTTGCAGGGGTTAAGTAACTTATCCAAGATCACACAATTAATTAGTGGCGAAGTCATAATTTGAAGTCTTTCTAATGCCCAAATGTTTCCATTGTGTCACATATCGGAGCTGTGCTCTTTCCATCAGCCAGTTTCCCATTATCATAGCTGATGACATGCACACCCACCATCTGGGGCAGGCTTTAGTACAGCACTCTGTGCCATCATCCAGATCACCAAATCTTAGTAAATGGACGTGTCATAAGAGATAAGGCTGCCATAGAATCACAGCAGCTTCTGGCTTAGTAAATTACCTGGATACACACCTTTTCCTAGAGGAAATCCCACATCTTCGTAGGAGATCTGGTGTAATGCTCTTGGGACCTCTCTCTAGAGGATGAGCTAGTATCACTGGGTCCTAGTAAGTTTCAGCAAATATAATAGAGACAGAACTGTCATCATTATCAGAAAAGAAACAGAGAAAAATGTTAAAACAATGGTTTTGTGACCTTAAAGTCTGTGTTAGTCCCTTAGCACCACCGCTGAGATTTTGCTGAAAGGGACGTTTTGTGTGTTGGGCTTCACTGAAGGAAGCCCCTGAAAGTGTTCAGAAATAGGGAAAATGAGAAACTGTTCCAGCTGAAAATACGGGCAAGGGGGAATCATTGAAGAAGACAGAATATTGAAGTGTTCAAATGAATAAAGAAGCTAAAAACTAAATCATAAGTATTTCTGTTTCTTTGATATATATAAAAGGAAAATGTTTACCAGGTGAATGTGATCAGCTAGGCATGTTTTGAAGGCAATTGTAGCCAAAATGTAACCCCAACTCGCTCAAATTCTACATCCAAACCTTTCAGAGGAATGTCCAAAAAAGAAATAATTTTGTAAAAACTAAGTTTGGAAGATTCAGAAACAAAATTCAGAATGAATTTTGTAGGAAGGCTGAAGGAAATCCTTTTCCAGAGCTTTACTGGGCAGTTGGGGTAAATCACAATGACTCATTTATATAGATCTTCAACTTTTCGCTGATCTTCCAACTTGATTTTCTTTCAGACTCTAGTTGCAGTGACACATAAACTATGGCGCAGGCTTAACTCATGTCTGCCCTCTACTTATCCTCCCCGCCCCACTGCTGGGCTCACTGTTCTGGAGCACAGTGCAGGGAGAAGACAGCTCTCATCCCTCCTGTGTTGCTCTCCTGGGAGTTACTTCTCCAGATCCTATGGTCTTTTCACCTCTCCCATCACAACTGTGACAAATCAAACACCTCTCTCCTGACCACCGTCTCCTGGAACCTGGGGTCTACAGTCCCTCTTGATACAATGAGACGACCTTGCGTTCAGGTGAAGGGTGAATGTGGAACCAGCTACGCTTCCCTCTCTGCCTACCTCCTCCTACTGCATAACCACAAGGCTATGTGGATGGAGCAGATTTATCAAAAACTAGGGCTAATTTAACGGACTTACAATATAGGAGTGAATCAAAGGTCAAATTATATGTTAACATCAAACTTACACTAGAATAAAAGCCATGGAGAACTTCAAAACAGAGATGGGCAGAAGAGTCAGCATTAGCAGGACAGTCTAGGGTGGCCTTTGCATTCCATACTGAGCTCCTGATGTCCTAGCCAGTGGGGTTTGAATATGTCTCCTCTTCTTGCCAACACACATCTCCCAAAGGCAAATGGTGATTTTCAGAGACAGCAAAGTCCAGATTTCTATAAATGAACAGAAACGTTCCTTAAATACAATGAAGACTGTACAACTCTGCCTACTGGTGGGGATAAGTTTTTTTGTCTGTTTGTTTTGTTTTTTGAGATAGGGTTTCCCTCTGTCACCTAGGCTGGAGGGCAGTGGTGTGATCATGGCTCACTGCAGCCTCGACTTCGAGGGCTCAAGGGATTCTCCCACCTCAGCCTCCCAAGTAGCTGGGACTACAGGCACATGCCACCATGCCCAGCTAATTTTTGTATTTTTAGTAGAGACAGGTTTTCACCATGTTGCCCAGGCTGGTCTCAAACTCCTGGGCTCGGTGATCCACCCACCTTGGCCTCCCAAAGTGGTGGGATTACAGGTGTGAGCCACCACGCCTGGCTGGGGAGAAGTTTTAATTTTCCTTCTACTTCCAAACCATGGCCAAAGGCTATGGGAACACAAGAAAGGGGGTATGGGTAGCCCTGGTGTTTCCTCACCTACTGGCTGCACAAAACACCTGGCTAGAGTTCTGAAATGACCACTGCCCTGTGCATGAGGCCTAAATACACCCCTACAACCTGGGATGCCTCACAGGACTCTCCCCAAACAGGAGGGAGGCAGGGCAAAGGTTTATGATCTTCTTAGCTAAGCAACTGGTGGCTTTACCAGTTGTTCTAAGGAAACAAAATTTCAAGCAACTTCTGCAGATGAACTTTCCAGGATGAATTTCAGCTGCTTTATGTGCATACCCTTTCCACTAGTTAGTAAAAATGACCAAAACACGACTGTTGCAAGACTTTTCTCTCTAAATCTGTGGTTCTCAAGTAGGGGTAATTTTGCACTCAGGGGACATTTGGCAATGTCTGGAGAAATTTTTGCTTGTCACAGTGGAGAGAGGGGAGGGTAGAGGGAGATGCTACAGGCATCCAGTGGGTGGAGGCCAGGGAATGTGGCTAAAAATCCTGCAATGTGCAGGACAGCCTCCAACAACAAAGAATTTTTGGCTTCAAATATCAATAGTGCTGCTGCTGAGAAACCCTGCTCTAAAGACTTGGAAAAAAAAATGAGATTTAGGTTCATCTGTGACCAATATTACCAGTCATATCACTCCTGAATTTCACTTTAAAAATTCATTAGCTGATCTTCTTACACATCATCCCTAAGAAGTAGATTAAGAGTAATAATGGCATTTACTGAGTTCTTACTATGTGCTAGGTTCTGGGATAAGGACTTTATATACTTTATCTCACTGTTGTCCCTGTTTTCAGAAAAGAAAACTGAGCTCCGAGCAATGAAGGAAGTTGCAGATGCACATAAAACTTAAAATGGCAGAGGGAGGAATCAATGCAGACATGGAGTTCTGAAGCTTTTGCTGTTGCTCTCAGTGCATTTCTAAGGAAACCCAACGGTATCCATTTCATTGACCAATTGCTTTGTACCCAAAATTTTATTTTTCATAAGAGTTTTTCATTTTCTGACAAAAACTATTTGTTAAATAAACATAACTTCATAATTCTGATCACATCACTTGGAGCAAATTTGACTGATACATTTTAAAACACATGGATTAAAAAAAAAACTCCTTCTTTCCCGAAAAAGGAAAAAAGGAATGTATTTTTCATATTTTCATCTCCAATTTAAGGAATTCATTTTTGGAACACATATTATGCTTTAAATGGTGGTGCCAGGTAAAACTGCAAGGAAGCTTGTGCTATCTGGAGACACCCATACTTTTTTTTTTTAAGGACCATTTTGTAACTTTACAACAGCATATTGCATTTTTATATTCATGTGCCTGTCTCCTTCATTGTCCTGTGTATTAGTTTTCTACTGCTGCATGAAGAATTTAAACAGACCTAACAGCTTAAAACAACACCCATTTAATAGCCCACAGT
The DNA here is from genome assembly GCF_000001405.40 of Homo sapiens. Lineage (NCBI taxonomy): Eukaryota > Metazoa > Chordata > Mammalia > Primates > Hominidae > Homo > Homo sapiens. The sequence goes on from NC_000007.14 coordinate 30,133,356, forward strand.
TCTGAAAGTCGGAAGTCCCAGCACAGCCATGGCATCACTGGGTTCTCGCTCAGGTTCTGCGAAGGCTGCAATCATGGTAATAGTCAGGCTCAGTTCTTGTCTGGAAAAGACAACAAGTTTGAGAAAAAAATCTGCTTTTCAAGCTCATTCGGGTTGTTGGCAGAATTCAGTTCCTTGCAACATTGGCCTAGGCAAATAATTTATGACTAAAACCCCAAAGGAAGTGCAACAAAAACAAGAATAGACAAATGGGCCTTAATTAAACTAAAAAGCTTCTGCACAGTAAAAGAAACAATCAACAGAGTAAATAGACAACCTACAGAATGAGAGAAAATATTTGCAAACTACGCATCTGACAAAGGACTAATATCCAGAATCTACAAGGAACTCAAACAACTCAACAAGAAAAAAAAAAAACCCATTAAAAAGTGGGCAAAGGACATGAACAGATATTTCTCAAAAAAGACATACAAGTGGCCAACGAACATATGAAAAAATGCTCAACATCCACTAATTATCAGAGAAATGCACATTAAAACCACAATGAGATACAATCTCACACCAGTCAAAATGGCTATGATTAAAAAGTCAAAAAACAGCAGATGTTGGTGAGGGTGCAGAGAAAAGGAAACATATATACGTGTTGGTGGGAATGTAAATTCGTGCACAGTGCCTGGTTCAGAAGACACACTTTACAGAAAAAAGCTGGCTGAATGTTTATAACGTGTCTGTGTTTGTAGTGTTCAAGTCCTGAGGGCGAGGACCCTAGTGCATTTTCTGCAATCCAGTAATGCCTGTCCAGTATATGGCAGCCAGTGAGCACTCAACAGGTGCAATCGTTGGGCCACACACTCTTGTTTTAAAATGTGCTTTATCCTCTTGACCTTTTTAGGTTATGCAATGTGAATTCAAGCTGAATAATACTGAAGCCAGTCTTATGAGGCTCATTTCTAAGAAATATTCAGCTTTACGTAACGCAAATAAAAAATCACACACGCCCTTTGCAAGTGAACATTCATATTAGTGTCTGATAAATGCATTAAGAAGACACATTCCCTTAAATCAATCGGAGAACAGAACTTTGGTTTCTGCAAAAAGAAAAGCTCCCTTTTCCTTAGATTTTCTCAGCTCCTCCACTGCTAGCCCCAGACAAGGTCCAAGTTATCTGCAGTTCTATGGCCTCCCTTGCATTTAAATCGCATTTGGGCAAACGCTTCCTGGGCTTTCTAACTCCACAGAAACGCTAACCAGGTATTGGGCGCTCGCACCGCTTCCAGGTAACCCGCGGAGCTGCGGATTCCAGGCTCGCGCTGTGACGTCACCGGGCTCGCAAGCCGCGGCGCGGTCTCAGGCTCCGGTGATTGGCTGGGGCCCATGACGTCACGGCCCGGGGCGGCACCGCGATGGCCAGGGCCCCGGGATGCTCCGGGTTTGTTTAAAAATAAAGGGGGGGCGGGAGCGCCCAGGAAAATCCGGGCGCCCGCGGGGGTGCCGGCCGCTCCTCCCGCCGCCCCGCGTCCCGGCCCGGCCGCGCCAACCCCCACGGCGGCCCGCAAGGGGGCGGGGGGAGGCGGGGCGGAGGAGGAGCCGCGGGCGCGGCGCCGCGCTGTCCCCGGCCGCCGCCCGCCCCACTCCGCACCGCATGTAAACAGTCCCAGCCGGCCCAGCCCGGCCCCGGAGGAGCCCGCGCAGGCCGAGCCGAGCGCCGCGCTGCCCGCCCGGGAGGAGGGCGCCTAGGAGCGGGAGGGCGGGCGGCGGCGGGAGGCGGGCGCGGGGCCGCGATGGATTTCCAGCAGCTGGCCGACGTTGCGGAGAAATGGTGCTCCAACACGCCCTTCGAGCTCATCGCCACCGAGGAGACCGAACGCAGGATGGATTTCTACGCCGACCCCGGCGTCTCCTTCTATGTGCTGTGTCCGGACAACGGCTGCGGCGACAATTTTGTGAGTGCCTGGAGGAGGGACCGCCGGAGCCGGCGGGAGTGTGGACGCGGCGGTGCGTCCCTGCGCCCGAGCTCCCGCGCGGTGGGCGGCGGTGGGCGCAGAGTGGGGGGCCGTAACCCGCGCCCCGCGCCCCGCGTGCTCCGCCGGGGAAGCCCCGGGCCGGGCGGTGCGGGCTCCGCTGCCCGGGTGGGGCCCGGTGGGCGGCGGGCAAGGCGCCCGGAGGATCCGGGGAGCCGGGTCGGGGCGGGAGGTGTGGCGTCCCCCTAAAGGCCACTCCTCTCCCCGCTGCTGCGGGCGCCGTTTCGGGAACCCGACCTCGCGGCCCGTGCGCGGTGCCTGGCATGGAGCATCCCTGGGGTGTGGGTGTCACCCGCGTCGGACCAGCCGGGTCTGGGGCGCACGGACCCTCCGGCAGGAGCCCAGGTCCGGAGCTTCCCACATCCAGGCGTCCCGTCCGGGATAGGAATCCCGCTCCCCTCCGGTGCCCAGCCTCGGCTCCTCGCATTGCCCCTCCCGGGAGAACCCCACTCCCCGCCCTCGCGGGTTAGTCCTTGCACTGCCTGTTTGGACACAAAGCTCTGTCCATACTAGCGATGCCCGATCTCCTGGACCTTCTTTGCGGAATTACACCCCGGATCTTAATACGCACGCGCGCCTGCGCATACACCCCAACACACACACACACATGCTCACACCCTCACCCTCACACGCGCACACTCACGCGCACACGCGGCACGCCTCTCCCCCTGCCCCCGCGCTGCCCTCGCTGCCTCTCTGAGCTGCCCGAGAGGTGTGTGTGGCCCGGGCGGGTTCTCTCCAGCCGAGGCGGTGCCCTGGCCCTGCTGAAGCCCGTTGGCTTTTCCAGATGACGGGGAATCCCCTCAGCCCCGGCTCAGAGGGACCGGGAACTGGGACTGCGGTGTCCAAACCTTCCACTTTGAATCCTGCACCCACCTGGGATCCCGACTCTGGCAGTTGAGGAAGGGGATGCGGAGGGCAGGGGAGTCGGGGTGGGAGGGGTGGAGTAGGGCGAGCACGGTGCTCATGAAGTGTTTCCAAGGTCGGGGAATAAATAATGATCCCCAAATGTAAGATGGAGGCGGCCGTGGGCGCGGGTGACCGTGTGGTCGCGGGCCTTGTGGGCGGAGGTGGGGTGGTGCGGGGCGCGGCCTGGTGCACGCTCCTCAGGTGGGGGAGACAAAGCTGGGCCGTGGTCCTGCCGCCGAGCGCCCTGACCACCTACGGGAAGTTCGCGAAGGAGTTAGGGAGACTGCAAGACCGCCTTTCTTGGTCCTGGAGAGGTGAAGGCTTATGTATGCCTGGCCGATAAAGCATTCCCTCCGCCCACACGCACCCCCTGAGGAGGGCAGGGATCCACCTGGGCATTCCACAAGTGGCACTCCAGAAGAGGGATGGCCTTGTGTGACAGCCAGATTTGAGTTCTGGCTCTGTGACTGTGCTCAAATACCCACCCTGAGCTCAGTTTCCACATCCAAAAAAATAGGTATAATAATGCCAGCACCCAGGCGTTCATATAGGTAACGCACCGAATAGTCCCTAACACACAGCAAGAGCCCCACAAATTTGGGGTTAGAGACCTGGGGTTTCCCAGAATTTAGAGCTTGTCTCATTTTTTAAAGAGCCTTGGTTTTCCCACCTGTAAAATGGGGCTAATCAGAATACCTCCAGAAGAGCCAACTGAACAATAATATTAATGCCTGTAAGCCCATCTTAACTGTAGGTAAAGTAAGTAAATAAGTGTTCTTTTTGGAAGGAGTGGGAGATCATTAAAAAGGGATTCACTCCATTGCAAAAGTGTGAGAAAGCCCCCAGGATACAGTGGAAAGGGCACCAGAATCCAGCTGACTGTAAAATGTTAGGGTTTGGCTAGGGTCCCTTCCAGCTCTGGGCTTCCTTCATCTGCCAGCGCCCTTTCTCCCTCCTGACCGTGTGAAACAGGGCAAGAATGGCTCATGGTTCTGGATTTCACTGGGGAGAAGCCCACACAGCCTTCCTGCTGGGACCGCCCAGGCCATACCCAAAGAAATGACTCCAAAGACAGTAAGTGGGCCAGGAAGACAAAAGGCTGTTCTCTTGCCATGAATATGTGTATCCAACCATCGTTCAGAAGTAAGAAGTATTATATTATTTGTATCAGGCCTTTCTCTTGAGGCCACCCAGATTTTAAATATTTTCCCATCTGCATGAGAAAAATGCTTGAAAGTGTCATGTAAACTGACAATTTAAATAGAATAGATAGAAAGATAGAGGATGGGGGTGGGCAGATGATTCCTTGGGTAGAATGGAACTTTCTCCAAGTTCTGGAGGCTCTAATGGACAAGATGCCAACCTCGGGAGTTTTCCTAGCCGGACCTCTTGAATCTGTCCCAGGCCAGGTTTGTCAAGCTACTGTTTGCCTCTAATAAGTGTCCTGCCTTAGTTCTTTTCTTTTTCCCTGGAAAATGTATTAAGCATTAGACAAAAGTGTGAGATCAATGGAATTTCTATTAGTTGAAGGACTTAGCAATAAGAATGTCTACATGAGCATTTCTCAATTTACAAAAGTATTTCCACATCATTCATTCATTCATTCAACAAACATTTATTGAGGGTTTACTTTGTGCCAGGCCAGTGCTATCTAGAATACAAATAGGGTCTCTGCCTTCATGTTCCTGGGGCAATTTTTACTTGTCTAGGAAGCAGTGTGGTGTGGTGGTTAAGCACACAGGCTGTAGATCAGACTACTTGGGTTTGCACCTCAGCTCCCCGTATTTGTGTGCCTTGGGAAAGTTATTTAACCCCTCTATGCCATACTTTTTTTTTCTTTTTCTTTTTTTGAGACAGTCTTGCTCTGTCGCCCAGGCTGGAGTGTAGTGGCGTAATCTTGGCTCACTGCACCCTCTGCCTCCCGGGTTCAAGTGATTCTTGTGCGTCAGCCTCTCCAGTAGCTGGGATTAAAGGCGTGCACCCCACGCCCAGCTAATTTTTCTATTTTTCGTAGAGACAGGGTTTTGTTACGTTACTTAGGCTGGTCTCGAACTCCTGGGCTCAAGTGATCCTCCCACCTTGGCCTCCCAAAGTGCTGGGATGATAGGCGTGAGCCACTGCACCTGGCCTCTATGCCATAGTTTCTACATCTGTAAAATCGGGATGATAATATTAGTACCTCCTGAGCAGAGTTGTTTGAGAAAGGTATCTAAAGTAGGGGCAGCTTAGATAGTCTAAGCCACTGTCATTTTTCATCGTGTCTCCTAATTTGTCTCCTTGCTTATAACCTCCACCTCACTCTTACTGTAGTACTGAAGTGGAGGTACTAAATAGATCCAAAATGACTGCTTGGGGAGACTGACTCTAAGCCACTGTCTACCCAGCAGTCATTTTGGATCTATTTAAAATATAAGCCAGATCATGTCACCACTATCCCCCACCTCAGCTGAATTGACTTCCCATCTTTTATAATAAAACCTAAGCCCTTACCCTGGCCCCAAGCCCCCACATGATCTACCTTCCTGCCACACAGACCCTGCTGGTCCTCAGATGTGCCAAGCGCATTCCTGCCTCAAGGCCTTGGCACTTGCGTTCTGTCTGCCTAGAACCCTCTTGCCCCAGATCTTTCCACGGCTGGCTCCTCGATGCTCCTGAGGCCCAAGAGAAGCCTTCCTGACCACATGTTCTTAGATCTCACCCTCTTTTATTCTTCCCATAGCACTCGTTAGACTTGGCATTCTCTTTTTGGTTTTCTGCCACTGCCACTAGACTCTAAGCTTCATGAGAGCAGAGGCCTTGTCTGTGTTATCACTGTGTTCTGGCATTTGGAGCAGCATCCATACATGATGGGTGCTCAGTACATATCTATAAGGATGAATAAATTATAGTCTAGTGTAAAAGACATGTCAAATGTCAAGAATTCAGTTTCAAAGAATAATAATAATAGCCATCACTTATGTTCAGTTTACTATGTAGCAGACGCTGCTCTCGGCACTTTACATATGCCAACTCATTTAACTTTAGTACTCTCACATAATTATATAATCTCTATAATTATCTCTGTTTTACAGAGGAAGAAACTGAGGCATGGCAAACTTTACTAACTTTTCCACAGTTAATAAGTGGTAGAGCAACTTCAACTATAGCCCTGTATTTAATGCATGGCATCACAGGAGTGACAACATGGGACCCAATCTAGACTGGGTTCAGGGAGTGCTTCTTATTGGGCCTCACAGAAATTCATTGAGGTAGATATTATTATTCCCACTTTATAGGCAAAGAAACTGAGGCTCAGGGAGTTTAAGAGATTCATCCAGGACTGTACCACTAAGAAGTGACAGAGCAAGGACTTGAGACCAGAGGCCTGTCCTCTCCACCATGCAGAACAGCCCACAGGTGGGGTCAGGCCAGTAGTTCCAGGGGCCCATGTTTAGTAAACAGGACGCCTGTTTATTTTTCCTCCATTTTGGGTCCCTTGCACACTCTTTCTCTATCTCGCTCCACAGGCCATCCCATCCATGCCGACCCTTTCCAAACTGTCCCTCTACCTGGGACCCCTCTCTGTGGGCCCCATGATCAGGGCCTGGGGTGAAACAAAGCTGCTAGTGCCCTGTGTGTGGAGGAAATTCAAGGGCATGGCCACCCTGCCTGGCTCTACAGGTTTGATAAGGGAGGGCTCCTGGCCCTGGTCAGAGGGGTCCAAGGAGTCCTTTCTGCCAACTTGGAAGGTCCTTCGGGGCTTGGTAGGCTTGGAATGGGGTGTCAGCAGCCACTTGGATGCCAGATAAACAGAGGGGCACTCCTAGGCATGGAGCACCAGCTGCGTTCCTTCCTTGTCTTAGGCCACGAGAAATGAGGTCTCTGAACAAAGAGCACTGCCCAGCCCATCTGGGGGCCTGGATCCTGATGATTGTGGGAGAGAGGGAGGGATTCATTTCCCAGATTGCCCAGCCTTTCCTGTCAGCCCAAAGACACGTTGGACTCTAAAATTTTGTATAGTTTAATCCCTCCTCAGCACAAAAACAAAGGTAGTAATCATGATATTATTAAAGAAAAAGGCTTTATTTATGGCAGGACTGTGATTTAATTTTACATGTGTTTGTAGAGGGGTGTGTGTGTGTGTGTGTGTGTATCCCCATTTGTGGTCTGAACACATCTTTATTATTAACTATGTGATCAAATAACAGCCTTCTTATTTGGATAAAGAAAATAGAACTTATTTAAATGAGATTGAGTCCCGCTTATGTGCTGGTATAGTGGAGAGAAAGTACTTTCTTGTTGATTTAAACTCTACCCTGTTTCCTCCTCTGTCAGATAGGGACAGTCATGCCTGTATTACATGATTAGTGTGGGGATGAAATGAAGAGCTGTGCATGTGATGTGCTCAGTAGACATAAGGCCATTCCACATTGGCTGTGCCTGTTCATATAGAGAGGTTATTTCTGGGAAAATGAGAGGTCCTTTGTATATTCTTTGAGTGGTAGTCATGAGGAGAGTAGTTACGTCAATACAAGCTCAAGTGGATGGGCATAATCGCTTATTGGGCCCCTGCTAAATGAGAGTCAGTCTACAGGTTGTCCCCTGAAATCTTTAGATTCCCCCTGTAAATATAATTATTTTCTGTGACTTACAAATGAATACACGAGGCTCCGGTTAAACATTGCGCACAGAGTGTAGTTGAAAGGGTGCACACTCCTCCGTTGACATTCTGGCTCTGCCCTTGTTCCCTGTGTGACCACAGGCAAGTTACTTAACCTCCCTGAGCCTCAATTTCCTCACTGGTAAAATGGGTCAGTGGCTGACACACAGATCGGGCTAGTCCTAGGTATGGCCAGCTGTGCTCTTCCCACCATGTGCAGTGGCTCACACCTGTAATCCCAGCACTTTGGGAGGCCGAGGCGGGCGGATCACCTGAGGTCAGGAGTTCGACACCAGCCTGGCCAGCCTGGTGAAACCCCGTCTCTACTAAAACCACAAAAATTAGCTGGGCGTGGTGGTGGGCGCCTGTAATCCCAGCTACTTGGGAGGCTAAGTCAGGAGAATCAATTGATCCCGGGAGGCAGAGGTTGCAGCGAGCCAAGATCGCACCACTGCATTCCAGCCTGGGCGACAGAGCAAGACTCCGTCTCAAAAAAAAAAAAAAAAAAAGAGAAAAAAAGAAATATGTTGGGAGGCGTGTGGTGGACTGTGGCTTTTATCTTTTTCTGCCATCTGTTTCCAGGACAAGAATCAGGGTTTTGTTTTGGTATTTTATTTTGGAAACAGGGTCTCACTCTTGCTCACGCTGGAGTACAATGGTGTGATCAGAGCTCACCGTAACCTCAAATTCCTGGGCTGAAGCAGCCTGCTGCTTCATCCTGGCAAGTAGCCAGGACTACAGGTGCGCACCACCACACCCAGCTATTTTTCTTATTTTTTGTGGAGACTGGAGTCTTGCTCTGTTGACCAGGTGGTCTTGAACTCCTGGTCTCAAGCAGCTCTTCCGCCTTGGCCTCCCACAATGTTGGAATTACAGGTGTGAGCCACCAGGCCTGGCCAGGGATCCATTTTGGATTAAGACACACCAATTCAAAATGGACTCCCTCGGTACCGAGTGGCAGAAAACCCCCACTTCAGTACTCCAGTAAGAGTGAGTCCCAGAGCAAGGGCCCCAGAGGGAGGAGACACAGGAGTGTGTTCTTACCTCCCCTGCCACCCCCACCCTGCTTAAGCACCAGGAAGTCCAGCTGCATACCCACCAGGATTTAGAATAGTAGGGGTGCACACATTGTGCTCCCCCAAAAATGTCTGTAGGGTTGGACTACTTTAATGACTGGAGACCACTTTTTGATAAACTGGATATTCCGATCTACATTGTACAAAACAGGAAGGTGCTCATTTTCCTATTTGCAGGTGACATAGTTATATTCTCTTAAGCTGGGCAAGCTTTTATGATAAACTCTGGCCTGACTTCACAGGAAGAAGGGTCGCAGATGGCCTATACTCAAATCAAAGTGCTTATCGGATTTTCTGTAGGAAAGAGTAGACCACTCAGGCCAGGTTCGATGACAGCCACTTCACTGCAGCTCAGGCCAACCTGAGATTTGGAGCTGGCTATAGTCAGTAATGGCAATTGCTGTAGTTCTCCCGGAAAGATATTTAAATGTCACACCACCCACAACCCCCTTCAAATATGTAGTTAGCCAAAGTTCTGCTGTGCCCATGGTTCTCAAAGTGTGGTCCCAGAACCAGCCACATGAGCGTCAGCTGGGAATTTGTTGGAAATACATATTCTCAGCTCACTGAATAGTTCATTAGCTAAATAAACTGATTACCAAGCAGAGGTGGATACATTGCAATTCTGTCATTGTGTTTGAGTGATACACTTTTCTCAGTTAACTTTGCAATTTAAACTCTGCCCCCCCAGCACGCAACTCTGATCCACACTGAAGCTTGAGAACCGCTTCCCTCTACTCCCTGAAGCCTTTCCAGGCATTTCTCCTTTAGTCCAAGGGAGTCCTGCAGGCTGTTGACGCTCTGACTACCGCCTTATTAGAGAGTCAGTACTTTCCGTACCCAGATTCATGTTTGCCAGGGCGTTGCATTGTTCAGCGCTAGAGGTTCTCTGATTCCTGCTGTAGTTTTTTTCCTGGTCAAAATGAGTATTTGGTTACACATGCTTAAAATATTTTCCAAGTTGAAGTTACTGTGGCCACGCCCAGTGGCACAGGACTCCGGGCCTTCAGTTGTGCATTTGTCTTTGTACAGGACTAAATCCTGTTCTCAGGAGCACCAGCCCTGCCCATAGATGGTCTCTCCACTCCGCTTGGTTTTGGAATGGGCCCCTGTATCTTCCTAAGAGAATAACCGCTCTGCCCCCAACCCCCTGCCTGTTAATTTTCCTGAAGAGCACGTCTGTTTTATCTGTGGACACTACCTCGTGAGATTGATAGTGCCTCTTTCTTTGCATGGGCTACTTAGAAAGCTTTGCTGGCAAATCTGTGTCCCGTCTGTAGTAAGTAGCCAGGCCCTCATACCTTGCTCTGTTTGTCCTGGTCTCACTCTTGGATCTTATTTCCCTCCCTTTGTCCTTTTTTTTTTTTTTTCCCAATGACAGACTTAATTTTTAGTTCATTTTGTCTTGTATCTCGTGATACCTTGCCGGCTGCCTTGATTCATTTTGAAAGGAAGGAATTTAAATGGAACACCTCCTTGTTATGAGATACAATGGATATGAGACAACTAGCATTTAGTAAATGATGTCTTTTAAGTGACCGTGTACACCCGAATCTGAGTCCAAACCCCATGCCACTCTATCATGTGGACAAGGATTCAGTTACAACATTTTTTAAACCCCAAAACCTAACAGAACTGGTAATAGGTGGAGATAGCCAAATGAAGGAAGTTCAGACAGAAGGCCCTTTCGTGGGTATTAAGTCTTCCTTCAACATATAGTCCTAAATTGCTCTAAAAGGAGAGTAATGGAAATTGTGGTGTGAACAATCTCTTCATGAGGTTAGAAATGCCTTAGAAACACTTAGCTAAATATACTGTCTGATTACCAAGCAGTGGTGGCTACACTGCAGTTTATGATTCTGTTATTGTTTGAGTGATATACTTTTCTAAGTTTACTTTGTAATTTAAAGCCCAGATGTACTTACTTTTTAACAAAGTAGGTTTACAAGCTTTTCATAGGTGCACCTGCTTCTGAATTAACCGCAACCTGAGTTGCCTCAGGCAGTGCTCTCAGTGAGTCACATTGGGTGTCTGATTTACTCATTGTGTGACCATAGCCTTGTGGCAGATGGTAAGCCCACCCCTTCCCCTCTGTCTCCCCCATCCTCCTGCAGATGCAAAGGGGGAAAGAAGGTACTTAAGTCCACCATTTACTGAATATTCACTGCATGTCAGCTAGGCACTGTGCCAGGTACTTACTCAGCTTTTAACTCTGTCATCTTCACAAGTCTACAGAGGACAGGCTTCAAGTTTTTGAAATGTGGTGGTAGATGTTAATCCCCTCTTTAACTTGGATAATAATTTGAAATAAGCTGGAACTTTTACACATTTGAGTATGAAAATGGATGCTGAGCAGAACTTACTAAGTAGAACTTTTGTTGTTCTTCCAGAATCTCCACTGATTAAGAATCAACTGGCATAATGGATATACAAGTACTTTGTACCATTACACTTTTGTACAATGGAAGAGACTATTACATAAATGACATTGTGGTGGTTTGACAGCTTTAAGGGTCTCTAATTAGTAGGGAAGAGCATTTGAGCTGTTCGCTAAAGCTAGAGAGCCCAGACGTTGTCTTTATTGGGTTGGGGAAGCCTCTAGAGAAGTCTGCTGGCATGAGAGCAACGTGTGTCGAAAATGGACCTTTGCAACTATGAAACACAGATAATTGGGGTATAAAGATGGTACATTGGCACCTAGTTATTCTCATTTGGATCTGAGCAGTATTTTAAGTCTGTAGGTCTAGTTCTCAGAAACCCTGCAATGAGAAGAAAGGAGAGGAAATGTGTTTATTGAGTGATAGGGATATGGGGCCAGTGTGTGCTTGGCATGGACCATGTCTCCACATAAGTCTTCTATCCTGCTATCTGGCCGCTGCATCTTGTTCTTATCTGCCAGATGTCTTTCTTTCTCCCAGACCTCAATACTTTTTTTTTTTTTTTTTTTTTTTTGCCAGTGTTTAGCCATCCTGGATCCGTCCCCACTAAAGAGTGATTCTTGGTACCTGACAGATACTCTGATGTTACCCTGGAAGCCCCGTGTCCCTGACTTGCTTAGATATGCAGGGCAGGGTATTCTGCATTAAGAATGCTCAAACCTATTTCTTGGCCTTGTTCCAGGTCTTTGAACATTTATGAGAGAGGCTTGCCTAGTCTTAAAGATGTGCTAAAATGGATATCCTCACATGGAAAAAAGCCTTACCCAGTCTTCAGAAAAAATAAAACCTAGACTGGGCATGGTGGCTCACGCCTGTAGTCCCAGCAATTTGGGAGGCTGAGGCAGGTGGATCGAGACCAGCCTGGGCAACATGGCGAAACCCTGTCTCTACCAAAAATACAAAGAATTAGTCAGGTGTGGTGGTGCGCACCTGTAGTTCCACCTACTTGGGTGGCCAAGATGGGAGGGTCACTTGAATCTGGCAGGAAGAGGTTGCAGTGAGTTAAGATCATGCCACTGCACTCCAGCCTGGGCAACAGAGCAAAACCCTGTCTGAAAAAGAAAAAGAAAAAGAAACAAAAAATCTAAAACCGATCTCCTCTTAGTATGTGTTAGATTGTGAAATGATGCTTCGGTATGATGTCCTTTTAAAGCATTTTAGGGAAGGGAAGTTTTCAGAAAGCCTTTGTTTTCCAGTGACATAGTGGTGACTTGGTGGGTTCTCTTAAGTTATTTGCATTTGGAAGTAAATTTACCACCACGCCTACTCACAGGCCGATCTGGGTAAAGAATGTCTTGTTCCAAGTTAATGCTTACAAACTATGCTTAATTAATCTTTCAGCCGTAGCTGAAAGCAAAGTTAAGGATTTTGAAGGCAAAGGCTCTGGTTTCTCCTTCCCCATGTCTGAAAACCGCCCTTAGCCTGCACAAGGTGAACAGTGGAAATCATTGGTGAGGAATGGCCACCCACTGCCCTCTTTACTGTGTAGGAGCAGATCTGATGATGAACAGAGCAGGTGAGGTATGGACCAAAAGCTCGGGGGCTTCTATAGATTAGACATTTTTTCTTCCCTTTCAACGCAAACAAATCAAGAACGCATGTATGAATTTTACTGTAGAATGGAGGCCTTCTTCAAATTGATGTTATTAAGAAAATCTGCTTGGCTTTTCTGAACTTCACACTGAGTGTAGTGACTGTGTGTCTTTGTTTTCTCCTTCCGTCGCCCGTGGGCACGCAGCACGTGTGGAGTGAGAGCGAGGACTGCCTGCCTTTCTTGCAGCTAGCACAGGATTACATCTCCTCCTGCGGCAAGAAGACGCTCCACGAAGTCCTGGAAAAAGTCTTCAAGTCTTTCAGACCTGTAGGTGCCTGCTTGGCTTCTCACCACAGCTTGTTTTCTATGGTGATTGTGTTTAGAATAACAGGGGCGGTGGGGAAGGTGGGCAAAACCTGGGATGACTAATTGTTTTTCTCTTGTCTGTCCTGTGGCTTAGAGATAGCAGCCAGTATAGGGAGGCCGAGGGCGGGAGGAGGGGGACGGGATGTGACACAGCTGTTTGCTGCAGGGATGATGGTTATTTCTAGCATCACTTGAGTTGAGAATCCCTGATGGGGGGGGAAGCAAACAGATCCTTTATGAGACAACTGAGTGTTCCTGTTCTCCTCTAGGAGACTTGGAACCATGGCACTTGCAAGCCCAATGGAGGTTCTTTTATAATAGTGGGGCGTATATTTGGGGATTGCTGGGAAGCTGTATACAGGTTATATTAATACCTCCACGTTTGTGGGTATGGAAAAGGATGAAACTGGATACTGGCTCTATTCTTTTCTATTTTTAAAAAGTCTCTGTTATGAGCTACTGTTGCTTTGTTTTCCCCTTTTGGGATTTAGGAATGTGTATTTCTGTGGCTAGCTGACAGTCTGTTTTCATTCTAGCTGATAAACCTTTAAAATGAATGCTCACTTCTATTTTGAAGATTACCTACTTCCCTTTATCTTCATTGGAAGATAAAGTCCCATCACCAGTGTCTCAGTGTTTCCCCTAAGTTCGATTCCCTGCCCACTGTAAATACTGCACATGTTCAGTGGTATTTGCTAGAATTTCTATTTATTTTTCAAATCTGTTCTAATGCTGTCTCCTTCTCTGCTGCGTTTTTCAAGCTTGTCTTCTGTTTCTTTGAACATAGTAAGCTTGGTTGCATAGTAGACTATGTCTGATGATATTTCATTTTGTAAGTCTGTTTGGTCTTCTTTTGTTTCTGCTAGTTCTCAAACCTGGTATCTTGTTTCTCTGTGTGTGGGATTATCTTTGTGTGCTAGTTATTGTATTTGAAAGTTTACATGTAGGAATAAAGTGAGGCCTGAGATGACAGTACCTTACTCCAGAGAGGATTTCTGTTTGCTTCCGTCAGGACTTGGGGGCCTATTAGTCTGAGACACCTTAGCACAGTTTAAGTCTTGTGGTTCTCTGATGGCTCCCGGGGGTGAGAAGGCAGGATGCGGGTCTGGCCTCCTGTGCCTCCTCCTCGTTCTGAGGGTGTGGGCCTCTGGGGGCCCAGCTTCAAGTGGGGATGGTGTATAGTCTGCTCCTTTGGAAAACTGTTAGAGTAGCCTGAGAAAGCAGTGAAGTTTCTAGCTGCTGCTTCCAGGTCAGCAAATGCCCCCAGGATAAAAGCAGCTTTTTATGTTTGGCTTACCCTCTCCTGGTTAATATTTTATATTTAAGAAGGTATTTTTCATATTTAATTCAGCTTTTTTTAGTCATTCTCAATGAAAGAGTTGGACCCAGTCACTTTGTGCACCATTGTAAGAAATGAGATTTCAGTGGCTTTTGTCACTCTGATTTGCTTAAGCAAATGACAGAAATCAAATAGAGTGACAAAAACCACTGAAATCCCTTTTTTGTTTGTTAATTTTCTAAGCCAGTTTGGCACATTCAAAATAGATACTTGACTTAAAAGTACCAGTCTGTCCCACATTCATTCATTCAATAAATATGTTTTGGGTACCCACTGGGTACATGGCACTGTGTACTGCATTGTTCCTGGCACTGGAACTAAAGCATGAGAAGCTTAGATCTCACAGAGCCTGTGCTCCAGTGGGGGGAGACAGGATAGACAAGGACACACGTAATGTCGTGAAATGATGCTAGTAATTAAGTGCCAAAGAGAAAGGAAAGAAATCAGGGAATGGGGTAAAAAGTGTCAGGGGTCCTGGAATTTTTGAGTAGGGAACCAGGGAAGGCTTTGCTGAGAAGGTAACATTTGAGGAAAAACTTAGACTACAGAGTGGGCCATGAGAAAATCTAGGGGAATAGCATTTTCAGTAGAGAGAGCAGCAGGTATGAAGGCCTCGGGGTTGGACAACACCTGTGTCCAGGGAGCAGGAGCGGCCAGTGTGGCTGAAGGAATTAGAGAGAGGTGAGCTGGAGGAATTCCAGGAGTCACAGAAGGACATGGGCTCTTACTCTGGAGTGATGGGGAGCCCCCCAAGGGGTTAGGCAGAAGAGGGATGTCACCTGACTTCACATCTTGAAAGCCTCCCTCTGATGACTGTGTTGAGAACAGGCTGTGTTAGGGGAGGGACAGAGAGGCCATTGAGGCCATTGCTGTCATCCAGGTGAGAGATAGTGGTGGCCTGGACTGGGACGGTCACGGCAGAGGCGGGGTGAGGGGTTGGATTCTGGAGATACCTTGAGAGTAGACCCAGCTGGACTTGCTGGTGGATCAGAAGTGGGATGTGGGAAAAAGGGAGAGAAGGCTGACCCTGAGTTTCTTGCCCAAGCAGTGAAGGGAATGGCCTAGTCATTTACTGAGATGGGGAAGGCTGCGGGGGCGGGTGGTGGGGAGTTTGGGGTTGGTAATGTCAGAGCTCAGTTTTGGACATGTCAGTGTTTTAAATGCCTGTTAGACATCGAAGAAGGGAGATCACATTAGGCAAAATTAAAAAGAAATGGATTCCTGTAAATTTTAACCAGAAGAATACCCGTTAGCAACTGAGGTTCGCTTTGCAGCAGGTTTCCTCACAGGGGCTCACTCATTGACCTGCCGCCAGCTGGTCTCTGTGGGTGTCGTCTGTGGTGGCAGGCAGCCTCCCCTCCCTGCAGAACTGGCTCACCTGGGAAGGGGAGCTCCAGCCGGGAGTCACTGTGCTGTTTTTCCTTACCGAGGCTCTGGTTGTATTTTGGCAACCAGGCTAGCCACGTTAAATGAGGAAACAAATGCGGTCCAAAAGAAATCCGGATGTGCAGCTGAAAGCAGTTGGATTGGTTGAGGAAGTTCTTTCAGGTGGCGCTGAGATGTGTCACGTGGGCCCACAGCTTTGGTGTGCTGTTGCTGGGCTTCCAGGTTTCCTTTCTGAAGTGGAACTTTACCTTGTGGGCAGGGATGTGGCTCCCCAGGTGAGGAGGCCTTGACGTGGCACAGCATGCCCTTTGGTGAGGAGGTTTGTGGGCTGGGCCGCCCTCTGGCAGGGCCGGTTTACCCCTGAGGGCAAGGCTGGTGGGAGGCACCTTCCCGGACTGGTAAAGATGAAGTGCTGAAGGCCTCAAGTTTCTCCCAGTCAGGATGCGCCCCAGACTGAATGAGAGGGAGCGTCACAAACCCGAATAAAGGACCACAGAGATCCCTGGAGAAACTTTGACACTCTCCACCTCCACCAAATAGAGCACTGCTTCCCAATGGCACCATTTATCTGTTTGTTTTACGTAAGGGAGGTTTGTTACAGATAAGACATAGGTAGGGGTTTTGTTGCTGTCATCACAGTTGAACGTATTTGTTGAAACGCTTACCCAAATGCTACAGGTTATCAAGTGGGTAAAACCAGCACATCATTTCCCTGAAAATACATGGGAATCTGATCAATCCATGCAGCTGCTTTTTTGTTTATCGTGGGCCAGCCCCAGGAGGAGTGTTTTTACCTTCATCTTAGAGCAGTCCCCTGCTCTGCCTACTGCACTCTACTGGTTCTTGGGAGAGCTATTTCTGTGAGCATGTTCTGCAGGGGGTTGCTTGTCATCTCTTAACCCAATTATGAGGGAACAGGTACTACAGTCATGAAGAACCCAAGGTCTGTTGTCAGGCTACCCGGATTTAAGTCTCAGTTCTACCACTTGCTGGCTGTGTGACCTTAGACAAGTTACTTAACCTCTCTGTTTCTCAGTTCATTTGTAAAATTAGAAAATTAATGATGATAGTTCCCTTAGGGTTGCAGTGAAGATTAATGGAGTTTTTGTTGGGTACTCAGTGCAGTGCGTTATCCACGGTAGGCACTAAGTCAATGTTAGTATGATGTGGATAGGATGAGGATACTAGACAAAATACTGTGGAGAAGTGAGCAGGTTACCGTTGGGGGGAACCTTAGATTATTGGTGGAGAGAGAAAACAATTTGCTAAGTGATTTCAACATGAAAAGGCATTAGAAGGGTAAGTCAAAAGTTTATCAACATTGGTTTTGGTAAAATTACAAGCATTCACTGAGTACCTGATCCACACGACTCACTGTGCTAGAGGCTAGGACTCCATAGAGGACCAGTGGATGCACCTGTCCTCCCAGAGGGGCACGTGGCCAAAGCGCTCAGGGTTATGGATGATTTTTTATTTTCTTCTTTTCCACATTTTCTAAGTTTTCTATGATCACATTATCAGAAAATATATTTTTTAATGAAACTGTGGCTTCCAGCGTATTCGAAGGGCTAGGAGTATCAGTGTGAGCAGGCTCATTGAGGAACAAAGCCAGGCAGTGGCTTCATGAGGAGGTGGGACTGAAGAATAGCCGGACCTAGACGTGCTCAGAGCAGGGGCAGGGCTGGCCCAGGAGGAAGTCCAGGAAGCGTCCATCTTGGCTGCCTCAGCTCCGTTTCCTTAGAAATGGCTCCATGTGGTGGAAGGTAGATCGGCTCTGCCCTGTTTTGCTCCCATGCTGTGTGGCCTCTAACAGGTACACTTGGCCTCAGTGTCCCCAGCTTTAAAATGGGGGCAATACTGATTTAGCTGTCTTGTGGATTCATGGGGAACTTTGAAGTCAGACTGAGAACCCAAAGGATTGTCAAAACCCAGACACTCTGCTAAATTTAGTCTCAGTTTCTGGCTCCTAACAGGTATTAGGAAATGTTTATTGGATGGGTAAATGACTGTGGATGCAGCCGGCCACCTTCCCTCGAGTGACCCACATTCTACTCCACTCCAGTGACCTCCTACTTGCTAATGTTGATTGCTCAGAGAGGTATGATTTTTACCTATTTTTTCTTGCTACTGGCATGTCGTATCCAAATGGCACATGTATGCACATGACAATGCCAGGCAGGCTGTTGTTGGCATCCACGAGCAGGTACTGCTACTTGTAGTGGTTTCAGAAACCCCCATCAATCACTTTGGTAAGTGTGAGTTGGATAATCGTCAGAACCTTGCATTTTTCTTAAGTGACCCTCCATTGACAGTTGCTGGTCATACACGATTGAGCTGGAGAATGAAACAATGGTTACGGACCTAAATAATGGTGATCATGCCGTTCAGTTTTCCCCACCATCTTTTCATGTTTTATATTTAGTGTCAACTGACAGACTTACTGCTGGGTAGAAAACAGTTTACAAGAGAAGAAATAGCCTACTATTTCCAATTTAGCAGTGAAACTAGACTTTATCTTTGCCCTTTCGAATTCTCTCAAAGTGTTATGGGCTTAACAAGGAACTATTGCTTCCTCGAGTGTGTTCTTCTCCTTACCAACGCTGTGGACATTAGGGTCCTGAGTCCCCTATTGCTCTTGCAGTTTTTTGTGCTGTTTGGTTGTTGTTGCTTCCATGGCCCGGCCTGGAGTTGGGTCCTGTGGTCCTTGTAGATTCTCACTCAGTTGGCCCAAGTCCTCTCCTGGGCTTGCTGTGTGACTCTGCGTTTCTTCTCTCAAGAAAGAGACATTTCTGCCAGAAAAATCCCCCTAATTCTGGTTCACTGGCATAAGCAAGATTGATATTTTCAGTTTGCCACAAGTGGCTGGAGAGCTGCGGCTTAAATCCCACAGGAAAATCCTGTGTCCCAGAAAAAGTCCAATTCTTGCCTCTACTCATGGAGTCTGGTCAAGAGCCTGGAAAAGAGAAAGAATCCACCTGTCAGAAGCTGCCTGGGTGGATCAGGGAAAGTCTGATGAGAAAAGATTATGCACACATGTGGGTTTCATAATAAACATGGAATATTGACAGTTTATCTTTTTTTTCTTTTTTCCTTTTTTTTTTTCTCATTCATGTTATGAACATTCAAACCATTCTCTTTTTTAGAGAGTATGATGGCCTCAAAAGGTAAGAGAGTGCCTCCTCCTGCCCATTGTGCTGCATCCATCTTGCCACCCTTTTTTCCTTAGGGTCAAGAAGACTGACTGACAGACCAGGACCCCACCAGGGGTTTCCCCATACCGCCAGCATCATAATCATGAAGATATATGGTGCCACATTTCCCAAATGCTTTAGAGTCCTACCACCCCTGGCTCTTGGACTAACAGTATTCCCATCACCTGGGAGTGTGTTAGAGATGCAGAATTGGGTCCCACTTGAGACCTGTTGAATCATCATCTGCGTTTGAGGTAGATTGCTGAGCACATTATCCACACCTACACATAGTGAAGGAGAAGAGAGACTGCCTAAGGGGAGTCCCTGGAAGGTACATACAAGGATCTCTGAAGCCACAGGGCACTTGCTCGATGCACAAAAGCCATGGTTGATTGGCCGTGCTCTCCAGGGTACAGACACCACCTCCCCTTCCTTTATGAAGACCTTCTAGCCCACTGTGCTGAGTGCCCCCTCCAGAGACAGTAGCTGCTAAATGCCACCTCAATATGGCCTCACATAGTTTACACTATTATCCAAAAGACCTGTAGTCGGCCCTACAGATAACAGATACTCTCTTGGGTCTGAGGAACTGAATTCTCCAGAGTTGGCAGCTCTGCCTTTCTGGTGCAACCTGTTTGGATAGATGGGCCCCAGCAGTGCTTATGTGATCACCGATAGCTCACAGGAAGCTTTGTGGACAGTGAGACACTGGAAATGCTAACTCTCTTGTCCAGAGTGAGCATAAACTATTTTCCCAGTCAGCTGAAAAAAAATTCACTGAAATAGGAATAAATGATTATAACTGTCAGGAATAATTTAAATATACCAGTCACTTTCGTTTTTTGGCCCACCTTTTTGGTATGAGAATGTGTGGTTGCAGTAAAAGCCAGGGCTCCAGAATTCTTCCCAGTCTGTGTGTACGCCTGTCTCTTCTTGACTGTTGAAAATTGGGATCCAGAAGTTAAATTTAGACTTGCCCACCATAGGTGGGATTAAGCATAGAGGTGAGGATGCTAGATTACTACATATCTGTAAGATATGTCCCTTAGAATTCCAGGCAGTCTATTTCTGGTGCTTTCTATCCATGCTTCCAAATTGTCCCTCCTCACAAATTTAGACATTAGCATTTCATATTGCATTTTTAAAAAAGATTTATTCCCCAGCGGAAAACATTGAAACCTCCAGCTAATAGGAACAGCATTAACAGCTGAATGGGAGTCTCCTGGGTGGCCTGGTGGGTAGGGGTGTGAAGTCTGCTGTCAGATCACCCAGGTTTGAATTGAATCCTGGCTCTGCCACTTACTGGGTGACTCTAGGCAAGTTACTCAACCTCTTCAGGTCTTATCTGTAAAAGGGGGACAATAAAAGTGTCCAACACAAGGTCATTATGAGGAGCAAAGGAGTTAATGTGTGTAATTCTGCTTAAGACAGTGCATTTGCTGTGCCAAACCCCCTTTTTATTTTATTTTATTTTATTTTTTTAGACGGAGTCTTGCTGTGTCACCCAGGCTGGAGTGCAATGGCACGATCTTGGCTCACTGCAACCTCTGTCTTCCTGGTTCAAGCGATTCTCTCACCTCTGCCTCCCAAGTAGCTGGGACTATAGGCACACGCCACCATGCCCAGCTAATTTTCATATTTTTAGTAGAGATGGTGTTTCACCATGTTGGCTAGGCTGGTCTCAAACTCCTGTCCTCAAGTGATCCGCCTGCCTCGGCCTCCCAAAGTGCTGGGATTACAGATGTGAGCCACCGTGCCTGGCCTAAACCCCCTTTAACCTCAGTAGGGAAGGCACCAGGTTCAAGAGGCCAAAGAAGAGACCCAGAGCCAGCAAACGAGACACGGGGTTTTACCGTACTGACATACAGGGGAGAGAGTCCAGCAGCAGGGGCTGGGCAGGAGAATCGCCTTACATGCAGTCCAGTGGCGGCAGGCTGGACAGAAGAACCACGTGGTCCCGTGGTGGTGGGCTGGGCAGGAAAACCAACCTCCTGCAATCAGTGTGCAGTGTATATAGGATTTTCACTCAACACCCTCCCGCTAATGACCTCCACCTGGCAACATTCATTTAACCCAGAACTCAGGGCCGATTTTAATCCCCTATAACGACCCATGTTCCCTGGGATAGGCCATAGGCTCACGTGTTTCTTATAGATAAGGAGTGACTCTCTTGGCCACTCCCAGTTTCCCTAGTTCCTTAGAGATAATATAGCTAGATTACATCACATCACATCACGTGTAGTTACATAAGGCTCCATAGTTTGCAGATCATGGCTGCCTTCAATCTCTCATGTCATCTCCATAGTTACTCTGTGAGATAGAGCAGGTATCATGGCGCTTTACAGAGAAGGACATTGAGGGTCAGCAAGGTGGTGACTTGGCAGAGGTCTCCAGCTAACTAGAGCTCTGGCCTCTGGACTCTAGTGCCAGTGTCTTTTTCCACACACCCTCTCAATAAATCTGTAGACCCTACACTAAGGTGCCTCCAAATTCCAGAAGGCCACAGAGAACTGCCTCTCCTCTCCCCTTTCCAGAAGGGCAGTGAGTGAGCAGCTCTTGAAAGAGCAGTCAGAAAACTTCCAGCCTGGGGACCTGTCAGTAGATGTGCTGGTTTCATCTGAGGTAAGGTAGGGAGCTGGAAAAAGGAACTGCAGAAGAGAGGTGGTCATGGCTATGTGCTTGGTTTCCTGGGTCTTTTTCAATAAGGTACCCTAAGCTGAAGAGAGGGAGGGTGTTGAGTGCTACCTATGGTTTGGGTCAGTATGAATCACCTAGGGGTGTTATGGAACAGAATCGCCCATGGTACATCTCTTTTGGATAAAGATGGCAAATATGCAGATGCACACCTCAGCTGCGCCCTTTTCATGCAGGACAGCCATTGCTAGTTGACCACAGTGTTTTCCACGGGGCCTCAGAATCCTGAAACTCCAGGCAGCCACTCCCTGTCAGGTCTGTTAAGTGAGAGGGAACCAACTGGTCATTTCTCTTTAGTGACATCCCTTCAATACAATGAACAATTATATATATTGTTTAGGTAATTTTGGAGTTCCTGGTGGTGGCGATAGTATTTATATTTTACCAGCTATTTAAATGTTACCACTTATTTGACACTTTTACCTTGCTATGTCATCGAGCAGCTCTCCAAATAAAAAATTGACCACCAAGTGTAGTCATCGACGTGCCTTACGACTAGTCATCTTTTCTCTCTTTAGAGGCAAACTTGGTTTTTTATTCCATTTACTAAAATCTGCAAGGGAGACAGGAGCCGGAAAAAGAGACTTTCTTCTCCCAAGCACACTCAAGATTGGAGCACCCTCTCCGGGGAGCTGAGAGCGCTCTTCCTGCCCTTCCCCTCTACATCCGCAGAGTCTCTGAGGCAGCTGTGGCATGCTCAGCTCTAAGGGGCGAGCGTGTGTCTGCAGTTGACTGTGTACGCCTTGGCAAGCCACAGGCAGAGTGTGACCAACAATGCCTAGCAGATGATTTTGTCCTGAATGTGTTCATAGGGTGCTGGGAGACCTGGGAGAGCTGCAGCTGGAGAACTTCAGAGTGAAGGCATTATTTTCATCAGGACTCTGCTTTCTCTTTCCCCATTTCAGCCGTGGAGGGAGTGAGAGAGGAAGGGGGTGGCAGGACACCAGGGAGGCAATGCAATTGAACAGAATGGTCAGTCTTCTTTTTACTGTCTTGATGCAGTTAGTGTTTAGATCATTAGGGCCACTCAGTGAAGGTGCTTGAAATTGATGGCCCTGGACACCCCTATGTAAGAAGTCCTTGGGCCACAAACAGACTGTAGATCTCATGAAGGCACCAGGAGACAGAAGCCTGGTTATCACAGGCAGGTCCGACAGCTAGGGTTGTGGCTTCTTGCCTGCACCAGGAGGTGGTGTTCATACTGATCAGGCCTAGCAAATGGCACTTGGTTTCTAACCAAAGACCAGCCAGTGCTTTAAAAAACGATGTTTATTTTGAACGTCCCACATAATTATACAGCAATTGGAAAATACAAAAAGATAAAAAGGAAAAAATTACCCATAATCTCACAATCTTAAAAAAAACCTTAAAATTGGGGTGTATTTTACTGAAGTCTTTTTTCTATGCATATGTGTATAAATTTTAAGAACTCCGGGTCAGGTGTGGTGGCTCATGCTTGTAATCCCAGCACTTTGGGAGGCCGAGGCAGGAGGATTGCTTGAGTCCAGGTGTTGGAGACCAGCTTGGGCAACATACTGAGACCCTGTCTCTATTAAAAATATATATATACATACACACATATATAAAGAAACTCTGGGTCAGGCATGGTGGCTCACGCCTGTAATCCCAGCACTTTGGGAAGCTGAGGCAGGCAGATCACAAGGTCAGAAGATCGAGACCACCCAGGCCAACATGGTGAAACCCTGTCTCTCCTAAAACTACAAAAATTAGCTGGGCATGGTGGTGTGCGTCTGTAGTCCCAGCTACTCAGGAGGTTGAGGCAGGAGAATTGCTTGAACCCGGGAATTAGAGGTTGCAGTTAGCCGAGATTGCGCCACTGCACTCCAACCTGGCAACAGAGCGAGACTCCCTCTCAAAAAAAAAAAACTCTGTCATAATAAAAGTGCAATTTTGTCATGCTTTTTTTACACTTATGTGCATCTTTTTAATGTCATCAAGTCATTCAAAAATGCCATTTTGAGTGGATATATAAGATTCCATTTCAATAACACCATAACCATTTTGCTGTTGAACATTTTAGTTGTCTCTAGATTTTTAGAAATGTGTTATAAATAATAGCACCAATAAATAATAGCACCGTGTGTTTTTAGGACAGAAAATACAGAATCAGTTTTTGACATCTTGGTGGGACAGTGAGCACAGTTCATTTCATACGACTGCTGACATCCCAGATGTGTGTGTGGGCACATAGCTAGCTCTCTGTGCATATGTGGTGCCACATTTTGATACTTAAAAATAGAGACTCTCCAGGCTCCCCAGTAAAACCTAGCCCTTTGGGCACTAATCCATTGAAAGATTGACATTTCCGTCTAACAAGTTTATGAAAATCATTGTAGGGGTGGTTGACGGGGAAGTCTGCAGCTGCTGGGTTAAGTACTCTTTAATGTGGATCCGATGCCTTTGGTTGTCTTCCTGCCTGTGGGCCATTTGGCGCTCACAGCTGCTTTTCTCTTGTTCTCTCCCTGTAGTTACTGGGGCTTCCGGATGCAGATGACGATGCGTTTGAAGAGTACAGTGCTGACGTGGAAGAAGAGGAGCCAGAGGCGGACCACCCCCAGATGGGGGTCAGCCAGCAGTAAATCTGGGGGCTCCCCTGAGAAGGAGAGTGAGCCCCACAGTAACCTAGGTGGGGTCACTGCCCCTCCTGGGTTAGCATTTTGCATTAGCACTTCGAAATAGGACATCTGGCTCCCAGCATCCAAATTAAAATGAAATACCTTTTTAACGACCACAAAATATCTGTGATGAGCTTTGCTCAGAAGTGACCTGAATTTCACTCCCGCTTCAGTGGGGTTTCTATGGAGTTGTCTTGGTAGCCTTTGCCATTTTGAATTTAGAGTCCATTTTGTGGCTGACTATTCTCTTAAGTTTATGTTGGAGAATTAACATTCGCTGACTCGAATGTAGAGAACTCTGAATGTATTAAGGATAGGTTTTGAGTCCTCACAGGTGACCTTACTGAGGGAAAGCATGGCAGAGAAGAAATGCAGTCTGCACTTTTTATGTACTTTTTAAGTGTCCGTAAGTGAAAGGTTTTGCTTATAAAGCATGAATTTTAATATCTAGTCATTAAACTGCACAAGTGCAAATACAAGGGCAGGAAAGGATAATCACTTAGCTTTGGACTAAGAGGGTAAGAGAGGCCCAGAAGCCTTTAAGTGTTTTGCCATTACTGAGTTACCTGGGTATGTAGCGACTGGTTCGTGGTTAGGTGTAAATGTTACTTGCTTGTTCGACTGTTTCAAAACATGCTAATTCCAAAGCCACTTTTGAAGTCTATAGTGGAAAATATAGATGGGGTGAAAGATATAATGTATTGATTTTTAAAGCTGTTTATAAGCCGTCCCACGTATAAAATGAAACATTTTACCTTCTCTCTTTCTAATGAGATGGCCGCTTGTTAAATCATGAAAACATCCAGAATTCAAGTGCCGCTTAAACTTTGAAGCCATAGATAAATTTGTTAGAAAAGTAAACCAGGATTAAAAGTTTTTAAAAATATGGTAGAATCCTTCTTTACTTTTTAAGTCTTTTATTTAAAAAAAAAAAGTCAAAAAAAGGATTCCATTGTGTAATTTATTTAAAAATTTAATCACATGTTTCGAGGGACTTAATTGTGGTGTATTTGTAAAGGGACACGAAGGTAGGAATCTTTTAATCGTGGGTTAGCTTGGTTAACAGGGAACGTTTTAATAATCAAGATACTCAGACAACTCACAGAAACAACTTCTGTAATAACTGGAAATACTGCTGTTATCGTTTAGCCAACAATTACTTACTGGGGACATCCTTTGTAATGCTAACATGGAATTATTCCTGGACCCTTCTGCATCCCTGGTTTTAGTTAACCTAGGATGCGGAATGCCTCCTTTACAACACTAGATTAAACCTAGCATCTGGGGTGGGTACGTTTAAACAGTCACACATGTGCCTGTTAGGTTGTGAAAGTTTTGAATTAAAAACAAGCAGTAGCAGCAGAGGCCACAGAACTTATGGGAGTCTTGTATATCTTCCAGGCATGTCGGTGTAAACCTGATTGTCTCGACATTTTCTGTTTAATTGATTGGTGCTGTGAGGAGTTCGGCTGCTCGTGGTAAAACAGCGTACTCCAGTTTTAAGTCATCGGGTAAAATAATAGGACAGTGATTTCCATCTGTGCTTCAGTACCCACTTTGTGTTCTTTTCTTGAAAAGTCATACTAAAGGTTAATTTCAAGTAAAATGAATTTCCTTCCAAGTAGCCTATTAGTAAAACACAACTTAGTGTTTCATCCATTGGGGTGAGCATATACTGCCCTTTGCAGCCCTGCCTGTGTTCTGATTGGCTCCATTCATGAGCAAAGGTGATTGTGAGCTGTATATTACACAGGTGTCGCCCAGGTTTCGTAACCTCCACTTTAATGCAGTAAGCCGCAAGAATGACTTCTGCAAGTGAAATGAGGAAGCTTCACTAGCTTGCTCCATTGGAAGGTAAACTGAAATTTTATACGTTGAAGCTTAAAATCTAAATTTATGTATGTTTGGAAATGGAATGGACATTAACATAAAATGTATTTTATCAAAAAAGTGTTTAGACTTTGACCAAATACATGTTGGTATTATCATGTTAATGTTCTCTGTTTATAAAAATTGAGTGGAGATAGATAGACTCGGCCATTCTGTGGGCTGATGAGAATTCTGGGCTTTGTTTTGCACCAGGGGTAGGAAACAGAGAACATGTCTGTATGTTACTTAATCTCCATAGCAAAATCCCAAACAGCATTAGCAGATCGAATTGTTTCTTCTAAGACTTCCTTTTTCTGAATGTGTGCACATCCCTTCTCGTGCTCACACACTTGCCCACACACTCACTTCTTCCTGCGCTGTGGCTGCTCTAAGCAGGGCTGTGCATGGTGCAAAGCTGCAGTCAGTGAGCCTGGCAGCCTGTGGTTTCTGTTATGGAAATGGTTCCATGGTGAAACACATCCCTGACCCTTCACAGACTTACACATTTACTCACCAGGAGGTGGCAGCGGTGTGGGAGGAGGAGTGTTGACCTTGGACGCAGGAGAGACACCTGGGTTCTAGTTCAAGTCGGCCAAGGACTGTGTGACCTTGACAAGTCTAACTGGTCTGTGAACAAGGGGCATTTGCCCTTCCAGCTGTAAACACTGCCCTTCTGTGCCTGCCTTATGTGTGTGTGTGAGTAAGGAGCAACAGTCAAGGAAACTTTTAGGGATTCGAGAAGAAAATACATGTGGGATCTTGCCAAGGTGCTGCCTTTAGGATGCTGACCCCTGCACTACCTTAGAACATGTTGATCTGTGAGTGCCCAAGCCCCTGAGGGCTCGATCTCATGGGGCAGATGAAATTCTCTTCCTTAGAGGAAAGGGAAAGGTGAGGCCCCAGAGGACTTATCTCAGCTGTACATGCTCTGCCTGTGGAGACATGGCTTTTCTTTGTGCTGTGGCAGACTGGGGCTTTGGAAGTGGTGTATGTTTAACTTACCTGAGAGTGAGAGATGTGTAGGAAGAATAGCTGGAAGAAAGTGAAAGATGAGTGCCAGTACTTTTGGCCTGTTATCCAGTAGAGAGAAAGTGACAGTGAAAGTAACGTGAGAGAGAAAGAGTGTGTGTGTATATGTGAGAGAGAGAAAGAAAGAGAAAGGAATGCTTGATTGCTTGTTGTTCACTGGGCCAGCTCTGAAATCCAAAATCATGCCTTGATAACATTACAAAACCGTGATCCTGGGTTTGAGTGAATCCTAGAGACATTGTTCTTATGGCCGCCTGGTTTCCGCAGCCTGATCACCATATCGAGCAGACGTCAAGGAATCAGAGTGAAGTACGGAGCCAGGGAGGGAGGTGAGGCCCCGTGTAGTGCCTGTCACCACTGTGGATTCACCTGCACTCAGGTGTCCACTCCTGTCTCCCAGGCCCAAAGCAGCACATGGTGCAATGGAAAAGTCTCTTATGTAGGGATCCTCCTTGTGTCCTGGTGCCAGAATTAGATTTCCAGTGTACTTCAACGAAAACCTCTCTCCTTTATAGTTGCTGTCATCTTTCATGTATAAACAGAAACCGTCTCTAGCACAATATATTTCTGAATATTGTTTCTGTTTCATAAGAGCACAATGTACATGGACCTAGGGGAGCTGTGGTCCCAAGTGTCATTGGAATTTATATTTTAGGAATAGGCTTTGCATGTTAAAATTCACAAGTTGGGAAACTGGTATGAACAGATCTGATTTCTTACAGAGAGGCATGAAGGAATAGGCAGGACTTAACTTGGGGTGGGAGGAGATGAATAAGGGAGAATGGGAGAGTTGGGGTCTGACAGTTACCACCTGAGCCCCAGGAAAACTGTTTTCATTTTCACGGCTGTCTCACTGGGGGCCTGCTTTCCTCAAAGGAACTGACTGTATGTTGAGAGGCAATGCCTTGTGTTGGCATGGCTTTGCCACTTTAAAAGTGCCCCCCAGCCAAGGAGACCAACAGGAACCCTGCTCATCTGGTAGGGCTCTTTCCTTCAGTAAAACCAGCTGCCAGCCTGAGAAGCCTGTCTTTCCCAAATGCAGGCAGATCTGAGAGGGGCTCCAGGCACCCGGCAGGTAAATCACAAAGCAAACTTGGGTGTCCTTGGCAGCGGGGAGGAAGCAGGAGTGCCCCCTCAGGCCAGAGGGCAGGGCCAACCTCCTCACTGTGCTTCAAGGTTGTAGAAAGAGCACAATTAATGCTTAAGCGATCACAGACCCCTCTCCCCTGCAGTGGGTGTTAGCTCCAAAGAGATGCCATTGCTGATCACCCAGTCTTCGGAGAAGCCTAAAATTTCTTTGAATTAAAAACTGATCCTTTTTCATAAAGACCCAGTCACTTCTCCCAGTTTAGTGATAACAGGTATGACACAAGAAGCTGAAGTCTTTTAGATTTTATAGAGAGTAATTCTGAAACCTGCCAGAATGCTGGTAGCCTGTGGTGTCCATGGCAATGGGTGTCCATGGTAAAATATCTATAGCTTCTGCTCACTGGGCAAATATAAAAGACAACATATTATTTAACATAATATGTTGTCTTTTATATTTTTATTTAAATCTGGATTACGAAAATATAGTACCCATGAGCATTTCATGTTAGAAACCCCATTTAAAGCACTATAAGGCTGAATAGGCACAAGCGATTAAAAGTAGATGCCAGGCCACATAAAAATAAATGTTTTAATTTACTTAGAGCTGTATTCAAGTTGTTTGATACCAGACAGAAAGCTGACAGTCTGTTCTTTGTAAACTGCCTTTCCCTGTTTTTCTGTTTTGTTTTGTTTCTCAAGTTTCATTTTTTACTAAGCCCCTTCTGACACCTAGGCAGATAAAGATAAGAGTAGTGCGCAGTACAAATGTCAGCTCTGAAGAGGAGGAAGTAAATCTTCAATGCTAGGGCAGATCTTCACTATCCGTGATCCAGTCTTAATTTGAGCATGAGAGCAAAATTTAGTCATCTACACAAGAAGCAAAAGCAAGGAATAGTTGTTGGGTTTTTGTTTTTTGGTTGTTGTTTTTTTTTTTTTTTAGGCAAGAAGTGTTGCCGGTAGGGTATGTGTGCTTTCTTTGCCTTCCTATTTCCTTTCAAAGAAATCTCTTGTAAATTACAAAACTGTGAATTGGGTTGCCAAAAACTGTTGCCCTTCGTTAGATGCTTCAAACAGTGTAAATCCTATACTGCACCCTGTCCACCTCTGCTCCCTCCTCCCTCCCCTGAGAGTGAGGACCTCATCCGACCATGTAATTACCATTCGCTTGCTATTAAAGAGCCTTTCAAACTCTGGTGGTGTTTGCCTCTTTTTTTCTGCCTCCACAATGTTTGGTCCCAAAGGACACCTAATGTGGCTTATAAATGAAGAGCAAAGAGTAAAGGACCGGCAGCTCGCTGTGTGGTTGCTGTTTGTGAGGAGGCTGGGGGAAGAGAGGGAGGAGCTGGTAACATGAAACACTGCCATTGTTCAAAGATTAATCATTTCTGTGTGATGCATTCATATGTCTATTGTGATGCTATAACTGGTAGTTAGTAATTTTCTACTTCTTTGAACCAATACTTTAGTTTTGTGTTTGAGAACCCTATTTTTTCTAGCCTACTTAGGAATTCTTTTTGGCATTAATTAGAAATCTGTATTCTGTGGTCATTCTATGACATGACACCATGTCTCCACCACCTTCCTCCCGGTTATTTATTCACCAAACATGGCATTTAAATAACTCATCTGGAAGTTGATGGTAAGTTCTGTTATTTGATTAAGAGCCAGTTTCTTTCTCCAAATGAATGGGTCTCCATAGAGAGACCCATTAGATTCGATTAGATTTGAGTTTTGCTTTACAGGCACAGCATAAAGGCTTGTGTGTATGTTAGATAGTGTGTGGTCCTTTGTTTTCGATGTGGCTGTTAGAGATTGTACTCAAGTGGTGAGCTCTGTGTCAGCAGTCCCAACCCTGCTCGTGGTGCAGCAGCGGGGGCAGGCGAAGTCTTACTTATGGACTTCCTTTGTTACAGTTATTGTATCCGTCTCACAGATAGAGTTTATAAAATGCAGGTTGGCCCCTTTAAGTGCGGGCACTGGTGTTAAAAATACCCACATTTCCCCCGTGTAATCATTCTGAAATCAGTGGCTGAGGGCAAGAGGTTCTAGCCCAGACTCCTCCTGGGCTGACTGTGGCCCTAGGCATGTCCCCTCCCCACCCCACCGACTTCCGGCTTTGTTTCCTCATCTGTAAAAATAAAGAGTGGGAGACTTGTCCCCGAGTTCCCTTTGGGCACTAGCCCTGACTTGTCTAGGGGAGTCAGGAGTCGGTAGAGAGGACATGAAGCACAGTTGTAATGGAAACACTCACAGAACCAGGGTGGGGCGGCCAGGATTGGCAAAACTGTCCTGGGATTCTGAAGCTCTTTCCCCTAGGATCCCTTTTAGAATTGAAGACGCCAGTTGATATCGTGGCTGTGTGTTAGCCCAAATGCTTATGTCCCTGCGTGTTTTCTCCTGCCTTTCCACACCTTCCTTCCCTTCGTGAAAGTAATAAGGAGTCAGAACTACAACAAAGTAAAATTGGGGTGTTCAGCTTAGGGATGTAATCAACAGTCTCACTCCCTTTAGAAATGAGCCTCGTTTCCATAGTGAAGTTGGGCCGAGTGGGATCCTCCATTGTCATAGAGTTCTTTGTGTACAGGTTTGGGTTGAAGGACAACAAAATAAACAGAACCAGACCCACCACCCAGCATTTGGACGCCACGCCGGGGCTGGACAAAGTGGACTTGCTGTCCGTGTACCTGAGTGTCAGGGTGGTTTTGCCCTGTGCCCTGCCAAATCAGAGTGAATGAACATTCCTGTCTCTGTTTAGCAGACTTGGCCCTTTGGAAACTCAAGAAATGCATCCTGAAAAAGCTGGCACTGTGCTTTCCTCTTAGGACCACAATAGGCAAAAAAAAAAAAAACAAAAAACTGAAGTACTTTCCCTATCTCTAACCCTCCTTTTTTCCTTTTTGGAGTAAACAATGGCATTTGTAATGATCTGGGCAAGTTTTAATTAGGCAGTCAAGGAACAAGGTAGGCATTTTTTTAGGGATCATTTAAAGTAACATATTTTATCCTTATTTTGTTGGGAAATAGGGCAACAATGTACAGTGTAAAAACCAGCAGTAAAATTAAGTTGGCCCTTTCGGATGCTTTTTAATTAGAAGCCTCTAGAGGTCAGCACCACATAAAGAAAGGGCTTTTGAGTTCAGGGTGATCATGATGCCCATCTCCTTGTGGAGCTTTTGGAAAGGAGGGTTGGTGAATGTCCAGGCTGGGGAAAGAGAAGTGAAGAGCCGCCTTCTTTATACATAAACCCTAACATTTGACTGGGTTGTTTTTTTCCCTGCTCACCCATCTTTGCAGCTCCCACACCCCTGCGTCACACACTGTCAGTTCGATAAACATGACTTATTGACCGGTCGATGAAGTGTGCCATTTAGCTCATGCTGAGAAGGGCTGGGGAAATGCCGAAGATGAGATGGAAGGCACATTGCATTTTGCTTGGAGCAAGGTGGGAGGATGCTGGGTGTTCCAAGGCCTTTCAAAATATTTGTTAGCCCGTAGCCTGTTAAACTCTGCAACTTCCAGTGGAACATCAGGGAACACAGGTTTCTACCTAGAATCCATATCTGGCTCCCTGAAGCCTGCACAGATCAGGGGTGGGCTGGGGGAGGATTTGAGCATCTTCAGGAGGTCTGGCCAGAACTGAGATAGTTGGGAGCCCCTAAAAACTTGCAGACATACCTGTGGATCCCCGAAGTACAAGACCCAAGAGCACTGTGCAGTGATGGCCACAGGCTTCATAGACCACCGGAATTCAAGTCCAAAACGACAGGCAGCCTTGGGAGGCCACAGAGGCTCCTGGTGTTGCCCCGGGGTTTCATTTTGGCCCAACAAGGAACAGGAAGGGGAAACAATACAAAGGCTTTCCTCCCTTCTCTTTCCCTTGCCCCTTCTGTTCAGGGTTTACTGTTCCTGTCTACTAAGGAAGGCTTGACCCATAACACAAATAGTATTGACAATTACTCTGCTGGGTGATTAGATGAGCCTTGGACCCTGAGGTTCTTTCACTCACTGAGAAGATACATTGGTGGAAAGGACAACAAATATGTCACAGGCACGATGGAAGCCCAGTCTTAACATCTTAGCACTTAGTGGCATAACAGCGATTTCACTAGTACTATTAGATTTCAAAATGCTGAGTTTGGATCCTCGTGAGTATGGGCTGTATTCTTTGCAAGTATGGAACAGTCTGATTCTGATGACTTTTCAGTTGTTTTGTCATGAAGCCAACAGTGCTGAGTAAATATGCCCCACCTGTGTGTGCTATTACATATAAAAATTTTTTTGTAACAAACTTTTATGTAGTCCTTGCTAAGTGCCACACACTGTACTAAGTTTCTTTTAACTCATTTAATCCCTCCAACAATCCTACAAGGTAGATATTATGGTTGATATTCTCTTTTTACAGATGAGGAAACTGAGGCACAGAGAATCTAAGTAACTCTCACAAGATCACACAGCTAGTAAGTGCCAGAGCTGGGATTTGGACCCAGGCAGTTTGGTTTCAGAACTCTTAACTACTCTGCTGAATAATGAATGTCGTGGGTGTTGGTCTTACATTTACTGAAATCTATGATTTTTTTTCACACCACAGCACAGAGGCCCTGCCTGCCCGTATACTTCACGCAGTGCATGCTGCTAATATCCATGGTTGCCTGGGAACAGATGGAGTGAAGAGAGCATTTCCCTAGCTATTTGCCTTGCCTGTGGGCAGGTTGGCCGCGCAGGGTGGTTTAGGATAATAGCAGACACATTTTTTTTCTGGTATCCATGTACTTACAAAGATTTTTGAAAGTGACTGGAAGAACCGGGGCGACAAGTTTATAAAACAGGATCCTCAGATGGGGGCAGGGCTGGGGAAACAACCAATTGGCTTTCCATTCTGTACCCTTCTTTCTAGACCTTGTTCCCTGAGGAGCTCTTTACAAGGGTGTTACAGACTCCTCTAAGTGTCTCCCTCCTCATAGCGAAAGGGCTTTTACTCAGAGTTACCTTGAAGCAACCAGCAGCAGAAATGCATTGTCTAGTCAAGAGGAGGCCTGGGAGCAAGAAGAAAGCTCTCTTCGTCTGCTGATGTGTGGTAACATGCCATTGAGTCACCATCCCACACCAAGGGTTCCAGTCTGTGGCCCTACCCCTCAGCCATCCAAATACATTTCTAGCCTGCCTTCCTGCTCCACGCAGAGGCAGCGTGCACAAACACCCTCAATACCACCGCCACTGCTGGATGACTGTCGTGCTATTGTGCAGAAGGAATAAGTGCAAATCTGAGACCCCATTTCAAAGGCAAACACAATTCACTTTTGAGCTCATCGGGTTGTTTGGATCATCTCTGCCACGATTTTCTCCATTCCTATGGGAAAGAAAAGCTGGCCAGATCAGTATCCCATAAGAAATGCAGGCACTCCAAATCTGCTGTTCTTGCTTCTAAGATTCTGAGTGCTATCACATGGTTCCCGAATGACAGGCTCCAGGTCCTGCCATGGGAGAGTGGGCTTGCTGGTGAGTGGCTACAGGGAGAAGGTGCTAAACCTCAGGAGCAGCACTTTTGTGTTTTCCAAATGATGCACGGATGAGAGAAAGGAACGCAGGAAAGGTGAGTCAAAAACAAACCTTTGGAAATACAAAAATAAGGAGCATAGAGCTGCACAGGTTTGAAAAGAGGAGGAGGCAGTGTCATGTGTAAATGCATGTTGGGTTTCTGGATCTGATGCGTGCCTTCCTGCATGACTTTGGTCATTTAGATGTTTAGTTTCTTCTACTCAGGAATGTTAGGGGGCATTTTGAGCCTGGGGCTACAAGAGGCTAAAAAAAACTACAAACTGTTGTGCAGAATCAACTTTGGAATGGATCTGGAAAGTCAGAATTTAAAAATTTTACTTCAGTATTCCCTAAAGTCAGAAATGTAAATCCAGTAACGGGAAAGGACATGAAATGTACAGTCCCCCCTCAAGTCTCACTCTGGGTGATGCCACTCTGGGTGGATGCTTTCACCTCATCAGATGCATCTGGGAGAGCTGGCCCGGGTCTGTCTGTCCCACCGGACCCCACGCTCCCCCCCTTCTCTCCTCTCCCACCTTGCCTGATGTGGAGCACTTTGTAATAAAGAGGTTCATTCCCTGAATTTAATATGGGGTGTCATCAAGGCCTTTACTAGACAAGAAGCATGTCCTCTCCTTCCCAGCAGCGATGACCTCCCCACAAGAACATGCCTCTCGCCGAGGTCTTCATCCCTCTCCAGAAAAGGAGACCCAAGCAGCAGCACCCAGGGCAGAGCCTCCGTTCCTACTTCATGGATGTGAAATACCCAGGATGCTACAAAATCACCATGGTCTTCAGTCACAAACGTGTGTTGGCCGCGCCACCATCCTCTCTCTGCCAGCGCACAGGAGGAAAAGCAAGACCCACAGAAGGACGTTCCTGTAGGAGGAAGCAGCACAGAAAGCACTCTAAGGGAAGAAGAATGAGATACCATCCCCATACACACATTCTGGGAAATACAAAACATGCCCTTCATATTTCCAAGTGGCCTTAGTTTTCAAACTGTACTCAGAGAAAAATCCCCATCTGAAAAATGACTCTTGTTGAGCCCGCATTGTTTGCCAGCTGGCTTTCCATGGCAGCTCTGGCTGGAGAGAACCCTGGATGCTTAAGCAGTCCTTTTCCTTCCTCCTGTTAGGATGATGTGTGGGAGAGTGAGGAAGAGGGAGTCAAAAAAGGGAAAGGGATGAATGAAGTCATCTCAACGCACATGGATTGTTTCTTTGGTGTTTTGTGGAGATTTCACTCCAGGGGCCTCGGGCAAACCAGTTTACTTGGGTAGAAGCATACGTTGCTCACCTGGCCAAGTTTTCTCAGTGGAAGATGGCTTAGCCATTCTTTGCCACGCTTACTTTTGGTCCTGTATATGTAAAGTTGACCAAAACCCTCACAAGGGCCATGATCCGATCTGCTTTCTCCCATCGTCTGCTACTCTCCTGCCTATCTCGCATCCCCAGGCTAAAACTGGTGGTTTGGCTGAGGAGTGGGTTATGCTTCATGGTACAGCTAAAGTTATCCTGATCTCTCTTGATATCCCCTTCCTTCAAAGACTCTGTTTCCGACCCTGGCCAGCTCCCAAATAGCTCCTGTAATTGGTTACAAGCAAGGCTAAGTGAGATAGTGATTTGATTCTGGAAGCACAAACCAGTGCCTCCCTGGTGGGTAGGAAGCATCTTCTCCATGTTCACCTCACAAGCTTTTGAAAAAAACCTGTCATTCAGAAGCAAGCCAAAACTGTCATCTCGCTCGATGCTAATGAACTCATCAAATCCATTCGCAGGGTTTCGGCTCTTCAGAACTCTGGCCAAGCCTTTGCTTAGCACATGAAAGAATATTCCCTGGGGTGCTTTTCAAACCCTAATTTGACCCCATACCTCTAAACTGTGGAAGAACACAGACACAATTGGCCACATGCTCTTGAAAAATTCAATCTGAAAGCTAGTGTTGGTGACTACAGACAGGATTTTGATAAAAGTAAAACACCGAGCCGGGTATGCTGCTTGCCGCTAGGAGTTTGTCTCCCTGGAGGACAGTCCTGCCTGCCCACTGCTGAGGAAGAGCATTCCATATGTGGAGTGGACAGGGAAGCTCCTGGGAAATACAGTGACCTTGGCCTCTTAATCCATCAACAAAATAATGGCACTTTTATGAGAACTCTAGAAATAGAAC
Source organism: Homo sapiens (assembly GCF_000001405.40). NCBI lineage: Eukaryota > Metazoa > Chordata > Mammalia > Primates > Hominidae > Homo > Homo sapiens. The sequence continues at coordinate 30,169,276 of NC_000007.14, forward strand.
TTTTCATCCGGCACCATCTTATGGTACGCTTTGGAGCAGTGATGTCACCAAGGAGACAGAAACTAGGGAATTCATCCTCTTGGGCCGGGTGACTAATCCTGTTTCCCAACCTCAGAACATTTGCTGATATCATCCATCTTCCCGAAACCACACCAGCCTGGGGGTAAGAAGAGAGTGACATCAACTCACAAATTCACATTTCTGTGACTGTAACGCGTACTTTGGGGATTCCCAGCCCTTCTCGTATTCCTCCCAAATATTCCGGGAGGTGGTCCTAGGGGGCTGACTCGTGTGCTTCCCAAGTTCATCTTCTGTGGCACCGGGTGTTCTCCCTGGCTTTAGTGCACAGCCTCTCTTCTGATGCTGCAGAACCCCATAATGGCAGTGGGTTTGCCAGAGCCCACAGAGGGGCACAAGGTCACCCACCAGAGGAGCCCACTTTCCTGCCACTACCCACCAGTGTTTACCCTGAGGCTGCCAGCATGAGGCAGTGAGGACCTGGGTGTGTGGTCCAGGGTGCTGTTGCCAGTGACCACAGAGAGTGCCACACCAATGAGCAATGAGTGATGCCCCAGTGACAGCTCTCTCCATTTTTATTCATCTTTCATTCCAGCCACTCACCGAAGGGGCATGAGTCCAAACAGTTGGACATTGCTCTGAGTAACAGAGCCAGAATCTCCTTTTCATCCAGCCTTGCCATTGTCACCCATGAACCCAGTTTGTGAGCTTGACATGTTTTTCTTAGGATGAGCTCTGCCCACTGAGGCTCCTTGGGTCCTCCTGTAAGGAAGCTCCTGGCAGATCCAACCTCCTGACATACCAATATGTCCAGAAACAACATTAGCTGGGTCTTGCCATCCCCCTGAAATAGGGTGGGTAATTCCTTTGGGTGGCCCTAAGGTGCTGAGTGGAGGGGATTTAGCCAGGGCAGAGGAATGCTAAAGTCCCGAAAGTCTCCCTTCCCACACAGAAGTACTTTGGTGAGGAGGCTGTGGGTGAGGTGACTCTCTACACCTATGAAAGCTCTTTTGCTTAGGGTTGACCATTAAAAAGTGATTTCTTGACCCTCAGGGTAACAAAAGCCTGGCCCACCAATCAAGCCAGCAAGTTTCAAACTTTAAGGCTCCTAAGAATCACCTGGTGGTGGGGCCAGAGCGGAGGGTTGGTGCTGTGAAACATGCAGATTCTTGGGCTGCGCTCCAGAATCTGGAGACAGAATCTGGACACAGGAAGCTGCAAGTTTACAAATACTCCAGGTTTACAGTTTACAAATATGTCAGGCCGTCCTCATGTAGGTGGTTCATGGACCACACTTTAAGAAACTCTGGGTTGAGCCGGCCTCCAGGCTCACCATGTCATTCACTATGTCTACAGGGAGCCAAGATTCATCACAACGTGACTGGGTGCCAGGAGCTGGGCAAAATTCCTTCCTGATCCTAACACATCTCATTCTATAAAAATAAAATCCTTGTACAGATGCCACAGTGATCTCCATTAACATCTCAAAACTTGGGGAAAAAAAAGTCTCTCTTCTAAGCTCACATGGTGACAGAGCTGGGGGCAGCTAGTTGTGCCTGACTCCAAAGCATGGTCTCTCATCATAGGATGTCACATTGCTTCTGTGACATTTAGGGGATATGAATGAGCAGAGGCCAAGTTGTATTTGGCTGCATGCTTGATTGCGTAGAAAAATGACGACACTACCCTTGGTACATCTATTGGCCCCAACAGGAAGGAGATGAAAGTATTGCAAAGGGAACAGTGAGCCTAGACTGAATCAGAGGACTCCCAGAAATTCGCTGCACTCTCATGATATAATTATGCCATCAGGTTGGCCAGTTGAGGATTACACTTCAGAAGAAGGCAGATGTCATTATCTAAATAGGCCATTCTGTACTCATTTCTTTGTTTGCTTGTTTCTTGTCAGTCCATCCACTGGATCATAAACCTAATGAAGGCAAAGCTCTGTTTGTCCTGTTCTTCACAGAATCCCCAGTGTTTAGCACAGTCCTGGCCTTCTAGAAACCTTTGTCGAATGAATGAATGCATGGGTCATGGGGAGATGAAAGGCAGTGTTACTCTTTCTCTGGGGGGACATGGGAAGGCTGCTTCACTCTCAGATCAGTGCACTCTCATTCATGTGTTGAGTGGCAGGTGCTGGAAGTCAGAGCATCTGAAATGCAAGCTCCTGTGCCCCTTCCCTGGACCTCAGGTCTCCAACATTGGGGCATGTGGTTGGTAAGTCTCTGAGATTCTCAGGTATATCAGGGAATAGGAACTGGAGGGGGTGGATGGTACAGGTCTCTGTGCCCCCACCCCATGATCCCTAGATGACCATCCAGAAAGTGTCATCAGCCAATTGGAAAGTCATGAAGCAGACACAGCCCTAGACTATTCTAGTGGGAAGGCAAGAACATGTGCTGTGTCCCCGCCTGCTTTCCAACCTAAGGTAGAGGCTGTCCCAGGCACAAGAGCACTTTCAGGTCACTGGTGTAGCTTTTCCAAGGCTGCCTGCCTCTGCACCATCTCTGGGAAGATTCCGAAACTGCCCCATTCCAGTGGGGTGGCCTAGGGGCAGAAAAATGCTCCATGTGCCTCCCAGGCAGAGGTGGGAGCTTGGGGTGGCATTTCTTTAATGAAGTCACCTAGGTTTTCACATCTAGAACTGTGGACATCCAGGCTCCTGCTCACTGCTCTGAGTCACCGGAAGCCTGGAATGATGAGGCTTTTTTTCAAACACTATCTAAGAATCTTTGATGAATCCTCATCATCTGCCATCAGGCACCACGATTTCATGATCCCCAAAGGAGTAGGGCAGGTTCCTGAAGATCTCCCGGGGTCGGTCCACTGGCGCTGGGCCACTGACTCCATGGAAGTGGTTGGTGCAGCTGGCCTTCGAGACTCTGTGCCTTCAGAACCTCATATAGTCTGGCTGTGTCCCCCACCCAAAATTTCATCTTGAATTGTAATTCCCATAATCCCCATAATCCTTAAGTGCCAAGGGCGAGACCAGGGGGAGGTAATTGGATCATGGGGGCGGCCCCCCTGTGCAGTTCTCATGATAAGTGAGTCTCATGAGATCTGATGGTTTTATAAGCATCTGGCATTTCCACTGCTGGCACTCACTCTGTCCTGCTGCCCTGTGAAGAAGGTGCCTGCCTTTCCTTTGCCTTCTGCCATGGTTGTTAAGTTTCCTGAGGCCTCCCCAGTAAGTGGAACTGTGAGCCAATTAAATCTCTTTCCTTCATACATTACCCAGTCTCAGGTATTTATTCATAGCAGTGAGAACTGACTAATACAAAACCCTATTTGTTTTTCGCTTCCATCTGCTTTCCTTTTCCAGTTACTTCATTCTAATTGGTGTTCCTTTCCTACTTCTGGGTTCGTACCTCCCTTCTCATTACTGCTGTGACACATTCTCCCTCTACTGACTGGCAGGCCTGCCCTTCTCCCTGGTGACTGTTCAGGCAGGCCTTAGTGACCACGTGTGTTCACCCTAACCATAGACTTGACCCTTCTGCTTCAAACCCCATTGGAAATTGGCATTTCCTTGCTATTCTGAAAGATGGGAATGGGAATTTGGATTTGAGAGAACTGTAATAGAGCTCTGACACCTTCCTAGAGTCTGGGTGGCAGACTGGGTTCTGACTGGGACCAGATTCCACTTGTCCTTCCTCCTGGCAGGGTGTGTGTTAACTTCAGGGAGCCCAAGTCATTGTAACTCGTGTGCACAGACAACTAGAATCTGTGCCCAAGATGGGTCAGTGAGTCTCGAGTGATGATTCAAATTCATTTTCTTGCCAGGCAAACAAAATCTCTGACTTGCCTGGACTCCCTGTGAAGCTAGCTGCAGCTGCCAGTGCTGGTCTGTGGTGGCCCCAGGCTATGGGATTTGAACAGCTGCCTGCTAACAGCACCACCTCCTCTCCCGGATTTATCTTGCACCATTGCGCCCACAGCTGGGCCTGTGCAGAATGTACAGCATGATGCTGATGCTGTTCAGGCTGCCAGCCCATTGGAAGCACAGCAAATGACTTCTATTTATAGAGAAGGCATTCCTGGGCCACACACAGCACTCTTGGCCTGCTGAGAAGTCGGCCAAGTCCCTGACAGACACCAAGGGGCAAGACTGCAAGCCTCCTCTGCCAGAGAAGGCATTGTTCTGTCGCACACAATGGTAGAGCGGCCCTGGCATGATGTCAGATGAGTTGACAGTAGCAGCAGCTGCCTGTACGTTCCCTCTCCTCGTTTACAGCTGAGCTCTGCCAAACCCAGGGAGCAGTCCGGAGTTTTAGGTTTGGATTTTGGAAAATGAATTGCACCAAGAGGCCAGGACCGTCTTGCTTCAGTTGGCTTAGTAAGGAAATGGCCACAAGCCATAGGTGGTAATTTAGCAGTGGCTGCCTGAGTCGTTAGGGGAATGTAACCACAAAAGGCAGTAGAACGGGCAGCCAGGGCCATTGCAGGGCACAGTCACAGTGGCTGGCCAGGAGGTCTGATGGGGAGGCCTTTCCTTCCTGAAGACCCAGCCTCCCCTGGAATCCTCCCATTTCCCGAGGCCTAGCTGGTGGCACCCAAAACCCACGAGAGAGCTGCAACAGAGAGCTGGGCTGTCTCAGGTAAATGCAGGAAGGGCTACCCCTCTGTGGGTGAGTGATACTAGCTTCTTTAGGCAGCCTTTAGGTTCCCATTCATTAGTTAACTCTGGCTATACCTGAGAAGACAGAGTAACCAGCCTGGTGGTTGAGTGTACACTGTAGAGAAATACAGAGCCAGCCTTAGTCCCAGCTCCACCACTTGCTAGCTGTGGGGCTCTGAGCTAGTTAATTCAATTTGTCCAGTCCTCAGATTTTCCACTAGTAATTTGGGATTAAATAACCCGATAAGAAAATGAACCAAGGACACAGAGAGGCAATTCATAGAATAAAAAATACAAGTGGACAATAAATATATGAAAATGTGTTCAAGCTCTCTAGCTGTTAGAGAACTGCAAATTAAAATAAGGCCTCATTCCTGGCAAATGTTACAAGATTGATAATGCCCAGCACTGGCACGGAGGCGTTGGCACACACTATTGGTGGGAACGTAAATTGGCTCGGTCACATTAAAAGATCATTTCTCAGTCTCTATAAAGATTTTATGTGCAAACCCTTTGACTTCACAATCCCACTTCTCAAAATCTATCCTGGAGAAATAATTGCATGTTATGGATATAGTGGTCAGTGTAAAATTGCTGGTAATCTTAAATAAAAGGACAGAAAAAGAAAAAGGAAAGAATAGCAGAAAGCCCAAGTCATGAGCATGTAATTGCAGGTAGAGCTACAGGTTCTGAAATGGGAACAACTCCAATATACATGGTTATCTGGAAAGAATATATCAGGGGAACAATACACGTAGGCCAATCACATTATATTAAAAAATGTATATTTTCGTTTTTCTAAGTAAGGCCATGGAAAAGGTCCAGGAGGCTGCACTTTCCACTGTGCACAGTGGTTACCTCTGGGTGAGGACAGTCGGAGGGAGGGAGGGAGACTTTCATTTTTTACTCCATATACAGATGCCCCTCAACTTCATAAGCAAAAATGTCATAAGTCACAATGCATTTAACCAACCTGCCAAACATCATAGCTTAGCCCAGCCTACCTTAAACATGCTCAGAACACTTACATTAACCTACTCCTGGGCAACATCATCTCACACAAAGGCTATTTTGTAATAAAGTGCTGAATAGCTCATGTAATTTATCGAATACAGCACACTGTAAGGTGTCACTTGTTTACCCTCATGATCGCGTGGCTGACTTGGCAGCTGAAATCTTACCACATAGCGCTAGCCCGGGAAAAGATCAAAATTCAGAATTCAGAGACGTGCATTGCTTTTGCACCATTTTAAAGTCGAAAAAATCATAAGTTGAACTATTGTAAGACCATCTGTACTCTATATACTTACATCTGTATTTTTGCATTTTTTACAATATACACTGTAAGGTTATTGTTGTCCTCTATCATCCCAGTTTCTTGTAAAGCTGTCAGAACTAGACTGAATTGGGGAAGGCTGCAGCTGGAGCAGAGTGCACAGGAAATACCAGGCATTCAGATTTGGACGTGTTAAATGTCAGGCGCCCATTAGAATCTTAAGTGGAGATGCTGAGCAGGCAGATGGATTGAAGAGTTTGCAGTTTGGAAAGGAGATCCGGGTTGGAGAACCACATTTGAAGACAAGTCCCCTAGGATGTATGGGCATGAGGAGGAGAGTCCCATTAATAAGATAGGGTGGGGCCCAGAGCCAAGTGTGTGGGCACCCAAGCCCTGGATTCCAATGTCTTTAACACAAATCAGTTTCTGCTACGAATCTAAACAACTATAGGGTCCTAACTGATTCTTCCTACACACCGGTATCACTGGCACCTATAAAAAACTCCTTGTGTCTTATTTTTAGCACTGCTCCTTGCTTTTCCTTTGAATGTCCAGCTTGGTCTGGCTGAACTGCTTTGGTGGTCTCTGGGTTTCCCAACTTCGCCTTCCGTTGACGTCCTGTCTGAATCCCCCTTCTGCAAGCTTCATGGCTGCAGAGAAGCCCTGCCAACTCCTGAGTAACTCCGCCCATCCCTCACTCTATTCTTCAAGCTCCAACCCAGGACAACTGCAACATGTGTATAGTCTTTCACACAGTTGCTCATTTAATTCCCAAGAGGCAGATATATTATTAGCATCACTTTTACTATTATCCTGCCCTCTTGACAGATGAGAAAACTGAGTGTTGTGTGGTGGGAAGTGTCTTATCTTCCACTAGAGTCTAGCAAACTACCATAAACTTAGCAACTTGAAACAGCCCATACTGGAGCCGAGTAACGTAGCTCATGCCTGTAATCCTGACAGTTTGGGAGGCCAGGGCAGGAAGATCACTTGAGGCTAGGAGTTCAAGACCAGCCTGAGCAATATAGCAACACCCCATCTCTACAAAAAATTTTAAAAAATTAGCCGGGCATGTGCCTATAGTCCCAGCTACTCTGGAGGCTGAGGCTTGAGCCTAGGAGCTTGAGGCTGCAGTGAGCTATGATTGCCACCGCACTACAGCCTGGGCAACAGGGTAAGAAAAAGAAAATACAACAACAACAGCAAAAACACATTTATTATCTCACAGTTTCTGTGCCTCAGGAATCTGGGTGTGTCTCTGCAGAATCCTCTGCTTCAGGGTCTCTTATGAGGCTGCAGTCCAGGTGTCAGCTAGGGCTGGGGGCTCATCTGGAAGCTCAGCCGGGCAAGGACCTGCCTCTAAGGCATTCCGCAGTTGACAGAATTCAGTTCCATCTGAGCAGTTAGACCAAGGGCCTCAGTTCCTGCCAGCTGTTGGCTGGAGGTCACTGTCAGTTCCTTGCCACATGGGCCTGCTTACTTTATCAATGTGTGTGACCCGAGAAGGCAATAAAGAATCTGCTTGTAAGGGAGGCTACAATCTCTTGAAACCTAATCTTAGAAGTGACACCCTGTCACCTTTGGTTAGAAGCAAGTTGCTAGGCCAGCCCACACTTGGGAGGCACCCCCACTACACAGGGTGTGAACACAAGGAGCAGGTCACCAGCCATCCCAGTGTCAACCCACACAGGACATAACACGTGGGATTTGGGCACAGGCATGTCGACCTCCAATGCTTGGCTGCTTCCTTCTATGCAATCCTGGATCCTCCATGATTGTGCTCTGCTGTGGCCTGAACAAAAAGGGAACGATGATAGTTCTTTCTTCATGTGACTCTACTAAGTACTCTTTTAGCCAGGGAAGTTGAGTAATCTGGTTTTAACAATAGAAAAGTGGGACTTGCAAATTAGCATGGGTTTCCAAAACGGAATGCAATTTAAAGCTGAGAAGCTGAAGTGATAAATGGAGGAACAGTGTTCTGTCTATAAAAGCAGCTGATAAAAATGCCTGTCACCTTTCAAACCAGTCCTGCACCCCAGAGACCACAGGTAAATCATCTCTCTCTACCCAGACCTGCAAACTGTCCATGTATGTAACACTGCCACTGCAGGGAAGGAGGCGGGCCAGAGGAGCAGGAGAGAGCCAGCCACCACCTCACCAGCCTTCTGTGTGAGTTGCCTTCTCCCAAGTCCTTTGAGTGGAGACAGCCCAGTCCCTGATCAACCAAGTGCCCTGCAGTGACAGCTGGGAAAGATGGCAGGTGTCAGCCTTCTCGCCCCATCTCTGCCACCACTGCTCCCTGAAAACTTCTCGCAGGGATGATTCCAGTGTTGTGGCTTCTCGGCAACCCAGCTTCAGTCTCGGGCACCCCTCTTCTCCCAAGCCTGTTTCTCAGCCTGCCACTGAGTAGACTCTCTTTTCAGTGCTCCTCAGAAGAGTTACTCCAGTTCCCAGGAGCACCCCGATTCATCTCCTCAACTGGGACTTTCTATCTCTAGCTCGACCCCAAACTGTATATTGATTTAATTAATATTTATTGAAAACTTACTAAAGGCCATATATATCCTTCTAAAGCACTGAAAAACATATTCCTTATACATGGGTATGTATGTACATAAATACCTATAACATAGAGGCTAACAGCATGGTTTTAAAATTAGATCTCGTCATTTAGTAACAGTGAACTTTACTTTGGCAGGTTACTCTAACTTTCTGAGTCCCAGTTTCCTTTTCTGTAATGTGGACATCATTTTTCCTACCTCAAAGGATCAGTGTGAGAAGAAAGTGAAATACTAATTTGTGTGTGGCACTTAGCACTGTGCCTAAAACATAATAAATACTTAATAGCACTTCTGTGTAATCAGCACAGGACAGACCATTCCCGAAGATTCCCGCTCCCACCAAATCATAGGCTCTTAGAAGGCTAAAACCACAGCTGTCTTGTTCACCCTTATATCCCCAGTACCTGGCATAATGCCTGGCACATGGAAAGTGCTTAATAAACGTTTCTGCAATGAGCTAATAAGTGAATAAGTAATACTGCAGTTAATGACAAAAATATTTATCTGGTGCAACTTTCCAAGGAGCTTAAAGATCTCTCAATATTATTTAATTTGGTTTTAAAGTTCACCTTGGGGCCAGGCATAATGGCTCATGCCTCTAATCCCAGCACTTTGGGAGGCAGAGGTGGGAGGATCGCTTGAGTCCAGGAGTTCAAGATCAGACTGGGCCACAAAGCAAGTCTCCGTCTCTACCAAAGAAATATGAAAAATTATCCAGACATGGCAGTTGTACCTGCAGTCCTAGCTAGCCAGGAGGCTGAGGTGGGGGGAAATCGCTTGAGCCCAGGAGTTCAAGGATGCAGTGAGCTATGATCACATGACTGCTCCAGCCTGGGCAACAGAGCAGGACTCTAACTCTAAAAAAAAAAAAAAAAAAAAAAAAAAAACCCCACAAAAAAACAAAGTTCACCTAGGATGGCAAGTAAAAGGTTTGACCATTTACTTAGGCCTTTGACCAAGGTGTAAAGGACTAAACTTGACTTGCCTAAAACCATGCAATAAATCTGGTTATAGGTTGGCATGGCTACAGGGTTGGCATTTGGATTCTTGTACTCATAGCTCCCTACTCCTACATATCTAGTGTATTGAGACCATCTTCCTAGCCTGACTGACTTGCCCATAGAGAAAAGCCCCTCTGAACTCCAAAATCTGAGGACTTTCTAATTCTTTGTGACCATGACTCACTTTGTAAGGAACCAATAAGTTGTCCCAGGCCTTGGTGCTGAGCAAATGGTGGAGCAGAAGCCAGCTGCCTGCTGTCCATTAGTCCAAAAGTGGGATCTGACATCTCTGCAGAGTCCGTCCAGCACCCTAGGGTTGATTTCCCTGGGGGTGTTGTTAGCCACTCAGGATGACCAGCAGCCATTCCTGGAGAATGAGAACAAATCTCAGAATCATGTGATCTGTCTCTAGTCCCAGCTCCACTAGCTGTGTGACCTTGGACAAGTTACTTAACTTCTTTTCACTTTCATTTTCTCATCTGAAAAGAAGGGGAAGTAACACCTTGTAAGGACTGAATAATATGATGTCTGACAAAAGGCACCGTGCCCAGCACAATTCCCAGAGACTGTTTGTGGAGTTTGGATCTGAATGCAGGGCTGGCGTTAATCATCCTTTGTGGGGAGCAGCCCAGGAAAATCTTCTGGTCCCCTGTTTCCCTCTCATAGTCCAGTCCAATTCCCATTGGCACTTTGGGGAAGGCAGTGATTTTCAAGATTTATCTCAGAGCAGAACTCTTTTGTCAAGCAAACTTAACATGGAATGGAACGGAACGGAAGTATATAAAACTGATAAAGCTGAGCTCACTTGTCAAAGCAGGGCTGGGGACAACCTAGATCTCTCTTTGTGATTTGCCCCTCCTCATTTTGCAGTGGCCTCCAATATAACTCCATGAGCCCCCAGGCTTCCCAGAACTTGGATGGAACACAACTCAACTAAAGTAGTATTCTAGATGGTCTCTGTCAAATTAGTAACAATATCAACACATTATTATAACATAAATGCTAGCTATAATTTATTATTATTATTATTACTACAGCTAACATTTACTACAGTGGTTCTCAAGCTTTAGCTTACATCAGAATCACCTGGAAACCTGATTAAAACACAGATTAATGGACCTCACCCCCAGAGTTTCTGATTCAAAAGCTAGCGTGGAGCCGAGAATCTGCATTTCTAACACATAACTAACTAGTGATGGTGATGCTGGAGTGTGGGAAGACACTCTGAGAACTGATGATTTACTGTGAGCTAAGTGCTAAGCATTCTACGTGGAGACTGCTTTTAATGCTCATAACCACACGATGAGATAGGTATTGAACTATTTACATCCTTTTACAGATGAGGAAACTAAAAGTCTAAGTAACTTGCTCCAGGTCTTAGTTACTAAGTGGCAGATTCCAACCCAGGTCTGACTCCAAAGTCCTCACTCCTAACCATGATGTTAAAATGTTAAAATGGAAGCCTATTATAAGGAATAGGTCCACTTATTTGCATTCATTAACCAGCATAAATAAGTTCATGTAATGAACTGGCTCTGAGAGAAAGGGTTCTAAGGTAGTTGAGGTTTGATGAAGAATAGAACAACCAAACAAATCAGGAAGGTTTGAGTAACAGGCCATTGCTTATCATAGTCTGCAAGGTATCTCAAGAATTTGACCAAGAGAGACAGTGCTTGTGACAAAAGATAGAAAAGCTGGTCAAAAAGACAAATTTCACTTTATTCATTATTCATGTAGTCACTAGTTTATAAAATGCTTATTGAATATGTACTATAAGGTGGGGGCTGTTTGGTGCTGAAGATATGAGGGAGAGTAAAAGTAGACAGGGTTCATGACCCTCAAAGCTTACAGACCCCTCAAAGCAACAATATTAAGCTTAGTAACAATTTTGCCCAAGTCGTGAAATCTTGACATTCAGCTTTGGCCACATGGTTCTGTCAGGTCCCAGCTCTTTTGGTTCTGACTCTTCTGGATCTTATTATCTTGTATTTTTCACTCTATCTGTTGACCTAATGTATTTCCATTCTGATGTGTGCAGTTCAGCACAATCCTGACATCATGAACTTAAAAGCCTGCCTTGTTAATAGATTTTATTTTTTGAATGTTGACTATGGACAGGATTTGGCTTGCGTGTGATAATTGGTAACCATATGACTAATAGGAGGAGGTTTTATAATTGGTCTGCTCTTGTATTCTTACTCATCACTGCTAATTACCCAGTGTGTCTGATATGCCAGATGGATATTTAATAAATGGTCTAATGATTGGATCTGAAATAACATATTCAGGTTCAAGAGAACCATGGTCCTGGGAGGGAGGTCACACAGTTCTCCATTCTGCCATCCAGCACCGTTGCTTTTAGATGAAGTTTGATGAGGCTGAATTAGATCCTGACAATTGTATGGCATTTTTGTTTAATTCCAAGGAAATTTTCTTTCATGGGCTTACCATGATTTCTATGGAAACTCATTTTGGGGAAAATCCTCAGTCTGACTTGTTCCAAGTTGGATTTACTTACTCTGGCAAAGTTATGACCTATTAAAAAGTGCTAATGGAGACAACTGAGAAGCTAAGTTTCAGGGAACCGTGTTGTCTTAGTCTGCTTTGTGTTACTGTAAGAGAATACTTGAGACTGGATGATTTACACAGAGAGCTGGCATCTGCTCAGCTGCTGGTGAGGGCTTTCATGCTGCGTCACAACATGGCGGAAGGTCAAAGGGGAAGCGGAAATGCGCCAAGGGGCAAAATCCAAGGGGTGTCCTGGCTTGATACCAATGCACTCTTGTAGGAACGAATCCCTTTCCTGATCCAGCCTTCCCAGAATGAGATTTCACTGTCTACTGCAGTTACAGCACCAAGGTATTTGTAAGGCATCTGCCCCCATGACCCAAACACCTCCTGCTAGGCCTCACCTCCCAACACTACCCCACTGGGAATCAAATGTCAACATCACTTTTGGTGAGGACAAACTATATCCAAACCATAGCACATGTGAAGGAAAAAGGAAAGAAAAAGGGAGGGAAGAATAGAAAGACTGTAGTAAGAAATCCATGATCGGTGCGAAACATGGAGTTTTCACAACGAGCTAAAGAAACACTATAGGCTGTCTCCTAGAGACACACATTTCTGCCATCTAATCTGCAGATTTGTTTACATTAAAAAACAAGACTAAATTTAAGCTTCAAAGTAAAAGCTCAACATTTAGGGAGACATACGGGCTGTTTGCTTTGAATGAGGGGCAGGAGCCAGCCTTCTCCGAATTGGCCCAGAGAAAATTTTTGAAACACAGAAATGTAATAATAGCTGGCACATGGGATGTGTGGAATGAAATCAGCACTTTCAAAAAGAAAAGAATGAAGAGAATAATAATAATAAGCCAATGCATTCAGTTCTTTTGGTTAATGTCAAATTTTACTCACCAATCTTAACAGATCTACTAGTGATTACTCTTATTTGGGTATTTCCACTGGAAAATTATCCAGTTTGTGAAAAGTCTCAGTCATTTGTTATGAAGAACACAGCTTTCATTTTGTCCCAAAATTAGATGGGACTGAATTACCCCCACCAAGATGATTCAAGCTGCCTACTCGTGCCCAGCTCTGCCCTTGCTTTTGGCAGGGTACAGCATGGCATTTAGCCTTGGCGTTATCCCTGATTGCCTGGCCAGGCCTACATCAGAGTTAGTGGGGGAGGAGGAGGAGAAGAAGGAGGAGTTGGTATAGCTGACTGTTGAAGAGCTTAGGATTTGGAGCCAGAAAGACCTGGGTTCAAAGTTCAAATTTGCCTCTTACTATGTGAGCTTCGAGTTCTAAATAAATCTTAATGATAACATGAGCTTATTACAAAGATTTGATGAGATAATATACACTAAGGGCTTAGTTCAGTGCGTGGCACATGACATGTAATGGTACCTGTTGTTGCTGGGAGTCTTGATCTTAGTATGGGTGGTTTAAAAGAAGAAAGTAAGTGGGTCAGTCTTAGTTTCTAAATCCATTGTACAGTGCCATCCAATAGAACATTCTCGAATAATAGAAATTTCTATATCTGTGCTACCCAATACAGTTTAGTGTCTTGCTGCATATAGCTATTGAGCTCTTCAGATTTGGCTAGAGGAAGTGACTTTTCACATTTAACTGATTTAAATTTCAATAGCCATGTGTGATCTGTGACTACCATGTTAGGCAGCACAGCTTTATGAGATTAATATTGTAGAATCATGTGACAAAAAGCAGCATTGTGAGAGAACAGTTACGTGAAAATATAAGGAAGCATAGAGCTCATGGGGTTGAGCCAGTCAGAATCGCATTTTTAATTAGTCATGGACACTACTCTTATTATGTCCTTTATTGTACAAACAAAAAAATAGAAAACATTTCCAAACCTTAAATGTCAAACAGTCCAGTGTCAAGATGTATTAGTTTGTTCTCACACTGCTATAAAGAGACACCTGAGCTTGGGTAATTTATAAAGAAAAAAGGTTTAACTGGCTCATGGTTCTATAAGCTGTATAGGAAGCATAGCTGCTTCTGCTTCTGGGGAGGCCTCAGGAAACTTACAATCATAGTGGAAGGTGAAGGGGAAGCAGGCACGTCTTACATATTGGAGCAGGAGCAAGAGAGAGAGAGGGGATGTGCTACCCACTTCTAAACAACCAGATCCCATGAGAACTGACCGTCAGGAGGACAGTACCAAGGGGAGGACGGTGTTAAATCACGAAAAACCACCCCCATGACCCGATCACCTCCCATCAGGCCCCTCCTCCAACATTGGGGATTGCAATTCAGCAGGAGATTTGGGTGGGGACACAGATCCAAACCATAACACAAGAGCTATTTGACAAATTGTAATCCCACCAAAATGAAAGAGATTCAACTTTGATTTAGAATCTACAATAGCAAAATTTTCACCATTTAGTAAACAGCCATGGTGAACACATGATGCAGTATCAAGTCTAACCACTGAGCCCTGTCAAACACAGGAGAGCTTCCTAAGTGTCCTCCTTAAAGTACATGTTGCACCTGTACAGGTGAGAGCCATTTTTTGGACAAGATAATAGAGGAATCCATGTTAATGTAACTCACTGCTGAGTTGGCAATGAGCTCGCTCATTGGCAGCCAAATGAAAAAGCCCATATGGGAAGAAATTAATAAAGCTGGCATGTTTTCTGTTCCTATCAGCGTAACCCAAGATACAGGGATAAATAGTGTTTGTTCAGTAATGACTCAAATGTGTCACAGGCATTTTGAAAGAATGTCTATGGTAAAGTTTAAATATTAGGACAATTATAGTCCAATGTGTCCCACGTCCAAGATGCATAAAATAGTGTTTCAAAAAGGACTGGGTTTACATAGTACTTCATATTTTACATAAAGACTCTGCATAGTTGAAATAAAAGTGGCCTGACACTGGGATTCAAGAGCCCTGGTTTTGAGACCTGTTTTGCTGGTTACCAGTTGGTAGTTCTCAACAAGCTATTAACGCTCTCTGTGCCTGTTTCCACACATTTGAAAATGGGGTTGATACTATCTCATAAGATTCTTATAAAGGTTAAATGGAAAACTAAAAAGCACTTTGCAAATGAGAAGCATTATCATCACCATCATCATTATCTTCATCATCATGATGTTATTTTTACTTTCTCAACAATCTCCTGAGGGAGCTAGATAGAGCAAGTAGACCATTCACAAATGAGGAGACTGAAGGTGAGAGGATTTAAGTAACTTCCCAAGGTCACACAACTAGGAAGACTAGCATTCTCATCACAGCTATGAAAAACTGGGTGAAGTTTAGCTGAGGAACATAAAGGTTTTCTATTTCTTTTGGATCTCATCCTTTAGATTACAGAATTATAAAAATGAAAAAGTCAGAACTGTGTTTAGATACAAGCAAGAGAGACCCCCACCAAAGGTCTTGTGTGTTAGTTACAACAAGGGCCAACCAACTGGACCAAATCTGGCCTGCTTTGGTTAATAAAGTTCTATTAAAACGCCGTCACCCTCATTCATTTACAAGCTGTCTTTGGCTGCTTTTGCACTACAACAGCAGAACTGAATGGTTGCAATAGAAACCCTATGGACCACAATGCTAAAAACATGTACAATCTGGCCCTTTACAGAAAAAGTTTGCCAACTCCTGCTTTAGAAGGCCCCAGTATCGCAAACCACACAAAAATAAATGTGTTAAAGAACACATGGCTGTTCTATTTGGTGATTGGCACTAGAAGAGTGTGACTCATGTCCTTGAATAGCCACTGTTGTGACCAGTACTCCTCAGGCCTCAGGCCCCAGATCACATCTGCCTTGTGTCCTTGAGACCAAAGAGACTACCTCTGGGTGCCAGGAAGGTTTGGGACTTCTGCCATTGTTCACTTGGGCCAGCAAGGCCTTGGGTCTGGAGAATTTGAGCGGCATAAGTACTCAGAAAACAGAAATGACAAATCAAGTAATTTGTCAAACCCTTCCCCCAAACAGCATAAACTACAGTAGATTCTTGCATAACAAAGTATCAGTTCCCAGTGGAGGCAGGCATCCTTGCCCTCTTTGAGTTTCAATTCCTGGTTTTGGATCTGGGGGTGCTCACAGATTGGCAAAGTACACAGATGTGCGTGGCAACTGGGGACCATTTTGCAATATTAAGTAACTCATGTTACTTGAAAAATTTTTTTATGGAGGTCATTGTATAACATGCATGAATTGTGATGCTTTTTTCTTTATTGGCAACTAGATGGACGTTGAACAGTAGAATTGTGAAGGGTGTTATTTTCCTAAAATGATTTCATTTAAATAATTTTTATTTAAATATTTGACATTGTCCATTTCAGGCTGCTATAACAGAATACCTTAGAATGTTTAATTTATAAACAATAGAAGTTTATTGCTCATAGTTCTGGAGACTGGGAAGTCCAAGGCCAAGATACCAGCTGACTCAGTGTCTGCTGAGGGCCTGTTTCTTCACAGATGGTGCCTTCTATGGGTTCTAACATGGTAGAAGGGCAAAAGGGGCTCAGAAGCTTCCCACACCTCTTTTATAAGGTCACAAATCTCACTGTGAGAGCCCTCATGACCTAATCACCTCCCAAAGTCCCTACCTTCTAATAATATGAGCTTGGTGATTAGATTTCAACACATAAATTTTGGTAGGATACAAACATTCAGATCATAGCAGATATTCATGTATTATAATTTGTATTTTGCCTCTTAATTTTAAAGATAAATTTTGAATTTTTAGAAGAAAAATACGCATTTGAAAGCACTAAAGTTTTAGATTGGGGGACTTTTAAATATTTATTTTAATTTAATTTATTTGATGAAAATACATTCAAATTGTGTATGCTTTAAATACCAATATGTCTTATTTTTATAATCCTTTGAGCATTACGGTCAATGAAATAAAATCTAGGCTTCTCATTTTTATTGGTAGTCATGCTTTTTTAGTTTTGGCAATAACAAAAACAATATGCTTATCTTTAATTATTTAAAAAAATTAGAGAACAGATGAGAAAGTGACTGAAGAGAATTATTATTATGGTCCTAATAGGGACTGTAGTTGGAATTGGGTTTATTCCATTCTACTCCAGTGTATTAGCCTGTTCTCATGCTGCTAATAAAGATATACCTGAGATTGGGTAATTTATAAAGGAAAAAGGTTTAATTGGCTCACAGGTCAGTATCACTGGGGAAGCCTCAGGAAACTTACAATCATGGTAGAAGGGGAAACAAATCCGTCCTTCTTCACATGGTGGCAGGAAGGAGAAGTGCAGAGCAAAGTGGAGAAAAGCCCT
Source organism: Homo sapiens (assembly GCF_000001405.40). Classification (NCBI taxonomy): domain Eukaryota; kingdom Metazoa; phylum Chordata; class Mammalia; order Primates; family Hominidae; genus Homo; species Homo sapiens. Next base: position 30,186,533 of record NC_000007.14, read on the forward strand.
TTATTAAATCATCAGCTCTCATGAGAACTCACTCTATCATGAGAACAGCATGGGGGAAACCACCCCCATAATCTAATCACCTCCCACGAGGTTCCTCCCCCAGCACATGAAAATTACAACTCGGATTACAATAGAAGATGAGATTTGGGTGGGGACATACAGCCTGACCATATCATTCTGCCCCTTGCCCCTACCAAATCTCATCTTTCTCACATTTCAAAGCAAAATTTTGTCTTCCCAACAGTCCCCCAAAGTCTTAACTCATTCCGACATTAATCCAAAAGCCCAAGTCCAAAGTCTCATCTGAGACAAGGAAAGTCCCTTCTGCCTAGGAGCCTGTAAAATCAAAAGCCAGTTAGTTACTTCCTGGATACAATGGGGGTAAATATATTCATCCCAAACAAAACTGTGAGCTTGTTGGTTCCTGTAGCTACAAAGTCAGACACCCATCCATCTAGGAGGAGTTACAGCTAGACCCAGGAACTCAAGCATCTGTCTACCCACCCAATGGGAGAAATTGGCCATAACAAAGGGGCTACATGCCCCATGCAAGTCTGAAATCCAATAGGGTAGTCATTAAATCTTAAAGTTCCACAGTGATCTCCTTTGACTCCATGTCTCACATCCAGGTCACACTGAAACAAGAGATAGGCTCCCATGGCCTTGGGCAGCTCTGCCGCTGTGGCTTTGCAGGGTACAACACCCTTCCCTGTTGCTTTCATGGGCTGATGTTGAGTGTTTGCAGCCTTTCCAGGTGCACAGGGCAAGCTATTGGTGGATCTACCATTCTGGGGTCTGGAGGACAGTGGCTCTCTTCTCACAGCTCCACTAAGCAGTGCCTCAGTGGGGACTGTGTCGGGGCTCCCACCCCACATTTCTCTTCTGCACTGCCCTAGCAGAGGTTCTCCATGAGGGCTCTGCCCCTGCAGCAAACTTCTGCCTAGACATCCAGACATTTCCATACTCCTCTGAAATCTAGGTGGAGGGTCCCAAACTTCAATTCTTGACTTTTGTGTACCTGCAGGCCCAACACTACATGTAAGCTGCCAAAGCTTGAAGCTTGCAACCTCTGAAGCAGCAGCCTGAGCTGTGCCTTGGCCCCTTTTAGCCACGGCTGGGATGCAGGGTCCCAAGTCCCAAGACTGCACAAAGCCCCAAGGCCCTGGGCCCTGCCCATGAAACCATTTTTTCTTCCTAAGATTCCAGGCCTCTAATGGGAGGGGCTGTCTTGAAGGTCTCTGACATGCCCTGGAGATATTTTCCCCCATTGTCTTGGTGATTAACATTTGGCTCCTTGTTACTTATGCAAATTTCTGCAGCTGGCTTGAATATATCCCCAGAAAATGGGTTTTTCTTTTCTATTGCATTGTCAGGCTGCAAATTTTCCAAACTTTTATGCTTTGTCACCTCTTGAACACTTTGCTGCTCAGAAATTTCTTCTACCAGATACCCTAAATCATCTCTTTCAAGTTCAAATTTCCATAGATCTCTAGGGCAGGGGCAAAATGCTGCCAGTCTCTTTGCTAAAGCATAGCAAGAATCACCTTTGCTCCAGTTACCAAGAAATTCCTCATCTCCATCTCAGACCACCTCAGCCTGGACTTCATTGTCCATATCACTATCAGCATTTTGGTCAAAGTCACTCAACAAGTCTCCAGGGAGTTCCAAACTTTCCTACATCTTCCTGTCTTCTGAGCCCTCCAAACTGTTCCAACCTCTGCCTGTTACCCAGTTTCAAAGTCACTTCCACATTTATGGGTATCTTTACAGCAGCACCCCACTACTACCAGTAGCAAGTTACTTTATTAGTCCTTTCTCATGCTGCCAATAAAGACATACCAGAGACTGGGTAATTTATAAAGGGAAGAGGTTTCATTGACTCACAGTTCAGCATGGCTGGAGAAGCCTCAGGAAACTTACAATCATGACAGAAGGGGAAGCAAACACATCCTTCTTCACATGGTGGCAGGAAGGAGAAGTGCAGAGCAAAGCAGGGAAAAGCCCCTTATAAAACCATCAGATCTCATGAGAACTCAGTCACTATCATAAGAACAGCATGGGGGAATTACCCCGATGATCTAGTCACCTCCCACGAGGTCCCTCCCCCAAAACATAAAAATTACAATTCAGATTATAATAGAAGATACAATTTGGGTGGGAACACAGAGCCAGACCATATTATTCAATATTTCTGGGAACCTATTCCTCAGGAAAAGAAAGGGAGTGGGGGAAGAAGTTCTGTTCCATTTTGGGACTGCACAATCCCATTTAACTTTGCTTTCCAGTGGGTTTAGGTTTCTTTTTCCAGTGACTCATTTAGTAGGAGGCTGCTTCTCAGGGGGCTTCCTTTGACACCAGCACAGAGTTCCTTGAAGCCCCACCTGAGGTTGCCTTTCCCAGGAGGAGGAGGGAGGGCTGCTGGGCTGGTCTGTAAAGAAGGCAGCCTTTGTTCCATTTATCCTGAAGACAGCTGCTTCCCCTGGGGTGCCATTATGGCAGTCATTCAGGGAGCTGACAAAGAAAGCCATTTCTCTTGTGAAGACAGACACTCTTCCAGATCCACCCAAGGCACTCCTGGAAAACTGGCACCGGGTGTTTTTCATTACTCAAGTGGGTTCCAAGGCAAGCACTCAGCTCTGCCACCCTGGGCCTGGGGGAATTTCTTCCACACTTCAACGAAATAATGCGTTCATTTTTTGGCTCATTCATTCATTTAGCAAATATAGACTGCACACCTATTGTGTGCCAGGCACTGTGCTAGGCATAGGAGCACAACTGTGAATGTGGTCAATGTTTTCTTGTGCTACATTAAATAGATTTGGTCTTTGTCCATGGTTCCTGGCACAGCACTCTTGAAACCCTTGGGATTTCCAGGAAGGAGTATTTGTGGCTTGTCACCAGAAAGACTGAGTGATTAGAGGGTTGGAACTCTCAGCCCACCTGCCCACCTCCCGGGATGGGAGGAAGTGGGAGCTGGAGATTGAGCTCTATAAAAACTCTTGAACAATGAGATTTGGAGAGCTTCCATGTTGGTGAATGCAGCCATGTGCCGAGAGGGTGGCACTCCCCAGCTCCATGAGACAGACGCCCTTGTGCATGGGACTCTTTTGGACCTTGCACTGTGCACCTCTTCATCTGGCTGTTCATTTGTATCCTTTATAATTAACCAGTGTTGGGACTCAGAAAACAATTCCCCAAAACGAAGGCCTCCAAAGCCACCTCAGAAGCAAAAGTTTTTCTCTGACCTTCTGCCCTCCTGTCTCTCAGTCACACTCTCCCCAGAGGCAAGCCATACCAGAAACTAAAATTCCTCTTCCACAAGGTGGGTCATAGAAACCAGAACCCCATTTCCCCAAAGCCAGCCATAATACAATATGACTCTAACTCTCCCTCCCCTTCTGTGTAAAAACTGGCCATAAAGAAATGATCTGACCTACTTTGTTTGACTGTAGGTCATCAGACTCCCATTCCAGAGAGGGTCCTGTCCCACACCCAGAAGGAAGGAACGCTGCTCAGAGAGGCAAAGAGAATCTAGATAGATAGGCCTTGCTGGGTTTCCTCACTCAATCTATTAGCATCAGATCTCCCTTTTTGTCCAATCATATTTTTTTACATAACTCTCCATACTTTGTTGAACCTAAGCATAAAAATGGACCATTTTCCCTGTATCTTTGGGTCTTCATCCTGAAGACTCCAGGGTCACATAAAATGATGATCAAATAAATCTGTATGCCTTTTCTCCTATTCTTCTACCTTGTCAGTGATTTTCAGCGAACCTTCAGAGGGCGAAGGGTAAGTTTTCCCTTGGCCCAGACACCAGCAAATGTAAGTAAAGTATTTTTCTGAGTCCTGTGAGCCACTTTAACAATATGAAACAGGGGGAAGGGGCTGTGGGAACCCCTGATTTACAGCTGGTCAGTCAGAAATATGGGTGGCCTGGGCCCCGTGACTGGCATCTGAAATAGGGATAGTTTTGTGAGACTGAGCTCTTGACTTGTGGGGTTTGCACAAACTCTGGGTTACTAACTCTGGTGTCAGAATTGAATTGTAGGACACCCTACTGGTCTTGGAAAATTTGCTGGTGTCAGAAAACATCCCAGAGTTCCCTACCGCAATGAGCTTACCACGTGTGGCAGGGAAGAGAGATAATGAAACAAGTCATTATAATAAGATAATGAGTTTGAAGAGGGGGAAGGATGAGGTGCCCAGAGGGCCCACAGCAGGGGGATTTGTCCTAACTGAGAACAGATAGAAAGTGTCCCTGAAGTTGGGCGCAGTGTCTTGAGCCTGTAATCCCAGTACTTTGGGAGGATCACTTGAGCCTAGGAGTTTGAGATCAACCTGGGCAACATGGCGAAAACTAATCTCTACCAAAAAAAAAAAAAAAAAAGTTAGCTGGGCATGATGGCACGCACCTGTAATCCCATCTACCTGGGAGGCTGAGGTGGGAGGATCATCTGAGCCCAGGAGGTCAAGGCTGGCAAAGAGGGCAAGGAAAGAGCTCCAGGGAGAGGGAGGAGCGTGGGCCTGTGGGAGGGCTGGCTGAAGACCAGGCTGGAGGTAGAGTGGGCCTGCATTTGAAGGACACCTATGCCAAGTAAGACAAGCACTGGAATAATCCTAACCTCAGGATGATAACAACTTCACAAAGCCTTTCAGACACCTGTGGATATTTCCCCTTCAGAATGCTCCTGAGCCTCATTCATTCATTCAACAAGTGTCGAGGAAGCATGTTTCATGTGCATGTGCTGGTGAGGAGCTGGGACTACTCAGTGAAGTCAGATGCCATCTGTACAATGGAGGAAACAACAGCCTGGCCCTGAGGAGAAGCATCATGGATGCAGGCTTGCTTCTGCCCATCATCTCTTTACGGCATAGCCCTGCTTGCAGTCAGTGTGGTTTCATTGGCACTAATGTCACCTCTGCTAGCTCCAAGGAGGAGGGTGTGACCAGCCCTGGCTAATCAGAGTATCACAATCCTTTTGACCATTGTGATTGGTTCAGAAATTGACACATGACCTGAGTTCAGCCATTTAAATCCTTCCCCAGGACTTTTGGTGGAGCTAATGAGGAAGGCACCCGCCATCTGAAACAGCAAATAAGAACAGGGTGAGCCTGGAGATGTCAGGAGCTGCCTTTGCCGCCTCATGGAAAAAGCTTGCCTGAAATTAGAGCCAACACAGAGGAAAGGAGATCTAAAAGGTGGGTAGACAGATGCTTGAGTTCCTGGGTCTAGCTGTAACTCCTCCTAGATGGTTGGGTGTCTGACTTTGTAGTTACAGGAACCAACAAGGTCACTTTTTTGTTTAAGTTAATGGAAGTTGAGGCTTTCTCGACTTACAAGCAAGAATTCTGATTAATACAGCAGACACCTGGGCCACCAACTTCACAATGATCTGATAAATGCCATTATAATAGAGGAAAGACAAGGGGGCGGGACAGTGTAATGTGGGAGGGGCTGGTGCAGCTCATGCTGCTGGCCTGGCTCATCTGTGTCAGCTCCACCCTGGACGTCCCCTGTGGCATCAGAAGACAGTTTTCATGAATATTGTCGGCTTTCTAGCTCAAGGTCCTGTGTAGGTGTGTGCTCAACCCAGCCACAGGACAGGTTGGAAGTGCTGAGTGGTTAGGACTCAGGGACAAATCTTTAACCCATGAAGGATTGCATTTAGAGTTTCAGCACCCCAGCTCCCCTACTTCCGGGTGGAATAGTTCAGAGGTGTTCTTTTCTTAACCCTTCAGAAGGTCCCTGGCAGGTTGGGCTGAATTGTCCATAGATGGACCCTTTTGCTGGCTTTCCTCCTTTCTCTGTCTCACTCCCCTATTCCTCACCTGGGTATCCTGGGATCACCTCCCAAATAGAGCATTTGCACCCAAACCCTAATCTCAAGGGTCTACTTTTGGAGAACACAAACTCAGACAGAAGTCCTCTGCAGGCCAACCATATAGGTTTGGATCCCAATGATGATGCTTCCTGTTTGACTTTGGACAATGTATTTAATTGTATGCCTCAGTTTCCTCATCTATAAAAAGAAGATGGTAATTTCACCAATCTTAGAAAATTGTTGTGAGGTTGAAATGAGGTACCATATACAAAGAGCTCACAACAATGTAAGTGCTGCATAAATACCGGTTATTGTTCTTATTATTCTTCTTATTCTTGTTATTGAGTGTTGTCTAAGCACGACCCCAGGGTCTGGGAAATCTTGGAAGAGGTGACACTTCAGCTGAATCCTGAAGGATCAGCAGGAGCTGGGATGAAAAGGAAGGAGAGGGCCACATCGAGCAGAGGGAATGAAAGGCTCCACTTTGGAAGTCGCTTCTCTGTCTAAGCTAATAATTCTAGGAGATTATACCCTTTCTAAAGCATCTGAAAATACCTTCTTTGGTTACAAGATAATTTTTGATATCACTTTTTGTTTTGTATCCACTGCAGAAGAATTAGAGTAGGAGTGGCAAAAAGGACTTTGAGTCCTGTAAGAGTTAAATCACCCAAATGAGATGTGTGTGTGTGCACGTGTGTGTGTGTGTGTGTGTGTGTGTGTGTGTGTGTGTGTGTGTGTGACATTTTCTCCCAAGACAGGAAAAGGGCCTGCAGAATGTAGTCCCAAGAAGGGATATGCCATGCTCCATTTGAGTTCCTGGGTTTGACAGCAGGACTTCACAGGGGCATGTGTCTGGTGCACTTAGAGACTAAAGCCCAGACACCAGGGTCCCAGTTTGACAAAGAGCCCTGTCCCTGAGATTGGCATGAGAGCCATGGGCTTGGGAAAAAGTGTAACATCAGAGACTGGTGTTGGCTGAAGACCAGAGAGCCCTTTCCTGTATGTTTTGCTCCATATGCTGACTCTTGTTCTTGGTGGGTTGTTTTCTTATATGGTTTGTAATCTCACTTTAGTCAGGCTTTATCTACATGGTCTGGGTTGAAGATGTGGCCCTCCAGGGTGGTTCTGCTTTTGATTCTGCCTAATGTCTCAGGGGTATTACAGGCTTAGAACCAAGTTTTATGTTCTTTTCTTTTACCATATCGTGCAAGCAATGTAAATTTCAAGTCCTAAAATGGAAGCGGGCGTGTGGTTAGGAACGATCATGGAATACATTTTCCCCATGCAAAGTAGGACAAAAACAGACAAGTTTCCTTGTTGTCTCAGTTTGCTGATGAATGGATTTTACCCTAGCTAACTGTTTTGTTAAGTATATAGCTCTGCGGAGTGACAGTTTCATAAGGGGGTTTCAATTCTCATTCTTCATCTTATGTGGGACCAAGGCTTTCTCTCTGATTCACAAAAAACATTAAAATTCAAGTACTGTATTAATTGGGATATATTATTAGCAGCTTCAACAGAGACCCCAAATAGCAGTAGCTTAGATGGGAAAGTTTAGCTCTTTTTCATATGAAAGTCCATGCTGGCACTGTGAAGTAGTCAGAGGTTCAGGTTCCTTCCATATCATCACCTTATCATCCCTAGGGTGCTGACGTGGCCCGAAAGGGGTCTCAGCTATGCCTATGTTCATGGGTCAAGCTGAAAGTCATCGAAGGATTGAGAACAAGGATATGGGAGAAATAACAAGACAAGTCTCTGTAGAGACTGCAATGCCTCTGCTCCAGTGGAGTTGAGATCAGATTTGGATAATCAAAGACATGTGACACGAATTCAGCACCCATAGTAGATGGTAATTAAGCCCACAGCACTTCGAGTAGTGAGGAAACCATCAGGCTATGGGTGGTGTAGACAAGCTAAGTAGGTGTAAAGTAGTAAACATATTTGTGTATATATATGTGTGTATATATATATATACACATATATATGGTATATATGTGTGTGGTATGTCACTGTGGTGTGTGTGTGTATGGTGTGCGTGTGTATGTATGTGTGGTGTATGTGTCTATGAGTGTGAGATGCTGTACATGTCTTTGTGTCTCTGTCTCTAGTGCATGTGTTTGTACAGGTGTGTAGGGGTTATGTGTGTACCAGTGTGTATATTTATATGTGTTGTGTGCATGTGTGTCTATCCATGAGCTCTGTGAAGCTAGACCCTTTTTTCTGTCACCATTCATTGGAATAAACCATACCTTTAGGATTAAATTATTTGCTAGTCAATCATATTAAGTATAAATCTCATTCCACAAACACACGTGTGCATGAAATAAAATATCGTTTTTCTTCAGCAGAAGTTAATTTCCATCATAACTCCCATCTCTTCCTCCTTTTGAGATTGTCTGAGTTCCAGAGGACTCATGTAGCACCAGCATGTGAGACCTAGGACCAGGGCTGGGTGGGGGCAGCAGGAGGCAGGGAAACCTGTCCCAATTTCGAGGGCCAGAGGTCTGGAAGGAGATCTGGGCCCAGCTATGCTGTGTATCATACAGTGGTGGTCGAGCACCTCTCAGAGGCCCTGCTTGGGACTTGGGTTGTGGATTGTAGTCATTTGCTGTTTTGGTTGTTGATTCACTGGTGAGTGACCCCTTCTGTCCCTGCTCTTTGTGCTAGTTTAGTGCCACCCTTGGGCACATGTGAGCCAACTGCTGTCATGGAAAACTTGGTAAGTTCCGCAGCCCAGCTCTGCCATCTTGCCACTTCCACAGATCTCCCACTCACTCTGCTCTCTCAGACTGTGGCTTCCTGCCTGCCCCTCTCTGAGTCTCAGTCTGGAGCAGGCATGGTGTACCTCTCCACAACCCACCAGTGTCAACCACTGCTGCTTCTCTGCTGTCCTTTACCTAACTGGGAGAACTTTAGTCTGGGTGAGGCAGGGGGCAGGGGGGATGAGGTAAACTTTATGTCCTCCCATCAGATACTCTTGCAAATCTAATGCACATGCCCTGTGTTTTTCCTATTGCTCCCAAGGCTTAGGCTTTTGGAAATTAAAAGCCAAGAACTGACTCTTTAAATGTTTTCTCAACTTTCCGCTGTGCCTCCTTATCCCAGAGGCAAGGATACTGTGCCAAGTTGACTGATGCGGAAAGGACACATGGTGGAAAGACAGAGGAGAAAAACACATCAGAAAATACATCATGAAGCATATGACCATGCCAGGAGAACCTCATGCTGCTACTGAATAGGATAAAATAGCTTCCTGCAATCAGGACTGGGGACCCTGTTTCACACAACAGTGTCTGGCACATGTTTTTGCCCTAGAAGCCTGCATAACCCCTGAGACTTGTCATCAGTGTGACTAGCTGGGGCTGGTGTCATGGGCAATAAAGGAATTTACCAAGACAGTTGTAGGTATAGAAAGGCAGAATTATTAGAGAAGATATGAAAGTATGTTGCAAGGTTGCAATAGGCAGCACAGCAGAGAAGGGGCTACTTGCGAAGAGGCAGGGGCCGGAGGAGAGTTTACAGGGTCGTGCTGAAGGGGGCTACAAGTGGAAGAAGGTTGTGCTGCTGGGGCTACATGTGGAATAAGGTCATTGTGCCTTTGGGTTGTTTGTAATTAGCCATCTCTCAGAAAAATTATTCATGGTTCTCCCCACCTGGGGCCCCTTCCTCATTGTTGCTTACCTTTCAGGACCCTACATTCCACCCCAAGAGAAAACAATGACAAATCTTTGGCATTGGGGCAGAGAACTCGTCTTCCAACTACTTCCTGCTGGCCTGGGGTGTAGAATTGACCCTACCTATGGTTGTTGGTCTGATAGGAGACCCTGTAGGTCATTGTCCCGGATTGTGGTACTTAGGATATTGCATCTTGCTGGAGGAAGGGACTCATCACAAAGGGGGAACATGTCAAGGTGAAACTGGTGTCTTGCAGAATCCAGGGGAGATTCATAAAGGTAGCAGGCATCCCTGGGGTGAGACAGATATTCCATTCACAGCATCATTTGAAGGTGAAACTGCTCAATTCCAGTAGGGGAAATTTTGTTTCTTAAGCCAGTTACCAAAAAGGCAAAGAAAAACCTTTTGCAGTGTGACTGTTTGTCCTTATTGGAAGCCCATTTAGATAACCTGGAAGTTGAACTCAATGAAAAAGTGTTTAAATTTAATTAGACACAGCATAGGGAACCAATTTTAGAGAGACTACTATACCTTAATTACATACAATATTCCTTTTATAAATTTCCATTCATAGATTTTCTCATGACTTATGCAGACCATCTATGACACACTTGGACTTTCTGTCTTGTCCTAAACATCCCTCTTTTTAAAACAACCAGTCATTTTACTTTAGGCCAAGAATTTACCATACAAGATCCTTTCTTATATAAATCCTCTTTTCTACAACCTTCCTTACCAAAAAATACCTCTTTACTTTTATAACTTTTTTATGTCTCTCTTATTTCCTGATTCCTTTGATCTTGTTTAATATAAAACCTTTAAATAACCTTTGAATTAGACAAAAATTATTTTATTTTGTTAGGAAGTTAAGGTTTGTACTGCATATTGCTGTGTTAATACATATTGTCCATGAAGGGGGAGCAAATGAGGAGGTGATCTACATACTGTAGGTTATCCCCCCTCAAGAAATTGTTGGGTTAGATTCTTGCTAGGACTTGTCTGAATAAGTGTGAGCTATTTTTAAAACCCTGAGTTAGGTAGGACTATTTAGGTTGAAGTTATTGGTTAAAGATTTAGGTAGCTTTCCTGGGAGAAATAGGACTATTAGAGGGAAAGATGAATGCAGAGGTTGGGCAAATATTAAAGCAGGCACCCATCTTGGAAAGTATATTTCCGTCCCAAAGGGGTATGAAGTATTTAGACATTACTGGGGACTTGGGAGAATGGTAATTGGACCCTTCAGTAACATAAAGAAATGTGAATCTTTTCTTTTGGAGGGAGGGGGTGTCATTTGCTCCAATTACCCAACAGGATTTGGAGGAGAGTTGCTCAGAGAAGGAGATTAGTACAGAGTAGGCAGCTCTTGAACCCAAAAGGGAAATTTATCATTTTACTTTCCATCTCTAGGGTTGTCCTTGGCTTTGTCTTGTTGATGATAATGTTTGATTTGGAAGCCAGCTGGAGCAGAGAGCCCCTTTCTCTCAGGGCCATCAGAGGTTGGAATTCTGTCCCAGGGACACTTCAGCTCTCAGGGCAGTCTTGTTTCCAGTGGCCAAGCTTGTGACAGAGGGGGCAAGACACAGAGGGCTTTTTCCGTTTATTCCTTTGGGTCAGTTTGCTTTCCAGTGGCCTGGCCTTCTGCACTGGTGGCAGTTACCTGGAGGGATGTTCTTAGGGCAACCTGGAAGGGGCTGGGGGCTTGTAAAGCAGCCAGCAGCTGAGCCTGCCTCTTGTCCCTTTGTTTTTCTTTCTTCTTAGCCCTGTCCTCCCTATTCTGCTCTCAGTTATAAAAAACTGAGGAGGCTAATTTGAGGACTTCCTGCAATGGGGCCATGCTGTGTTACACAAGAAAACTAGATGCTCCTTTTTGAGAATCTGAGGATTAAATTTATCCTAATGTTTTAGAATGTAACCCAGAGGTGGCTCTGAATGAAAAGATGGGGTTTGTCCCATGGTGAGACTAGAAAACGACAAGCAACTGAGGATGATGTCTACTAGAGTGGGACACAAGTCGCACTTTCTCTTGGGGCAGGCATCCCACTGAAGAAAGGGGTTCCACTCAAGTCCACTGGGGGACTTCTCAGATGCATTCCTAGAGGGGTGTCCCACCTATTAGGAAGGATCTCCTGGCGTAGGGCCTTACGCTGTATGGCCAGTCCAGGCATGAGGAATGAGGGTGAAGGGAGAACTCAGCTGGAAAGCAACCTAGAAGAGGGGAGAGGAATGGGGAGACTCACTGCTCTGTGGCCACTTGAGATCACCTGATTTGGGAACACCTGGAGCAGGAAGTCTGGCTGTCTTCATGGGAGAATTTAGAGTGAGAAAGAGGTGGTCCGAGTTCCCCAGAACATGTGCAGGTTTGTCTTGGTTGAGCTTTCACCACCAATCATGCTATAAGTAAGGATTGGGGGCTTTTGACTAGAAAGGATAAGAGAGAGCCTTATTCCCTTCTGGGAAAGACAGCCAACCCTGTTTACCCCCTGGACTTCAGGCAACACCAGAGAGCAGCCCTGACCAGTTACTGTAAGTTGACAAAGGGATACTAGACGTTGGCTGCTGGAAGACTGAAAAGGAGAAACTGAACTAAGGTCCCTCATCTGATCAGGTGATGGTGGTAAGATGCTTCCACATGGACACCTTCTAGCTTCATCAGGGTATAGCCCTGCCAGAGACTGTCAGTTGTTTCTGTTTTTGTGTGCTGTCCACGAAGGGTCCCCAGTTGGAAGAGAGAAAGGGAAAGGGGAGAGAGGTCCCTGTAAGAGCCAAAGAAATATTGTAGGTGCGAATAGCTGGGGCTGGTGTCATGGGCCATAAAGGAATTTACCAAGACAGTTGTAGATAAAGAAAGGCAGATTTATTAGAGAAGCTATGAAAATACGTTGCAAGGTTGCAATGAGCAGCACAACAGAGAAGTGACTGTCTGCAAATAGGCAGGGGCTGGAGGGAAGTTTTATAGGGTCATGCTGAAGGGGGCTACATGTGGAACAATGTCATTGTGCCCACCAGTTGTTTGTGACTAGCCATCTCTCAGAAAAATTGGTCATTGTTCTCCCCAACCTGGGGCTCCTTCCTCATTGTTGCTTACTTATCTTATCAGGACTCCGTAAGACTATTTGAAATTTATAGTGAAAACTATGTATATTTCCCCATCTAGTCTAACAGGTTGTAGACTTATTTCAAAGTAACAGCAAATAACACAAATATTTTCCCAAATCCAATATTTACAGGAAATGCACCAGTCTCTGATCTGCCCCTGATGTAAGTGTCAGATGTGCTTCCAGGGCTGTGGCCCATTCCTGTGGCTGGCCAAGGGTCCAGCCTGACCAACAGAACGTTGCTGTAACTCTAGGAATGAGTGCACACTCAACCTGAGCCGGGGCTTATTGGCTGTACCTCAGGGTTGCCAGCCTTTGTCAAGCTTCCTACTTTGTGGTCCTTCTGGCCTACACTCCTACGGCAGATGGTCAGGGTCACCTTTCATGAGAAGGGAATATGTATTGGTAGCCAGGGGCCTGCATGCCATTTCTGGCACAAACACATTGCAGGTTGCAAATCCCTGCTTCACCTTTATGAAAATGGTATTGATGACCTTCAGGGCAGAGCAGTGTTTTCTTAAAGTAGCTTCTGTCCAAAGGTAATAGACATTATTTGAAAATAGGATTCTGTGATCAAATCTCTTTAGCAGGTCAACTTCTCAGAGTCTGTAATATGCAACAGTGCATCATCATACATGTCCAAGATGGGGGTATTTATAATATGCGATGTGAACTAAATTCACTTGGCCACTGAACACTCTGACCCTGATAGGTCCCAGTGATGCTGCTAGGTGGAACACGCTTTAAGGAATGTTGTGTGGCACACCTCTCTTCTTACAATATATTGTTCTGTGGCTCTGACCATCTTGGTTTGGGGTTAGAGAAAATATTAGCTTGTCTAAGCTAAGTGACTGAGAAGCAGCAATTTGCAATCATTATGGAGGCAGCAACTCATTATTCCTGTAAATTTCCAGGTAAAGAAATCAATGGCTGGGTTGTTGCCACGACTTATTTCAGAGCTGAGTTTTTCTGGCTTTGTCTAAGGTCCAAGTTGTTTCTTTTATTTATGATTTCTTTTTTGAAATACAAGCACAAACTTCAAAACCCTAAAAGATGGTGGAGACTGTGTAAAGTGCCTTAATGTCTTTCCAGGTGAAAAATCAGTAGCAAATTCATTATTACATTATTTCATCCACCTGCTATTTAGTACCCACTAGGTACTGAGGCCTACAGAACATATAAAGTTGAATAAAGCAAAATCCCTACTCTTTATTACATTCTATGCCAGCTCTGTCTGATGTCTTCAGCCATTTATGGTCTAGAAAATGTTACAGTAACACATTTATAGATAAAGGGACCCATCTGGAGATGAATGAAGTAAGTGGCTGCCACAGATTTGCTGCTGTGAGGTGAAAAACTGTTCCAAGGCAGCAGGATAAGGAAGGAAGATGATTACTTCCTTTCCACTTAATTTCAAAAGATCTGAAATAAGGGCATGGGACCCATCTCAAGATGAGTTGTTCAATAGATGTGAGGATCCAGGCTTGGAAATGTGAGCATTGTGGACAAAAGGAGGCTAACTCCACCAACAGCTCAGAGCCAGTGATTCCAGGTGATCTAAACCTCTTTGTTCACTGTTGAAGACAGCATCTCTTAGATTTCCTAAATCCCACCGTTGGGAACAGCCAAGCCAGTGTTTCATTACAATCTTGGCCCTAAAACAGCATAGTTCATCCAAGAATGACAGGGTTTTATGAACAGAAATTAGGCTTTGGACCAAGTTTGTAATAAATCTTAAGCTTCATTATATAGGTGAGGAAAAATGACCAACTGCTGGATGACAGATTTGCCATGGAGCAAGAGAATAGACTCTGTGCCATTTCAGGAAGGTTCCACGGCAGATTTTCACTGACTTGTGGGGTGACTTTCTTTGGGGGCAGTAGTGTGGAAGGAGGATAATAAAAGGCAAAGGATAAAGAGAGGAGCAGTTTGGGGTGGATGTTCCCTTCATTCACTGCTCCATCAAAATCACTTGAACCCCCAATGAATGGTAGCATTATATGATGCTTAATACATCTTAAAGGAGAAAACCAAATCATTTTTTTTCTATTCAAGTCTAATGAAGATCTATGTGAAAAATGGAGTTTTCTCTCTTACTCAAAATGAACAAAAGGTCTGTTAATAATGTTAGGATGTGACCTCACTGAGGTTAAAAATATTTGCTTATGTAAAAAATGGCAGGTAAACCATTCAGGACTAATGTAAGCAACAAGAAATATAAGAGAGAAGAGGAAATGAAAATGCAGTGGCAACAACAGACTTGGATTAACACCAGTATTTTCAAAAGAGCCCAAACAATTTCAGATTCAATAGAAACCACTTTGCCAAGGACTCCGATGCATTTCATCTATCAGCAGGCTTGCTGCCGTTTCCTAAAGAACGCCCCTGGGATCTGCCGTTTCCCCTTGGTTCCTATGCCAAAGCCAGCCCTGTTCTCTCTTCCTCATACTGTAGCCATCATTGTGTGGCCACAAAGCTGCCAGGTCGCTCTGTATGCTGCCACTGTTATAAACCACCCTCATGCACTCATGCATTTTTTTCTCCATCTGTAATGAAGGACATTACAGATCATTTATGAGATGACCATTGCTGAGCCTAAACAAGGAAACTCAGACTGGTCCTGGGTTGTTTGGTGACCTGCTGAGGCCCACAGGCCCACAGATATTTGATTTCTTTTTTGGAATCTTTTCTTTTTGGAATCTTTTGCTCTGACTGAGAGGGAGACGTGATGCCTAGAGTTGGGGAGTTCTAGGTCTCATTGGAAGGGATGTGGGGGGCTGTGCCCTTCTCTGGTTCCATGGACAGTTTTCTGAGCTCTTCTAAGAAAGAAGGGTGAACAACAGAAGCTGGGGAAGTTGCTTTTATAAAATGACCCATGATGCTGGGGTATGACTATATGATGGAAGGTGGAGGTGAGATGCCCAGAGAATGCTGCTTGGTCTTCCCCTCCCCGCCCCCAGGTGACAGTGTGTTGCAGACGTGTTTCCTACTGCTACAGAAAACTCAGCCTCTGCCTGGTCACATGTGGCATGGCAGCTTTGAGAACAGAAGCCTGTGATGAAGCAACTACAGGTTGGCCAGGAACCTGGTATAGATTAATGAGTGGGTAATCATATACTCTATCTGGGAGTATATGAGGGAGAATGAACTCAAAACATTGAAAAGAATGAGCCAATTGGGAATTTGAGACAGAGACTGCTAGGGCCCACCAATATCTGGGTGCTCTGCTCCTTCTGTGGGCATAGCTAGACAACATTTCCCCACCCCCTTGCATCTAGATGGGACCATGCAATTAGTCCTGGCCAGTGAAATGTGGCTGGAAGTGTTGCACACCACTTCCAGGCCTGCCTTCTTAAATCTTCTGTGAGATCATACATAGTCTCTCTTTATTTGTCTGCTGGCTAGATGCAGAGGATCTAGGAGAGAACTCTGAAGTCCTAGAGGGTAGCTGAGCCACAAGATGGGAGGAACCTGGATCCCTCAGTGACTGTGTGGACCAGTCTCTCATACCATACTACATCCCCATCTTTACTGCATTGTGATACAGAGGAAAAAATTAAAACTTTGTTATGTGAAACCACTGAGATTTGGAGCTTGCTTGTTACAGTTGAAGGAAACCAAAACATTTCTCCTCAAAACACTGAGGATTGCTAAGTTAAAAACACTAAAAATGCAGGGGAACACTCTGCCTCAGCCTCTATTTGCTTGACAGCAGGACATAAATCCTTCCTTACTGGACACTTGCTTATTGGCCCAGAGAAGGCAGCAGGAGGCACCAGAGGAATCTGGAAATAGATTCTACTATTTTCCACTTTCTCCCGCCTTTTCAAAGACGGGAATGTCTCTCTCTTTTGTCTTGACACTATGTACTATTTATGGCTCTTTGTTAAAACATTATTTAAGCAAAGCCTCTAAGCCACTGCCTCGAGAGAGAAATACTTTTGAGGCCTCTCCCACATGACAGGTACAGCACTTGTTAATAAACTTCTGCTTCTTTTTCTTTTATTATTGTGACTTTTGTTTTTAGGAGAGTGTCTCAACTAAGAACATAAAAATGCAAAGAAATAAATTATGTTTTCTCCCTTCCATAGTCGTTACCATACTGACTAATACAGAACTGAAGCTGAAAAGCCATGATGTAGAGAGAGGGGCCAAGATTATCTATTTCCTTCTTGAAAGTTTTTCCCTGAACTTTCCAGAAGTACAAATAAGAGTAAAAACATATCCCTGGACACAGGAGCTGGCGACCTAACTGGCTTGTTTTGAGTTTAAATTTCTTCTTAATGCCCTGAATGGAAATATTTGACTTCCTCTCTGTAATATATTCATGTTTGCTTCAATATAAAAATACTATTTATAAAGATTTAGCCCTCAAGTTAAATGGACTTTTAACCTGTGCCTTGGCATCCGCATGTAATAGTCACATTTAAGTTTGGCTCCAAAGATTACTTCCCTCCCTCTTTCCTGGTCATTTGGTAAAAAGCAAAGCGACTTCATGAAACCACCTATGTAGGGGTTCAGTAAGTTAGCACTCTTTAGATTTCAGATGCCTGCTTTCATTCTTTAAAAACAAAAATAAAAACAACTTTGATCCATTTTTTAATACTGATGTTATAATATTAAAATGTTTAATAACTTGGTTTGACAAAAAACAGCATATTTTTTAAAAAGTCTCGAGATTTGTTAAACAATACAAAATTACAAGGCCTGGTGTGGTGGCTCATGCCTGTAATCCCAGCATTTTGGGAGGCTGAGGTGGGCAGATCACCTGAGGTCAGGAGTTCAAGACCAGCCTGGCCAACATGGTGAAACCCCATCTCTACTAAAAATACAAAAATTAGCTGGGTGTGGTGGCAGGTGCCTGTAATCTCAGCTACTTGGGAAGCTGAGGTAGGAGAATCACTTGAACCTGGGAGGCAGAGGTTGCAGTGAGCTGAGACCGCACCATTACACTCCAGCCTGGCAACAAGAGCGAAACTCTGCCTCAAAAAAAAAAAAAAAAGAATATGAAATTACAGCTAGATAGGAGGCATGAGTGCTAGCGTTCTATAGCACTGTAGGATGACAAAGTTAACAATAATATATCACATAATTTTAAATAGCTAGAAAGAGGATAATGAATGTTCCCAACACAAAGAAATTAGAAATGTTTGAGATGATGGATATGCTAATTACTTTGATCTGATCACCTATACCTTATATGTATTGCAACATCACTATGTACCTTATAAATATGTATAATTATTATATGTCAATCAAAAATAACAAAATACATTGTCTGGACTTTTTATTGAAGCTATGTCCTTCTTTGGGGTGGGGCAGCCAAGGTGTGAGATGGCGAATGCCTTTTTGCTACCTTGTATTTACATCTCAGTGAATTTTCCTCGTGTTCTAACTTGGGTCAGACTGCCTGGGAGGGTGAGACTTTAGGCCAGAATCACAGCCTGGACCCTGGAGAGTCCTCTAAGCCAACACTTGACCTTCAAACAGGAATCCATCAAGACTACCTTAGATCAGGGAGGAGACACCTGAGCCAACTCTTCGCCAAACTGGAAACTCCCCATTCTCTTTATGTTTTCTCTCTCTCTCTCTCTTTTTTTGAGACAGGGTCTTGCTCTGTCACCCAGGCTGGAGTGAAGTGGTGTGATCTCGGCTCACTGCAGCCTTTGCCTCTCAGGTTCAAGCAATTCTTGTGCTTCAGCCTCCCTAGTGGCTGGGATTACAGGCGCCAGCCACCAACCCTGGCTAATTTTTGTATTTTTAGTAGAGACAGGGTTTCACCCTGTCATGTTGGTCAGGCTGGTCTTGAACTCTTGACCTCAAGTGATTTGCCCGCCTCAGCCTCTCAAAGTGCTGGGATTACAGGCGTGGCCTGTATGCCCGGCCCCTTTATGTTTTCACAGTGTCCTTCTTGGCTACTCCTTAATGATTTAGCTGGATGAATCTCTGAGAAATTCACTGTCCTCGGCAGCACAAGCTTGCTGAGCTGCTGCCATCAGCCAAGGGGTGAGTGTGAGAAAGGAGTGGCCCTTAGACCCACTTCTCCACGTCTCATCTTAATTTTATCATACAGTCTTTACCATAGACTTAACAACCATTATGTTAATATAATACCTTGAGAAAAGTTGTTGGAACCCAAAATAATTGAAAGCAGTGACCTGAAGATATATTGGTATGCCCACATTCATAGCAGCATGATTCAGAACAGTCAAAAGGTGGAAGAAGCCCAAGTGTCCATCGACGGATGAATGAATGAACAAAATGTGGCATACTCATACGATGGGATATTATTATTCAGCCTTAAAAGGGCAGGAAACTCTGACACATGCTACAACATGGATAAACTTTGAAGACATTATATTAAGTAAAATAATTCAGTCTCAAAAAGACAGATATTGTTTGATTCCACGTCTATGAGGTACCTAGAGAAGTTAAACTCACAGAAGAGGAAAGTAGAATGAATGGTGGTTGCAGGGGCTGGGGCAGGGAGGAATGGGGGTTATTGCTTAATGGGACTGAGTTTCAGTTTGGGAAGATGAAAAAAGTTCTTGAGATGGATGACGGTGATGGTAGTACGACAATGTGAATATACTTAAGGCCACCGGACTTATACTCAAAAGTGGTTAAAATGGTTAATTTTATGTTATGTGTATTTTATCACAATTTAAGAAAGTTGTTGAAGAGTCATAACATAGGGAGAATGTGTTGGGGTGGAGGCAAAGATTCCCTCGCCCCCTTCTCATCCCCAGATACAACTCTGCAGTTGGAGTAATGTATTTAGTTTAATGTTTTGTTTGCACACAAGCACGCATTTCATAATTTATTTTGCTGCATTGGGCTTCTGAGCTAAGGGACTAAAATGGTAATTTCCCATTTTTTCTTCACAGAAAAGAGCCAGGCTTTTGCATCCTTAATTTCTGTGCTCCCTTGCGCCATGGGGAATGATCAGCTTTTCTGTGTCTTACAGGCTACTGAAAAGACCACCATCTTCCCAGGTCTTTATCTGGTTGTTCAGGACCCATCTAGGGAGCGTCAGGGGTTGCACAAAATGGAGAGGGTTTGGAGCAGCGGGGTGCATCGTAGGAACTTGAGATGAGGCTTTTGAAGGGCTGGAAGAAGTTGCGGCCTTAATGCTAGGAAGGGTTTGGGGTTGGTGGATTTTGTGGGGCCCCATTGAGATATTATGTTAATACCTGGGAGAAAGGGGGAGCCCCTGGTTGTAGCAAAGGTTTTCAAGGCAGGGTCTGTGGTTAGCAGGGAGGTGCCCCATTCATGCACACTATGGCAGGTGGTGGGGAGAAGTGCCCTCCTAGGATATCCAACCAACACTGGCAGTGGCAGCGACATGACAAAAGGCGCACCCAAGACAACCACCATGGGTTAAGGAACAGGCTGCATCTTTATTTTTCAGGACCAGCTAAGCTTCCTGTCCTTGTGCCAGTCACTGAAGGGAGCAGAGGGAGCCTGGGCTTAGGGGGCAGGGGAGGAATAAGCACTCAGAGCTGGGCATGAGTCAGCTGGAAAGAAACAAAGAAGCGTGTCACTGCCCACACCTTTAATAAGTGCCTTGGAATGCTCCCGGCTCTCACAGTGGCGCATGTTTTACTCTGCATCCCATCTGTGGCTTCTATTGTCTTCTCACACTGTGGGACACTTAAGGAGATGTGACAGATGGCTGTGTGTGTGCTCCGTCCCTACAGGCAGTGTGCATTTTTAAAAATTCCTTTTTCTTTAGTGAAAAAAAAATGATTTTTCTTTATAGCAAAAGCAATACATTGTTTTGCTATTGTAGAAAAGTATGAGAAGAAAATGAAAGTCTCCCATAATGCAACAGTGATTCAGATAATCACTATTACCGTTTTCATGTATTTCCTTCCCAGGGTTCCTCCCGCATTGTTTAATCTGTCCTTAGCCACGGTTCCTCTTCAGGTCTCGCTGCCCCGAGTGAGCTGATGGACCTGTGGTCAACCTTTCACATTCCCCAGGCACAGGTTCCCACAGTAGCACACTGAATTAGGAAGGTGGCATGTGACACAGAACAGAGAAAAAGCTTACCTGCCTACAGGGGACATCGACTTACCACTGTCTCAGCTGATTCCTCACCAACCACACCTAATCTCGATCCAGGCAGTTTAGTTGCCATTGAGCTGGTTTCAAAAGTTTATCGGAACTTACACAACATTTATTTTTAAAAACAAGATTGTAAGGGTGGTTAGGTTGGCAGGCCAGCTCACAAAAACTGAGGTGACCAACAAGGTAACTTAGAAATCATTGATAACAGTTCTGAACACAGATTCTAACCCCTTCTAAATTCTGGTCTCTCTGAGACTCAAGTGCCATGTCTGGAATCCCTCCCCCTTATTTGGGGCCCCTCTAAATCTCCATGGTGTGTAGGTTCCACTAGGCAGATGGCAGTGAAAGATCAAAAGCAAGGTGAGAGAACTCAGATGGGAGCGGCATGGTATCATCTACGAGTGCACTGCTGCTCATTTGGGAGTCGGAGTTGAAACCACAGGCTTTGGAGTCAGTCCTGCCCCAGGTTCAAATTCCAGCTCTGCCTTTCATTAACTGTGTGGGTTTGGGCACACCACTTAACCTGTTTAAGTCTTGGTTTTTTCATCTGTAAAATGTGAAATAGGCCAGGCACGGTGGCTCATGCCTGTAATTCCAGCACTTTGGGAGGCCGAGGTGGGTGGATCACCAGAGGCCAGGAATTCAAGAGCAGCCTGGCCAACATGGTGAAACCCCGTCTCTACTAAAAATACAAAAATTAGCCAGGTGTGGTGGTGCACACCTGTAATCTCAGCTACTCAGGAGGCTGAGGCAGGAGAATCGCTTGAACCTGGGAGGCAGAGGTTGCAGTGAGCCAAGATCACGCCACTTCACTCCAGCCTGGGCGACACAGCAAGACTCCATCTCAAAAAAAAAAAAAAGTTAAATAATACATCTTTCTAAAGATGTTTGTGAAGATTAGAGGAGACAAGACATCATTTGTCAGACTTGAGAATGACATATCTTACAGATGCCCACTGCTGATGTGAACTATTTATGTTAGACCACAAATAACTGATAAGTATGTGAGTTAATACATATGTTAATTAGCTTGATTCAGCCATTTCACAATGTGTACATATTTCAAAACATGTTGTGCACCATAAATATATAAAACTTTTATTTGTCAATTTAAAAAACAACAATTCTTCCATACTGACAAATAGACTCTTACACAACTATAAAGCCAAAGGCAAGTTTACAAATAAATAAAAACCAAAAACAAGCCAACAAAGTTAAAACTGAAGTGTGTTGGATGATGTTATTTTGCTGAAATTAATTGAGCTTCTCGAAATGTTGGTTTCTAGTGATACCAGGACATGGTTCTTTAGAGCTTGGCATCCTTAGACTACCATATACTCAATGATGATTTTACTCACCCAAACCTTTCCTTAGTCTAGTGGTTGTAAACTGGAGGACCGTAGGCTGTATGTAGTCCGTGAACATGTTTTATTTAATTCTCACAGTGTTAATTTTTTCAATTTATTGCTATTATAGAAGAATTTAAAATTTTTATGTAAAATTTGCCTTTCCAGCTTCTCTTGAAAAGCTGGAAAATCAAGCCCCACAGGGTCCATATTTCCAAGAGGCCACAAGGTCGAAGCTGAACAATAGCCCCTAGAAGCCTGAGCCTGGGCTTCTAGTCTGCCCCTGACTCCACACCACCAGCTTCATTCATTCATGGACCCTACCAACTCCTATAGGCATTTAGGTTTGTGATGCCTTCTCTATGTGGGTTAGTGAAAAGCATCTGTCCTTTCTTCACCAGCCAGTGACAATTAAAACAGCACTTCCAGATACCAACAAAAGATAAGAAACCCAAGTGCCAACAGTTGCTGAAATGAGCAGTCCATAGCTCTAAGGTGCCCATCCAGAAGACCTGGCCAATACACTTCTGTGAGAGCATTTTGAAATTATTATTGAAATAGAAATAAAAAATGTTTAAAGTATCTTAGGGAATTCTTAGTCCCTCTGGGATCCCTGAACCCCAGTTTGAGAACCACTGAGTTAAGGATGTCAAGGACTTAGAACAGTGCCTGGAATAGAGAAAAGACCTAATAAAAAGGCAGGGTGAGGATCTGGATGGCAAAGCCTGAACAATGGGAGAGCGAGTGCTCTCTATGGGCTGCCCACCTGACTCTCGAGCCACTGGGGTATGTTCACTGACGTTCAACTTCTGGTTCACAATGGTTTGCAGAGCCCCTTCTTTGGGATTGTCCTCCACTCTGAGAGCTCTATCCTTAAGATTTCATCCTCCTGGACTTTATTACAGGGACCAGGGTAGCAGAAGAGGGCTCCTCCCTTCCTCCCTCGGAAAAGACACCACACACTTTTAGCTTCTTGGAGTCACTGCATTCAGCTCGTTAATCTGTGCCTTGTGGAAATTTGGATACACAATTGGAGTCAGGGCCTCCTGGAAATCAACTGGGTAAGGCATTTGCTGATTTGTTTCACATCACTTTACAAAAGGGGGTGGGAGAGTTAGGTGAGATACTGTGCTTATTTGATTTGAACAGTCTTAGAGAAATCACCAATACCAGAGAAAGGTAGGAGTATAGGCCTGGTGATCACTCGCCAGAATCACAGGATGCCATTGCGCATTGTCTAGGGTAGGGACACATTTCTAAATCCAAAGTGCCCAATAATAATCAGGATCAGGTTGATCACTAGCAAAGGGTGAGCCCATGCATGGCCTGAGCATTGCTGAGAAGTAAATGAAAAGAGAAAAACCCAAAACTATAAGACGTAGAAGTTCATTTTGCCTTTGTAGATCAAATCGAGTTTCCAGGGCAGGCAACCTTTGGAGAGCCACATCTGAGTGTGCACCCTTTGAAGTTTCTTTGCTAGCTTAGGAGGAATGGATAGTAATGAGAATGAAGACTCAAGGAGGGAAACATGGGGAAGAAGTGGTGCCTGAGTCTTGCAGGAGCTGCCGGAGGAGGCCGGGAGGAAACTACACAGGGCAGAGGAAGGGGAGAGAGGGATGAGAGCCCTTCAAGTACTTCTCTGAGTGTTGGCCAGGGAGAGAGAGAGAGGCTGCTTAAGGGCAGGACGGTATACAGGATTCACTCACAGAAGCCAGTCAATTCCTCATTGTCAAAACCAACAGCACATGCTACACGGGGCACAATCATGCCTAGTCCTACTCCACTATGTCAGCAAAGAGGCTCACCAACCATGGGGAAGAAGCCTTCTCTCCAGTGGCTGGTGCTGCCGAGAACCAAGTAAGGGACTGTCCATGTGTTATCAATTCAGGTGTCACAAATACACTTGTCGTCCTTACAGTCTGTCCCAGTGGCCAGATGGACATTCCCATAGGAAGAATCACACTGTGTCCTCTACGTGGTGATAAACAAAGGTTTGATGAAGTCAGGACATTGTCCTTGAAGGCCTTTGTTGAAGCATACATGTATTACTTAGGAAGGTCACCTGGGAGCATGTTCTCGGCCACTAACACTTGCCTAAGAATTGCTTTGTTACGTTGACCTAGGGTGGTTTTAGCGAGGGTGAGTGACAGAGGAGGGCGACACAGACACAGGAGGGATGAGTCTGCATAGGGAGGAAGGGAAGGAGAAGCAAACAGTCTGCATCCTGGGGTGAAGCGTGAGAAGGAACACAGCGTACTGCAGGGGTCCTGAGGGCCCAGAGTACTGGAAGATGCTGATCGCCATCTTTGCAGATAGAAGTAACGACCTGCCACTCTTGTCCACTTAACCAGACCTAGTGAAAGCTCCACCTGCCCGCGGTGACGGAAGGATGCCTCTATACTGATTGCCCAGGACAGCAGCCTGAGGGGACAATGGAGAGGAGAAAGAATCCCTAAGTTTCCTTTAGAAGCAAACACCTCCCATTTTGCAGATGAATAAACTGAGACTCAGAAAAGTCTTGGACTAAACCAGGGATCCACCCCCCACCCCGCCAAGAAAAGTAATATTTTATACGTGTTAAGCATTTGCAGGAACTTCTGGGTCTGTTCTCATGAATTTAAACTCTGGACCAGGTCTGTCTGAATTTGCAGAAATATTTAGTTTCATTTGTGTTTCTTCATGTTAACTCATGTGCTAAGAACAATACCGAGAATTCTCTATGGTATATTTCTGTCATGGGGCCAGCTGTGGAACAAGAAACAGAAGGAACAAGAAGCAAGAAAAGACCTTCAAAGTACCTTCTGACCGGCATTGCTGAATTCCAGAGCCCAGGATTCTGGAGAAAACTCTGCCTTCAGTTCTCATAAAAATCGGTGAGCCTGGAGGAATGAAAAGTCCTGTAAGTGAGAGAGGACATTTAAACCTAGAGTATAGTTCCTCAGATAAGCATTTCCCTTTATTATCCTGGTTTTCTTCACCTGCACAGGAGAAGTGAATTCCAAAGCAATTCTGGTTTTGCACCACTTAATGCTTCAGTAAAAACCTCAGCTTTAGTCGTTGTCATGGGCTGAATCGTGTCCCCATGAAGATATGATGAGGTCTTATTCTCCAGAACCTCAGACGTGACCTTTGAAAATAGGGTCATTGAGATGTAATTAGTTAGGAAAAGGTCATACTAAAGCAGGTGAGCCCTTAATTTAATATGGCTGGTGTCCTTATTTTAAAAATGATATGAAGATACAAGGGAAGAAGGCCATGTGATGATGGAGGCAGAGCTTGGGCTGACACAGCCGCAAGCCAAGAAATGCCCAGAGCTGCTGCAACACCAGAAGCCAGACAAGGCCTGGAGCAGATGTAACCTCAGAGCCCCCAGGAGAAACCAGTCCTGCTGACACTGTGATTTCAGACCTCCAGCTCCAGAACCATAAGGGAATAAATTTCTGATGTCTTCAACTACCCAGTTGGCAGTAATTTGTCAGGACAGCCTTAGGACACTAATATAGTCACCTTGCATAGAATTGGACCCCAGAAAAAAATGAACTGGACATGACCATAACTGAAAGGTAAGAGACTAGGAAGAGGATTAGCCCCAGTCCCCAAATGGCAAATAGGGGGTCCAAATGCCACCAGTCCCCATTGCTTGCCCTGGTAGACATGACTGAATGATTAGGGTCCTCTCCCACAGGGCCAGGCTAAGGCCTTGCAGGACTTAGCACAGTGCTTCAGCTGCCACTAAGTTCGGAGATTCTTGCCCTCTTCTATTCACTCTGCTTCAAGTTATACTTTAGCTCCCTTGTACTTCCTTAATCTACTGTCGACTCTTTTTCTAAGTTTTTAGTGAGCACTGGGTAAATTGTAACACCAGAAAAATTGCACGGCTGGGTGACAGGATGGGATGTAGGGTCCAGCCCAGGGGTGGGGTATGGTTGCCAAGAGAGAGGAAGCCCAGTGTAACCAGGAAACATGTGGGTTTTATACCCATTCTGCCCCAAAATTTGAACCAACAGGCATGATAGACAGCATTCAAAAAGACAACGCTGCAAGTATCTAAGCGTGAAGTCTTTGTTCTTGCTTGGCCAATTAAAAGCAAAACTGTTTTTCTTTTAAGGCAAAAAGAAACCTAAATAATACTCCAGTCTTTAACAAAGCTGTCTGCAGAAGCAAAGAGTTTGCGCAGTCTGAGTTTTTACTAATGTGCATTGCCTTGCCGCAGGCTCGTTCCCGGCATGGTATGAAAACCTGTATGTACTCCAGTTCTCCTTGCTGTGCCGCCTGTGGACAGCGGCATCAGTGTTTTGCTGGCCAACATTTTTCTGCCTTTCATCTCACTGCTGTTCTACTGACACTAATCTCAAATGAACTTTAAACAAAGGCTTGTCTTGTCATTGCACCCACTTAACTTGCTGCAATCTGTCTGTTGTCACATTTCTGTCTGTCCTTAGATCTTCGGGATAAACTGACTTTAAATGTGATCAGACCTTATGTCTCTTCATCTGTCATCTTCATGCCCTTCACACTGACATGCAGTGTGCACCTTTTTAACCATGTGTTTACTGCTGGTGCCATTTTCTCCCCATTTACTTCCTACCATTCTGATATTTGCATTGCATTAATATGCAAATTAAACAAAATGAAATGCTTCTTAATTCAGTTGAGAATTCACGGTTCTAAGCCTGAAGGCTGGCTGATTTATTTTTAAACAGATTTTTATAACTCCAAGTTTTGCTGCTGTGTCAGAAAACAAGAACATCCCCAGATGTTTTCTGCCTTTTCTTTTTCCCTTCCTTCCTCTTTCTGTTTCTTACTTCAATTCATATTTATTTATTTACTGACATTAAAACATACAGAAAATTTACCATTGTAACCATGTTAAAGGGCACCATTCAGGGGCAATAAGTGCGTTCACATTGCTGCCCAACCCTTGCCTTTTTCCATTTCCAGAACTTCTTTATCATCCCAAACAGGAACTGTGTACCCATGCAAAATAACCCTCAAGTTCTCCCAATACCCTAGGCTCTGGCAACCACCATTCTACTTTTCATTTCTATGAATTTAAATTCTTTATTTCTTCTAAAATTACTGTTACATTATGTGGGCAAAGTCATACTGATAATACATTTATAAAAGTTAATCAATTACTCTTACCTCACACCAGACACAAAAACTAACTCAGAATGGACCTCAGCACAGATCTAAACAAATGTGAAAGCTAAACTAAGATGTCTAGAAAAAAACACAGAAAACAATTTTGCAATCTTAAGGTAGGCAAAAGTTTCTTAGGATACACACACACACACACACACACACACCAACCCATAAAAGAAAAAAAATGAATTAAACTTTGCACTTTGAAAGACACTATGCAATAGAATGGAGAAAACATTCACAGTACATTTGTCTGACAAAAGATTTGTATACAGAAAACATAAACAAGTATTACAACTCAATAAAAAGAAGAAAAACAACAAATTTTTAAAAACAGATACAGATTTGAAAAGACATTTGATAAAAGAGGATACATAAATGACCAATTAGCTCATAAAAAATGTTTCATATAATTAGTCGTTAACTAAAATAAAAATTAAAGATGGCTAAAATTCCTTTTGTAGCTTTTTTGAGGTATAAATGACAAATAAAAATGATGTATGTTCAAGGTGTACAACATGATGATTTCATACATGTATACATTGTGAAATGATTACCACAATTAAATTAATTAACACACTCACCTCACATAGTTACCATTGTGTGTGTGTGCATTTATGTGTGTGTGGTGAGGACACTTAAGATTTATTTTTAGCAATTTCAAGTATATAATACCGTATCATTAACTATAGTCACCATGCTGTACATAATATCCTCAGAACTTATTCATTTTATAACTACAAATGGTTGAAATTTAAAAGACTGACAATACAAAGTATTGACAAGGATGTGATGCAATTGGAACTCTCATACATTGCTGGTAGAACTGTGAAATGGCATGGACATTCTGGCAATTTATTTAAAAATTAAAGCATTCAGATTTCCAGTCCAAGATGTAAGGCGCTTAGGAGCCACTTCATCCTAACAACAAGTAAAATGCTGAACAAACTGAAAAATCAACAACTGTGATCTGTCATTGAAGTGGGGTCACAAGGCAAATTACTTTAAAAATTGAAGAGACAGACAAGTGGATACAGAGAATCACAAGTTACCAGAGCAGAAACCCACAAACAGAAAGCCCCGTGGAAACCAATGCTGAGATAGAAAAACTTGAAGTATAACTGATGAATCGCTGGAGGCTTAGTGTGAATAAGTCTATGAGTTAAAAACTCCAGGGGGACCTGGCCGGGTGTGGTGGCTCACACACTTTGGGAGGCCAACGGGGGCGGATCACCTGAGGTTGGGAGTTCAAGACCAGCTTGACCAATATGATGAAACCCTTTCTGTACTAAAAAATACAAAAATTAGCTGGGCAGTGGTGGTGCACACCTGCAATCCCAGCTACTCAGGAGGCTGAGGTGGGAGAATCGCTTGAACCCAGGAGGCGGAGGGTGCAGTGAGCCAAAATCGTGCCACTGCACTCCAGCTTGGGTGACAGAGGGAAACCCTGTCTCAAACAAAAAAACAAACAAACAAAACCCACACACACAACACAACTCTAGGAGGACCCAATCCTTTTGCAAGGCTTATGCCCTGGAGCTCTACCAGGTTCTCACAGCAAGGATCAGAGAAAAATCCTCTTGTGTTTTCACCAGGGAGAGAAAAGTGGCCATTTTGAAATATACCGGCCTTCTTAAGAAGTACTGTCCTAATAAGAAACTGTTTCACTAGAGCCTAAGCTATTGCGTTTTTGCCAGAGCCTAACCAAACTGAGGGAAAGTAATTATCCAACTCCAGCCCCTTCAGCCATCCTTTCTCACCTAAGGTGGGTAAAAGAAACTGAGAGGAATTTGTAAAGTTTCTAGCCAAGGGACGGAGGTTCACTAGAGGACTGAGACCTAAACATAGGACTGTAGAGCAGGTCCTCTTTCCCCACTGTGTACTACCATATTACTAAAGGTTTATTTACTGTGGTTCCTTTCACCCAGTACTTCATGTCTGGCTTTCTACAAAAAAATTACAAGGTGTACAAAAAGGCAAAATGACAACAACAAAAAACAAAAACAAAAACCAAACTAACAAAAAAACACAAAAGCACAGTTTGAGGAGACAGGGCAAGCATCAGAACCAGATTCAGATATGCAGGAATATAGAAATTATCAGATTGTGAATTCAAAAATCACAGTTGTGATTAATATGCTAAGGGATCTAATGGGGAAAAAAAGGCAGCATGCAAGAACAGATGGATAATGTAAGCAGAGAGATGAAAACTCTAAGAAAAATCAAAAAGAAATGCCAGGAATTTTTTAAAAACTGTAACAGAAATAAAGAATGCCTTCGATGAGCTTATTAATAGACAGACTGTACATGGCTGAGGAAAGAATCTCTGAGCTTGAGGATATGTCAATAGAAACATCCAAAACTAAAAAGCAAAGAGAAAAAAAGACTAAAAATAAAAAATATAAAAGGAACAAGATCTGTGAGACAGCTACAAAAGGTGTAAATCCATGTAATTGGAATACCAGAAGGAGAGGAAAGAAAAGAAGGAAGGAACAGGGGAAATGTTTGAAGCAACGATGACTGAGAATTTTCCCAAGTTAATGTCAGAATACCAGGAAGAATAAATGCCAAAAATCAACTACACCTAAATATGCCATGTTCAAATGGCAGAAAATCAAAGACAAAGAAAACATCTTGCAAGAAGACAGAGGAGAAAAGGATTCAAACTACAGAGAAGCAAAGATAAGAATTACATCTAACTTCTCCTCAGAAACCATGTAAACAAGAAGAGAGTGTAGTAAAATATTTAAAGTGTTGAGAGAAAAAAACCACCAATCTAGAGTTCTATATCCTGCAAAATTATCCCTCAAAAGTGAGAGAAAAATAACAACTTTCTCAGACAAACAAACATTGAGGGAAATTTGTTGCCAGTAAATCTGCCTTTGCAAGAAAGTTAAAAGAAATTCTTCAGAGAGAAGAAAATCAACATAGGTCAGAAACTTGAATCTACATAAAGAATGAAAGAGCATTAGAGAAAGAATAAGTGAAGGTAAATTTTAACAGTTATTTTTTCTTATTTTTAACTGATCTAACAGACTAGAGTTTGTTCAAAATAGTAATATCAACGTCTTCAATTTTGTGTGCTTATGTATGTGTGCGTGTGCACATGCATGAGCTTATGTATATGTAAAGTTAATGGCAACAATAATACAGGGTCAAAAGAAAATAACTAAAAATATATTATTATAAGGTACTTGTACCACTTGTGACAGTATAGTACAATTTGGAAGTGGATTTGGATTAGTTGTAAGTGTATATTGATAACTCTAGGATAACCACTAAAAACTTTTTTTTAAAAAAAGGTATAATTGGTATGCTAAGAAAGGAGAGAAAATTGAATCATATAAAATGAATTCTGCTATAAAAACCATATGGCAGAAAAAGAGATGAAGACAAAAATAAAAACGAAGAATGAGGGCAATGAATAAAAAATAGTGACAAGTAGGATAGCTATTAATCCAATATACCAATAATCTCTTTAAATGGCAATGGTCTAAATAGATAAATTAAAAGACAGAGATTGTCAGAGCAGATCAAAAAGCAAGATTCAACTCTATGTTGTCTATAAGAAACTCACTTTAAATATAAAGACACATACAGGTCAAAAGCAAAGTGATGGCTGGACATGGTGGCTCACACCTGTAATCCCAACACTTTGGGAGGCTAAGACAGGAGAATTTCTCGAGCCCAGGAGTTCAAGACCAGCCTGGGCAACATAATAAGATCCTGTCTCTACAAAGAAATTAAAAAGAAATTAGCCAGGTTTGGTGGCATGCACCTGTAGTCCCAGCTACTTGGGGGGCTGAGGTGGGAGTCGGGGAGGTCCAGGCTGCAGTGAGCCATGATTGTGTCACTGCACTCCAGCCTGAGCAACAGAGCAAGACCCTGTCTCAAAAAACAAAAAAGAAAAATGATGGAGAAAGATATACCATGTTAACATTAATCAAAAGAAAGCTGGGGTAACTATATTAATTTCAGACTAAGTAGGGTTCAGAGCAAGGAAAATTATCAGTGATGAAGAGGGTTATTACATAATGATAAAAGGATCAATTCTTTAAGAAACAAAACAATCCTTATTGTGTATGTGCTTAACAACAAAGTATCAAAATATGTGAGGCAAAGACTGATAGAACAGCAAAAACAAATACATGAATGCATTATTATAGTCGGAGACCTCTATCAGAAATGAACATATGCAGCAGCCAGAAAATCAGTAAGGGTATAGCTTATCTCAGTGACATCATCAATCAACTGGATATAATTGACATCTATAGACTACTTCATTCAACAACAGCACGATGCACATTCTTCTCAAGCTCGCATGGAACATACACCAACATAGACCACATTCCGGGCCATGAAACACATCTTAACAATTAAAAAAAAAATAAAAATGATACAGTGTCTGCTTTCAGACCACAATGAAATTAAATTAAAATTGACAACATAAAGATACCAGGAAAATTCCCAGATACTTAGAGATTAAATAACACATTTCTAAATAACACATAGGTCAAATAAGAAATCTCAAGAGAAGTTTTAAAATATTTTTTAACTAAATGGAAATGAAAATACAACTTCTCAAAATTTATGAGATGCAGTGAAAGAAGTGCTGAGAGAGAAATGTATAGCATTGAATGCATATTTAGAAGAGAAAAAAGATCAAAATCAATAATCTAAGCTTCCACCTTAGGAAATTATTTAAAAAAACAAGCAAACTCAATCCAAAGTAAGCAAAGAAAAGAAATGATAGAAATTAGAGCAAACATCAATGAAATTGTAAACACAAAATCAATAGAGAAAATCAAACCATAAGCTGATTCTTTGAAAATATCAATAATAAAATTGATAAGTGTCTAAACCAGACTAATGAAGAAAAAAAAGAAATAACACAAACTACTAATATTAAAAATAAAAGGGGATATCACTACAGGTCCTGTGGATATTAAAAGAATAACAAAGGAATACTTTGAACAACTCTTCCCACAAATTTCATAAGCTGATAAAATGGATGAATTCCTTGAAAGACAAAATCTGCCAAAATTCACACAAGAAGAAATAGACAATCTGAATAGGCCTATATCTATTAAAGAAATTGAGTAACAGTTAATAACTTTCCAAAACAGAAAGTGCCAAGCCCAGGTAGGTTCATGGGTGAATTTTTCCAAAATTTAAGGAAAAAATCATACCAGTTCTCTACAATCTATTTCAGAAAATAGTGGCAGAGTGAATACTTTCTAACTCATTATATGAGGCTAGCATTACCCTCATACTAAAACCAAAGACATTACAAGGAAAGGAAACTACAGACCAACACTTCTCATAAACATAGATGCAAAAATTTTCAAAAAAATTTGGCAAATCAAATCCAACAATGTATAAAAAGAATTATACTCCATGACCAAGTGGGATTTATCTCAGGTATGCAAGTCTGGTCCAATATTCAAAAATCAATTAATGTAATTCATTACACCAAAAAGCTAAAGAAGAAAATCACATGATCGTATAAATAGATGCAGAAACAGCACCTGAAAAATTCCAACATCTATTCATGATAAAACTCTCAGCAAAGTAGGAATAGAGGGAAACTTCTTTAACTGGATAAGGAACATTTGCAAAATACCCACAGCTAGCATCACACTTAATGTTGAGAAACTAGAAGCTTTCTGCTAAGATCAGGAACAATGCAAGGATGTTCTCTTTCACCAATTATTTTCAACATCTAACTGGAAGTCCTAACTAATGCAATAAGACAAGAAAAAAAGATATATAGATTGGGAAGGAAGAAATAAAACTGCCATTGTTTGCAAATGATATAACTATGTATGTAGAAAATCTGAAAGAATTAACAAAAAACTCCTAGAACTAATAAGTGATGATAGCAAGGTTGCAAGATACAAGGTTAGTATACAAAAGTCAATCATTTTCCTAAATCCCAGCAATGAATAAGTGGAATTTGAAATTTAAAACACAATACTATTTACCCCAAAAATGAAATACTTAGGTATAAATCTAACAAATCATGCACAAGATCTACATGAGGAAGAATGCAAAACTTGGATAAAAGAAATCCTGGACGAACTTAATAAAGAGATGTTCCATGTTCATGGATAGGAAGACTCAATGTTGTCAAGATGTCAGTTCTTTCCCAACTTTATCTATAAAGTCAATGTGAAGTCAATGAAATCTTAGCAAGTTAATTTGTGGATACTGACAAACTGATCTAAAGTTTATATGGAGAGGCAAAAGACCCAGAAGTAGCAAGTCAACATTGAAGAAGAACAAAGTTGGAAGACCAACCCTATGTAATGGAAGATTTATTATAAAGCTACAGTAATCACAAAAGTGTGGTGCTAGTGAAAGAATAGACAGATAGCTCAATAAAACGGAACAGAGAGCCCAGAAATAGACCCACATAAATGTGGCTAACTGATCTCTAACACAGAAGCAAAGGCAATACAATGAAGAAAAGATAGTCTTTTCAACAAAGTGGTGCTGGAACAACTGGGTATCCACATGCAAAAATATAAATCTAGATACAAACCTTAAACCCATCACAAAAATTAACTCAAAATAGATCACAGACCTAAATGTAAAATGCAAACTATAAAACTCATAGAAGATAACATGGGAGAAAGTCTAGATGACCTTGGGTTTGGTGATGACTTTTTAGATGTAACACTAAAGGCACAATCCATGAAAGAAGAAACTGACAAAATGGACATCATTAAAATTCAAATGTTCTGCTCTGTGAAAGACACTGCTAAGAGAATAAAAGGATAAGCCATAGACTGGAAGAAAATATTTGCAAAGGCATATCTGATAAAGGACTTTATTCAAAATATATAAAAAAAAAAAACCCTTAAAACTCAACAATAAGAAAACAAACATCCTGATGTAAAAATGGGTCAAAGACTTTAATGGACACTTCACCGAAGAAGACATACAGTTAGCAAATAAGTATATGAAAAGATGTTCCACATCACGTGTCATCAGGGAAATGCAAATTAACACAAGATAACACCACCTACCTATTAGAATGGCCAAAATCCAGAATGCTGATAACACCAAATGCTGACAAGAAGTTAGAGCAACAAGAACTCTCATTCATTGCTGCTAGGAATGCAAAATGGTAGACACTTTGGAAGATGGTTTTATTACAAAAACAAATATATTCTTATCATATGATCCAGCAGTTATGCTCCTTGGTATTTACCCAAAGGAGTTGAAAACTTTCATCCACACGAAAACCTGCCCATGGATATTTACAGAAGCTTTATTCCTAATTTGCCAAAACTTGGAAGCAACCAAGATATCCTTCAGTAGGTAAGGAGATAAATAAACTGTGGTACATCCAGATAATGGAATATTATTCAGAACTAAAAAGGAATGAACTATCAAGCCAGAAAAGAAATGGATGTGAGCCTGGGCAACATAGCTAGACCCCATATCTACAAAAACATTAAAAAATTATCCAGGCATGATGGCTCACACTTGTAGTCCTAGCTACTCAGGAGGCTGAAGCAGGAGGATCACTCAAGCCCAGGAGGTCGAAGCTGCAGTGAGCTATGATTACGCCAATGCACTCCAACCTGGGTGACAGAGCAAGACTCTGTCTCTAAAAGAAAGACATAGATGAAATTTAATGCATATTACTAAGTGAAAGATGCCAATTTTAAAGGGCTACATACTGTATAATTCCCAGCATATGACAGTTTGGAAAAGGCAAAATGATGGAGAGAGTAAAAAGATGAATGGTTGTCAGGGCCTGGTGGAGGGATGAATATGCAAGGCACAGAGGATATTTAGTGCAGTAAAACTATTCTATAGGATACTATAATAAGTAAAACTATTATATCATATAGAATATAAAACTATTCTATATGATACTATAATGGTGAATATATGTCACTATACATTTATTCAAACCCATAGAATGCACAACACCTACAGTGGACCTTAATGTTAACTATGGACTGTAGATAGTAATGTGTTAGTGCGGGTTCATCAGCTGTAACGAATGTACCACTCTGGTGTGGGATGTTGATAATGGGGAGGCTGTGCATGGTGGGGGTAGAGGGTAATGGGAAATCTCTGTACTTTTTGCTCAATTCTGCTGTGAACCTAAAGCCGCACTAAAAAAATAAAGTTCATTTAGAAAGAAAATAAGTTAATACATATTCAAAAAATTTAAGCATATTACCATATGACCTAGTCATTTCATTCCTAGGTATTTACCCAAGAGAAATGAAAACACACCCACACAAAGACTTGTGCACAAATATTCAGAGGAGCTTTATGCGCATGAACTAAAAACTGGAAACAACTCGAATGTCCGTCAGTGGGTGATTGGATAAACAAAATGAGGTTATCCATGAAATGGAATATTACTAGCAATAAAGAGGAATAAACTAGTGATAGCCTAAAAATCATTATGCTAAGTGAATGAAGACAGAAGCAAAGGCGTCCACACTCTCTGATGCCATTTATATAAATTCTAGAAAATATACATTAATCTGTAGCGACGAAAAGCAGATCAGCAGTGTTGGGCGCAGGGGCAGAGTGTGGAAAGTACTGCAAAGGGGAATGAAGAAGCTTTTGGGGATGATGGAAATGTTCTGTATCTTGCTTGTGCTGGTGATTTCACAAGTGTGCATGCCTGGGAAAAGTCATCAGATCATACACTTGAAAAGGAAGCAGTTTATTGTATGTAATTACACTCCAGTAAAGGCAAAAAAAATCTCATCCATTAAATTAATATCAATAGTAGGCTTTCACTTGAATCAAGGTTTTTCACTTTTCAATTTTTGCTGAAAAAACTGAGCCCCTCAGCTATTTTAAGGATAAAAAACTCTGGTATGATTGTTGTTTGACTACTCTGCTTGGAGAGGGTGAGTGGGGGTGCCTGAGCACGGTTTTGAGCCTTGCCTACCTCATTCCCACCCCCAGGAGCGTGGGTGACATCATTTCAGGACACATCATGAGGAATACACTTGACTACCTCTGGGCCCAGCATGCCGCAGACCTCCACTCAGTCGGCTCCTACATCCTCCAACCAACAGGAGGTGGAGAAAGGCCCAGGGATGCCCAGAACCCCAGGAGGCCTACAGATGCTTTAGATCAGCTGTACCTTCCCTTCACCTGCATAAACTCAAACCTGCAGAGGAAATTTCCTCCTAAGCCCAGACATTAATCACACCACTGGGAGACTGTAAAGCCAGTGCCAGGCTGACAGAGAGGCCTGCAGGAACCTGGTCCTTTTTAACAGCACCCAGCAAAGGGAGGGAAAGCCCAAAACCCAGCCTCAGGCAGGACGATCAGCATGCAACAGTCATAAGGAAGCTGCCCCGCTCCCCCGGTTTCCTGAGCAGGATCTGAGTGTGCATCCCTCCAAGAACTGGCACTTGGGTTTTAATTATAACCTCTACCAAACTTCTCCGCTCTCTGCTGCCACACAGATCTGCAGCTGAAACTGTCCTCTGTCAATATATAAGCATCCCCTACTCTAAGGCAGCCAGACACTTTTAGGACCTATCTAGCCCCAAGTATTCCTTTAGGAAACACTATCAGCCACATCTGGAAGCCTCCAGGTGGGAACACAGTGCAGACCAATGGGACACATGTGCTCAAGTCCTGACTGTGCGTCGCTAGCTGTGTGATTCTGGCAGGTGACCACCAATCTGATTACCATCATCCTCATTAGTAACATATGGATAATAGCTTCCTTACAGATTAGGTGTGTAGATCACAGGAGATTAAGGGATTTATAAAGTGCTGTATGGTCTATGAAAGTTGGCTATTATTAACCATGCCTAGGGAATTCAGACTTCATATGGCTTTTCTCCACAGAATCTTCTTACACTTTTCTAAGGTTAAAAAACAAAGGTGGTCTAGGATCCAAAAAAGAAAAAATATGTTAAAAAATATTTCTACCAAGTTTGAAAAAACACTTTAAAATCCTTTCTAACCTCTCTCTCCTCCCACACATACACCTTAGCTCTATAGATGAGCTGTGGCTAATGTTAAAACAAATCTATTTTCCCTTAGAAACACGATGATGACACAGGGTAGTGGGTAAAGGAGGGGAGGATTGGCAGGACGGCCATAGGAAGTTACAAACTGAGAACATTCTGTAGCTGTTTAAATTACACAGAGTACAGTATGTGTAGAATGAGAAAGGCAGGGAGGTGGGTTAAGGCCTATGGAATATCAGCATTTCAAGATTGGGTAGAAAAAGAGAAGCTTACAAAGGAGAATGAGAAGGAGTCACAAAGGTGAGTATGACAGAGACTGCCAGTTGCCCCAACATCCATCCTCCCTTTCTTCCACAGTGATAGAATTGTTGGCTGCGTGCATGTTCACTTAGCTAAAGACTGCATTTACCAACCTCTGTTGCAGCTAGATGTGACCATGTGACTGTTCCGGCTACAGGATCTGAACACAACATGTGCAACTACAGATTATTCTCTTAAAGGGAAAGGATATGCTCTCTCCTATATATTTTCCCTTTTTCAGTGGTGGATTGTGGCTGTGGGAAGAACCATCCTGAACCACACAGACAGGTGGGATACCTAAGGATGTTAGAGCAACAAGATAGAAAGAACCTGGGCTTGGGACAATGTTGCAGAGCAGATCCAACACACCAATTTCAATGTTTGCATGATAGTGCAATAAAATCCTGTGCTTTTAAGTCACTATTTCTTTAGGTCTCCGAGATGTGGATGGACCAATATCTATCTTACTCAGTGAATGTAGGAAGAAGATGATTTAAAGAAGGAAGAGAAATGTGGCTGATATGTCAGATAAGATGAGGACTGAAGCTTCCTCTTGGTTGAGCAATAAAAAATTCACTGGTGACTCCAGGAAGAGCATTTTTAAAGGTGATAGGACCATTGGAAGGCCAATTTTAAGAGTGGGCTCAAGGCAAGGAAGGATGGACAGCAAGGATCAGCACTTTGTTAAGAAATTTAGCGGTAAAGGAGGCAAGAGCTGGAGAGTGACATGGGGTTGAAAAAAATCCTGCTTCACTTCTCTGTTTCTGTTTCATGGGACTCTCCAAGAATGGGTCTCTCCATCCTAACAAAAATCGCTTGTGTTCTCAGCCTATTTTGCTTACTCATAATTGTGTAACAAACCACTTCAAGAAACTTAGTGGCTTAGACTATGATGATTTATAATTTCTCAGGACTCTGTGGGTTGACTGGGCAGTTCTCTTCATGTGGTGTGGGCTGGAGCACTAGTATGCTTGAAATGTCCAAATGGCTGGCTGTGGCTGCTGGCTGCTGCCTGGGAGCTCAGCTAGGGCTCTCAGCCAGGGGTCTTGGTTTTCTTCCAGGGGTCCTTTCTATGTCGTTGCTTGAGCTTCCTCCCAGCATGACAGCTAAATTCCAAGATGAAACATTTCAAGAGTGCAAACACATAAACTGCTAGTCTTTTCTAAGGCTTAAGCCTGAAACTAGCATAGCATCACTTTCACCACATTCCATTATTTAAAATAGATCACAAGGCAGCCCAGATTCAAGGGAGAGGAGACTACACAAGTGTATGAATACAAGGAGGCATGGAAGACCACCAAAATAAAAACCTAACAAGTAGAAATGACCCAGAGAAGAGAGAGAGGTTGCAAAGGGGTTGCAGGAAATTTGGTGGAGGGGTGAGGGATATGTTTTTATTTTAATTGTAGTGATGGTTTTACAGGCTGACTCATGTCAAGCTTATCAAATTATACACTTTAAATTTGTACAGTTTGTTGTATATCAATTATACCTCAAATACGTCTTTTTTTTAAAAGTGCAATCTACTTACAGAGTAAATATTTCAGTAAATTGTGGTATATCCATTAGGTAAAATATTTTATAGCAATTACCAGTGATAAGAACAGTGTGAAATAGCAGGAGAAATGTTTCTGATGTAAAGACAAATGAAAAAAGCAAGTATGAAATTCTGGGTACACTGAAAATTTTGTAAAAATGTGTATATGTGGGCAAGGCTAGGAAAGCATTCACAGAATGAAAATACCATCATTAGGCAGGTGGAATAGCATGGATTTTCCCCTTCAATTGTCCGCATTTTCTGCTCTGTTGCTATATTTGCTTTATAATTAATCTCTTGATCCTTCTATTTTTGCACTCATTCTCTTATCTGCAGGCCTTCCACATGGGTCAGGCCTCTTCAGCTGAGGCTCTGGCAGTGTAAATCCTGCGTCTGTCTAAAGCACTTTGTTTCTGTGTGGTTCACTCCTGATACAGGGCCACTTGTGCGAGAGTTGAGAGGGAGACAGGCAGGGCTCTTGGGGAGTGATACAGCACTTATGTGTTCGTCAATTCTAATAACAGGCTTGCTCCTTCTCCCACCTGGGGCTGTCACTCTGGCTTCCAAATCCAGACAGGTTTCTGTTTCAAAATTACTTCCTTATTAGTCATTCCCTTTCCACTTCCCTTTTCTGCCACCTTCTTATAAAACACACTGGTTCAGCAAGCTCTGTGTGTCTGAATCACTGCCAGGCCTCAGCTCCCTCCCTGGCTGCCCCAGCTGCTCCCCCACCATTTAGCAGAACCATGCAGGCATCCAGAAATGGGGAAACAGCTACAGCTGGTGTCAGCTGCAAAGTTTCTCTCCTGCCCCTCCATCTCTCCCCCTCTTTCCTGACATGTTATATTTTCACAAGAAGGGACTTGGAGAAACGTGCTATTATTCTTTTCTGGGTGACACACAATCACAAAGGCAATCTTCCTGGGAGATGGGCTTAGCAGGGCCAATGCCAGCAATAGGGAGAGAAGGGAGTTAGGCCTTTTAATCACACTCCTTTGGCTCGGTGTATCCATTTTGCCTCCCACGATGGTGCTTGCTGTCTGCTTCGGGTCAGCTCTGCCCCTCAGGGTGATGAGCAAGGAAAGACAGGTGATGGCAGGTTGACATTTACGATCTCACGAGCCAAACTGCTGCCTGCATGCCCAGAAGGATGTGAGGGTACCATGATGGAGGATTGCAAGTGAGAGCCAGAGAGGCACCTGCCAAGCCCCGTCACCTGGCTGCACACACGGTGAGGGAGGGACGAGGTGGAGAGGAATTGTGTGAAGGGAGCAGGGGCCAGCTCTGAGCCATATGTTCTGTTGGGGAGGCTTTTCAGCTATGAGCAGGCAGCCTGATACCTGTTAAATGGCTCCTCAAAGTGGCTACACTAAGACTCAACCCGGTAAGACAGAATGGCAATGTGTTGTCAACTTGATTTGTTCTTAAAATGGGACTTTTTTTTCCTTTGGGCAGAAGGCCTGTCAATTTCCAGCAGGGGCAGCGCAGTCCGCTTCCAGGGAAAACTTAGGTCCTTGCCAGCAGGTGGGGCAGGTGGCCTCCAACCGTGGTTTTTCTCCTCTCACCAGTCCTGTGTTCTCCCTCAAGGTAGCCTTTCAAAGCCATGTTTTCTCCTTCTTCTCTGCTTACACCTCCCGCTGCCTCGCTCACTGTTTTTTTTTGTTTGTTTGTTTTGAGACAGGGTCACTGTCTTTTTAACTGTCCCTTCTCTTTCCTCTTCTGCCTTTTCGTGTTCCTTTTCAGGCAAGAAAAAATGCAAACACGTGCCCATGTGCACACCCACCCAACCCACACACAAGAATTCTGGAAAGAAATAGAGTACCAAAATGTCTTCCTTTCCAGCATTTGTGATTTGCATAATTTAAAACTGCATGTCCCTAACCATTTCATTATTATATTAAATATATAGTATTTCAAAACAGTGGGGGAAAATGATCAAGTTGGACCCACAATGACTTAAAGTTATATTTATGCCTTATCCAGAAAGCTTTCTTTTCAAGAAGAAAATGAGTGACTTTAGAAAATGTATACATTGAGATTACTTTTTAAGGTTAAAAAATGCCAACAATAATGTTAAAAAGTGATGATGCTTGAAATCCTTTAGATGCTCTAAGTACTGGTAATAAACATGTTCTATTTTATTTGAGTTTTTACAGATTGAGAAACTGAAGGACAGATAAGACTCGACTCTCCTGAATCCCAGGCCCTTGCTGGGTCCCCACAAGGTGGTGAGGTCCTTGAAGGTAGGATCTGTTTTATTGAAACATCTTTGCAGCCCCTTTAGGTCTGGAACACAGTAGGGACTCAATAAATGTCTGTGGAATTTAACTATTTCCTGGAAATGACCAACAATATTAATATGTTGAACATGAGGACTTTTAGTAGGATAATTAATAATTTAATAAATATATACATTCTATATTTTCCTTATATCTTGGTAACCAAAAGGGAATTACTTGAGCTAGCAAACTGCAGCCAGTAATGGACAGCAGCAGCCACATTAAGAATGTCTTATTTTCCCAAAGGGATACGATTTTCACATATGGCATTAATTTCTGGGAGTTTGTGAGACAACTGGGACCATTTGAACAATTTTACAGAGATTTAGCTGCTTATACTGAGCTGTGTTGCTCAACCTGACTTACTCCAAAGCCTGAAAGGATGTAGTTCAGGTGTGTTTGGCAGCTGAATGAGGCCACAGTGTTTAGTGTTGGGTTAGCCCGTGATTCTCCACCAGGCTACGTGTCAGAATCACCTGTGGAACGTCTTAATCGATTCCTATTTCCAAGGTCCCTCGTTAAACCAGTTAAATCAGAATCTCAGGAGTAGGGTCTAGGCATTACATTTTTGAAGCTCTCTGGAGGGGTCTCAAAAGAGGCACAAAGAATGAGTGGTGAGAGGGGAGAGCTCCTTCTTGCTTTCTACAAGCTCCAAGTTTGCTTTTAGCCGATAGTGTTAGCCCAGTGTTGTTCAAACCTTAATGTGTACACGTATCGCCTGGGGATCTTGCTGAAATGCAGCTTCTGACTTGGTAGATCTGGCCTGCCGGTGCAGATGCAACTGGTTAGCAGGCCACCATAGGCAGCAAGGATCCAGAGCTGCACAGGCCAATATGGTGGCCACAGGACATGTGTGGCTATTGAGTGTGTGAAACATGGCTAGTCCAAGTTGCAATGTGCTGTAAGCATAAAATAAACACCAGATTTGGAAGCTTTTGTACCAAAACATAGATATATCCATAATAATTTTTATCTTGGTTACATGTCAAAATGATAATATCTTAGACATACTGAGTTAAATAAAATACACTATGAAATTAATCTCGCCTGTTCCTTCTTTTCTTGTTTTAGCGTAACTACTAGAAAATTTGACGTTATCCTAAGCAAATTAATGCAGGAACAGAAAAGCAAATACCACATGTTCTCACTTGTAAGTGGGAGCTACACATTAGCTACTTATGGATATAAAGATGGCAACAATAGACAATAGAGACTACTAGAGGTAGGAGGAAGGAAGTGGGGCAAGGGTTGAAAAACTAACTATTGGGTACTATGCTCACTATTTGGGTGATGGCATCCATTGTACCCCAAACCTCAGCATCATACAATATACCCATGTAACAAACCTGCATATGTAACCCTGGATCTAGGATAAAAGTTGAAATTATTTTTAAAAAGAAAATTAAAAATTACTTATTGACTTGCATTGACTTTCTATTGGGCAGCGCTGGTCTAGGAAACTGTTCAATGCTTGGTGGCAACTGCATAGTGGCAAGGGTGTTTAAATGGGATGAATGCAGTGGCTGGGGAAGTGGTTACCTGCCTAGAATTCAGACTCTACAGGTATAAATTAAGAACAATCATGGCTATCATTTATGAGTGCTTCTACGACCTATCACTGTTCTAAACACTTTACATGAATTATCTCATTTAGTGCTCATAGCAGCCCATGAGGTAAGCATCTCTATTATTCCCATTTCACAGATGGGGAATTTAAGGCAGAGGCA
The DNA here is from genome assembly GCF_000001405.40 of Homo sapiens. NCBI lineage: Eukaryota > Metazoa > Chordata > Mammalia > Primates > Hominidae > Homo > Homo sapiens. The sequence continues at coordinate 30,229,509 of NC_000007.14, forward strand.
GTTTCAGCAACTTGCCTCAGCTAGCAAGTGAAAGGGTTTAGGGTTGAGCTTTAGAAAGCTCCCTCTCCCTCTGCCCTCTGTTTTAGTCCATTTGTGCTGCTATAACAAAATACCACAGACTAGGTAATTTATAAACTATAGACATTTATTTCTCATGGTTCTGAAAGCTGGAAGTCCCAGGTCAAGGTGCCAGCAGGATTGGTGTCTGGTGGGGGCTGCTCTCTGCTTCCAAAATGGTCCCTTGTTGCTGCATCCTCTGGAGGGGAGGGATGTTGTGTCTTCACATGGCAGAAGGGATGTTGTGTCTTCACATGGCAGAAGGGATGTTGTGTCTTCACATGGCAGAAGGGATGGAGGGGCTGGAGACACTCCCTTCAACCTCAAGCCCTTTTATAAGGACACTAATCCCATTCATGAGGGCAGAGCCCTTATGACTTACTTCTCAAAGGCCATAAGTTTTAATAATGTTACATTGGGGATTACGTTTCAACATGAATTTTTCAGAGGACACCATCCATTCAAACCATTCCACCTACCTCCATGGAGGAAAGAGACCAGGCACCAAGAGGATGTGACTACCTGGAGGCCATGCCCCATTTCTATTCTAGAACATGCTACTTGATTGGTCTGAGTGGTGGCTGAAGGCAGATGTTTTGGGGAGTACAGCAGATGGAGCTTGGGTCCCCAAATCCTTTTCAGTACAAGATGGAGCTAGGGATGGGAAGAGAGGTGGGGCAGGTGGAGTGCAGGGGGCTTCCAGCTGTACTGTTGCCCTGGCCACCACTAATGTTAGAGGCAGGCCTAGTGCCAGGATTCGATGCCAATGCCCACATACCGAAGGACTGACAGAGCTGAAGGTGGACTGTGTTCTGAGACTCTGCAGGTCACTCTGGGCTCGGAGACTACCCATTGCATACAAGAGGAGAAGCATTGCTACTTCAGTGACAAAGGCCAATGGGATTCTGATCTGCAGAAGGCCCTTCTCTGCCTTAGGTGTAAGTCAATGTAAGGGTGGAGCTTTCCCATCCCTGCCTCCTGATTGACCGCGTTACACTCAAACTCAAAATGATCTCCCTTATGGAAAGTGATTCCTTCGCAGTAGGATGCAAAAAAAATGAAAGCCTCTCTGTAGAAATAAATCACAGTGCTGGAACTTATTTCAATACTTTAGCATCCCTGAAAAATACCCTAGCTTTGATAAAGAGTCCACTATGTAGTGCAGAAAGTTGCAAAAAAGGATGAACAATATATCTGAATTTCTCTTTCTGTAAAATACAGGTGGTGGTAACATATGCCCCTGACTCTTGTTTGTTGAAGACATTCAGAGCTAATGTGGTTTGGATCTGTGTCCCCGTCCAAACCTCATGTCAAATTGTAATCCCTAATGTTGGAGGTGGGACCTGGTGGGAAGTGACTGGATCATGGAGGCAGTTTCTCATGAATGGTTTAGTACCATCCCTTTGGTGCTGTTCTCGTAATAGTGAGTTCTTGTGAGACCTGGTTGTTTAAAAGATTGTAGCACCTCCTCGCTCTCTCTTCCTCCTGCTCTGGACATGTGAAGTGTGTGCTCTTCCTTTTCCTTCCACCCTGATTGGAAGCTTCCTGAGGCTTCCCAGAAGCAGAAGCTTCTATGCTTCCTGTACAACCTGCAGAACTGTGACCCAATTAAACTTCTTTTCTTTATAAATTACCCAGTTCAGGTATTTCTTTATATCAGCCCAAGAATGGACTAATACAAGAGCATTCTGAAGTTTTACAAAGGAAGCTTCTGGAAAACAGAACATTGCCAGACCCTTCCACTGGCTGGACCACTGAAGAACAGAACTTTGACAGCTGCAGCCCTAGGGTGCTCTAACTATCACCATAAAACATTGGTTTTCTTTGATCTGCCCTGCCTGGTCATTGTCTCTTGGGCAACAGATGGGAACGCTTTGATCAACTTCAGGAGATGTCTTTGTGGTTGGTGACTTTTCCCTCATCTAAGAGCCTGTCCTCAGCCTGATTCTGAGTCCTGGGTTCTTGCAGCATCAACTTTTCAACTGCATGTAAAATAAATTCTTGACATTCCTCTGAACTGGATGTGAAAATCTTATGTTTCCTCCACTGGAGAGGGGAAGAAGAAAACTTAGCAGCAAAGTCTCAACAGCCTTGAAGGTCACAGTAGGGTGAAAGAGATAATCCTCATCTCCTCTGAAATCAGAATCAGAGGTAATCAGTTACTTGGCAGTACAAGGGGCTATGGATAGACATTGAAAGAACTTCCAGATAATGAGGTTTTTGAACTCCAGAATGAGTTGCCTGGGTGGAACAGAATTTCCTTCCCTGGAGGTCTTTAGAGGCAGGAGCGAGGTCCAGGGAGTATGTAAGTGCAGAATGGCTTGCATGGAGAGGGAAGAATTAGCTTTGTGTCTTGCTTAAGAGAATAATGGGAGTAGCTAGAGTAATAAAATCAGTCTTTCCCCTCCCTTCTATATGGTCTCAAGCAAGTAAAATAAGCCATGGCAGCAGTGATGACTACCTTGCCTTGTATATTTCCAAAATACTTTCCTGTTACTTCAGTTGGTTCTTACCGTGGCAACTCCATGAGTTAGATGGGAAGCACGCACATTATTATCACTGTTGGCAGAGAAGACTAGAGTAAAGGGAACAGTCCACACAGCTGGTTAGCATCACAGCTGGGGCTGCATAGGGATCCTGATCAATTGCTCTTTCCACTGATGCTTGAAATTCTGAATCTGGTGAAATATTAGGGATGGTAGGGATTCCACTACAGTTTCAGTTGCATTTCTGAAAACATTCTATGTTTTAAAAAATTCAAATAATATGAACTTGGCACCCTATCTCCTGGTTAACATGTTGCTGGAAGGTGGAATGGCTTGACTTCTAACTAGCCTTATTAGAATTAACACAAACCGAGGAAGCAACTACACTGAAAACAGAGAGAGGGAGAGAGAGAGCTCCTCTGTCTAATCTGTCTAATTGCATGATCTACTTAACTGCGAGACAGTATCTCAGTGGCTTGACTCCAAACCAGAAAACCCTGCGGAACATATTGTTGGGAAATGCCCAGCCTCACTGGAGGCAGGGAGACCAGATGCTCCAATTACAGCTTTGTCATCCCAACTTGAGACTTGCGTAGCTCCTTTCCTTAAGAAATGGAGAGTGAAACTGTGTTGTAAAAAAAAAAAAACAAAACTTCTTTATATCTCTCCTGTAGCTATATAGTCAAAGGAAGTAGTAGCCAAGTCTCTGTATTCAGAGGGTTTTTTTGGGGGTGGTGAGGGCAGAAGGTGGAGTTCAGGTTTGGACCTAACATGAAAGTCAGCGGCCAGTATTCACCTTCTGAGAAATTGTAAAGTGCCCTGCTGGCTCCCCCAGCCCCTGACTGCAGCCCTTGCCATTCTCACTTTAGGGTACAAGCATGTTACCAAAAATGCCAGGTATAGATCAGCAATGTCCGTGAAAATCAGGAAAATAAATATTTACTATTCATTTGTATTTGTAAACATGAAAAAAACATAGGTTTATTGATTACTTCTGTAGAAAGTATCAATCTATGCCTTGAAAAGGGGAGGTTATATTTTTCTGTTTTAAGTTTTTGGTCATATGTGTAATCTATACACACATATATACATTTATCCCCTAGACACACACCCTTCCCCGTATAAATAATCAAACGTGTGTGGGCCTCTGTGTGAATATACCAGATGTATTAAACACACACAAAACTTACAAGGTTTTTAATGGATGATGACTCAGTGGGACCGAGTTTCAGCAATTTTTGTTTTCAACTGAATGACTGGCACCTTCAATTTTACTCCTTTGTAACAGAAGGTGTGGGGCTCCTGGCTAAGACACAAAACAGTTCTTCTTCTTTTTAATCTGAGAAAGGAAGGAAGAGTTTTAACAGAGTTAATTGAGTGGTTGGGGTCTCTAGAAAGCAACTTGCCTCTCTCAGCTAACAGGAAAGGAAGGAAGAAATAGAAATCGAGGAGAAGCTTTTCTGTGCCCATGCCCTGCCTGCAATGTTAGGAACCTCCCTCTTGAAGTAAATTGGTGAAACCCTTTGCAGGGCAGCTTGGTGATAGGCATCTACTTTGACCCAATTCCTCTTCTAGGAATTTATCCTAAGGAGGAAATTGGACAAGCATACAAAGACAGAGGTGTCGGGATGCACACTAGTGAAAAATTGAAGATTGGAGACAACAAAATGGCTGTCAAGACATTATTTAATACATGTTAAATAAATCATACAACGTCCCCACAATAGGATAATGAACATTCATTCAAATGGTGATATAGATCCCTATTTCTTGCTTGGAAAGGATATAAATAGAAAATTCAACAAAGCTATTTTTATTTTGGAAAATAATAGATGACAAAGAATGAGAGAGGAAGAAAAGTATGAGAAGGTGAAGATCGAGAAGAGGAAACACCATTATCCTCTCTACAACTAATTGTTGCTGGCAGGACTTGGAGCTGCAATCTGAGAATTCTGAATTTATTTATTTATCTTTTTTTTTGTCACTCATGGGAAGAGAAAATTCTGCCCTTAGAATGAATGTAATGTGCATTTTCATCAGCTTGAGGAACACTCTGCAGGAGTTAGGCAGGTCTACTTGTGGAGAAGGCCTTTGGCTGGGACTGCTGTTCACAGGCCTGGCCCATCTTTCTGTGCCCTTTGCCAGGCTCCTGCCTCTCTGGGAGCTCTGCTCTTTCCTCTGGGAAGGGAAACAGTCTGAAAAACGATTCATACAAATGCACAAGTGATTCATCGAGTTATGGGAGCCCTGTCAATGTAGTTATATTAAAAAAGAACCATTTAGGAAAACTCCTGGCCTGCTGGAGGGAGACTAAATTTGTCTAACTATTGAAAGTTAATTTAGATTTGTACCAAAACTCTTAGAATTTTACAAAAATTTTAATGTAGCAATTCCACTTTGAAGAATTTATTCCAAGGAAGCAATCATAAATATAAAAAACATTTAACTACATAAAGATTCATCATAGCAACTGTTTATAAGAGTGAAAATTAAGATCTGCCTGCATGTCCAGCAATAAGGGATTGGATAAATTACATTAGCTCCATTCAATGGAATACATGATATCCCCTAAAAATATTGTTGTGGGAATATACATATTGTTATGGCAAAATTTTTACAACATGATATTGACTGAAAAAGTAGGTACCCAAACACATAATCCTAATTTTTTTAAAGTATAAAAATATCAAAATGTTAAAAATATTTGTCCCTGAATTATATGTGATTATTTTCTTCTGCTTATTGAATATGTCACTTTTGAAATAAGAAATGTTAATAAAATTTTACTTTTTTATTTTTTCTTTTTATTTATTTTCCTTTTTTATTTTATTTTATTTTTGTTATTATACTTTAAGTTTTAGGGTACATGTGCACAATGTGCAGGTTAGTTACATATGTATATATGTGCCATGTTGGTGTGCTGCACCCAGTAACTTGTCATTTAACATTAGGTATATCTCCTAATGCTATCCCTCCCCCCTCCCCCCACCTCACAAGAGGCCCCAGTGTGTGATGTTCCCCTCCCTGTGTCCATGTGTTCTCATTGTTCAATTCTCACCTATGAGTGAGAACATGCAGTGTTTGGTTTTTGGTCCTTGTGATAGTTTGCTGAGAATGATGGTTTCCAGCTTCATCCATGTCCCTACAAAGGACATGAACTCATCATTTTTTATGGCTGCATAGTATTCCGTGGTGTATATGTGCCACATTTTCTTAATCCAGTCTATCATTGTTGGACATTTGGGTTGGTGCCAAGTCTTTGCTATTGTGAATAGTGCCGCAATAAACATACGTGTGCATGTATCTTTATAGCAGCATGATTTATAATCCTTTGGGTATATACCCAGTAATGGGATGGCTGGGTCAAATGGTATTTCTAGTTCTAGATCCCTGAGGAATCGCCACACTGACTTCCACAATGTTTGAACTAGTTTATAGTCCCACCAACAGTGTAAAAGTGTTCCTATTTCTCCACATCCTCTCCAGCACCTGTTGTTTCCTGACTTTTTAATGATCGCCAGTCTAACTGGTGTGAGATGGTATCTCATTGTGGTTTTGATTTGCATTTCTCTGATGGCCAGTGATGATGAGCATTTTTTCATGTGTCTTTTGGCTGCATAAATGTCTTCTTTTGAGAAGTGTCTGTTCATATCCTTCACCCACTTTTTAATGGGATTGTTTGTTTTTTTCTTATTAATTTGTTGGAGTTCATTGTAGATTCTGGATATTAACCCTTTGTCAGATGAGTAGATTGCGAAAATTTTCTCCCATTTTGTAGGTTGCCTGTTCACTCAGATGGTAGTTTCTTTTGCTGTGCAGAAGCTCCTTAGTTTAATTAGATCCCATTTGTCAATTTTGGCTTTTGTTGCCATTGTTTTTTGTGTTTTAGACATGAAGTCCTTGCCCATGCCTATGTCCTGAATGGTGTTGCCTAGGTTTTCTTCTAGGGTTTTTATGGTTTTAGGTCTAACGTTTAAGTCTTTAATCCATCTTGAATTAATTTTTGTATAAAGTGTAAGGAAGGGATCCAGTTTCAGCTTTCTACATATGGCTAGCCAGTTTTCCCAGCACCATTTATTAAATAGTGAATCATTTCCCCATTTCTTGTTTTTGTCAGGTTTGTCAAAGATCAGATGGTTGTAGATATGTGGCATTTTTTCTGAGGGCTCTGTTCTGTTCCATTGGAATTTTACTTTTTTAAAGACACAGGAACCCAAAGTATACCTATAGCATATGACATCATCCTATACTGTTAACTGCACAAGGAGATGTATTTAATACTACATCTGCTTTAGTATATCATTGTGATTCCGGCACCTAGCACAGTGCCTGACATGTAGAAGTTCTTCACAAAGAACAAAGTGGCAGTAACAGGAAGCCCAAATGGAGGAGAAACACTCAACAAACTCCGTACACAACTGTCTGACCTCCTTCATGTCAATTTGATAGTTAAGCTTCATGGGATGAGACCCATTCACTTTTGAATCCCTCACGGTGCCTTGCCCATAGTAGGGACAGCTCAATAAATGTTTCATAAAACTATAAATGATGGTTTCTCTTCTCTCTCCTGGAATCATTTCTACAGACTTTCCTGCGTTTGATACATGCATGCCCTGGTGACAGATCATGTGCTAGAACTGGGATAATAGCCATTGTCATAGGACGTTATGTAGTTGGGATTATGTTGGTCATAAAGCAACAGAAAGAAAACAAGTAAGAATGGCTTAAAAGAATTGAAAAGCTATTTCTTTCTAATGTTCCAGAAATCTAGAAGCAGGCAACCCATGATTGGAATGGAGCTCCATGGTGTCAGGGACCCAGGTTTCTTCTTTTTGCTCTGCCACAAGTGGCTTCCATTCCCAAGGTCACCTCATGGTTCAAAATGGCACCTGGAGCTCTGAGCACTAGTCATTACATGAACATTCCAGCCATCAAGAAGGAGGAAGAGGAGAATGAAGGCATGCCTCCCTCTTCAGAAGTTTCATGTACCACCTCCACTTATGTCCCATTGGCCAGAACTTTGTCAAAAAAGCCTGAAAGGCATAGATTTTATTATGGGGTGCCTTGTTCCCAGCTAATGTTTAGGAATCTCTCCCTATGGAAGAAGGGTAGAACTGACGTTGGGAAACAACTGGCAGCCTCTGCCATTGACCTGTCCTCAGCCATCCCATCACTAGCCAATATGAGTTTCATTAAGCATGTAGCATCTACTCTGATGATGTAGGGAAGGTTACCATGACAGTGACTTACAATTAACCAGGTGTTTGGGACCAGTGCCAACAAACACTGCCTGAGAGATGACAGGCTTCTTTAGTTGCCCCATAATGGCACATTTCCGTTTCTGACATGGTCCCCATGGTGTCACAGGGGTGACCTGGGTCACTACTCTCTGCCTAGCAGAGCCAGGCCATGAACTGCAAGTCAGCATCTTTCCTGCAGCAGTGATTGCTTATGTCCTGCACATGCTGGCTGACAGCAGCATTCAAATCATCAGAGAAATCAGGAAGTTGGAGTTAGGTATTCTCATTACATATATAAAGAAATAGAAGAGGCCAAAGTTTCAGAATACAAGTTATTTGACTCACACTTGTGAGGTCATGGGGTGCTGCCCTTTCTGACATCACTAGGGGACTGACAGGCCAGTAGATCTGAGAGCAGAAAAGCAATGATTGGGTCATTTTAGAACAGAGGAAAATAAACGGTTTTTATTTGATAAAAAGCAGATAATAATATTATTCATATTATTAGCTACCATTTAGCTAGGAACTGTGCAAGCCCTATGGTTGCCAGCATCCAAGAAAACCCCCAATGATACTTGTTTCCTGATATTCATGCCTTTGCGTAGTCCCCTCCCATATTGAATCAGGGCTGACCTCTTTAACAAATAGAATACAATGGAAGTGGTGATTGTGACTTCTGAGGCCAAGTCCTAAAATGCATTGCAGTTTCTGCTTTGGTCTCTTGGTGGGTCACTCTGGGAGAAGCGAGTTGTCACTTTGAGGACACTCCATCAATCCTGTGGAGAGGAACTGAGGTCTCCTGCCAAGAACCAGCACCACATATCAGCCATGTGAGTGAACAGCCTTACAAGAAGATCCTCCTGCCCCAGTCTAGCCTTTGGATGACTGCAGCCCTGGCTGACATCCATGAACCTTATAAGACCCTGAACCAGTACCACCCAGCTAAACCATTCCTCAATTCCTGACCCTCAGAAACTATGAGATAATTAATTTTTATTGTTCTTTAGGCCACTACATTTTGGGGTAATTTGTTAGGCAGCAAAACATAATGAATACAGCCTCTTTATATAATTTATTAATCACAATACCACTTGAAACTAGGTATTATTTCCCTGTTTTACTGATAAAGAAACTGATAATTTTTCCCCAGGTCAAAGAAGCTCGTAGAAGGAAAGCTGTTACTTTAGCATAGCTCTGCTTGCACAAAACCTACATGCTGAACAACTGCTCACTATGCTACATGGCAAGTGGACCCACTTAGGACTTCCAGAATGCCTGGAAGAGAAAAGCCAAATGTCCCTAAATGAATTGATTCTAGTGAGAGTGATTGTGAGGGTTACATGCTAGCGTTCAAAATTATATAGACTCTATAGGCATCTGTTAATCTGTGCTCTAAAATCCACAGCCAGATTGAAACTCAAGTGCATGATTGTGTTATGAAAATCAAAGTGAGGTTAACCCAGGGACTACCTATCAAGAAAGCCCCCATTTAGGTGCTTGGAATGCAGAAAGATTCCCAAAGTTCCAGCAGAGTCTGTGCAGCCTCAAACAATTGCCTTTACCAGGGCCTTACAACCTGATGTCATTTGGGGATGCTGTATTTAAAGTTGCCTGAGTTACAGAGAACAGGGATATGGTCTATTATCTCAGAGGTGGGCATGAGCTCTATGGGGTGGAATGATCATTTGCCTCCTTATTTGCCCAAGAAATGTAGGGTGGAATGATCATTTGCTCTCCTCTTTTTTTTTTTTTCTGTGATGGATCAGTTTCTATTTACCATCTTGGCTCCCTGCCAGTGTGCTGACAGTGCCAAATTTGGTTGGTACATACTTGTCAGCAAAAGAATGTGAGTACTGCTCTGAAGTCACAGCAAATAATGGGTTTCTGAGATCTTCTCTTTGACTCACAGGTTTCCATGTGTCTCATTCTAGCCAGAGGCTTCACTGCAAGACCAAGAAGCCATTTAATATCTAGTGGAGGTTTCTGGTCTTGTATTGTTGGCTAAGAAAGCCAGAAATGTGGGTGAGAGAGAAGTCTGTTCTTGTTCCCCAGGCTTCCCCCATTGCACTCCAGATGCAAATCTGTTCTGGTAACCACATAGCCAAATAAACAAATGAGGATGGAAAGTCTCTTGCTGAAAAATGAAATGTCACTTCTAAAACAGAATTCATGATCTTCTTTCAGCTCTTTCAAACTTCCCTTTCTATGTTGGTGCCAACATGCCCCTGAGCTCAAAACTTTGGCATTAACATTGACTGTTCCCTCCATTCAGCCTTTCAAATTGAGCCAATCATCCAGGCTTGTCAATTGTGCCTTCAAAATATCCTAGGATTATTTCTCCTCCATTTTTACTTTGCTTTTATGTCATCACCTAGATAGATACCCGTGCCCAAATTTCTTTCCCCATTAGTAGCTCTAAGCTGCCTACTGCAATGATTACAAATTTATGCATCTAGCTTTCAAGACCCTGCATAGTTTATTCCTTCCTAACTTTATTAGGCTCAGGTCCCGGTGCTAATCCTTCTGCATACACATGTGCTCATGTGTACATACACACACAGACACACACTGCTGTGTGTATACACCATGCCCTGCACCATCACTCACCTTTCATTTGGGCTGCCTTCTCTGCAGTTTTGGATATTCCTTTTATTCTTATTTTTTTAATTTTACTTTTATTTATTTATTTTTTTTGAGACGGAGTCTCGCTCTGTCGCCCAGGCTGGAGTGCAGTGGCGCTATCTCGGCTCACTGCAGCCTCCACCTCCTGAGTTCACGCCATTCTCCTGCCTCAGTCTCTTGAGTAGCTGGGACTACAGGCGTGCGCTGCCATGCCCAGCTAATTTGCATATTTTTAGTTGAGACAGGATTTCACCATGTTGGCCAGGCTGGTCTTAAACTCCTGACCTCAAGTGATCCACCCGCCTTGGCCTCCCAAAATGAGGATGTTC